>NC_000020.11:33737998-35026184 GCF_000001405.40 Homo sapiens
TGGGGGCGTGTGCCTATAATCCCAGCTACTCGGGAGGCTGAGGCAGGAAAGTTGCTTGAACCCGGGAGACAGAGGTTGCAGTGAGCCAAGATTGCGCCATTGCACTCCAGCCTGGGCAACAAGAGTGAAACTCCATCTCAAAAAAAAAAAAAAAAGTTGGCCAGGCGTGGTGGCTCATGCCTGTATTCCCAGCACTTTGGGAGGCCAAGGTGGGAGGATCCCTTGAGTGCAAGAGTTTGAGACTGTCCTGGGCAACATAGGGAGATTCTATCTCAAAATAATAATAATGATAATAATATTATATGCAGGAGTAATTGGGGAAGTTGCAAATCTTGTGATCTCTGGAATAATGGCTGGTAATATTTATGTCTACACCTTACCAGAATGTAGGTTCCTCTTATCCTCCTAACCTCATGGTCTTTCATTAGCTTCACAAAGGAGGGTTAGTTTTGGGGAAGGGCTATTATCATTTAAACTGTAAACTAAATTTCTCCCTAGTTATCTTGGCCCAAGCCCAGGGATTACTAAGGGCAGTTTGGAGGTTAAAGGCAAGATGGGGGTTCGTTAGGTCAGGTGTCTTTCACTGTCATGATTTTCTCACTTTGCAACTTTTTCAAAGGTGGTTCCAGATAGTGGAGGGCTTAAGTCCCACTAGAGTGGGGAAGGAGAACTGGAAGGTGGTAGAAGAGATAGAGGGTGTAGGTGACCCTCATGGGATACTTGCCATTGAAGGGAGGAGAGATGGAAACATGAATTTGCAGGAGGGCACTCTGGAGAGACTGATCGTGTGTAGCTGTGGATGGTTCCCAGGCACAGTGTGGTGAGAGTTGGTGGAGAGTGGCTTCTGAGGAGCAGGAGGAGATGGAGGGGAGGGCTGCGCTGGCAGCGTCAGGAGGGACACAGCCTGCATTGTGACAAGGGAAGGCATGGATTCAGTTTGGCTGCAGTAGCTGATGGTTTCAATTTTTTATTTTATTTTATTTTATTTTTGAGACGGAGTCTCACTCTGTCACCCAGGCTGGAGTGCAGTGGCGCCATCTCCGCTCACTGCAACCTCCACCTCCCGGGTTCAAGCAGTTCTCTGCCTCAGCCTCCCTAGTAGCTGGGATTACAGGCACCCACCACCATGCCCAGCTAATTTTTGTATTTTTAGTAGAGATGGGGTTTCACCATCTTGGCCAGGCTAGTCTTGAATTCCTAACCTCGTGATTCACCCGCCCCTGCCTCCCAAAGTGCTGGAATTACAGGCGTGAGCCACCATGCCCGGCCAGAGATAACTGGTCTGATGGTTTCAATTTGCATTGCAGTTAGAAGCTGGGGAAGACATCCCAGTAAAAGCTGAGAGGTTGGAGGCAGAGCATCGGCTGTGGGGTCATAGAGAGGAGGCACCATCTGGGTCTTTTGGGAGTGGCACAGTGTGCCTTGGTGGCCACTGAGATGTGAGGAGGCCTGTCATCCGGCTAGTGACATGGCCAGACAGTGTACTACTGTGAACTTCAACTGTGATAACTGATTAGAAAACATGGAAGAAGTCAGTTTCTCGATCCCCCAGCCACCAATTCAGAGTCTATTGTTTATTGCAGAACAAAAAAGATAGACACACATTGAGAAATAAGGAAGGCAAGGACGCCCGCGTGCACACAGATTTGTGGGGTTTGGGGAGTGTGCATGAGGAAAACTGGCTAACGTGATTTCTGGAGGGACTTTGTCACCTAGGATTAGCGTCAGCCATGAGTAAGACAGGCCCCACGTCACAGTGGCTTCAACAGGCTGGAAGGTTATTTCTTTCACATGAAAGTCCAGAGGAAGGCAGTCTAAGATAGGAAGATGGCTGTGTTCTACAAGGTTCTCAGAGGCCCAGGATTTATCCAGCTTTTTTTTTTGAGACAGAGTTTCGCTCTTGTTGCCCAGGCTGGAGTGCAGTGGCAGGATCTCAGCTCACTGCAACCTCTGCCTCCTGGGTCCAAGTGATTCTCCTGCCTCAGTCTCCCAAGTAGTTGGGATTACAGGCACACACCACCACGCCCAGCTAATTTTGTATTTTTAGTAGAGACAGGGTCTCACCATGTTGGCCAGGATGGTCTCGAACTCCTGACCTCAGGTGCTCTGCCCGCCTTGGCCACCCAGAGTGTTGGGATTACAGGCGTGAGCCACTGCGCCTGGCTCCATCCAGCTTTTTATCCTACGATCCTAAGGTTGTCCTTATGATCCAGGATGGTGGATTGAGTTGCTACCACCATATTCTTATTCTGGGAAGTGGAAAGGAGGATGGGACAAAGAAGAGGGTCACATATCAGGCAGTTTTAAGAAAACTTTCCAGAAGCTGCCACATAGCACATTTACATTCCTTTGGCCAGAACTTAGTCATTCCCTAACTGTAAGAGAGCCTGGGAAGTGTAACCTTTATTTGGGGGCCATCTTTGCAGCCCAAAATCTTGGGCTCTCTCACAATGGAAATAGAAGAGAATGTATATTGGGGCATAGCCGGCCATCCTTGCCATGGGGTTTTGTCTTGCTTGAGACAGGGTCTTGCTCTGTCAAGAGCAAGTACAGTGGAGTGAGGTGATATGATCATGGCTCACTGTACCCTTGACCATCCAGGCTCAAGCAGTCCTCCCGCCTCAGCCTCCCTAGTAGCTGGGACCACAGGCATGCACCACCAAGCCTACCTAAATTTTGTATTTTTTTGTAGAGGTGGAGTCTCACTATGTTGCTGCCTAGAATGGTCTTAAACTCCTGGGCTCAAGCGATCTCCCACCTTAGCCTCCCATGGTGCTGGGATTACAGGTCTGAGCCACCGTACCCAGCCGCCACAGGGGTTTTGCCTGGGTCTGGCTTGTAAGGGTGATGTCAGAGCATGATGCTGGGCCTACCTTCCAAAGAGGCTGCACTTCTTTTTTCAGGAATGGACAATCAGACCGTTCTGGCTGTCCAGTCATTATTGGATGGCCAAGGAGCAGTCCCTGATCCGACAGGCCAGAGTGTCAATGCGCCCCCTGCTATCCAGCCATTGGGTGAGTATCTGCTCAGGTTCACCGGTGGGAGAGTGAATGGCTCCCCGCGAAGAGTAGGTGGAGCTTGTGCTGGGCTGTGGGAGTGAAATGCTTGCTGTGGTCCCCAGGACATGCTCTGGTGTCTGAACCCTCTCCCCCGCCTCCCAGCCGGGATCTTTGGGCTCACGGCTTTCTCTGCTTAGCTCTGAGGACACTGCTCTCAATTGCTTAGTAAATGTGGGGAGATGGGATCAAGATGCAGGGAATGGCTAAGGGCCCCAATGCCTGACAACAATGCCTGTGCCTTTGCCCTGGAAGTGATTATTCAGCCTCCCTTCTGTGGAAAGAATAGGCTGAGCATGAATTGCTCCTGTTTACTGGGCCAGGCCTGTAAGGGTCTTCTTTTTTTTTTTTTTCTTTTTTTTCTTTTTGAGACAGAGTGTTACTCTGTCCTCCAGGCTGGAGTGCAGGGCACGATCTTGGCTCACTGCAACCTCCACCTCCTAGGTTCAAGCAATTCTCATACCTCAGCCTCCTGCGTAGCTGGGATTACAGGCGTGCGCCACCACGCCTGGCTAATTTTTTGTATTTTTAATAGAGATGGGGTTTCACCATGTTGGCCAGGCTGGTCTCAAACGCCTGACCTAAGGTGATCTGCTCACCTCAGCCTCCTAAAGTGCTGGGATTACCTGCATGAGCCACTGCACCTGGCCTGTAAGGGCCTTCTTTTGGAAGTTTCTATGTGAGACTGTGTTCATTTATTCATTCCACAAACATTTTTGTGTACTTGGGAATCACACTAGGGGCAGGGAGATAAATGGCTGGGTTTGAATTATTGTTCTTATAGTTCTTAGCTCTGTGACCGTGGGCAAGTGAGTGAATTTCTCTGTGGTTCAGTTCCTACACCTGTAAAATAGGGACAATTGTTCTGCCTCATAGGAATCTTATGAGAGTACTTGGGATTTGGTTCTAGCTGTTGAAGTTTACCATGGTTTCTACAAGATTAAAGTTTGTTTCTGTGTTACGCGAAGTCCTGATGGGCATTTGGGCATTTGGGGTGGGCATGGTGAGACTCAGACTCCTTCTTTCCTGTGGCTCTACTGCCCTCGAGCTGCAGCCCGGGATGGCTGCTCTAGCTCCCACTTTGATTGGCACATTCCAGCCAACATGAAGGGAAGAAAGAGGGAAGTGGAATTCATACCCTTTCGTTTTGTTTTGTTTTTGAGATGGAGTCTTGCTCTGTCGCCCAGGCTGGAGTGCAGTGGCGCGATCTCGGCTCACTGCAACCTCCGCCTCCCGGGTTCAAGCAATCCTCCTGCCTCAGCCTCCTGAGTAGCTGGGATTACAGGTGCCCGCCACCATGCCCAGCTAATTTTTGTATTTTTAGTAGAGATGGGGTTTCACCACGTTGGTCAGGCTGGTCTCAAACCCCCTGACCTCATGATCACCCGCCTCGGCCTCCCAAAGTGCTGGGATTGCAGGCGTGAGCCACACCGCCCGGCCAAGTCGAGACAGGATTTCATCATGTTGGCCTGGCTGGTCTCGAACTCCTGACCTCAGGTGATCCACCCACTTCAGCTTCCCAAAGTGCAGAGATTACAGGCGTGAACCACCATGCCTGGCCAAAAAACTTCTCTTTAATTAAAAAAAAAAAATAGAGATAGGGTCTCTCTGTGCTGCCCAGGCTGGTCTTGAACTCCTGAGCTCAAGCAATCCTCCCACCTCAGCCTGCCAATGTACTGGGATTGCAGGCATGAGCCACAGTGCCCTGTCCATGCCCTTTCCTTTTCCTTTTATGAGGAAGTTGCAGATACGGTACAGTTCTATTGTTGTCCCATTGGTGAGAATTCTGTCACATGACATTCCTAGCTGCAGAGAAGCCTGGGAAATATATTATTTAACTATGAAGCCATGTTTCCCACTGAAATTTGTATTATTGTATAAGAAGGATACGAGTTGAGAGTGGTGTGCACTATGATCATGCCTGTGAATAGCCACTGTGCTGCAGCCTGGGCAACACAACAGGACCCTGTCTCTCTCTTTTTTTTTTTTTTTTTGAGACGGAGTTTTGCTCATGTTGCCCAGGCTGGAGTGCAATGGCATGATCTTGGCTTACTGCTACCTCTGTCTCCTGGGTTCAAGTGATTCTCCTGCTTCAGCCTCCTGAGTAGCTGGGACTACAGGCACCTGCCACCACACCCGGCTAATTTTTGTATTTTTGGTAGAGACGGGGTTTCGCCATGTTGGCCAGGCTGGTCTCGAACTCGTGACCCTCAGGTGATCCGCCTGCCTCAGCCTCACAAACTGCTGGGATTACAGGCGTGAGCCACCGCACCCTGCCCAATTTTTTTTTTTTTTTTTTTTTTTGAGACAGAGTCTTGCTCTGTTGCCCAGGCTGGAGTGCAGTGGTGTGATCTCGCTCACTGCAACCTCCACCTCCTGGGTTTAAGCAATTCTCCTGCCTCAGCCTCCTGAGTAGCTGAGATTACAGGCATGCACCATCATGCCCAGCTAATTTTGTATTTTTAGGAGAGCTGGGGTTTCACCATGTTGGCCAGGCTGGTCATGAATTCCTGACCTCAAGTGATCCACCCACCTTGGCCTCCCAAAGTGCTAGGATTACAGGTGTGAGTGAGCCACCTCGCCTGGCAACCCGTCTCTTAAAAAAATAAATAAATAAAAAAGGATACAATTAGAATTGAATAACAATTAGACATTTCTGCTACCACATGTTGGGTGCTTGACACAGTGAGCGCATAGCTGTGGTAGGCCCTCAGCAATGGATGGTGTTAACTGTAGTTAATCATTCATTTAGTTTTTCATTCATTCAACAAACGTCCATTGAGAACCTCCTCTGTGTCCAGGAGATATTGTAGTTATGGTGATAAATAAGACACATGTCCTTCCCTTAGGGGACTCACAGTCTGGTGTTGATAAGAAAACTGTTATATGATAGGTGTGCCAGAGGAAGGAACTATAGCCGCTGGCTTTAGAAAAACTTCCTGGAGAGGTCGGTGCAGTGGCTCACGCCTGTAATCCCAGCACTTTGGGAGGCTGAGGTGAGTGGATCCCTTGAGGTCAGGAAGTTCGAGACCAGCCTGGTCAACGTGGTGAAACCCCGTCTCTACTAAAAATACAAAAATTAGCCGGGCGTGGTGGCGCATGCCTGTAATCCCAGCTACTGGGGTGGCTGAGGCAGGAGAATCGCATGAATATGGGAGGCAGAGGTTGCAGAGAGCTGAGATTGTGCCACTGCACCCCAGCCTGGGCAGCAAGAGTGAAACTCTCTCTCAGAAAGAAAAAAAAAAAAAGAAAAGAAAAGGAAAGAAAAAGAAAAAAAGACTTCTTGGAAGAGGTGACAGTCAAGCTGAGGCTTGCAGAACAAGTTGTCCTCAGAGAGGCAGCCTGGCAGGGCGAACGGTGGATGCAAAGGCATGGGAGGAGTATGATCAGGTGGCTCATTTGGGGACTGATGAATAAATTCAGACAGGATAAAGGTTCTGGAGTTCTCAACTTTGTAGTGAACATACTTTACTGTTTTTTGATTTCTAATTAATTGGTACCTGGCCACATATGGCTATCCCTGCAGGAAACTGTGTGGTTTTTTTTCTTTTTTTTGAGATGGAGTCTCGCTCTGTTGCCCAGGCTGGAGTGCAGTGGCACGATCTGGGCTCACTGCAACCTCTGCCTCCTGGGTTCAAGCAATTCTCCTGCCTCAGCCTCCCGAGTAGCTGGGACTATAGGCGCGCACCACCATGCCCAGCTAATTTTTGTATTTTTAGTGGAGATGGGGTTTCGCCATGTTGTCCAGGCTGATCTTGAACTCCTGACCTCAGGTGATCCACCCTCCAAGGCCTCGCAAAGTGCTGGGATTACAGGCATGAGCCACTGTGCCTGGCCACCTGTGTGGCTTCGAAAACTCCCAGGAAGCACATAGTTGATGGCTGACACCTGCATGTCAAGTCGCAGCATGCCCCCCAGATTGCTGCTTGTGGTCAGCTGCAGTTCTCCTGTCTCATACTGTGATGCCCCTTGACATAGTCTTGCTTTTTTTTCATTACTTTACCTTCATCTGTGGCCTCTTCCCACTACTCTGCGGGTATGACCCCAGATGACGAGGATGTATTTCTCTGCGGGAAGTGTAAGAAGCAATTCAACTCGCTGCCAGCGTTTATGACCCACAAGCGGGAACAGTGCCAGGGGAATGCCCCCGCCCTGGCCACAGTCTCACTGGCCACCAACAGCATCTACCCACCTTCGGCAGCACCCACAGCGGTCCAGCAGGCCCCAACTCCTGCCAATCGCCAGGTATTTGTTCATTTATTCATTCAACATGTCTTTTTTGAGGGCCTAACATGCTCAGGCACTGTGCTGGGCACTGGGGCTATAGCAATGGATAAGACAGACCAAGTCCCTGCCCTTGTGGAGTGGGGCGAGATGGATGGTGCACATGTACTGTTTTCAGCATGTTAAATGCGGAGAGATAGGGGATGCCAGACGGGGATGGGAGGTTTTGCCATATTGTCTATCGTGCTTGGGGAAGAGCTCTGTGAAGAGGTGACCAGGAAGAATACTATATAGCAGGTAAAAGGTTTTGTATGAAAAATCAAATTGTAGAATAATAAGTAGATAATATATTATTATTTTTAAAATCTGAAACAATAGTACTATATAATTTCCGCAGTTACTTAAATAAGTAGGAAGAACATACCAGATAGACCTAAGGAGGTGTGGGAATGAGTTATGCGGCTGGTTTGGGGAAGGAAGCAGGAGCCAGGTGCAGGGATCAGCAGATGCAGAGGCCTTGAGGCAGGAGTGTGCTGGGTTTGTTCCAGAACTATAAGGAGGTGAGAGTGGCTGGGACTGAGTAAGTAGGAAGGTGGGAGGTGCTAGGAGAGGCAGCAGGAGGGTCTTGGCAGATCGTGTAGGGTCTGGGCCTTTTTTTTTTTTTTTTTTTGAGACGGAGTCTTGCTCTGTTGCCCAGGCTGGAGTGCAGTGGCGCCATCTCGGCTCACCGCAAGCTCCGCCTCCTGGGTTCACGCCATTCTCCTGCCTCAGCCTCCCAAGTAGCTGGGACTACAGGTGCCCGCCACCACACCAGGCTGATTTTTGTATTTTTAGTAGAGACGGGGTTTCACCATGTTAGCCAGGATGGTCTCAATCTCCTGACCTCGTGATCTGCCCGCCTCGGCCTCCCAAAGTGCTGGGATTACAGGCGTGAGCCACCGCGCCCGGCCTTTTTTTTTTTTTTTTTTTTTTGAGACGGAGTTTCACTCTTGTTGCCCAGGATGGAGTGCAGTGGCAGGATCTCGGCTCACTGCAACCTCCGCCTCCTGGGTTCAAGTGATTCTCCTGCCTCAGCCTCCAGAGTAGCTGGGACTACAGGCGCGCACCACCACGCCCAGCTGATTTTTGTATTTTTAGTAGAGATGGGGTTTCACCATGTTGGCCAAGATATTCTCGATCTCCTGACCTTGTGATCTCCCCGCCTCGGCCGCCCAAAGTGCCAGGATAACAAGTGTGAGCCACCACACCCAGCCGCTGGGGCTTTTACTGAGAATGACATGGGAGCCATTGGAGGCTGTCAAGCAGAGGAGGGACATAGTGACTTTTATCAGGTCACTCTGGCTGCTGGACAGAGAATAGGTTTTGAGGGAGGGTGAGAGAGAAAGCCAGGAGACCCGTTGAGGGACTGTAGTGCAAATCCAGGCAGTGGATGCGGGTAGCTTGACCAGCATGTTGGCAGTGGAGGTGGTGAGAAAGTGTGAGATTTTAGAAATACTTTGAAGGTGTTGCTGATAGAACTTGTGAATTGATTGGGTGAGGAGTGTGAGATCAAGAAGGGTCACAGAGGACTCCTGATTTAGAGTTGCCACTAGCTGAAGGGAGGAGGCTGTGAGGAGAAGGTTTTGGGGGGATGTCAGGAGTTCAGCTGGGCACGTTGAAGTTGAGATGCCTGCCAACCTTTAAACGGAGGCAGTGACAAAGTAGACAATGTAGATTTCCAAGTCCGGAGGCCAGAGCAGAGGACAAGGCTGGAGGCATCTGGGGAAGCTTCCAGAGTCCTCAGCCGAAAACACGGTTCTGGAGCAAAGACACCCTGGATAGGGGGCTCATAGAAAGACTAAAGGATCCCTCATAAAGGAGGCTGGGCATATCTCAGGATGCCAGGTCAAGGGGTCAGATTTTCAACTGGCTTCCTTTTCTTTCCTTATCCCTTTAGAACATTATCTTCATTCATTGTATAGGTGTCATTTCTGCCATCACTATGAAAGCATTCACCCCAGACCCATAGGACATATAGACTGAAACAGGCATCTTCTGGCATAAAACAGTCATTTTGGCCGGGCGCGGTGGCTCACGCCTGTAATCCCAGCACTTTGGGAGGCCGAGGCGGGCGGATCACGAGGTCAGGAGATCGAGACCATCCCGGCTAAAACGGTGAAACCCCGTCTCTACTAAAAATACAAAAAATTAGCCGGGCGTAGTGGCGGGCGCCTGTAGTCCCAGCTACTTGGGAGGCTGAGGCAGGAGAATGGCGTGGACCCGGGAGGCGGAGCTTGCAGTGAGCCGAGGTCCCGCCACTGCACTCCAGCCTGGGCGACAGAGCGAGACTCCGTCTCAAAAAAAAAAAAAAAAAAAAAAAAAAAACACAGTCATTTTTCTCACTGCTTGACTGTGAGTTTTGCTAGTAGAAAATATTCCCCTCACCATCTCTTACCTTTTTTTTTTTTTTTTTGAGACAAGGTCTTACTGTCGCTCAGGCTGGCCTTGGCTCACTGCAACCTCCATCTGCCAGGTTCAAGTGATTCTCCTGCCTCAGCCTCCTGAGTAGCTGGGACTACAGACACCCGCCACCATGCCCAGCTAATTTTTGTATTTTTATTGGAGATGGGGTTTCACTGTTGGCCAGGCTGGTCTCGAACTCCTGACCTCAAGTGATCCGCCTGTCTTGGCCTCCCAAAGTGCTGGAATTACAGGCATGAGCCACCGTGCCACACCAGATATTCTTCTTGACCTAAGATACTTGTGGACTTCATGTGGACATGTGTTCAGTGTTTCTCTAGCATAGATACAAGGAAGTATTTTTTTTTCTCTTGAGATGGAGTCTCACTCTGTCGCCAGGCTGGAGTGCAGTGGCACGATCTCAGCTCACTGCAACCTCCATCTCCCAGGTTCAAGCGGTTCTCCTGCCTCAGCCTCCTGAGTAGCTGGGACTACAGGCGCGCACTACCACGCCTAGCTACTTTTTGTATTTTTAGTAGAGATGGGGTTTCACCACGTTGGCCAGGATGGTCTCGATCTCTTGACCTCGTGATCTGCCCGCCTCAGCCTCCCAAAGTGCTGGGATTACAGGCGTGAGCCACCATGCCTGGCTGATACAAGGAAGTATTATTACTGAGTCATAGGGTATGTACTTTGCAGAGGGATGTGAGTTATTCTCCTCATTTGTTTTTTCTTTCATTCCGTTTTTGTTTGTTTGTTTTTAGAGACAGAGTCTCTAAAACCACACCAGCTGCGTGCAAAACCACACCGGCTAATTTTTGTATTTTTCTTGTAGAGACAGGGTTTCACCATGTTGCCCAGGCTGGTCTTGAACTCCTGGGTTCAAGTGATTCACCTGCCTCAGCCTCCCAAAATGCTGGGATTATAGTTGTGAGCCACCGTGCCCAGTCTTATCATCCTCATTCAGTAGATGATTAAATGGAGGCACAGAGAGGTAGAGTGACTTGCCCAGGGTCACACAGCAGGGAGCAGCAGAGGTAGAAATGGAATCCACGTCTGTGGGATTCCAGAACCTGGATCTTTTGTGCCATGCCCTCGGCTTACTTACAGAGCCTGACATGTCCACACATGCACACACGCACACATGAGCACACACACACTCTGTCTCTCTCCGTCTCACTCATTCTCTCTCTCCCACTGTCCAGATCTCCACATACATCACAGTGCCCCCGTCCCCACTGATCCAGACCCTGGTGCAGGGGAACATCTTGGTGAGCGATGATGTGCTCATGTCTGCCATGTCAGCCTTCACATCCCTGGACCAGCCCATGCCCCAGGGCCCCCCACCTGTGCAGGTAAGAAGGTGTGGGCTTCTCACAGGGTCTTGATTCCAGACCTGTACATTAACTCCTGCAGATTCAGAATCTTGTAGAATAAAGGGGGCCTGGCCCCAGCTCTCCCTGATGCTGAGGGAGGCTATCAGCTTTCCCTTGTCCAGCTCTGCTATAGATGGGGAAGCTGCTACGTCTAGGTGGGGACCCAGAACATGTGGGGCTTTGTCAATACAGTGCAGCTATTTTGACTTTTTTTTTTGAGATGGAGTCTCACTCTGTTGCCCAGGCTGGAGTGCAGTGGCACGATCTTGGCTCACTGCAACCTCTGCCTCCTGGGTTCAAGTGATTCTTCTGCCTCAGCCTCCTGAGTAGCTGAGATTACAGGCATGTGCCACCACAGCCAGCTAATTTTTTTTTGTATTTTTAGTAGAGACAGGTTTTCTCCATGTTGATCAGGCTGATCACGAACTCTTGACCTCAAGTGAGCCCCCCACCTCAGCCTCCTGAAGTGCTAGGATTACAGGTGTGAGCCACTGTGCCCAGCCAATTTTTGTATTTTTAATGGAGACGGGGTTTCACCATGTTGGCCAGGCTGGTCTCAAACTCCTGACCTCAGGTGATCCTCCCACCTTGGCCTCCCAAAGTGCTGGGATTACAGGATTACAGGTGTGAGCCACTGCACCCAGCCTGACTTTTGTTTTTGTTCTTTTTTTTTTTTTGAGACAGAGTCTTGCTCTGTTGCCCAGGCTGAAGTGCAGTGGTGCGATCTTGGCTCCCTGCAACTTCCACCTCCCAGGTCCAAGCAATTCTCCTGCCTCAACCTCCTGAGTAGCTGGGATTACAGGTGTGCGCCACCACGCCCAGCTGATTTTTGTATTTTTAGTAGAGATGGGGTTTCACTGTGTTGGTCAGGCTGGTCTCAAACTCATGACCTCAGGTGATCCACCTGCCTTGGCCCAAAGTGCTGGGATCACAGGTGTGCGCCACCGCGCCCAGCCTTGTTTTTATTCTTAACAAGTGTCCCATGTCTATTAGAAAAATAGAAAATGCACAGTAGCTCCCTGGGATTTAAAAAAAAAATTTTTGTAGAGATGACCATCTCCCTTTGTTGTCCAGGCTGATCTTGAACTCCTGGGCTCAAGGGATCCTCTAGTGTCGGCCTCTCAAAGTGCTGGGATTGTAGACGTGAGCTACTGCACCTGGCCAGGATTTTTTAATACAAAAAAGATCTGTGGCCAAAGGAACCTAAGGTGGAGGTGTTTTACTTCTCCCCTTGCTGTGTCCCTGGATTCTTCCTGCCATATAGAAATCCTTTTGATTTTCTCAACCGAGACTTTTTTTTTCCCTGTTTGGGAACCCAACGAACACAGTGAAGAAGAGGACCCCGTGTCCTTTATGAAATGCTGATCAGCATCATGTTTTTATTTTTGAGACAGCGTCTCACTCAGGTCACTCAGGCTGGAGTACAGTGGTAGGATCATAGCTCACTGTAACCTCAAACTCCAGGGCTCAAGCAATCCTCCCTGCTCAGCCTCCTGAGGAGCTGGGACTACATACATGGTGCCAACATACTTGGCTAATTTTAAAAAAAAATTTTTTTTTTTTTGAGATGGAGTCTCGCTCTTGTCACCTAGGCTGGAGTGCAGTGGCACCATCTCGGCTCACTGCAATCTCCGCATCCTGGGTTCAAGCGATTCTCCTGTCTCAGCCTCCTGAGTAGCTGGTATTACAGGCACCCGCCACCATGTCTGGCTAATTTTTGTACTTTTAGTAGAGACAAGGTTTTGCCATGTTGGCCAGGCTGGTCTTGAACTCCTGACCTCAGGTGATCTGCCCACCTTGGCCTCCCAAAGTCCTGGGATTACAGGCGTGAGCCACCGTGCCTGGCCTAAAAAAATTTTTTTTTAGAGACAGAGTCTCGCTATGTTACCCAGGCTGGTCTTGAACTCCTGGGCTCAAGCAATCCTCCTCCCTCTGTCTCCCAAAGTGCTGGGATTACAGGTGTGAGCCACTGCACCCAGCAGTACCATCATTTTAACAACTGCAAAGGATTCCACCATATGGATAGGCCATCTTCTGCTTAGCCAAGTTTCTATGTATAGACATGTAGGTCATTGCTGTTTTTTGCTTTTATGAAAATGGCTGGAGTCACTATCCATAAACAGACATCTTTGCCCACCTGCTTGATTTTTTTTGTAGCATAAATTTCTAGAAGTTACTGGCTGCGTTTCACGACTACCCACACATTCATGATTCTCTCAAAAGACTCACGGGACTCAGAGGTAGTTGTACTCATGGCTGTGGTTTATTACAGCAAAGGAACACACAGCAAGATCAGCAAGGGAAAAAGACACATCAGGTGGAATCTGGAGGAATCCAGAGTTCTCTGTCTTGGGGAGGTGGGGAGAGGTTGCACAAAACACACTTCTTCCTGCAGCAGTGAAGTCTAGCAACATGTGTGCTGTGTTTCTACCCAGGGAAACACACTTCAGACTCCAAAGCCAGGGTTTTGTTTGTTTGTTTGTTTGTTTGTTTTTCTGAGACAGGGTCTCACTTCAGCTGCCCTGGCTGGAGTGCAGTGGTGCAATTTCGGCTCACTGCAACCTCCACCTCCCTGGGCTCAGGTGATTCTCCCACCTCAGCCTCCCAAGTAGCTGGGACTACAGGTGTGCACCACTATGCCTGGCTAATGTTTTTGTATTTTTAGTAGAGATGGGGTTTTGCCATGTTGCCCAGGCTGGTCTCAAACTCCTGGACTCCACCCGCCTCAGCCTCCCAAAGTGTTGAGATTACAGGTGTTAGCCGCTGCACCAAGCCCAAGGCCAGGGTTTCTGTTAGGGATTGGTCATGTAGGTGACCAGCCACCATGACCAAAATTCCAGACTCCCAGAAGAGAAGGAAGTGTTCACCATGAATCACATATTTTGTCCAAGCAGTCTACATAATCTGGTACAATAGAACAGTGCCCCAGGTGGGCAAAATAAGCCTTATCAACAAAGGAGATGTCCCACAAACCAGATTCTCAGATCCCAGTCACGAGCTAGTGCTGCAAGCAAGCCCCCCCCCCTTTTTTTTTAATTTTATAACTTTATTTGAGGTATTTGATGATCAGCGATTAGTTCTCATCCACATTGACTGTCTGTAGATTTTTGAAAGTGGTAACAGGTACATAGGTAACCAAAGTATAGAGCTTATTTGGTGGATCTTCATCCTCATAACATTTTCTGGACAACCGCACACGGATGCAGTATGGGACATTCTTTATTCCTTTGTCTCAGACAGCTTTGTTGAGGCTGGTATCAATGCACACATCTGGAGTTCCCATCTCCTTCATGGCAAGTTTCCGAATCTCTTTGAGTGCCTGAGGAGCACGCTTCTTGAAGCCACTCCATGGATGCACTTGTGAATGTTGATGGTGTATTCTCAGGTCACCACCTCATTGATGGCCGAATGACCCTTTTTCTTCTCGCCACCCTTCTTTCTGGGAGCCATTCTGCTGGGTCCAAGATGGAAAGGGAAGCCCTTCTTAAGATAGCAACATTAGGCTGCTATATTAACTCTTTTCTGCATGAATGAGGTCATTTTTGCCTATTTTCTTTTCTTTTTTTTTTTTTTTTTTGAGATGGAGTCTTGCTCTGTCACCCAGGCTAAAGTGTGGTGGTGCAATCTCCACTCACTGCCAGCTCCGTCTCCCAGGTTCACACCATTCTCCTGCCTCAGCCTCCCGATAGCTGGGACTACAGGCGCCCGCCACCACGCCCGGCTAATTTTTTGTATTTTTAGTAGAGACAGGGTTTCACCATTAGCCAAGGTTGTCTCGATCTCCTGACCTCGTGATCCGCCCGCCTCAGCTCCCAAAGTGTTGGGATTACAGGCGTGAGCCACTGCGCCCGGCCATTTTTGCCTACTTTCATAGGGAAAAGGGATAGCAGCACCAAGCTGAGGCTTCCTTCGAATTCTCCCATGACTTTGTTTCCCCAACCTCTCTTAGCCCCTCTCCTGAGCTGTCTGGTAAGTAGCTGTTTTTCCACCTGGCTGGCTAAAGCAAATGTCCTTCCTTCCTGATAAATAAGACAACTGGTATCAAGAGGCTATAACACTTTTTCTTTTCTGATTTCAGAGCAGCCTGAACATGCATTCCGTGCCCAGCTACCTCACCCAGCCTCCACCTCCTCCTCCACCTCCTCCACCACTGCCCCCACCGCCACCACCTCAGCCTCCACCACCTCCACCCCAGAGCCTGGGCCCCCCTGGGCGTCCCAACCCTGGTGGGAACGGTGTGGTGGAGGTGTACAGTGCTGCTGCGCCCCTGGCTGGGAGTGGAACGGTGGAGATCCAGGCACTGGGGATGCAGCCCTACCCACCCCTAGAGGTGAGCAGAGGGGGCAGGGTGGAAGAGGACACTGGTCATGGACATCATGGCCAACCCGGACCCATCCTGAGCACCAGCTGTGTGCCAGACACTGTGCTGGGGATACCATGAAAACCAGACCCGGTCCTGGCCTTCATGGGGTGTACCACATCACAGGGGAGAAGGACTTTAATCAAAGCATCACACCCACAGATGTAAGATGCAAGCCATGAGAAGGTGGAATGGAGTACAGGTTGTAGCAGAAATATAAGCTGCCTGCAGGTAATGCTCAGAACAGTCAGAGAATGCCTACCTTTTCAGGCAAAAAAAAGAAAAAAGATTCAAAAAAATTATCTGCCTGAGTGTCTCTTACAGTTTTTAATAAGCTAGGTGTATCAGTTAGCTATTGCTGGGTAAGAAATATCCATCAGGCATCAGTGGCATATACCAAAAGTGTTTATTATTCACGTGTTTACAGTGGTCAGCTAGACAACTGCGGATCTTGGCTGGGCTCACTCATATGTCTGAACGTTGGCTGGCTGTCAGCTGCTCTAGGATGGCCTGGGCTGGGACAAGTGGGGTGACTCAGCTCTGTTCTGCGTGACTCTCATCCTCCACTAGGTTCTCATGGCCATGGTGGAGGTGCAAAAATGCAGACAGAAATGCCCAAGGCCTTTTGAGGTTTAGGCTTGTAAGTAACACAGAATCACTTCTATTGGCCAAAGCAGATCACAAGTCCAGCTTAGATAGCGCAGGTAGGGAAATAGATGCCACCTCTTGATGGGAGGAACTGCAGAGTCACACTGCAAAGGCTTGGGTACAGGGAGGGGCAAAGAATTGGTGCCATAATACAATCAATGTACCATACTAATTCCCTGCCAATGAGCTCTAAGTTATAGGCCATCTACTTGAAATGCACTGAGTTCATAGAACCTTCCAAGACACCAGTGCTAGAGGGTATGGTTATGACAGAAACAACCCACCTGCACTAGAAATCACACTAACTCAGACTCACCATAGAATCCAGCCACAGACATCCCCTGTCAGGTAGTCTCTTTATGTAAAGAGAGCCCAGACCAGTGGGAAGATCCCACCACGAGGCATTCACGTGATGTTCTGAGGGGCTGCGAGGGGATTTGCCCTACCCTGGGAGAATAGAACAAGCTTCTCTAGGGAATTTATTGCATTGAGAAAAAGTTAAGTTAGTGGGATGCTGAGATAATGCTGGTGGCTTGTGGTAGTCAGAGGGGACCAGCCCAGAGAGGACCAGCACAGAAGGAGCTGCTGCTGTTGATTTTCCATGTAGATGAGGGTATTTGAGGGCAGGGTCTGAGTCTTACTAGACTTTGCATCCTTAGCACCTAGCAGAGCACTCCTAGAGTAGATATCTTACATTGGACTGTCTGACCTCAGTCTGCGCTCCTCTAAAATGGGAACTCTCCTGAAAAGCTGTTGAGGATAATAAGAGCCTATGCCAGTGGCAGTCACATTAATTACTCAGTAATGCCTTGAGTGATGGCTGAATTTATTCACGTGACAAGTATTTATTTATTTATTTGAGACAGAGTCTCACTCTATCGCCCAGGTTGGAGTGCAGTGGTGTGATCTCGGCTCACTGCAACCTCCACCTCTCAGGTTCAAGCGATTCTCGTGCCTCAGCCTCCCAAGTAGCTGGTATTACAGGTATGAGCTACCACGCCCAACTAATTTTTTTTGTATTTTTAGTAGAAACGGGTTTCACCATGATGGCCAGGCTGGTCTCGAACTCCTGGCCTCAGGTGATCTGCCTGCCTTGGCCTCCCAAAGTGCTGGGATTACAGGCATGAGCCACCACACCCGTCCCAACAAGTATTTATTGAGTGCTGTATTGGTCAGGGTTTGGTCAGGAAAATAGAAACCAGGCAAGGTATTTCTGCAGAGGGATGTTTTTTCTTTTCTAAATTAGAGATAGGGGTCTCACTTTAGCCCAGGTTGGTCTCCATCTCCTGGCCTCAAGTGATCCTCTCACCTCAGCCTCCCAGAGTGCTGGGATTACAGGCATGAGCCACCATACCCGGCCAGATTTTATAATTTTTTTTGTACCTTTTTTTCAGCTTTGTCTGATTTTATTACTCCAACTGTAGCTTTCTATTTATTTATATTTGTCTGAAATATTTTTTCAACTTTGGGCTTTTTGCTGAGTTGAATTCTTTTTTTTTTTTTTTTTTTGAGACTGAGTCTTGCTCTGTCACCCAGGCTGGAGTGCAATGGCATGATCACGGCTCACCACAGTCTCGATCTCCCAGGCTCAGATGATTCTCCCACCTCAGCCTCCTGAGTAACTGGGACTACAGGCATGCACCACCATGCCCATCTAATTTTTTTAATGTTTTGTGGAGATGAGATCTCCCTATGTTGCCCAGGCTAGTCTCAAACTCTTGTGCTCAAGTGATCCTCCTTCCTCGGCCTGCCAAAGTGCTGGAATTACAGGCATGAGCCATCGTGCCTGGCCAGAGATTTTGGATAGGACACCTCAGGAAGACCAATGGATGATGAATAGGCCAGGCACAGGGGCTCACGCCTGTAATCCCTGCACTTTGGGAGCCCGAGGTGGGTGGATCACTTAAGCTCAGGAGTTTGAGTCCAGCTTGGGCAACATGGTGAAATCTTGTCTCTACAAATTACACAAAAATTATCTGGGCATGGTGGTGTGTGCCTGTTATCCCAGCTATTTGGTGGGGTGAGGCGGGAGGGTTGCTTGAGCCTGGGAGGTCAAGGCTGCAGTGAGCCGAGATCACATCATTGCATTCCAGCCTGGACAATAGAGCAAGAAAAATCTGAATGCCTCAGAATTCATTTGGTAATTTCTCGTGGCTTCAGTTCTCAGTGAAGAGAAGCCTGCTACTCTGGCATTGGGTAGTGTCAGTCAGGAAGTGGAGCAGCTGGGGGAGCACAGACCCCTCTGACTTCCTGGTTCTCTCTCTCTCTTTTTTTTTTTTTTTTGAGACAGAGTCTCACTCCATCGCCCAGGCTGGAGTGCAGTGGCGCGATCTCGGCCCACTGCAACCTCCGCCTCCCAGGCTCAAGTGATTCTCCTGCCTTAGCCTCCTGAGTAGCTGGGATTACAGGCACACACCACCATGCCTGACTTAATTTTTGTATTTTTAGTAGAGATGGGGTTTCACCATGTTGGCCAGGCTGGTCTCAAACTCCTGACCTTAGGTGATCTGCCCACCTTGGTCTCCCAAAGTGCTGGGATTACAGGTGTGAGCCACCAGGCTCAGCCACCTAGTTCTCTTAATGCTAGCAAAGTACCACTGATAAGAATAGACAGGGCAAATAATAACAGCTAATGTGTATTGCATGCTCACTCTATGCCAGTCACTGTTCTAAGCCCTTTATATGTTGCTTCATTTAATCTTCACAGTAACCGCATGAGAGGGGTACTATGATGAGTCCCATTTTACAGATGTGGAAACTGAGACAGAGAAATTAAAAAGATGCCTAAGGTCACTTCGGTGCTAAGTGGAAGAGTCAAGATTTGAATCCAGGCAGCCTGGCTCCATAGCTGTTCTGGCCTCCTGGCTTCATGAAGTTCTAAGGGAGCTTGGGAGTGGCTTGGGTGACCGGGCCAGGTGGAGGGGCTGTGATGGTGATGTAGGGGAGAGCGGCTGAGGTCAATCAGGGAGGCAGGGAGAGTGCCCCTGGCTGGGAGCTCTTCCCCTTCCCTGGCAGGGCTTTTTCCCTGACTGTGTTGTCCTCCTAGGTGCCAAACCAGTGTGTGGAGCCTCCAGTATATCCCACCCCCACAGTGTACAGCCCTGGCAAACAGGGATTCAAACCCAAAGGACCAAACCCCGCCGCCCCCATGACCAGCGCCACCGGGGGCACGGTGGCCACCTTTGACTCTCCAGCAACGCTGAAGACCCGACGAGCTAAAGGTGCCAGGGGACTCCCGGAAGGTGGGCCCCCAGCCTGCCATGGGCATCTTTCCTCAACATTGGCCAATCCACAAGCTACTTGGTTCTGGTCTTCCCTTTTATGGTTGTTCAAGTTTGGTTGCATGTAATAGAAAATTCAAAATATCAATGACTTCAAAATGATAGAATTTTGTTTCTCTCCTGTGTAAGTCAAGGCCAGAAGCCAGACAATCTGGGGATCATGTGACTGCATGGGCACCAGGCACCCTCGTTTCTTCTGTCTTTCTGTTTCCACCACCTCCAGAACATGGTATCAGTTATCCTGGTGCCTCATTGTCTAAGATGGCTGCTGGAGCTCCAGTCATCACTTTAATATTCCAGGCAGTAAGAAGAAGGGAAAGAGAAGGATAAAAGGGGCTTCTCCCAGCTTCTAGAAGTTCTGTTTGATATTTTTGCTCATATCTCATTGATGAAAACTTAGTCACATGGCCATACCTAGCTGCAAGAGAAGCTGGGAAGTGTCTATTTTGGCTAGGGACATTGATATTCCCATTATGGGATTTGTGAGGAGTGAAGAAGGAGAGAGTGGATATTAGGCAAGCAGTAGTATCTGCCATCCTAATGCAGATGCTAAGTATGGGGTGGGAGGTGGTGTCAGAGCAGGCAGCAGATGGAGAGGATAGAAATTGAGAATTTTTCAGTGGCTTTCCAGTCAACTACTCCTCCCCTTCCTTCCTTCCACAATGATGTATTGAGCATCTGTGTGCCAGGCCCCATGTCAGGCACTGGAATCTAGTCTCTTGGTCTATGATTCCTTCTGCCTTCAGTTTAATGGAAGAGACAGACAGGGAATAAATAAATAAATATTTCTGGGTTGCTCCAGGAAGGAGGTTAATGGGTCTTATGATTGAGAATAACTAGGGAGAGGCTGGAAAATGATTCTACCTATTCATGTGGGAGGAGAAGGAAGCAGCCTTGTGGGTATCTGTGGGACAAGCATTCCAGGCAAGGGGGAACAGCAGGTGCAAAGGCCCGGAGGCAGGAACATGCTTGAAGTCTTTTAAGGTTAGCAAGGTTAGCTAGGAGTCCACTGCAGCTGGATGGAGAGAATGATGAGGTTGTCAGGAGTAAGGGGATACAGAGTGCTGTGGGCCATGGCAAAGAGCGTGGATTTGATTGTAGGGCAGAGGGGAGCCTTTGAAGGATTCATCTTGCTTTCCCAGCTGGAGCATGTCCTGGGCTTTCCTCTCCAGGCCCTGTGAAGCTCTCCCATGTCTCCTCCCTGGCCTGTGTATGGGCATAGACTTCCCTGGGGTATGGATTGTCTGGCTCAGATACAGTAGTCAGAGGCTGCCCTTGGTGCCCTGAGCTGCACCCCCAGCCTCATTGTCCCCTCCTTCCACTTGTCTTTCAGCTGCAGGGAAGCCAAAGGCTCAGAAACTCAAGTGCTCATACTGTGACAAGTCATTCACCAAAAACTTTGACCTGCAGCAGCACATCCGAAGGTACACATGCGTGGTGAGGCAGGTGGCTCCTGGGCAGGTGTGGCTGGGACCATCTGTGCTGGAAGCGAGACTCCCTTCTCAGCCCCTAGCCTGTGGGGTGACCCAGGCTGCACTTGCATGTTCAGGCTGTAGTCCAGGTCGGGTGGTTTTCCCTCTTCTATCTCAGAGGCTGTGGGAGGGACCTGTGAAAGCTGTGGGACCTGCCCATAGAGACTGGGAAGGTCAGGGATGGGCCGTGTAGGGGAAGAAAAGCACTGAACCCAGAGGGGTTTCACAGATGTGTTAGTGCTGTCTTAGGCCTCCCCTCTGCAGAACAGGCTGGCCTACCAGGGCTGCCATACTCTGCAAATAGGACTCTGTGAGCTCTCTGCTCACTCCAGACTAACCATGCAGGGATCCCTTCTGGGCCTTGGTTTTTCCATCTGTGGAAGGGGAGGCTGGGCTTGTTCATTTCTCACACAGTGAAATGCACTGGTACATGAGATGATTTTTTTTGAGACTGAGTTTCACTCTTGTTGCCCAGGCTGGAGTGCAATGGTGCAATCTCGGCTCACTGCAACCTCTGACTCCTGGGTTCATGTGATTCCACTGCCTCAGCCTCCCGAGTAGCTTGGATTACAGGCATGCGCCACCACGCCCGGCTAATTTTGTATTTTTGGTAGAGATGGGGTTTCTCCATGTTGGTCAGGCTGGTCTTGAACTCCCAACCTCAGGTGATCCACCCGCCTCGGCCTCCCAAAGTACTGGAATTACAGGTGTGAGCCACCGTGCCTGGCCGATGAGATGATTTTTGGTGGTTCATGAATATGGGGTTGAAAAGTTCTGAAAAATGTAGTGGGAAAATTATTCCCTTTGCAATTTCAGTCCTTAGGAAGTCATAGAGAAAACCTCAATTTGGTATAATTGGTCTTTAGCACCTTTGGTATACATGCTCGTCTCTTATAACAAAAGGAGAGAGAGAGAGAGGGAGAGAGAGAGAGAGAGGGAGAGAGAGAGAACAAACCTCACATTCCAGCCATGGCTGGCAACAGCTTCTATCTAGACCAGGGTTTTTCAGCCTTGCCACTACTGACGTTTTGGATCTTGGATCACATCATTCCTTCCTGTAGGGAGCTGACCTGCACATCGTGGAATGTTTAGGAGCATCCCTGGCCTCTAACTATTAGATGCTAGTAGTACTGCAGCTACAGCTGTGACAATCAAAAATGCCAAATGTTCCCTGGAGGGCAAAACTGGCCTCAGTTGAGAACTGGTCTACACAAGTGCTGTCGCTGTCCAATAGAACTTTCTGTAGCGATAGAAATGCTCAAATTGGGTTGGGCATGGTGGCTCACGCCTGTAATCCTAGCACTTTGGGAGGCTGAGGTGGGTAGATCACTTGAGGTCAGGAGTTCAAGACCAGCCTGGCCAACATGGTGAAACCCCGTCTCTACTAAAAATACAAAAATTAGTTGGGCATGGTGGCGGGTGCTTGTAGTCCCAGCTACTCTGGAGGCTGAGACAGGAGAATCCCTTGAACCCAGGAGGCAGAGGTTGCAGTGAGCTGAGATCGTGCCAGTGCACTCCAGCCTGGGTGACAGGGTGAGACTCTGTCTCAAAAAACAACAAAAAAGAAATGCTCAAACTGGCGCTGTCCAATATGGTAGCTACTGACTATACATGGCTGTTGAGCACTTGGAATGTGGCTAGTGAGTCTGAGAAACTGAATTTTGTATTTTATTTTATTTTAATGAATTTAATTTTTTTTTGTTTTTTGAGACAGGGTCTTGCTCTGTTGCCCAGGCTGGAATGCAGTGGTGCAATCTCAGCTCACTGCAGCCTCAACCTCCCAGGCTCAAGCAATCCTTCTACCTCAGCCTCCTAAGTAGCTGAGACCACAGGCTCGCTCCACCACACCTACCTAATTTTTGTATTTTTTGTAGAAACAGGGTTTCATCATGTTGCCCAGGCTGGTCTTGAACTCCTGAGCTCAAGCGATTCTTCCGTCTCAGCTTTCCAAAGTGCTGGGATTACAGGTGTGAGCCACCATGCTGGGCTTGAATTTAAATTTAAATAGCCCCATATGGCTTATGTCTACCTTATGGGACAGTATAGCTCTAGATCTTGCATTTTTTTTTGTTTACTTTATGATAAGTGGTTTTCCACATAGAATAACAAAAATAAGCCTTTTTTAAAGATTATTTTATTTTCATTTATTTTATTTTTAGAGACAAGGTCTCACTCTGTCATCCAGGCTGGAGTGCAGTGGCATGATCATAGCTCATTGTAACCTCCAACTGATGGGCTTAAGTGATCCTTCCGCCTCAGATTCCCAAAGTGCTAGAATTACATACGTGAGCCACAAAATTATTTTAAGTTTTAAAAAAGTGAGTTGATTTGAAGAAAAATGTTAAACTGTGGTACAAGTGCTGTGCTGTGACAACTTGAATGTTTTTTGCTTCAAATGACAGAAGTCCCTATTTATTTATTTATTTATGAGATGGAGTCTCACTCTGTCACCCAGGCTGGAGTGCAGTGGCGCAATCTTGGCTCACTGCAACCTCCGCCTCCTGGGTTCAAGCAATTCTCCTGCCTCAGCCTCCTGAGTAGCTGGGATTATAGATGCACACCACCACACCCAGTTAATTTTTTATCTTTAGTACAGACAGAGTTTCACCATGTTGGCCAGGCTGGTCTCGAACTCCTGACCTCAAGTGATCCACCTGCCTTGGCCTCCCAAAGTGCTGGGATTACTGGCGTGAACTACTGTGCCAGGCCAGAAGTCCTCATTTAAATGGGCTTGAACAATTAGGAAATGTTCTGTCACAGTATGAGATGGTCAGAGGAGGGCGGCTCCAGGGTTTGTTGATGAGCAGCTCAGTAACGTGACCCGGAACCCAGGGTCTTTCCATCTCTGGTCTGCCTGCCTCAGCGAAGGGGCTTGTCGCCGTGGTGTCAGAATGTGGCAAGTGGCATCTGGATGTTCTTTCTGGGCCTTCCTTGTGGCTGTGAGCTCCTGGGCTGAGGCCTCGTCCCCGTTCCTGCAGGAGGGCACTGACAAGCTTGTCTTCCACAGCCACACCGGTGAGAAGCCCTTCCAGTGCATTGCATGTGGCCGTGCCTTTGCCCAGAAGTCTAATGTTAAGAAACACATGCAGACCCACAAGGTGTGGCCTCCAGGACACAGTGGTGGCACCGTGTCTCGAAACTCTGTGACCGTACAGGTCATGGCCCTGAACCCCAGCAGGCAGGAGGACGAGGAAAGCACAGGTGGGTGGAAGTAGGGAACGCCATGCTTCCCACACCTCTCTTCTGCCGCTTCACAGGTTTTATTGCTAGCTGTGTGACCTTGGGCAAACCCCATGACCTCTCTGGGCTTCAATCTACCTTTATCTATAAAATGTGGCATAAGATGAAAGGAAGGATGACAAACATACAACATGTGTGGCATTACTCTAATACTGTACCCATGGCAGACATCACTATTCAATCACCTACCCATTTTTTGCTGAGCCTGGATCTCACCTCAGAATCTTTTTTTTTTTTTAACTTATGAGTTATTTCTGGAATTTTCCATTTAATATTTTCAGACCATGATTGACTTTGGGTAATTGAAATCATGGAAAGCAAAACTGCAAGTAAGGGGAGACTACTATAAAATAAAAATTTATGATCCCCTACTGTTAAAATAAATGAATGAATAAATAAATAGGGGATAAAAGAAAGCCCTTTCTTTTTTTTTTTATTTTTACTTTAAGTTCTGGGATACATGTGCAGAACGTGCAGGTTTGTTACATAGGTATACGTGTGCCATGGTGGTTTGCTGCACGTATCACCCCATCATCTAGGTTTTAGGCCCTGCATGCATTCGGTATTTGTCCTAAGGCTCTCTCTCCCCTTGTCCCCAGCCCCCCGACAGGCCCTGGTATGTGATGTTCCCCTCCCTGTGTCCATGTGTTCTCATCGTTCAACTCCCACCTATGAGTGAGAACATACGGTGTTTGGTTTTCTGTTCCTGTGTTAGCTTGCTGAGAATGATGGTTTCCAGCTTCATCCATGTCCCTGCAAAGGACATGAACTCATTATTCTTTATGGCTGCATAGTATTCTATGGTATATATGTGCCACATTTAAAGAAAGCCCTTTCTTATAGTAAAATGTGAACTGATAAAAGTAGAAATAATGATTAAATTAGAAAATAACTATTTGACAGCCACCATAGTAATACAGTCACATGCTATGTAAGGATGTTTCCATGAGTAACAGATGGCATATGTGACAGTGGTCCCATAAAATTATAATGGAGCTGGAAATTTTCTGTCATCTAGTGACATTGTTGCCATTGTAAAATCATAGCACACTGCATTACCTTTTCTATGTTTAAGTTACATTCATTTAAAAAATTTTAGATTTAGAGGGTACATGTGCTTGTTTGTTACATGGGTATTAGATGCATAATGGTGGTGGCTGGGCTTCTAGTGTACCCATCACCCAAATACTAGACATTGTACCAACGGGTAGTTTTTCTTTTTTTGAGACAGAGTCTCACTCTGCCACCCAAGCTGGAGCGCAGTAGTGCTATCAGCTCACTGCAACCGCTGCCTTCCAAGCTCAAGTGATCCTCCTGCCTTAGCCTCCCGAGTAGCTGGGAATACAGGTGCCCTTTACCACACCTGGCTAATTTTCGTATTTTTAGTAGAGACAAGGCTTCACCATGTTGGCCAGGCTGGTCTCAAACTCCTGACCTCAAGTAATCCACCCACCTTGGCCTCCCAAAGTGCTGAGATTACGGACGTGAGCCACCATGCCTGGCTAACACGTAGTTTTTCAACCCTTGCCTTCCCTCACCATCCCTGCTCAGAATCTGTTTTCTATATGTTGCTCCAGGCAGTCACTGTAGTTGATCAGAAGTTGAAAGCTATTTGACCTCCAAGGTTAGTTGGTCTCCAAAGCTCTTTATACATGTGGGATTCTCATCATTTGTCCCTGAGCTAATGCTCCTATCCCTGATATTGATTTAGTTTCTTTCTTGCATGAGGACTGAGAACTTACTAGGTTTAGAGCAGCGCTGCCCAACAGAAATATAGTATGAACAACATATGTAATTTAAAATGTTCAGCCGGGCATGGTGGCTCACGCCTGTAATCCCAGCACTTTGGGAGGCTGAGGTGAGAGGATCTTTTGAGCTCAGGAGTTCAAGATCAGCCTGGGCAATATGGTAAAACCCATCTCTCTCTTTTTTTTTTTTTTTTTTTTCTGAGACGGAGTCTCACTCTGTTGCCCAGGCTGGAGTGCAGTGGCGCGATCTCAGCTCACTGCAAGCTCCGCCTCCTGGGTTCACGCCATTTTCCTGCCTCAGCCTCCCGAGTAGCTGGGACTACAGGCTCCCGCCACCATGCCCGGCTAATTTTTTTTGTATTTTTAGTAGAGAACGGTGTTTCACTGTGTTAGCCAGGATGGTCTCCATCTCCTGACCTCGTGATCCACTCACCTCGGCCTCCCAAAGTGCTGGGATTACAGGCGTGAGCCACTGCGCCTGGCCCCCATCTCTATTTAAACAAAAAGTTCTGTCTTTAATGGCAAAAATAATCTTAAATAAATAAATGAAATAAAATTTTCTAGTAGCTACATTAAAAGCAATTTTTAAAAAGATCAAATTAATTTTAATTATATATCTTATTTAACCATATATGTGTATGTGTGTATATATATATGTGTGTGTATATATATATGTATATATATGTGTGTGTGTGTATGTGTATATATATATATATATATTTTTTTTTTTTTTTTTTTTTTTTTTTTTGAGATGGAGTCTTGCTCTGTCGCCCAGGCTGGAGTGCAGTGGTGCGATCTTGGCTCAATGCAACCTCCACCTCCTGGTATTTAACCCGATATATTAACATTATTATTTTAACATATAATATAAAGATTGAATATACTTTATATTCTTTTTTTAATAAATTTTTGAAATCCAGCAGGTATATACACTTATAGCACATCTGGATATGGACTGGACACATTTCTTTCTGTTTTTTGTTTTGTTTTGTTTTGTTTTTTAGTTAGGGTCTCATTCTGTCACCCCAGACTGGAGTGCAGTGGTGCAATCATAACTCATTGTAGCCTCGAACTCCCGGACTCAAGTGATCCTCCCTCCTCAGCCTCCCAAGTAGCTGGGATGGGGGTGCACCACTGCGCCTGGCTAATTGTTAAAAATTGTTTTTGTAGAGACAGGGTCTTGCTTTGTTGCCCAGGCTGGTCTCAAACTCCTGAGCTCAAGTGATCCTCTCACCTCAGCCTCCCAAAGTACTGGAATTATAGGTGTGAGCCATCATGCCTGGTGCCACATTTCAAGTTCTCAGTAGCCACGTGTGGCTCAGGACCACTTTATTGGATAGTGTAAGGCCAGAGTCTAAGCCATTCCCATGTAGACCCAAGGGTGAGCAATGCCAGGCACATGCTAGGTAATGAAGGGAGTGTTTTGCTGGGAAAGCAATGTGTGACCACTTTTATCTGACCTTCCTTCAGGCTTCCTGTTGGAACTAGCCCTACTGTGTGCCTTCTGAGTTCTTGTGAACTCCTTTTTTTTTTCTTTAAAAAAAATTTTCTTTTGAGACAAGATCTTGCTCTGTCACCCAGGCTGGAGTGCAATGGCATGATGGTGGCTCCCTGCAGCCTCAACCTCCCGGGCTCAAGTGATCCTCCCACCTCAGCTTCCTGGGTAGGTGGGACCACCGACACATGCAACCATGCCCAGCTAATTTTGTTTATTTTTTGTAGAGATGGCGTCTCATTATGTTGCTGAGGCTGGTCTTGAACTCCTGGGTTCAAGGGATCCTCCTTCCTCGGCCTCCTAAAGTGCTGGGATTATAGGAATGAGCCATCACACGGCCCTAAAGAATAAATAATTTCTTCCATTTTTTTTGAAACTCCTTTAGTGCCTAGCACCAAAGGTTTAACCATTTAGCAAACATTTATAGAGGCCTACTATGTGCCAGGCCACTGGGCCTGCAGGGATGAGGCCAGAGGCCCCTGATGTCAAGGAAAGTGAGGAACAGTGTAGTGAGGGAAGGATGATGAAACAGATGATTACAATTTTTTTTGTTTGTTTGTTTGAAATGGAGTCTCACTCTTGTTGCCCAGGCTGGAGTGCAATGGCGCAATATTGGCTCACTGCGACCTCCACCTTCCGGGTTCAAGCAATTCTCCTGCCTCAGCCTCCCAAGTAGCTGGGATTACAGGTGTGCGTCACCACGCCCAGATAATTTTTTTGTATTTTTGGTAGAGACGGGGTTTCACCATGTTGGCCAGGCTGGTCTCGAACTCCTGAACTCAGGTGATCTGCCCGCCTTGGCCTCCCAAAGTGCTGGGATTACAGGTGTGAGCCACCGCACCTGGTGATGATTACAATTATTATTATTATTTTTTGAGACAGAATCTCACTCTGTCACCAAGGCTGGAGTGCAGGGGCACAATCTCTGCTCACTGCAGCCTCCGCCTCCCAGGTTCCAGTGATTCTCCTGCCTCAGCCTCCTGTGTAGCTGGGATTACAGGCACCCTCCACCACGCCTGGCTAATTTTTGTATTGTTAGTAGAGATGGGCTTTCACCATGTTGGGAAGGCTGATCTCGAACTTCTGACCTCAAGTGATCCGTCCGCCTTGACCTCCCAAGGTTCTGGGATTACAGGTGTGAGCCATCGCACCCGGCCAGATGATTACAATTAGAAGAGGGGACTGGGGAGGCATTAGGAGTACAACTAGGATGGTGTTTAGAATTTTTAACAACCATGGAGAGGTCTACAGTGTCTGAGGGGAAGGCCAGAGAGGGGAGGCTCGAGGCAGCAGCTGTTTCTCACTCAGAAAGGAAGCATTTCTGTATTTGAGCCTGGGAATGGCCGTACCAGTGCACAGCAGCTGAGTGTGAGTGCAGCACCTTAAGCACAGAGTCTGACCCAAAGCGAGTAGCAGGTGCCGGGTGAACACAGAGGAGCACGGAGTAGGGGTTCTGTGCATCCTTCCTGAATGGGCCGGCTCCTTGTCCTGACTTCCCTGGCTTTCTCCACAGGGTTGGGCCAGCCCCTGCCGGGTGCGCCACAGCCCCAGGCCTTGTCCACAGCTGGTGAGGAAGAGGGGGACAAGCCGGAGTCCAAGCAGGTGGTCCTCATCGACAGCTCCTACCTGTGCCAATTCTGCCCCAGCAAATTCAGCACCTACTTCCAGCTCAAGTCTCACATGACCCAGCATAAGAATGAGCAGGTAGGTGGATGGTGGCAGCAGGGGCCCACACCACACCAGTCGAAACCTTTCACTGGTGCTAGGGTCTTGAATGCTGCCTAGAAAGGGGTAGGAACCAGTGAGTCAGACCTTCCACGGCTCTATTCCCCCCGGGTTAGATTCCGAGCAGGGGATTGATGAAGTAAGGTTACCCTTGGGGCAAATCACAGAAAACTTTGACTCTCCTCCAGACCTGAGACAGCTGACTCCACCCAGCGTAAGGACTCTGTGTCTTTCCAGCTCTGGTCTCTGTCATCTCAGGGTGTGGCCTTGACCTCTCCTGATGGCTCACCTTGTACTCCTGTCCTGGGATGGTGATCACTTCTTTTTTTTTTTTTGAGACGGTTTTACTCTTCCGCCCAGGCTGGAGTGCAGTGGTGCGATCTCAGCTCACTGCAACCTCCACCTCCATGTTGGCCAGGCTGGTCTCGAACTCCTGACCTCAAGTGATCCACCCGCTTGGCCTCCCAAAGTGCTAGGATTATAGGCATGAGCCACTGTGTCTGGCTGGTGGTCACTCTTTCTAGGCACCAATCCAGAACCACTGTTATCCGTGAGCCAAAAGGGGTTATCTCTTCTTTATCTTTTATAGGAGCAAGAAAGCTTTTCCTAGAAGCACTTTGTAGATCTCTTTTTGGTGAAACCCAGTACATGTGCTCTATCATTTGACAATGCATTATTATGCTACAAATGATAGAAAACTGGCTTCTTAGGGTTTTATTTCTCTCACATTAAAGAAATTCAAAGAAGAAATCCCTAAGTAGGCAGCGTTGGGCTTATATAGAGCAGGTCAAATATGTCACCATAGACTCAGGCTTCTAGCTGTCTGATCTGCCATTCTTAGCTTATGGGCTTCATCCTCAAGGTTGCAGGATGGCTGCTATGTCTCCATACATCAAATGTGTATTCCAGTCAAGATAAACAGAAAGCAGAGGGAATTTCTCCTGGGAAGCTTTTGCCTTTGTGTTCTGGAAGTGATGCAGTCCTCAAAGACTACTGACTGTATATCGTTGGCTAGAAAGGAGTCACATGGTTGACACTAGATGCAAGGGAACCAGGATCAAGTGTTTTTTTTTTCCCCCCGAGGCAGTCTCACTCTGTCGCCCAGGCTGGAGTGCAATGGCACGATCTCGGCTTACTGCAACCTCCACCTCCCACGTTCAAGGGATTTTCCTGCCTCAGCCTCCTGAGTAGCTGGGATTACAGGTGCCCCCCACCACACCCAGCTAATTTTTGTATTTTTAGTAGAGACGGTGTTTCACCATGTTGGCCAGGCTGGTCCCGAATTCCTTACCTCAAGTGATCCACCCACCTCGGCCTCCCAGAGTGTTGGGATTACAGGTGTGAGCCACCGCGCCCAGCCCGTGTTTTTGTTTTTTTTTTAGACAGGGTCTCACTCTGTCACCAGGCTGGAGTTCAGTGGCTTCATCTCAGCTCACTGTAACCGCCACCTCCTGGGTTCAAGGGATTCTCCTGCCTCAGCCTCTTGAGTAGCTGGGATTACGTGCATGCACCACTACACCTGGCTAATTTTTGTGCTTTTAGTAGAGATGGGGTTTCACCATGTTGGCCAGGCTGGTCTCGAACTCCTGGGCTCAATTGATCTGCCTGCCTTGGCCTCCCAGCATGTTAGGATTACAGGCATGAGCCACCACGCCCGGCCTGGATCAAGTGTTTTAACTAGGTATGTTGCTATTCTGAGCAAATCAGGGTTCACTTTTTTAGGTAGAAGGAGTGCATGATATTGTGTAGGCAACCAGGACTTACGTACTATTTATCAAAGTATGATTTTCGAGATGTTAAAAACATACTTCTCATACAAATGAGGCCTGAAAGTGAGTCAGAATTTTACTTAACTCATTAGTGAGGAAACCCAAAGGAAGACAAAGCCTGTTCAACAGAGGCCATGGATAGCTATGCCTAATAACTGTCAATGAAAAAAAGAGATACTGAAGTCAGATTGTCAAATTACATACAAATCTGGTTAATGTCCTGCAAGACAACAAAACCTGTGACCTTTGGGGTTATCTTCTCTATCTGACAAAAATCAATTACGTTGGATTAGTTTTTTACAAATTAACAAATTAACATTTAACTGTAGAGTCCTAGTCAATGGAAAGTAGTCAGAAGTAGCCACATCCTGTAGAGAGTGTGATGACTGTGGGCCGGCTATAGGCAGGCTCCTTAGACAGCAGTTCTCAAAGTCCCAGGCCAGCAGCACCAGCATCCCCTGAGGATTTCTCGTTAGTGATGCACATATTCAGACCCACTAAGTCAGATTTCTCAGGGCCAGGGAGGGGGTGAAGGGGTGGTGGTGGGGGGGGGGGCAGTGGGAGGGGTGGCGGGGGCACAGCCCTCAGCAACCTGTAATTCTGAGGCCTGCTCCAGTTTGAGAGCCGGTATTCCAGTATGACATTGAAAGGGTATACACTGTCATCTTTTCACTGTATTTCCAGGTCTTGAATAATTTTTCTAAATATACCTATGCCACACAGAGCCTGAGGGAAGGGTAATAGGGCCATCACGACTGGCTGAGAGGAGGGAACCCTCTAATCAAGTTAAAACAAGGGGCTGGGCACAGTGGCTCATGCCTGTAATCCCATCACTTTGGGAGCCCAAGGCGGGTGGATCACTTGAGGTCAGGAGTTCGAGACCAGCCTGGCCAATGTGGTGAAACCCCGTCTCTACTAAAAATACAAAAATTAGCTGGGCATGGTGGTGTGCACCTGTAATCCCAGCTACTGGGGAGGCTGAGGCAGGAGAATCGCTTGAACCTGTGAAGTGGAGGTTGCAGTGAGCCGAGATTGTACCACTGCACTCCAGCCTGGGCGATAGAGTGCGACTCAGTCTCAAAAATGAATGAATGAATGAATAAAAACCCTGGGATCCAGTAGCAGCAGGGGGGCAGAGGGAGCAGTGGTCAGATCATTTACCATCAGTGTCCAAGGCCAATGCCACAGGCCAGGGGCTGCAGTGGAGGAAGCTCTCCTGCCTCCTGTCACCTGCCCAGCGTCTTCCCTCAAGGTGTACAAGTGTGTGGTCAAAAGCTGTGCCCAGACGTTCCCAAAGCTCGACACATTTCTGGAGCACATCAAGAGCCACCAGGAGGAGCTGAGCTACCGCTGCCACCTCTGCGGCAAGGACTTCCCCTCGCTGTACGACCTGGGCGTGCACCAGTACTCCCACAGCCTCCTGCCACAGCACAGCCCCAAGAAGGACAATGCCGTCTACAAGTAAGTGCCTCCTGCTTCCCTCTCCCTGGGTGGACGGGTGGGTGGGCAGGGAGCCCAGGGCCTGTGGCCTTGGTGGTTCTGACTGCTTAGGACCAGTGAGATATTTGAAAGGAGAAACCGAGGCTCCTGGCTGGGGTCCAGCCTGGCAGAGTGGGTTCTGGGCTTTGGCACTGGTGGAAGAAAGGATGCTGGCTCTCCTTATATCATTCTTATGTCTTGGCAGACATTTTTCCCAAAAAAAAATCCTTAAAAAGAGGAACCTATATTTCCTTGTTCATAGTGGGAAAAGGTTTGAGCATTTTATTCCAAACTAAACAATTATGACAGTATTATTTTGTCTCATAATCTACAAAATTTAGCTTACAGTCAAAGCGGTACACCGGTTCTTAACAATTAAAAAAGAATGGGCAGGGTGTGGCGGCCCACATCTGTAACCCCAGTACTTTGGGAGGCCAAGGCAGAAGGAGGCCAGGAGTTTGAGACCAGCCTGGCAACATAATGAGACCCCATCTCTACAAAATAAAATACATTTTAAAATGAACAGTTGGCTGGGCGTGGTGGCTCACACCTGTAATCCCAGCACTTTGGGAGGCTGAGGCGGGCAGATGATGAGGTCAGGAGATGGAGACCATCCTGGCTAACACGGTGAAACCCCGTCTCTACTAAAAATACAAAAAAAATTAGCCGGGCGTGGTGGTGGGCGCCTGTAGTCCCAGCTACTTGGGAGGCTGAGGCAGGAGAATGACGTGAACCCGGGAGGCAGAGCTTGCAGTGAGCTGAGACCGTGTCACTGCACTCCAGCCTGGGCGACAGAGCAACACTCCGTCTCAAAAAAAATAAAATACAATAAAATGAACGGTAACATGTTTAAAAGCAAAGATCATAAAAATAATATTCATTTGTTTTATAATCTATAAGATCTAGGTTAAAGTTGAAGCTATATGCTGATTCCTATTTTTATTTTATTTTTTTCTTTGAGATGGGGTTTTGCTCTGTTGCCCAGGTTGGAGTCCAGTGGCACCATCACAGCTCACTGCAGCCTCCCCGGGCTCAGGTGATCCTCCCACCTCAGCCACCTGAGTAGCTGGGACTAACAGGCATGTGCCCCACGCCCAGCTAATTTTTGTATTTTTTGTAGAGACGGGGTTTCGCCATGTTGCTCAGGCTGGTCTTGAATTCCTGGACTCAAGTGATCCTCCCACCTTAGCCTCCCAAAATGCTAGGATTACAGGCGTGAGCCACTGTGCCCAGCCTATATGATGATTCTTAGAATGAACAAGGGATGGATCAGGTATGGATTTTATTGGGGTAATTTATTCTGATAATCATTTATATCACTTCAGTCTTCCATTGTGGTCATGAAGAGGGTCCCTTTGGCAGAAATGATGAAAGGTTTCCTCAGTTTTGCAACATGCTTTTTATCCTTAGATCTTCATGTTAAAGCAGGGCACAGTGGCTCACGCCTATAATCCTAGCATTTGGGGAGGCTGAGGTGGGAGGATGGCTTGAGCCCAGGAGTTTGAAACCAGTCTGGGCAACATAGCAAGACCTTGTCTCAACAAAAATAGAAAAATTAGCCAGGTGTGTTGGCACGCACCCGTAGTCCCAGCTACTCAGGAGGCTGAGATGGTAGGATTGCTTGAGCCCAGGAGGTTAAGGCTGCTGTGAGCCATCATCGCGCCACTGCACTCAGCCTGAGCGACAGAGACGCTTGTCTTAAAAAAAAAAAAAAAAAAAAAAAAAGATCTTCACGTCATTCTCTTTGGACCTATTGACCTCTGATCATCCTTGTTGAGTTTCTCTGCCTCAGTTGTTTTCTGGTCTGTTTTGCCAGGTCTTCCTTTGTTGATGGTGTTATTTGCAGTTGTGCAACATCACTTTGATGATGTCATGAAATCCCCCATCTGCAGTCATTTTGCTGTACATTTGCCTGCATCATCTGGGAGCACCTGCCTCACAAAACCCATGGGGGTAGATAGTAGCAAAAGGCCAGGAGTGGTGTTTGTGTGGGGCCTCCTTCCAGTTCATTAGCAAATATTTTCCCATTACAGTGGTTTTTGCTTCTCTGTACAAACTTGTACCTGCAGAGATTTGGTGTTTCTGTTAATGAGGCCCCTGTAACTCCTGGGTGAAGCTTCTGGGGTTCAGAGATAAGTAAATACCTTGAGCTTAAAATGCATGGGCTGCTCAGGGTGACTGGTGTGTAAACAAATGCACCCTATCACTTGATAAAATGCTATCATATATGTTTATAAGGTATAGAGATACCACAGGGGAGGCAGGCTAGAGAAGCTGTCCCAAGAGCAGTGACATCTGAACTGAGTTTTGAAGGATGAATAGGAGTTTGCCAGGTAGACAATGGATGGAGTGTGTTCCTATCAGGAGGAACCGCAAGTTTAAAATACAACAGCAAGTGATGTATTAATAGAATGACTGTTATGTGGAGTGGAAGCGGGAGGGAGATGTTTAGATGGGGCCTATGGGAAAAAGTGGGGCCAAGGCATGAAGGGCCACGTAGAAATCACAAGAGCTCTGAGAAGTTGGCAGAGGAGCTAGAACTCAAGAAATGGGGTGTAGGGTAACTTGCCCCCAAGACTCTGGGAAATGGGGCAAGAGAGGCAGGGAAGCTGGGCAAAGCTTTGGCCAGCCAAGGGGCAGAGATTTCTGGCAGTGATGACTTATTCCCGTTTGCACTTGATAAATTTTCTTTGGCTCTTGCCCTTCTGATTTGTGGATTATCTGTGAGTTCCTGTGGCTGTGTGACTCTGGAGTGAGATGCCAAGTAAAGGGAAGGAAGCACCTGCTCTGTGCCAAGCTTTGCCTTTAGTGACATGAATCCCTGCAGCCCTGGGAGGTAGGTGATATTCTCCCCATTTTGAAGATGAAGACACTGAGGTTCAAAGAGAAGTGACCTGCCCACCAGAGTAACAACATCAGCAGAGTTTAGATTCGAACCCTAGTGTGAGATCTTGGAAGCCTCATAGCCCTGGTCTTGGAGTTTGCAGGTTGAAGATTGAGCCCGATGCTGATGACCCTGTGCAGTCCCCTTGCAGGGTCATAGTGCCAGTGGCCCTTTGTAGACATTGGAGCTGTTGTCCTGTCCCAAAAGTAAGGCCCAATGAGCCAGGCCCCCATTTGGATGGCCTGAAGGTGGAATGGTGTCATGGGTAGTGATAAGGGTTCTGGAGCCATTGGCCTGTGCTTAAATCCTGTCTTGACTGCAAATCCAGTGGATGACCTTGGGCAAGGTATTCAGCCACTCTGAGCCTCGGTTTTCTCCTCTGTGAAATGGGGATCACAGTAGTGCCTGCCCTACTGGATTATTTATAAGGATCAAGTAAGACAAGGCTGAGGCTCTTAGACATGGTACCTGGAACATAGTAGGTACTCAATAAATGTTATTGCTACAATTATTATTATTTGTGTTATTTAAGTAGAAGTTTGGCTGCATGCAGTAGAAACCTCAAATAACAGTGACTTATACACCATGAGAGTTGATTCTGTCTCATAGTGACATTTGAGTGGCTGTGGTGGCTTCATCATATCTTTAGAAGTCCAAGCCCTGTCATTCTGGTTTCTGTTCCCTGTCAGCCACATTGCCTTGGCCTGCCTATGTGTACTTTCCCCAAACCTCTCAAATGACTTTTAGTCATGCCACTATATCTTTACTGTATGTTTAATATTTCCTTTTAAAAAATAAGATTTGGCTGGGTGCAGTGGCTCACTCTTGTAATCCCAGCACTTTGGGAGTCCGAGGAGGGCAGATCACTTGAGGTCAGGAGTTTGAGACCAGCCTGGCCAACACAGTGAAACCCTGTCTCTACTAAAAAAAAAAAAAAAAAAAAAAAAATTAGCTGGGTGTGGTGGCACACTCCTGTAGTCCCAGCCACTCCGGAGCCTGAGGCAGGAGAATCGCTCAAACTCGGGAGGTGGAGGTTGCAGTGAGCCAAGATTGTGCCACTGCACTCCATCCAGCCTGGGTGACAGAGAGAGAGACTCCGTCTCAAAAAAGAAAAAAGAGAAAAATAAGATTTATTGATTTTTTCCCCCAATTGCAAAAGTCAATGTTCAATGCAGAGAAAACAATTTTGTAAAAACCCACACAAAAACAAAAAACCAAAACTGTCACCCAGAGATCGCCACTGCACTATTAACCTCTTGGTGGATATCCTTTGGCATATATGTGTAATAAATATGTTTACAGATATGGATACAGATATAAATATCACAGACTATATTTGAGTCAGGTGATGCCAAATAGAGTCACTGAATTTGGTGAAAATTCATCACACTGTCTTCCTGTAGCGCAATGTCCAACAAACAGACTGATTTAATGGGATCACTGCACATGTGGTTTTATCACTTAAAACTTTTTCACTTAAAACAGTAATATAGCTGGGCATGGTGGCTTATGCCTGTAATCCTAGCACTGTGGGAGGCCGAGGCAGGCAGATCACTTGAGGCCAGGAGTTCAAAACCAGCCTGAGCAACATGATGAAACCTTGCCTGTACAAAAAATACAAAAATTAGCCAGGCATGGTGGCATGTGCCTGTAGTCCCAGTTACTTGGGAGGCTGAGCTGGATTGCTTGAGTCCAGGAGTTCAAGGCTGCAGTGAGCCGTGATCATGCCACTGCACTCGTGAGACCCTGTCTCGGGGAAAAACAAAAACATCAGTAATATGGACATCTTTGCATTTCAGCAACAATAGACCTGCCTCATTCTTTAAACAGCTACTTTGTATTCCATTGTGCATGGTGTACTGTGATTTACTTCTGTCATCTCCCATTGTTGGTTAGTGAGGTTATTTTCAGTTTGTCATCAGTATAACAATTATACAGGGAACAACTTCGGAAGTACATCTTTGCTCTTTTCTAAGTTCCTAGAAGTGATTTTGCAGGTCAGAGTTGAAAGGGTTTTGTTTTTTTTTTTTTTTGAGATGGAGTCTCGCTCTGTTGCCCAGGCTGGAGTGCAATGGCAGGATCTCAGCTCACTACAACCTTCGCCTCCCAGGTTCAAGTGATTCTCCTGCCTCAGCCTTTCTAGTAGCTGCGACTACAAGGCACCTGCCACCATGCCCCGCTAATTTTTTGTATTTTTAGTAGAGACGGGGTTTCACCATGTTAGCCAGGATGGTCTCGATCCCTGACCTCGTGATCTACCCACCTCGGCCTCCCAAAGTGCTAGGATTACAGGTGTGAGCCACCGTGCCCGGCCTTTTTTTTTTTTTTTTAAAGATTAATTATCTACTTCAAAAACTATATGTATACAGTGCAATATTGTAAAACTATCACAGGACATAGAGTGAACAGGAATTCTCCATCCACTGTGACCCACTTCCCCATATCACGGGCAATCATGTTCGAAAAGTGTTCTTTGTAAACCTCTTATTTTGTCATAATTTTATTATTGATTGATTGATTTTTGAGACAGGATCTTGCTCAGTCACCCAGGCTGGAGTACAGTGGCACAATCATGGCTTGCTGTAGCCTTGACTTCCCTGGCTCAAACAATCCATCCCCCTCAGCCTCCTGAGTAGCTGGGACTACAGGTGTGTGCCACCACTGCCAGCTAATTTTGGTATTTTTTGTAGAGACAGGGTCTTGCTATATTGCCCAGGCTGGCCTAGAACTCCAAGGCTCAAGCAATCCACCCTCCTCAGCCTCCCAAAGTACTAGGATTACAGGCATAAGCCACCATGCCTGGCCTTCAATATATGTGTTTTAAAGCTTTCCTTTGTTTCATGAATTTAACTTATGTATGTATTTTAATTTTAATATAATTAATTAATTAATTTTTTGTTTAGAGACAGGGTCTCACTCCATCACCAAGGCTGGAAAGCAGTGGCATGATCATGGCTCACTGCAGCCTTGACCCTTGACCTCCCCAGTCTCAGGTGATTCTCCCACCTCAGCCTCCTGGGTAGCTGGGACTACAAGCATGCACCACCATGCCCATCTGATTTTTTTTTTTAAACTTTTTGTAGAAACAGGGTTTCGCCATATTGCTCAGGCTTGTCTCAAATTCCTGGGCTCAAGTGATCCTCCTACCTTGGCCTCCCAAAGTGCTGGGATTACAGGCATGAGCCACTGCACCTGGCCTTTTTTTTTTTTTGAGACAGGATCTCACTCTGTCACCCAGGCTAGAGCACAGTAGCATGATCACAGCTCACTGCAGCCTTCGCCTCCGGGGCTCAAGCAATCCTCCAGCTCAGCCTCCTGAGTAGCTGGGACCACAGGTGTGTGCCACCAGGCCTGGCTAATTTTTTATTTTTTATAAAGATGGAATTTCACCATGTTGACCAGACTGGTCTGGAACTCCTGGGCTCAAGCGGTCCACCTGCCTTGTTCTCCCAAAGGTCTGGGATTATAGGCGTGAGCCACACACCTGGCCAATTTTTATTTTTTTAGAGACAGAGTCTCACTGTGTTGTCCAGTCTAGAGTGCATCAGCTATTCACAGGTGTGGTCGCCTTGCCTCAGCCTCCCCAGTAGCTAGGACTACAGGCAGGCGCCATCACTCCTAGGTAAATTTGTTTGTTTGTTTGTTTGTAGAGACAGGGTCTTACTGTGTTGCCCAGGCTGGTCTTGAACTCCTGGCCTCAAGTGATCCTCCTGCCTGGCCTTCCCAAAGTGCTGGGATTACAGGCGTAAGCCATCACACCTGGCCTGTATTTCCTAAAAACAAGGATAACCTCTTCCATAAGGGCAATATACTATAGTTACCAAAATCAGGAAGTTGGGCTCTGTGCGGTGGCTCATGCCTGTAATCCCAGCACTTTGGGAGGCTGAGGTAGACAGATTGCTTGAGCCCAGAAGTTTGAGACCAACCTGGACTACGTGGCAAAACCCCGTCTTTACCAAAAAAAAAAAAAAAAAAAAAAAGAGGTGGGTATGGTAGCATATGCCTGTGGTCTCAGCTGCTCAGGAGGCTGAGGCAGAAGAATTGCTTTAGCCCGGGAGGTACAGGTTGCAGTGAGCTGAGATCGCACCACTGCACTCCCGCCTGAAGGACAGAGTGAGACCCTATCTCAAAAAAAAAAAAAAAAAAAAAAAAAAATCAGGCCAGGTGCGGTGGCTCACACCTGTAATCCCAACACTTTGGGAGGCTGAGGTGGGCGGATCACCTGAAGTCAGGAGTTCGAGACCAGCCTGGCCAACATGGCGAAATGCCGTATCTACTAAATTATAAAAATTAGCTGGGTGTGGTGGCGGGCACCTGTATTCCCAGTTACTTGGGAGGCTGAGGCAGGAGAATCCCTTGAACCTGGGAGACGGAAGTTGCAGTGAGCCGAGATCGGGCCACTGCACTCCAGCCTGGGTGACAGAGCGAGACTCTTGTCTCAAAAAAAAAAAAAAAGAAGAAAAAGAAATCAGGAAGTTAATATCAGTACAATTCTATTATCTAATTACAGGCCTTACTCAGAATTTTCCAATTGTTCCAATAACATGCTTTAGAGAAAAAGAAAAAAAAGGTTTTTTTGAACCAGAATCACATGTTGAATTCAGTTGTCATGTCTCTCTCGTCTCTCTTGTGTCCTATAAGCTGGAACAGTTCCTCCTTCTGTCTTTGTCTTCGAGACCTTGATATTTCTGAAGAGTATAGACAGGTTATTCTGTAGAATGTCCTCAGTTTGGGTTTGCCTGATTTTACCCTATGATTAAATTCAGGTCATGCACTTTTGTCAGGAATGTCACAACAAATACTGTGTCCTCCTCCGTGTGTCATATCAGGAGGCATGTGATGTTGATTTGCTCTATTACTGGTGATGTTACCTTGGATGACTTAATTCAGGTGCTGTTTCTGGCAGGAGATTTTAATTTTCCTGGCTATTGGTAAACAATCTCTGACACAAATCTATGTCTCCCCCAAACCCAGCCCCTGAAGCATGTGAGATTCTGTCCTTTCCCATCTCACCAGCTAGTTAAGTCTCTGCCCTCCTGGTACCTCTGCTCCCACCCCACCTTCCCTTTCTTGCTGCCTGGAGGCATTTAGTATGTGGCTTCTTTCTTTTTCTTTTCTTTTTTTATTTTTTTTGAGACAGAGTCTCTCTCCGTCACCCAGGCTGAAGTGCAGTGGCATGATCTTGGCTCACCGCAACCTCTGCCCTCCTGGGTTCAAGTGATTCTTGTGCCTCAGCCTCCTGAGTAGCTGGGATTACAGGTGTGAGCCACCACACCTGGCTAATTTTTGTATTTTTAGTAAAGACGGCATTTCTCCATGTTGGCCAGGTTGGTCTCGAACTCCTGACCTTAAGTGATCCGCCCACCTCGGCCTCCCAAAGTGCTGGGATTACAGGCATGAGCCACCGCGCCTGGCTAGTGTGTGGTTTCAGAGTGCGCCTGGCTAGTGTGTAGTTTCAGAGTGCGGTCTATGGGGCTCCCCTGGGCCCTTCGCAGGTGCAGCCTGCCTGGGGTTTCCCACAGGCAGTACTCTACACAGCCTGCCTTTTGGTTTTTGCTTTGAATTGTTCACCTACCTGTGACATTCCTCACTGATAACTCATTGTAAATAGGTCAATATGCTGGCAAATGTTTTCTTTTTTCTTTTCTTTTTTTGTCTGATAATACCCTTTCTTCCTTAGCTGGCACATGTTTTCATGATGGGGAGATGGTGGTGTCTTTTCTCCCTTCAGAGTGGTTGGTGGCCTGAGACTGCTGTTGTGAGGACATGTTTATGAGCTGTTTGGCACAGTTGTGTTTTTTGACTCTGTATTAGGCCATTCTTGCACTGCTATAAAGAAATACCTGAGACTGGGTAATTTATAAGAAAAGAGGCTTATTTGACTCACGGTTCAGCAGGCTGTACAGGAAGCATAGTGTCTGAGCTAGCAGATCTGCCACTGGGGAGGCCTCAGGAGGCTTTTACTCATGGCAGGAGGAGAAGGGGAAGTAGACATGTCACATGGCCAGAGCAGGAGCCAGATAGAGAGAGAGGGAGGCGCCATACACTTTTAAACAGCTAGATCTCATGAGAACTCACTCACTATCCTGAGGACTGCACCAAGGGGATGGTCCTAAACCATTCATGAGAAATCCACCCCCATGATCCAATCACCTCCCACCAGAACTCACCTCCAGCACTGGGGATTATAGTTCAACATGAGATTTAGGTGGGGACACAGATACAAACTATGTCAGACTCTGTGACAATCTCCCTTTTTTTTTTTTTTTTTTTTGAGATGGAGTCTCACTGTGTCGCCCAGGCTGGAGTGCAGTAGCGTGATCTCAGCTCACTGCATCCTGCATCTCCCAGGTTCAAGTGATTCTCCTGCCTCAGCCTCCTGAGTAGCTGGGGTTACAGGCAGGTGCCACCACGCCTGGCTAATGTTTGTATTTTTAGTAGAGACAGGGTTTCACCGTATTGGCCAGGCTGGTCTTGAACTCCTGACCTCAGGTGATCTGCCCACCTCAGCCTCCCAAAGTGCTGGGATTACAGGCATGAGGCACTGCATCCAGCCATGTGACAATTGTAAGAATGAGTGACAGGCAGGTCTGTTTGGGACTCACACCCCATATTTTGAATGAGGAGGCCCAGCAGGTCAGAAATGGGAAGGCGCTGGGCTTGGATCCCCATCTGTCTGACTCTTTAATGTAACAAGTTCTCACTGGTGCTGGGAGCAGCTTGTGAATGGGCAAGATGTGGTATCTGGAACAGGGACCACTTGCTAGTGGAGGAGACAGACAATAACCAAGTAAGCAAATAATAAATAATTCCAGGTAAGAAGTGGTAAGAAGAAAATAAAACTGAGTGATGTAATAGGGAGTGACTGGGAGTGCATCGTGGGGGGCAACTTGAGACAGGGTGGCCAGGAGGGCCTCTTTGGGGAGGTGACATTTGAGCTGAGATATGAAGGATGAGAAGGCACTGCCTGGGGAAGACTTGGGGAAGAGTGTTCCGGGGAACAGGAACAGCCAGTGCCAAGGCCCTGAGGTGGGAATGAGCCTGGTGTGTTCAAGGTAGGTCAAGGAGGCCAGGGTGGCCAGAGCAGAGTGAGTGAGGTGGAGAAAGGAGAAGGATGAGGTCTGAGAGGTGGGAGTGGGTCAGACCACAGGGCCTTGTAGGCCAAGGTGGGAGGTGGGTTAAGCAATGGTGTGGCATGGTCTGACTTACTTTTTTTTTTTGTTTCTTTTTTGAGACAGAGTCTCACTCTGCCGCCCAGGCTGGAGTGCAGTGGTGCGATCTCGGCTCACTGCAACCTCCGCCTCCTGGGTTTAAGTGATTCTCCTGACTCAGTCTCCTGAGTAGCTGGGATTACAGGTCCACGCTACCACGCCTGGCTAATTTTTGTATTTTTAGTAGAGAGACGGGGTTTCATCATGTTGGCCAGGCTGGTCTCAAACTCCTGACCTCAGGTGATGCGCCTGCCTCGGCCTCCCGAAGTACTGGGATTACAGGTGTGAGTCACCACACCAGGCCTTTTTTTTTTTTTCTTATTTAAATAGAGACAGGTTCTCTTTCTGTTACCCAGGCTGGAGTGTAGTGGCATAATCATGGCTCACTGTAACTTCAAAACCCCTGGGCTTAAGCGATCCTCCTGCCTTAGCCTCTTGAGTAGCTGGGAAGCCACCACATCTAGCTAATTTTTAAATTTTTCATAGGGATAGGGGTCTTGCCATGTTGCCCAGGCTGATTTTGAACTCCTGGTCTCAAACAATCCTCTCACCTTGGCCTCCTAAAGTATTGGGATTGCAGGTGTGAGCCAGCCACTGTGCTCAGCCTGTTTCATTTTTAAAGGTGCCCCTGGCCACCCTGTGGAGAATGGACTACAGGAGGCAAGGCAGGGGCAGGGTGGCCAGCGAGGAGGCTACTGCACAAGTCCGAACAAGAGATGATGGCGCTCAGATGAGGACAGGCAGTGGCAATTGAGAAGAGTGGATGGATTTGGAATGAATTAACTGTAGGATGTTGCCTCCTAATGTTGGCCCTGGGGTGGCCGGGGCGCTGCTTCCTATGCCTGCTGTGTTTCCTCCCTCATCTCTCCTGCTCCTTCCACTTAGGTGTGTCAAATGTGTCAACAAATACTCCACCCCTGAGGCCCTGGAGCACCACCTGCAGACCGCCACTCACAACTTCCCCTGCCCACACTGCCAGAAGGTGGGTGCCACTGTCCTCTTTTCTGGGGCCTAGGCTATAATAAGGGCAAGGAGGTGGGGTGGGGTGCACACCTCACCCTTTCCTTCTCCTCTCTCACCATAGGACACGCAGGCAGGGCTCAGGGGCTGCTCCACAGATGACACAGTGTCTCTGCCTGGCCATCTCATCCATCACATTCCAGATGTGGCCATGTCGGGGCTGCTGCTGGAGCCAGGCTGGGTGGGCTGTCCTGGTCCCAGGCCTAGTGTCTGAGCAGAAGCCTCCCAGCTTCCTGATGTAAGATTATCCTTATTACAATTGGCTCTTCTTTTTAATTTTTTTTTTTTTTTGAGACAGGGTCTTACTCTGTCACCAGGCTAGTGTGCAGTGGTTTGATCATGGCTCACCGCAGCCTCAACCTCCTGGGCTCAGCCCCCTGAGTAGCTGGGACTATAGGCATGTGCCACCATGCCCAGCTAATTTTTGTATTTTTTATAGAGATGGAGTTTCACCGTGTTGCCCAGGCTGGTCTCAAACTCCTGGGCTTAAGGGACCTGTCCACCTTGACCTCCCAAAGTGCTGGGATTACACGCATGAGCCACTGCACCCAGCCTAAATTTTTTGTAGAGATAGGGCTCACTATGTTACCCAGGCTGGTCTCAAACTCTTGGCCTCAAGTGATCCTCCCACCTCAGACTCCCAGAGTGTTGGGATTACAGGTATGAGCCATCATGCCCAGCCTGGATTCTTCTTTTCAGTGACTCTGAAAGCCTCACTAAAGCCTGTTCCTGATAACATCAAACATCCAGGAAGTGTTCCAATTTCTAGTTGTCTCAAAGCTTCATCATTTTGTAAAGTTCATTTGAATCAGGTCCATAGATTGCAATTGATTGACATAACAAAAGCCTCTATTAATCTACAGGTCCCCACCACCACCCCTGACCACTGCTCCCTTTTTTCTTTCCTCTGAATTTATTTGTTGAAGAAACTGGGCCATTTGGTTCAGCGGTGTTCCCCGCAGTCTGGATTTTGCTGATTACGTCTCCCTGGTGTGTTTAACTTGCTTCTTCACTCTACTCATTTTCTTACAACCATATGTGGCAGATTTTCCAGGACAGCCCTGGTTTCATTTTGGCCTCATTCTGGATGTTTCTTATTATCTAACCTAATTTTAAGCTTTAGAAGTTGTGGTCCGAGTAAAAGATACCATGAATTGAGCAAGAACCACATGCCAGATGCTGTTCTGAGCATTTCACTGGAATTGACTAGAGGATAGGTGTACTGTTACTATCCCCCTTTATAGGTGGGGAAACCAAGGCAGAAAGGTCACCTAGCTGGGAAACGATGGGGCTAATAAGCAGTGGGGCAGCTGGGTCTGTGCCCGTGACCAACGCTCTACCAAAATGAATGAATGTGTGAATACATGCCCTTCTTTTGCCTGGACTGGAAAGAGATTTTCACTTCTGTGTTTTCTGGCTTTAAAAAAATTACCTTTCATACAAAAATTAGCTGGGTGTGGTGGTGGGCGCCTGTAATCCCAGCACTTCGGGAGGCTGAGGCGGGTGGATCACCTGAGGTCAGGAGTTAGAGACCAGCCTAACCAACATGGAGAAACCCTGTCTCTACTAAAAATAAAAATTAGCCGGGAGTGGTGGCAGGCACCTGTAATCCCAGCTACTCAGGAGGCTGAGGCAGGAGAATCGCTTGAACCTGGGAGGCAGAGGTTGCAGTGAGCCAAGATTGCACCATTGCACTCCAGCCTGGACAATATGAGCGAAACTGCATCTCAAATAAAATAAAATAAAATAAATAAAAGTAAAAAATTACCTTTCCATAGATTTCTTTAGTAATTTGCTCATTTTCCATTAATTCTTTTACTTGTCAGTCATTTGACCCAGGCTCTGTGCTGGGGAGTGAAAGCCCCTCTCTGCCTACTTGGAGCTCCTGTGTAAGCAAAGGGCTGTCATTCAGTGGGTTAAATGCTGACTTAAAAGTGTGGGTGGACATTCAAAGGCAGAATTGGCTTTGCCAGGCATAGCACCAGGGAGCTAGGGAAGGCTTGACAGGAGCAGTGACGCCCGAGTTGGGTCTTGAAGGATGTGTAAGAGTTTGTCAGTAAAGAGAGAAAGGCCCTCTGGGTGGGAAGAACATCCGGGCAAAAGCTCAGGGCAGACATGTTTTGTCCGGGCTTGTGGGGAGCCATGAAGTTCTAAGGGCTGAGTCTGACATTCTGGGTCCTGGCCCCTGATAGCCAGAAAGGAAGGTGTCTCTATAGGGGCTGGAAACGAGGAACCTTTGAGTTCAGAAGATGGCCAGGGGAGGGGGGCCCGGTGAGTCAGACCTGAAGGCCCCTCTTCTCTCCCAGGTGTTTCCTTGTGAACGCTACCTGCGGCGTCATCTGCCCACCCACGGCAGCGGGGGCAGGTTCAAGTGCCAAGTGTGCAAGAAGTTCTTCCGGCGGGAGCATTATCTCAAACTGCATGCTCACATCCACTCGGGTAGGTACCCTGCCCCTGAGAACTCCAGCCCAGCCCCTCCCCTCCCCCTCCCCCTCTCCTCATGCCTTTCTCTCTCTTCCCATCCCCATCTGGCTCTTCTCCCTGTCTCCCTCAGCCCCTTTTCCCTCCACTTCTCCATCTCCCTCCCCATCTCACTCAGTCCCTCCCCTCATCTCTCTCAGCCCCCGTCTCCCTCCTCCTCCCCATCTCCCTCCTCCTCCCCATCTCCTTCCTCCTCCCCATCTCCCTCCAGCACCCTTCTCCCTCCTCTTCCCCATTTCCTTTCCCCTCTCCCTCTCCCTACTCCTCTCCCTCCCCCCTCCCTCCGCCTCCTCACCTCCCTCCCTCTCCCCATCTCCTTCCCCCTCCCCCATCTCCCTCCCTCTCTCCATCTCTCTCCCCCCCATCTCCCTCACCCTCCCCATCTCCCTCTTCTTCCCCATCTCCCTGCAGCCCCCTTCTCCCTCCTCCTTCCCATCTCCCTCTAGCCTCCCTTCCCCTCCCTCTCCCCATCTCCTTCTAGCCCCCTCCAGCCTCCCTCCCCTGTCCTCTCCCCTCTCCCTCCAGCCCCCTCCCCCTCCTCTCTGTCGCTGTCTGTCTCCCTCCAGCCCTCCTGCCTCTCCCCTTGCTCCTCCTTCCTCTCTCCTTCCTGGCCCCTGATCCACCTGCCTTAATTCATGAACAAGGGATTCCCACCACCGCTAAAGCAGAGAAGAGCCCCTGGAGGTTGTGTGGAAGGGACTTTTTATTCTTTTTTTTTTTTTCTTTGAGACAAAGTCTCGCTCTTGTTGCCCAGGCTGGAGTGCGGTGGCAGATCTTGGCTCACTGCAACCTCTGCCTCCCGGGTTCAAGTGATTCTCCTGCCTCAGCCTCCTGAGTAGCTGGGATTACAGGCTCCCACCACCATGTCCAGCTAGTTTTTTGTATTTTTAGTAGAAACAGGGTTTTGCCATGTTGGCCAGGCTGGTTTCGAACTCCTGACCTCAGGTGATCCTCCTGCCTCGGCCTCCCAAAGTGCTGGGATGACAGGCGTGAGGCACTGCACCCAGCCTGTGTGAGGGACTCTTGACTCTGCCCCCTGTGGTGGGGACACTGCTCTCACTGTAAGTTCCCACTCAAACCTGAACAAAACGCCATCTCCTTGGTTCCCCAGTTGAAACACACTGACATTTTCTTTTCTATTAATCTTTAGATTTTTTTATTAGTTAAATTTTTTAATTGCTTTTTAATTGAAAAGGATCTAAAGATTGAGAAAACTTGAGGGAAAATCCTTGACGGGACAAAAGCATATATAAAAAAATAAACTCCCTCTCACTTCAGATGGACAATCCAATGTTTTTCCTTTTTTTTCTTTCCTACGACCTATGGTAAAAAATACATTTCATATTGCAACCCAGGAAGCACACATAGGATGTATTGCAACAAAAGTTTTACAAAACAGTGTTTTCTATTTTGTCCTTTTCAATTTTAGTTTTTTTATTTTTTATTTTTATTTTGAGACAGGGTCTCACTCTGTCACCCAGGCTGGAGTGCAATGGTATGATCTCACTACAACCTCCGCCTCCCAGGTTCAAGCCATTCTCGTGCCTCAGCCTCCCGAGTAGCTGGGATTACAGGCGCCCACCACATGCCTGGCTAATTTCTGTATTTTCAGTAGAGACGGGGTTTCACCATGTTGGCCAAGATGGTCTCAAACTCCTGGCCTCAGGTTACCCACCCACCTTGGCCTCTCAAAGTGCTGGGATTACAGATGCAAGCCACCACACCCAGCCTATTTTTAATTCTTAAAATAACCACCAACAGGGTGTAACTTGTGGTTTGCAGTTTGCAAAATACTCCTAATTCTCTTCCCCAAAGGTAACTGTTAGCGGTCTAGTCTGCATTCTTCTAGTTTTATTTTACACATATATAAAACGCTTGCTTACGTTTGCAAAAATGAGCACATACTATAACTTATGTGCCTTTTTTTCCTTATCATATACCTTGGCGATGTTCCCCAAGGAATGTGTGCTTACAGTTCCCCTGGAGGCTAAATTCTGTGGGTCCCCCTCCCCCGGGCCCCCCCCAGAAGTTGTTACCAACAGCACCTTCTTTTTCACATCTGAGTAGTCTTCCTCAATGAATTTTTCATCTTGTATTTAGCCAGTTCTCTATGTATGAACCTTTTTTTTTTTTTTTTTTTTTTTTGAGACTGAATGGCACGATCTTGGTTCACTGCAACCTCTGCCGCCTGAGTTCAAGCAATTCTCCTGCCTTAGCCTTCCAAGTAGCTGGGATTACAGGTGTGCACCATCACGCCCAGCTAATTTTTGTATTTTTAGTAGATATGTGGTTTCACCATGTTGGCCAGGCTGGTCTCGAACTCCTGACCTCAAGTGATCCCCCCGCCCCAGCCTCCCAAAGTGCTGGGATTACAGGCATGAGCCATCACGCCCAGCCTATGTATGAACCGTTAAATTACATTTCAGCTATTAGTTTGTACACACAATGCTGTGTGGGTCCCTTGGCAAGCTTTTGGAAGTGTATCTGTAGTGTATATTCTTAGGAGTGGAAATGCTAGGTTAAAATGCATGTGTAATACTGAGTTTCAGTTTGGGATGATGAAAAAATTCTAGAGACAGATGATGGTGATGGTTGCATGATGGTGCAAATGTACTTATGCCACTGAACTATACACTTAAAAGAAGCTTAAGATGGTCAATTTTCTGTTATGTATATTTCTCCACAATAAAGAAGGGAAAAGAAGTAATGCATTGTAAGTTTGATATTACCAAATTGCTCTTTATGGCTTTTAAAAATTATTATTCAAAAGTAATACATGCTGCCAGGCGCGGTGGCTCATGCCTGTAATCTCAGCACTTTGGAAGGTGAAGGTGGGTGGAGCACCTAGGTCAAGAGTTTGAGACCAGCCTGGCCAACGTGATGAAACCCCGTCTCTACTAAAAATACAAAAATTAGCCGGGTGTGGTGGTACGCACCTGTGATCCCAGCTACTCAGGAGGCTGAGGCAGGAGAATTGCCTGAACCCAGGAGATGGAGGTTGCAGTGAGCCAAGATCAAACCACTGCACTCCAGCCTGGGCAACAGAGCAAGACTCTGTTTCAAAAAAAAAAAAAAAAATACAAAAAACGAAACAAAACAAAACAAAAAAAACCACACAAATAATACATGGTTATTATAAAAATGGAAACAATATAGGAGTACATAAAGTAAAATGTTAAATTTCCCCTTCAAGTTGTAGTTGCCACTGACACTTTGGTCTGTCCTTTCCCTACACCTCCCCATCTTTCTTCCTGCATCTTCAGTTTATTTACAGAGACACATGGCCAGGGCTTTTTTGGGGTGTGCAGGTTGTATTTTTTCTTTCTTTTTTTTTTGTTGGAGCTTACATATCCAGTAGGGATTATATTTTTTTCTAAGAAAGACGAGATTGTGTTAAGCTGTTCTACTGCTTTCTTTCCCCACTAGCAGTATGTCCAGGAGATCTTTCCAGATCAGGAAACACAGATTGACCTTTTTAATCTTTTTAATGACCACAGAGCATTCTATTGTAGGGACCAGCATTTCCGTATCGACTGGGTTGATGGTTTTTCAGAAGTACTTTATTCATTCCAGAGGGAGAACAGAGAGGAAATAATGGCAGGAAGTCACAGCAGCCCAGAAACAGCCCCTTCCAAAGGGCAGGCTGTGACCCCACGGCAACTTTGCAGGCACCTCCCTTGATTTCCTGTGGGTTCCTCAGGTAGCCCATCAGGCAAGAGCTGCCCCAGGACGGGTTTAACAGCAGGAAGATCTGGGTAGCTCAGATGGGCTCTGGATCACGCTGCTGGGCTGGAATCTTAGCTCCCGCAACCATAGGGGTAGCCCCTGAGCCAGTCCCTTCACCTCTCTGAACTTCAGTCTTCTTTCTTATCTGTGAAACAGGGATGATGGGAGTCAGTGCCTCCTGGTTTTTTGGAAGGATTCAGTTAGATAAGGTGTGATTCCTCGTCCCCCAGGGTGGACCGCATTGCCAGAAATGACATGAGGCCACCTTGCTTCTCAGGCCGTGCCTCATCCTTGACTCCTCTCCTCCTCTCACAGTCACAGCCAGTCCAGTGGCAAGGGCTGCCGACTGTGCCTTCCCAACATGGCTGTCCTGGGCCACTTCCTGGTTATCCTCACCTCCACCCTCATTCGAGCTGGTTAAAAGCTTACATCAGAGTCCATCCCTCTGCTGTTCAGACCTTCTGGTGCTTCTCTTCTGGCTCAGAGTAAAAGCCAAAGTCCTGGCTGGGCGCGGTGGCTCATGCCTGTAATCCCAGCACTTTGGGAGGCCAAGGCAGGTGGATCACTTGAGGTCAGGAGTTCGAGACCAGCCTGGCCAACATGGTGAAACCCCCCATCTCTACTAAAAATACAAAAATTAGCTGGGCGTGGTGGCACACACCTGTAATCCCATCTACTCAGGAGGCTGAGGTAGGAGGATTGCTTGAACCCAGAAGGCAGAGGTTGCAGTGACTCACCTGAAATCTTGCCACTGCACTCCAGCCTGGGTGACAGAGCAAGGCTCTGTCTCAAAAAAAATAAATAAATAAAAGCCAAGTCCTTAGCTCTGCCTCCCAGGTCCTCCCATGCGGACCTGGCTGGCTCGCTGCCCTCACCTTCTGCCTTGTTCTCTGGCCACACCAGCCTCCCTGTTGTTCATCAGCACCGCCAAACGCACTCCTGCCTCAGGGCCTTTGTACCTGCTTTCCCTGCTGCCCAGACCATCTCCCTGATGACCTGAGGTCTCTCCTCATGCATGGCCTCATCAGAGAGGCCTCTCCTGACCATCCTGTCAAAATAGCCCTGTCTTGTCTCTGGCAAAACAAAGCCACTGAAGAATGAGAGAGGCTATTTTCTCCCCTGGCCACCTCCCTAGAGGAGCTGCTCCCCTGAGGGGCCCAGCGGGGACCCTTGTGCCCTGGATGCCGACTCCTGGTGAGTGCTGGCTCTCCCTGTCTGTGTCTGCTGCAGGTGAGAAGCCCTACAAATGCTCAGTGTGCGAGTCTGCGTTCAACCGCAAGGACAAACTGAAGAGACACATGTTGATCCACGAGCCCTTCAAGAAATACAAATGCCCTTTCTCGTGAGTAGAGACTGCCATGCAGGGGGGTGGGTAGCGGGACAGATTCTCCAGGGGTGCTGCTGGGGAGGGTGGGACAGATGTCAGGCCTGAGGGCAGGCCTCTCCTTTTTTTTTTTTTTGGAGACATAGTCTCACTCTGTCATCCAGGCTGGAGTGCAGTGGTAAGATCTTGTCTCACTGCAACCTCTGCCTTCTGGGTTCAAGCGATTCTCTTGCCTCGGCTTCCCAAGTAGCTGAGATTACAGATTTAGTAGAGATGGAGTTTCGCCATGTTGCCTAGGCTGGTCTCGAGCTCCTGACCGCAAGTGATCCATCCACCTCGGCCTCCCAAAGTGCTGAGATTACAGGCGTGAGCCACTGTGCCTGGCCAGGCCTCTCTCCTTTTATCCTGTCCTGGGCCCTGCCTGCCTCACTTCCCACCCTACCTCCTTGCCCAGCCCTTAGGGTGGACAAGGCTGTCCCTTGTGCCCAGGGCTAGTGGAGGGGCCAGCAAGAGGATCCTAAGCTTGGTGAGCTCCCCCTGACCAGTGGCTTTGGGTTTTAGGACGCACACAGGCTGCAGTAAGGAGTTCAACCGGCCGGACAAGCTGAAGGCCCACATCCTCTCCCACTCTGGTAAGTGGCTCTTGGGCCTGCTAAGAGGGTCTGGTTCAGCTCTAGTTCACTGGGATAGACCCGCCAGGAAGAGAAAGAGCAGACATATCCTGTGAGGCTTGTTTTCCCTGCCTGGCACATTCCAGCCAGCACTTTCACTTATGTGGGCTATGAGCCAGGCCTGTGTTAGGGACTTAAGGGTGAACAGAGATGAATCAGACACAGTCCCCCAGTCCAAGGAGGAAGCTGACCTGAGCAGAGATGACTCAGTTGGAGCAGTGCCCAGTGTAATAGAGGTGTGGACGAGGTGTGGAGGGAATCAGATTCCAGCCAGGTCCAAGACATGGCCAGGAAGCTTCTTTGATAGGGCAGGGCAGGGGTCTCCAAGCCACTCCTCAGTTTCTCAGCGCCTCCTCAGAGCAGCCTGGCTGGCTTTCCACATGCCAGCCGAGGTCTAAAACAAGGTTCTTCAACCCTGGCACCATTGACAATTTGGGCCAGATAATTTTTTTTTTTTTTTTTTGAGACGGAGCCTCCCTCTGTCACCCAGGTGGAGTGCAGTGGTGTGATCTTGGCTCATTGCAACCTCTGCCTCCCAGGTTCAAGCGATTCTCTTGCCTCAGCTTCCCAAGTAGTTGGGATTACAGGTGCCTGCCACCACACCCAGCTAATTTTTGTATTTTTAGTAGACATGGGGTTTTCACCATGTTGGCTAGGCTGGTGTCGAACTCCTGACCTCAAGTGATCTGCCCGCCTTGGCCTCCCAAGGTGCTGGGATTACAGGTGTGAGCCACCGGCGCCTGGCCTGTAATCCTGTAGATAATTTTGTCCTGGGGGCTGTCCTGTGCCCTGTAGGATTTTTAGCAGTATCCCTGGCTTCTATCTACTGGTGTCAGTGGCATCCCCCCACAGTTGTGACAACCAAAAATGTCTCTAGGCATTGCTGAGTCCTCTGGGGGGTAAAGTCTCCCTTGTTTGAGAAGGTTTACAGAAAGGAGTCAGTCACTAAAGAAAGTGTGAAAACTGGGAGAGTAGGTCAATGACTTGGACACACAGGGCTGGGTTGGAGTCTTAGTGCTGCCATGTTCCTGTGGGTGGCCTCAGGCGTCACGGCCCCTCCCTGAGCCTGAGATGACCTGGCAAAGCGAGCCAAGGTGCAGAGAGTGAGCAGCTGTTCCAGGCAGAGGAGAATGGCAAGTACAAAGGCGCAGAGGGAGGAGCCAGCGTGGCATCTCTGAGGAGAGCGAGTGTGGCTGGCGCAGAGAGTGGCTGGAAGAAGGCAGACGACGAGGGTGGAGAGAGCTGGGGCCAGATCACACAGGTGCTGGTGGGGAAAGAGCCTGGATTTTATTCCCAGCGCAGGGCACTGTTGCGGGGTGAAGGTCTGGATGCTTCTCACTGACTTTCCCTTGCCCTCCAGGCATGAAGCTCCACAAATGCGCCCTGTGCAGCAAGTCCTTCAGCCGCCGTGCCCACCTCGCCGAGCATCAGCGCGCCCACACGGGCAACTACAAGTTCCGCTGTGCTGGCTGCGCCAAGGGCTTTTCCCGCCACAAATACCTCAAAGATCACCGCTGTCGTCTCGGCCCCCAAAAGGACAAGGACCTGCAAACCCGGCGGCCCCCCCAGAGGAGGGCAGCCCCCCGCAGTTGCGGCAGTGGTGGGCGCAAGGTGCTGACCCCCTTGCCTGACCCGCTGGGGCTGGAGGAGCTGAAGGACACAGGGGCTGGGCTGGTGCCCGAGGCTGTCCCCGGCAAGCCGCCCTTCGCAGAGCCGGACGCGGTGCTGTCCATCGTTGTGGGTGGTGCGGTGGGCGCGGAAACTGAGCTGGTGGTACCTGGACACGCTGAGGGGCTGGGCTCCAACCTGGCTCTGGCGGAGCTGCAGGCTGGGGCCGAGGGCCCATGTGCCATGCTCGCTGTGCCCGTCTACATCCAGGCCTCCGAGTGACGGACCTGAGGTGTCTGTTTCCTGGGCAGGCCTGATGCTCCTGTTTGGGTCCAGGGCCCCTGGGGGCAGACCGGTGATCCTTACCAGTGGAAGCGAGCCATCGAGCCATTGGCAGAAATCCTGCTGAATGTCATTCAGAAACCTCAGCCCATGGTCGCCCTCCTGTGCCCCTCTCCTGCCGGAAAGCCCTGCAACATTCTAGGGTTGGGGGCAGGGCCATCCACGGTTTCTGGGCAGAGCCATGGTGGCAGGAGAGAGATGGCTGAAGCCTGAGCAGCCCAGAGTCCCGCTGGTCTAGGCTGGTGGTCGGGGCCCCTGGGAGAGGAGACAGGGCATTCCTCCCCACTCTGTCTCCAGGCTGCCTCTGGGTAGCCTCTAGTCTGCTGTTCTTCAGGAGGCCTGCCATAAACTCTTCGGAGTTTACGTGTTGCACCTTTTCACAGACGGTTCCCCACAGCATCCTCAGACAGCTCTGTGATGTAGCTTTTAGGAGGCACTCAGGTGTCACGGCTAGACTGCAGCTATGAGACAGATCTGGCTTCAAATCCAAGAGTTGCCATGCACTTGCTGTGTGACCTTGGGCAAGTCACTTCACTTCTCTGAGCCCCGTGTTCCTCATCTGTACAATGGGGCTTACGATACTACTACCTCATAGGGTTGTCCTGGGGATCCAGTATGATGAAGTGCGCCAGGGGCTTGGCATGGTGCCCGGCACGCAGAAAGTGCTCAATAAATGTTTTTGTCATAACGTGTCCGGGTGGCCTGGGCCAAGCTGTGGCAGTTTCCTTCTTTGCCCCTAGGTGGCAGCACTCCCCCTCTGAAGCTTGTGGTGGCTGAGGGGTCCCAGGCCCCTCACACAGGGAGCCCTGGAGAGATGATAAGGGAAGCAAGGCTGGGCACGGCAGCTCATGCCTGTAATCCCAGCACTTTGGGAGGCCAAGGTGGGCTGATCACCTGAGATCAGGAGTTTGAGACCAGTCTGGCCAACATGGCAAAACCTCGTCTCTAGTAAAAATACAAAAATTAACCGGGTGTGGTGGTGCACACCTGTATTCCCAGCTACTTGGGAGGCTGAGGCGGGAGAATCACTTGAACCCAGGAGACAGAGGTTGCAGTGAGCTGAGATCGTGCCACTGCACTCCAGTGTGGGAGACAGAGTGAGACCCTGTCTCAAAAAAAAAAAAAAAAAATTAGCTGGGCATGGTGGTGGGTGCCTGCAGTCCCAGATATGCTGGAGGCTAATGTGGGAGGATCACTTGAGCCCAGGAGGTTGAGGCTGCAGTGAGCTGAGATTGTGCCACTGCATTCCAGCCTGGGCAACTGAGCAAGACCCTGTCTCAAAGATTTAAAAAAAAAGAAAAGAAACGAAAAAAAAGAAAGGAAATTGGGAACACCCATCCACAGAAAACAGTCCAGGACAACACCCCATGGGGGTCGGGGTTTGTACTCACTTGTGGGAATTCAGGATAGTTAGCCACCTCCAAATCCGTTGTAAACAAGATCAGAAATCCCTCTCGTGTCGGCATCTGGAGGCCATCAATGTCACCGCGTCCAGTGCTTCCTCCTACCTCTCAGCTGGTCCCGGTGGGAGGTGGACCGGGCTCATGAGGAGGCGGGAAGGAGAAAAGGGCCTTGACTAGTGTTTTCCTGTTTATCTTCACAGCCACCCTTCTGGGCTGTTGGACTCCATTTGATGACTGAATTGTTTTGAAGGCTGGCAGGTCCCTCAGGCATCTGTGTTGGATCTCAGGGCTGGAACTCAGAGCCAGGCCCAGCTTCCCACATCCTCAGGAAGGGTGTGACGCGGCAGGAGGGACAGAGTTGATGGGGGTGAGGTGTGTAAGTGTACCGGCCTGCACAAAGGCCCGAGGGGGACTGGTGGGGACAGGAAGTCAGAGGGGATGCCCCTGGAGCTGGGCCTTGGCCCGGGGTGCTTTGATGGGTGGATGGATAGGGGAAGGTGTGCTGGGTGAGAGCAGGGCGCGTGCAAACACCTTGGGGTGGGACAGTGCCAGGCCTGCTATGTTCTGGGGCCGGCGGATGTTCCAGGGTGACCAGAGGTCTCAGAGGAGTAGGTGGATAATGATCATGGCTGTTGCTTCACCTTCTCCACACGAGGGACACTGTGCCAGGCTATTTACAGTCACGTCGCCTCAGCCTGTCATGTGAGTGCTGTTACTTTCTGTATTTTACAGCTGAGAAAACCCAGGCCCAGAGGGGTAAACTTCCTTACCCAAGCTCACACAGCCAGGAAAGCTGCAGAGCTGGGACTCAAGCCACGGCAGCCTGCCTCCATGGGTTCTTAGCCACTTTCCACGATTGAAGTGTGGGTTGATGAATCAGAGAGGGCCTTAGATGTGGGTTAAGGAATCTGGACTTTATTCTCCACATAATGAAGGGGAGTCATGGGAGACAGTGAACATTTTTAAAAGTTGTAACAATGGCATTGAAAGAAATGTGAAGAACGACATCTTCAGCCGGGTGTGGTGGCTCACTCCTATAATCCCAGCACTTTGGGAGGCCGAGGCGGGTGGATCACCCGATGTCAGGAGTTTGAGACTATCCTGGCCAACATGGTGAAACCCCATCTCTACTAATAATACAAAAAAATTAGCTGGGCGTGGTGGCACATGCCAGTAATCTCAGCTACTTGGGAGGCTGAGGCAGGAGAATCGCTTGAACCCGGGAGGCAGAGTTTGCAGTGAGCTGAGATCCCGTGACATTGCACTCCAATCTGGGTGACAAGAGTGAAACTCCATCTCAAAAAAAGAAAAAAAAATGACATCTTCTTCCTAATATAACTATTTAAGTGGTTTTTCTATAGCTTCTTCCTGTCAGTGCACACAGGCATACACGTCTACTGGTAATCACGAGAACTAACATTTATTAGTTATCGAATGAATGCCTGGCACCATCCCCAGCACCTCAATGTAGGCACTACTTTTAAGCCCATTTTGCAGCTGAGATGAGGCAACAGGCACATTAAGGTTAAGCAGCCCAAAGTCACACAGGAGGGAAGTAGCAGAGCCAAGCCACAGATAAGGACATACCAAGATCAGCTATAATGTTTAACAGAAAGTTGGTGACAAATCCCAGCACTTTGAGAGGCCGAGGCAGGCAGATCACGAGGACAGGATATCAAGACCATCCTGGCTAACATGGTGAAACCCTGTCTCTACTAAAAATACAAAAAATTAGCCAGATGTGGTGGCCCTGGAGCTGGTCCCAGCTACTTGGGAGGCTGAGGCAGGAGAATCGCTTGAACCTGGGAGGCGGAGGTTGCAGTGAGCCGAGATCATGCCACTGCTCTCCAGCTTGGGGGAGAGCAAGACTCTGTCTCATTAAATAAATAAATAAATAAATAAATAAATAAATAAATAATAAAAAAGAAAGTTGGAGATAGCTGCTCCAGGACCCCAGGGTCTGCCACCGAACTCCAAGATGCTGGACAGAGTGGAGCATAAAAAGGGGCTGGCCTAGGCATCCAGGGTCTCACTCCACCCCCAGAAAGATCACAGTTTTTTTACCGGGTGTGGTGGCTCACTCCTGTAATCCCAGCACTTTGGGAGGCCAAGATGGGCGGATCACCTGAGGTCAGGGGTTCGAGACCAGCTTGGCCAACATGGCGAAACCCCATCTCTACTACAAAAAATTAGCCATTCGTGGTTGCATGTGCCTGTGATCCCAGCTACTTGGGAAGCCAAGGCAGGAGAATTTGTAGAATCCGGGAGACGGAGGTTGCAGTGAGCCGAGATCTCACCATTGCACTGCAGCCAGGGTGACAGAGTAAACTCATGGACAGACTCTTACTCTAAGAGTAAACTCTGTCTCAAAAAAAAAAAAAAAAAAAAAGAGAAAGATTACAGTCTTTGGTATCAAGCAGAGCTGGGTTTGAATTCTGGCTCTGCCCCCTCCTAGCTGTGTGACTATGGCGAGTCACTTCACCTTTCTGAACCTCAGTTTCCTTGTGTCAGTGTGGAGAATAATAGTACCTACCTGGCGAGGTTGATGTCACAATTCACGGAAATAATTCAGGTAAAGCAGAGATCACAAATTGGCCGCTCATGGCAGCCTCCAGACAGTTTGGCATTCACAGTGTCTGAAAAAGTAAGCCAACGTTTAAAAACAAATTTAAAATATACTACAGTGGTGAAGTGTCAGGAATGACACAAGGATGCCTGCTGTTATGACTCCAATATTACATTAGTGGCCTGGCCAGAATAATAGAGCAAGAAAAAGAAATAAATAGTATCAGGATTGGAAAGGGTGAGATAATAGCAAGGGTGCTGAAATAATAGCAAGATCAATATATACAAATCTACTATGCTCCTATACTCCAGAAGCAATTAGAAAATGTAAAAAATTGGGACATTTGGGCCAGGCGTGGTGGCTTACACCTGTAATCCCAGAACTCTGGCAGGCTGAGGTGGGTGGATCATGAGGTCAGGAGATTGAGACCAACCTGGCCAACGTGGCAAAACCCTGTCTCTACTAAAAAATACAAAAAATTAGCCGAGCATGGTGGTGCGTGCCTGTAATCCCAGCTACTCAGGAGGCTGAGGCTGGAGAATCACTTGAACTGGGGAGGTGAAGGTTGCAGTGAGCTGAGATCATGCCACTGCACTCCAGCCTGGGCAACGGAGTGAGACTCTGTCTCAAAATAAATAAATAAATATATAAATAAACAAAAAAACTCATTTCCTCTGATAAGTTTTCCTTGGCCAATCTGTGTAACATAGCCCCACCTCCATCATTCTCGAATTCCTTACCCTATTTTATTTTTATACGTCACCCTTGACATTATATTAGACATTTGTTTATTGTCTGTTGTCCTCATTAGAAACAAAAGGTCCACAAAGGCATCGACTTTTGTCTGTTTTGTTCCTGAAGTATCTACAGTGCTTAGACCTTCCCAGGAATTGTTCAATCAATATTTGTCGAATGAATAAACAACAGCACTTTGAGAGAAGAAGGCTCACTTTACCCACCCGCTCCTCTCACCCCAGGGAGACCAGAGAATCTGTCATGTAGACCGAGATATGACTGACCCAGGGTCCTGGGAAGTAATGTCTGATATAAAAGGATATCTTCCTTTGTTCAAAGAGGGAGCAGAGAATATCTGGGCCAAATGACTAAGGCAGGTGGCTTGGAAGTCTCGACAGAGCAGGTGGAAGTCGACAGAGCAGGTGTCCCTGTGGCCCAGGGAACTGGTTGGACTAGTTTTGTCTCCTTTGGGGAGGAAGGAGTGGAGGTGGCAGCTACGGGTGCTCCCAACCCCCAAGGCTGCCAGCAAGTGACCCCCCCACACACAAGGCTTTCAGGGCCTGAAGGGTGGTGATCAGGGAGGTGAGCAGGCTCCATCTAAGGATTGGCAGTGACTTCTTACTAGCTGAGGGTGCCTCAGGTAGGCTTAGGCACAGAACCCAACTTTAGGGCCTTGCGTCCTTTGAAGAATCACAGAGAATAAACAGGCCCAGGGAGAGAAAAGGTCTTGTCCAAAGTCTCATCAAGGCAAGGCTGCTTCCCAGGCCACTGCTACCTCAGTCCACTTATTTATTGATTAAATATTTCTTGAGTACCTATGACGTGCCAAGCATAGTTCTTTGATGATACATCATGAGCAAAACAATCATTTGTGGAGATCCTTTGTGGAGGAAGCAGAAGATAAACAACAAAGTAAATAAGTAAGTTATAGATGTTAGGAGGTGACGAGGACTATAGAGAAGGAAAAAAAGTAGAGGTGAGTAGAGGTTTTGAGAGTTTGGAGGGTGCTGGTGTGTTTGAGGAAGAGTAGAGGGGCCAGTGTGATTGGAGTGAGGCACTGGAAAGGGGGAGGGCAAGGAGGTGACAGGAAAATCATGACATCATGTAGGGACTTGAGGGACATTGAAAGGACTTTGGGTTTTACTTGAGGGACGTGGAGAGCCATTGGAGGATTGTGAGCATTCAGTGACTGGATCCGACATACATATGTATGTCCAGTGTCAAAACATATATATGTGTGTGTGTGTACATATATGTATATATATATGTGTGTGTATATATATATGTCAGATGTCAAAAAAATATATATATATAATTTTTTTTTTCCTGAGACAGAGTCTCTCTCTGTCACCCAGGCTGGAGTGCAGTGGCGTGATCTCAGCTCACTGCAACCTCCAACTCCCAGATTCAAGCGATTCTCGTGCCCCTGCCTCCTGAGACTACAGGTGCATGCCACCATGCCCAGCTAATTTTTGTATTTTTAGTAAAGATAGGGTTTCACCATGTTACCCAGGCTGGTCTTGAACTCCTGGCCTCAAGTGATCCGCCTGCCTCGGCCTCCCAAAATGCTGGGATTATAGGGATGAGCCACTGTGCCCAGCCAAACACATATTTTTTAAAGGATACCTCTGCTTACCATGTAGAGAATGAGCTGGAAGGAATAAAGATGGAGACAGGAAGGCCAATGAGGAAGAGTATTAGGTTCCTCTTGCTTCTGTAATAAAGAATCAGAAACTTAGTGGCTTAAACCAACACAGATCTTATCACTCTGGAGGTCAGAAGTCTGATATGGTTCCCACTGGACTAAAATCAAGTGTTGGCAGGGCTTTGTCCTTCCGGAGGCTCTAGGGGAGAATCTGTTCCATTGTCTTTTCCGGTTTCTAGAAGCCACCTGCATTCCTTGGCTTGTGGCACCTTTCTCCATTCAAAGGCAGAAGGGCAGCATCCTGCCAGTCTCTGACTCTGAAACCTCTTGCTTCTGTTTTGTGATTACATTGAGGCCAGCTGGATAATCCACAATAAGCTCATCATTTCAAACTCCTTAACACTTCTACAAAGTCCATTTAAGGTGAGATTCTGGGGATGAGGACATGGACGTCTTTGAAGGACCATTATCCTGCCCACCAGGAGGCTACTGCAATAGTGCAGGCAAGAGATGATGGTGGCTTTGACCAGAGTAACCGCAATGAAGATGGTAAGAAATGATAGCTTTCTGGATATATTTTGATGATAGAGCCAACAGGATATTCTAAGGGATTGGATGTGGACTTTTCCTTCCTCGTGCAGGTAGACTTCTAGTCTACCTGTGCCTTGGGCCTGCGCCTGGGTGAGGATGAGGGTTTCCCTGGGGTAAAGTCCAGGGAGTCACAGTCATTGACTGGAGCCTGTGTGGCCGTCTAGGGCCTGCTGCATGGCCTGCATGTGGTCAGACAAATGGGTATGGAGTAGGCCCTGTAACCCACCATTAGCACAAGTGTAGGGTCCTTTCTGGTCAACAGTTTCACCCACCTCCCCCTCACTCCTCACTTAACCCCTCAAGTTCTGCTGGGTTGGGCCTTTCCTGCCCCCATCGCTTACTTTGCCCCACTCCCCTGGGAGGTGAGACCTGCTCCCAGGCCCACCACACTTTATTTATTTACCTGTTTGTAGGTGTGAGTGTCTCTCTGTTCATTCATTATTTGCATGTAGGCAGAATAGCACAGTGGCTAAACTGGTTGCCTTTACAGTAAGAATCCCAGCTCTGCCTCCTACAAGTGTGTGATCTTAGGCAAGCTGTCCAACCTCTGTTAATGTATAAAATGGGAACAATAAAGCCTACCTCATATAGTTGTTGTGTGGGCTAAATGAGGTAATGCATGTAAAATCCTCGGCTCAGTGTCTGGCTTAGCATAAAGTGCTGATGAAGATTCTCTGTTATTTTCTCACGGTTCAAGTGCCAACCAGTCCACTCAATAATGGTGTGATCTTCGGCAAGTTATTCAACCTCTCCAAGCTTCTGTTTCCTCAGCTGTAATCTGTAACTACCTCATAGAACTATAGTTGGATGATTAAATGAGATAATCTGGCTGGGCGTGATGGCTGACACCTGTAATCCCAGCACTTTGAGAGGCCAAGGGGGGAGAATCAGTTGAGTCCAGCGGTTTAGGACCAGCTTGGGCAACATAGGGAGACCCTGTCTCTACAAAAGATACAAAAATTAGCTGGGTGTGGTGGCACACACCTGTGGTCACAGCTACTCGGGAGGCTGAGGTGGGAGGATCGCTTGAGCCTGGGAGGCAGAGGTTGCAGTGAGCCATGATCGTGCCACTGCACTCCAGCCTGGGTGACAGAGTGAGACCCTGTCTCAAAAAATAAAATAAAATAAAAATAAGTAAATAAATGAGATATTCTATGTAAGCTGTCAGAGTGAGAGCTCCGTGGATGTTAATGATTATTATTCCTGTTGTTATTATTTCATAAATATCTGTTGAATACATACTCTGTGCTAAGGCCTTTGTCTGTGTTGTCACTGAATCATCAGAATGGCCTGGTGAGGAATATAGTGTTATTTCTGTTTCACAGACAGGAAAACCAAGGCAGGTAAAGCACATGGCTGAATGGCAGAGCCCCAATTCTAATCTAGGTCTGTGTGGTAGGCACCAAAACATGTTCCCTCTTCATTACTTCAACGCACTTTTAAAAATTGAGATAAGGGGCCGGGCGCAGTGGCTCACGCCTGTAATCCCAGCACTTTGGGAGGTTGAGGTGGGCAGATCATGAGGTCAGGAGTTTGAGACCAGCCTGGCCAACATGGTGAAACCTGTCTGTACTAAAAATACAAAAATTAGCTGGGCGTGGTGGCGCATGCCTGTAATCTCAGCTACTCAGGAGGCTGAGGCAGGAGAACTGCTTGAACCGGGACCCGGGAGGCGGAGGTTGCAGTGAGCCGAGATCGTGCCATTGCACTCCAGCCTGGGCAACAAGAGTGAAACTCTGTCTCAAAAAAAAAAAAAAAAAAAAATTGAGATAAGGCCGGGCGTGGTGTTTGTAGCCTGTAATCCAAAACTTTGGGAGGCCAAGGTAGGCGGATCTCCTGAGGTCAGGAGTTCGAGACCAGCCTGGCCAAAATGGGGAAACCCTGTCTCCACTGAAAATACAAAAATTAGCCAGGTGTAGTGGTGGGCACTTGAAACTGGGTGGTAGAGGTTGCTGTGAGCCGAGATTGTGCCACTGCACTCCAGCCTGGGCAACAAAGCGAGACTCTTTGTCTCAAACAATAAAAATAAAAATTGAGATAAAATTCACATGACATAAAATTCACCATTTTGGTCGGGTGCGGTGGCTGATGCCTGTAATCCCAGGACTTTGGGATGCTGAGGCGGGCGGATCACCTGAGGTCAGGAGTTTGAGACCACCCTGGCCAACATAGGGAAACCCCATCTCTACTAAAAATGCAAAAAATTAGCCAGGTGTGGTGGCAATACCTGTAATCTCAGCTACTCAGGAGGCTGAGGCAGGATAATTGCTTGAACCTGGGAGGCAGAGGTTGCAGTGAGCCAAGATTGCACCACTCCACTCCAGCCTGGGCAACAGAGTGAGACTCCATCTACCAAAAAAAAAAAAAAAAAAACCTCACCATTTTAACTAAAGTATACAATGCAGCTCTTTTTTATTACATTCACAATATTGTGTAACCATCGCCACAATCTAGTTACATAACATTTTCGTCATCCCAAAAAGAAACCCTGTACCCATTAAGCAGTCATTCTCCTTTTTCCCCCTCTCTGGACCCTGGCAACCACTAATCTGCTTTCTATCTCTATGGATTTGACTATTTTGGACATTTCATATAGGGTCAGCCTGGGTGACAGGGTCTCACTTTGTCACCCAGGCTGGAGTAGAGTGATGAAATCACAGCTCACTGCAGCCTCGAACTCCTGGGCTCAAGTGATCCTTCCACCTTAGCCTCCTGAGTAACTGAGACTACAGGCACACACCACCATGCCCGGCTAATTTTATTTATTATTATTATTATTTTGTATAGCTGGGGTGTCACTATGTTACCTAGGCTGGTCTTGAACTCCTGGGCTCCTGCGATCCTCCTGCCTTGGCCTCCCAACGTGCTGGGATTACAGGCATGAGCCACAGGGCCTGGCCTCATTCCTTTGCATTTGGATACCCAGCTGTCTTAGCACCATTTGTTGAAAAGACTATGCTTCCCCCATTTAATGGTCTTAGCACACTTGTTGAAAATCAATTGACTATAGATGTATAGGTTTATTTTTGTACTCTTGACTCTATTCAATTGATCGATAAACTTCTTTATTGTAGCTTTGCAGTAAGTTTTGAAATCAGGACATGCGAATCTTTCAACTTTATTTTTCTTTTTGAATATTGTTTTGACTATTCAGGGTCTCTTGCGATTCCATATGAGGTGTGGGATAAACTTGTCCATTTCTGCAAAAAATGCAGCTCAGATTTTGAAAGACTTGTATTGAATCTGTTGAGCAATTTGGAGAGTGTTGCTGTCTTAACAATTAAGTCTTCTAATCCATGGACATGGAATGTGTTTCCATTTATTTATGTCTTCCTTGATTTCTTTCAACAAGGTTTGGTACTTTTCAGAGGACAAGCCTTTCCTTTCCGTGGTTAAATTTATTGCTAAATGTTTTATTATTTTTGATGCTATTGTAAATGGAAATGATTCTTAATATCATTTTCATATTGCTCGTTGCTAATGTACAGAAATACAACTGATTTTTGTGTGTTGATATTGTTGAACTTTGCTGAACTCATTTTAGTTCTAATAGCTTTCTGTGTATTCTTTAGGTTTTTCTCTATATGAGATCATGTCATCTACAAATAGAAATAGTTTTACCTCTGCTTTTCCAATCTGGATGCCTTTTATTTATTTTTCTTGCTTAATTGCCCTGGCAAGAACTTTCAGTACAATGTTGATTGGAAGTGATGAGAGTAGGCATCCTTATCTTATTCCTGATCTTAGGGGGAAAGCTTTCGGCCTTTGTCTTCACCATTAAGTGTGATGTTAGCTGTGGGTTTTGCACAGATGCCTTTTACCAGGTTGAGAAGTTCTCTCCTCTTCCTAGTTGGCTGAGTGTTTCAGGTTTTGTTTTTTTGTTTGTTTGTTTTTTGTTTAATCAGGAGAGAATGTTGGATGAACTCTTTTTTACAACTAAAAATCAGCGAAGTCCTCTGTATTTAATTTGGTATAATTATGTGAGACCAAGTTTCATAATTAAGGTTTTATTTCATAATTTTTTTGATTTTTTGGGACAGAGTTTCACTCTTGTTGCCCAGACTGGAGTGTGATGGTGTGATCTCGGCTCACCGCAACCTCCGCCTCCCAGGTTCAAGCAATTCTCCTGCCTCAGCCTCCCGAGTAGCTGGGATTACAGGCATGCACCACCACGCCTGGCTAATTTTGTATTTTTAGTAGAGATGGGGTTTCTCCATGTTGAGGCTGGTCTCAAACTCCTGTCGTCAGGTGATCCGCCCATCTCGGCCTCCCAAAGTGCTGGGATTACAGGCGTGAGCCACCGTGCCCGGCCTCATTTCATAATTAATGTTTTCAAAGAAGGTTACAAATATATGGCTGGGTATCTTTAACCATGTGACTTTAGTCAATTCCTACTTCTTTGGGCCTCAGTTTCCTCAACTGTAAAATGGAGGTGGATAGTAATGCTTACTTCATGGGGCTTAGAGGGATGATGGAGATAAGATGGGATTTTTGTGTGCAAAGGCACTTTGCAAATAAAAACTATTCTTCTGTTGCTGCTCTTATTAGAGATACTTTGTGTGTGTATTTTTGTTGTTGTTGTTCGTTTCTTTTTTGAGACAGGGTCTCCCTCTGTTGCCCAGGCTGGAGTGCATTGGCGTCATCATAGCTCACTGTAGCTTTGAACTCCTGGGCCCAAGCAATTTTTCCACCTCAGCTTCCCAAGTAGCCCAGACTACAGGCTTGCACCACCATGCCTGGCTAATTTTTAAATTTTTTTCTAGAGAAGAGATCTCACTATGTTGCCCAGGATGGTGTTGAACTGTGGCCTCAAGCAATCCTCCCACCTTGGTTTCCCAAAGTGCTGAGATTACAGGCATGAGCTGCCATGCCCAGCTAGAGATGTTATTTATTTATTTATTTATTTATTTACTTATTTACTTATTTTTGAGATGGAGTCTTGCTATGTCGCCCCGGCTGGAGTGCAGTGGCATGATCTCGGCTCACTGCAACCTCCACTTCCTGGGTTCAAGTGATTCTCCTGCCTCAGCCTCCTGAGTGGCTGGGATTACAGGTGTGCACCACCATGCTTGGCTCATTTTCGCATTTTTTAAGTAGACTTGGGGTTTCACCATGTTGGCCAGGCTGGTCTCGAACTCCTGAGCTCAAGTGATCCATCCACCTCGGCCTCTCAAAGTGCTAGGATTACAGGCATGAGCCACCATGCCCAGCCTGGAGATGTTGTTTTAAATTGTAATATAACATGTTTAATAAAGTACATAAGATACATAAAGGGCAATCGTCTTAAGTATAAAAACTGATTAATTTGTATACAGCCATGTGAACACCTCTGGATCCTGCTATTGAACCTGTTAGCACCTTGTAAGGGTCCTCTTCCTGGTCTGTACCTCCCTGGAGGTAACCATTATTCTGATTCCTAACACCATGGATTAGTTTTGCCTGTTTTTGAGCTTCGTATATATGGAGTCATACAAGCTTTTGTATCTGGTTTCTTTCACTCAGCATAATATCTGTGAGTCATCCAAATTCTTGCATGTATCAGTGGCTCATTCTTTTTCACACAGTTTTGAATAAGTTAATACGAGTTGGTCAAAGTTTGAAAAGGCTGTGCATTTGTCTGAGAGACCAGAAAAATACAGGCCAGCAAAGCCCAGGGCTCTCCAGTATTGAGCCAGTCCACTCTGTGAATCTCTATTTATGGCAGCTGAATTCTCAGCCAGGATGGCAGCTACTTTGCCCATGTGTCACCACTTCCCATCCCATACCCTGGGTAGACATCACAAATCCATCTTGAGCACTTTTTTTTCTTTTTTTGAGACAGTGTCTCACTCTGTCACTCAGGCTGGAGGGCAGTTGCATGTTCACAGCTCACTGCAGCCTCAACCTCCTGGGCTCAAGTGATCCTCCTGCCTCAGCCTCTCGAATAACTGGGACCATAGGTGTGTGCCACCATGCCCAGGTAATTTTTAATTATTTCTTGAGACTGAGTGTCCCTATGTCGCCCAGGCTGGTCTCAAACTCCTGGGTTCAAGCAATCTTCCCATCTTGGCCTCCCAAAGTGCTGAGATTACAGGTGTGAGTCGCCATGCCGGGCCAATCTTGGCACTTTTTTTTACAAGAACTTCTGATGCAGCCTCAAAATTCTTTTCAACCCAGCGGTCCAGGTGGCCAACACTAATTGCTTGTAGTTGGTACTTGATATAGTTTGGCTGTGTCCCCACTCAAATCTCATCTTGAATTATATCTCCCATAATTCCCATTGTTGTGGGAGGGACCTGGTACGAGATAATTAAATCATGGCAGCGGTTTCTCCCATACTGTTCTTGTGGTAGTGAATAAGTGTCATGAGATCTGGTGGTTTTATAAGGAGAAACCCCTTTCTCTTGGCTCTCATTCTCTCTTTGCCCGTTGCTATCCATGTAAGACGGGACTTACTCTTCCTTGACTTCTGCCATGATTGTGAGGCTTCCCCTGCCATATGGAACTATAAGTCCAATTAAACCTCTTTCTTTTTGTAGATTGCCCAGTCTTGGGTATGCCTTTATCAGAAGCATGAAAACAGACTAATACAGTACTCAAGATTAAATCTGAGGCTTCTGCTGTCATATCCCCAAGATATTTTTCTGGGCTCCCAGAGTTAGAACATGAGGGGCTCTGTTATCACCCTCAGTTTACCACACAGCTGTATGAAACTGATGGTGGTGAGGTCCACAGCATCTTCCTGTTCATATATCCTTTGGGTAATGGCTCCAACCCAGCAAGTGTTTTGCTACCTATGTACCTGGGAGCAACTTGACTTAGATAAGAGGTGATGAGGCAGACTGCTTAGATGTGGAGGGGCTGCTGCACCCATGAGGTGGCTTGACTGAAGCCTCTTTGTTTTTCTCTTTTACTTTGCTAAAACATTGCAGTGTCTCAATTACGGAACAAACACAAATGTGACTTAATGTTTAACAATACTCCTGTGAATTCTTGACAGTTCTAGCATGTCTCTCACATTTGAAAAACTTATTCCAACCACAAAATTGGGTGAAATGAACTCTACCATCCTCTGGGAATGGCTGCCTGTATGTGCAGGGTTGGAGGTTGTGGCTGATTAAAACAACAACAACATCCAACTCATGGCTTTTGTCCAAATGTAAATCATAGTCTGAGGGAGGAGATAAGACTCACATATAAACTAATAGAGGAAAAGTCCAGCTAAGCTCTCATTTATTTGAAACTCTGATCCTGAGCAACTTCACATATTTGAAAAGTACAGGAAGGAATAAAAAATACCTTTGAGAAGCTGTATTTTTCTTCATGGGAGAGCATTTCAGCTCCTCATTTAGAATTGGTTTATTCTTTGTTTTTGTTTTTGTTTTTTTTTTGAGACGGAGTCTCGCTCTGTCACCCAGGCTGTAGTGCGGTGGCGAGATCTCGGCTCACTGCAAGCTCCGCCTCCTGGGTTCAGGCCATTCTCCTGCCTCAGCCTCCCGAGTAGCTGGGACTACAGGAGCCTGCAACCACGCCCGGCTAATTTTTTTGTATTTTTAGTAGAGACGGGGTTTCACTGTGTTAGCCAGGACGGTCTCGATCTCCTGACCTCGTGATCCGCCCATCTCGGCCTCCCAAAGTGCTGGGATTACAGGCGTGAGCCACCGCGCCGGCTATTCTTTGTTTTCATGCAAGGTTAACACATGCAAAAGATTGGAAGCAGCAAATTAGAATGGTAGGCTTGGGGCAACTACTGGCTACTAACAGCAGCCTCACTGCTAATGGATGGAGAAGTGATTTTTTCCCCCTTTTTATCCACCACTAAGAGTCTAGAGAAGTGATGCTTGACACCAAAGACAATGGAAAAACAATGAAATGTGGTACCACAATTAGCTGCGTCTGTTTATTGCAGAGGCAAAAAAGTCCTCAACGCTTCTGCCACTTTTGAAAGTTCTGAGTCTGGTTCAATTCTTATTGCCTATAAAGATGACAGAATACCTAAGAATAAAATACACATTTTTGAGCATCCGCTAGGTGCCAAGTCTATGCTCAGCAAGTACTTTACATTCTATATCTCACATAAGCTTCAGGTGGTCCTGTTACGATCATCTCCAGTTTATACTTGCAGGAAGGGAGGCACAGAAAGTAGGGGAAATAACTTGCCCAAGTAAGTAGTCAAGGCTGGGTTTTGAACCTTTGCTATCAAAGTTCAGTGCCAAGGCCCTTAGCTTCTGCTAGGTTTCAAAGGATCTGTTAGGTGAATGAAGAGTAGAAAGGCATTCCAGGTAGAGGGAAGAACATTTGCAAAGACAGGTCTAGTCAGTCAGTCACTTGATTTCTCTGAATCTTGGTTTACTCCCCTATAAAATAGGAACAGTATTATCTGTCCTAGGCTGCTTATGATAATTAAATGTGTTTTTTTTTCTTTTTTTTTGGAGACCAAGTCTTGCTCTGTCACCCAGGCTGGAGTGCAGTGGCGCAATCTCAGCTCACTGCAAACTCTGCCTCTGGGGTTCAAGTGATTCTCCTGCCTCAGCCTCCCAAGTCACTGGGATTACAGGCACGTACCACCATGCCTGGCTAATTTTTGTATTTTTAGTAGAGACGGGGTTTCACCATGTTGGCCAGGCTGGTCTCGAACTCCTGACCTCATGATCCATCTGCCTTGGCCTCCCAAAGTGCTGGGATTACAGGCGTGAGCCACTGCCCCCGGCCAAATGTGATATTATATGTACAGCACTTTGCACAATGCCAGAATGTGCATCGATGGTGCAATCACAGAATGTGCATCAATGTTAATTATTGTTGTTTTTCAAATACAATAGTTCTCCTTTATCCTCAGGTGTACCTGCAAGTGGATGCCTGAAAACATAAATAGTACTGAACTTTATATATACTGTGTTTTTTCTATATATATACATCTATGATAAAGTTTAATTTATAAATTAGGCACAGTAAGAGATTAATAACAACTATTAATAAAATGGGACAATTATAACAATATACTGTATTCAGTTTTGTGAATGTGGTCTCTCTCTCAAAATGTCTTACTGTACTGTATTCACCCTTCTTCTTGAGATTATGCGTGATGTCAAAATCCCTATGTGATGAGATGAAGTAAGGTGAATGACACAGGCATTATGAGGTAGTGTTAGGCTACTACTGACCATCTGAGATGTCAGGAGGACCATCTGCTTTGGGTGATCCTGGATCATTGAGCTATGACGATGTCAGTGGTTGGATATCAGGATCAGACGATGTCAACCAATGATTGGGGGTCCTTGGATAATTGCGTTTTTGCCAAAAACTTTTGGAAGAACATTATTACTGGAAGTTGTCTCTTTCTTTCTTTTTCTGAGATAGCATCTCAGTCTGTTGCCCAGGTTTCAGTGCAGTGGTGTGATCATGGCTCACTGCAGCCTCAACCTCCTGGGCTCAGGTGATCCTCCCACCTCAGCCTCCTGAGTAGCTGGGACTGCAGGTGTGCGCCACCACACCCAGCTAGTTTTTTGCATTTTTTGTAGAGATGAGGTTTCACCATGTTGCCCAGGCTGGTCTCAAACCTGTGAGCTCGAGTGACCCGCCTACCTCAGCATCCCAAAGTGCTGAGATTACAAGCGTGAGCCGCTGCACCTGGCCATCTCTTTCTATTTAATTCTTTTTTTTTTTTTTTTTTTTGAGACAGAGTCTCTGTCGCCCAGGCTGGAGTGCAGTGGCGCAATCTCGGCTCACTGCAACCTCTGCCTCTTGGGTTCAAGCAATTCTTCTGCCTTAGCCTCCCAAGTAGCTAGGATTACAGGTGCACGCCACCATGCCTGGTGAATTTTTGTATTTTTAGTAGAGACAGGATTTCACCACGATGGCCGGGCTGGTCTCAAACTCCGGGCCTCAAGTGATCTGCCCACCTCGGCCTCCCAAAGTCCTAGGATTACAGGTGTTAGCCACTATGCCTGGCCTCTTTCTTTTTAATTCATAGAAGTGTGGCTGCAGAAGTTGTAATCCTTTGGTGACCACACGAGTGGTTTTAATGCTGTGTTCTATCTGAGGATTGAATTCCATAATTTTGTCCTTTAATGTCTGTGCAATTTGAAACACTCGGCAAATTTTGATAACACCCATATTGCTGGTTCTGTTTCTGTTTCTCCTTCATTTTCCTCTTTCTTTGTAGATGACTTGACAAGTTCTTCCAATTCCACATTTGTTAACACTTCCCAGTGGCCTTCAATATGATCTTCCACTTCTTCATCAAGCATGTCCCCAAATCCTTCTCCACCAACTTGTCTTGCTGTAGCCTCTCCAGTAATATTTATTTATTTATTTGTGACAGGGTCTCACTCTGTCACCCAGGCTCGAGTGCAGTGGTGAGATCACAGCTCACTGCAGTTTCAAACTCCCAGGCTCAGATGATCTTCATGGCTCAGTCTCCTGAGCAGCTGGGACTATAGGCCTGTGCCATCATGCCCAGCTAAATTTTGTATTTTTTGTAGGGATGGGGTTTCGCCATGTTGCCCAGGCTGGCCTCAACTCCTGGGCTCAAGCGATCCACCTGCCTTGGTCTCCCAAAATGCTGGAATTACAGGCGTGAGTCACCGCACCCAACCTCCAGTAACTTTTTTTTTTTTTTTTGACACGGAGCCTCGCTCTGTTGCCCAGGCTGGAGTGCAGTGGTGCCATCTCGGCTCACTGCCAGCTCTGCCTCCCGGGTTCACGCCATTCTCCTGCCTCAGCCTCCTGAGTAGCTGGGACTACAGGCGCGTGCCACCATGCCTGGCTAATTTTTTTGTATTTTTAGTAGAGATGGAGTTTCACCGTGTTAGCCAGGATGATCTTGATCTCCTGACCTCGTGATCCGCCCGCCTCGGCCTCCCAAAGTCCTGGGATTACAGGCATGAGCCACCGCGCCCGGCCTTTTTTTTTTTTTTTTTTTTGACACGGAGTCTCTCTCTGTCGCCCAGGCTGGAGTGCAGTGGCGCAATCTCGGCTCACTGCAAGCTCTGCCTCCTGGGTTCACGCCATTCTCCTGCCTCAGCCTCCAGAGTAGCTGGGACTACAGGCACCCGCCGCCACCATGCCAGGCTAATTTTTTGTATTTTTAGTAGAGACGGGGTTTCACCTTGTTAGCCAGGATGGTCTCGATCTCCTGACCTCGTGATCCGCCCGCCTTGGCCTCCCAAAGTGCTGGGATTACAGGCGTGAGCCACCGCGCCCGGCTCCAGTAATTTTTTTTTTCTTTTTGAGACAGAATTTTGCTCTTTTCGCCCAGGCTGGAGTGCAATAGCACGATTTCAGTTTACTGCAACCTCTGCCTCTCAGGTTCAAGTGATTCTCCTGCCTCAGCCTCCCAAGTAGCTGGGATTACAGGCGTGCGCCACCACGCCCAGCTAATTTTTTTATTTTTATTTTTTATTTTTAGTAGAGATGGGGTTTCACCACGTTGGCCAGGCTGGTCTCAAACTCCTGACCTCAGGTGATCCATCCGCCTAGGCCTGCCAGAGTGCTGAGATTACAGGTGTGAGCCACTGTGCCCAGCCCATCCAGTAATTTTTATATTTTGCAGTCTAAACCTATTCCTAAGTCAGTGCAACCATCCATTACTTTCAGTAAGTGGCTTGGTGCCACTGGTTTTAGGAGATTCCTTGCTGAAGCCTTTATACAGGCTCAATGCTTTCTGGGGGGTAACAGGTTGCTGTCAGTTGGAACACATTTTTTGTTCGTGTCTTCCACGTATAAGCTTAATGCTTTTTCTTTTCTTTTGTAAAAAAATTTATTTTCTTTTTTTCCCCTGTAAGTAAGGATACAACTTAATGCCTTTTCTATCTTAACTAAGCACTTATCACACACTGTGGCTGTAACTTTTGCAGTTTGAGGTACGACAGCAAAACCAGCATGAATTTCTTTTTCCTCTTTCACAATTCTAGGGCTAGAAGATTCGTTCTTACTGCAGACCTCAGTAAGCTCAGCATACGATTTTTTTTCTTAAGCTCAGAACTTCCACATTTACATTTAAAGGAAGCACTTTACAGCTTCATTTTGGCATATCCAAACTGCCAGCATTACTACTCTTGCACTTTGGGGCCATTATATAGTAAAATGAGGGTTACTCGAACCAAAGCACTGCAACACCGTGGCAGTCCATCTGATAACTCCTAAGCTGGTAAGTAACTAACAGATGGTAGAGGTATGTTGGACAAAGGGATGATTCACATTGCAGGTAGGATGGAACAGGATAGCACGAGATTTCATTAGGCCAATGGAAATTAAAAACTTATGAACTGTTTATTTCTGGAATTTTCTATTTAATACTGTCAGACCTTAGCTGGCCAAGTGAAACTACTCAAAGTAAAATCTCAGATAAGGGGGACACTACCGTACTTAACTGGAGAAGATACTGCTTTGCTTCTGTGACCACAGAATTGACAGGTTGAAATTGGAAACAACTGTTGCCTTCACGCTTTTAAGACAACTTCACATGAATATACATGTGAAGTTCAAGCATGGCAGTATCCCATACTAGCAATAAATTTTTGAGCAGTGTTGCACACTTACTGTCATTTCTCTTACTGTTCTGCCACTCCTACAGAGCGCAGGCCAAGGAGACTACATTTCCCAGAATGCCACACGCCCTTTGACCCCAGCTACAGCAAAAGACGCGCCGGGGAGCGCCTGAAGCCGGAAGACTATAGCTTCCCGGCATGCAGCACGCTTCCCCCTATTAGATTTGAGGCGCGGCCGGCGCGTTGCCCACTGGGAGTTGTAGTCAGTGGCGCGTTGCCCTGACGCCTGCCGGGCCGGGCGTGGGGGCCTGTGGGAGGTGGCGCGGCCGGGCCCAGCTGCGGGGCGGAGGCGGAGGCGGAGGAGAGGCCTGCGGCGGCAGGGAGCGGCGGGACTGGGAGCGGGCGCCGGAGCCGACCCGAGCCGAGCCGAGCCGAGCCGAGCCGGAGCGGGCGGCGAAGGCCGGCGCGGCGAGCAGCAACCATGTCGGTGTTCGGGAAGCTGTTCGGGGCTGGAGGGGGTAAGGCCGGCAAGGGCGGCCCGACCCCCCAGGAGGCCATCCAGCGGCTGCGGGACACGGAAGAGATGTTAAGCAAGAAACAGGAGTTCCTGGAGAAGAAAATCGAGCAGGAGCTGACGGCCGCCAAGAAGCACGGCACCAAAAACAAGCGCGGTGAGGCTGCCCGGCCCCTTCAGACTTGCCACGGGCTCCCCCCAGGCTCCCCGGGCCCGGACTTCACCTTCATCAGACTCGCCTCGGGGTCTGGTCTGACCCTGGAACTCTCCGGGTCAGACTTCTTGCCGGGTCTGGGACCCCCTCCCCGACTCCCTTCAATGTCTCCCCGATCCCTGGACTTTTCCATCGTCAGACTTATTCTGCCCTCTCCCCTCAGCCTCTCTCCACCCCGCCAGGTCCCTTCAGACCCCAATCTCACAGCACTTTCCTCCGCCCTCACTCTGTCCCTTTCTCTTCCGCCTTTTCCTTCTCGCCTCACCCACCTGCCTAGCTACTGCCCCTGCCTCCTCCTCGGCTCATTTCTGCCCCCATCCTAGCATTTCTGTGCTTCCTGGTCCTACCTGTGCCCTCTCCCGACTCCTCGGTGGAATCTGTGAGCTGCCCCTTGGCCTCTCCCCTGTCCTCTTGTCTCAGAATTCTCGTTGAAAAGCCTCCTTGCTGGAGAGAAAAGGGGACTGGGGGAGATGAGACCCCCGATTCCTGCTCTATTCACTTGCTGAGTGAACTTGAGCAAGTTGCTTTCCCTTTGAGGCCTCAGTTTCCCCATCCGTCAGCCAGAGTTCGGCCTCTGTTGAGGCCTAAGGTGTTTTCCAGCGTTGTGATTCACTTTTTGTTGCCTCGTAGCTTGACCTTACCAAAGTTTCCCGTGGCGCAAGCCTTCACCCCATGACTCACCGCTTCCCCATCCGTCTGAACCAGAAATAGAGACTCCCGACTGCTCCCCAGTCCCCACTACTAGGATTCAGGGCCCCAGTATTGAATCTTGAGGCACTGCTTACTTTACTTCCTGTTGTCGTATGGCTTTCTGGGCATTCCAAGTGCTTTGTGTTTTTCTTAAGTGAGATGAATGTGAAAATGCTTTAAAACTGTAAAGCAGTTTAGAAATGTTTGCTTTTTCTTGTTATGGCCATGTGAGAGTGAATCACAGAACGACATCCCTTCCCCTTGAGAGGGGTTTAGGATTGAGGTAATTCACTCAGAAGTCTGCTAGTGACTAGCAGTGCGACCTTGAGCTCATTTACCTTTCTGAAAGGAAAATCATGGATTTACAGTGCTCAGCACATAGTAGGGGCTAAATCGATGTTTTCTCCATTCTAATAGGAGAACAAAATAGCCTATCTGGAGGATGCTTCTCTGCTGATAGTCAACAGATATTCTGGAAATTCTTTTTAGTGCCTGCTGCATGCGCTGTATTCATAGGGGTGAACAAAACACGGCCTCAACCCTAATGGGAGAGAAGACAGAAACAGGAAAATAAATGAAGAAAATATTGTCCGGGGGTGATAAGTACTAAACACACAAAAAGATGGTCTGATAGGGAGTGGTGGAGTGGGAGGGATGCCACTTTGGATAGAATGGTCAGGGAAGGCGTCTTTGAAAAGGTAAAGTTTGAACTGAGTCTGGAGAAGGAACCAGCTCTGTAAAAAAAAAAAAAAAAGGGGGAGGAGCCTTCTGGGCGTGGAAAGCAGCATGGGAAAAGGCTCGGAGGTTAGCAGGTTGTAAGAAACCGAAGAGAGAGACCCTTGTGTCCAGAATGTAGTGCTTGGAGGGAGAGTGGTATGGAATAAAGGGGGCGGGGCTTGGACTTTGAACCTGTTGGTGAAGAGTTTGAATTTTATTCCAAGTGGATGGAAAGTTTTTGGAGAGTATTTTGTTGGAACGTGTCCTTATTGACAGAGTTTTTAAAACATCATCTGGCTGCTCTTTGGAGAGTGGGTGGGGGATGCGGGTGGGAGCAGGGAGAACAGTGAGGAGGCAGCTGCAGTGGTCCATTTGTGGCTTGGACTCCAGCTTAGTTGTGGAGATGGGAACAGGGTTATATTTTGCTGTCTCTAGCTTTTTCCTCTGATGACTCTCCCTCAGTCCAGATCCTCTGTTTATGGTCATCAGAATCAGTGTTTTTAGCTTTCTGCATTTTGGAATGCAGGAGGAGGGTGTCAGTTTACCATTTTCCTCTGATCTTTTGGTCTGGAGCTAGCTTAGTTTCTGGAGTTTGTTTTTTTGTTTGTTTGTTTGTTTGTTTGTTTTTGAAACGGAGTCTCGCTCTGTTGCCCAGGCTGGAGTGCAGTGGTGCGATCTCAGCTCACTGCAACCTCTGCCTTCTGGGTTCAAATGATTCTCCTGCGTCAGCCTCCTGAGTAGCTGGGATTACAGGTGCACGCCACCATGCCTGGCTAATTTTTGTATTTTTAGTAGAGATGGGGTTTCACCATGTTGGTCAGGCTGGTCTTGAACACCTGACCTCATGATCTGCCTGCCTCGGCCTCCCAAAGTGCTGGGATTATGGGCATGAGCCATCGCACCCAGCCGTTTCTGCAGTTTTGGCGATCGAATTGACTTTCAAGGGGCTGCAGGAGAGCTCGCCAGCCAACTGTGGAGGACCAATCTCAGTTGTCAGACTTGCTGAAGGCAGGCTGTCTCCCTGAGTTTGCTTGAGAGGATGGGAGCTACTGTAACCTACCCTTCTTTTTAGCATCCTCTAGGAGGAAGGTCTTAGTGTGGGGAGGTGAACACTACCACATTACCATTCAGTTAGTCTGCTTATTCACCTGCCACTATGCTGGGACCTTGAGAGTCAGAGATGAAAATACACTGTGTCAGCCCTTCAGGAACTCAGAATTGGAAGTGTGGGGTGGGAGTGTATGTGCGTGTGAGAGAGCAGGAAATGATTATAACAGTGCAGAAACATGAGTGTGTACATGGGCTGAGGCTGCAGAGGAGGCGGCACCTGTTTGGGGGGAAGGATAAAGAAGACTTGGCAGAGGAAGGAGAACGTGAGGTGGGTCAGCAAGGAGTTGGGTGTGTTTGGGAGGCAGTGACAGTGTCGCCTCTGGAGTCTGTGGGTGGGACAGGAGATAACACTGAGAGTGGCCTGTAGTCTTTGGACCTTGACCTGGAAGTAGTGAGGAGCCCTTAGCTGTCCTTTATTTTTATTTATTCATTCACTTTAAGCAACAGGGTCTTGCTCTGACATCCAGGCCGAAGTGCAGTGGTGCAGTTATAGCTCAGTGCAGCCTGGCACTCCTGGGCTCAAATGATCCTCTCACTTCAGCCTCCTGAGTAGCTAGGACTTCAGGCACATGCCTAGCTAATTCAAAACATTTTTTTTTGTAGGGACAAGGTCTCGCTCTGTTGCCCAGGCTGGTCTCAAACTCCTGGCCTCGAGCGATTCTCCCGTATTAGCCTCCCAAAGTGTTGGGATTACAGCCACTGTGCTCAGCCCTTGGCTGGCTTTTAAAGCAGAGAGTCATCATATCTGTTTGGAATTTTGAAAGAGCACTCTAGCAGCAGCTTAAAGGAAGAAGTGTAGACTGACCAGGAAGGGACTGGAGGCAAGAATCCCATCAGGGGCAAGGATAGTGCCTTTCAGACCTGGGTTTGAGCTGCAGCTTCATCATTTCCTTGCTGGGTACCTGGGGCAGGTTACTCTGTACCTCAGATTCCTCCTCCACAAATCAGGGTACTAGTATCTGCCTGATTGGATGAAAATATGTTACGCATGCCAAGCTCCTAGGACAATGCCTGCCATATGGTAAGTGACCGATAAATGCTTGCCATTATCATTATTACAAGGAGACTTGCAATTCTTCAGGTGAGAATAAAGGGCCTAGTGTAGAAGCATGGGAAACTGGAAGAGAAATAATACATGTCTGAGACTTTTCTGAAGGAGAATCAAAAGAGACTTGGTGATTTGTTGTAATTGTGGGAGTGGGCAGGACGAAGGAGAGAGGGGAGTGGAGGATGATTCCCCAGTTCATAGCTTGGGCAGCTGGTTGGATGGTGATGGCAGTAATGAAGTTGGGAAACAGGAGAAGGAGCGTGTACTTGATAATTGTATAGTCCTGGTAGGTTTGGAAAACCGCTCAGCATCCCCTGAAACTGTGAGGTCCATGAAGTAAGATGTGATGGTCACATTCATCACTGTGTCCCCACCACCTAGCACAGTGCTTTGCACATGGTTAATGGTCAGCATTTGTTAAATGAAAAAAACAATCTTGTGGGTAAGTTCTGTTATTCCCATTGTACAAGAGAGGAAAATGAGGCTCACGACGGGACGAACTCAACTCAAAGACCAGTTCTGTTGACTGTGGGCATCTTGTGTTGTTTACTCCCATGATGACTAAGGGTGTCATCATGACCATCACCATGTTCATTAAACACTCAGTTCATTAAACACCCACCTGTGCAAGGTGTGGTGCTGAGTAGGGGAAAAAGAAGTAAAGCAGAAACAGGCTATTCCCTGCTGGGTGTGTAGCCAAATGTAGATGCTATCTTTGAGGCATACACATTGGAAAGATGAAACAAACTTCAGAAGCTTTGAAACAGACCTCAGAAGCTTGAGTAGAGTATTTGCACTGTGTAGGTGTGTCCCAGGTAGTGGTTCCAGTGAGGAGCCTAGAGCAAAATTTGGATTGCTTTTTTTTCCCAAATTTCATTTCTTTTTCTTTAGTCATATATTCATTCTTAAGCATGTGGCAGGCCCTTACTGTGTCCTAGGCCCCATCCTTGGTGCTGAGAATGCAGACGTGAACCAGATGTGGTCTCTGCCATCCAAGGGACTTAAATATCATCATTTATGAAATAATATTCATCTCACATGCCTATGGTGAGGATTAACTAAGGTAATATATGAAAGAGTGTGGCAAATTGTGGATATTGAGTAAGTGTACTTTTCTTTTCTGATAAAGTTATTGTTGATCAGACTTCTTTGGTTTAGTTGTCTCTTTCATTGAGAACTGGATAGAAACCAAGATCAGAGTTTAGGTGAACTGACAGAAATCACCCAAAGCTAGGTCTTTTTTGGTACCTTTCTAAACAATGCCCTTTGGTTTTCTCCCTAAGAAAGGTGATCATACTTTTCTGGAGAACATGTGGGAAAAAAAAGAAAAGAAAAAAATGGAAGATGATCAAATATCAAAGATTCTTTTCTTTTTAAGTCTTGGTAACTAGCTAAGGAAATATCTACTCTAGATGGTTCAGATTTCCCTTTTTTTCCTGTTTTAGTAAAGATGAAAACAGTTGTAGACAAGATCATAGTTTAACAAGAGAATTGGAGAAGATTAGGAAATGGAGAGTGGCATCTAAAACACCCTATACTGGTACATTTCTGTGAATTTATGGATGCAAATCAGTTCATTTACAGGTTAATTTAGGTTTAGCTGAGAATGTCTGATGGATGCATAGAGGCCAGAAGCTCACAAGAGATATATCTTCATTAAGTTCTGCTCATTGCTGGAGTGAGGGTGGTTTTCTCATGTTTAATAAAGTCTCTCTCAAACATGAGCATATGTGAAGACACTGTAATAAGTTTATAGTCTTATGAGACAAAGAACGTGGCTCTTTGGTTCTCTGGAATCAAGATCTCAGGTTGAAAAGCACAGTGTCTTAATGGCGCATGTGCCAGCAGTATCTCTTATCCCAGAGGCCCAGGGATAGAAAACTCGAAATCCACCCAGGGAAGTGAGCAGTGGGAATTTCCCTCAGTGACGCTTAAGTTTCTTGTTTGGAAAAATGGTTGGCTAGATTGAGTTTGGTTTACTTCCTAAGACAGATGGAGTACCAGAGGCCCTATGTGTTGGCTATCCAAACACACTGGTTCCTTTAATTCAAATGACAAATCCTTATTTTGCCCCATTTGGCAGGGAGATTAGATATTTTTAATTGCCTGCCAGAGTAGGTTTATAATGTGATTTGTAACTCAAGATAGATTTTGTTTGGAAGTTTAACTAAACGTGAAGACCTGTGAGCAGGACTGTTTTGCTTGGAGAAACCTTGAGTTGTCCAGAGTTGGGTTTGAGTGTGGAGCGAGGTCTTGGAGAGCATCCTATGAAGATGTGTGCGAGCCAGCCATCTCCGAGGCGTAAAGCCAGGACCTAATTTGTTTACAGTGGTCCAGAGCCTTGACATGAAGCCAGAGCCCACCAGGAGGAGGGGCAGAGCTCTTGGGGCCTTGAGGAATTTCTTATGAAAACTTAGTCTTCTTGCTCAGAATTATTTTGGGTTGTGCCACTGTCTTTAAGAGTGTGAGAGAGAGGATATTAGAAAACAACTTTAGTTGGTCATTTTGCAGATGGATGATTATATTTAGAAGGGGAAAATCTGAGCATAGCAATGGGAAACTACAGATCTAGCTGTTTGTAGTACTGGCCTGTTTTTAAGCTGTTTGGCTCAAGTCAGCAATCATTTATTACGTTTCTTCTAGGTGGAAGGTGTGGTGATGTGGGCAAAAGATTCCCAGTTTGAATGCAGCTTTACCTTTCATCAGTAGTACCTTGGTAGTTACTTATATTTCTCTGAGTCTCAATTCCCCACTGTGTGAAAAGGGAAATACTACCAATACTTACTTGTTAGGGCTCTTATGAGGATGTGGAATAAGTTGATGTATGTAGAGTGCCTGCCAGAATGCCTGGCAAATAGGCGAGATGAAACTGTTTCCTTGGCTTCCCAGGGATAGTCTTAGGGACAGTAAGGCTATAAAGATGGATGAGACACTGCCTTCTCCCCACAAGGGCCCACACAGTTCATCGAGGAAGACACACAGGTAAAAGTAACTATGAGAAAAGGCAAACCCCAAGTTTACAAATGAAGTGTTAGAGGAAAATACAGCAGGAAGAGTTTAATTCATCTCTGAGGTTGCAGGTTCATCTCACCCAGCCACCCATCCAATGCCCAGATTCCCTCTGTGGCATTCCTGCCAAGTGATTAACCTCTGATTGAACCCCTCTGTTGACAGGATTTATATTAGGTGCCCTATCCTCTCACACTATAGCATAGTCTGTCTCTGGACAGCTCCAACTGTAAAATCACCTTTCTTAATTGGGACTGATATCTGTCTTTCTATAGTACCTACCTCTGCTACAGGTTGGGATAATAGCTCCATAGGGAAGCAGCCTGGGCTGGTGAAAAGAATGTGGGATTTGGGGACAGAAGGGTTGGGGCAAATCCCAGCTTTGACACTAGACATTTGTGAACTAGAAAACGGGTTGTGATTTCTGCCTCTTGGGGCCACAGAGAACAGGTCTGATCCCGCTTCTACATCACAGATCAAGGAAGATTGTGTTTATGTCTCAAGCCTGCACTTCTCTAGGACAGCCATTCTACATTTCATTGACTGTCCATTTTTTGGTGCTTCTGTTCCTTCCTTTTTACTCTCCTTTGGATGTGCTCCTGTTCACCAGTGTTGCTCTTTTTTGTTTGTTTTTTTTTGAGATGGAGTTTTGCTCTGTTGCCCAGGCTGGAGTGCAGTGGCGCCATCTCATCTCACTGCAACCTCTGCCTCCCGGGTTCAAGTGATTATCCTGCCTCAGCCTCCCGAGTAGCTGGAATTACAGGCATGCGCCACCAAGCCCAGCTAATTTTTTTGTATTTTCAGTAGAGACGAGGTTTCACCATGTTAGCCAGGCTGGTCTTGAACTCCTGACCTCAAGTAATTCGCCTGCCTTGGCCTTCCAAAGTGCTGGGATTACAGGTGTGAGCCACCGTGCCCGGCCAGTGTTGCTCTTAAGGTGTGGAGTGGACAGAGCTGAATAATCTGAATATTCTAGCCAAAGTCTGAGCAGCACAACCCTAGAACAGGCAGGGCCGAGCCATTTGTTTAGGAACTAGTTTGGTTATGAGTGCTCTTTAGCCCTGATACTTCCGGTATCACTGAGACAGGGAAAAGTGATCGTATTTTCCTGTGGCTTATTCATTAGTAAAGGGATGAGCATCTAGGAACCCCTAAAGTTTGTTTGGTCCTTCTTAAAGAGTCTTAGCTGAAGGATTGAATGATTTAAGTTCTTAACAAGAGCATCTGCTGGCTTGATTCCTTGACAGCTGATATTTCTAGCTCTACCTCCTCCCTCTTCCTTACAGGGCAGAGCTGGCTTGGAGGGCTTATTTGAGTGATGGAGGAAAGCTATACATCCCTCTGGTTGTGGTTGTTTAGCTCAAAAGGTCAGTGATGTGGTATAGTGGAAAAGGTGCTAGCTTTGGGGTGAGAAGGCCTGAGTTCACATTCCACCTCTGCCGCTTGCTAGTTTGGTAACCCAGGGTAAGCCTCCTCATGTCTCTGAACAACAGCTTCTTTAGCTACAAAAATGGAATACAGAATTGACTACACAAGCTTTCTGCTCAAAGTGTGGGCTATGGAGACATCTAGGAAATTGTTAGAAACGTGGATTCTGGCCAGGCGTGGTGGCTCACGCCTGTAATCCCAGCACTTTGGGAGGCCAAGGCGGGTGGATCACGAGGTCAGGAGATCGAGACCATCCTGGCTAACATGGTGAAACCCCATCTCTACTAAAAATACAAAAAAAAAAACCAAAATTAGCTGGGTGTGGCAGCTGGCAGCTGTAGTCCCAGCTACTCAGGAGGCTGAGGCAGCAGAATGGTGTGAACCCGAGAGCCGGAGCTTGCAGTGAGCCAAGATAGCACCACTGCACTCCAGCCTGGGCAACAGAGCGAGACTCTGTCTCAAAAAAAAAAGAAAAAGAAAAAAAGAAATGTGGACTCTTAGGCCCCATCCTGACCTACTGAAGCAGAACCTGCATTTTATGAGATCCTCAGGTGGTTTGTATGCCCATCAAAGTTTGAGAGATTTTAAAACAGATCTGGATATTTTACACTTTGGGGACTCTGATGTTGAGATCCCAAATCTTTGATCTTAATGCTGTATAGGTACACATTTGCATTTAATTTCAGTTGATCCATTTTCAAAGATGGTAGCTAGAAACTTGCTTCATTCATGAATCTATTTGATAGATAAGTATGTAGTAATTTGAGCTGTATGCTAGATACTGTCCTAGTTGCTGAGTAAATGCAGATGAAGACAGGTCCTTGCCTCTGAGGTGCTTAAAATCTAGCCAAGTGACACAAGTAAACAGATAACCAGGGTACAGTGTGATTTGTTCTAGAAGCATACTTAGGATTCAGTTTGTGACATGCAGTGGAGGGAACTGGAACAACTTCATTGTGGGGGGTGGGGGACTTCAATTTATGTTTTATCGAATAGTTATTTTGGGGAGTAATGGAATGTTAGAGCAGAAAGGAACTCAAAATGTATGAGTGCTTGAAACTTTAAATTAATAGGAAGAGTTTTTTGCGAAAGAAAAACCAGGAACGTGGAACTATTTGCAGTACTTTAAAAAAGTACTTTATTTGAATCAGAAGCCTCTTAGCGGGGACATGAGAATGGATCAGTGTTTAACTTGGTCATAAAATAATTAGCTTTGGAATACTAAATTTAGAGTATAGTTTATTCTGATAATTAATTTGCTTAATTATTCAGTTAATGATTCAGTTAAAATTATAATTGTCTTCCTACGGAAGGAAGTAGGAACTAAGAAACCTGAGCAGTGGATTCTCTACTGTCTGCATAAGCAATCATTATAAATTCCTGGTTTGGCCGGGTGCGGTGGCTCACGCCTGTAATCCCAGCACTTTGGGAGGCTGAGATGGGCGGATTACCTGAGGTCAGGAGTTCGAGACTAGCCTGGCCAGCAAGGCGAAACCCCATCTCTACTAAAAATACAAAAATTAGCTGGGCGTGGTGGCAGGCGCCTGTAATCCCAGCTACTTGAGAGGCTAAAGCAGGAGAATCGCTTGAACCACGGAAGTGGAGGTGGCAGTGAGCCGAGATTGTACCACTGTACTCCAGCCTGGGTGACAGAGCAAGACTCCATCTCAAAAAAAAAAAAAAAAAAAATCCTGGTTTGTAGTCTTTATAATATCTAATAGTTGTATAAATAAAAATAAGACTTTACATGTGTGTAGCCCAGTTGCTATTCCCTGCAGAGGTTTGGAGAGGAGTTGCTACCCAGACTAGGATTTACTCTGTGACTCCTCCAGTAGGCTGAGGAATTTGATCAGCATGGTGTGTCCCAGAGTTCCCTGGACTTGGAGACATTGACTGACAAGACTGACATTTAAAACCCAGATTAGGCTGGGTATGGTGACTCACACCTGTAATCCCAGCACTTTGGAAGGTGAGGTGTAAAGATAACTTGAGGCCAGGAGTTTGAGACCAATATAGGCATCAAAGCGAGACCCTATCTCTATTTTTTTAAAAAAGTTAAAAATAAAAGCCCAGATTATTGCTATTTTCTTTCTTTTCTTTTCTTTTTCTTTCTTTCTTTCTTTGTCAGTCTTGCTGTCGCCCAGGCTGGAGTACAGTAGCAAGATCTTGGCTCACTGTAACCTCCGCCTTCTGGGCTGAAGACATCCTCCCACCTCAGCCTCCTGAGTAGCTGGGACTGCAAGTGTGCACCACCATGCCCAGCTAAATTTTTGTATTTTTTTTTTTTTGTAGAGATGGGGTTTTGCCATGTTGCCCAGGCTGGTCTCAAACTCCTGAGCTCAAGCCATCCACCCACCTTGGCCTCCTAAGGTTTTGGGATTACAGGTGTGAGCTGCTGCACACGGCCTATTGCTATTTTATTTATTTATTTATTTATTTTTGAGAGTACTGAGTCTCTCCCTGTTGCCTAGGCTGGAGTGCAGTGGTGTGATCTTGGCTCACTGCAACCTCCACCTCCTGGGTTCAAACGATTCTCCTGCCTCAACCTTGTAAGTAGCTGGGATTACAGGCACGTGCCAGCACACCCAGCTAATTTTTGTATTTTTAGTAGAGATGGGGGTTTCACCATGTTGGCCAGGCTGGTCTCGAACTCCTGACCTCAGGTGATCCACCTGCCTCGGCCTCCCAAAGTGCTGGGATTATAGGCGTGAGCCACCGTGCCCAGCCTACTGTCTTAATTCTCTATCAGGTGAACTAGTTGATTTCATCTCTCCAAAGCATGTTCTCCCTTTAGAATTTTGCACATAGGCAGCATGTCATCGCAGATTGCTTGGCAAGTCTGGAGGTAGGACTTTGGGTGTCAAGTTGTAATGGGCTCCGATAGCCTTCTGTGGCCTTGTCTAAGGAGGGAACTGATGTCAGCCTGGCATTCAGCTTGCTGCTCCTAGCTGACAGGGCTGCAGGGCTCACAGCTGCGGACAGCCCTCCTCATGCTTAGATTTTAGAGGTAATTTTGGAGGTGTAAAGGACACAGCAATATAGGCCCAGGCCTAGTTAAGTACTTTTCTTTCTTTCTTTCTTTTTTTATTTTTTTGAGACAAGAGTCTCATTCTGTCACCCAGGCTGGAGTGCAGCGGTGCGATCTTGGCTCACTGCAAGCTCCACCTCCTGGGTTCATGCCATTCTCCTGCCTCAGCCTCCTGAGTAGCTACAGGTGCCCACCACCACGCCGGGCTAATTTTTTGTATTTTTAGTAGAGATGGGGTTTCACTGTGTTAGCCAGGATGGTCTCAATCTCCTGACCTTGTAATCCACCCGCCTCAGCCTCCCAAAGTGCTGAGATTATAGGCATGAGCCACCGCGCCCGGCCCAGTTAAGTAATTTTCATCATGCTTAAAAACATTGTATTTCAAAGAAAAATTTTTTTTTTTTCAAAAAAAGTATCCCCAGGAAATGAAAACATTTCCCCCATCTTTGGGAAATACCATGTACTTTACAAACTTGATCATGTTTGATCTTTTCAGCAACTCCATGTGTGAGTGGTATTATCCTATTTTAGAGATGAGAAAGTCGAGGTTCAGATTATATGAGTCACTGGGCAGATCTAGCTCTGTGACTTGGGGATCCTGAGGTGGGCTGTATCACAGTAGATTTTCTGGTGTGTTTGATATTCCATAGGATCTCAGCTCTGTCGCCCAGGTTGGAGTGCAGTGGTGTGATCATGGCTCACTGTAGCCTGGACATCCTGGGCTCAAGTGATCCTCCCACCTCGGCCTCCTGAGTAGCTAGAACTATAGGCATGTACCACCAAACTTGGCTAATATTTTATTTTATTTTTCAGACAGAGTCTCACTCTGTTGCCCAGGCTGGAGTGAAGGGGCACGATCTAGGCTCATTGCAACCTCCGCCTCCCAGATTCAAGCACTTCTCCTGTCTCAGCCTCCCAAGTATCTGGGATCATAGGCGTGTGCCACCACAGCTGGCTAATTTTTGTTTAGCCATAGGGTGAAGCCAATAGGGTTGCACGATATTGGTTAGGCTGGTCTCGAACTCCTGACCTCAGGTGATTCACTCGGCTTCCCGAAGTGCTGGGATTACAGGTGTGAGCCACCGCACCCAGCCTAATTTTTTATTTTTTATAGAGATGGGGGTGTCACTATGTTGGCCAGGCTGTTCTTGAACTCCTGGGCTCAAGCAGTCTTCCCACCTCAGCCTCCCAAAGAGTTGGGATTACAGGGATGAGTCACCACACCCGGCCCCAGATTGCTATAATCCTTGAGTGCTCGTAATTTATCAATAGACAGAATCTTGTCATTGGAAATCAATTTTTATAATATTCCCTGTACAATATGAGCACCTATGCTTATTCTGCAGAGGAATACTTCACAGTGTTTTATGGCTTCCAAAGAACTTTCACATACATAATCTGGTTTTGAAACTCAGAGAAGCCTTATGTAGGGCAGATTATGGTTTTTAGCCCCATTTTTTCCCTTTTTTTAGAGGAAGAAACTAAGGCTCAAAACAATTAAATTGTGAACCTAGAGGCAGAGTCAAGGCTAGAGCCCTTCTTGAGGCTCCAAGTCTAGTGCGTTTCTGCCACTCTGTGCATCCACCCTGGCTCCTTCCTGTTAATGCTGCATTTCAGATTCCCCCCAGCTTCAGCAAGGCTGTGTCAGTAGTGGGTGTGGTCAGGTTGAGGAGCACAAGGTTGGGGTTGGGGTGTGGGGGTCCCAAGAGTGACTGGACCGTGTTATACACAGTGGGACTAGTGCCAAGGAGACGACCAAGAGGAGACTGTTATTACATTCTGGAATGGCTTGACAGCCTTTATTCACTTGTCTTCATTCATTCAATTCGCTACATCAACATTGTGCATTTCCCTGCCAGGTTTCTATCTTTTCCCGCAATAAGCTCATTTTCTCTGTGACCTCTAGAGTAGGGTTTCTCAACCTTGACTGCTGACATTTTGGACTGGATAATTTTTTTGTTGTGTGGGACTGTCTTGTGTATTGTAGGATGTTCAGCAGAAGCTTTGGCCTCTACCTTCTAGATGTTCTTAATACCTCCCCATCCAGTTGTGACAACAAAAATGTCTCCAGATATTGCTGAATGTCCCCAAAAGGGTGGGGGGAGGGTGGCAGAAGCTCCTAGGTTGAGAGCCATGGCTCTAGGGCTTGTCAAGCCACTGCAAATAGAGCTCTAGAGTGTTAGAGGCTGGTCTAAGGATAAGGGGGTCATAAAGAGCAGGGCTGGGTGGAGCCTGCTAGGTACTTTTCATTCTACCCTTTTGTTGTTCTGCTGGGGAAACCAAGGTCTAGAGACTTAGCCCAAGGCCACCTGGCTCTGCTTTCTAGAGGTCTGGCTAGGGCTGGGAACTTGACCTGAATCCCTCCCACTCAGGACTCTGATCAACCCATAGTCCCTAGTCTTTTCAGGTTGAAGAAACCTTTTCTAATTTCAAAAAATATCAAGAATGGGTGTATGATAATAGTTGTACTTTTAATACCCGTTAATTGAGAAGATCAGATATTAATTCCCTTCAACCGATATTCACTATATACCCACCGTCTTTCTTCCCTAGGATTGTGTCTGCGTAAATGGTAGATGGTCACATGGTAGTTGTTTTTATTATTGTGTGATATATTCATCATTTAGTGCACAGGCAGGGCACAGTTGGGCACATTCACAGAGCGCTGGAGTGACCACTGTGAACCCTATGAGCTCACAGTCCATAGGTTGGGAACTGATTGACACATTATACCAGGAGACTTGAGAGAACAGCAGGTCTGAAACTCTGGGCTTTTCCTGAAACCATGAGCTGTCTTCACACTTGAGATGGAAATCTCCACACTCTGGAAATAAAAAGCCAACAGGCTACCCAGAGTGCTCAGTGCTGCTCTCTCAACAGCTATACACTAGGGCATTTGTGATAAAAGAAGAGGTATTTGGCTGGAAACAAGCTTTAAGTTTCTAGCATTAGTTGGTAAATGGTGCATGGGTCTAAGGGGAGTATAAAATAATGGCCTTGAACTTGGGAATCTGTGTTTGCAGAACCTCTCATCTCAAAGCACTGAGCTTCTCTGACAAGAACCATTGTTCTTATTTCAGAGGTAAGAGGCAGAGAGGCCAAGCCCACACAAAGGGTCTCTGAAAAAGAGCCAGCTCCTTCCAGGTTTAGGAGCTTGGACCCCTGCTTGGCATCCTAGGGTGGAGCTGTTTGGTTTTATCAGGTGATGGTGGGAAAAGGAAAAAAGGTTGTTAAGTTCCACCCAGTTTGGCAAATATTTTGAGTGTTTACTGTGAGAGACTCAATTTGAAGGGATGGTGTGGGTCATAGTTCTTACCCTCCAGGAACTCCCTGTCTGGTGAGGGCTGTAGAGAAAGACAGTGCATAACTCTCCGTAAAATAAGGCACGCCTACCATTGGTATTCAGTCAAAGTATGGTAGGAGAAGGAAGGAGGAAGAAGTGAATTCCAGCTGGGAGACTCTAGGGTAGCACCAGGGGGATGGCAGGGATTCTGAGCTGGGACTTGATGAATGGGATTTGGGAAGGAGGAGGCTGGTAGGACCATTCGAGGCCGAGGAGACTGTGGGACCCAAGGTACAGAGATTAGCATATGCTGTGTTTGTATGTGGGAGGGTTGAGGGGTTATGGGGTATAGATGAGGGGTAGTGGTGGCTCAGGTGGGGTGAGAGTATGGGTTGCGGCCTCCCTGAGGGGCCCTGGATGCCAAGCTGAGGAATCTGTGTTAGTTTGAATTTAGCGAGACACATACCAAATGGATACTTTCTGTCTCTAGAGAGCAGTTTGCTGGGACCAGCAGCTATCTCCCTACAGCACCCAGGTGAAGCTTCCCATTGGTTAGGTTGTCTGTCCATTACTGCTTGAGGGAATGAGGTGTATCTGGGGACTGTTCCCTTATAAGGAAGTCCATCGGTCACTACCCTTTCTCTTGTTTGTTCTCCCAATTCCCCTTCTGCTTTATTTGAAGTCCAGCCATTCTGGGCAGCTTGGTAGAGGCAGAACAGCAATTTTTCTGTTTTCAGAGTATCTCAGGTTGCATGTCAAAGGTAAGCAGGCAAATCCTCTTTGCTTAAAGTAGCTTGACCCAGCCTCATTTATTAATCAGGTCCTTGGCTAATATTGTGCATTTCACTCCCAGCTGGCTAGCTGGCTAACTCAGTTAGTTGTGATCTTTGGGATTGTTTAATCTTCCTTTCATGTTTATCTTTGGTTTAAGAGAAAGCTAGTTATTCTTTTTGGTTGATGACAGTGACCTGTATTTCTGAGGCCATACATTTCAAGTTCAGCCCAGACTTGATCTACTATCCCATTCCCAAAACTCTGAGAATGAACTCTTACTCTCCTCCCCCTTTCCTGAGCTCCTGGCCTCCTGTTAGCTGTCCTACCCCTGGGTGCCCCCTCCATCACCCAGATTGGTCTGGCAGACCCCTAAGACTTTGAGACGCTGCACAGTAGTTCAGACTCTGTCACTGTATGTCTTTGGACAAGTAAGGGCCTTCCTACCTCTGGGCCTTTGTTTTGTCAACAACAAAATGGGAAGATGGATTAAATGAGTGCTGAGATTTCTCTGCTGTAACATTCTGTTAGTCAACAAGTGCCACATTACAGTAACCTTACCTTCAGACAGCCAGGTGTTGCTCCAAGCAGTTTCACTGCATAAAAAGATGGAGTAGCTCAGCCTTCATCTTATCTGTTAATAGCTTAGGTACCTGCCTGCTTATTGTAAAAGTCGAGGTCAGCCACAGGCTGTTTTGTAGAAGGTACTGGACATTTTTCTGTTTTGATTCCTTGGATCAGAGGCCAGAACTGAATAATGGTTTTTAGCTGCTCCCCTGATCCTGCATCCAGGCAAGCAGCGCAGATGCTGGAAGGCATCTTTTCTGGTACCTGAGCCTTGTTTGGTTCAGTAGCCTGCCTCTGACTTTTACTGCCAGCCTTTTGGCAAATCAGAGGCACAAATTTCTGTTGGGGCTCAGCAGGTTCAAGCCCTACTGGACAAACCCCCAGCAGTGACCAGTTAAGCACACTGGGGTAAGACTTGTGATAGGACTTGACTTCCTCACTGACCCGCCTTTGGGGCCACAGGATGTAGGGGATTTGTCTCCTGTGTGAGGATCATGAAGAAAGGAACCAGCTGCTGAGGGCTGGCCTGACTTGAGTCATTTTATTTCAATCTGCTTTTTAGGATGGCGATCGAAGAGAAAATCAATGGTCCTGGTGGTGTCAGAAAGAGCAGCGGGCTTTTCTGCAAAGGCCTCATGCTTAGCATAAGTCCTGGCTCCATCATGAGCAGCTAAGCCTCTTAGGAATATGGTAAACATTTACCCACCTGGTTCTAAATTAGGCCCTTTAAAACCTCAAGTCTCCACTAGTGACATTAAAACAGCCCTCTCCCTTTTATTAACCTTCACAGTACATTCCTGTCTCTTAAGCAGTTCTGGAAAATCAAACTTTAGCACACATCTTGTCCATACAGAGGGAAATCCCAGGCCCAGAGAGGTTAGGTGACCTGTTAAAAGTAATACAGCTCATTGAAGGGAAAGCTGGGACTGGAACTCATGACACCTATCTCCTCATTCCAGTGAATTCTACTGTAGCCTCACCTGTTTCTCAACAGACGCTGTGGTAAATGTGGCCAACCCTGCCAGAATAGTTTTGAAAATAAAGTTAAAGTGCCATGCAGAAAGCCAGCTGACGGGGAGATGGAGCAAACAGTTGCTATTTTAGGGGGTTGTTTTCTTTTGAATTATAACTGGCAGTCAGTGGTGAGGCGGGCGGGCACAGCCGTGGTGGAGGATCACAAACTACAGAAATGTTGCGCCTACATTTCTGACTCTCTGTGTGACCAGGCTGAACAAGGCACTGTCTTTCCCTGCATCAGGGTTTCCTCCATGCAAGGGATCAGAATAATTCCTACTTTCGGCTCATTTTACAGGACTCTGGGGAGGGTTAGGAAGTCTATAAAGAGACCTAAGAAACAGTTGGTATATAAATAGTAATTTTTGGTGCTTCTTGTCTTTTTTTTTTTTTCTTTTTCGTTGAGGTATAACGTATAGTAAGCAGATAAGTCTCAGGTGACACCTGAATGAGTTTTTTAAATGTATACACTTGTGTAACCATCACATAGATCAAGATATGAGAACATTCCAGCACTCAGCAGTCTGGAGGGTTTATAGCAGTCTAGGACTTGAGAAGAGAACAATATTTGTTTATTCTGGCCCCTTTTAGAATCTCAGAGGCCATTTATCCTTCTGTTACTCATTCAACATGTTTCCCAAACACCTTGTAGTACAGGGCACAGTGCTAGGTATTGCTGGGAGTACAGAAATGAAGAATTGTTGGCCTCTGTCTTGGGCTCACAGCCCATTAGGGATTATGACTTGAATCCAAGGGAGAAAGCGAGAAGAGCTGCGAGGAAGCTTGGAGGAGAGAGGCTGCTTCTTGCTGGGAGAGAGGAGGGTGTGTGGTATTTATGTAGACACAGAATTTTCCCCAGTTCTCTCTGTTTATAAACATAGGAAAGGGACCAGATTATGAACTTCAGCCCCTTCTCAGCCAGTTCTTTGCATTCTCAGACCACATTGGGTACTTGGAGAGGTGCAGGCCCAGCCGAGAATGCCCATCTGTGGTGTTTGCTCAGCTTTGCCTTTCCCTTGGGAAGCAGAAACAAACTCAGGCAAAAATAAGAGACACTTCCCTCCCTTTCTTTGGCCCCTAGGCTCTAAGGAACTGATTTCCCTTCTGTATTGGGTCTTAAGGCTATAAGGCCACAAATCTGTGAATTAATTTTGGCCTGAATTTCTTTCTTTGCCCTCTTTGGTTGAGTAATTAAAAATTTCAATTTCTTATGTGAAACCAGACCCCAGAAAGACTTTCCTGATCATTTTCATGTATGAGAAATAAGTTTTAGATTTTCTTTTAATTGGCTAATATATGCACGTACAGCTCTGTAGTTGGTAGGAAAGGAGGAGGCTGTATCCAGAGTAGACACATGGTGATCCCTTTCCTTAAAGAGAGTCTCCGGAGATAGTTTAAGACCAGTGCCTAATGTAGGGTCAGCCTGAAGAGATAACACCACAGGACATCTGAGCATTATAGAACCACATCTTGGTACATGTGTAGACAGACAGTAGATAGTAGATAGGAAGGGAAGAAGGGCAGATGGCTCTGCCTGGCTGAATCTTGTTCAGGTTCTGATGAGTTACTGGGTCTGGGAAATATAAACGACTTGAGAGATCATCTGGGCCCATTCCCCCACTCCCATTTTACAAATGAGGAAACAGACTTTGATTTGACCAGATCTGACTGGCAGCAGAGCTGGAACCAGAACCAGGTCTCACGTGTGGTGGAGAATGAAGACATTCTGGTGGAGTGCTCAGCAGGATGTGGAAGGAAGCTTGGCTGGGAGAGGGTGGTGGTGAAGAGGAAGATGAAAGGAGTGGCAGAAGCATTTGGTGGTTCCCTCAGCATATGGAGCCAGGAAAAGCAAGGCGCTGGGTGGGAGAGACACTGAGGCTGTTGATCATCTCAGGGGAGGGACCTGAAAGCCCTACAGCAAGAGGGTATGGGGGATACTGTGGCCAGGCTGAAAGATTTTGAATGGCTTGGACATCTATAGTGCTTATCTTCCTTGTGTTAGTTAGCTTGGGCTGCCATAACAAAATACCATAGACTGGGTGGTTTAAGCAACAGAAATTTATTTTCTCAGTTCTGGAGACTCAGTCGATGGTCAAGGTGCTGGGTAATTCCGTTTCTGGTGAGAGCCCTCTTCCCAGCTGGAAGACAGCTGCCTTCTTGCTGTGTCCTCACATGGCCTTTCTGTGGAGTGTGTGTTGTGCATTGCAGGGAGTGGATAGAGAGCGGGGGCGTCTCTCTTCCTATAAGGCTAATAGTCCTGTCAGATTAGGGCCCCATCCTTGTGATGTCAGTTAGCCTTAATGACCTCCAAGAGGCCCCATCTCCAAATGCAGCCACACTGGGGCCAGGGCTTCAGCATATGAATTCTGGGGGGATACAGGTCAGTCCATAGCACTCCTTAGCTTTTTGTTTTCTGATTGACTACTTTAGGACCCGTGAGGTATTGTTTTTCTTGGTAGGGAGGCTGCTTTCTGACATTCCTTTCTTTACATTATTTTCTAAACAATCAGATTATAATCTAGCACTGTGAATTAATTGTTCAAAGGAACAGAGTTTTTTTTTTTTTTTTAGTTTTTTTGAGACAGGGTCCTGCTCTGTCACTCAGGCTGGAATACACTGGCATGAAAATGGCTCATTGCAGCCTGGACCTCCACAGCTCAAGGGATCCTCCCACCTCAGCCTCCCAGGTAGCTGAGACTGCCTATGCTCAGCTAATTTTTTTTTTTTTTTTTTCCAGATAGCTTTGTCACAAGACTCAGGCTGGAGTGCAGTGGCGTGATCTTGGCTCACTGCAACCTCCACCTCCTGGGTTCAAGCGATTCTCCTGCCTCAGCCTCCAGAGTAGCTAGGATTACAGGCACGTACCACCACGCCTGGCTATTTTTAGTGGAGACGGGGTTTCACCATGTTGGCCAGGCTGGTCTCGAACTCCTGACCTCAAGTGATCCGCCCACCTCGGCCTTCCAAAGTGCTGGGATTACAGGCATGAGCCACTGCACCCGGCCGTCCAGCTAAGTTTTAAAAGTTTCTGTGAAGATGAGGTTTCGCTGTGTTGGCCAGGCTGGTCTTAAACTCCTGACCTCAAGTGATCCGCCCACCTTGGCCTCCCAAAGTGCTGGGATTACAGGTGTTAGCCACCGTGCCTGGCTGCCCAGCTAAGTTTTAAAAATTTTTGTGGAGATGAGGTTTCGCTATGTTGCCCAGGCTGGTCTTGAACTCGTGGCCTCAAGTGATCCTCCTGCTTTGGCCTCCCAAGGTGCTAGGATTACAGGCATGAGCCACTGCACCTGGCCTCAGAGATTATGTTCTCTCAGTGTTTCAGTGTCTGGTAATTCTGTGCAGTTTGGAGTTTGTTCTTTAATTTTATTATTTTCACATATACAGTTGTAATCGACAGTGTTCAGCAGGGAAGATCGGATAACAAACCCATGAACCAGACTGTTTTTGTTTTTTAATTGCGCTAAGGTATACATAACATTACAGGTGTGAGCCACCGTGTCTGACCTGTGCCCCATTTTTTAAGGACAAGGCAAGACTACCTTTTCCCGAAAGAGAATCAGCTTCCTGTGCCCTTCACCCCTTGCTGCCTCCTGGGCAAGGAAAATCATTTGTCTGCAACCCCTTCATCATGTCTCTCTTGATTCCAAAAGCATAAAAGGCTGGTTGGGTTTTCCCTCTTGCCTTGCTTTTCTAACAAGCGCGCACATTGGAAGTATTTTTCTGCCGGCATTTCACTCTCTTCCCAACTTCCCCACAAACGTCCCCAGCCCCCATACCTCCGTTGTCATCTCGGTTGCCAGGGTGCTCTCATGCTTGCTCAGGCAGAAGGGGGCCCTTGTTGGCATGGATTCAGCTGGAAGCAGAGGAAGAAAAGCCAGTCGGAAAAGAAAGAGTGCATCCCAGCCTGGGAACGGAAACCCAAAGCAGGCTGTTTCCCCTCTGTCCCAGCCAAGAACCTGGTCACCTCTCAGCAAGCCTGGCTAAGAGCATCCAGCCTGGGACCTGGCGGGTGGGGGAGGAGCTCAATCAGTGCCTTCATTCCACCCGAGGGCCACACCAAAGCGCCAGTGCCAGTCATAATCAGGTTGTTCTTAGTAAATGATTTGCTTTTTAAAATATAACTGTCTTTCCATGTCTGGGGATGAGGAAGAAATAGGCTGTTGTTTTTGTTTGTTTTGATTAGGTAGTCATGTAAATGGTACATAATTTTAAAAGTGCCTTCGTTGCCTCAGTCACTCCCTTCCTAGAAATGACCAATTACAAGGCCCTGAGGTAGTCTCTGCAATTAAAAACATGTACCATACCTATGTATTCTCCTGAGACACGCCCATGTATGAATGGTAGTAATTAGGTTACCTTTGAATCCTGTGCTCTTTATAGTTTTACAATAAATGATTTTTTTTTTTTTTTTTTAAAGAGACAGGGTCTCGTTCTGTTGCCCAGGCTGGAGTGCATTGGCGCAATCATAGCTCACTGTAACCTCAAACTCCTGGTCTCAAGCAATCCTCTCGCCTCAGCCTCCCAAATAGCTATGACTACAGGTGTGCACCACCATGCCTGGCTAATTAAAAAAAAATTTTTTTTTTTTTGTAGAGACAGGGTCTTACTATGTTGCCTAGGCTGATCTCAAACTCCTGGCCTCAAGCGAACCTCCTGCTTTGGCCTCCCAAAGTGCTGGGATTGTAGGTGTGAGCCACCACGGCCAGCCAGAAGTGATTTGGATTTGACCCACTCTGAAGTCCCTGAACTCCATCTTCCTCATATGGATTTAGAGAAGGTTAATTCAAACTTCAGGTGCTAACTTGAATTTTGAAGCCCATGGCCCCACAGAAAGATCTGGGAGAATAGTTTCTCCCTCCCTGCCTTATCTTCTCTTCCCTGAGTTACTGGTCTCTCTGAGAAATGGCATCTCCACCACCTGGTTGCCCCAGCCAGGAACTTGGAACTTATTCCTGACTCAGTCTCCATTTCCTTCTGTTGTACATTCAAACAGGTGATACAGGCCCATGGTCTTCCCTCTTGGTATCTCTCAAGTTCACCCTCTCCTGGTCAGCCCCTCTGCTGTGGCCTCAGTTCAGGCTCTTGAAATCCACACCCTCTGGATTATTGCAGTGGTTGCCAGCCCCTTCTCCCCACAGCAGCCAGAGGGATCTTTCTGAAATGTAAATCTGATCACGTTCCTGTCCTGCTTTGAATCTTTCAATGGCTTCCTGCTAACCCTGGGATAGATTCCAGCAGCTCCTTAACAAGACATCCAAGTCTGTCCTTGAGTTTCTCTCTTTAGCTTTTATCTTTCCTTGTTCCCTCCCCTATTTTCTCATGCCTCTCTTTTCCTGCTGCTTGGATATATTCCTCTGGGCTCTCTCCTACCATCCTTTAAAATGCATGATAACCCCAAAGGTTAGTTTCCCCCCTCTAGGCATCCACAGTAAGTGTCCTGTGCTGACCTCTGTCATGTATTACATTGTCCATATCTGCTGGCCTGTGAATTCCTTCAGCCTTGGGACTGTATCATTTTTGTCCCTAGTTCCCTAGCAGGGTATCATGAGCAAAGTGTAATTCCTGGTACAGTAGAATGAGCAAAGGAATTGCCTGTTTCATCTAAGCCGTTGCATCCTTTGTAGTATTGGTATGAAGTTGCTTCATCTTTTCTAGTATTGTCATGAAGTTGTTCATAATATCCCCTTTTTATCCTTTTAATATTCCTGGAGTCTGTAGTGATATCACATTTATCATTCTCGATACCAGTAATCTTTTTTTCCTGGTCAGTCTGGCTAGAAGTTCAATCTTGTTGAACTTCTCGAAGAGCCAGAATTTTATTTCATTGACCTTCTTTCTCTTTTGTTTCTTTTTTGTCTTTTATTGATTTTTCACTTCGATCTTTATTCCCTTTCTTCTGCTTACTTTGGATTTTGTTTGCCCTTTATTTGTATTTGTATTTTTTTTTGGAGACAGGTTATCACTCTCTCACCTAGGCTGGAGTGCAGTGGCACAATCATAGCTTACTGCAGCCTCAAACTCCTGGGCTCAAGTGATCTTCCTTGCCTCAGCTTCTCAAGTAGCTGGGGCAGTACAGGTGCCTGCCACCGACTAATTTTTGAAAAAAATTTTTAATAGAAATAAGGTCTTGCCACGTTGCTCAGTCCCAAGCTGGTCTTTTTCTAGCTTGTTAAGGTGGAAGCTGAGGTCCATTTGAGATTGTTCTTTTCTAGTGTAGGCTTTTAGTTCCCTTAAGGTACCACATTGGTGGCATCCCACAAATTTTGATATGTTGTGTTTTTATTTTCATTCAGTTCAAAATACTTTCTGATTTCCCATTTCATTTCTTCTTTGACCTACGGCTTATTTAGAAGTATATTATTTAGTTCCTAAATGTGTGGGGATTTAACAGATTTTCTGTTCGTGATTCCTATTTATTTTATTTTTATTTTTGTTTTGAGATGGAGTCTCACTCTGTCGCCCAACCTGGGGTGCTGTGACGTGTTCTCAGCTGACTGCAATAACCTCCACCTCCTGGGTTCAAGCGATTCTCCTACCTCAGCCTCCCGTGTAACTAGGACTACAGGCACACGCCACCACGCCCAGCTAATTTTTGTAGTAGAGACGAGTTTCACCATGTTGGCCAGGCTGGTCTTGAACTCCTGACCTCAAGGGATCCGCCCGCCTCGGCCTCCCAAAATGCTGGGATTACAAGCGTGAGCCATCGCACCTGGCCTATGATTCCTAATTATTAAATTCCATCCCAGGTGATAGAAGTAATGAGATTCTTTAAAAATATTGCTCCACTGTCTTCTTGCTAGCATCGTTTTCTATGAGAAATCTTTGTCATCTTTATTTCAGTATATGTAATGTATATTTTTTTCTTTGTCTGCTCTTAACATTTTATTACTGATTTTGAGCACTTTTAATATGATGTGCTTTGGTATATGTGGTCTTCTTCAAGTTTCTTAAGCTCCAGGGTCATTGAGCTTCTTGTATCTGTGGGTTTAAAGTTTTCATCAAAGTGGAAAATTTTTGGCCGTTATTTCTTGAAATGTTTATTCACCTGCCCTCCTCCTTTGGGGACTCCAGTTACATGTATATAGGTTACCTGAAGTTATCCCACACCTCACTGCTGCTCTGCTGATGTTTAAAATTATTTTTTCTCTCTGTATTTCATTTTGGATAGTTTTTATTGCTATTCAAGTTTACAAATCTTTTCATCAATGAAGTGTCTGATCTGCTGTTCATCCATGTAATAATTTTAATCTCTAGAAGCTCGATGTAGGTGTTTAAAAAGATTATCTTAGTCTATTTGTGTTGCTATTAAAGAAATACCAGAGGCTGGGGTATGTATAAAGAAAAGAGGTTTATTTGGCTCACAGTTCTGCAGGCTGTATAAGAAGCATGGTGCCAGCATCTGCTGCTGGCGAGGGCTCAGGCTGCATCCACTCATGGTGGAAGGCGAAGGGGAGCTTATGTGTGTGGCGAGAGAGAGAGGAGGAGGTGCCAGGCTCTTTTTAACAACCAGCTCTTTCGGGAACTGAATAAGAACTCACTTACTCCTGGAGAATGGCATTAAGCCATTCCTGAGGGATCCGCCCCCATGATCCAGATGCCTCTCACTAGGCCCCACCTCTGACATTGGTGATGAAATATCAACACGAGACTTGGCAGGGTCAAACAAACCGTATCCAAACCATAGCAAATATCTTCCCTGTTTCTCCTTCGCTTTTTAAGCATATAGACTATAGTTATAACTGTTTTCATCTCTTTGCTAATTTTGACATCTGTGTTAGTTTGGGTTACTTGGAATTTGTTGATTTTACTCTGCATCATGGGTGTTATTTACCCATTTCTTTGCATAAATGGTAGATTTTGATTAGATGTCAAATGTAAATTTTGCCTTGTTGGGTACTGAATATTTCTGTCGTCCTATATTCTTTATGTTTTGGGGGCACAAGTTTTTGGTAACAATTTGCCTTTTGGGTCTTGGGTCTAAGAATTATTAGGCAGGCCCAGAGCAGTGTTTATCTAGTATAGAGCTAGTTAATCCCTACTATTAAGACAAGGCCCTCCTGAAGGCCCTCCAAGAAGAATTATGAGGCTTTTCTAATCTAGCTGAGGAAGAGGCACTATGACTGGCCCCATGTGAGTACTTAATATTATTTATTCTCTGTCATCCTTTTGAGTGGTTCTTTCCCTGGCCTTAGATAGCTTTTTCACACATGGGTGCTGATCAGTATTCTGCTGAATACTTGAGGAGGACCCTCCGTGGCTCTCCAGGGTTTTCTCTCTCCATGCAGCTCTCTCCTCAGGTACTCTCATGAACTCCAGCTGCGTTGGTCTCCCCAGACTCTCAGCTCTATCTCATTAATTCAGGAAGTTGCTGGGCTCTGCCTGGGTTTTCCTTGCCTGCTCCTTGGCCTGGAAACTCTCAGCAATCAACTGGGTGTGATCGTAGGGTTCAACTTGGATCACTGTCCTTTTTTGCTTGATGTCCAGTGTCTCAAAAACTGTTAATTCATTTCTCTTGGGCTACGGATAAATCTAGTCCCTGCCATCCTGTCTTGGCTAGAAGCAGAAGGAAGAGTCTGGATTTGAATCCTGACTCTGCTGGTTGGTTATTCACAAGCTTTGAGATAATCTCTCCGGGCCTCAAATCTCTTCATCTGTAAAATTGGCTAGTAAGACGAATTCCTTATTGTCAGGATTAAATACAAGAATAAAATACGAGGCTCAGAACAGGTGTTAGTTCATGTGAGAAAGGAAGAACTGGCCGGGCGCGGTGGCTCACTCCTGTTATCCCAGCACTTTAGGAGGCCAAGGTGGATTGGATTGCTTGAGCTCAGGAGTTGGAGACCAGCCTGGGCTACAGCTATTTCGGAGGCTGAGATGGGAGGATCATTTGAGCCTGGGAGGTGGAGGTTGCAGTGCACTGAGATTGTGCCACTGCACTCCAGCCTGGGCAATAGAGCAAGACCCTGTCTTACAAAAACAAAAAAACAGAAGAACCTAGGATCAAGATTTTTAAGATTTGAGCTTCAACCATTAGGAATTGAGAAGAGGGAAGGATCTAGGAAAAAAAAAAACCTCAAGAAGGAATGGCCTCTGGGGCAAGGGAGCCAGGCTAGGGGATCCCTCAAGGCTGACAGGAGAGAGGAATTTCAGAGAGAGGAGGGAGGCAGTGCCAGAACTTGTAAGGAGACGGAGGGTGAAGGTGTCTGTGTTCACATTCTAACTATAGTTACCTTTGCTTCCTGAGTGACATTTGTGGCTCACATTGGATCTGAGTGCTACTTCCTCTGCCCAGTTGAAGCAGCTTAATTCAGAGGCTAAAGGGAGTTTCTGATCTTTCTAACTCAGTTTGTGAAGCCAGTTAAAATAAGAAAGACTGCTTATTTCATTGGGCAGGAAAAACTTGATTATGTGAAGCAGTCAGGAAATGGAGCATATGGATGTTAATTACATTTTCTGGATCACACAAGATCAACCAGAAAGAGCCTTTTGTGTTTGTTTCAATCCTGTTATTGGAAATCTCAGAACTATATGGGTTCACCTATTGTTAGAGCTCAAGGAAGACCTAGAGAGAGCACCTAATCCGCCCTTCTTGTGTCCTTGATGAGGAGTCTGAGGCCCTAGGAAATGAGGGGACTTGCTCAGTGACATACTTTAGTCATGGCAGAGTTGGAACTAGAAGCCAGATTCGGAATCACAGGACCCGTGTTGCAGGTTGTGTCTAGATACAAGTCTCCTGTTCGGGCACCTGGCTTGGATTCCTCCTTGTCAAGTACCTTTAACTTTGTTACTTTGAGGAGGTTGTTGAACCTTTATGACATCAGTTGCCTATCTTTAACTTGAACACAGCCTTAACTGCCTGAAGGCAAGGGATTATATCAGATAACTCCTAGCAGTTTCCTCCGGATGTAAGATTAGTGTCAGGTGTTACAGGGACTGGTCAGGACATGTAAATGAGTAATGTGTCCAGGTAGAAGTTGGTGGGCAGTGGTGGGCTCTGAGACAGACTGGAAAGTGTGTGCCCCTTCCAAAAGGGATGGCTGCTGCTCTGCTCTAGTGGATCGTTGCTAGGTGGCAGTGTGGGCTCAGTGTTGCCAGATACTCCATCTTTACAAAAGGAAGCCAAAAATCTGGATTTTTATGTGTAATATGTAATATTCAAATTTACGTATTAAGACACGACTTAAGACATGGGACAAATGAAGACATATCTGTGGGCTGCATGGGTGCTCAGTTTTAGCCTCTGATCGCTGTTTAAATGAAATTCTGCAGCCTGGCTGGTGTCTAGGAAAGAACTTTGGCCTTGGATTGCAGGGCACAGGCTGAATGACTATGGCCCTCACTAACCAGGGGGAGGTCACTTTCCTTCCCAGTATCCTGGTTTCCCCCTCCTGGCTCTGAGTTATCTTGATCACCAAGAGCTACTCCAGGGCTGCCTGCTGGGTCTAGGAAGTGAAACCCCTTCTCTTCCTGATCAGCTGCCCTTTGGGGAGCAGGAGGAGGCAGCCCAGATAGGCCTTGCAGGGTTCCCTTTGGTGACCCTGACTCCCGTGGCCATTTCTCTCCTTCCTTATGCCCTGGGCCACGCCTGCTGACCCAGTCTGGAATAATCTGCTGCTTACTTTGGGTCTCTGCTACTTCCCTCCAGGTATAGTCACAGGGGAGGTCCTAGGCTCATTGTCCCTAATAATAATCCCCTGACCCTTTGGTTTTAGGGTTCTAGCAATTCCAGTGTGGGTTGACACAGGAAAAAAGTGGGCAAGTGACAGAGGTTCTTGTAGCTTTGGTCCCTGGGTCCTCCAGAATGTGGAGGAAAGGCTGTCTTAGGACCTGGGAAAAGATCTGGAAGCCATTATAGGGTGAGAGGACGGGGGCACCCACAAATGAGGAAATGGCAGGGTCAAGTTGGGCGTTATGGAGTGCCCCTCCCTTCTCCCTGTCTCAGTGCTGTTAGGGGCACAAAGATGGAGGTTCCACCCTGGAGGAGCTTATGGTTTAGGGTAGACGTGAGGGAAGAAGACATTTATTCTTTAAAACAGAAAAAAAGCTCACAGCAAACTTTCCAGCTATGTAGAGTCATCGACCTAAGTGTAGAGAGGATGGTAATAATGGTTGGATTTTTATCCCATGTGTTTTTAACCAATTTAAAATCTACTAGAAAAAAAATTTTTTTCCAGGTAGAGGTTTTTACTGCATACCATCTGGACTGTCGCTAGTGGACAGTTTGTGGGCAGAACAGGCAGCCCGCTGAATGCCCTTGGTGCCAGACTGCTGCTAACTTGTGGGGTCCATGGGGAGGGGAAGGCCTTCAGGGCTTTCAGATCCCCAGGCTCAGGCAGAAGCAGGCCCAGCTGCCTGCTTGGTGCGGGGTAGACGCTCTTCTGCAAAGAAAGAACATGCCCTTTGCAGATAGGCAGCTTGGCTTTGATCCCAGGCCTGCCACTGCCTAACTGTATGACTTGGGCAGGTGATAAACTCTTTGAGCCTCAATACCCTGGCCTTTCAAGTGGTACAGTAACAGTACCTACCTCATAGATAGGTTGTTGGGAAGAACTAGTGAGCATGGAAAGTATCAATTTTTCATTGCCATGAAAGCACCAATCATGGCACCCAGGAAGCTTCTCATAAATGTTAGCTGCTGTTATATATTAACTTTTTCTCCACCATGCCATAACTGTATACTCTTTCTTAGACATACTGGGCTAGGAAAGGGGACAGGATACCACTGCGTGGTGGCAGGCGCCTGTAATCCCAGCTCCTTGGGAGGCTGAGGCAGGAGAATTACTTGAACCCGGGAGGCAGAGGTTGCAGTAAGCGGAGATCGCGCCACTGCACTCTAGCCTGGGTGACAGTGTAAGACTCCATCTCAAAAAAAAAAAAGGGGGGGGACAGGACAGGGACAAGAAGATGCAGAGATCCCCAGAGACAATGTTGGACACAGGCAAGGAAAGAGAGGCGGGGGGGAAACAGGCAAGACGGAGGAGAGAATGCTCATATTCATCAAGTGTTTGCATAGTGATTATCTTTCTCGTCTGTCCTTAGGGTAGTGGTTTCACCCCCATCTTGCATCTGACAAACATGTTCAGAGATGTGAAATAACTTACCTGACACCCACCTTCAGGGCTGGGATTCTGGCCTGGTCTACTGATACCAAGCCTCATATTCTTTTCTTTGTGCCCCAGTGCTGGCCAGCATCAGCCAAGGGCAGGGGTTGATGAAGCTGGCATTGGCCAAATGATCAGGTGGTTTTAAATTGGTTTCTCCCAAGCTGTGTTTTACAGATGTTGGTGTGTGTCTTGTTGGTTTTTCTTGTCTTTTCTTTCCTTTCTTTTTTTTGGTGAGCCAGTTAGGTGTCGGTGTTTTCTTCCTATCAAAATAGGATCTGGGAAGTCCTGCAGTAAGTAATACCAGTGACCAACATTTACATGTCATGCCCTGTGCCAGGTGCTTTACATACATACTTCATTTTAATCCTCACAATAACCCTATGAGGTGCGTGTTGTTATCATGAGGGTTATTAGTGAGATTAAGTAATCTACTTGATGGTGGAGGTGAAACTGGAAGCTAGACAACTGGACTCCCTAAATGACCGTTGTAACTTGATGTGATCCAGCATTTCCTAAGCTTGTTTGACTGCAGAGTGTGTTTTATCATGCCTTTTACGGAACACACTTTGTTTGTATTGTTTAAATGATTTGGAGCGTTTGATATTCTGTTAGGTTGTTAGTTGTGGGGCTTATTTCTTTCATCTTTGTCCCTTTCAAACAGATAAGGGGCTTCTTTCTTTCTGTCTAGAATTTTCCCTTGCAGTGAGTACTGTACTCCCTATGTGTTTGCTGATGAAGTCAGCAGGGTTTCAGACTCTGATTTCCTGGTCATACACAAGTACTTATTTTACCATCTCTAAATGGAGTGCATTAGCTCCAGGCCAGGGAGAGCAAATTAGAGGAACAGGGAGATACATCACAGAGAAGGAGGCTGCTCTGGAAAAAGCTGTCTGCACCTCTAGCCTGAACTCTCCAGCTGTGTGGGAATAAATACAGCAATGTCAGGGACAGCGTTCCAAGGCTTTTGCAGGATGAGGCCCTTGTCCTGCAGGTGAGCCTGCGACAGTGTCAGAGCAACGATGGACACAAAACAGCCTCTGTCTGGGCTTCCAATATGCATTTGGTGCATTTTGGTTTCTGATAACTTTCTGTTTGCCCATGCTGTCCCAGGCACCCTCACACAGGGTAGAGAAATGAGAGCCTAGCCTTGCCCTGCCTTCTGAAACTGCAGGTGTATCAACAGCACTCATTAGGGGAAGGTATTCTTGAACCAGCCCGATTAGCACCTCTTTCCCATTCTTTTTTCCCCCCCTTCTATCTGGGGACTTAGGAGAGCAAACCAGGTAGCTTTTTGGTTCTTTCATGTGTCAGCATGAGCTTTAAAATGGAGTTTATCAAGGGCAGAGTTTGGAAACTGGATGGAAGAACATTAGGCAGACTGTTTTCCTTATGGCACGGGGAACTGCTGATTTATTTGTAGCAACTAAATTTGGAGACAACAGACTTGAGGTGGTGGAAAGAGTCCTGGGCTGGAAACCTGGGTACTAGTCCTGGTTCTTTCTCTGTCTCACTGTGCACTGCGGGGTCCTGGCAAGCTGTGCCGCCTGTTCTGGACATCATTTTTCTCAGTTATCTAATGAGGGGTTGGTCTTCGTTATCTCCAAGAGCTCCTCAAGCCCCCTCTATTCTTGATGCCATGATCGTAACTCTTACTTAGTCAAAGTTTGGTGGGATCTCTAATGCCATGTGGTACAAGGATGGTCACTGATAACCATCTTTACAGGAGAATGGGTTTCTTTGACACTGGTGGTTAACTGTGTTGTTTTGACTTTGGGTCACCCGAGATCAGACAAGATTGGGCATGTTCAGGGTGGTATGGCCGTAGACTTGATTTTGGGTCTTTTCTTGCCCATACACACAGGGCAGATGACAGATCACAGATGACACCCCCATCACTTCCTCCGTCCAGCAGAGCAACCAGTGGCTTCAGGGCCAGGCATAGTTCTCCTGGCTAAGGGCACCCTGAATATCTGAGTTTATTCACTGGCAGAATGAGCCAGGAGGAGCTATCTGAGTGATTGCTGGAGGCAGGCAAAGTGGGGCCCCCTCAGCCTTGCTCGGCTCCCTGCCTGCCAGTAGCCCTACTGGGACCAGGCTGCTGAGGGTTCTTCAGAATGCTCACTTAGGCTGGAGTCCTGGTGTTGCATTTGTGTGTAAGTGTCCTCAGGACCTCAGGAGTGTGTTCATTTGCTTTGTTGTTCACGCTGAGAGTGGGAAAGCAGCAGCCCTCTTCCCTCCCAGCCCTGTACCTTCTGTTAGATGACTTCAAATGTAGACTCTGGGGTCTTCAGAAGGACTGTAGACACTGCCATTCGTTTAGTGAGAGCATATTATTGGGCCCTCCTTCCCTCCATGCCTGAATTTCTCTATACTAGTAATGAGTGTATAGTTATGACTTCTTGGCATCTATTGAGGTGCCCTGGGCTATTTGCCCCTATACTGAACGCCCCCAGATCTGGGACAGGCAGACTTGCCGTCCTCAGCAGCTTTTCAGAGAAGTCGTGTTTGACTAGGAGAAAGGAACGTCCTGTCTAGTTGTATCGAACTGATGTGTTCTCTAAAAATGGTTTCTGTAATCACTAGCTGTTGCCTCACAGAAAGGGTTTCCATCCTGGGTGAACGTCTTTTTGACTGGTCTCTGCTTCTTAGGGTATCTGTTCTGTATCCTTCCTCTAAATAGCTGTTTGGAGGGGCTAATGAAGCAACTGTCTGGAGACCAATGTTTATTTCAACATGGTTGGAGTTGTTTTTGCTTCAGCTTTCACAGCCAATAAAGCTGGTTATTAGATTCTGTAATTGCTGCTGTAATTACTCTCTTGGAACTGGCAAAGGCATAATTAAATATGGAGATTCCAAGGACTGTTTTTTCCCATCTAAAAGCAACCTCTTAAACTTCTATTGGCCTGGCTTAGATTTCAATTGTTAAAGCCATTGTGTTTATAAATGGTGCTGGGGGTTCTCTGGCAGAAGATGGGTTTCTTTAGACACCTCTTTTTTGAATATTTGATTTAGCTGAACAGCTTCTCTTTAACTCGGTACTTGTTTTTTAATCTAACCATCAGGAATCTGGAAAAGTTAAGGCAAAACATTAAGAACCAGTATATATTTAATATTTATGAAAACATTGGGTTGGTTACAGATAGAAGCAAATTTCTGTGGTCAGAAATAAGGTTGGCATGGAGGAAGTTTTACTAAGTGTAATAGTATTCAAGAAGAATGGCGTTTTACTTGTGGAAGCACTCTAATACCTCTGAGCCTTTAGTTTGCCCTGTTACACCTCACCACCGGAGCCATGCATTTGTAAGATATAGGAGGTGGTTCAAGTGCTGTGAATATTTGTCTACATCTGTTTCTGCAGCCCAGATGCTGACCCCATGTCTATTTTCAAGGTAACTTTACTCATGAAGCATGTTTAGGTGTTTCTGTGGGGGAAAATTAATCATGTAGCCTTTCTCTTTGGAGTTCTAAACTAGTTGAGAAACACAGACAGCAGATGGATCTAGATAAGAAAAATCAACATCCTGGAGAGTTCACTGCGAAGAGGGGAAGAGGCTGTGTGAACCCTGCAGGCAGGAAGGGGAGTCCTGGGGGGATACCCCGGGACTGTCCCTCATACTGTTTGCTCAGGTCCTATCCCCAGTATGAGAGAGCACACCTTACAGCCAGGTGCTTGCGGGAAGTCCCTGTTTTATGGGCCAGGAGGAATGCAGTGGAAAGATGCTGCCAAATGATTGTTCTAGCCTGTGTTTCAGTAAGACGTCAATTCTGTGGGTCAGAGGTGCACGGGAGATAAAATATGGGTGGATCCCCCATGAAGAACCCTGGATAGAATACATGAAAACCTTGTAAGACAAATGAAATTGCAGGTTCAATTTAGTAGATACTAAGCACTTACTGTGTATCAGTCATTGTGCTGGATTGCTGATCTGCAAAGATGAATAATATCAGCATTATTTCATTCGGGGTGGGGATGGGCTCTTGGTTTCCTCCCTGGTATATTTGCGTATTTGCTTCCAGATCATTTATTTGGGGGATTTTAGAAGTGGGAGGTGGAGGTCAGAGGAAGTTAGGGTTGGCATACAAGGAGTCACTGCCAGTGGAAAATATATTGGAGAAAAAGCAGTTCTAAATCTATGATGTTAATAGGGAAATAACTTTGGTTTTAAATATAAGAATGTAGCTGACTGTATAAAATCAGTTTCATAAGCATTTTACCAAGCTCCTGCTACACTCGGGATGCTGAAAAGCAAGGCAGCTCTGTCAAAGAGTGTTTGCTCTTTTTTTTTTTTTTTGAGATGGAGTCTTGCTCTGTCGCCCAGGCTGGAGTGCAGTGTCGTGATCTCGGTTCTCTACAAGCTCCGCCTCCTGGGCTCACGCCATTCTCCTGCCTCAGCCTCCCAAGTGGCTCGGACCACAGGCGCCTGCCACCACACCCGGCTAATTTTTTTGTATTTTTAGTAGAGATGGGGTTTCACCGTGTTAGCCAGGATGGTCTTGATCTCCTGACTTTGTAATCCACCCGCCTTGGCCCCCCAAAGTGCTGGGACTACAGGTGTGAGCCACCGCGCCCGGCCGAGTGTTTGCTCTTATGAACGGTCTCAGAGTCACTTGCTGTCGTTCTGAGACTGTGAGGAAGAGCATAGAGCTGGGAGTTACACAGACTACTCCCCTCCTCACTTGGCAGAAGGATGACTTGGGTGAGCTGCATCACCTTTCTGATCCCCAGTCTCCTTGTTCATTTGGGATCTCTGGATGATTAAATGAAATAGGAGGCGGAAGGGACTGCCGTTGCTTGTTCACCATCACTCAGCAGGCTCTTGGAAGGCCTTGGTGAATCTTTTTTTTTTCTTGCCCCCGAGATGGAGTCTTGCTCTGTTGCCCAGGCTGGAGTTCAGTGGCACGGTCTCAGCTCACTGCAGCCTCTGCCTCCTGGGTTCAAGCAATTCTCCTGCCTCTGCCTCCCGAGTAGCTGGGACTACAGGTGCGCGCCACCATGTCCGGCTAATTTTTGTATTTTTAGTAGAGATGGGGTTTCACCATGGTGGCCAGGCTGGTCTTGAACTCCTGGCCTCAGGTGATCCACCCACCTCGGCCTCCCAAAGTGGTGGGATTACAGGCGTGAGCCAGCGTGCCTGGTATGGAAGGCCTTGGTGAATCTTAATGATGGGCTGGACTGTGGGTGATGGAGCTGGCTGGAGGGGAGTTGAGAAAGGGGCACCTGTGGGACATTGGCACTTGATCTCGGAAGGATTCACAATCACTTGGTGATTAGAGTATGTCTAGGGTATGGCTTTTGTGGAAAAGGAACACAGCACCAAGGAAGTCACAGGAAGCAGGCCTGCAGCCCCACGCCCTGGGGCACTTACAGGACTCTCCCAGGACCTCTTCCCTCTGACATTACTGATGGCAAAGGCGGTTCTGTAGACCTTGTGCTAGGGCTCCCAGGACTTGGGCTTATGGAGAGAATTCTAACGTCTTGCCTCTGCAGGACCGGGCAGGCCATATTAAACCATATGGCAAAGGGAGCTACTGAGGATTTTTCAGCAAAGGAATCGTTGGATTTGCATTCCCTCTTCTGTGTTCCCACAGTCCCCATGTCACTTCCTGCATGACTGGACGATCCCTCCAGGGCAGTATCCTACCTTTTTCATTAAGTGGGGGGCATAACATAATGGCAGGGCAGGGACTTTGGGGTTCCATACCTGGTTTAAGTCCCCTCTCTGCCAGTTACCTGGGCTGAGTCACAGGACATCTCTGAACCTCAGTTTCCTCATCAACTAACCTTATCATCTAACCTTAAAGGGTTGCTATTTTGAGGCCCTTATGAAGTGAGCATGACTTAGTGCTAACAGAAGATGAGAGTGAAGGTCTTGAGGATCCCCTGGTGTGACTGCATGATGGGTTTCTTGAAGTCTTGGGCCATTCCAGCCAACATCAGAATCAAGGGAGATTACGGATTCAGTGGCTTTTCAGATTTTAATGAGGCACATCTCATTGTTGTTCAGATGTTTTACGAGTTCTCTTTATGTGTGTATGTATGTATTTTGGTCAGCATTTGTTGGAAAGACTGGCTGGGAGAAGTTTTCTGCTGCTTTTGGAGGAGCTGTGTGCTATACGCAGGCCAAGCCGTTTTCCCTTGGCAAATGGTCCTTAGGACGGAATCCCAGGCCAACGGGTGTGAGTAGAAGGAGCATGGGACCTATTCATGTGACATATGGAGAAACCACAGCCTCATGGGGGAGGGGGTTTTGACCTCCAGTCTGCAGGAGATGGCTGTGGTCCAGAACTCCAGGACATGGGGGAGTGTGCATGCTGAGTGCATGTGTGTGTGAGGCTAGTGCTCCTGACCCAGCCCAGTCCAGCTCAGCCATTTCTTCTGACAGAGTCTGTGCTAAGCCTCCTTCCTAGCTTTTGATGCCCATTGCAGGGGAGCAAAAAATAGCTTCCCTTCTAGTTTCTTTGGCTGGGCTACAAACTGAATTGATATAAGACAGATTAACAAGAGAAAAACCATATTTAGTTACATATGTACATGTGGAAATCCCACAAAATATGAGACTTGAAGAAGAGTCAGATGCTTGAAGCTTATATAGCATCCTGAGCTATAGAAAAGAATAGGGGCTTGGGGGTTGTTGTGGGGGACATAACTTATGGGAGGGTGAGGGGAAGAATTACTTATGGTGAATAAAGGATGTGTTGTTATGCAGATAAAAGGTCTCTTAGGTAATAAAAGTTGTCTGGAGCAGCCCTCTTCCTGGCACAGATACTTTTAGTAATGTAGATTTTCTTCTTAGATGTACTGTTTTTTTTTTTAAACAAAGGGACAGCTTTTTGAGCTACTCTAGTTTCTTAGAATAACCAGCTCAAAATATGCCAAAGAAGTATATTTTGGGGGTGGTATATTCTGGTCTCCTACAGTCATATTTTGGGGTGGTGTGTCCTGTGCCCCAACATCATCTAAGATGTGTGCTAAAGATATTTTTCGGTGTGAAGAGTGGAACTGAGACCGTGAGGGGAAGGAAATCTGGGTTTCAAGTTGGGAGATGTGGTTTTGGTCCCAGTTCTGCCACAGATTCACCTTGGTCAAATTGCTTGCCTTGACTGGACCTTAACATGAGGTGATCTCCACAGCCTCAGCGTGCTAGGAGGCCAAGGTAGATGATGCCACTGACCCAACCAAATGGCCAGACTCTAGGTTTGGCCGTGGCAAGGAGTTCTGTCTGGCTTTTTAGTTTGGTCTTGTTTTCGATGATGGAGGATGCTGTAGTAGCCATCTTCAGGCATGGGGCTTCTTGCTTTTGAATACATTTCCAGAAGGAAATTACTGGGTCAGAGGATAAGAACATCATGATGGTTGTTGCTGTGTGTTGCCATGTTACTTTTCGGGAGCATTGTAACAATTTACACAGTTGTTGGCTATGAGTGAAATAGCATTTTTAACCCAAACTGATCTAGTATTTGATATAGTCATTATATTTATGATTTCTTTAATTTAGGTGGCATAAAATAGTACTTTGAAGTTGCTTTATAATAATGGGAGCCGCTTTTTTTGAGAGGCATACACACTGATGAATGTGCCAGGTGTTTACATACAGTATGTCATTTGCTGCTCACACTGACCCCATCTGGGAAGCCAAGTAGCTCACCTGAGTCTGTGAGCTGGGCTTTGACCCTAAGGGAGTTTGACCCCAGAGCATCTTCTTCCTCAGGTGGCTGTCCATGCTTTGATTTGTGTGTGTGCGTGGTTACCCGAGGGTTGAACTTTGGCTTGTGTGCTTGTTTACTGGCCGTGTTTTGAGGTATGTGAATTTTATGTTTTTGTAGAAAATTGAATGTGCTCTTTGTGTAGAATTTATGAATCCTCTGCTATAGTGGAAGCAACAACAGAGGTGCTTCCAGTAGAGTTGGGGAAAAGACTCAGTGACACTAGAACCTCACCCTGTGCCGGGACTCTCTGAAACCCTGTTTTCTCCCTCACGCAGCGGCCCTCCAGGCACTGAAGCGTAAGAAGAGGTATGAGAAGCAGCTGGCGCAGATCGACGGCACATTATCAACCATCGAGTTCCAGCGGGAGGCCCTGGAGAATGCCAACACCAACACCGAGGTGCTCAAGAACATGGGCTATGCCGCCAAGGCCATGAAGGCGGCCCATGACAACATGTACGTGTCCACCCGCCCCTGCGCCACAGGGCAGTGCTAGTCCCGGAATGCCTCGTACCCAGGCCATGGCCTTGGGCAGACGGATCCCTTGACTTACCTATTCGAGCACCTGAGTTTGTTTTAATTCTCATTCTTTTTTGGAACTCCGAAAATGGATGACGTGCCTTTGAAAGGAGATCTCATGGGATGTAAAAGTACTTTCTGAGTAATTCAGGGTTATTGTGATGAGCATAGTTTCAAGCTGGAAAGGCCTTTAGAAGGTCCTCTTGTCCAGACCTGTGAATGTGAAGGTGGGGAAGCTGTGTCCCAGAGAGGGAAGCGGATTTGCCCTGTGTGACATGGGAGCTTGGTTAGAACTGGGATTAGAATCGGTGCCCATGATTTTTCCCTGATGCTGTCAGGGGCCCTGAAATGTGTGGTTCATCCAAGAGCTTTGGATCTCTCTGTTCCTATGTCTGCTTTTGATGGCGTTTTCTGCCTCCTCTCTTGCTCTCCGGCTGTAGCTGTCATTGACAGTGATCTTGCCCTCAGCAGTCCTTCTTCCCCTATATGGCTACCTCTCATGGCAGTGGCCTAAGAAACTAGATAACCAAGCTTGTTACAGTTGTAACTAAAGGCCAAGGTAAGGAGGCTCCAAATGAAGGCCTCTCTCTTGAATACAATCTGCATTTGGGCTGGGTGAGGTGGCTCACGCCTATAATTCCAGCACTTTGGGAGGCTGAGGCAGGCAGATCACCTGAGGTCAGGAGTTCGAGACCAGCCTGGCCAACATAGTTGAAACCCCATCTCTACTAAAAATACAAAAATTAGCTGGGTGTCGTGGCATGCGCCTGTAATCCCAGCTACTGGCGGCTGAGGCAGGAGAATCGTTTGAACCCAGGAAGTGGAAGTTGCAGTGAGCCAAAATTGCACCACTGCACTCCAGCCTGGGCGACAGAGTGAGACTCTATCTCAATAAAAAAATAAAAAATAAAAAATAAAAAATCTGCATTTGTTGTAGTGCTTAGATTTGGCAGCATATATTTGGGGGTGCTAGGTGCCTTTTTTGCTTCCTTTTGGGTACTCAGCTGTGCTGTCCAATGGGTGGGAAAATGCACCCTATGGGCTTGCCATCTGTTTTTGTAAATAAAGTTTTATTATTATTTGAGACAAGGTCTTGCTGTGTCTGTCACCTGGGCTGGAATGCTGTGGCCCAATCCTAGCTCACTGCACTCTCAAAATCCTGGGCTCAAGCCATCCTCTCACTTCAGCCTCCTGAGTAGCTCAGACTACAGGTGTGTGACATTATGCCTGGCTAATTTTTAAAATTTTCTGCAGGGATGGGGTCTCACTGTGTTGCCCAGACTGGTCTCAAACTCCTGGCCTCAAGTGATCCTCCCTCCTGGGCCTCTCAAAGTTTTGGGATTACAGGTGTGAGTCACTGTGCCTAGCCTTAAAAGTTTTATTGAAATACAGTCATGCCCCTTAATTTACATATTGTCTGTGGCAGCTTTTGTGCTACGCAGCAGGGTTAAGTATTTGCAACAGAGACTGTCTGGCCATAAATTCTAAAGTGTTTACTGTCTGGCCCTTTGCAGAAAAAGCTTGCTGATGTTGCTCTAGAAATGTGAGGTTGCAGGAGAAGTAGCCTTCAAATAAGTGAGGTTTTGTCTGAGGGTGGATGTTCATTGGACCGAGCTGCTTGAATGAGAACCATATATGCCTCATTTCTGTGTTCTCCTGGAAACCTAGCAGAGTGCAGCTCATTAAATACTGTGCAAATGTTGACGTATATGTGTGTATGTTGGCTTGAGTAAATATAGGTTTATATGATTGTCAGTGTGTAGAAGAAAATTCTGCATATTTGCGGAATTTGCCTTTCCTTTGGGGTCCTAGAGGATCCATAGGTGGACTGAGTAGATGGAAGGCCCATTAGACAGCATGGCTGTCTTCTGTGATTTGTGCTTTTACTTCCCCCTGTACAGAGTTACCCTTGGACTTGAAAAAGAGCTATTGGCCCAGGAGTTAAAGCCCTGCGGTCTTAATGTGATACCTTTACTAATTTGTATGTAGGACCTTGATAGTGCCACCTGTAGGGTGTTGGACTGGGTAGTGTCTTAAAGACATTCCCGTCCCCTTGAGTCTATGATTCTCTATTTTAAAGGGGAGGAGGCAATAATGCCAAGTAACCCCTCACAGGGAGTCATTGCAGGGGGTGTGGCTGGGAAGCTGATTTTGTGGGGCCCAGTTTCTGCTCCCGCCTTGCCTTGCAGGCCCCCTTTACGCAGCCTAATCGATTGATATGATACCTGTCCATTGCATTTGAAGGGACATCGATAAAGTTGATGAGTTAATGCAGGACATTGCTGACCAGCAAGAACTTGCAGAGGAGATTTCAACAGCAATTTCGAAACCTGTAGGGTTTGGAGAAGAGTTTGACGAGGTGAGTAGTTTTGTACAGATCCCATAAGCTTCACAAATGATACCCTGAGGCTGTCCCTTGATGTGCTCTTGAAGGCTCTCAGGCAGGGAGCATTTGGACTTGGACAGAGACAGGGCATGGTGTTAACCCTCCCTGAATTCTGCATTTTGAGGGACACTTTCTCTATTTGGGGTGGAAGCTTAGGTAGAGTAAAGGCACATTCATCAGGACCCTTCAGCAGGCTTCAGGTCACTAACTGATTTGAACAAGTAGCTAGCCTGCACCTTTCCAGGGTGGGCCCTGGCACAGAGCTGGGCAGCAGAGATGACCATGCCCTGGAGAAGTTCACAGGATTTTCCCTGAGACAGCTTCAGCATGAGGGAAAGGTAGAGCAAAGAGGGGGCACTTACCCCTGACCCGGGGTATCTGTCTAGATCTCGGCCATCTGCCAGTTTCTGCTGTAGCAATTTGGGACCTTGAGTCTCTTAGGTTTTTAAAGTATGGTACCAGCCCCTGTTGAAGGTATTTCACTGTGTGCTAGATTTGTGTCTCCTGAAGGTTAGGTCCTTTCTGCTGGACCTTTGTGCTTTCTGACCCCTGCTGTATAACCGAGAAAACAGCGTGCAGCTCTTACCTTTGGCTCTCAACACCAGGGTTTTCATGTTTTCACACTGGAGTTCGATGGATGAATCGAGTTCATTTCAAATCAGCAAACATTTCTGAGCATTCACTCGTGTGCCCAGCTCTGAGCCAAATAAATAGGAAGGCAAAGATATGATCCCCTCTCCCAGATGCTCACAGTCTAGTGCAGGACACCAGAGGTCTACATCAGTGATGTGCAGCAGTGATACGTTCCCCAGTAGAAGCTGCTTTAGGATATTTGAATCACAGGGTCTGGAACCTGGAATTCACCTCCCCGCAGACCTTCTCAGAGGGGTGTGTGTCTCCATGAGCATTAATTAGGTAGGAGGCATGACCGCGGGGGCTGGGATTCCCAGGGAGGGCGCTCACTTTGTGTTTCCTTTTACTAGGATGAGCTCATGGCGGAATTAGAAGAACTAGAACAGGAGGAACTAGACAAGAATTTGCTGGAAATCAGTGGACCCGAAACAGTCCCTCTACCAAATGTTCCCTCTATAGCCCTACCATCAAAACCCGGTGAGTGCTTCTAGAGTCATGGCACACCGTGAGGTCATGTGGCAGGTGATCTTGTGGTCGGTTGGCTTTGGTTTGTGGTCGGTTGGCTTTGGTTTGTGGTCGGTTGGCTTTGGTCTGTGTCCTGAGCTTGCCCAAGATTGAGAACCAGACAGGATCCATTGTAGTGGCCACAGAGGCCATGTCACCTGGCTTTTTCTGGTTTCTCTCTGGAACAGTGTTTCTTAATCTTGACGCTGTGGACATGGCCAGATACCTCTCTGGGCCGAGAGATGGAGGGTGGGGGCGGGGTTGTCCGGTGCACTGTGGATGTTCAGCACCATCCCTGGCCTCTGCTAGATGCCAGTAGCAACCGCCATGAGTTATGTCAACCAAAAATGTCTTCAGACATGGCCAAATGTCCCTTGGTAGGGGTTGGGAGGATCACCCCCAGTTGAGAGCCTCTTTTCTAGAATGATTTTCCTATTTCACTAAAGAAGAGAAAGTTCCAGGCACTGTGAGAAGGTGTGAGAGCGTGAGTCCAGGACAGCTCTTTCCCTGCCCCTCTAGTATCCTGTGCTGCGCACCCTGCAAAAGCCCCGGCCCCTAGAGACAGCCCCTGGGGGAAGGAAACAGCTTTGACTCCTTTAGAGACCTGATTCTATAAAACCTTCATTTCCTCCCTTCATTTCTTCCCTTCCCCCATCCCCTCGCACAATATTTCACCCCCAGGTAGAAGTAATCCACACAGAACTTCTAGAAAAAGCGAGGCAATTTGATGTGGCATGAGAGAGAACCCTGGGGGCAGTGCATGACCAGCTGTGGTCACCTCCCTCTCCCATGTATAAAGAGGGAACGGCCTCCTCAAGTAGAGTCAGCTGCCTAGAGTCCTGTGTAGGCAGAGGCCGTCCAGCAAGCCTCCTGGAGCTGTGTGGCCATGAGTCAAGCCACTTGAGGTGGAGTTGGGGGTTGGCAAGGATTAGATCTCTTCTGGGGTTCTTCCCACTCTCCTCCCACCTTGCAGGCTCTGGGACCGAAGCCTTGTGGGAATCCTGAGGGCCTCTGTGTAGAATCCTTGTTTTGTCTGGGCCTGCTGGAGGCGGAGGGTGGGTGCTGCCAAACTGTGCTTGGTTTTCCAGAGTTGTATGTTGCAGCTTTTAGGCACCAAGGAGCAGTCTCCCTACAGCCTGGAGAGGAGTCTGGCCACAGGGCAGGGCTGTTTGACAGACACCATGGAGCACAGGCAGCCCTCATTTCCGGCCAGAACATGTTGAACGCACCAGTCATCCTAAATAGCCTTTTCTGTCTTCACACAGCCAAGAAGAAAGAAGAGGAGGACGACGACATGAAGGAATTGGAGAACTGGGCTGGATCCATGTAATGGGGTCCAGCGCTGGCTGGGCCCAGACAGACTGTGGTGGCCTGCGCAGCGAGCAGGCGTGTGCGTGTGTGGGGCAGGCAGGATGTGGTGCAGGCAGGTTCCATCGCTTTCGACTCTCACTCCAAAGCAGTAGGGCCGCGTTGCTGCTCACTCTCTGCATAGCATGGTCTGCACCTGGGAGATGGGCGGGGGGAGGGGGGCGGGCGGGGTGGGAAGTGCCTGCTGTTTATAATGTTGAATTTCTGTAAAATAAACTGTATTTGCAAATCCAACATTGAGCTTCTGGACTACGCTGACTCCACTGCTGAATCCTCAATGGAAAGGGTCGACTGGTTGCAGTTGAAATGACCTGAAATGTAGCCTCTGTCCTTGTAAGTCAGTTGACTTGCCGCACATCTCTTTGTGTACTTGTACGGTACTGGCAGAAAAGTCATTTTTCAAAAGCCATAGGCTTTTCCTTGCCCTTAGCTGTAATAATGCATCTGATTTTGATTTCCTCCAGAGCTGTGTTTCTGTCCATCACCTGTGTATTGGCCCTGTGTTTACCACTCTGGCCCACTCCTCACCCCCTTGCTCCCCTGGTCTTCTGGAGTTTGTGACATTGATTTGAAATGGATGGTGTTCTCTTGAGAGCAAGTGAGATTGTTAGAATTAAGTTCCAACTATACAGTTTTCTAACATAGCTATAAGGTCCTTGTTGCTGTTTGTGATAACTGATAGATAACTCATTGGAAACGTGCATACATTTATATTCAGATGAAATTATGGTTTGCACTGTCTATTAAATATCTCGATTAATTTTCATACTTTGCTGTTGTGTTTAATCTATCATTTGCCTCGGGAGCTGACCCTTTCCAGACCAGCAAGGTGTACAGTGGAGTCTGGAAACATGGAAGACTTAACCATGACATGTGTCAACAGTTTGAACCAAAGAGCAGAGCTTGTCTCACCAGAAGTCTGTTCAAGTCCTAGATTGGCCCTCACCTTGCCTGGGGACTCTCTGGGTACAGTTCAGGGTGAGTTGGTTCTTGGGTACTTCAGGGTCTTCCCTATTTCTTCTCTGCCAGTGTCCATGGGCAGTGCCAGCAGGAGCCTTACTGTTGGAAGCCATGGTGCTCCCATCAGACAAGGCTCATCAGGAACATTGAAGAAATGGCCTTTCCCATGGGGAGGAAGTGTAGGGCACTGACTGAGAATCTAGGACACAGAGGTCACCTCAGGACTGCTGAGACTCAACATATGACTCTGGCCCAGCCCCTTCCACTCTGTCCCCTTTTCTTTGGTCTTGTATCCCCTTGAGAGTGTGATGCATGCTGTGGACCCTCTTCAGAAAGGTGGATCTCTACATATTTATCCTTAATTTTGCATGCAAATTTGCAGTATTGAGAGGACACCCCTGTCCCCCTGTGCTCACTCCCAAACCTTTTAAAGTAAAACCAACCTGAGTTCAAAATGAGACACCATCATTGCTCACTGGGCGCCCTGGGGCAAGTTGCCTACCCTCCCTGGGGCTCCTGTTCTCACCTGGAAAGCAAGGGGATGGGAACAGATCAGTCCTGAGGTCCTGTCTGTGTTGAGCGGCTCATGCCCTGTCCCTCATCCCTCATTGCGGCATCCCAGGGCTGCCACACTTAGAACTGGGAGGGACTTGAAGACAGTGGCTTAAAAATTCCTGACTTGTGTGGAGGTTGGATCTGGCTAGTCTCAGAAGTTCTTTCACCTCAAGACAAATCTAGTGGCAGTGCTTGCTGCCAGCTTCCACCCGCTCAGCCTGCAGCTGGTGTGGCCTCTGGGTATCGCTGGTGTGGGAGACCTAGTGGACTTTCTTTTTTTTTTTTGGAGATGGAGTCTTGCTCTGTCGCCCAGGCTGGAGTGCAGTGGCGCGATCTCGGCTCACTGAAAGCTCTCCTCCCGGATTCACGCCATTCTTCTGCCTCAGCCTCCTGAGTAGCTGGGACAACAGGCGCCCACCACCATGCCTGGCTAATTTTTTCTATTTTTAATAGAGATAGGGTTTCACTATGTTAGTCAGGATGGTCTCGATCTCCTGACCTCATGATCCGCCCACCTCGGCCTCCCAAAGTGCTGGGATTACAGGCGTGAGCCACCGCGCCCGGCCCCCAGTGGACTTTCTTAAGCTCCTCTCATCAGCTGTTACAGGGCGTCTTGCCCTAGGTCTGTGTGAGGGGAACTTGCAGACTCAACCCTCCAGCTCTGGTGAACCCAGAAGCCAGGTCCAGGGCAGGGTCTGTGACTCCTCTGAGCAAGAGCTGCTTATTTCTACCGAGTGTGGGTCTTGTGCCAGGGCCTGTGGAGTACAGTGTTCAGTAATACCCAGCCCCTCTCCTGTTCTCAGGAGGTTCTTGGGGCCAGAGAGAGAAGTTACTGAGTCAGGATTCCTTGGCTACAAGCAACAGAAGCCTCAACCCACTGGTATAAGCAATGGAGACATTTACTTATTTATGAAAACTTAGTCAACAGATATTTATTGAGCACCTACTGTGTGCTAAGTACTGTTCAAGGTGCCAGGAGTACAGGTATCAGAGTCCCTGCCCTCAAGGTGGTTACAGTCTAACAATCTCAGGACAAGAAATCTTGGTGGTGGGGCGAGGGGGTGGTTCTGGATTTGGGGTAGTGGCTGAACCATGTCCTCAAGAACCAGGTTCTTTGCATCCTTCTGCTCTGGCACCCTGCACACATAGAGGCTTTTTCTTTTCTTTTTTTTTTTTTTGAGACAGGGTCTCACTTTGTCACCCAGGCTTGGGTACAGTGCTGTAATCATGGCTTACTGCAGCCTCAAACTTCTGGGCTCAAGCAATCCTCCCACCTCAGCCTCCTGAGTAGCTGGCACACGCCGCTACTCCCAGCTAATTTTTAAATTTTCTGTAGAGAGGGAGTCTCACGATGTTGCCTAGGCTGATCTTGGACTCCTGGGCTCAAGCGATGCTCCCACCTCAGCCTCCCAAGGTGCTGGGTTTATAGGAGTGAGCCACCACACCTGGCTGGAAGTCTTGCTGTCTCTTGGTTGTGAGATGGCCCTTCCTCACATGCGCAGTGTCAAGAAGCAGCAGGCCCAGCACCCGCCAGCTTTTCCTTCACCTGAGCCCATGTTAACAGGCCAGGTTTCCCCAGAGTCATCTTACAACTTGTCCCTTATGCCTCATGGACCATAACTGTCACATTGCCACTTCTTGCTGCAAGGGAGTCTGGAATGTTTGTACGGGACAAAAGGGACAAATAGGGCTCTCCTGTAGGGCTAGGGGTGGAGCCTCCCTTCCCTGAATATATTAATGTCCACTTACTTGATGCTGAATAGAATTGGGCTTCTGTTAACAAGGAAGAAGGAGGGATAGTTGCTGAGTAGGTGGCACCGACAGTGTGCACCATGGAGGCAGAACCAAGAACATAAGACACGTATGTAGTTGGTGCTACCAGTTTCTTCCAAAAAGTGGATCTGATCGTGACACTTGGTCCTTTCGAATCCCTCAGTCTGCCTCCATCCTCTCCTGTTCTGGGCAGACTAAAGGTGCGTCACCATTATCCAAGGAGCTTGTGAAAAATCCCGAGCTGGGTGGAGACTCAAGAATTGCATTTTCACTGCTGGGTGTGCGATGGCTCACACCTGTAATCCTAGCACTTTGGGAGGCTGAGGCAGGTGGATCGCTTGAGGCCAGGAGTTGGAGACCACCCTGGCCAACATGGTGAAACCTCGTCTCTACTGAAAATACAAAAATTAGCCGGGCGTGGGGGCACATGCCTGTAATCCCAGCTACTCGGGAGGCTGAGGCAGGAGGATTGCTTGAACCCGGGAAGCAGGGGTTGCAGTGAGCTGAGATTGCACCACTGTACTCCAGCCTGGGCAACAGAGTGAGACTCTGTCTCAAAAAAAAATTGCATTTTCACAAACTCCTGAGGTAATTCTGATGTAGGTGGGCTGGAGCCCACACTCAGAACACTCAACGTCGACAGGATCAAGTCCTCAGAATGGCTAACTTGACCTCATGACCTGGCCCCCATTTTCATTTCCCTTTGAACCCCAAATCCTGTTACCCAGACTTCCCTGTCTCTTGGAGCATGTGCTCTGTCCCTGTGGCCCTTCCCTCCTGGACACAGCCCTCCCTGTCCTGCAAAAGCTGCTGCTTCCTCCTCTGCTGCCCACCTGTCAACGCTGTCTCTTCATCATTTCCCACTCCCTTACCAGATGGCGAGGTCACTGTACTTCCTGGCCCCTAGGTCCACCTGGCACAGATCAGGTACGAAGACATTTATGTGAACACCGGTGTGGTGGAAAGTCAGAGGGAAGTACTGTCGCCAGGGTGTGCCAGGAGGAGGTGGGATCTGAGCTTGCACGTGAAGGAGCAGATTTTCCACGTATGCCTGTGAGGCGGAGCACCATAGACCAAGGGAACCTGCTGAGGGAGACACGGCAGGGAGGCCAGGGGCTGCCTTGGGAGGAGTTGGCTGGGGGAAGGGGCTTGCTTGGAGTGGGTGGGAGGTAGAACTGAAGAGGGAGGCTGGAGCTAGATGGGATGGAGGGCATGAGACTAAGGCAATTGCAGGCAGGCAGGAAAGGACGGGAGGAAAGGGAAGGAGGAAGGAAAGAAGGGACAGAAAACAGGAAGAAAGGGAGAAAGGAAATTAGGTTCTCAGGCAATAATTTGGGGCCAGGAGAGGATAGAGATGAAACTTCTAAGGTTGCCTTCCATTTCCCTCAGTGATGTGAAGACAGCTTTGCAGCAGCTGTGATCCTGTGGAGTCAAACCTCACTGCTCCAAGTAGGGACGACACCAGGCAGGTGTGTGGCCAGGCCACCTCAGCAGCCTGTAATGTGGACACACCAACTTCAGTTAAAACAGCAAATGTATTTTCTCACAGTTCAAGGGATCAGAAGTCCAAAATCTAGGTATCAGCAGAGCGTCTGGTGGAGGAGGATCCTCTTTGGCCCTTGTGGCTTCTGGTAGCTCCCAGCATTCTTGGGTGCTCCTTGGCTGGCTGCTGCATCGTCCCAAACTCTGCCTCCACCTCCACATGGCCTTCTCTGTGTCCTTTTCTGTCTCTTACAAGGATGCCTGTCATTGCATTTGGAGCTCACTCTAATCTAATATGATCTCATTGTGATCCTCACCTTAGTTACATCTGCAAAGACTCCATTTCCAAATAAGGTCCCATTCTGAGGGTTCGGGTGGGTGTGAATTTTGGGGGACATTATTCAACCCACTCTAGCTGTGAGCTGGGGGCCTATAAGCCCGCAGCAGGGTGGAGAGAGCTCAGTGGGGCAGACACAGGAAGCACAGGTCTCGTGAGCCCCATGTGCTGGATGTGAAGCCCAAGGCTCAGAGAAGCTCCAGGGCCCACTGCTAATCAGTGACAGTGAAGAAGCCATGGGTTCCTTAGCTTGTGAAGGCCATTCATTCATTCTACAAACATGTTTTGGGTACTTCTATGCCAGCTGTCTGGAAGCTCACAGTTTGGTGGGAAAATTAGAAAGGCCGTAGCCATCCACTTCTTCATCATCATCACCACAGGCTGGGTCCTCTCTGTAGTGAGTCCCACTGGGAAGAGGGTTCCTGGCTCAGGAGGGTTTGTGGGAGGACATGATATCTCAGCCAAGATCGGAGGCTGATGAGGTCTCAGCAGGGGAAAAGATGTAACAATAGAGAGGTCGGAGGGTCGCGTTCAATGCCTGTGCAAGAAAGGCCTGGAGCCACCCTTGGCCTGCTTGTGAACTCCAGATGAACCATGACACACAGTCACCAGACCTGCAGTAAACATTTACGAAATGAAATTACAGATGAGGAGGCCGAGGCGCCAAGGTGCTTCCAAGTGTCACAGCCAAGTACCAGCAGAGCAAATTCATGAACCCAGCTCCCCTGTCTCCCCATCCATGTCTCTTCCGGTCTGGCCTGGGCACCCCGTCTCAGAAACTGCTTCCTTCCTTCCTGCTCAGCTGTATGCTGGCCTTGCCCAGACCGCAGAGGAGCCAGGTGGAGCTGGGTTAGACACGCAAGACTTTGGGTCTTGCAGCTGAGACTCTGCACCAATCCCAGGCTAGATTTCCATGAGGCACTGGCTAAACTGGTCCAAATTCCCGCAGAGTAGCTCTGAGGGAGAAGCAGAGGAGAAGGATCCCCCTTCAGAGTAGAAACATTTAGGGAACATACACGAAGAACAGACAATCTGTACCTTCTCACTGAACCCACACAAGAACTATTTCAGGGCAGAACCATTCGTTACCCCATTTTGCAGCAGAGAAAGCCCAGGCTCAGAGAGATAAAGTGATTTGTCCAAAGCCACAGTTGTGGAGTCACAAGAATCCAGTCACACACATACCTCCTCCCCAGGCCTTCCCTGCTGCTGTGGTGGGGGAGGAGCCGGGTCACAGAGATGCATCCCTGACTCCCTTAGAAGGTGTTGACCCTGAATGTGACCAAACCCTGGGATTTTAGAGGCCAGCTCTCTCCCATGGCCACTTCCTACTGACAGTGAAAAGGCCACAGGCAACAGGACCTGGGATCACCCAGGGTCACCTGGAATGGAGCGGCAGGGTCAGCCATGCAGAAGAGTTGGGGCTCCTGTCTTTTCCACAAGGGGCTGATGAGGGGATCCCCTCTGGGGCTGGGTCTCCCTTCCCACCCTGAGGACCTGTCTGTTTTCACCCAGACAATCTCACTGATTGTCTGACAAAGTAAAGAAGCAAATGAATTACTTATTCTATGAAAGCCATTCATTCAACAATTTTCTTTTTTTTTTTGAGATGGAGTCTCGCTCTGTTGCCCAGGCTGGAGTGCAGTGGCGCAATCTTGGCTCACTACAACCTCCGCCTCCCGGGTTCAAGTGATTCTCCTGCCTCAGCCTCCCAAGTAGCTGGGATTACAGGTGTGCACCACCACGCCCAGCTAAATTTTTTTTGTAGTTTTAGTAGAGATGGGGGTTTCACCATGTTGGCCAGGCTGGTCTCAAACTCCTGACCTCAGGTGATCCACCCACCTTGGCCTTCCAAAGTGCTGGGATTACAGCGTGAGCCACTGTGCCCAGCCAAACAAATGTATTTTGGTTGGGCCTGGTGGGTCACGCCTGTAATCCCAGCACTTTGGAAGGCTGAGCTAGGAGGATGGCTTGGGCCCAAGAGTTCGAGACCATCTTAGGCAACATAGCAAAATCCTGTCTCTACAAGAAATAAAAAATTAGCCAAGTGTGGTGGTCGTGCTTGTGGTCCTGGCTACTCAGGAGGCTGAGGCAGGAGGGTTGCTTGAGCCCAGGAGGTTGAGGCTGCAGTGCGGCAGGATCATGGCACTGCACTCCAGCCTGGGTGACAGAGCAAGACCTTGTCTCAGAAAAACAAAACAAAACAAGTGAACAAAATAAATACCCAAAGAATTTTTTGAGTACTTCTATGCCCGCTCTCACAAAGCTCCTTGTTTGGTAGGAAAATTCCTTATCTCCCTCCTCAGCTTGGGCGCCTATGTAGGGACACTTGGTTCCCTCATACAAAGCGTGGACAGACATCAGGGTACATACTCATTGCTGTTTCGCTTCTCCATTGCTGCAAGAAACCCGCCCCTGAAACTTAGTTGTGAAAAGCAACTATTTTATTTTATTTTATTTTATTTTATTTTATTTTCTGAGATAGAGTTTCACTTTGTCTCCCAGGCTGGAGTGCAATGGCACAATCTCAGCTCACTGCAACCTCCGCCTCCTGGGTTCAAGTGATTCTCATGCCTCAGCCTCCAGAGTAGCTGGGATTACAGGTGCGTGCCACCACACCGGGCTAATTTTTGTATTTTAAGTAGAGACGGAGTTTTGTCATGTTGACCAGGCTGGTCTTAAACTCCTGATTTCAGGTGATCTGCCTGCCTCGGCCTCCCAAAGTGTTGGGATTACAGGCGTGAGCACCCACACTCGGCGCAACTATGTTATTAAGCTCACAGATTCTGTGGTCAGAAATTTGGAAAGGGCCAGTGGAATGATTTGCCTCTGCTCCGTGATAACCGGGACCGCACCTGGGAGACCTGAAGACTGAAATGACCTCCATGGCTGGAGGCTGGAATTATCTGGGGACCTCTCCAGTCAGTGGTGTGCTACGTGTGGTAGTTGATGCTGGTTGTTGACTGGGACGTGCCCTGGGGCTGTCAGCAGGAACCTGAGACCTCTCCATGTGACTTGGGCTTCTTATGGCGTGGAGACTTCAGTGTAGCCAGAGCTCAGGGCTCTAAAAGTGATTGTCCCAGCTAGCAAGGGGGAAGGTGCGTCATCTTTTGTGACCTAGACTTAGAAGTCATGCAGAATCACTTCACTGCATTTTACTGGTTATCAGTGAGTTGCAAACCCACCCGGGATTCTAAGGGAGAGGAATTAGGCTCCACCTCTTGATGGGGACATGGCTAGTTCTAAAAGAGCTTGGGGGACAGGAGATATTACTGGGGCTGTCTTTGGGAGCTAAAGTCTGCTATGATAGCTAACACAGAGCATTTAGTATATGCCAGGTATTGAATGAACTCATCTGGTCTCTGAACCCCTATCAAAAGAATATTTGTGAGTATATACCATATTTATTTATTAATAAATTATATAAATGTACCACTGTACTAATATATTGTGTAATAATACACAACTCCTTGAAGTTTTAAAAGCCTAGGATAGAAATAATTATAATAAAAAATTTCAATGTTTTCTTTCTGTATTCCTAAAGAGTTTAAGGATTTTTTTATTTTTTTAATTTTTTTTGAGACGGAGTCTCGCTCTGTCGCCCAGGCTGGAGTGCAGTGGCGCGATCTCTGCTCACTGCAAGCTCCGCCTCCCGGGTTCATTCCATTCTCCCGCCTCAGCCTCCCGAGTAGCTGGGACCACAGGCGCCCGCCACCACGCCCGGCTAATTTTTTGTATTTTTTTAGTAGAGACGGGGTTTCACCGTGTTAGCCAGGATGGCCTCGGTCTCGATCTCGATCTCCTGACGTCGTGATCCGCTCACCTCGGCCTCCCAAAGTGCTGGGATTACAGGCCCGAGCCACCGCGCCCGGCTGGCTTGTGTTTATTTAAGGAATGGAAGCGTTCACTCAAGCCAGACTTCAGGGGCAAATGTACATTGGGAATCTCCAAGGGACATCTCCCAAACTACCTGACCAGGGTGTGGGTTCCGCCGAATATCTTTTGGGAAACGCTGTGCGGGGGTCCCTAGAGCGTGTGGGTCCTCCCCATCCCTCCTCCCGGGTTTGAGGGGCCGACGCGGCAGCGCGCCCAGGGGCCTGCAGGTGGCGCCATGTCCCAGGCTGTGGGGCCCCGCTCCCGTCGAACCACGGGGAGACCGTGGGCTCCTCCCGGGTGGTCTGCGCCTGGCGCAGGGAGGGGCCTAGAGGAGGCGGTGGAGTGGGGCGGGGAGGGGTGTCTGCTTAGCATCGGGCGCTGCTCCCTTGCCCTCCCTTGCTTTCCCCTCTCTCCATGCTTCCCACTCCCCCTACTGACCCCCTCACTCCTTCGTCCCCCGCCTGCCCACAGGGACACCCCCATGGATAGGGAGAGGGCTGTGTCCTAGCTCCTGCCAGAGTCTGGAGGCCGCGAGTCTAGGGTGTAGGAGAAGGGGGCCAAGCCAGCCAGGAGGTGGGGCCATTGTAACAACAATCACAGCAATAGTCACTATGTATGGAGGCCCACTCTGCCGTGCGGGGGTGGGGAGCTGCAGTTGTGGGCTGCTAGCTCATCTTCTAGGCGGTCTTCCTGTTCCAGGTCCCTCTGCTGCCCCCAGGAGTCCAGCAAAGCAGGACAGCTCTGTGGACATGGATACCTGTGTGTCCCCCACCCCCAGCCCTGCATCTGGCTTAGCGGGAAGGCAACCCGCTCGTGGGAGGGTGGGAGTGGGTCCCAGGCTGGGGACTTCACTTGTTGCCCTGGAGCTGGTTCTCCAAGAGCACAGACCCTAAACCACTGCCCTCTACTTCCCTGGTGAGCTCCCCACCCCCATACCTTAGGCAAATTTCCTTTTCCAACCCCACTCCACCAATTTTCTCTGCCTCCTCCTTCTGTGAGGTTTGTGGGCCCAGTGTGGCCTCAGGGGGCTGAGGGGATCTCATGGAGTTGAGCCTCACCTTGTCCAGTGCCCAGCAAGGCCTGGGGAGGGGTGCCCAGAAGCCATGTTTTTGTCATACTGCCAAGGAGGACCTTGGATGCACTTGGGGAAGCGCTGATGAAGAAATGACTTCAGAAAAAAAGACCCTGATTTGTAATCTTTGCTGATTTCCATGTAAATTCTCTTACCGTGGCCAGCTTCAAGCTACCAACATGACAAAACATTTCTTAACATTCAGCCATTCCTGTGGTCCCTGGAATATGTGGAGAAAAGAAATTGAACCACAGCGTCCCGGACCTGGTAGAAGCCGCCTCCAGCACAACAGTGAGAAGGTCTGTTTAGGACTCTGCTTGTTTCAGAAAGATCCCGGCTTTGCTTTGGTCAGGATGGGCTACATCACTGAGGGGCCCAGTGCAAAGTGAAGATACAGGGCCCCTTTTTCAAAAATTATTCAGAACTTCAAGACAGCAACAATAGACTGTTAAACCAAGTGTGTGGCCCTTCTGAGTGAGGGCCCTGTGTGGTTGCTCAGGTTGCACACCCATGAAACCTGCCCTGGCTCTGTTCCAGGCCACCAGGATGGCTTGCCTGCCAGGACCTCCTCACTGGCCTTCCTGCTGTCTCCCTGGCCTCCTACAAACCATTCTCCACTCAGCAACCAGGGGTTGCTCTGGGCTGGATCTTGTCACTCCTACACCTGCCGCTTGTCCTTGAGAGCAAGGGCAAGGCTCCTCTGCCTGGCCTGGTTCTGAGACACTGGGCTCCCCAGTTACATATCCTTATAGCTCCGCACACATGTGTTCCTGCCTGGCTCTCTTCCCTGTAGAAACTACATTTCCTTGTATGATCTCTCCCTTTATACCATCAGCAGTGTAGTCCTGTGCTCAGTACCGCTGCAGGCCTGCACTTAGTAGATACTCAGGATGTGCTAAATTGAACAAAATGAATTAATTGATGAAAAGGACAATTGGATCAGGATAGGGCTGTTCCAAATGTTTTCTGGCAACAGACTCATTTCATCAAATGAGATCTTACAGGGAAGCCCACGACATGAAACAGAAAAGGGCCGCTGCTTTGCCTGCAATGGGAGGGACCAGACGCCTGACTCCGGAGGCCATGCAGTCACTGCCTCTGCAGAACCTGGTTTGGCGGCACCAACATTGCCACTTTCCTTTGTTCTTCCTGCATTTAACCTTAGCCGACCCCTCCTGGCTGACATTGACGATCTGGTTTCTGTTCGTATTAGCCGGACTGAGAACTTTAGCTGTCACGTTGGTTGTACATGTGGATTATGCTCCTGTCTCCCCTTCTCCCTGTACCTGCGGATCACTCGGCCATCGCTTGGCTCTGAGAACAGCGGCTGGGCTGAGCCATGGGCAGAGGATTTGGTGTCCTTTGGGGAGGGGTGCTGATGGTGAGCACAGGGGCAGGGCTGCAGTGCCCCCCGCCCCCAGCACAGCCAGGCTCCCCCACTCCCCTCCACTTTGGTCAAATGACCTTCCGTGGCCAGGGGCGAGGTGCTCCCTCTCACTGAGCTCTAACCTCGCTTGAACACCCACCAGCATTTATTGAGCGCCTGCTGGGTGCCAGCATGTTGCCAAGGGCTACCTGGGTTTTATTTCCATGGGTCCTCACGACAACTCTTAGGAATGGCTGTTATCATATTCCCCATTGTACAGATGAGAAAATGGAGGCTCACAGAGGGAGAGGACTTGACCAAGGCCACACAGCGGATGATTCAAACTTCTGACCCACCCTGGCCCACAATGGGCAGCCGAGCTAGAGACCAGTACTTTATGGATGAGGGGAGAAAGAGGAACCAGGACCTCATGCTGCTTCTGGTGGCCTGGCTGCATCCTCTGACCCTGGGACGCGCTCCTGGCTCTTACCTGGGAGGCAGCATAGCAGGTGGCATTGGAAGCAGAGGGGCCTGAGCTAGAATCCCGGCTCTGTCGCTGACCAGTCTGGTGACCCAGCTATGTGGGGGTCTCACCAGCCTCACTCTCCTGCCTGAGCAAGGGAAGCAGAGATGTCAGTACCCACCTGCCCGGGTGGGGGCAGGTGAAGGAGAGGTTGTCTTGGCACACGGCACATCTGAACACTCGCTGGGGTGGCTATGAGGGGTCCTCACGCTTTACCCACCTTGGGCCCATCTTAGAATGAAAGAAAATGGAATCCCCAAGGAGGTCTCTTTCCTGTCCTTCCTCAGTGCATCTCAGAGTTGGACCCTGAGGGGACCCTCTGCTTGGGGCTGTCCTGGGCTGGGCATCCTCCCCTCCCTGCTCCTGATGTAAAAACTCCAAGGGTGGGTGCCGCATGAGGAGGGCCAAGGTGCTGCGTTCTAGTCCTTGCCTGGCCACCGGCTGGTGCCTAGACCCTCTCTGGACCTCAGTTTCCCCACCTCCAGCATGGGTCTCCTGCAGAGCCCGTGAGGCAGCAGAGGATGGATTTGAGCCTGGCTGTGTGCGGTCAGGGCACCTCCCATACGCGAGGGGGTGGATCAGTCTCCTGGGGTTGCTGTGACAAATGACCATGAACTCAGTGGCTGAAAACAAGACACACATTCGCTCACAAGCAGTCTCGTATCAAGGTGTCAGAAGGGCCACGCTCCTGCAGACGCTCCGGGGGAGAGCCCTGCCCTGCCTTCTCTGGAAAAGATGCAGCGATCCCTGGCCTTTCTGGGCTTGTGGCCTCTGATCTCTGCTCTGTCTTCAGGTCTCCTCTGTGTGTCTTCTCCTGCCTCTTATAAGGACATTTGCCATTGGATTTAGGGCCCACTAGGGTAATCCAGGATGATACCATCTTAAGATCCCTAACTTAATTATATCTGCAAAGACTCTTTTCCTAAATAAGGTCATATTCACAGCTTCCAGGGATTTGGATGTTGACATATCTTTGGGAGCTATGACAGTCAGCCTCACCTCACAGGCTCCCTACCAGAGAAAGGCAAGTGAGGGCCAGCGGATTCCTCTAAGGACCTTGGAGAGTGCCGCATACAGTAAGCTCAACAAATGTGAACCCTAAGAAAGAGACATGGAGGCACAGGGAGGAAAAGATCACGGAAGAGCTTGCCCTGGCCATGCTGAGACCCCTTCCCCCCAGCTTTGGGCCTTGTCTCTGGGGGTGGGCCAAGCCGGACCCCTCCAGGGCAGGGCGGCAGCACACACCGCCAGCCCTGCATCTCTGCATCCCATTCTGGCAGAGCACTACCCAGAAACATATTTTACCCATAAACGGGCCAATTAAGAAGGCAAATGTTTTCAAACAGGAGGATTTATTGGCATAGAATGTGCCATCCCTCTAAGCAAGAGGAGTGGGGGTGTGTGCGGAGCCATCTGGAGGGGAGTTGTTTATCATATTTATTTAGTTACAAGTTGCTGGTTTAGAACTGGCAGAGCTTTGTGAGGTGGGATCGCAGTTCCCTGGGAGGGCACAGGCTCGGGTGGCTTTGTGCACAGGGGTATGCCCGTGTCTGTGCAGACACGTATGTCTTTGTGCCTGAGCGTATGTGACCGTGCACCTACATGTGGGAGTTTGCCTGCCTATGCGTGTGCATACCCTTTATTGGGTCTGCTCTCTGTGTGTACACACATGTGCCTCTGTGTGTACACATGAGTGTAAGAGGGCCTAGAGATGTCCTGGTGCATGCGTGTGCACATGCGTGTTTGTGTGCATGTGTGTGCAATTCTTCTTTGTGTGTGGATGCAGGTGTGGCCTTGTGTGCACTTGCCTGGGACAGATCCTACCTTACCCAATTTGACTTCCAGGCAGTCTTGGACATCTCTGAGAGTCTCTTCCCTGGCAATTTCCCACATCATCCTCTTTCTTTGATCTCTTTCTCTTCCCCGTGTGTCTTCTCTTCTCTTTCTAGACCAGGGGACACCAGTAGGTCACGTGAATGAGAGAAGAAGGTCTGGCCTGGGCTAGGCCTTTGATGCAGACTCATTGTGTGTGGCAAAGGTAAAGGAATTGTCTTGGCCTCTGCAAACATACATGCTCTCCTATTTTACCTAAACACGTGGCTCTGACTCTCTGAGACTACTCTGTTTCTCAGCATCTGATAGAGATATGGGACAAAGAATCATTACAAGTGCCATGATCGCCAACAAGAACTACTTAGCCTGTGGTTCTGGGAGCCAATAGACAAGGGTGGGGCTGTGGTGAACAGGAGAGTGCGTGCCCCTGTCTAAGGGACAGCCAATCCTCGGTGATGGTTGCTTTGAGAAATTTCCAGCCTCTGTTGCCAGGTCTTCTGAGTTTCTAAGAAAAACCAGAGATTTGTATTTTTAAGAGAGTGTGCTTGATTTTTAAACATTGGCTCAAAGATTTTTGAAACATTGCAGGCCAAATGGAACTTGTGTGCAGGATGAATGATCAGGGTGCTCATCTGCAGCCTCCCCCACGCTCCATGTGCACCCCTCTGATCTGTGGCTGTAGGGATCATTGTCAAGCTCATGACCAACATCTGTGCCTCGATTTTGGGTCTAGACCCACTATGAGTCAGACCCTGTCATCCTGGGCTCATGTCTTGTGAGCACAATGAACCCAGCATGTCCACGAAGCAAAGCAGCATCTTTCCTCCATCAGTGCCTCCCTTGAGTCCCCGAATCAGAGGCAGCCCCGCCATCAGCTCTGGAGATGGAATCTGGGTGTCATCCTTGGGTCCTCACCACCCCTCAGCCTCCGTGGGCATTGAATCAGTCACCCAGTCCTGCTGGCTTTGCCTCCAGCACACATCTCTACAGCCTCCGTCATCTCTCTCCTGAATGACAGTGACAGCCCGCTCCAGCTTCTCCAGGCTTCTAGTTGTGTCTCCCTGCTCCTTCCCTGTCCACCTCTCCAGCCTTGTCCTTCCCTCTCCCTGCTGGCACTTTAAGCTTCAGCAACACCAGACTGCTTGTGTTCTATTTTATTGCCTCTTGCCTTTGCAATGACGTCTCCTCTTCATGGAATGCCTTTCCAGGCCTCTCCACTTCCCCCGACTAACTCCTCTTTATCCTTTGAGATCCCATAGGAAGCTCCCTCTGCAAAAGGGTGATAAATAAATCTCACCTGGCAAGGTTGTTCTCAGACTGCATGAGGTCCTTCCTGGCACAGTGCCCAGCACACAGTAGGTGCTCACTTGATGTGCCTGCCTCCCCGTCCGCTGGCCTCCCCTGCCTGCCACTCTCTCTGGAGGGAGGACCGTGGGCACTGACTGGGCCCTGAGGGATGAGACAGAGTAGCCCCCAGACAGGTGATCTCACAGCCTTCCCCAGGCCTGGACCCGGTGACTCTCAAATGACATCAGCCACGGAACTTCACCAGCAGATCAGGTGGGCTTTTCCAATCAGCCCTCTCCTGTTAAATGGGCATTTTGATATTTTCACTGGATGTACATTAGTCACGGAGAATTCTGATTTGCACAGCCTGTGTTTTAGAGTGTGATGTTCTAGGCTGTAAAGATAATCAGCTCTCATAAGAGATAGTTTCCCTGGTGCCAAGGGTGGGGGACTGGGGTGGCGACAGCGTGATTGGAACTCTAAATGTCTGAAGTGACTGTCTCAAGTCCCCTGAGCCACAATTCAATCAGCCTCTCCAAACGAGAAATTCAACAGTGAGCGTTAAAAAAACAGTGGAGGATGAAAATGAAAAAAGAAAAACACTCAAAATGGAATTAAGTTTTGGGGGCATTGGATGGAAGTTTTAAAAATGAACAGTCACAGCCCCCCAAAAGGTGCATCTTCTCCAGTGCGGCGGAAGCAGGGAAGGGTTTGCTTTCTGGGATTCCGGAAGAACTTTCAAAGTTTCTTCTTCCTTTTTTCCCCCTCCTTTCCTTCCTCCCTCCTTTATTCTCTTCCTTCCACAGATGTTTCCTGAGCACCTACTGTGTGCAGGGCACCACGCTGGGCACTGCAGACCTAACAATGAACAAGGCAGATGTTGTTCCTGCTCTTGCAAAGTTTATAACCCTCCCCTACTGTTAGGCCTGAGGGTCGTTTCCAGTTTTTCATGGTTGCAGATAATGGGGCAATGAACATTTTTGCATGCATACCAGGATGAGGCATGGAATGAAGTTTTCTGTTGCCCCAGAAATGGTGCCTGAGGCCAAGCTACAGACAAAGGCATCAAGTACCCCACGTTATTTTTTTATTTTATTTTTGAGACAGAGTCTCGCTCTGTCATTCAGGCTGGAGTGCAGTGGCACCATCTCGGCTCACTGCAACCTCCGTCTCCCAGATTCAAGTGATTCTCCTGCCTCAGCCTCCCGAGTAGCTGGGATTACAGGTGTGTGCCACCATGCCTGGCTAATTTTTTTTTTTTTTTTTTTTTTTTTTTAGTAGCCGCAGGGTTTCACCATGTTGGCCAGGCTGGTCTCGAACTCCTGACCTCAAGTGATTTACCTGCCTCCTAAAGTGCTGGGATTATAGGGGTGAGCCACCGCACTTGGCCAAGTCCCCCACATTCTAAAGAGCACAGTTAAAACTGAGGCCAGACACACCCTTCTGGGCTTATACAGTCCAGCCAGTTTGGTTATCCCCAGCGTCCCCTGGCTCCCCTGGCTCCTCACCTCATTCTGCTCCATAAGCAGGAAACTGACAAGAGATGGAGAGAGGGGAATTATTGGATCATAAGTTGTCATCCCTTGGAGGGGGTCAGTTATTGTCCCCTCCCTTGGAGGGGGTCAGTTATTGTCCCCTCCCTGTGGGAGAGGAGAGGGGATCTCTAAAGGGACCCCTTGCAGAGATGGGGAGGCGTCCACTAGATGGGCAGACAGGCATCTCGGGCCACATTAGAAGGTCTGTGTCTGCTTAGACAGTGGCCCAGCCTCTGCCCTGGGACCTCCGTGAGATTGGACTAGGTATTGGTGGGCAGAGAGGGGATGCATGGAGGAGGCTGTGGCCAAGTCGACCCCAGAGAACAAGGCTGGCTGGGACTGTTTGCCAGGGCAAGGACTTAAGGGGAAGCAGGAGGCTGGGTGTGGTGCCTCACGCCTGTAATCCCAGCACTTTGGGAGGCTGAGGTGGGCCAATCACCTGAGGTCAGGCATTCGAGGCCAGACTGGCCAACAGGGTAAAATCCCGTCTCTACTGAAAATACAAAAACTAGCTTGGCATGGTGGCAAGAGCCTGTAATCCCAGCTACTTGGGAGGCTGAGGCAAGAGAATCACTTGAACCCGGGAGGCAGAGGTTGCAGTGAGCTGAGATGGCGCCACTACACTCCAGCCTGGGTGACAAAGCGAGACTCTGTCTCAAAAAAAAAAAAAAAAAAAAGACGGGGGTGCAGCAGGAGGTCTGGGGTGGCTGCGTGGGGTGCGAGTTGAGGGGTGGGAGAAGCAGGGCCATGGTGGTGGTCTCATGTCAGGGCCCCTGAGGACACAGAGGCCCCAGGGCACAGCTGGGGGGCATCCTGCACACCCTCTTCCCTCACTTGGCCTTGGCTCCTGGACGCTGTCTCTGTCTACCCTCTCTTGCTCCTCTACACCTGCCAGGCCAGGCCAGGGGCTGCCTCTGGGTTCTCGAGGCCCCAGGGTTCCTGCTGCCTCAGCACAGCCCTGGCCTGTCACTGCCAGGTCCACGTCCATCTCTGGTTGATAGCAGGGGCTTTGTCTCGTTCGCTGCTATATCCCCGGCGCCTGGCACAGGGCTGGTAAACAGCAGGCGCTTGCTACGTGTTTGTGACGGGACCTTTGTTGGAGGAGCACTGAGCTGAGGGGAAGGTCGGCTCAGGGTCCCCCGGCTGCAGGATACTGTCCTCGGCAGAGGGGAGGGCCGGCTCAGGGTCCCCAGGTTGCAGGGCGCTGTCCTCGGCAGAGGGGAGAGCGGGCTCAGGGTCCCCGGGCTGCAGGGCGCCATCCTTTGCCAGCTCTTTATCGTCCCTCCTCTTTATGCCCTGCGTTGGTCTGGCTTTCAGTTTACAACCAAATAAATAAATCTTCATCCTCATAGAGAGTTTTCCTCTGGGCAGTGCTCCAAGGAATTGGAAATGCTCCCAGCCTAGGTTTATGGCAAAGGAGCCTCCGGGAGGAGATTTCTTGAGGCTGTTTAGGTGACCCCAGGCCTTTACCAATGCTGTGCCCTCTGCCAACTGTGTGGGCTGAATACGTCCTCCGCCTATGAGGCCTGACCGAAACCCCACCTCCCCCAGGAAGCTGTTCTTGATCCCCCAGCTGTGTCGGGGGTTCTTCTATCCAGTCCTGTAAGCACCCTTCACCCCGGCATCATCAAAACAGGATTTTAGTTGTCTGTGTCTGTCTTTTTCATTAGACTGGGCACTCCCTGAGGGCAGGGACTCAGCGCTGTGTCCCCAGCAGACATCAGGTGCTCATCACGTGTTTTCGAAGGCAGTTGATTGCTTGAACCAGGCTAGAAGGTGATGTACAGAGTGTCTAGAAATGAGTTAAGTGTGAGGTTGAGATGAGGTAGGGCACACGAGGTGGAGAAATAAAGAGAGGGAAGGGCAGGCCAGGGAGAGGGCGTGGTGTGAGCAGAGGTACCGCAGCAGGACATAGCCTGGCGTGCGGGGCTCTCAAACAGTGAGGCTGCCGGCTGAGCCCAAGCTCCAGGCATGGGGCGGTAAGCCAAGAGATGGTAACTAGGGTTGGCGCGACAGATGTGGAGAGTAGGTGACAGACTCAACTGAGGTCCTAGAGGTGGAATCCATGGGGGTGGTTATTGGAGTAGGGGGGTGGCGGGGATGGCGCCCAGTACCCTGGCTCACGACTGGGTGGCTGGTGGAGACACAGAGGAGGAGTTGGGGGTGGGGGTGGGGAGCACTATGCTCAATGTTGGACCCTCCGAGTGGGACGTGGGGCATTGGGGGAGATGCCCAGGAGGCCCTGTGGTCTGGAGAAAGGTCCAGGCTGGAGAAGGAGCAAGGACACAGCTGGCAAGGGGGCGCCTGAGGCCGTGGAGTGGACAGAAGCCGAGGAGGAGGGGGACTTCACCCTGAGCTTACAGCTCCTTGCATAACTTAATTGCCAATATGATTAAACATGTAAATAATTATTTAAAAATAAATATATTTAGAAACTTAAAATTTGGATTCAGGAACATTTTAAAGAAAAAGCACAGATGGCCGGGCGGGGTGGCTCACGCCTGTAATCCCAGCACTTTGGGAGGCCGAGTCAGGCAGATCACGAGGTGAGGAGATCGAGACCATCTTGGCTAACACGCTGAAACTGCATCTCTACTAAAAATACAAAAAATTAGCCGGGCGTGGTGGGGGGCGCCTGTAGTCCCAGCTAATCGGGAGGCTGGGCAGGAGAATGGCGTGAACCTGGGAAGCGGAGTTTGCAGTGAGCCGAGATCATGCCACTGCACTCCAGCCTGGGCGACAGAGCGAGACTCCGTCTCAAAAAAAAAAAAAAGAAAAAAAAGGAAAAGCACAGACATAACAGTGAATTGCACATTGCCTTTCCCAAATATGCTCACATTATGTTCTGAAAAGTTCCCTCTGCTCCCTGCCCACTCCATCCCACTCCCCAGGGAGTAACTGATTTCTCTTTCCAGCATGGTCCAAAGGGCTTGTCAGGGGTTTGCTGTCAAGTGAGTGATGTAAACCCTCCCCTCCACTAGCCCCAGTAGGCATCTGTAGTGTTCACTGCTCACTGGCATGTTTCAGGATAAACTCTTTTGTGGAAACAAGAAAAGGAGAAAAGGAGCTTGGGCCTGTGTTGCTGGGAGTTCACTTGAGGGCCCCTGGAGCTAGAGAAGGTGGGACAAACTGTTATCTACATCACACAGCCCTCCTCAGAGGGGTGTCCTATTGTCCTCATTTTACAGAGTTGGCGACTGAGGATCAGAGAGGTGACTCTCCTAAGGCCATGGAACTGATGAGTGGCCGAGCTTGGATTCAAACCCAGGTCTGCCCAGCTTCAAAGCCCAGGCTCTTGCTCCTATTTTTAGGAGAAGATACAGACCAAGTTTATTTTACATAGGATTCAGAGATTCAGGATCCTGGAGTTCTAGTGACCATTTGACAGATGGAGAGACTGAGGCATAACCAGGGCTAGAACCCAGGCCTACTGCCCCTGAGTCTGAAGTTTTGACCATCAGCAATCATTCAGGGTGAAGGGATCTTGCAGGAAAGATGACAACTTGACGGGGCCAGGGTTCAGAGGTGTGTGCAGATGGGAGGTTCAGAAGCTTCCCTAGAGGCTGCAGCCAATTCCCCCCACCTCTCCCCTCCATCCCCCACATAACACACTTGGCCCCCTGTGAACCCATGGTTCCTGCTCAGAGCAGGCGGCCAAAGCAGTGTCTTTGCTGCAAGCGAGGGACTGAGCTGTTCAACGAAGAGTCATGTCCTTCATCTTGTCCCCTGCATTTTACACCACCATGTAAAATTTTCCATTAATTCCTCGGAATAAAATGTAGTGGCTGTTAATTTTTGATGCCTGGGAAGTAGCCAGCTGAGCGCCTTTTTATGCCTGAAACTATTTTCTACCATTAGAAGAGTGTAATAAAAAGTTTTCTTTCTTTGATTTTATTTTTTAATTAGATGAGGGGGTTTAGGCAAGTCTGCTGTCAGAGCTGTGGCTGGCAGCTGGAAGCCCAGGACGTGGCAGAGGAAGGACACAAACACCTTCACTCTCAAATACCTTCCCCACAGCCAGGCCTCGCCTCTGAGCCAACCAGGGGGGCCAAGGTCTGGCCCAAATCATAAAAAACCCCGAATCTTCATTGCTTTTCCAGAAAGGCTGTTTGCGAGAAGTAGCATGCTTCTGCGAGAAGTTTCTGTCCTGGGCTTTGGCTTCATACAGACGTGTGAAATTCCTCCTCTGTGTCTCTGAGTCGAAGTCTTGGATCCTCAGCTTAATAGCTGAGGGACTTTGAGCAAGTCCCTTCCCCTCTCTGGGTTTCTCCTCTGTAAAAGCTCCCAGGGTTGTTGACTAAGGAGACATTGATTAAAGGAGAAATGGGTGTCAAGCATCTAGGCCATAGTAGATACCCTGGAAACAACGATGATGGGGGAATGTGTTTAAGAGGCGGGAAAATGCCGGGCATGGTGACTTATGCCTATAATTCCAGTGCTCTGGGAGGCTGAGACAGGAGGATCACTTGAGGCTAGGAGTTCATAGACCAGCCTGGGCAACATAGTGAGATCCTACTCTAATTTTTTTTTTTTTTTTTTTGAGACAGGGCCTCACTCTGTCATCCAGGCTGGAGTGCAGTGACATGATCTCAGCTCACTGCAATCTCCACCTCCCAGGCTCAAGTGATCCTCCCACCTCAGCCTCTCAAGTAGCAGGGACCACAGGTATGCACCACCACATCTGGCTAATTTTTTCTATTTTTTGTAGAGATGGGGTTTCGCCATGTTGCCCAGGCTGATCTTGAACTCCTGAGCTCAGGTTGATCCACCCACCTAGCCCTCCCAAAGGGCTGGAATTACAGGTGTGAGCCACTGTGCCTGGCCTACAAAATAAAAAAATAATTAACTGGGCATGGTAGTGCACCCCTGTAGTCCTAACAACTTGGGAGGCTGAGGTGGGAGGATTGCTTGAGCCCAGGAGTCAAGGCTGCAGTGAGTTATAATTGTGCCACTGCACTACAGCCTGGGTGACAGAGTGAGACCCTGTCTACAAAAAAAAAAGGAAGTGAGAAGGCTTCAGGCTTCTTCATGTTCCTTGATGGGGTTGTGGTGGGGCCGGGAGGAGCTGGGTCTAGGCTGGCAGGTGCAGGCAGAGATTTAGGGGAAGGCTGGGCGCAGCCTCACCTGCCTGCAGGAGGAGACCTGTGGGGGCAGGTCCTGCTTCGCCACTGGCACTTCCTCCTTTCAAGAGTGTGTGTTCCTCCTCTCTTCTGGGGGAATCGTCCCTGGCCGCTCCCCACTACCCCCTCGCCCGCTTTAGGATCCAGACGATGCCATCATCTCATTTCATACCCAGACTCCTGGGTCCATCCTTGCTGGGAATTTTTAAACTGGAGACAGGGAAGAGGAATCCCTTCCTCTCTGGTCATGTAGTCAGAAAGACAGGAGCCCAGAGCTACTGGTCACCATGCCCCCCACGCTCACCCCATGGAGAAGCCTTTCTGTGCAAAGACAGGAGGGCTAGGGACATGAAGAGAAGCAGAGTGTGAGGCTCAAATCTCATCAGCCTGGCGAGGCTATAACTCAATTAAATGCAAATCTCGGTGTTGCTGTGCAGGTGTTCTGTAGCTGTGCTTAACATCTACAATCAATTGACTCAAAGTAAAGGAGATCATCCCTGGTAATGTAGGTGGGCCTCATCCAATCAGTTGAAGGCCTCAAGAGCAAATCAGCTTCCCCAGAGAAGAAATTCTGCCTCAAGATTGCAGAATAAAATCCTGCGTGAGTTTCCAGCCCGGGGCCTGCCCTTCCAATTTCAGACTTGCAAACCCCCACAACTGTGTGAGCCAATTCCTTAAGAGAAATCTAGCTGTCTCCTTTCCGTGTCTTCTATTGATTTTGTTTCTCTGGAGAACCCTCACTAATACACAGAGGAAAGAAGGAAGAGAAGGAGAGGGGATCCTGACAGTGGGAGGCCCTGTTTCCTCTTGTCCTGGAGGCCACCACCTCATTTGTGCACCACTGGGTGGACACTGCCAGGGCCCTGCCCACTTGCCCTTGGGCTATGCCTTTGAGGTGGGGACTTCTTTTTTTCTTTTTTTTGAGACAGAGTCTCACTCTGTTGCCCAAGCTGGAGTGCAGTGGCGCGATATTGGCTCACTGCAAGCTCCGCCTCCCGGGTTCAGGCCATTCTTCTGCCTCAGCCTCCCTAGTAGCTGGGACTGCAGGCGCCCGCCACCACGCCTGGCTAATTTTTTGTACTTTTTTTAATTAGAGACGGGGTTTCACCGTGTTGGCCAGGATGGTTTTGATCTCCTGACCTCGTGATCCGCCTGCCTCGGCCTCCCAAAGTGCTGGGATCACCACCGCGGGTGCAGTGAGCCACCGCGCCCGGCCGAGTTGGGGACTTTCAATGCCTGCAGGCTTTCTCTGGCGGTCTCCCAGGGACGGGCCTGCCTGCTTCTCCTGCGCTCTCACCGAGGGGCCAACTGGACTTGCCTCCCAGAAGACGTCTGTCTGACCGCAAGAGTGGCAGTTGTGGGGGCGCTGGACGGACCAAACACCCTGTGCTCCGGCTTACAAACGGCGACGAGTCCATCAACCTCCTCTGGGTTAGAGTCCTAATTCGCAGCCCCCACCCACTGCTGAGCTCAGGGCTCTGGAAACTGACTGCCTGATTCAGCCAACAGGATACATGGTGCTGGAGCCTGTGCTGATGAGCCCATTAGGGGAAATGGGGGCTCCCAGGCACGATGAGCTATTCCAGGTCATCTCACCAAGCCTGGGCCCGAATACTCCCATGGAGCCCAGTGAGGAGGGCAGCGGGACGCTACACTGACTTCTTCCCTTGCAAAGGTGCGGGGTGAATCTGTCTGGAGCAGGGCGGGCAGAAGACATCTTCCTAAGATGTCTTCCACGGGGAGCGGTGGGCCTCTGGGATGCCCAAGGTCTCTGCCATCACTCTCTGGTCTCTACACTTTCAGAGGGATCGTGGAGCACTGAATTGCATGGGATCTTAAGATTTCATCTACTCTGGGTGTTTTCAAAACTTTTTTTTTTTTTTAAGAGTTGGGGTCTCGCAGCCTGGCGCGGTGGCTCACGCCTGTAATCCCAGCACTTCGGGAGGCCGAGGTGGGTGAATCACAAGGTCAGGAGATCGAGACCATCCTGGCCAACACGGTGAAACCCCGTCTCTACTAAAAATACAAACATTAGCCGGGCATGGTGGCGGGCGCCTTGTAGTCCCAGCTACTTGGGAGGCTGAGGCAGGAGAATGGCGTGAACCCGGGAGGTGGAGCTTGCAGTGAGCCGAGTTTGCATCACTGCACTCCAGCCTGGGGGACAGAGCAAAATTCCGTCTAAAAAAAAAAAAAAAGAGAGATGGGGTCTTGCTTGTTGACCAGGCTGGAGCACAGTGGTTTGATCATAGCTCACTGCAGCCTGGAACTCCTGTTCTCAAATAATCCTCCTGCCTCAGCCTCCCAAGTAGCTGGGACTACAGTTGTGTGCCACCATAGCCAGCTCCAAATTTATCTTTAAAACTTGTTATAGGCCAGGCACCATGACTTATGCCTGTAATCCCAGAGTTTTGGGAGGCTAAGGTGGGCGGATTGTTTGAGCTAAGGAATTTGAGACCAGTCTGGGCAACATGGTGAAACCCTGTCTCTTCAAAAAAAAATAAATAAATAACATTAGCTTAGTATGGTGGTGCGTGCCTGTAGTCCCAGCTACTCAGGAGGCTGAGGTCTGATGATCACTTGAGCCTGGGAGGTCGAGGCTGCAGTGAGCCATGATTGCACCACTGCACTCCAGCCTGGGTGACAGAGTGAGACTGTGTCTCAAAAAAACAAAAACAAAAACAAAACTTGTTACAGAGCCCTTTCTCCAAGGAATATCTTACATCAAAGCCAGATATATAAGAGAAACCATGAGGGACCGACTCTATTTGAGGTGGGGAACTGGGAGACCCAGCTCTTTGATGGCTCCCTTCACTGTGGCTGTAAGACCCTTGGAGAGATCAAGTTCAGCCACCTCATTTTCCCAGTCTGCTTCCACCTGCCTAAAGTCACCCCCAAATCTGACACTACATGGCACATGTCAGTGGGATGCTCGAGGAATAAAAGCCACGTGGGTGTTCTGCTGTTGCTCACCAACCACACTGCAGTGCTGGGAGCCGTATCCTGGCAAGTGTTCAAGGTGGCGCTAGGGAACAGAGAAGGGGTTGTGAGGGTGTCGTGGGCACAGGCCCCGGAGGGACAGTGAGCTTAATAGGAGTGTGTGTGTGTGTGTGTGTGTGTGTGTGTGTGTGTGTGTGATGGTGGTGGTGGTGGTGCTGGTGGTGGTGTGGGGATTACAAACAGGAAGGAAATCTCATTAGATGGGCTGGGTCTTGGTCCAAAGACCAGATAAACTAGGATGTCACAGGTGGGGACAGAGTCCAAGATTCAATGTCTTCAGAACTCTCCTGATCAATAGTTATGAGATTCCATGATTCACAAAGACAGGGACCATGTTTCATTTATTTAACACATATTTATTTACCTCTTTCAAACAACAAGCTGGGGGAACCGATCTTACTGATTTAGTTAGCATCTATGGGAAAGCTGTGGTGTCAATCAGGGCTCTTTTGGTTGAAAATGAGAGAACATTATAACTCATTCCCCGTCCCTCAATGAATTGGGACTTTGTGGGCACCTGAAACTGAAAAGTTCAGGAGTATCTTCAGGTTGAACTTGATCAAAGACTCAAATAACATGACCAAGATGGGATTCACTTCTCTATCTCTTTAATCATTTTCCTTCTTGTTGAAGCACATCCTTTAATCTTTTGGTGAGGGCCTGTGGGTAGTAAACTCTAAATCATGTATATCTGGAAATATATATATATATATATATTTTTTTTTTTTTTTTTGAGACAGAGTCTTGCTCTATTGTCCAGGCTGGAGGGCAGTGGCACAACCTCCACCCACTGGGTTCAAGCTATTTTCATGCCTCAGCCTCCTGAGTAGCTGGGACTATAGGTGTGCACCACCACACCCAGCTAATTTTTGTATTTTTAGCAGAGACAGGGTCTCGACTTGTTGGCCAGGCTGGTCTTGAACTTCTGGCCTCAAGTGATCCACCCACCTCAGCCTCCCAAAGTGCTGGGATTACAGGCATGAGCCACCACGCCCAACCTGGAAATATGTTTTGATCTCACTCTTCAGTGACAGTTTAGCTAGGTATAGAATTCTAGGCTGACAAGTATTTTTTCACTGTGTTTGGAGATATTAGTCTACTCCTTTCTGGCTCCTATTGTTGCTAATTAGAAGTCTATTTTTTAGTCTAATTGTTTCTTTGAAAGGAATCTGTCTTTCCCACCCTTCTGGCAGCTTCAAAAGTTTTCTCTTTACCCTTAAAGTTGTCCAAGTGCAATTAGACATGCCTAAGCGTAGATTTTATTTATTTGTTTATTTTTGAGACAAGATCTGGCTCTGTCACCCAGACTGGATCGCAGTGGCATAATCATAGTTCACTGCAGCCTTGACCTCCTGAACTCGGGTAATCCTCCTGCCTCAGCCTCCCAAGTAGCTGGGACCACAGGCACATGCCACCACACCCAGCTAATTTTAAAATTATTTGTAGAGACAGAGTCTCCCTATATTGTCCAGGCTGGTCTTGAACTCCTGGACTCAAGTGATCCTCTTGCCTTGGCCTCCCAAAGTGCTGAGATTACATGTTTGAGCCACTGCACTCAGCCTAGATTTATTTTTATCCCACTCTGAACTATGGCTTTTCTCTGTGAAGACAGTGCTTTCTTCAATTTGAAAAATTCTTATATATTATATTTTACTATATTTTATTTTATTTTATTTTATTTTTTTGAGACAGAGTCTCACTCTGTCACCCAGGTTGGAATGCAGTGGTGTGATCTCAGCTCTCTGCAACCTCCGCCTCCTGTCTCAGCCTCCTGAGTAGCGGGGATTACAGGTGCCCGCCACCATACCTGGCTAATTTTTGTATTTTTTAGTAAAGACAGGGTTTCATCATGTTGGCCAGGCTGGTCTCGAACTCCTAACCTCAAGTGATCTGCCTGCCTCAGCCTCCCAAAGTTCTGGGCCATGCCTGGCCCCTATTATAGTTTCCTTTATTGCTTTTCCCACATCCTCTTTACTGTCTCTTATTGGAATTCCTATTCCTGTTGTACATCCTATTAGATATATAATGGATCATTTCATTTCATCCTCCATCTTAACTTCCCCTTTATGTTTCACATTTCTTTATCTCTCTCTGTGCTGTATTCTGGGCGAACACCTCTGATAGGTGTTCTATAGCCCCCAATACTTCTGAGTGTGATTATATTGGAGATAGGGTCTTTGAAGAGGTGACTAAGTTAAAATGAGGCTATCAGGGTGGCCCCTAATGCAATCTGACTGGTGTCCCTATAAGAGGAAATGTGGATGCACCAAGGGGCAGGAAGGATGAGCATGCGCAAGGGAGACCATGTGAGGACACAGCAAGGAGGTGGCCGTCTGCAAGCCAAAGAGCAAGACCTCCGATAAAACCAAACACCAGCACCCTGATCTGGGACTTCTAGCCTCCAGAACTGAAAGTTAATAGATTGCTGTTGCTTAAGCCACTCTACTGTTTTATTATGACAGGGCCAGTAAATGAATATGACAGACTACTGTCAAACCCACCTATTGAGTTTCTCTCTTTCTTTTTGCTTTGTTTGTTTTTTCAGTTTATCTTGGGTGACTTTTTTTTTTCTATGGCCCAGGGCAAGACACCCACTTCTAGGCTGCAGCCCAAGGTTATTGGGCAGTTTTTCCAGTCCCAAGAAGAAACAGCTGACTTCCAGCTTTTTCCTGATGTAGGGAGCCTAGTTTCAGCTGGAGGGCTCTCACAGGGCCAGGAGCCTTGTCTTTCGTCCTCACAGAGGCATTCAAACCCCAGTGCCATTCAGAAGTCTGGATATGGCAGCCCCAGGTGACTTAGTGGCTCCATGAAGCTGCCAGGGACTTGGACACCTTTGATCTTCACATTTTAGCACCCTTGGGGTGCGGCTTTAACCCTCTTGTTGCACTTCCAGGCATCTCATCTCCAAATGCCCCATGTCTTCTGTCTTTTGTTTGCTTCTTTGTTTTGAGACAGGGTCTCACTCCATCACCCAGGCTGGAGTGCAGTGGTGTGATTACAGCTCACTGCAACCTCAACCTCCCAGGCTCAAGTGAACCTCCTACCTCGGCCTCCTGAGTAGCTGGGACTACAGGTGTGTGCCACCACACCTGGCTAACTTAATTTTTTTTTTTTTTTTGAGACAGTTTCACTCTTGTTGTCCAGGCTGGAGTGCAATGGTGAAATCTCAGCTTGCTGCAACCTCTGCCTCTTGGGTTCAAGCGATTCTCCTGCCTCAGCCTCCCGAGTAGCTGGGATTACAGGTATGTGCCACCACGCCCGGCTAATTTTGTATTTTTAGTAAAGACAGGGTTTCACCATGTTGGTCAGGCTGGTCTTGAACTCCCGACCTCAGGTGATCTACTGACCTCGGCCTCCCAAAGTGCTGAGATTACAGGCATGAGCCACCGCACCCGGAAATTTTTTTTTTTTTTTTTGTAGAGACAGGTCACGCTATGTTGCCCAGGCTGGTCTCAAACTCCTGAGCTCAAGCGATCCTCCTGCGTCTGCCTACAAAAGTGTTGAAACTACAGCCACAAGCCAACGCGCCCGGCCTTATGTGTTATCTCTTGCCACATAGTGGCCTCTGCTCCAAGGGAAGCGGGAAGAGTGAGTTTTTTCAGTGGTACCTTTCCTCCCCATCCTGAAAACAAATGTGATTCTCCTCCTAAAGAAGTAGAGCAAGTGGGTGTAGAGTTGTTAACATGCAATGTCTGCCACATAAAACATGATCCCCATTTTGGTGAGGAAATCACAGCCTGGAGAGGTGTGGTGATTTACACAGCCTGGATTCGATTGCACTGAGCCTGCCCCACCCTCACCCTGCTCTGATTCAGGGACCCTGGCCTGGCCCTCATCTTTGGTGGTTGCTGTCGTCAAGGCACTGGCCTTGCGTGATGGATGAGCAGGCAGCCTCATTAAACACAAACCCTTGTTGGTTTCCCAAAGCCCACAGGAGCAGCGAGGCCCGGGATCTGGGAGCAGGGAAGCTGAACAGGACCCCATCTGTCCTGTTCCCTCCGGCTTCTGCTCAAACAGGCATTTGTCTGCCATGGCAAGAGGGCAGCCTCAGACACTTCATCTCTGGGCAATTAGGGGGCTGCACGTGAGAAGAGTAATGACTGGCCAGAGGGGATTTATCAGGGGCCAGTGTGGCTGGGCGGGGCTCAAGATTTGACATCCACCTCTTTTCCGAGGGGAAGGAGCTGGTTAGCATCCCTGCCTGGCAGTGGAGCCTCGTTAGCTCTGCCTTCTACTGTCCCTTCCCCCTCCAACGCTCTGCTCCCCACCCCACCTCCTTGTCTCTGCCCTAGATCAGAGGCCAGGCACTAGCTGGATGGTCACACCTGCCTCCTCCATGCTGCCCCCTGTGAACCACTCTCCGCACTGGCTGCTCACAAGTCTGATCACGTCACACACCTCCTCCCTACCTTTAAATCCTTCCATGGCTCCCTACTGCCCAAATCATAAGCAGCTGTTGTGTTCGGGTGGTCCTAGGTGACCAGCTTCCCCACGAGCGATTTCTCTCCTTTGGTTTGATTCGTGTCAAAGATGAGTCTTAGACACTGCCTGATGCTCAAACGGTTTATCCTTTTCTTAAAAAAAAAAAAGATGGGATCTTGCTGTGTTGCCCAGGCTGGTCTTGAACTCCTGGCCTTAACCCATCTTCCTCCCTTGGCCTCCCAAAGTTCTGAGTTACAAGCATGAACCATGGTGCCCGGCCTCAAGTGATTTATTTTGGCTGTGCTGTTACGAGACAGACATCAATGACACGGGCCAGATACACTTAGGAGGTCAGAGGACCAGCTGACCAGGAGGGTCTCTGTGTAGAGACCATCCTCAGAGTTTGGGGGATCCTTCTCCCTTCCCTAGACCTGGGTTCAGTCTAGGTTAGTCGCCAGGTGTTTCTTTCAAAAAAGAAGTTTAAGCTATTCTTGTAAGGGGAAGCTTTGTTTCAAGGTTTATGAAAGTTGCATCTGTGCTGAGGTGGTCTTGTTTTCTGGAAATCCCCTGGCCAGGGTTGGAAATCCTGGGGCCAGGCTGTATCAACTGCTAAGTGACACCTGGTGTCCGGCCTGTGAGATGCTTAAGTGGGTCCTATGGCTCTTGTTAATCTCACAGTTGCAGTATGTCTCTTTTTATACTATGACAGCAACCTCAGCCCTGGTGACCTCAGCTCCCGCGCCGCATCCTCTGTACTCTTGCTCTTCAATTTTTAAGAATGAGTTTCATGATTATGGGTTTCAAAAATTACATTCAGGACTGCGTGTGGTGGCTCATGCCTATAATCCCAGCACTTTGGGACGCCAAGGTGGGTGGATCACTTGAGGTTAGGAGACCAGTCTGGTCAACATGGTGAAACCCTGTCTCTACTAAAAAAAATAAAACTTAGCAGGGCGTGATGGTGCACACCTGTAATTCCAGCTACTCAGGAGGCTGAGGCAGCAGGATCACTTGAATCTGGGAGGTGGAGGTTGAAGTGAGCCGACAACATGCCACTGCACTCCAGCCTGGGTGACAGAGTGAGACTCCATCTCAAAACAAAAACAAAAACAAAAACAATTCAAAAGGCACACAGTAAAACAAGGCTAACTCCTGCATCGTCCTCACCTGCCTAGTCCCCATCACCTGCCACATGCCTTAGTTCCTTGTGTATCCTTCCAGTTTCTTTATGCAAATGTAAATAGGACAAATATGTCGTCATATTTACCACCCCCACACATGCTTTATATACAAATGGTAGCTTATCAGGAACGTGGTTCTATACTTTCATTTTTGCACTTAATACATCTTGGAGATCTTTTTGTATCTGCAGAGAGAAGGCTGCTTCATTCTCTGGTACAGCTTGACCATCATTTCCTTAGCCAGCTCCCAGGTAGTGGATGTTTGTGTGGCAGGTGCTGCTGCTGCCCTGTCCCATATCTCCCACCTACCAGAGCTCACCAGCAGCCCTTTCATTTCTCCAGGCTTTAGCCCACACAGGTCTCTCTGCCTGGGATATGCTTCTGCTTCTTCATCTCAAATCAAGAGTCTGGCAGCCCCGCCAGAGACACTAACCTAACTAGTTCAGGCAGGGCTAGCACTTTGGGCCTCAGGGTCTCCCTTACCTCCTCTGCCTCAGGAATGATCACAGTGGATTAAATCCTCTCCTTATCTGCCTGCCTGGCTGGGAGCACCTGGGCAGGGGTCAGAGCTGTGGGGGGGCAATGGGGAAGATGAGTCAGATTCATCACTATGTCCCAGCACCTCTTACCACATCCCATGGCCTCTAGTGAAGCAGGAGAAGGATTGTATAAAATCCAAACTCCTTCCCGTGGCCTACAAAGCCCTGCTGACCCCGTCCCTGCCTGCCATCACCCCCAACCTCAGGTCCAGCCAGTGTGGCCTTCTTGTTCCTCAGAGACCTCAAACTCGATCCTGCCTCAGGGCTTTTGTTCTTATACTTTCCTCTACTTGGACTCTCTTTTCCCCAGATCTCCTGATTAGACCTCAGCTCAAATGACACTTCCTCCAAGAGGCCTTCCCTGACCACCTTGACTAAAATATCCTACTCACCCCTGCCAACTTTGGGAACCCAAGGCAGGAAGATCAGTTGAGGCCAGGAGTTCAAGACCAGCCTGGGCAACATAGTGAGATCCCATCTTTGAAAAAAAAAAAAAAACACCCCCACTTTCTTAGCAGTTATGGGATGAATTGTGTCCTTCCCAAAGTTTATAGGTTGAAGCCCTAACCCCGAGTACCTCAGAATGTCACTGTGTTTGGAGATAAGGTCTTTAAAGAGGTGAATAAGTTAAAATGAGGCCAGTAGGGCTGGGTCTTAATCCAATCTGAGTGGTGTCCTTTTTGTTTGTTTGTTTGTTTGTTTTGTTTTGTTTTGTTTTTGAGACAGAGTCTTGCTCTGTCTCCCAGGCTGGAGTGCAGTGATGCGATCTTGGTTCACTGCAACCTCTGCCTCTGGGGTTCAAGCAATTTTCCTGCCTCAGTCTCCCGAGTAGCTGGGACTAACAGGCACGTGCCACCACTCCCGGCTAATTTTTTTTTTGTATTTTTGGTAGAGACAGGGTTTCACCATGTTGGCCAGGCTGGTCTTGAACTCCTGAGCTCGTGATCCACCCATCTCGGCCTCCCAAAGTGCTGGGATAACAGGCGTGAGCCACTGTGCCCGGCCTGGTATCCTTTTTAAAAGGGGGAAGCAACACAAGGGATGAGGGTGCACAGAGGGAAGGCCGTGTGAGGACATGGGGAGGAAAGCCGAGGAGGGAGGCCTCCAAGGAAACCCTGCGGGTGCCTTGGTCTTGGACTTGCTGCCTCTGGAACTGTGGGAAAATAAATTTCTGTTATTTGAGCCAGGGGTCCTCAATCCCCTGGCCATGGACCAGTACTGGTCCATGGCCTATTAGGAACCTGGCACACAGCAGGAGGTGAGTGGCTGGTGAGGGAGAGAAGCTTCGTCTGTATATACAGCCGCTCCCCATCACACGAATGGCTGCCTGAGCTCTGCCTCCTGCCAGATCAGCGGCAGCATTAGATGCTCACAGGAGTGTGAACCCTGTTGTGAACTGTTCATGCGGGGGATCTAGGTTGCATGCTCCTTATGAGAATCTAATGCCTGATGATCTGTCACTGTCTCCCGTGACTCTCAGATGGGACCATCTAGTCGCAGGAAAACAAGCTCAGGCTGGACCTGGTGGCTCACGCCTGTAATCCCAGCACTTTGGGAGGCCGAGGCAGGTGGATCACGAGGTGAGGAGTTTGAGGCCAGCCTGACCAACATGGTGAAACCCTGTCTCTACTAAAAATACAAAAATTAGCAGGGCACGGTGGTGAGCGCTTGTAATTCCAGCTACTCAGGAGGGTGAGGCAGGAGAATTGCTTGAACCCAGGAGGCGGAGGTTGCAGTGAGCCAAGATCGCGCCATTGCACTCCAGCCTGGGCGACAGAGAGAGACTTCGTCTCAAAAAAAAAAAAAAAAAAGGAACACAAGCTCAGGGCTCCCACTGATTCTACATTATGGTGAGTCATATAATTATTTCGTTGTATATTACAGTGTGGTAATAATATAAATAAAGTGTACAATAAATATAATATGAATCATCCCCAAACCATCCCCCCCACTATCCATGGAAAAACTGTCTTCCACGAAACCCGTCCCTGGTGCCAAAAAGGTTGGGACCACTGATTTAAGCTACCCAGTCTGTGGTACTTTGTTATGCAGCCTAAGCTGACTCTACATCTTCCAGCGCATTTCTTCCAATGCACTGTCTGACATGACTTGTTTACTGTCTGCCTCCCCGTACAAGGGCAAGTCATTTAATTGTCTTGCTCATGGTGTAGCCCCAGCTCCTACAACAGAGCCTGGTACATAGTAGGCACTCAATAAATACTCACAGGATGAATGAGCAAATGCCAATTCCATGAAGCAGAGAGTGTCATATGAAGATCCCCCCAACGCTCACAAGCACATGTGTGAATGCACCCACATGTGTGCTCAGACATGTACGTGGATAGCTGGGCGCTCACACACATGCATCCTGCCCTGCATCTTTGCCTCTGACCATGTCCACTTCATGGCAAGGGCCATGTACACAGCCTGCAGGCTCAGCGGATGGCATGACTGTGCCTGTTTCAAGCTGGCTGTGCCTCTGAGCTGCCCTCAGAAACCCACGCCTGGCGCTCCTGTCAGGAGTGTGCTTGGATGCTAGGCCTCCCAGAGGGGTCAGAAGATGGGGAAGAAGAATCTGTTTGCAAATGGAAATCAGAATAAGCTCTACCAGGCACAGAGAACAGGGAAGGCAGTGGGCAGAATATGAGTTTTCCCAGCCCCCCACTGGGGGTCAGAACAATCAGCGAGTTCCTTCTGTGCCAGCCACATGACAAGTACATTATGCCCTGTGAAGTGGTGGGTTATTCACTCCCATTTTACCGATGAGAACACAGGCTGGTGTATCCCAGCATTTTGGGAGGCCGAGGTGGGATGATTTCTTGAGCCCAGGAGGTCTGGTTTGCAGTGATCTGTGATTGTACCATAGCACTCCAGCCTGAGTGACAGAGTAAGTCCCTGTCTCTCTCTCTCTCTCTCTCTCTCTCTCTCTCTCTCTCTCTCTATATATATATATATATATATATATATATATATATATATATATATATATATATTTATGTACACACACACGGGATTGGAGAGACCAATTCAATACTCCCTCAGTATTTTTTTTTGAGATGGAGTCTCACTCTGTTGCCCAGGCTGGAATGAAGTGGCTTGATCTTGGCTCACTACAACCTCTGCCTCCCAGGTTCAAGTGATTCTCCTGCCTCAGCCTCCTGAGCAGCTGGGATTACAGGTCCCCCGCCACCACGCCTGGCTAATTTTTGCATTTTCATTAGAGACGGAGTTTCACCATGTTGGCAAGTCTGGTCTCAAACTCCTGACCTCAAGTGATCTGCCTGCCTTAGCCTCCCAAAGTGTCCCCCAGTATTTTATGGAGGCCCTAGGTATAACACTGATTGCTCACTTATTTTGTTGAAGCAGATGATATGGTGATTAAGAGCCTCAGCTTGGGAGCCAGACAGCCTGGGTTCAAATTCTTGCCCTGATAATTACTAGCTGTGTGATTTTGGGCAAATCACATCGCCTGTCTATGCCTTCCTTTCTTTATCTGTAAAATAGAGTTATAATGGTACCTACTTGCTTGAGTTAATACATGTACAGGGCTTCGAATGGGGCCTGGCATGTAGTAGGCACATTTCTTGAGCAATAAATGTTAGTCCTTATTCCTTATTTCTAATTGTATCAGGATGTTCCCACCGAATCCTGCTCCTCCTCCAGGGCTGTGCCAGCTGCCTCTCTTTCAGGCCAGACCTTGAACAATCTTTGCTGTAAGAAGGTATCACAAACTGGAAGGCTTACAGCTACAGGAGTGTATTCTGTTAGTGCTGGAGGCCAAAAGTCTGAAATCAAGGTGAGGGCCGGGCCTGCTCCCTCTGAAATCTTTCTTGCCTCTTCCTAGGGGGATCCTTCCTTGCCTCTGCCTAGCTCCTGGTGGTTTCCCAGCAATCCTCAGCGTTCCTTGGTGTGCGGGTGCGTAACTCCAGTCTCTGCCTTCCTCATCACAGGGCATTCTCCCTGACTTCACATAGCTGTCTCCTTAGAAGAACGCAGTTCTATCAGATTAGGGGCCCATTCTACTCAAGGATAGCCTCATCTTTAATTACTAATTAAACTTGCAAGGACACCATTCTCAAATCAGATCACATTCTGAGGTCCATATCTTTTTTTTTTTGAGGGGATTGGAGAGAACAATTCGACCCATAATAGCAAATCTCTCTTGTCCCTGGGGAAGCTGTGTCTTTAAAAAGAGCTAGATGGGGAATAAAGAGATTTCAAAGCCAACAAGAAAAATGGTCTTGAAGTGGATGCTCTGGTTCTCCGTGTCTCTGGTTTACTGGCTGGACTGAGCTCCCTGGGTAGTTTTATTCTCCGATCGCTGCCGTCACCCATATTCTGTCTTCCCTGTCCCTTCATGGGTTGTACGGACTGCCGATCACACTGGAGCATGAGGGAGTCCCGGCCAGTCTGGCCCAGTTGAAAGCCCCACCTCTCCTCTGGGTTAACATGGAGGAGGGAGGGCACAGGGAAAAGGTCTCTCCCCTAATAGCTTCCTGTTGGGGACTCCCTCACCTCTTGTGGCCAATGCCATCTCTCAGGCCATCCCTGACTGGCCATCAGGGATTTCTGTGTCATTAGGGCCGGATGGTGGCTCTGGCATGGGGTGCAGGTCCTTGGGGGATCCTTGGAGGCCTCTTTTCCTTGCATTCCCACAGCTGACTCTGTGTGCCCTCTTTTTCTCCCGTAGCTCCCCTTCCCTGCCTGTTTTCCTCTGGGCCCCCTTGCCTGGTCAGCAGCCCTCTTTGCTGGCAGAGCAGCAAGATGTCTCCCTCCCATGATGCCCTCTTGGCTCCTGGAAACCTCCCACTCCCTTGCTACCCAGTTGCTGGGGCTGGGGTGTGGGCTATTCCACGTGTCCTCTCTGCCTGCCCATATTTTTTCATAGTTCATTCATAGTTCTTCTCCCCAAAAAGAGAGGCATGAGAGCAGGGGAGCCTAGGCAGACCCTCCACTGGAGAATGAGGTGTTGGACCCTCCTAAATGCAGCTCTGCTTTCTGAGATTTCACTTGGAACCCCCTACATTTGGCTTGAATTGAGGAAGTGAGAGTCATTCTCCCTTCCCAGGGGAGGGAAAAGTCTTAGTGCCACCTGCCTTCTCCTCAGGCTGGGACACTTAACTCCAAAGACCTCCCCCAACTCCCCACCTGCTTATTTAAAGGGGGCCCAGGGGAGGTAGAAGAGCTGGTCTGGCTGCCCCTTAATAAGTCCTGAGGTGCCCCCCACCACCATCTTGGTGGTTATCTTGGAAAGGAGTTCAATGTCCTTTTGTCCTCTGCCCTGGGTCACATTGCACTTAACAACCCTTGGCATCTGCACTTCAGCGCATCCTCCATAACCTGAAGACTCCAGAAAGGAGGAAGGGCTAAAAGTATGGGATAAGCTACCCCCAAATTATTGGTGCCTCCTCTGTACCAACTTTGTAACAGGTGTTTGTCTCCATGGACCCACTGGATGCTCTGTGAGCTCCATGAAGGTCCCATTTTCCCAGGACCAGGCCTGGATCCTGGTACATTATATATACTCAAGAAAACATCTGTTGAGAGAGTGACTGTGGTGGCTTTAGTGGTTGTCCTAAGGTTTACAGTATACATATTTAATTTGTCAGAGTCTATCTTCAAATAATATCATACCACTTTATATGTAGTATAAGAACCTTACAACAATATACTCTCCATTCCTCTCTCTCTTCCACTATGCTACTCTTACCATGCATTTTGTTTTTACATTTGCCACAAACACACAGTACTTTGCTACTGTTTTGCTTTAGATGGTCAAATATATTTTAGAATAACTAAAAATATGAAAAAAGCAAAATTTATATTTATCTTCTTTTATGCCATTTCTAGCATTTCTTATTTCTTTGCATAGATACAAGTTTCTTTCTGGCATCATATTCCTTCTGCCTGGAGAACATCCTTTAACACATCTTATAGTGCAGGTCTACTGGTAATTAATGCCCTGATTTTGTTTGACTGAAGAAATCTCACACTTCTTCCTCACTTTTGAGAGATATTTCCACTGGGTATAGAATTTTAGGTTGACAGTTGTTTGCTTTCAGCACTGTAAAGCAGTCACCCCACTCTCTTTTGCTCTGCATAGTTTCTGATGGGAAGTTGGCTATAATTCTTATCTTTTCCCTTCTGAATGTAATATGCCTTTTTTCTTTGGCTGCCTTCAAGATTTTCTCTTTATCTTTGGTTTTCGGTAGTTTGAATATGATTGTGTCTAGGGTTGTAGGGTTTGTTTGTTTGTCTGTTTGTTTTCTTTTTCTTTTTTGGTCTTGCTTAGTGTTTTCTGAACTTTCTGGATCTGTGGTTTGGTGTCCATCATTAATTTTGAAAAAATTCCCAGCCATTATCTCTTCAAATATTTCTTCTGCCCTATTCTCTTTCTGTTTTACTTCTCAGATTCTAATTATGTTATGTATGTTAGCTCATTTGATATTTGACATTCTTTCATAGCTCTGAGATGCTCTCATCTGTTTTTGGTCTCCCCCACCTCCCACTGTTTGGATAGTTTTTAACTGATCCATGTTCAAGTCCACTGATTCTGATTCTTTCCTTGGCTGTGTTAAGTCTACTGATGTGCTCATTTAAGATTTTTATTTTTTAAGAGATAAGGTATTTCTCTGTCACCTAAGGCTGGAGTGCAGTGGTGCAATCATAGCTTACTGAAGCTTCTAACTCCTGGGCTCAAGTGATCCTCCTACCTCAGTCTCCAGACTGAGGCGCATACCACCGTGTCTAGTAAAGTTTTTATTTTTTTATTTTTACAGAGACAGGGTCTTGTTGTGTTGCCTATGCTGGCCTTGAACTCTTGGGCTCAAGTGATCCTCCTGCCTCAGCCTCCCAAGTAGCTAGGATTGCAGGTGTCTCCCAAAGTGCTGGGATTACAGCTGCCAAGCCCAGACCATCTAAGACATTCTTTATTGCTGATACTGTGCTTTCTATTTTTGGCATTTACATTTGATATTTTCTTCTAGTTTCCACCTTTTTGCTGAAATTTCCCATTTGTTCATGCATGTTGTCTACTTTTTCCATTAGAGCCTTTAAGATAGTAATCATAGTTATTTAAAAGTCCATATATGATAGTCCCAACATCTGGGCCATATCTGAGTCTGGTTGTTGATTTCTTTTTTCTTTCTCTCCCTTCCTTCCTTCCTTCCTTCTTCCCTTCCTTTCCTCCCTTCCTCCCTCCCTCCCTCCCTTCTTTCTCTCTCTCTCTTTCTTTCCTTCCTTCCTTCCTTCTTTCCTTCCTTCCTTCTTTCTTTCTTTCCTTCCTTCCTTCCTTCTATCTTTCTTTTTTCTTTCTTTCTTTCCTTCTTTCTTTCTTTCTTTTTTTCTTTCTTTCCTTCCTTCCTTCCTTCCTTCCTTCCTTCCTTCCTTCCTTCCTTCCTTTCTTCTTTCTTTCTTTCTTTCTTTCTTTCTTTCTTTCTTTCTTTCTTTCTTTCTTTCTTTCTTTCTTTCTGACAGTTTCACTCTTATTTTCCAGGCTGGAGTGCAATGGCATGGTCTTGGCTCACTGCACCCTCTGCTTCCCAAGTTGAAGCGGTTCTCCTGGCGTGGAGACCAGGTGCCAAACAACTGGTAAAAATTCAGCTAAAGTTTTAATAAGTTGCTAAGGCTGAGTATGGCTGGGATAGAAATATGGATCCACTGGGAGCAGCAGACACACGGGGAATTTGCACCTGTTCACAGGCTCATCTTCATGGATGGCGTTGGGTGCTATGAGAAAGACTGGGGATAGAGTGAGAGATGAGAGAAAGCCTGCCTTGTGGTGCAAGCCTAGGGGAGGGGAGCAGCAGCCACTGCTGGAGAAGAGCCATAAGACACTGGGAAAGGTTGGCAAATCCTGTCACCCTCAGTGCCCATTGCAGCTGGGAGAAGGGAAAAGAAAAATTCCTATCCTGATGGGCAAGGGGCGAGGGTGAGAAGGCCCCACCCCCAAGACCCAGGGACACAGTGCCTGCCTAAGACTGAAGCAGTACCAGGACAGCAGAGAACAAACAACCTCCACGCAGTATACACGCACACCTTCCAGCCCCAGGCTAGCAAGTATCAAGTAACAAGTAGTAGTCTGCTGCTGGAGAAGGATCAAGAGCACATGGAGAAGCCAGGCATGGCGGCACGTGCCTGCAGTCCCAGCTACTCAGAAGGTCGAGGCATGAAGATCACTTGAGCCCAGGAGTTCAAGACCAGCCTAGGCGACATAGAGATGCAGGATCTCTGACGTGCAGGATCGTAGACAAAGTCTGGAGCTGAGGGTGGAATAAGATCATTGAAGAAAAAAACGCTCCTGGTTCCACCTTAAACACAAAGGAATGCTAGAAGAATTTGAAGCCCACGGTGCACTGATGGTAAGCCAGTAACAACAAAGGCCAAACCCAGCTCCATTCTTGTCCCCTACACTTAAGGCCTAGCAAAAGAAAAGGCATGCCCATTTCCAGTCATAAATACCATTTACCTCATCTCTACCATCCCATGCAAGATGTCTGTCTGTAAACAGAAAATTAGAAGACATACAAAGAAACAAGATAAAATAACATATTGTCAAGAGACAAAGAAATCAACAACCAAGGCCAGGTGTGGTGGCTCATGCCTGTAATCCTAGCAATTTGGGAGGCAGAGGTGGGTGATTTGCCTTAGCCCAGGAGTTCAAGACGAGCCTGGGAAACATGGCAAAGCCCCGCCTCTACAAAAAAAAAAAAATACAAAAATTAGCCAGGCATGGTGGTGTGCACCTGTGGTCCTAGCTACTCAGGAGGCTGAGATGGGAGATCACCTGAGCCCAGGGAGGTCAAAGCTGTAGTGAGCTGTGGTTGCGCCACTGCGCTCCAGCCTGGGCGACAGAGCAAGACCCTGTCTCAGAAAAATAAATAAATAAATAAAAAATAAAAGATATAAAACGGTAGATTATCTGGCCTTTTCTCGTTGTGAGGGTGGATGTGATACTCTTTCCAGCTTTCTCCATCCTAAGTGGAGGCTGGAGGGGAAAGTGGAACAGTTGTGGAACATGCACACACATTCTTTGAATGCAGTGGAAGTGACTCTGCACAGCTTCTGAGGCTGTGTCATAGAGGGTGAGGCAGCTTCCACTTTGCTCACTGGAGTTCTGAGCTACTATGTCAGAGGTTCAATTACTCCGAGATAGCCAGGCTGTGAGGAAGCTGATTCTCAGCTGTCGTATTGACATGCCTTACCTTGGAGTTCAAATCAGCCCCTAATCAAATTGGATTCTGTATTTCTAGCCATTAAGAAATCCAGGGAGATCAATAATAATAACAGAGACATTCAGAGAAGCACAGTGCCTCTCTGGAAAAATGAAGGGAGTTTCGTCCCACTCAGCCATGGCCCAGACAAAGACAGTTGTAAGCAAATGGAGGTGATGATGGTTTTGTTTAACTGTCCTGGCACATCAAATAGCCAGTCCAATTCCCCCACACAAGTCTTAGCAACAGGGGAATGCAGAATATCCTAAGATTGCTCAGTGGGGCCCAACTGTCATCAGTGGGGCAGCAGCCATCTAGTGCATGATGTGATCATTAACTAGCCTGTGACAGAGAACATCTGATGGGTACAAGCTTTGTTTGAGGGCTGGGAGGAAAACCTCAGGGACTTGAGGAAATCCTGGAATCCTGGTCACAGATCACTTGGTCATCTATCTGCAAGGTCCTTTGTAAAGTTTCTGTTCTTTTGGTGGATTCAAAGGAGATTGGAGTGAGCTAGAAGATCCCTTCCTCTGATATTGCTTTTGGGTCCAAGGTGTAGATGGGTGGTTTCATCTCAGGTGATGAATGGCAGTCTGGAGTGCTGTGTTGAGAAGGATTCTGAGGTTCTGTCCAGGTTCAGCAGGAAAGAGCTCTGTGGTCAATTTGTGATGTATCCCACGGAGGCAGGGAGTGGAAGAGGCATATTTGCTCCATATTTGTAAGCTGTCTTAGGTCGGTTCCAGGGAAGCGGACTCTGAGGTGGGGATTTGCATGCAGGAAGTTTATTGGGGCATGCATTCAGGAACATTTGCGAGAGTGAGAAAGCCAGGTTGGGCAACAGAGGCCTCCTCAGTCAATCCTATGGGTGTCTCTGGAGTTGTCTTCCATTGAGGCCAGGTGTGAACCAGCCATTGATGCAGCCAACACTCCTGAAAGTTGGGGGAATGAGGTCCTTTTTTGTCCAGGCAATCATGTGCCCAGCTGCAAGGGATGAATGATGGGTGATCCAAATTATTATGACTACTCCATTCCTCCTTGCTAGTGACCAGTCTAGGGGTAGGCGTGTGACCTCATCCAGTCAATGACATTGAAGGGCAAGTGTGCTAGGGGCTCCAATAAAGACTCTCTTTCTTGATAAAGGAGACGTTAGAAGGAACACTTTCTCCTCTCCTTTCTTCATTGGGATGTGAAGCTTGGAGTTTCAGCAGCTATTTTGAGAGCAGGAAGGAGATATTTCCCACACACCGTGGATGTCAGAGTGAAGGGCCTGAGTCTGGGTGACCTCACTGAACCATTGCACCAATCCAGATACCTCTCACCACCAGCTTCCTTGGCATGTGAAATTAACAAGCGTCATAATTTAAGCACTTTAGTCAGGCATTCTGCTATTGCAGTGGAATGCTTCCTGAAACAGTTCCCCTCAAAGGAACACCATTCAATGAGTACATGGCTGCCTGTATCCAAACTGAGTTCTGTGAGCCAAGAAATATGGGAATGGCTTGAGGATAGGACATCAGGTCTCCTGGAAACATTTCTTATTTTTGTTTTCCTAGCATAGTTTGCATCAGAGAAATGCACCTTCCATACTCCACATAATCCTGGAGGGCTGTCAATCACAGACCCACATCCCCAGGCCAACAGGGCAGGCACTATTACCCAAAATAAATCAATCAGACTTCATCTCCTGGGAATTCAAACCTTAAATGAAGACACAGGGTGGGGACTCCTGTGCTGTCTCTCCCAAGAGCCTCTTGTTGGGTCCTTTTGCATCCTCTTTTTCATTTTTTTTCTTCTCTTTTTTTTTTTTTTAGATGGAGTCTCACTCTGTCACTAGGCTGGAGCGCAGTGGTGCGATCTCAGCTCACTGCAACCTCCGCCTCCCGGGTTCAAGCAATTCTTCTGCCTCAGCCTCCTGAGTAGCTGGGACTACAGGCACGCGCCACCATGCCTGGCTAATTTTTTGTATTTTTAGTAGAGACGGGGTTTCACCATGTTGGCCAGGATGGTCTCAATCTCCTGACCTTGTGATCTGCCCACCTTGTCCTCCCAAAGTGCTGGTTGCACCCTCTTTTCTCTCTACAAGTCTAACTCCACACTGCAGGCAGAGTTATCATTTAAATGCAAATCTGATCTTGTCACTCTCTTAAAACTCCTCAGTGGCTCCCCAGTGCTTTTGGGATCAAGGCCACCATTCTTCTGGTGGACTATGGACAAGCTGATGGATATTCTGTGGGATACATCACAGCCAGCTGGAGGCATGGGTTTATAGGTGAGGGATGGCAAGGATATGGGGGTGTTCAAAGGAGGAGAAGGGACCCTGGAAGAAATTGTGATGTCATTCAGGACTACAGGATAGGCATGAATGGAAGGGCTATGTGTTGGGTAATTACTTTGTGCAGGCACCTGCCAAGTACAAGCACACCTGAGAAGCATGACTCTCCCCATTGTGTAGCAGAAGAACCAACACTCGGATGGGTTAGATAACTTGCCCAAGGTCATAGAGCTTGTCAGAGGTAAAACCCGAAATTGAACCAGATCACTGTCCTCGATTTCAAAGTCCACTCCTTTAGCTACAAGTCCATCCACCGCTTTTGTGACAGACATTGTAATGTGCTCCCCAGGACCCCTTTAGGAATTGCTATGGTTTGAATGTTCACGTCCGCTCCAAAATTCATGTTGAAACTTAATCTCCAATGCAACAGTACTAAGAGGAGAAGCCTTTGAGAGGTGGTTAGGCCATGAGGGCTCTGCCTGCGTGGATGGGATTAGTGCTTTATAAAAAGGCTTGAGGGTGTGTGTTCACCCATTCATTCCTTCTGCCATGTGAGGACAAGGTGTTTGTCCCCTCTGGAGGATGCAACATTCAAGGCACCGTCTCGGAAGTAGAGAGCAGCCCTCACCAGACACTGAATCTGCTGGCACCTTGATCTTGGACTTCTCAGCCTCCAGAACTATAAGAAGTATATTTTTGTTTTTTTATAAATTACTGAGGTTGAGGTTTTTTGTTCCAGCAGCACAAATGGACTGAGACAGAAATGAAGGATTTATTCCCATGGCTTCTGGGAACGCTGCCAGAAGACAGCCCTCAGCTATTAGCCTTCTTTGGAGATTGTCTCAAGAGAAGAAAACGGTCTCATACCAAGGTCATGCCTCCTTCCAGAGGCAGCCTTCATCCAACAACTGACCAAAGCTGTGGTACAGAGACCTGGTCCAGTTGCCCTAGTTCAGGTCAACTCCAAAGGGCCATCCCAACTGGAGAGCCCCTCCCAGAGTCAGCTGAACCTTCAATGAGACTCTGCAGCCGCACCGCTCCCTCTGCCCAATCCTGCCTCTGTCCCCTCCCATCCTCAGGTGTGAGCCTAACAGCACGCCCCATAAACATCCTGCAAACTCATCTCCATCTAAGTCTGCTTCCCCGGGAACCCAGCTTGTGACAGACCCCAGATTTCTTACCAAGAATTTGTTTCTGCTGTTTCCTCTAACTGAAATGTGGTTCCCCCAGCCTCTCTCTCTCTCTCTTTTTTTTTTTTTGAGACGGAGTCTCGCTCCGTTGCCCAGGCTGGAGTGCAGTGGTGTGATCTTGGTTCACTGCGACCTCCGCCTCCCAGGTTCAAGCAATTCTCCTGCCTCAGCCTCCCAAGTAGCTGGGACGACAGCTACTGGGACTACAGTGCCACCATGCCCAGCTAAGTTTTTATATTTTTAGTAGAGACAGGGTTTCACCATATTAGCCAGGAAGGTCTCGATCTCCTGACCTCATGATCTGCCCGCCTCAGCCTCCCAAAGTGTTGAGATTACAGGCATGAGTCACTGCGCCCGGTGTAGCCTCTCTTTATCAAGATGTTCCTGCTCATTCTCTGAGTGAGAGTGGCGTGAACACAGCTCTGCCACAGTCAGGCTGGTTTCTAGCCATATACCTCATGACTGTTCCTACTGTAGTGCCTTAGCTTGTGGTATACCCCCAGTCCTCCTGGAATGTCCTTCACCATCCTAACCCTACCACCTTAGCTGGACTCAGAGGAACAAATATATAGGACTGACAATTACAGTCGCTCAGGATGCTCACTGCACAACTCCCAGGGGGCACCATTCCCAGTTCAGCGATCAACCTGTCCAGCATCACTTTGCAAATTATGCTACAGGAGGTTGAGAGCCAGGCTTTGGGTCAAAAGGACCCAGATATGAATCCTGGTTCTGCTGCTTATTAGCTATGTAGCTTTAGAGGAAACATTAATTCTTGTTTCCTTGGTGTTTTCATCTGCAAAATGAGGGTATACCATACCGTAGTGATTATTTTTACTTTTTTTTTTTTTTGAGATGGCGTCTCGCTCTGTCACCCAGCCTGGAGTGCAGTGGTGCGATCTTGGCTCACTTTGCAGCCTCTGCCTTCCAGGTTCCAGCAATTCTTCTGCCTCAGCCTCCTGGGTAGCTGGGATTACAGGCGCACACCACCACGCCTGGCTAATTTTGGTATTTTTAGTAGAGATGGAGTTTCACCATGTTGGCCAGACTGGTCTCGAACTCCTGACCTCAGGTGATCCACCTGCCTTGGCCTCCCAAAGCGCTGGGATTATAGGCAAGAGCCACCGCGTCCAGCCCATATTGTATTGATTCTAAGATGCACAGTTTTTCATTTTCACATCTCTGAAATTAGGCTATATCTTACAATTGCTGGTATGCTATATTTCTAATCAGTAGCATTTTTTCTTTCTTGGTGTTGATAAAATCACGGTGCATATTATAAGTAATGCCATGGTAGACTTGTTGAAAGATGGAAAAATATCTATCTCAGAGGAGGATGGATAAGACCAGCATGGGATGCCCAGGGTGTCACCCACCCTGTATCCCCTCAGTCTACCCTGAGGGTCACCTGCAGCTTCTTTGGAAGTTCTTGTACACCATGTAAATGGAGCAAGTCATTTCCAACCCCCCTTTCTCAGTTTCCTTGTCTGTATAAAGGGTACATAATAGCACCACCTCATAGAAGGTTTTTTTTCATTTTTTTTCTGAGACAGAGTCTTGCTCTGTCACCAGGCTGCAGTGCAATGGCGTGATCTCAGCTCACTGCAAGCTCCGCCTCCTGGGTTCAATCGATTCTCTTGCCTCAGCCTCCCGAGTAGCTGGGATTATAGGCGCCCGCCACCACACCCAGCTAATTTTTGTATTTTTAGTAGAGACGGGTTTCACCATGTTGGCCAGGATGGTCTCAATCTCTTGACCTCATAATCCGCCCACCTTGGCCTCCCAAAGTGCTGGGATTACAGGCGTGAGCCACCGCACCCGACCTTTTTTTCTTTTTAAAGAGGGTCTTGCTCTGTCACTCAGGCTGGAGTGCAGTGGCACAATCATAGCTCACTGTAGCCTTGAACTCCTGGGCTCAAGCAATCCTCTCACCTCAGCCTCCTGAGTAGCTGGTACTACAGCTCATCAAAAAAAAAATTTTTTTTTAGAGACAACATGTGTCTAAATGCTTAGGATGGTCTCGAGCTCCTGGGCTCAAGCAAACCTCCCACCTTGGCCGCCCAAAGTGCTGGGATTACAGGCGTAAGCCACTGTGCCCAACTCTCATACAGTTTCATGAGGACAAAATGAACTCGGGATGGCGAAGTGGGTGTGCCCTGTGTCAGCCTGCATGCTGCCAGGTGCAGCTCTCACAGCCTAGGCTGAGGCCATTGGCAATGGCAATGCAGTCTCTGTCTGTCTGCCTGGCTTTTGTTCATCTCTGGCTGTTGGGAGATTCGAGGTGAGGTAGGAGGTAGCTCCTCATCCCAGGTAGGCAGGAGGACCTGGGTGGCAGTCCTCGCTCTGCCAGCTTGGGTGAGTCTCACTACCTCTCTGAGGCCCAGCTTCTTATCTGTATTAGTGATCTCTTGGGCTTATTGTAGGACTAAAAGTTTGTGAAGGTAAAGTGCTTGGCGCATGGTAGATGCTCAGTTTTAAAACAGAACTTCTGCCTGGCCAAAAGAAAAGACTGGCTGGGGGCTGACATGGAGGCATATTGCCCAGTGGCCCACTCCTGAAGATGGTGAAGGTAGTATAAGTGTAAGAGCCCACACTCAGAGCCTGTCCCTACCTGCTGAGACTCCAGGATTAAAAACCTGAAGTACAGCCGGGTATGCTGGCCCACGCCTATAATCATAGCACTCTGGGAGGCTGAGGCGGGTGGATCACCTGAGGTCAGGAGTTCGAGACCAGCCTGGCCAACATGGTGAAACCCCATCTCTACTAAAAATACAAAAATTAGCCGGGCGAGGTGGTGGGCACCTGTAACCCCAGCTACTTGGGGGGCTGAGGCAGGAGAATCGCTTGAACCTGGGAGGCGGAGGTTGCATCGAGCCAAGATCGTGCCTTTGCACTCTAGCCTGGGCGACAGAGTGAAACTCCGTCTCAGAAAGGCTAACAAACAAACAAACAAACACCTGAAGTACCACAGGCATCTCAGATCATTCCTGCCTCCAGGCTGGAAGGACTCTGTGATGTTGTGATATTATAAGAAATACACGCGTGTAATCCTGGCACTTTGGGAGGCCGAGGCAAGCGGTTTGCTTGAGCTCAAGAGTTCGAGACCAGCCTGGGCAACATGGCAAAATCCTGTTTCTACGAAAAAAATACAAAAATTAGCCGGGCATGGTGGCACACACCTGTAGTCCCAGCTGCTTGGGAGGCTGAGGCAAGAGGATTGCTTGAGCCCAGGAGGTAGAGGCTGCAGTGAGCTGAGATCACGCCACTGCACTCCAGCCTGGGCGACAGTGAATATATACTTATTTGGTCTCTGCCTATGGTTCCTGAGATAGAGATCCTAAGACCTTGTAATTTCCTGAGCAATAGGGGAGTGAGGAGAATCTTTTGTTCTGATATTCGGTCTTTGACCCCAGTTCCTGACACAAAGCTCCAAAAACCTTTTTAATTGCCTGAGTAATGGGAGCACGTAGCACAGCTCCTAAATCCCTCAGGATTCCCCGGGTGACAGGAGCTTCTTTTGTTCTTACGAGGTGACTCTTGGGGGGCTCCTGGACAGCCTCAGAATGGGGGTTGGTTGCCAAGGGAACCAACCATGTGATTAGAGAGTTGGAACTTTCAGCCCCACCCCCTAACTCCAGGAAGGGGAGAGGGGCTGAAGGTTGAGTGGGTTACCAGTGGCCAGTGATGTAATCAGTCACGCCTATGAAATGAAGCCTCCATCAAAACCCAAAAGGATTGGGTACAGGGAGCTTCTAGGTTACTGAACACGTGAAGGTGCCTGGAGGGTGGTGCTCCCAGAAGGCGGGGAAGCTCTGTGCTCTCTCACTCCCACGTCCCTTGCCCTGTTGACTTCTTCACCTGGCTGTTCATCTGTCCTGTGTAATATGCTTTGTAACAAACCTGTAAACATAAGTGCTTCCCTGAGTTCTGTGAGCTGTCCTAGCAAGTTAACCTAACTCGAGGGAGTCGTGGGATTCTTAGTTTGCAGGCTGTCATTCAGTGGTGACGACCTATTACTTGCAACTAGCCTCTGAAGTGGGGGCAGAGTTGTGGAACTCTGTGTGATCTGATGCTATCTTCACGTAGAGAGCATCAGAATGCATCTGAACTAATTGAATTAGAGGACACCCTCTTGGTGTCTGCTAGAGAACTGCTTGGTGTGTGGGAAAACCTCTCACTCACACATCTGCTGTCAGAAGTGTTGTGTTGTGTGGTGTGTGAAAGTAGAAAAACATTTTTTCCACTTACCTCTCTCTCTCTCTTTTTTTTTGGAGACAGGGTCTGGCTCTGTCGCCTAGGCTGGAGTACAGTGGCTTGATCTCGGCTCACTGCAGCCTCTATCTCCCAGGTTCCAGCCATCCTCCCACCTCAGCCTCCTGAGTAGCTGGGACTACAGGCACATGCCACCATGCCTGGCTAATTCTTTTTTTTTGGTAAAGACAGGGTTTTTTTATGAACTCCTGAGGTCAAGCAATTACCCACCTCAGCCTCCCAAAGTGTTGGGATTACAAGCATGAGCCACTGCACTGGGCCTCCACTTATCAATTTTTTTTGTTTGTTTGTTTTTTGAGACAGAGTCTTGCTCTGTTGCCGAGGCTGGAGTGCAATGGTGTGATCTCAGCTCACTGCAACCTCCACCTCCCAGATTCAAGCGATTATCCTGTCTCAGTCTCCTGAGTAGCTGGGATTACAGGCAAGCGCCACCACACCCGGCTAATTTTTGTATTTTTAGTAGAGATGAGGTTTCACCATGTTGGCCAGGCTGGTCTCGAACTCCTGACCTTGTGATCTGCCCACCACGGCCTCCTAAAGTGCTGGGATTACAGACATGAGCCACCGTGCCCAGCCCACTTATCTCTTATAGACCCCAAACCTCCAACCAAGTTTCATCTCTGACCAAAAACCTCTCTGCCACCTTGTGTACGGACCAAGATTCCACCATTGTCACGCTTTCCTGGCATCTCAGGCTGGCACATTCCACATCTATTCTAATCTTCCTTCAGACACTGTTTTTCTCCTATGATACCATTAACTAGGAGTTGTCCACTCTCTACTTGAATGCTCCTAGCCATGAGGATCTCCCTCCCTCCTGAGACAGCCTCCTTCAGCAGAGTCCAGCTGTCTCCTGTGCAGTTCTTCCTTACATGCAGCTCCTGCCTGACCCTCCCAGGCCCCCATGCTCAGTCCTAGGTCTGTCCCTGGGGCCACCCAGAAGTGGTCTGCTCCGCCTACATCCCCATCCCCACAAGGATGAAATGTTCCTTATAGGACAAGGTGTATCTACCATTTCTTTTTTTTTTTTTCTTTCCTTCCTTCCTTCCTTCCCTCTCACTTTCTTTCTTTCTTTTTTTTTTTTTTTTTTCTGAGACAGAGTCTCTCTGTCACCCAGGCTGGAGTGCACTGGTGCAATCTCAGCTCACTGCAAGCTCCACCTCCCAGGTTCAAGCAATTCTCCTGCCTCAGCCTCTGGAGTAGCTGGGGCTACAGGCACATGCCACTACACCTGGCTAATTTTTGTATTTTTAGTAGAGACAGGGTTTCACCATGTTGGCCAGGCTGGTCTTAAACTCCTGACCTCGGGTATTCCACCCGCCTTGGCCTCCCAAAGTGCTGGGATTGCAGGTGTGAGCCACCATGCCTGACCCATCATTTCTTTAAGAAAATAAAACACCTCTCTCTTTAAATATATGCCTTTCTTTTTTTAAGTGGAAAAGTAATCCATGTGCATTGTTGAAAACATGGGAAATGTATGTCAAAGTAGAAAGATTAAAATTACCCATAATTCCAACTCCCAGAAACAACCACTATTAACTTTTACTTCTGCCTTCCTATTCATTTTCCCCATAATTGAGCGCATAGTGCATAGAAAATTTGGTGCTCTGCTTTTTCCACATAACATTATTACAGGAATATTTCGCTGTACCATTCAAATTTCTTTCAAACATGATTTTTATTTTTAATGATTATGTAGTACACCATTGTCTAGACAATTTACTGATCGTTCCCAATTGTTAGACATTTGGGTCATATTTAATTTTTAACTATGATGTCACAATGCTGTGGTTAAAAAAAAGTTGTATATAAAGTATTTTACCGCTTTCAAATTATTTCCTTAGACTCATATCCTAGAAGTATTACCATTAGGTCCAAGGGTTGTAGGTATTTTAAAGACGACATTCTCCCAACTTTTTTGTCTTTAACAGCTTTAATGGGATGATAAATACAGCTTGAGAAACATATTGTGTGACAAGATGTCACACCAATAGCCAGACTGTAAAACTGTACACAACATCCTTTTATAAAGTTTTATCATTTGTTTTCAATTTTATAAAGATGTCTTACTGTACTGGTCATTTATATCTTATCATTCACACACCAGCAGTACAGATCCCAGGGACAGCGCCTAGGACTGAGGTGCTCCAAGGAGGACAGAGGCAAAGGCATGGCATTCTGCTGAGAAAAGACTTGTAAGAGCAATTCATTATTTTATTTTATTATTAAATTTGTTTTTAAATTATTATTAAAATATTTTTCATGATGGGGTCTCACACTGTTGCCCAGGCTAGAGTGCAGTGGCTCCAGTACAGCTTACTACAGCCTCCACTTCGAGGGCTCAAGCAATCCTCCTACTTCAGCCTTCTGAACAGCTAGGACAATAGGCGTGTGCCCCTATGCCTGGCTAATTTGTTTTAGTTTTTGTAGAGATAGAGTTTCACTGTGTCAACCAGGCTGTTCTCAAACTCCTGGCCTCCCAAAGTGCTGGGGTTACAGACGTGAGCTACTACGCCCAGCCCAATTCATTACCTTAAAACCAATTTTTACTCATGCTAAAATCATATGAGTGGGCCGGGTGCGGTGGCTCACACCTGTAATCCCAGCACTTTGGGAGGCCAAGGCTGGTGGATCACGAGGTCAAGAGATCGAGACTATCCTGGCTAACATGGTGAAACCCCGTCTCTACTAAATAATACGAGAAATTAGCTGCGTGCGGTGGCGGGTGCCTGTAGTCCCAGCTACTCGGGAGGCTGAGGCGGGAGAATGGTGTGAACCTGAGAGGCGGAGCTTGCAGTGAGCCAGGATCGTGCCACTGTACTTTAGCCTGGGCAACAGAGCGAGACTCCGTCTCAAAAAAAAAAAAAAAAAAACTCGTATGAGTGTCCATTATATGTACTTTTTCCAACATTAAATACTGTTTTTCAATATTTGCAAATTTGATAGGTAAAAATGAACACATTTTTCATTTTCTTCAAATTTTTTAAAATTTTATTAATATGGAATACTTTAATATTTATTGGTCGGCCGGGCGCGGTGGCTCACGCCTGTAATCCCAGCACTTTGGGAGGCCGAGGCGGGTGGATCATGAGGTCAGGAGATCGAGACCATCCTGGCTAACAAGGTGAAACCCCGTCTCTACTAAAAATACAAAAAATTAGCCAGGCGCGGTGGCGGGCGCCTGTAGTCCCAGCTACTGGGGAGGCTGAGGCAGGAGAATGGCGTGAACCCGGGAAGCGGAGCTTGCAGTGAGCCGAGATTGCGCCACTGCAGTCCGCAGTCCGGCCTGGGCGACAGAGCGAGACTCCGTCTCAAAAAAAAAAAAAAAAAAATTTATTGGTCATTCGTATTTCTTCTCGTGCAAACTGTCAATGTCGCTTGTCTCTTTATCTGCTAGGGGTCTTACTAGGTGTTTTACTTGTTGATTTATAAGAACTCTCTATATATTAAGGATGTTTTGGAAGCCAACTATTATCTCAACTTGTTGTTTGCCTATATGTTTCATTTGTGAGTGTCTGTAGAGATCATTTAAATTTCATGAGCCGAGTGTATCAGTCTTTTATTTTGTGATTCTTTTTTCTCCTTTGCTTTTTTTTTTTTTTTTTTTTTTAGACAGGCTCTCACTCCCATCGTGGAGGCTGGAGTACAGTGGTGCATTCACGGATCACTGCAGCCTCAACTTCCTGAGCTCAGGTGATTCTCCCACCTCAGCCTCCTGAGTAGCTAGGACTACAGGTACATAGCACCACGCCTGGCTGATTTTTTGTATTTTTGGTAGAGACGGGTTTTGCCATGTTGCCCAGGCTGGTCTTGAACTCCTAGACTCAAGTGATCTGCCTGCCTTGGCCTCCCAAAATGCTGGGATTACAGGTGTGAGCCACTGCACCCTGCCTTCTCCATTGCTTTGTAATTTAGGAAGTCTTCCCCAACTTGATGAATATCTGTTTCTATTTTCTTCTAGGTTTTAAATGTTTGCTTACATTTAACTGGATTCCATCTGGAGTTTATTTTTGTATACATTTTGAGGGAAGGATCTCTGTGGATCTTCTTTTTTCTTTACCCAAATAGTAAATCAATTATGCACGAAATAGTTTTGGGTGCCCCCACCAGCCTCATCACCCATGGAAAAAGCTTTCATTCTTTCATGTCCTTCCTAAAGTGTGGGGACCAGAACAGGAACAAATAATTCTTAAACAATTAAATGAAAGCCTAAGCTAGATTCTTTTCAGCCTTCTTATAACAACCCTGAGAAGGAGATTGATTATCAGTCCCATTTATGGATGAGAAAGCTGAGGCTCAGAGACGTAAAGCAACTTTCCCGAGGTTAACACAGCTAGTCTGATCTGGAATTAGAACATACATTGTTTGACTGCTATATCCCCAGGCCTCAGCATTTATAATTGGTTTCAAGTTGAATTAGCTCTGGGTTCTCTTTACAGAGGAACCACCTGACTTTGCTACTGGGAGATGAGCATCCAGAGCCCAGACCTTCAGAGAATGGGCTTGGGAACCTGAGCCCAGAGGAAACACATGCCAAACCAGTTGGTGAATTTGTTTTTATTAATTTTTTTTTTTGAGACAGAGTCTGGCTCTGTCACCTAGGCTGGAGTGCAGTGGTGTGATCTCAGCTTGCTGCAACCTCACCTCCCGGGTTCAAGCAATTCTCCTGCCTCAGCCTCCCAAGTAGCTGGGATTACAGGTGCCCACCACCATGCCCGGCTAACTTTTGTATTTTTAGTAGTGATGGGGTTTCACCATGTTGACCAGGCTGGTGTTGAACTCCCGACCTCTGGTGTTCTGCCCGCCTTGGCCTCCCAAAGTGCTGGGATTACAGGTGTGAGCCACCATGCCCAGCCAAATTTGTTTTTCTTAAGTTAGCAAAATCCTACATTTTCACTGAAAATATTTTGGGTGTCTCAACAATCTTCACACCTCTGGTTTCCTTTAGGATGAATTTGGTTAGGCTGGTTTGTTTTGTTTTCTTGTTGCAAGGGACAGGTTCCCACTCAGTGGTTAAAATGAAGGGGCTTACTAAGGTCACAGAAACCAGGATGGATCCAGATGTGGTGACTCATGCCTATAATCTCAGCACCTTGGAAGGCTGAGGCAGGAGGATTACTTGCGGCCACTAGTTCAAGACCAGCCTGGGCAACATAGCAAGACCCTGTCTCTATAAAAAAATTGTTTTAAAAAAAATTAGCTGGGTGTGGTGGTGTGTGATTGTACTCTCAGCTACTTGAGAGGCTGAGGCAAGAAGATCACCTGAGCCCAAGAGTTCGAGGCTGCAGTGAACTATGATCACACCACTGCACTCCAGCCTGGGTGACAGAGCAAGATCCTGTCTCAGAAAAAAAAGAAAAAGAAGAAAAAGAAAAAGAAAAGAAAAGAAAGGAAGAAACCAAGAGAGAAAAACACAGTTCATAGGGGCTTTAGGACAAATGCCAGCCCTGCCCTTCAGTGCCCCTGGAAGTCACTGTCCTGCCTCTCTCTGCAGACTACAAGCTAGGCTGCTTCACAGGGTCCCACAGGGTGTCAGCCCCTGAGTTTGCATACAAACCTACAAAACACAGATTTGGGAGTAGTGTGCTTACCGGATTTGGGGGAACTGCCAATCTCTATGATTTTGCAACTCGAATAATCCTCACCTTAAAAAAATTTTTTTGAGAGTATCCAATTTTTTGTTGTTGTTGTTTTTGTTTGTTTGTTTTTTGAGATGGAGTCTTACTCTGTCACCAAGGCTGGAGTACAGTGGCACAATCTCAGCTCACTGCAACCTCTGCCTCCCAGGTTCAAGTGATTCTCTTGCCTCAGCCTCCTGAGTAGCTGGGATTACAGGTGCGTGCCACCATACCTGGCTAATTTTTGTATTTTTAGTGGAGACAGGGTTTCAACTAGTTGGCCAGGCTGGTCTTGAACTCCTGACCTCAAGTGATCCGCCCACCTTGGCCTCCCAAAGTTCTGGGATTACAGGTATGAGCCACCATGCCTGGCTCTAATTGGTTGTTGATCAACCAATGAATTCACTGTGTCTAGTCAGGTGACCATCTCTAGCTCCATCAACTGTAATGGTAGCTGTGGGAGGTCGCGTGGTTCCCAGGACGCCCCTCTCCAGAGCTTGAGGTGAGGCAGAGAAACTGACATCCCCGTCTCACCAGAGGTACCCAATTCTGTATTCCACGGGTGGTTGAATTTCCTTCATCCCATATTTAATGTTCCAAGGCAGAGCTGCTATTGTTTTATTTTGCCAAAAAAAGGTAATATATAGCAAACAAACAACATGATCCCCATTTAGTATCACCACCATTTCAGAAACCATAGGTAACTTGCACCTCAAAACTAAAGGTTAGAGATAATCCCAAAGTAAAGGACAGCCTTCCTTGCGACGGATAATTGGCCACCTCAGGACATTCTTGCTGGGGACCATGGGCACAGGCACCAGTCCATGAACCAGTACGTGGGATTCAAGCTTTCTTCTCTTGCCTGCTCCCGTGGGTACACTCTTTCCATGAGTGCAACTTTTAGAACATAAACAGGGGGCTATGGTCTCAAGTTAACTGCCTTCATGTCTGGGGTAAAGAGCCACATGCTGCCACCTTTAACTCTGTTTCATTCCCTGGAACCTCATGTGGCCGAGAGGTCAGCATTAAGTTAGGATAAGCTCCCGGGATCCCCAAGCCTGTCTCCAGGAAATACTTTAGACCCTCTCACCTCATTCCCACTTCATCCCTTTGGATCCAACTACTGATAAGACTTCGTGCCCCTGATCTCCTGTTTCCTGCAGGAGCTGGGGGCAGGGCCCACCTTTCCCAGCCCTTTGGGTTTGACCCATGGAGGAGCTTTGGGAGTAAACGTCCGGCGGATGAGCCACAGTTGGTGGAGCGGGCACTGTTGGAGCTCTACCCAGCTGCCCTCGGATCCTCTTAGCATTTCTGTTTGCCCAGGTTCCAGGTGTTTTCATCTGACAGCTTCCATGTGAGATTTTTCTTCAGAGGATTGCCCTTGGGCTCCTGGAGCCACTGGCTGCACAGCACAAGGACCTGGAAGTGCCTGCAGTTTACTTCCCCGCCGGGTGGCCCTTGGCCATAGATGGGCAGATACACAAGAGCATGAGTCCAGCTCCTTTGCCTCCAGGCACAAACCGAGCTGTAATTTACATTCCTCGGCTCCCAGTGGGATCAGATTGAGGCTGGGACGCTATCTGCTAGTGCACTCTTGCTTGGCTTTTTCTCTTTCCTATCTTCTTCCCCCACTCCTGCCAGTTTCTCCTAGGAGCACTTCATAAATCACTTGCCCAGGAATCGTTGTCTTTGGTTTGCTGCTAAGCCAGTCCCCCTGTCCTGGGGATCAGCAGGCTATGGCAAAAGTAATGCCCAGAGGAAAAGCAGGCTGTGAGTGTGCAGCACTTTTGCTAGCTCATGCTTGGGAGGGCCTGGACCAGCATCCTTGCATGCCCTAAATCAACAATGCTCCAGACTTGCAGGTGGTCTGATTTTCAATAGGAAAGTATAACCTATTTTTTATTTTTTACATTTAAAAATTATTTTTAAACTTACTTGGAGATAGTAAGAGTCACTTTTTTTTTTTTTTTGAGACAGGATCTTGCTCTGTTGTCCAGGCTGGAGTGCAATGGCGTGATCACAGCTCACTGCAGCCTTAAGCAATGCTTCCACCTTAGCCTCCTGAGTAGCTGGAGTACCGATGCACACCACCATGCCCGACTAATTTATTTTTTTGTAGCGAAGCAGTCTCATTATTTTGCCCAGGGTGGTCTCGAACTCCTGGGCTCTAGAGATCCCAATCCTCCCACCTCAGCCTCCCAAAATGTTGGGATTAAAGGCAAGAGCCACTTCATGCAGCGGAGAGTCACTCTTTTTGGTGTGTAGTTCTAGGAGTCTTGAAAAATGCATAGAATCAGAAACCACAATCACAATCAAGATATAGAAGCAGATTCTGTCATGTGGCCAGGGCCCTCTGTAACCAAACCTTCCCTTCACCCTGATCCCCTGGCAACCACTGATCTGTTCTTCATCACCATAGTTGTGCCTTTTCCAGAATGCCATATAAATGAAATCACACAGTAGCTTTGGCTTCTTTTAGGTAACACGATACCTTTGAGATTCATCCACATTTTTGCACGTATCCATTGCTGGTCCTTGTGGACGTTTTCAGTAATCAAAATGGAGTCACTTATGTTGACCCCGAACAAAATGGAGCCCATGGGCCTTGAAGGAAGGGCTCTCGTGCACATATGCCTATGACTGGAATGATTGTAAGGACTCTCTGAAAACCACAACAATTTCAAAAATTTCAGATAAGCCTCTTGCACAAGAACACTTGACTAACAATGGCTGCCTTCACCAATGAGTGGATGCCAACTATTGCAGGAGGCCCCTGTAACCAATGGTCCTTGTTTCAAAGCAGCTTTTGTGAACTTTTCCTTTTGTCTATAAAAGGAAACTCCTTTGGATATGCCTGTGGTTCACCAGAGCATGCATATCGCTCCTGCTATTCCCAAATAAACTCTTTGTTTTAAGTAACACAATATATTTGAAGTTTATCCAAGTTTTTGTATGTATCAATTGCTTGTCCTGGAGGGCAACTGTTCTGGAGAGCAGGTCTCTCTCCTGTTTACTTAAGGTAGACATCCTTTTTTTTATTGCTGAATAGGGTTACATTGTATAGCTCGACTACAGTTTAACCATTCCTCAATGGGGAAACATTTGGGGTTTCCAGTTTTTCATGATTATAATTAAAGCTGATATGAACATTTTCATATGTTTTTTGGTTCAACATAGGCTTTTGTTTCACTTGAGTAAATGCCAAAGAGATTTCTGGGTAGTTTGTTAAGTGTATATTTATCTTTGTAAGGAACTGCCAAGTGTTTTCCGGAGAAGTTGAACTATTTGGCCTTCCCACCAGCAATGTGTGAGAGTTCTTATTGCTTGACATCCTCACCAGTGCTGTACAGTCAGGGTTTGTTTGCTTGTTTGTTTGGGTCTTTTTTTGGAGGGACTGGTTCTTAATTTCTTTCTTTCTTTTTTTTTTTTTTTTTTTTTTTTGAGACAGGGTCTTGCTCTATCGCCCAGGCTGGAGGGCAATGGTGCAATCTCGGCTCACTGTAACCTCCGCCTCCCAGGTTTAAGCAATTCTCCTGCCTCAGCCTCCTGAGTAGCTGGGATTACAGGTATGTGCCACCATGCCTGGCCAATTTCTTTGCATTTTGTTTAGTAGAGATGGGGTTTCACCATGTTGGCCAGGCTGGTCTCAAACTCCTGGCCCCAAGTGATCCACTTGCTTTGGCCTCCCAAAGTGCAGAGATTATAGGCATGAGCGATCATGCGTGGCCTGGTTCTTTATTTCAAAAAGACACTCATCAGTCTTCAGTATCAAAACAGTTGCACTATTGATTTCTTTTTCTCCCAGTTGTCGTCAAAGAGGCATCAAAGGAGAGTACATTGTAAGCCAATAAGCTGCAGTTTGTACGCCTAACAGACCTCCTAGAAACTTTACCAAAAAGTGGGGATTAGGTAGGGAAAGAAACTTTAAAAGATCAGCAACCTGCCAGCCTACAGACTGTGGAGAGCTCTCACAGCCAGAGGGGGTAGCCAGGGTGCCAGAAACCCAAAGAAGCAAAGTTTCAAAATAATATGACATTTAAAAAGTTTTGTACACAAGCTATTCAAGATTTCTCACTGACTGATACAAAGCACAATGACATGGCACTTTTAGAGACAGCAGCTTCAAACCCAGAAAAGGGTGATGAGATGAGTTTCATGTGGCTAAATCAGTGGCAAAAACATAATCTTCTTTCTTTCAAGGAGGCAGGAGAGCAATCAAGTGGTCACCTCAATGTAAGGGGCACATGATCCACTCTGTAAGCGGCTGGGAATGGGGTGGAGATGGGACAGAAATTTGGTCTCAGAGGTCTCACCGTCTTAATTTGGTCACTTCTTTTTTTTTTTTTTTTTTGTCCCAGATGGAGTCTTGCTGTGTCGCCCAGGCTGAAGTGCAGTGGCGCGATCTTGGCTCACTGCAACCTCCGCCTCCCAGGTTCAAGTGATTCTCCTGCCTCAGCCTCCTGAATAGCTGGGACTGCAGACGCCCACCACCATGCCTGGCTAATTTTTGTATTTTTAGTAGAGACAGGGTTTCACCATGTTGGCCAGGCTGGTCTTGAACTCCTGACCTCAAGTGATCCGCCTGCCTCAGCCTCCCAAAGTGCTGGGATTACAGGCGTGAGCCACTGCGCCTGGCTTAATTTGGTCACTTCTAATGAAAAAACAAAAAAGTAAAAATAACTTTGTCCAAAGATATCTTAAAGCTGAAAACCTGAACAGCACATTTTTTGTTGCTGTTGTTTTTGGGCTAACTCCTGGAATCACCTTTCTGGTTTGGCTGGTACTTTGTGCAAAGCTATGATTTCCCAGAGTGGAGTCTTTCCCCGGGCTCTGTTTGGTTCTCAGTAAGGCAGGCTCATACCTTTTTCCCTTTTTTCTAGAGAAAGCAATATACAGTAAGCTAAACAGTCACCTTCCAAAAGGGAGAAAGGGATTAGATTGCTGCTTCAGAGCTGTGGAACTATTTGGAATGTTTTACAAATGGTTGCTATAAAACAACAAAAAAGGTAATTACTAAATGTATACAACACAACATGCTTTTAAAGACATTATGTGTTGCACTCACATTCGCTTAAATGTTGTTCCCAAAGGTGCTCAGCCTCTAGCGCAGCTGGAATCTCTGGGAAGAGGCAGAGACAGTTTGGCAAAAAAGACACGTGGGGGAGGTAGGGGTGGTGAAAGGAGAAAGCAGCCTTCCAGTTAAAGATCAACCCTCAGTTAAAGGGCAGCTTTGGGCAGGCTGGCCTAGTTGGAGTTGGGGTCAGAGGGAGGAGCAGTGGCAAGGTGGGACTGGGGTGCTCTGCATCTCATTCAGTTAAGCAGGTCTGGTCTGGCATCCTTTGTGTACAGAGGTGCTCCTCCTTGGTGCATTTCAGTTTATCTTCCAAGTCATCAATTGTCTCTTCCAGCTTGGCTACCGATCTCTCGGCAAACTCAGCCCGGGTCTCTGCCTCCTTGCGTTTATCAGTAAGAATCTCAGTTGCTTCCTCATATCTGTCTTCTTTTTGAGAGTCCTTTTCTTCGGCAGCACTCAGCCACTTCAGGTTCTGGTCCATCGATCTGATCTGCTCCTCCATCTCTCAGCCACAGGACTCTGCCAGCTCAGGTTGTTCCTCTCTGCGTCCCAAGTTTCCTTCAACAACCACCAACTTATGAGCCGAGCCCCATCTTCATGCTTCCTACCTATCTTCTGCAATGTGCTTAGCTTCTTTGAGTTGGATTTCCTGGAGTTTCATCTTTTTTTTTTTTTTTTTGAGACAGAGTCTCCCTCTGTCACCCACTGGAGTGCAGTGGTGCAATCTCAGCTCACTGCAACCTTTGCCCTCTGGGTTCAAGTGATTCTCCTGCCTCAGCCTCCCGGGTAGCTGGGATTACAGGTGCGCACCACCATACCCGACTAATTTTTGTATTTTTAGTAGTTTTACCGTGTTGGCCAGGCTGGTCTTGAACTCCTGACCTCAGGTGATCCACCCACTTCGGCCTCCCAAAGTGCTAGGATTACAGGCATGAGCCATCGCGCCCAGCCTTTTCTTCATCTTTTAAGGCTCGATTTTCAATAACCTTCCTACCTCTCCCACTCTCAATCAGCAGCTTTTACCACTTCTTCCAGCTTTTGCAGAGCAGTGGCCAGGCACGCCTGAGCACTGTCCAGCTCCTTTTCAACCAGCTGGATCCTATGGTTCAAGGAGGCCACCTTGGCCTCAGCCTGTTCCGGGCCCACCTTGCTCCCTCTACTCCCCGCTGGAGGCGCTTAGCTCTCTCCTCTGCATCATCTGCCTGCTGCTGCTGAACCTGGCTCTTGCGCTTTACTGCCTTGATGGTGGCGATCCCAGCCACGGTGCCCACCCAGCCCCTGCTTGTGCTCCAGGTCCTGCCTCTCCACTCAGCACTGCAGCCGTTTCTCCTACTGTCAGTTTCCCCCCCCCCCACATTCCAATAGGTAGCCTCAGTTTTAAAAAATCAGGTCAGTTGGGTCATGCCATTTCTTTGCTTCCACTTTCCAATGGCTCATATCATGCTTAGAATAAAACCCGAATCCTTATGTGGCCCATAGGGTTGGCCAGCTCCTGACAGTCCCCCTGGCCTCTTCTACTCTCCCACTCCAGCTATCCTGGTATCCGTGCTGTTGCTCAGACATGCCCAGATGCCCCACCTTGAAGCCAGTGACCTTGCGGCTTCCTTATCTTGAATGCTTATTCCTCAGGTTTTCCCATGGGCCACCTCCAGAAAAGGTGGCATCTCAAAGCTATCTCTGCGGAAGGGTCTTTGCTCCCCATCCTGTGGCCTGGTTTTATTTTCTTCACATCTTTCATCAACATGTGAAATTATCTTAGCTATTTATTATTTTTAAAATGTATTGGATCTCATTAAAATGCGTGCTTTAATTGAAGTATAATATTAAGTGTATAGCTCAATGACTTTTTTTTTTTTTGAGAAAGAGAGTTTTGATTCTGTTGCCCAGGCTGAGATGCAATAGTGCAATCTCGGCTCACTGCAACCTCTGCCTCCCAGGATCAAGTGATCATCCTGCCTCAGCCTCCGAAGTAGCTGGAATTACAAGCATGTGCCACCACGCCCGGCTAATTTTTTGTATTTAGTAGAGATGGGGTTTCACCATGTTGTCAGTCTGGTTTCGAACTCCTGACATCAGGTGATCCACCTGCCTTGGCCTCCCAAAGTGCTAGGATTACAGGCGTGAGCCACCGCACCTGGCCTCTATGACTTTTTACACATGTGTGCTTGTAACCGTTCCCCATATCTGGACATAGAAGGTTCCCAGACACCCCAGAAAGCTCCCTCATGTCTCTTCTTCTCAAAGGTAGCCACTATTCTAATTTCTATTTGGTTTCTGTCATAGATGAGTTTTGCCTGCCTTTGAGCTTCATGTAAGTGGAATCGTGTAATTTGGACACTTTTTGCCTAAATTCTTTCATTCATCATTGTCTGTGAGATACAGCCACATTTTTGCATGTGGATAAATGCAACAGCAGTTTGTTCTTTTTATATTGCTGTTGCATGGAGTACTGCATAGCAATACCCCATTGCACAGCAGTGTTCCATTGTGTCAGTATAACACAATTCATTTATTCATTCTTCTGCTGGCCGACCATGGGTTGCTTCTGACTGGTTGCTGTTGAATAACACCGCTGTGAACATTTTTACACGTCTTTCCATGGAGAGATGCACTCATTTATTTTGGATATATGCCTGAGAGTAGAATTGCTAGATCATCGAGTAGGCATATGTTTATCAGCTATTTATTCTTTTACTTGTTTATATTTTTTTCTCTTCCTGGACTGTAAGTTCCATGAAGGTAGGAAACAAACTTGTCTTGTTCACTATTGTATTCCCAGTGTGTAGCACAGTGCCCAGCACATAGTAGCTGCTTAATAAATATTTGTTAAGTAAATGAACAAACTTAAGCTACTATCAGCTCCAAGTAAGTTATGACAAAGAACCCAGGACTAGCTACAAATCCTCCTGACATTCGCCCTTCGCAAGCTGATATTTGAGAGCCCAGCTGACTCAGAAGGAGGCAGAGCTGCAGGTGCTGGGTTATTCAGCATCCTGTTATTCTTTGAAGTGGCTCCCCCTCCCTCTCTTGGCCTGCATTGTCACAGCTTGAAATATTCTTTTGATTATGAGAACATTTCCCATTAAGTGTGCATCTCCAGCTTCCCCCCACCCCCCAGTATTTATGAGCTCATAACTCCAGAATCTGTCACAATCAGTGCTGCAAAAGTGTATCTGAATGTAATGAAATAATTTGATGAGAAACGTGGCGGGGAGACAGTTGGAATTTTCTCCTGCCTTACAAACCATCCCCAGGGGACAGGTGTATATAAATCAACACCTCCCTTAATTAAGTAAAACATTTTAGGGAAAAAAACAAATTAATTACCACTTCATGGCACCACCCCAGCCGATTACCCAAATGGTTCACATTCCATAAACCTCACTTGAATTCAGAACTAATTATCACTCTTTTGGTTGGTTTATGCTTCCCAATCTACAAAGATCTGTATTAAAAGTGGGTAGTGTGGTATGGCTTTTTCACTTTACTTTCAGGATGATGTAAGCTGTCAAAAGAATCAAGAATTAAGTCTTAAAAAAAAAAAAGAGCTGAAAATGCAGGGAACGTAGAATGTGGAACATTCAGGGTAGGAAATAAACATCACCTTGGGGTGTTGCTGGGATGGTGGGGAGAAGCCTATAGAGTGCAGGATGTGTGGGGTCTTGTCCTGGCTGAGTCCCTGACTTGCTGTGAAATGTTGGGCATGAACTGGACGTCTCTGGTCTCTTATCTGGGGACCATTGTCCATTACCTGCCTGGCCCCCAGGGGGAGCCCTTGCCTCCTGCCATGTGGTCCCAACAGGGAGTGAGAATCCTGACATCTCTGAGCCTCCATTGTCCAGCCTGGCCTGATGTCTTTCCTAATTATCCTTCCTGCTGGCTCTGGCCTCCCCCTTGCCCTGTGGGCCCGATCAGTTCTCATCTTTGATCCTGCAGGGCCCCGTGGCCAGGGTAGCTGCTAATAGCTTCTCCTATTCCCAGTCCGTTCAGCTGCCTTCTGAGTGGTTCACTCCCCCAGTGGAGCAGGCTGCGCAGGCCTGGCCTTGGCTCTTTTGGACTATGTGTGGGAGTGGGAGTCTCAATGGCATCAAGCACAGTTGGCCTTGGTAGCCCCCTCCAGCTGTAAGCCTTGTAAGTCCAGAGTCCAGTGCTGGCTAAGCCAAGGCCTAACCTTCCCTTGTTTCTGCCACTTGCCCCACTTGAGTGGGTGTGTACATTGTAAGCGCTCAGTCAGTTCTCAGTCACTATCTGAATGTTAACGAAAGACATGGATAACCAGAAAGAAACAATCCAACTCTTTAAAACATTTTTAAGGCATGAATTGCACATAGTACAGTGCATAAGTTATACATGTACAACTCAGTGAATCTTTACTTTGTGTACACCTGTGTAATTCCAACCCAGGTCAAGACACAGGTCATTCCACCTCCCTAAAAGTTTCCCTTCCAGTCAACGCTCCTCAAAAATAACCATTATCCTGACTTCTATCACCATAGATTGGTTTTGTCTGTTCTTGCATTTCATATAAATGGAATCATCTGGTATCTAGCTTTCTGTGTCTGGCTTGTTTTGCCCATTCACTGAGTCTATGAGATTCATTCTTATTGCGGATAGCAGTAATTATTGAACTCTTTTTTAGACTGAAGTTTTAAAAAGTGATTACTTGAGCGATTACTGATTGTTGGTATCTAGCTTGACAGTATGTTGTCCTTTTAAAAAATAACCACATACCAAGATATTTGTGGGCCTAATACTGTCATTACCATATGTACAAAAAGAATAATTTAGCTCCTGTGAGCACTCGAGTACATTCAAATTCCAAATGGAGCAGGGATGAATTTGATTAGGAAGGTGTCTGACTACAGCCCTTCCCTCTTGAGAACCTTCCAGGGCGTTTTCTTATTGCATTAACTCCCATTTGCTGAGTGCTGTGGTTTGAATATTTGTCCCCTGCAAAACTCATGTTGAAATTTAATCACCAATGTGGCAATATTGAGAGGTAGGGCCTTTAAGAGGTGATTGGGTCATGAGGGCTCTGCCCTTATGAATGGATTAATCTATTCATGGATTCATAGGTTAGTGGATTACTGGATTATCATGGGAGTAAAACTGGTGGCTTTATAAGAAGAGGAAGAGAGGGATGAGCGTGGTGGCTTGCATCTGTAATCCCAGCACTTTGAGAGGCCGAGGATAGAGGATTGCTTGAGCCCAGGAGTTTGAGACCAGCCTGGGCAGCATAGTGAGACTTCATCTCTAATTTTTTTAAAAAAGAAGAAGAAGAAGAGGAAGAAAGACTTAAGCTAGCACGCTCAGCCCCCTCACCATGTGTGATGCCCTACACTGCCTTGGGACACTGAAGAGAGTCTCCACCAGCCAGAAGCTTCTCAGTAGATGCAAGCCCTTAACCTTGGGCTACTCAGCTTCCACACTTGTAAGAAGTCAATCCCTTTTCTTTGCAAATTACTCTGTTTCAAGTACTCTGTGATAAGCAAGAGAAAACGAACTAAGACATTGGGTTGCTAGAGAGGTTTAGTATCTTTTCTTAGGGTCATTTATTACCTGTGTAACAGGTAGGTCCTGCTGGGACCCTTTCTGAGGACTCCAGGGAGGGCATGAGGAAGTTGGAGCCTGCTCCCTCCAGGTCATGTGTGAGAGGGTGGGAATAATCTGGGTACACCCTGCAGGTTGTCTCCAAAAGGGTCAGTCACCCCCAAACCCAGGGAACATCAGTGCTGGGGCAGGTGGGGGAAGAATCAGGGTCCACTGTCTCTTGGGCTAGACCCAGGCAATGTCTGTCCCCATGGAACCCTCAGCCCTAATCCCTGCCTTCAGCCCTGAGAGCTTGTTAGCAAGAGGCTCTGATCCAGCAGGTCTGGGGTGGATCCAGGAATCTGATATTTTAAAGCTCCCCAAGTGATTCCAGGGAGTGGTCTGGAGCCAGACTGCTTGCATTTGAATTCCAGCTCTGCCTGTTATCACTGTGACCTCAGCCAAGTAACTTTGCTTCTCTTGCCTTCATTTCCTCATTCGTACAATGGGGATTATAATCGTGCTGGAAGAATAAAATGAATCAATGCATTTATGCTTGAAAAGCACTTAGAAGAGTTCCTGGCACAGAGTAAGCACTCAAAAAGAGTTGGCCACCACCGCCATCATCATCATCATCACCATCCACGGCAGCACCAATGCTTTACCAACGCTTTCACTTTACACACTGAAACTGAGAACCACAGAGGGGTGTGGACATATCCAGAGTCACACAGCAAGACACAGGTGGTACAGGGACCAGAAGCCCAGCTCCCTTTCCCCTTGGGATTGTGTTCTCTCACCCACGTGGCTGGCTAGCCATCCTGCCCAATGTCCCAGTCACATGCTGGGGGACAGGGTGGGGAAGATAGTCTACAGAGTGGGGACTTTCTGAAGGATTATATTAGGTTGGTGCAAAAGTAATCACAGTTTTTGTTTTTGCCATTACTTTTAATGGCAAAAACTGTGATTACTTTTGCACCAACCTAATAGAACTGGAAGTGTTGGCATTTGCCTTTCGCCCACCATAGCAATTCTCTATCCTCCTCCTCACCCTTGAAGGGACCAGCCAGGCCCTCTTTCCCACTTTTGGAGTAAGAGGACGGGAATGACTTGAGTCACCTCTAGATTTCTAAAGTTAGGACAAATATCATATCGCCAATGATCAAATACCACCAATTCTACCTCCACAATGTCTTTTGTATCCAAGACCTCTGCCATACCTGAGGCCTGGCCGCCATCATCGCATGCACCTGGGCGGCTGCACCAGCCCCTCCCTGGCCTCCCTGCTGCCAATCTGGCTGCTTCAATTCACTCTACATACCACCCTCCTCACCACCCCTTGGAGGGATTGTTTAAACCCCCACCCCCCCTGCTATGTATGAGTGGATAAAAATGTGATATCTACATACAATGGAACATTATTCAGCCTTTTATTTTATTTTATTTTATTTTATTTTATTTTATTTTATTTGAGGCAGGGTCTTACTCTGACACCCAGGCTGGAGTGCAGTGGCATGATCCCAGCTCATTATAGCCTCAACCTCCTGGGCTGAGGTGGTCCTCCCACCTCAGCCTCCCGAGTAGCTGGGACTACAGGCATGCACCACCAAGCCCAACTAATTTTTTTTTTGTATTTTTTTGTAGAGACAGGGTTTTACCATATTGCTTAGGCTGGTCTCGAACTCCTGGGCTCAAGAAATCCTCCTAAAGTGCTGGAATTATAGGCATGAGCCCTCACACCTGGCCTCCTTTTTTTTTTTTTTTTTTAGTCAGGGTCTCACTCTGGCACCCAGACTGGTGTATAGTGGTGCAATCATAGCTCACTGCAGCCTCGACCTCCTGGGTTCAAATGATCCCCCCACCTCAGCCTCCCAAGTAGCTGGCACCACAGGTATGCACCACCACACCCAGCTAATTTTTTACTTTTTTGTAGAGATGGGGGTCTCACTATGTTGCCTAGGCTTGTCTCAAGCTCGAGACCTCAAATGATCCTTCTGCCTCAGCTTCCCAAAGTGCTAGGATTATAGGTGTGAGCTCATGCCTGACTATTCAGCCTGTAAAAAGAAAGAAATCCTGTCTTATGCCACAAGATGGATGAACCTTGAGGATATCACGCTAAGTGAATAAGCCAGCCACCTACATGAGGGACCTAAAGTAGTCGAACTCCTAGAAACAGAAAACAGAATGGTGGCTGCCCAGGACAGGGGAAACGGGAAGTTGTTCAAGGGGGAGAGAGTTTTAGTTTCGCAAGATGAAAAAGTTGTAGAGATCTGTTGCGCAAAAAGGTAAATACACTTAATGCTACTGAACCATACACTAAAAAATGGTTAAGATGGTAAATTTTATATGTTTTTTTCTTTTCTATTTTTTTTTTTTTTTTGCATTTTTAGCAGAGGTGAGGTTTCACCATGTTGGTCAGGCTGTCTTGAACTCCTGACCTCAGGTGATCCACCTGCCTTGGCCTCCCAAAGTTCTGCGATTACAGATGTAAGCCACCATGCCCAGCCTGTTTTTTTTTTTTTGTTGTTGTTGTTGTTTGTTTGTTTGTTTTTTGAGACAGAGTCTGGCTCTGTCACCCTGGCTGGAGTGCAGTCACAGGATCTTGGCTCACTGCAACCTCCACCTCCCAGGTGCAAGCGATTCTCATGCCTCAGCCTACCCAGTAGCTGGTATTACAGGCGTGCACCACCACGCCCGGCTAATTTTTTATATTTTTGGTATAGATGGGGTTTTGCCATGTTGGCCAGACTGGTCTCAAACTCCTGACCTCAGGTGATCCGCCCGCCTCAGCCTCCCAAAGTTCTGGGATTACAGGTGTGAGCCACTGTGCCCGGCCTGTTATATGTTTTTTACCACAATTAAAAAAAAAAAAAAACACCTCCAAGTCTCCCCATCACCTTTAGGGCGAACCCAGATCCCTTGCCTAGCTTTGGAGACCTTCTGCACTGTTGCCACCCTCCCACCAGGCACTTCAAGCTACCATGTCCTCAGCCCACAGAGCTCTTCAGCTTTTCCCCGACACGGCTCACATTTGCTCACCAGTGAGTTTCTCCCTGACAGCTTTCCATCTGGAATGTTCTTCCCTCAGCTTGTCAACCTTTTGAAATCCTCATTATCCTTCAAGAACCAGCTCAAATATATCCTCCTCTGTGAAACCTTCTTTTAACCCTCTCCTTCAGGAAGAATTAATGCCCAGAGTGTGTGCCCCTGCTTTTTTTTTCTTTTTGAGACAGGGTCTCACTCTGTTGCCCAGGCTGGAGGGCAGTGGTGTGATCACGGCTCACTGCAGCCTCAATCTCCAGGGCTCAAGTGATTCTCCCACCTCAGCTTCCCCAGAAGCTGGGACTACAGGAGTGCACCATCATGCTCGGCACATTTTTGTAAATTTTTTGGTATAGATGGGGCTTTGCCATGGTGTCCAGGCTGGTCTCAAACTCCTGGGCTCAAGAGATCTGTCCACCTCTGTCTCCCAAAGTGCTGGGATTATATGTATGAGCCATTGTGTCTGGCCCCCCGTACCTTTTTTTTTTTTGAGACGGAGTCTCGCTCTGTCTCCAGGCTGCAGTGCAGTGGCGATCTTGGCTCACTGCACCCTCTGACTCCCGAGTTCAAGCGATTCTCCTGCCTCAGCCCCGCAAGTAGCTGGGACTATAGGCGCGCAGCACCACACCCAGCTAATTTTTGTATTTTTAGTAGAGACAGGGTTTCACCATGTTGGCCATGATGGTCTCGATCTCTTGACCTCATGATCTAGCCACCACGGCCTTCCAAAGTGCTGGTATTATAGGCGTGAGCCACTGCGCCCAGCCCCTATAACTGTTCACATCACCACCACCACCACCACCACTGCCTCAGCTACCATTGAATGGGGGCTTTCTACACACTGAGTACCAGGCCAAACAAGCTGTATGCATCAGTGGCTCAGTTAATCTTCATGAAAACCCACACCGTCCTCATTTTACAGACGAGAAAACTGAGACTCAGATAGGGAATGTATCATGCCCAAGATCACACAGCTAGTAAGTTGTGGCACTGAGACTTAAATCTTCCTAATTCCAGAGAAAAGCATCTGACAACTCAGTTCTGCTCCCCCACACACCTGAGTAATTGCCTTGTCCGTATAATTATTTGTTTTTCTGCCTGCCCAATTAGGGGAGGGCTGTGCCTTAACCCTTCTGGCTCTGATGCCCCATGCCTGGCCCAGGGCCTGGCACAAAGCAGATGCTCATTTTGTGGGAGTTGTTTTGGACACCTTGGAGTAAATCAGTGCCAGTGCTAGCTCCTCTAATTTCACCACTTCTATTAACCCTCCAGGAATTGGCAGGTTGGTGATCACAAAAGAAACATTCCCCAGCCGATCAATAAATAATAATGTTGGAGAATTTAAAATAAGAATCTGGATTATTAAAGTTACAAATCTTTGGTCTTTATACCTTTAATAAAACATGCGTCTATTAATAATGAATACTGGTTCTGGCCTGCTTAGGCTGAAAGGGAGAAAAAATGACCAGTGAAAAGATGCTAATATTTTTTCTCCTTACTTGTTTTGGCTGCCAAGATGCTGCATCCCTGACAAATGGCTCATCATTTAAAAAGGTTTAAAAAGTTTAACTGCACGAAAGGGAAATTGAAGATGGGTTGTTCAGCCTTGTGGGCCCTCAGTGAGGAGAGATTGTTTCTTCTTGAGACATTCTCTCTCTGGTTTTGGTGGGCCCACCTTCTGCTGGTCCTTCTCCTTGACCTCTGGTTGTCTTTCTCAGGCTCCTCATTTTTTGGTCAAACTCTATCCTGGGTTCCCTCCCCTTCCCTCCCTTTCTCTCCCTTCCCCTCCCCTTCCCTTTCCACTTAACTCCCTTACCCTGAGTGACCTCATCCACTTCTGTGACCACCAGTCATCATCTTTTGCACGAAGGAAGTCACTCAGTAGGAGAGATGATCAGAGCGGTAAACAGGGGGTCAGACCATTTGGGGCCTTATAGGCCAGGGTGAACTTTGGCTTTAACTCCAAGAATCCTGGTGCCACTGGAGGCACAGAGGATGGCATGAAACAAATCTCTTTGGAGGCTGTCATTAAAATAGACTAAAGGGTGACAAGGGCAGAATTAGGAAAACCAGTTAGGAGAATATTGCCGTAATCCAGGCAAGAGGTGATGGTAGTTTGGAATAGAGTGGAAGCAGTGAGGAGCTGAGGTTGGATACAGGATATATTTTATTTTTTTAAATTTTAATAGAGACAGAATCTCACTCTGTCACTCAGGCTGGAGTGCAGTGGCACGATCCTGGCTCACTGCAGCCTTGAACTCCTGGGCTCAAGTGATCCTCCCACCTCAGCCTCCCCAGTAGTTGGGACTACAAGTATGTGCCACCGTCCCCAGCTCCAGGATATATTTTAAAGGTAGAGGTGATAGGATTTGCTGAGGGATTGGAGTGGGGTGTGAAAAAAAAAAGGGAGAGGGTTGTCTCCAGGGTTTTTGGTCTGAGCAACTAAAAGATGAGTGTTTTCATTTTCTGAGATGAGGAGGCCTGTGGGTAGAGAAGCTTTGATGATAAGGAGTTGAGTCTTGGATGTGTGTTGTCTGAGATACCTGTTGGATATCTAAGAAGAGACATCAGATTGACAATTGGACATATGGGTCTAGAGTTCAGGAGAAAGGTCCAGGTTAGAGGTATAAATTTAGGCATCATGATCATAGATGTGGTATTTAAAGTCATGAAGCTAGATGAGATTGCCAGTGGAGGTGTATGGCAGAGTGTGAAAAAGGACTGGACTCATGACTTTCCTATGTTTTAAGGTTGGAGAGATGAGGAAGAATCAACAAAGAAGAATGTGAAGAGGCCAGTGAGCTAGGAGTAAAACTAAGAAAGTAAAGGATCCTAGAAGTCAAACGAAGAAAGAGTTTCAAGAGGGGGAATGTCATTATGTATGTCAAGTACGGAAAATGGGTTAAATAAGGTAAGGACTGAGGACTGACCATTGGATCTAGCAACATGGAGGTCATTGGTGATCTTGATGAGGGCATTTAACCTCACTTTGGGCCACTTGATGGTGAAGGTAAAAAGGAAAGCCAGTAGATTCCATAACTCTCATTATTGTCCAGAAGGAAATCTACCAGTTGTTCAAGACACCCCAACTTGTCCTGGGAGCTTGTCATTTGAGTTCTTCAAAGGAGGCATTGAATAATACAGCTGACTCTTGCACAACACAGGTTTGAACTGCATGGGCCCTCTTATATGTGGATTTTTTTTCTACCAAATGCAGATTGAAAATACAATATTCACAGGATGCCAAGTATGCATATATGCAGGGCTGACTTTTCCTATGCGGGTTCCTCAGGGTTGACTTCAGGACATGAGTTTGTGTGGATTTTGGTGTGCGCAAGGGAGGGAAAGTATCCTGGAACCAATTTCCCACATCTACTGAGGGATGACTGCATAATGAATATTGTCAGCAAGAGTTTTATAGCAGAGCCATAGGTCAACGTTTTACTCCCAGGATATAAGCGGTGCTGTGGGAAGCATGGAGTGGGAGAGATTGTCATGTTGAGTATTTATCACTCCACTGATGCATGGAGTGTTCCATCCAGTTTGAGACTGGGCTCTGCCTCCTGGAGAAGCGACAGCAGCCAGGTGCCACTCTCATGGAGACCAAGAGTTAGTGGCCTATGTGGAGGGCCACAAGGCCGCCCTGTTACACAACTCCAGGCAACACATCTACATCATGGTCTATGTGAAATGAGCTTCCTGGTGTTGTGCAGTGCACAAACTGCGCTGCTGTACGAAACAGGCCTGATGTGACAAGAGGCAGCTAAGGGTATCCCCAGAACTCCCAGAGGGATACTGGGACACTGTTGTCTGAAGAAGGGAAAGTAAGTGATGGAAGGCAAAACAAAAGATGCTCACATCCTAACACGAAGGACAAATTCCAGATGGAAATAAGGCACATGCTCTCTTTATTCTTTAATCCCCCAAACTTCAAAAGGAATTTTATTGTTTTCTTCCTGCCATCAAATCTGTGACTTGTTTTAGGGGAAGGACAAGGTACGTGTGTGTGTGCGCGTGCATGTGTGATGGGGTGCGGGGTTATATAGCCTCTACCCTTCTCTCCTTTCTCTCCAAAATTCCTAACTGGGAGGATTTTTCTAGTCATTGGAGGAAAGGTGTTTGGGAATATATTAATTAGAGCAAGCCTAAGCCGCTGTAATAAAGAGGTCACAAAATACAGTGGCTTGAAGAAAAGAGAAGTTTATCCCTCTCATGTAACAGCCTCAAGGTTAAGTAGTGCAGGGTGGGGAGATGGCTCTGTTCCACATGATCACTCAGGTATCAAAGATCCTTTCATCTTGTTTCTCTGTATCCTTCATGGTGTTATCTTCATCCCCATTGTCAGAACTTGGTCACCGCACATCTATGTTCAGGGAAGGAGAAAGAATGTTAGGAAAAAGGTGCCCCATCCCTTCTGTTCATATGCCATTGGTGACAACTTAACCATGTGGCCACACTGGCCACAAAGAAGCCTGGGATGTGTTGTTGCTAGCTGGGGAATCAGCATTTGTTCAGTTTAAGCTCTATTACTGTGGAAAAAACTTAGAATGGGTTAAAGTAAGTAACTGGCAAAAACTGGTTCTTTTTGCTCTCATCTCTTTTCTAAGCATTTTTATCTCTCAAATTTAGAAATGGAAAATTTGGGCCAGGTGCAGTGATTCACGCCTGTAATCCTAGCACTTTGGAAGGCCGAGGCAGGAGGATTGCTTGAGGCCAGGAGTTTGAGACCAGCCTGGGCAACAAAGTGAGACCCCATCTCTCCAAAATAACCTTAAAAAATTAGCCAGGCTTGGTGGCACATACCTGTGGTCCCAACTATTCAGAAGGCTGAGGCGAGAGAATCACTTGAGCACAGGAGTTTGAGGTCGTAGTGAGCTATCATTGCACCACTGTACTCCAGCCTGGATGACAGAGTGGGAACCTGTCTCTAAGAAGAAAAGAAAGGAAAGAAAGAGACAGCGAGAAAGCAAGGAAGGAAGGAAGGAAGGGAGGGAGGGAGGGAAAGGGAAAGGGAAAGGAAAGGAAAAAGGAAAGAAAGATACTGAAAATTTGAAGATTCTTTCCGTGGGTCCCTTTCTGACCATTTGACCTAGGTACATGTGCCAGCCCTGTGTATCCATTCCAGTCATAATGTGGAGGGTCCTGGGGTTAAAAGGTATATGAAAAAGAGTCTTATCAGTCAAGCTCGCATGTCAACCCACAATAATGACCGTAACAATGAATAACAACAATTATAATTATTAACATGTTTAGTTTACACATAGATGTATCACTTATAATGCTCTGTAATTTATTTTTAGTAATATGTACATGACTTTTCCATAAGTCAAAAGTCTTGAAGGACTGACTTTCTAGGGAGAAGAAGTGACTCACTTTGCCTGGAGAGCTGGGAAAGAGGAGCCACTGAGATGGGCTTTGAGAGGATGACTAGGAATCCCCAGAGAGAAAAAAGAGAGCAAATGGAATTTTACGAATGAGAAATGTTAATAGCATGTATGAACTCTAGCATGTACTTTCAGTAAAACAAAATTTTTCTTTTTTTCTGTTTTTATGACTTTGTTTCTCTTCCTCTCTCTCTCTCTCTTACACCCATTAATGGACACACCATGTAACTGTTAGATTTCTTGTTTGCAAGTGACAGAAAACTCACCTCAAAAATATCTTAAATCAACAAAGGGAATTTATTGGCTCATGCAATTGCAAAGTTCAAGGGTAAATTTAAGATGTGGCTAAACTCAGAGGCCCAGACAATAGTACCATGACCTGGTCTTTCTCCACCATCTGGCTCGGCCTTGCTGCATGCCAGATGAGCATTCACACCCACATGGTGCCAGGATGGCTGCCAGCTACGTGGGGTCTAAGTCGTCTTCATCTCAATGGAAATGAATGGAGAGCCTCTCTCTCCATTGTGCCCCATTGGCTCTGATTAGGTCAGGTGATCATCCTTGCGATGCTCTCACGGGCTACAACTGAGACACGTGCCACAACTGAGACACGTGCCAACCCCTACCAGCAGGGGTAGAGTCAACTCTGTCTAAAGCTAGGGATTGAGAACTGGGAGAGAGTGATCTGCTGAAGGAAGAATTTGTTACTGAAGAAGGGTGAGGCCAAGTGCATGGCTCATGCCTGTAATCTCAGTACTTTGGGAGGCTGAGCAGAAGGATCACTTGAGGCCAGGAATTCAAGACCAGGCTGGGCAACAAAGGGAGACCCTGTCTCTACAAAAAAATTAAAAATTAGCTGGGCATAGTGGTGTGTGCCTGTAGTCCCAGCTACTAGGGAGGCTGAGGTGGGAGGATTGCTTGAGCCCAGGAGGTTGAGGCTGCAGTGAGCTGATTGTGCCACTACACTCCAGCCTGGCAACAGAGCAAGATCCTATCTCAAAAAAAGTAAAAAAAAAAGGCCGGGCACGGTGGCTCACACCTGTAATCCCAGCACTTTGAGAGGCCGAGGCGGGTGGATCACCTGAGGTCAGGAGTTCAAGACCTGCCTGACCAACATGGTGAAACCCCATCTCTACTAAAAATACAAAAATTAGCTGGGCATGGTGGCAGGCGCCTGTAATCCCAGTTACTCGGGAGGCTGAGGCAGAAGAATCACTTGAACCTGGGACGCGGAGGTTGCAGTAAGCTGAGATCGTGCCACTGCACTCCAGCCTGGGCGACAGAGCAAGACTTCGTCTCAAAAAAAAAAAAAAAAAAAAGTAAAAAGAAGAAAGGTGAATGGCCCTTTGGCCACAAAAGCCGTTTCCATCTTCCATGGAGTGGGATGCTGAGGATCTCACTGAGATACTGGATTCCTACCTATTGTGGGGAAACTTCAGTCTTAAAGACTGAATGGCCCTCAGAGCAGAGGAACCTGCAGGTGAATTGAGCTCTGAAGCACAACAAAGTGGAAGGCTGGGAAATGCGGCTGGTCCAGGGCTTAGCAGTCATCCAGCCTTTCCACTGGACAGATGAGGAAACAGATCATAGAGGGTGAGGGACTTGTCTGAGCAAGTTGAGGCAGAGCGGGGACCCAAACCCCAGTGATGTGAAAGCCAGAGCCAGGCTCTGTCTGTGGGTCTGGCAGCTGCCACATTTATTAGCTCCCTGATATCTCCTTGTTTCCTTGTATATTTTTACAAGGTTGTTAATTACCAGCCATAAAGCTCGGCAAACATTCTGATAGGCTTTAAAGGCTCATGAAAACAGCATTACATTTTAAGGCATGGTTTCCTTATTAATCTAATTAACTGTCAGCCTCACATCCTGCTGGTTTCCAGATGAAGCGAGCTGTGCCTTTCAGCTTCCGATTCAGCCCCAGTGGACAAGGCTTGGGGATGTCATCGCCACAATCTCTGAGCCAGGAAAGCAGCTCACACAGGCCCAAGGTGTGGGTTGCTGAAGCAGTGTCTAGATGCTCAGCATCGTGCAGATTTATATCTCAGGATGATCCATCTCTAGAACAAAGACATGATGGCTTGGAAATAGCCCAGATTACAGCAAGTACATGGATGCCTCAGCTCAGGACCCTCCCAGGCCATGGTGTAGACACTTTTGGGTGACCTTCCCCAGTGAGGCTCCCTTTCCAGAGCTCTGTCCTCATTTATAACCCTGACCCTGGCACCCTGCTCTCCCACAGCAGCTGTTTGGACTGAGATGGACACCTGACCCAAAGAAGGCTCAGTCACCTCTGACCTGTAGCCTGGCTTGAAAGAGGGGCTGGGCCAACCAGAGGCAGGTCTGGAGATAGAGAACTAGAACTGGGAAAGAGTGTCTTCATTTATGAGGGCCGCCGTCACAACATACCACAGACTGGGTGGCTTAAACAATAGAAATGGATTTCTCACGGTTCTGGACACTAGAAGTGTGAGATCACAGTGCCAGCAAGGTTGGCTTCTCTCTCCCTTTCTCTCTCTCTCTCTTTTTTTTTTTTTTAGGTAGGGTCTTGCTCTGTCACCCCTCAACCTTGTCGGGCTCAAGCGATCCTCCCACTTCAGCTTCCTAAGTAGCTGGGGCTGCAGGCATTGCCACCATGCCCAGCTAATGTTTTTCTTTTTTTTATTTTTCTTTTTTTGAGACTGAGTCTCGCTCTGTCGTCCAGGCTAGAGTGCAGTAGAACTATCTCGGCTCAGTACAACCTCCACCTCCTGGGTTCAAGCGATTCTCCTTCTTCAGCCTCCTGAGTAGCTGGGATTACAAGCACCCACCACCATGCCCGGCTAGTTTTTTTTTTTTTTTTTTTTTTTGTATTTTTAGTAGAGACGGGGGTTTCACCATATTCACCAGGCTGGTCTGGAACTCCTGACCTCAAGTGATCCGCCCGCCTTGGCCTCCCAAAATGCTGGAATTACAGGCATGAGCCACTGCGCCCAGCGCCAGCTAATTTTTTTATTTTTGTAGAGACAGAGGTCTCCCTGTTTTGCCCGGGCTGGTCTCAAACTGCTGGGCTCAAGTGATCCTCTCGCCTCGGCCTCCCAAAATGCTGGGATAACAGGCGTGAGCCACTGTGCCCAGGGCTGGCCTCTCTTGGGGCCTCCCTCCTTGGCTTGCAAATGGCCACGTTCTCACTGCGTCCTCATGGGGTCTTTCCTCTGGGTGCACATCCCTGGTGTCTCTCTTGTGTGTCCAAATTTTCTCTTCTCCCAAGGAGAGTAAGCTCTGATTATGGCTGACCCTAATGGCCTCATTTTACTCAATCCCCTCTTTTTAAAAAAATTTTTTTTTAAATTTGAGACGGAGTTTCACTCTCGTTGCCCAGGCTGGAGTGCAGTGGTGCGATCTCAGCTCACTGACTGCAACCTCCGCCTCCCAGGTTCAAGCGATTCTCCTGCCTCTGCTTCCTGAGTGGCTGGGATTACAGGTGCACGCCACCATGCCTGGCTAATACAATCCCCTCTTTAAAGGTTCTATCTTTAGATAGAAGACAATATTTAAAATATTGTCTTCAGATACGGAGGTACTGGGGATTAAGGCTTCAATATATGAATTTTAGGGGACACAATTCAGCCCATAACAAAGGGCTTGAGATGAAAATTCACACAGCATCTGGGCTGGGGCAAGGGAGCCACCATGGCTGGTGCCCTGCCTATGTCTGCAAGACCCTCAGCTCTACCCCCTGAAGGTATAATCGCAAACACCTGCCACCTCCCACCTGAGGGCTTTTATCTGGCTGCTTTCTGCTGAGGGCACGTCCACCTGCATGCAGGGAAAGCCTACTAGAGGGTTAATGGCCAGAAGCAGCCCTCCACCAATGACTGATGGGATACAGACCCAGCTCCCTTGCCTGGGGTGGGGCAACTCTGCTTCCATGATCTACACTGTCTCCAGCATCCCCGGGCAGGAATGGGCTCCCATTGCCCACGGGGTAACTGGCTTGATCATGTGCCTTTCTTTTCTCTGTCTCACTTTGCCACTCCCCTACTGGTACTTCCTGGGATCACCTCCCAAGTAAATGACTTGCCCTTGAACCTCTGTCTCAAGGTCAGCTTCTGGGGGAACCCAAACAGTTAGGTGGCATGTGGACATGATGTGGAGATACGGGCAGAGGAAGCTGGCGTGGGAGGGGAGAGAGGGAAACGTGGATTCCAAGAGAGGGAAAGGGTTTCTGGGTTCCTGAGTCTCTAGTTCTGGTACCTATGAGCACTGCCCTGTGCCTCTCCCCCGTGGCTCTCCAAGTAGTTACATAAGTGGGGTGTTAGGTGTTCTGGAACCTAAGCTAGTTTAGCCTCTTCCCTATCTAGATGCAGCAAATTCTCTTGGACTCTTCCAGATTCTTCCCTCAAATATGGAATTATCAGGCAAGTTGATGCCTCTTGCTCTGGGGGAAAGGTAGCCCCAAGACATTCTGTGGCTATGTAAATATGCCCCCCAAAATAAATCCATGGTTTGTAGAGTGAAAGTTGAGCAAATCTGCATACAGGCCAGGAGCTACCCAGAAGGTCAGGAATCGAGGCCACATGCCCTTTTCTTTTGAGGTAAAACATGATCACAACCTTTCTGGTTAATTGTGATGAGCCTGACTGAGGCCCCTGGAGGAAAAAAAGATGTAAAGACCCACAGGGAAAAGAACCGTACCTGTGGGAGTCTGCACTAATGACTAGTGTTAAATACCAACTTCTTCCGTAGCTGCTTCTGGTTATGACTTCAAGTATGTTTTCTCATTCTCAGCATAATTGAAAGGCGTCAAATGATTAACACCAGAGGTTAAGATCTAGAACAATTTTGTCCAACCTGTGGGCTGCAAGCACCCCAGGGCAGCTTTGAATGTGGCCCAACTTTCTTAAGATGTTATGAGACTTTTTTTGTGATGTATAAATTATATAAGCTCTTCAGCTACCGTTAGTGTATTTTACATGTGGCCCAAGACTATTCTTCTTCCAATGTGGCCCAGGGAAGCCAAAAGATTGGGCACCCCTGATCTAGAAGTTAGGAGTCTTTCAGGAAGCTAAGAATAACTTACAGACACCTGATTCTATAACTCTATGAAACGTCTTAGATTCTTTGGTCTTAAAATAGTATTGGCCCAGGCGCGGTGGCTCATGCCTGTAATCCCAGCACTTTGGGAGGGTGAGGCAGGTAGATCACCTGAGGTGAGGAGTTTGAGAGCAGCCTGACCAACATGGCGAAACCCCGTCTCTAGTAAAAATACAAAAACTAGCCAGGCTTGGGGGCAGGTGCCTGTAATCCCAGTTACTCGGGAGGCTGAGGCACGAGAATCACTTGAACCCGGGAGGCAGAGGTTACAATGAGCTGAGATCGTGCCACTGCACTCCAGCCTGGGTGACAGAGCAAGACTGCCTCAAAAAAAAAAAAAAAAAAAAAAAAAAAAAAGTGGAGTACGATCATAATCTGTGTAGGCAGGAGAGAGGAAGCAATGGAGCCAGCAGGGTCTCGAGTCAGAGAGGAGTGGGAGTGGTTGGGTTGGCTGGCTTCAAGACTAGAGGGGTTCTTAATAATATAGGGTGCTATAGTCACAAGTGGGGGTGCATCCCAGGTGTTAGCAGGGTCCAACCCTTGGGTCTAGGGGTAGCATGATATTTATGACAATAATGATGGTGAACATGATAATGGGCATGACCACTCCTGTTTACAGGTGAGAAAACTTTACCCCTCTCAGCAGGACTGTCAGGTCCAAGGAGTAAAATTGGACCCTAAAAAATAGGATTCAACAGTCCTATTTGGGTCAGGGTGAACTCTTTGGCACCAAGGCTCTGGACACTTTGAGGGTGAAGCCAGGTGGGGTGGGGCTGGTTCTGGGGAAGGGCTGGTTCTGGGGAAGGGCTGGTTCTGGGGAAGGGCTGGTTCTGGGGAAGGGCTGGTTCTGGTGGCCTGAGATGCAGCAGGACTGAACAGGACTGTCCTTCCAGTAACCTCCATCCTTCCTCATCGAGCATGTCCCAACCCCAAACCTGTTTGGCACTTGCCTGATGGATTTAAATTGATGCCCTCAAAACTGCAAAACTAGGGCCAGTTCTCCCCCCTTTCTGTCCACGCACCTTCAAGAATTTAATGAGCTTGTCTAGGTTAAAATGTGTTATTCAAGCCCAATGTTTGTGGTATCACTGAGGAAGCAAATCCCAAACTAATAGAAGTTGCATGTAATGTAAAATAGCAATTAATCTCCATCATGAAGGGTAAGAAAAATTAACAAACCGCTGTTCAAATATTTATTAGGAGGAGAGACTGGACAGATATTCTTAGTCTATTACTGGGGGCAATTGAAATACAAGGAAACTGGGCTGGGCGCGGTGGCTCACGCCTATAGTCCTAGCACTTTGGGAGGCCGAGGCGGGTGGATTACCTGAGGTTGGGAGTTTAACACCAGCCTGACCAACATGGAGAAACCCCATCTCTACTAAAAATTCAAAATCAGCTGGGTGTGGTGGTGCATGCCTATAATCCCAGCTACTTTGGGAGGCTGAGGCAGGAGAATCGCTTGAACTCGGGAGGCAGAGGTTATGGTGAGCCGAGATCCTGCCATTGCACCCAAGCCTGGACAACAAGAGCAAAACTCTGTCTCAAAAAAAAAAAAAAAAACCAAGGAAACTGTCTGGTCCGTAACTGGGCATGGGGATGGGGTGGGCTTAGAAATGATTCCAGTAGGTGAGGGGTTCAGTGCCAGCCCAGGTGGGTGGGGAGGGGTGAGACCTGTGGTCTCTTTGACATATTAGAGTGGTGGGCAACTTCTGGATGCTTCTTCTCACCTCTTCTTGCTGAAATCAGGTTATGGTTGTTCAGCCTGACATGATGGCCATCTTCGACACAGGCAGGAGGATTCTGGCCCCTGCTCCAGCCAGAGGTTTAGCCCTGAACCCCAGCCTTGACCCCTCCTACCGTTGTCCTGCCTCTATGTTCCCTTCATCTACCTCCTCTTTTTGATGGCCTTGGCAATTCTTTTTTGTTTTTTTTTGAGATTGGAGTCTCATTCTGTAGCCCAGGCTGGAGTGCAGTGGTGCAACCTTGGCTCACTGCAACCTCGGCTCACTGCAACCTCCACCTCCCGGGTTCAAGTGATTCTCCTGCATCAGCTAGAGAATCGAGTAGCTGGGATTACAGGCACCCACCACCACGCCCAGCTAATTTTTTTTTTTTTTTTTTTTTTGTATTTATAGTAGAGATGGGGTTTCACCGTGTTGGCCAGGCTTGTCTCAAACTCCTGACTTCAAGTGATCCGCCCACCTCGGCCTCCCAAAGTGCTAGGATTACAGTTGTTAGCCACTGCAATTGGCCTAGGCAATTCTTAACAACTCTGGATTTTTCCCTACAAATGCTGAGCCACTCCCACAGGATTACCAACCACCTGTCCTCCTCCTACCAATACCCCACCTAAGACCTAGATAAAGGTGATGATAAAGGCTGGCACCTGGAAAACAAGGGTTCAGGCTTCCTTTCCCAGCTGAGGGAGATGCCTCCAAAGATGGCCGCCAACAACGCCTCCTGTCCCTGGACACGCAGGCTCCTGTCAAGAGGTGGCACTATTTCTCCTCCCTAGAATTTGGGCTGGCCTTGTGACCTGCTTTCACTTGTGCCGGTTCCATGCCTGGCTTGTAAGAGGCCTAGCAGCTTCTGTTCTCTTGGAGCCCTGAGCCACTGAGAAAGAAATCCAACTAACCTTCTGGAGACAGGCCCAGCCAGGGCCCAGCCGGTCCAACTACTCCTTGACAACCAAGGCTGCCACAAAGACAGGATAGAGGAAGGAACACAGAGGCAGGGCAATGGGAGGAGCCATTTAAGGCTGAGGTTCAGGGATGAGCCCCTGGATAGGGAAGGGGCCAGAACCTTTCTATGTGTGTCTTGAATGTTCCAGCTCCAGCTGAATGTGGGAGTGATCCCCAAAAATACCTTGTGGAGCAGAACTTCCCGTCTGCGTCTGGACATCCCTTAGAACCATAAGAAATAACTGTAATGAAGGCCAGGCCCGGTGGCTCACACCTGTAATCCCAGCACTTTGGGAGGCTCAGGTGGATAACCTGAGGTCGAGAGGTTGAGACCAGCCAGACCAACACCGAGAAACCCAGTCTCTACTAAAAATACAAAATTAGCCAGGTGTGGTGGCGCATGCCTCCCAGCTACTTGGGAGCCTGAAGCAGGAGAATTGCTTGAACCTGGGAGGCGGAGGTTGCGGTGAGCTGAGATTGAGCCATTGCCCTCCAGCCTGGGCAACAAGAGTGAAACTCTGTCCCAAAAAGAAAGGAAGGAAGGAAGGAAGGGAGGGAGGGAGGGTGGACTGTAATGGTTAATACTGAGTGTCAACTTGATTGGATTGAAGGATACAAAGTATTGATCCTGGGTGTGCCTGTGAGGGTGTTACCAAAGGAGATTAACATTTGAGTCAGTGGGCTGGAAAAGGCAGACCCACCCTCAATCTGGGTGGATAGCATCTAATCAGCTGCCAGCATGGCTAGAATATAAAGCAGGCAGAAAAAAGTGAAAAGGTGAGATGGGCCTAGCGTCCCAGCCTACATCTTTCTCCTCTGCTGGATGCTTCCTGCCCTTGAGCATCCAAGTTCTTCAGTTTTGGGACTCAGACTGGCTCTCTGCTCCTCAGCTTACAGACGGCCTATCGTGGGACCTTGTGATTATGTGAGTTAATACTTAATAAACTCTCCTTTATATATATATATATATACATATATATATCCTATTTGTTCTGACCCTCTAGAGAACCGTGACTAATACAATAAACATCATCATTTTAAGCCACTGAGATTTGGAGTGGAGTAGCGTATTAAATAGCAATAGGTAACTGAGACTCCAGCCCAGCTAGGACCAGTCTGGCACCCCCCTGCCATTTTGGATGCTGCAAACTATACTTGGCCAACTTCAGGATCCCCAGTTGACACCTACATGGGGTCTCCTGCTGCTGACCACCTGTCAGGGCTGCTCTGCCCACCAAGCTTCAAGCGGAAGCTCATGCCATTGTTCAACAAACATGGAGTCGCACCTGCTATTTAAGCCAATCCCTGTATTGGCCGCTGAGGATTCAGAGACACACTCCTGGCCTCTGAGGAGTTCACAGGCCCAAGGGGAGTCCGGCAGGAAGATAACATGCTAAAAGTCAGGGTGCAGAGTGTGAAATAGTAGCAGGACACAGTCCCAGGCAAGTTCAGGAGGTGGGAGTGGCAGCTATGCCCCAGTAGGCTTCATGGGGTTGGGTATTTGAGTGGTCAGCAGGGAGTTCTCCAGGCAGGTTGATTTTGTGCTGTCCCCTGTGGCCCTTCTCAATGCCGTTGCCTGCCCTCTGACCCCCTGCTCCCCAGCCCTGGGCCTCTGTGCTTCACCCAGGCAGGTTTTGCCCTCACTGGAGCCAGGCTCTACAGCCAATGGAGGATTTTAAGCAGAATGACATGGTGGTTGATGTTAGGTGAGGATTGGGAGGAACCAGAGACCTGGCCAGAGATGGGGAGCTCAGTGACAAGGCAGTTGCAGTGGTTAAGGTAAGAGAATCGTGGTGGAAAAGGAGCAAAGATCTGTGCCAAGGGGAGAGCCTAGGATTCAGAGGAGCCAGGCAACCAGGTCAAAGTGCATGGACCCCCAATCCAGTGCTGATTCCACTGTAGAGCGAATAAAAAGTAATTTTAAAGGTTAAAAATACAGATGAGTACGTGGAGGTAAATACAAGGATGTCCTCGGGAGCTGTGATTGTGATGGTAAGAAGTTGGAAAGAATCTGTCTATCAAGAGGAAAATAATTACATAAATTATGGTAATTCTTACGATAGAACATTATCAAGGAGCTAAAAGGAATGAACTCAGGCATATGTAACAACATGAGTAAGTCTTGCAAATACACTGTTGCATAAAGAAAAGCTGCATAATGATATATATGGTAAAAAATCCACTTATTTACTAAAATATACAAAATAATATTATATATTTTCTATGGGTTCCTATAAAATGCGTGAATATATTTTTGAAAGATCTGGAAGGCACTTGCCAAGTTCAATATTTGGAAAGGGGCCATGGACCAGGATTGCAGAAGGTGGGCAAAGAAAACTTGTGCTCCGTTCATAATTTTTTTTTAAAGAATGGTTCCATTTTACTGACATAATTAAATATTAATTAAAAATAGAAAACAATGAATTAAGGATTTGATTCATAGGTATTGTTAATCCCCCAAAATAATCAGCTCAGACCTTCACCCTCTGATCCCTCAAGGGAGCTGAAGTCCTACTACCAGACACTCATTCTGTGCCAGCGTCTGGGTGGCGGGAGTGTCACTGAGGAAAGGAGGGGATGAGAGTGTACCGAACCCCTGTTGTTTGGCATGTTGTTTGTTGGCACATGACAAATCTTGTGTCATTGAATTGTCACAGCTACCCTAAGCCGTGGGGGTGGGGGGGGCGCGGGTATGACGATTCTTATTGTACAGATGAGCTGCGTGCATTTGGGAAATTCAGTCAAATAAATAGTTCAAGATCACACAGCATGCAAGTGGAAAGATTTGAACCCAGGTCTGTATTGTCCCAAAAGCCATACCCTCTCCTCTGTACCAAGGAGGAACAAGAGGACAGACAGGCATGGAATCACCTGGGAGCTTTCAAAGCACACAGGTGCCAGATCCTGCCCTCAGAGATGCCGATGTGATTGACCTGGGGTGGGGCCTGGGCTTTTTTTTTTCTTTTTTTAAAGCTGTGACTATGCCCTGCCAGGCTTGAGGACAACTGCCTTAACTGGAGTCCAGCTCATTCCTCTCAGATCAGCCACCACGGGGTGACTCTTTCAACCGTGCCTCCCATTACTCAAGGGCTGTCCTTTTGGACAATGACTTTGTGAGAAGTGTTTATTACACTTGGGTGCATTTTAAAAAGGTGGCTCACAAACCCTGTCTCAGATTTGAGTTCCCATTTTCTCACTGTTTTTTTATTAGAGAATTCGAGACGGGTTCTTCAAGAAAAAAAATTACCCTAAGAAATAACCACCTTATAGAACGAGCAGGATCATGAATAAAAAAAAAGAAATTAAAAAAATAACCAGTAATAATTTTATGTATTTTATTTTACTTTATTTATTTATTTGAGACATAGTCTTGCTCTGTTGCCCAGGCTGGAGTGCAGTGGCACACTGCAACCCCCGCTGTAGAACTCGGCTCACTGCAAACCCCGCCTCCCAGGTTCAATCAATTCTCCTGACTCAGCTTCCCAAGTAGCTGGGATTACAGGTGCACACCACCATGCCTGGCTAATTTTCGTATTTTAGTAGAGACGGGGTTTCACCATGTTGGCCAGGCTGGTCTTGAACTCCTGACCTCAAGTGATCTGCTTGCCTCAGCCTCCCAAACTTCTGGGATTACAGGCGTGAGCTACCATGCCCAGCCTAATTTTATTTATTTTAAAGTCAGCGTTTCCTAGACCTCAGGCATTTGGGAGACAGCTTCACATTTGCCATGTTTGTATCACCACTGTTAATTTACTTAACATTTCACTTTAAATCAATACATAGTTCATAAACTTAAAAACTTTTATTTTAAAAGATAACTGTGTATCATCACTAAAAATGAAAAGCAAAAATACTTGTAATAAACACATAACCATAAAAATAAAACATGGTTACTTTGTGTCCTACCTAAAATTTAGGAGCTCATATACCACCAGTGATGTGTGTCCTGTATTTTGGGAAATAGTTATAAATACTAAATTGAAAAGACTGAAACTTTTAGATAAAATCTTAATGACTCCTAGGGCATTTCTCACATGGATTATTGCCAGATCCTCCTAACTGACCTTCCTGTTTCTAAGCTCATCACCCCCATTCCCCACCTATTTTCCTCCCAGCAGACAGTGGTATCTTTTTTTTTTTTTTTTTTTTTTGAGATGGAGTTTTGTTCTTGTTGCCCAGGCTGGAGTGCAATGGTGCAATCTTGGCTCACTGCAACCTCCCCACCTCCTGGGTTCAAGCAATTCTCCTGCCTCAGCCTCCCAAGTCATTGGGATTACAGGCATGTGCCACCACGCCTAGCTAATTTTTTGTGTTTAGTAGAGATGGGGGTTTCACCATGTTAGTCAGGCTGGCCTTGAACTCCTGACCTCAGGTGATCCACCCACCTCGGCCTCCCAAAGTGCTGGGATTACAGGCGTGTGCCACCACATTGGGCCTGGTATTCTTTAAAAATTTACATCAGATGATGTCATTTATCCATCCAAACCCTCCGTTTGCTCTCATCTCATTCAGGGTAAAAGATATAGAACCTACTATAGCTGACACCTTTTCTACGCAAAGTGAGGTCCATCGGCCAGCAGTATCAATATCATCTGAGAACTGGTTAGGAATGCAGTATCCAGGCATGGTGGCATGCACCTGTAGTCCCAGCTACTTGGGAGGCTAAGGCAGGAGGATCGCCAGGAGTTCAAGGCTGCAGTGAGCTATGACTGCACCACTGCACCCCAGCCTGGATGACAGAGTGAGATCTATCTCTAAAATTAAAAAAAAAGAAAAAAAAGCAGAATCTCAGATCCCACCCCAGACCTGAATCAGAGCCTGCATTTTAACAAGATCCCCAGGTGATTCATAATGCACATTAAAGTTTCAGAGGCACCTTAGTGGTCTCCTCACCTACCACAGTCCTTCTCCCACTGCCTCAGCCACCAGGCTTCCTTGCTATTCCTCTGCCACACCAATCTTGCTCCTACCTCAGGGCTTTTGCACTTCCTGTTTCCCTGCCTAGAACACTTGCCAGAGCCTGGGTTCCCCAGAAAGCAGAGCCAGAAGAAAGCTCATAGTTTGTTTTTTGTTTTTTCTTTTTTTTGAGATGGAGTCTCACGGTGTTGCCCAGGCTGGAGTGCAGTGGCGTGATCTTGGCTCACTGCAACCTCTGCCTCCCGGGTTCAAGCGATTCTCCCACCTCAGCCTCCTGAGTAGCTGGGATTACAGGTGTGTGCCACCATGCCCAGCTAATTTTTGTATTTTTAGTAGAGCTGGGGTTTCACCATATTGGCCAGGCTGGTCTTGAACTCCTGACCTCAAGTGATCCACCTGCCTCGGCCTCCTGAAGTGCTGGGATTACAGGCATGAACCACTGCGCCGGGCCAGCTTATGTTTATTACGTCTGTGTTTACTCAGGGTGTAATCCCAAGGAAGGAGGAAGAGCCAATACAAGGGTGCACAACCAACCAGGTCACCACTTGGCATAGAGCATGACTGATTGCTCAATCTCCTGGAAATGTCTTCTGTGAGAGCACATGAATAAAGCCAGCTCAGAACAATCCACCCAAGGGAAAAAAGGGAAAGGAATTCATCCACCTGCTTCCGCTCCCACTAGGTAAATGTTCACTAGTGGGGCATTGATATGGTTTGGATTTGTGTCCCCACTCAAACCTCATGTTGAATTGGAGGAGGGACCTGGTGGGAGGTGATTGGATTGTGGGGGCAGATTTCTCCCTTGCTGTTCTCATCATGGTTATGATGAGAGTGAGTTATTGTGAGATCTGATGGTTTAAAAGTGTGTGTGACGCTGTGAGTTCTGATGGTTTAAAAGTGTGTGATGCTTTCCCCTTCACTGTCTGTCTCCTGCCACCATGTGAGGAAGGTACTTGCTTCTCCTTCACCCTTCTGCCATGATTGTAAGTTTCCTGAGGCCTTACAGTCATGCTTTCTGTTAAGCCTGTGGAATTGTGAGTCAATTAAACCTCTTTTCTTAGTAAATTACGAAGAAATTCTTGGGTAGTTCTTTATAGCAATGTGAAAATGGACTAACACCGGCATTAACCCCCTCACTTTCCCAGTGGCTCAGGCATGGGCTCCCAGCAGGTCCCAGGTCATCTCCCACCTGAGTGTCAATAGGGAATCTCCGGAGCAGGAGGCAAGGACAGGCGGCCCAGGCATGAGATCAGTGAGAGCCCACACACAGCTGGCCACAGAGCAGCGGCAACTAAGCTGGAACCAGTGGCCAAATCTGTGGAGCCAGGGGAGGCCCGGAGGACTGGGAGTGCCCATGAGCAGTACTTGCTACCAAGCTCCTCCCTGAGATGGCTCTTGGCTCGATCCTCACTTTCCTCATGAGGGCTCAAGTGCTGCCCTCACAGAACCCTTCCCTGATCATTTTTACATTTTCTTGTTTAATTAAATTTTTTGTTTTGAGTTGGGGTCTTGCTCTATCATCTAGGCTGGAGTGCAGTGGTGTAATTACAGCTCACGTGCAGTCTCCATCTCAAACCATCCTCCCATCTCAAACCTCTCAAGTAGCTGGGACTACAGGCACGCAGCACCATGCCTAACTAAATTTTTGATTTTTAGTAGACAGGAGGTCTTTCAATGTTGCCCAGGCTGATCTCAAACTCTTGAGCTCAAGCATTCCTCCCACCTCGGCCTCCCAAAGTTCTGGGATTACAGGTGTGAGCCACCGCGCCTGGCCCCATGATCACCCTTTTAAACATTGCAGCTGCCTTGTCTGCTTGAGTCTTCTCCAGACCACTCATCACCTTCTGATGAATGTGCACTTTACTTTAAAAGGAATGTGGTCCCATTGGGGGAAGAGTTTTTTTGGCCTGTTTGTTCACTGATGGGTCTCCAGTGTCTTGAACAGTATGTGGCACCTAGCAGGTGCTTGGTAAATATTTACTGAATAGCTTGAACAAAGGGCGGAACTGGATGGAGCCTTTGGAAGTCATTGAGTTTGCCAGTCTTTAGGTTTATTTCCAATGAAATCTGACATGGAAGCCCCATTTTGAAACAGATCAAAGAGAGCAACAGCTGAGCCCTCTCTGCAGGTGTCCTGGGCATACCCGCTCCTATGCTGGTGACAGAAAAACTGCCCAGAGAGGGGATGTCCCTTTCCCACATAACTCTACACTCAAAAATCACAGATATAAATAAGCGAGAGTTTCTTTTTCTGCTTGAAAGGCTTACTTGAAGGCCTAAAAAGAAAACAAGAATGAGCACAGCCTAAATGAATGTTCCCTGGGCTGAGAATTCTCCCAGTATCTGCAAAATCCTTTCCACAACAGAAAATCCCAAGTTCTCTACACTGAATTAGATTCATGGGAAACCAGAGGGATCAGTTTACTGATGCTAGAAGAAAGCTTTTTATTTTATTTTAATTTTTAAATTAATTTTTTTTTTGAGATGGAGTCTTGCTCTGTTGCCCAGGCTGAAGTGAGCGGTGTGATCTTGGCTCACTGCGATCTCTGCCTCCCAGATTCAAGCGATTCTCATGCCTCAGCCTCCCGAGTAGCTGGGACTACAGGTGTGTGCCACTGTGCCTGGCTAATTTTTGTATTTTGTACATTTATTTATTTATTTATTTATTGAGACGGAGTTCTGCTCTGTTGCCCAGCCTGGAGTACAGAGGCACAATCTCGGCTCACTGCAGCCTCCACCTCCCGGGTTTAAGCTATTCTCATGCCTCAGATCCCGAGTAGCTGGGATTACAGGAGCATGCCACCATGCCCGGCTAATTTTTGTATTTTTAGTAGAGACGGGGTTTCACTATGTTGGCCAGACTGGTCTTGAACTCCTCACCTCAAGTGATCCGCCCACCTCGGCCTCCCAAAGTGCTGGGATTACAGATGTAAGCCACTGCACCTGGCCTATTAATTTTTTTTTTTTTGAGACAGGGTCTCTCACTGTTACCCAGGCTGGAGTGCAGTGGCACAATCACAGCTCACTGCAGCTCCGACTTCCTGTGCTCAAGCGATGCTCCCACCTCAGCCTCCCGAGTCGCTGGAACAGCAGGCTCGCCACCACACCTGGCTAAGTTTTGTATTTTTAGCAGAGATGGAGTTTTGTCGTGTTGCCCAGGCTGTTCTCAAACTCCTGGGTTCAAGCAATCCTCCCACATCAGCCTCCCGAAGTGCTGGGATTACAGACATGAGCCACTGCACCCGGCCAAAACATATTATTTTATAAGCAGTGTGCGCATAATACTGTCTATAGGCAGATATTAGAATTCTTCCTTGAGAAAGAACTCCTCTTTTGTTTGGGAAAATATTTCAAGAGACCTATTGATTATGCAAAGAAATGCCTGGGGAGCGGGTGAGACACCTGCTAGGGGGGCCAGTGTTGCTGCGCTTTATTAAATAACTGGGATTTTCAGCTCTCCCTAAGTACTTAAGTACTGTCTATGGCATTTGCCTCATGTATCTTTGCTCTTTTTTTATTGTTAACCTTTATTTAGCACTTTGTTTTAACTGATTTTTGTAAATGGCATGCAGAGGGCAGATTGGCAACAGGCCAGGGTGAAAGGAGTGACATTCCCAGGTGGGGGACATTGGCTACAGCAATGTCTAACACTCAGTTCAAGAGATTACTTATTCTGTGATGGCACCTCCTTGTCTTTGTTCTCAAATCTTCAGTATCGGTTGAAACTCTAGTAGTGGGTTGAATTGTGGCCCCCCAAAAAGATATGTTCACATCGAAATCCACGGAAGCTGTGACTATGACTTTTTTCCGGACAAAAAAAATGCTTTCACAGGTTTAATTAAGGATCTTGAGATGAGATCATTCTGGATTATCTGGGTGAGCCCTAAATCTAATGACAAGCATCCTTACAAGCAACAGAAGAGGCCGGGTGTGGTGGCTCATGGCTGTAATCCCAGCACTTTGGGAAGCTGAGGCAGGTGGATAACTTGAGCCCAGGAGTTCTAGACCAGCCTGGGCAACATGGTGAGACCCTGTTTCTTTTCTTTTCTTTTTTTCTTTTTTTGTTGAGATGGAGTCTCACTCTGTTGCCCAGGCTGGAGTGCAATGGCGTGATCTCAGCTCACTACAACCTCTCCCTCCCTGGTTCAAGCGATTCTCCTGCTTCAGCCTCCCAAGTAGCTGAGATTACAGACACCGGCCACCATGCCCAGCTAATTTTTGCATTTTTAGTAGAGATGGGGTTTCACCATGTTGCCCAGGCTGGTCTCAAACTCCTGACCTCAGGTGATTCACCTGCCTCGGCTTCCCAAAGTGCTGGGATTACAGGAGTGAACCACCGTGCCTGGCCTACCCTCATTTTTTGAATGTTTGTTTTTCTTCTAACCAGCAGACTCTTTACTAAGGCATGAGAGGTGAAAGGGGTCCAAGTGGAAGGAAGATAGAATGAGAATTGTTTCCTTTTTCTTATTTTAATTTTTTGAGACAAGGTCTGTCTCTATCACCCAGGCTGGAGTGCAGTGGCATGATCACAGCTTGCTGCAACCTCACATTCCTACAGTCAAGCGATTTTCCTCCTCAGCCCCTTAAGTAGCTAGGACCACAGTTGTGCACCACCACACCAGCTAATTTTTTATTTTTGTAGAGATGAGGGCTTGCTGTGTTGCCCAGGCTGGTCTCAAACTCCTAGGCCCAAGTGATCCTCCTGCTTCAGCCTTGCAAAGTGCTGGGATTATAGGCAGGAGCCACCACACCTGACCGGGACTGACAACCCCAGCTCTGGGTTGGGCTCCTTAGGACGTAGCTCTTTGGGCTTCTCACTTTCTCCACACTCCCCAGCCTCCACCTACTAGCCCTGTCCAGAAACTGAGGTCTTAACAAATGCCTGCAGTACATAGAATACACCTCGGTGTTTCTTGTTATTTAATATTTATTGGAATGGAATGAAATAGTGGATGCAGGGTTTGTAAACAGATCCCTGGATGTACGGAGTAGCCCTCCATTTCATAAAATGGATTTTGAATTTGTTGGAGAGGACTGGAGGAGTGGAGTGATGATGGGATGTGACCAGCGGGTAACTGCCCTGGCCACACCTCAATATGCAATGTACTGTGGCCTCGCAGATTTCACATTTGTCTCGACCCAGCACCTGGCACTTAGCAGGTGCTCAGTAAACATGTCAGGCTGAATTGTGAATCTGGCATGCCATGCACGCTCAGTACTGTCCTTAGACCCAGGCAAGTGGGGACCCCTGCCCCAGGCCTCAGGGGCCCCATGCTTTGGAGTGCCTTCCTCAAAGGAAGTCTCTTTCTGGTGTCTGGGACTGGGTGGAGTGGGCAATGCTATTCCATCCTGGTACCCTATGAGGTATTCAGTCAAGGTCACCAGAAACACCTACCTCAAAAATTTCTAAAAACCCCTCTGGGGGCTGGGACTGGCAGTGCCATGTGGGTGGAGTTCCCCGAGCCTGAACTAGGCTCCAGAGGGGCTCCTTTTCCTATTTCTCCTCTTTGAAATGGTCTCCAAGGCTGGGCATGGTGGCTCATACCCGTAGTCTCAGCACTTTGGAGGCTGAGGTAGGAGGATCTCTTGAGTCCAGGAGTTTGAGACCAGTCTGGACAACATGACAAAACCCCGTCTCTACCAAAAATACAAAAATTAGCTGGGTGTGGTGGTGCATATCTGTAATCCTAGCTACTCGGGAGGCTGAGGTGGGAGAATCGCTTGAACCTGGGAGGCGGAGGTTGCAATGAGCAGAGATCGCGCCACTGCACTCCAGCCTGGGCGACAGAGTGAGACTCTGTCTCAAAAAAACAAAAAAGAAAGAAAAGAAACCTCGGCATTGCATGCAAATATTTTTCTATCCTATTAGATTCATTATTTGTTTTTTTTTTTTTTTTTTTTTTGAGAGACGGAGTCTCACTTGCTCTGTCATCCATGTATATGTGATCATGCCAGAATGAATGAGTCTCTAGAATGCTCCCAACACACACATTTTGGGTGACTCTTGGTTCAGACCCAGAAGTAGTTCAGAGCTCTGGGCTATCAATGGCCTGGCCTACCACTGACCCTTGAGTTTCACTCCCGTGTAGGGCCCATGCACTGGGTCTCAGCCATTTGCATTCAGACTATGATGCCACCTCTGGTCTGCAGCACCCATGGCTGCAGGGTGGCAACAGGCATCCTTACTCCGTGCACTCTCTGCTGCTGGGCCCCCACCCCTCTGTAGGCTTCAAGCCATGTGTCAGACAGTCCTCTGGTGCAGCTGGGACCATTCATTGTTCTGCAGCTCCCATGGGCTCTTTCTACCAATGCCCTTTCTTGCCTCTGATTGATATGACAAGTCCTGCTGTTCTGGGTTGGCCTTAAGCTGTGCTGGATTGGAACAAACATTCCTCACGTGAGTGGTACAGTTCTTGCTCTATTCATGAGCCCCTCACCTATGCTCCCTACTGGTAGTGGTATGTGGGAGGCAGCGGGTGAGGTCAGCATTGAAATAGATCACGTTTCAGGAATGCAGTGATTGTGGCACAAAGAGTTGAAGAGAAGAGATGGTTGGGAAAAGCGCTGTTCTACATTACATAGTGTGTTCGTCCTTTTATGTTATGGTATACCTGAGGCTGGGTAATGTATAAAGAAGAGAGGTTTAATTGGCTTCTGGTTCTGCAGGCTGTACAGGAAGTGTGGTACTGGGGTCTGCTCCTGGGGTGGGCCTCAGGAAGCTTACAGTCATGGTGGAAAGCAAAAGGGGCAGGTGCATCATGTGGTGACAGCAGAGTGAGAGACAGCTGGGGAGACGTGCCAGGCTCTCTAAACAACCAGCTCTTGCATGAACCATCAGAGCCAGAACTCACTCATTACCATGGGGATGGCACCAAGCCATTCCTGAGGGACCCATCCCCGTGATACAATCACCTCCCACCAGGCCCCACCTCCAACACTGGGAATTACGCTTCAACGTGAACTTTGGAGGGGACAAACATCCAAACCATATCACACTGTAAAATTCCAAATGGTAAATTTAATATGACCAGAAGACAAATGATCATTCATATATTCTCTAGACTCTGGGGAAGACTTCCCTTATGGTCATCATCAATGAAGCACTGTCTTTGAGTCATTGGAAGCCCAGTACTCCCCAGTAGCACAACGGATGATGCAACCTAATGAGTAACCAGCATTCAGTAAATGTTGTCAGGGAAATGCAGAGGCAAGAAGATCTTTATTGTTTCAATATAAACAGAGCCTGAGGAGCCTGGCATTGTGAGCAATAACAATGTTGCTGCTTTTTTCTTGTGTTTTTTCCTTGTGGTGGGACATATGAGCCCAGAGCCACACATTTGACAGTAAAGAACAGGAGGAGATGGTGCCTGGATACTGCAGAGAATCTTCACATGCACTAATTGAAAAATACTAAAATACCTAAGTACTTCTTCTGTATTCACAACTCTCAATCTTCGTCAATACCTCATCATTCCTCACATGGGCCCAATAATTTTGTAATACATTTTAAAATCAAATTGTTTATATAGGCAGGGCTTCCAAAAACATATTTTCCAGGGTCCCATGCACCTTAGGCACAGCCCTGTTCTCACTTTCAGATGCAACGTCTTCCGGAAGCTCACACATGGGCCCCACATCCATTTATCCTCCTTCCAGTATCCATGCCCCCACTTTCCTCTGAAAAAAACACTCCCTGCCCATAATCAGCCTGCATGGAATCTGATGAAGCAGAGTTGACCAACTCTGGGGATGAAAGTCCTGACTTAGCCCTAAGCCAGTCAGCATATCTCATTCTGTGGTCCCAGCACTTGGTTCAGGAATGGGCATATGTCCCAATCAAAGTCAATGAGATGCAATGAAACTTTTATTTGGGATTCTAGGAAAGGGACACTCTCTTCCCTGCTGTACCTGAAACCTAACAGCACATAAGAGCTGGATCTGTTCCCACCATCTTGTTGTCGCATGAGGCCTAGAACTCAAGCAGCAGCTGAAGAAGCAAGTGGAGACATGGTAAGGGAGCTAGGACCTGGTGAGCTCATCTGTGTTCCTGATCAAGCTGCACCTGAAGCCAGGACACACACTTGGACCATAAGCCAATAATATCCCCTTTTGCGGAAGCAGTTTTGGTTGGATTTCTTCTTATTTGCAACCAGATTAAATCAAATGGATAATCATGTCTGAGTGTAAATGCTTTTGTTGTCCATATACTAATGCCTTCTCAATTCTGATTTTTTTGGCTGTCTAACAGAATGATGTCCTGAAGTATGCATTAACCTCTGCCTGATTCCTCTTTCTTTTATTTTATTTTCTTTCTTTCTTCTTCTTCGTCTTCTTTTTTTTTTTTTTTTTTTAATGGAGTCTCACTCTGTCACCCAGGCTGAAGTGCAGTGGCATGACTACAACCTCCGCCTCCCAGGTTCAAGCAATTCTCCTACCTCAGCCTCCCAAGTAGCTGGGATTACAGATGCCCGTCACCACGCCCAGCTAATTTTTTTGTATTTTTAATAGAGATGGGGTTTCACCACCGTATTGGCTGGACTGGTTTCGAACTCCTGACCTCAGGTGATTCATCCACGTTGGCTTCTCAAAGGGTTAGGATTACAGACCTGAGCCACTGCACCCGGCCCTGGTTCCTATTTCTACCTCCTCCCTGCCCCACAACTGAGGCCTCTTGACATTTGCTGCAGGCTCAGCCCCTCTCCAATTACCATGGAAAAATCCTGCCCTAAGTTGGAGGAGTCAATAACTCCAGCCCCACTGCAGACTCAATTGAGAACTTCTCTCTCATTTCATAGCCTGTCCAGCCTTTCCAGTTTATAACTGTATTCCCTACTCACTCTAAGGTCTGAGTCCAAGTCATGGTGTCTGAGATCTTAAAAATAGAATCATCAGAATGACCCGCCTTGCCAGTTTCAGGGTACAAATATAGCCACCTTTATTTCAATTTTCCACTCATTCAAGTTCTCACATACTTTTTTTAGTGCAAGGTCCCAAGACACCCTCTTTAGGCATCCACTGATCCCTGGATTTTCAAAGTCTAGGGGATAACTTGGGCTTAGGGCATCAGTGTGGTTCCAATGCCACCTACAGAGAGAACTAGTCTATCAGTCCACCACCAATAGTCATTGCTCCTCACTGCCACATGGTGTCGCTGTTGAAGACTGATTCTGCATAGTCTCATGGCTGCTTGTCCATTGCTGCCAGATGTCCTTGCTGGGTTCCTGCACAAGTCACAGTAGTGCCCCCTCTTGGTCTTAGCATTTATCACAAATTTAATCACATATTTGTTTTCCTGCTTATTGTCTGACTCTCCTATAGGACGTAAGTTCCATGGGTGCAGTTCCTATATGTGCTTTATTCAGCACTACTGAATTTGTACCAGAATAGGTACTTAATAAATATTGCTGAAATCAATGAGTGAATGAAGAAATGCATGCATGCCTGCATGAATAAATGAAATAAAGTGTCTGAAGCAAGGGGGAGACAAGACAGAGAAAGTGGTTTCCAGAGACAGAATCTCAGCCCACCTCTTGAGAGGGAGATGGCATACTTGTTACATAAATGCTTCTACTCCCCACTCCTTTGTCCATGGGGCCACTAATCAATCACATCATTCTTTCTCGCTGAGGTTGGAGACAATTTCTAAATCCTCAGTACAGAAGTCCAGCCATCTCTTGTAATGAATTGGAGGAGGCAGACAACAATGGAACGTTTTGTGGTAACAGGATGCAAGGGAATGTTCTCACTGTGGCAGTTTTAACATATAGCCCCCAAATTCTTTGACATTCCTCTTATTTAATGGTGGGATCCCTGACCCTTGCCCTTGAATCTGGGTTCTGCGAATGCTTGACCAATAGACAATGGCAGAAATGATGTTCTATAAGTTTCCAGGAACAGGTATTAAGAACCTGGCAACTTCCTCTTTCTGTCTCTTTAAACATTCATCTTGAAACCCAGCTGCCATGCTGTGAGGAAGCCCAAGCTGCTTTGGGAAGAGGCCCACCTGAGAGAAAACAGCAGCCAGTGCCAGCTTGCTGGCCTTGTGAGTGAGTCACCTTGGCAACGGACCCTCCAGCCTTAGTAGAGACATCCCTGGTGACATTACATGAACAAAGATGACCTGTCCCCACTGAACCCTGCCCAGACTGCAGGCTCATGACAAAATAAATGGTCTCTGTCTTACGCCGCTAAGTTTAGAGTGTTTTGTTAGGCAGCAGTAGTAACTGGGACACTCATCAAACTTCAGCATCAACTCTGCTACCATGGCTCAGTCCTTACAATCAAGTTCTGTCTCAGTTTCCCCGGCTCCACATGCCAGGTCCCCTTCTGGGCCTGCGGCTTTGAGAGGAAGCTTACATCTTATCCCATCCATGGAATGGGATAGGAGCTTATTCTGCTCCCTATATTGCCAGTCATGTAGGGGGATTGCATAGCCTGCAGTCACCACCCACTTGGTCTCTCCAGCAGCCCATGCTGAGAGCCTGAATATTTCATGATAGGCTGCAGCTTTTGAGCTTAGGAAGGAACTGCGGGTGTCATTTCGAGCTAGTTCCCATCCCTTTCATTCCCATGCCTGTATTTGTCAACGCTTAGCAGAGGACTTGCCCTTGTGCGCTGTTTGGGAAGCTGTGTGCCATGTCCGATTCACTGCCCCGTCACTGCCTGTTACTCCTTGTGGATGCAGATGCCCTAGACTCAGGGGGACCATCTTCAGAGCCTCTGCTAAGTGGTTCTCAAACATGTTTAGATGCCATTTAGCCACTTGGATGACCCAGTGACTGCCTCATTAATCTGACAAATGTTGGAAACAACTTGCTTCCTTCTCTCTTTCTGACATTAGGCACCAGCAGCTTCCTCACCTCTGGCACACTTTGAATTTTAGTAGGCCAGTGGAGCCTGCCTTTGGAGGTAGACAGAGGTGAATTCAACTTCCAGATTTATGATGTGAATCTCTCAAGTTCTCGTGATCTTGGGAGGGGGATATCATTTCCTTGGTCCTGGGGTTCCACGTTTGTTCAATGGGGATAATGCCAGCCTCAGAAAGCTGCTATGAGGAGTCAGTGAGACAAGGTGCACAACTCATAGTTTGGTGGGGCCTGTTAGCCCCTTGAGATCAGCACAACATGAGTTCAAATCTCCCACTTGCCATTCTAAGCAAGTTAGTGCTTGTTAGGGCTCAGAATAGTGCCTGTTAGGAAGCACTAGAGAAGCCAGGCATGGTGACTTATGCCTGTCATACCAGCACTTTGGGAGGTTTAGGCAGGAGGATCACTTGAGCCTAGGAGGTCGAAGCTGCAGTGAACTATGATTGTGCCACTGCACTCCAGCCTGGGAGACAGAGCAAGACCCTGTCTTAAAAAAAAAAAAGAAAAAGAAAAAAAAGACAAGAAAGAAAGCACTAGAGAAAGGACTGAGCCATGGTAGGAGAGTTGAGGCTGAAGTTTGGTGAGTATTAATTTTATGGATCACTTTTGTGTGTCTTCAACTCCAGGCTTCTGGAATGTCTACCTTTGATAATAATTATTTTTCTTTTTTAGAGATGGAGTCTCACTATGTTGCCCAGTCTGGTCTTGAACTCCTGGACTCAAGTGATTCTCCTGCCTCAGCCTCCCAAAGTGCTGGTATGACAGGTGTGAGCCACCACATTTGGCCTGAATGTCTATCTTGAGAGGTGGTGAGGGTTAGTGGTAAAAAGTGTGGATTCTAGACCCAGACTTCCCAGGTTTAAACCTCAGCTCCAATACTTACTATTTATGTGATCTTGGGCAAGTGAACCTGTCTGGGCTGAAGTTTCCTCATCTGTAAAGTGGAAATGATAGTAATACCTACTTTTTTTTTTTTTTGAGACAGGGTCCAGTTCTGTCACCCAGGCTGTAATGCAGCGACACAACGACCATGGCTTACTGCAGCTTTGACTTCTCATGCTCAAGTGATCCTCCCACCTCAGCCTCCCAAGTAGCTTGGACTACAGGTGTGCACCACCACTCCTGGATAATTTTCTTTCTTCTTCTTCTTCTTTTTTTTTTTTTGTTTTTTGGACATACAGGATCTTGCTATGTTGCTGTGGCTGGTCTTGAACTCCTGGGCTCAAGCAATCCTCCCTCTTCAGCCTCCCAAAATGCTGAGATTACAGACATGAGCTACCATGCCTGGGTAGTAACACTTACTTCTTAAGGCTGAGATATAGATTAAATAAGTCACTGTATGTGAAGCACCCAGCACAGACATAGCACTATATAAAAGTTAGCTATTGTTATCCTGCATAATGTTGATCCAGATGTGAAATTCCATCCCTTCCTTAATTCCCACAAACTCTAATTCAAAAACATTTTTTTTGTGAGTATATTAGAGCTTACAGAAACCTTTGGGTTCGTGCAAAGGGTAAAGGAGGGATTTACTGCTTGTTTCACACACTGCTTCAAGTAGAAATGTAGACATGATCATTCATAAACTCCAGCCATGCCTCTGTCTGTGGCAGCCCCTCACCATGTCACCCCATGTGGTCCCCATCCTCTCACCTTCTCAATGGTTCCTTGCTTCTCCTTCCTTACACCTCCATCTCTTCTCCTCAACCCTCCACCCTGGATCATCCTTATCATCCCATCCAAATTCTTCTCTCTTGAGTATGCCAAGCAATTCTGCTCTCCCCAACCCTTACTTTCTGCACAACCACATGCAACACCCACCCCCATCTCCCATGTGCTCAGCAGAACACAAAGACTGATATGGTTTGGCTTTGTTTTCCCACCCAAATCTCATGTTGATTTATGATCTTCAGTGTTGGAGGTGGGGCCTTGTGGGAGGTGATTGGATCATGGGGGATGACTGCTGTTCTTGGGATAGTGAGTGAGTTCTCATGAGATCTGGTTGTTTGAATGTGTGTGGCACTGCTGGGCGTGGTGGCTCATGTCTGTAATCCCAGCACTTTGGGAGGCCGAGGCAGGTGGATCACAAGGTCAAGAGATCGAGACCAGCCTGGCCAACATGGTGAAACCCTGTCTCTACTAAAAATACAAAAATTAGTTGGGTGTGGTGGCGCACGCCTGTAGTCCCAGCTACTTAGGAGGCTGAGGCAGGAGAAATGCTTGAACCTGGGAGGTGGAGCTTGCAGTGAGCCGAGATTACACCACTGCACTCCAGCCTGGTGACAGAGCGAGATTCCGTCTCAAAAAAAAAAAAAGAAAAGAAAAGAAAAAGAAAGAAGAAAGGTGTGGCATTTCCCCCTTTGCTCTCTCTCTCTCCTGCCACCATGTGAAGAAGGTGCTTGATTCCCCTTTGCCCTTCTGCCATGATTGTAAGTTCCTGAGGCCTCCCCAGCCATGCTTCCGGTACAGCCTGCAGAACTGTGTCAATTAAACCACTTTTCCTCATAAATGACCCAGTCTCAGGTATGTCTTTATAGCAGTGTGAGAATGGACTAATACAAAGAAAGACCTTCCATTTAAACTGTCCCTACCCTCCTTGGAAGGCAGTTTGAGTTATAAAAAGAAATGAGGCTGGGCACTGTGGCTCATGCCTACAATCCCAGCACTTTGGGAGGCTGAGGTGGGATTGCTTGAGTCTAGAAGTTCAAGACTAGCCTGGGCAACACAGTGAGACCCTGCTTCTACAAAAAATTAAAAAATTAGCAGGGTACAGTGTAGCATACCTGTAGCCCCAGCTACGTGGGAGGCTGAGGCAGGAAGATTGCTTGAGCCAAGGAGGTCAAGGCTGCAGTGAGCTAAGATCACACCACTGCACTCCAGCCTGGGTGACAGAGCAAGACCCTGTCTCAAAAAATACATGTATATATACCTCTTGTTATAGGTGTGTAAAGACTATAATAAATAGAGTATAAATTACACAGGTTCAACTATTAGCTAAAATATACATGTATTATATTACATTTACCCCTTTACCTTCTAACCCCCTTCCTCACTAGACCTCAGCTCTCACTGCTCTAGGGAAAGGGAGCCACAGCAGGATGGGGAGGGAAACCAAGGAAGTTAATTTCCAAATATCCAGGTCCTGGTGATTGAAAGGCAGTTCACACAGAATCTTAGGATAATTTTGACAATCAGTAATTTTCGCTTTACGGTGTTGAAGTTAGGACATAACTCCCACATGAGATGGGCATCTACAGCTCAAAAAGTGTTGATGGTCTTCTTAGAAAAAAGAAAATTGCGCTTCTAATAGAGCAAGAGAGTAAAAGTGAACATGAAATCTTTGCACAGTTATTTGAAAGAGAAAATTCTGATTTTGGCAATGAGATCTACCACACTTATGTGGGTACTTGTTTCAGCTACAAACGTAGGGAAATGTTCAATAAAAGTCTTGAAATAGAGCTTGGGGTCTCACTCTGTTACCCAGGCTAGAGTGCAGTGGCACAATCATAGCTCACTGCAGCCTCCAACTCCTGGGCTAAAGGGATCCTCCTGCCTCAGCTTCCTAAGTACCTGGGACTACAGGCACATGCCACCAAACCCGCCTAATGTTTTTTAATTTTTTTGTAGAGATGGAGTCTTGCCATGTTGCCCAGGCTAGTCTCAAACTCCTGGGCTCAAGTGATCCTCCCGCCTTGGCCTCCCGAAGTGCTGGGATGATAGGTGTGAGATGCCATGCTGGGCCTAAAACATATATTTCTAATGCAGAGCTGAGTTGAGAAGGAGGAAAGGGAAATCTCCAAGGGCCTGAAAATAGGAGTGATCTTCAATCAAGAACAGTAAACTCTCAGTTGCTGTTGTGGCAGCCCCCAGGGCACATCCTTGGACTTCAGGGACAAAGGAAAAGGGTTTTAAAACCCACGCAGGTCAGGAGATGTGGCCCCGTGAAACAGTGATTGGGAACGAAGACCCATTCAAATCAAAGCTGGAGCCTGGAAGGACTCTTTCCCATGAAATGGGGACCAGAAGTTCTCCAGCCCAAGCCCCGGCCTAACAGGCTGAGGACAGAGCAGGTGACAAGGACAGGAATCCAGATACACGGGCAGAGCACAAGACCATTTATCACAATGTGGGCACAAGATTGGGGCAAATGTGATGCTGAGTCTCAAAGCACAAGATTGAATAATAAGAACGAGAATAATGATGGCCATTTATTGTGCACTTACACTGTGTGTCACACGCTAAGTATGTCACACTGAATTCTTCTGATGAAGTAGATGCTACTACTGACATTGTCACTGTGAAGCTGATCTTGTAGATTTGGACAATGTCAGGATGGGAAAGTGGTTGTCTACTCCTCCCACCTTGTGGGGAGCTTTAGTGAAACAATTAAGAGGATACTTTTTCACCCTGGTGGCTTTTAAATTATGCCTCGTGGAAGGTCAGGGGCTGCCTTAGGTAGCAAAGGGAAGGTCCTCTATTTGTGGCATCGTTCCACCCCCTCTTCAACTGAAGCAGTTTCATTTATATCTGTTTTATTATTTATTTATTTATTTATTCTTTTTTTTTTTTTTTTTTTTTGAGATGGAGTCTCACTCTATCACCCAGACTAGAGTGCAGTGGTGTGATCTCGGCTCACTGCAACTTCCACCTCCTGGGTTCAAGCGATTCTCCTGCCTCAGCCTCCCAAGTAGCTGGGATTACAGGCACACACCACCATGCCCGGCTAATTTTTACATTTTTAGTAGAGACGGGGGGCTCATCATGTTGGCCAGGCTGGTCTCGAACTCCTGACCTCAAGTGATCTGCCTACCTCGGCTTCCCAAAATGCTGGAATTACAGGTGTGAGTCACCGTGCCCGGCCTCTATCTGTTGTATATACTGTGCTTCTCTCTCATGAGATCTGCTTCACTAAGAGGGTTTTGTAGATAATAATCATCATCATCATAAATAAAATACAATAAAGTAAAATAAAATAAGTCTCCAAAAAGAGTGACAATCAGACGTGGTGTCTATTGCTGTGCCACAGCCTGTCCCTGTCTCTTCCAGCACCTCACGATGCTACATTGTCAGCTCTTGTTTGGCGGCCACTGGACACAGACTGAGCAGGGACTTTGTTCTCCAGGATTTCTCCAGCATCTGGCCCAGAAGAGATCCCCCACAACTGTGGAAGAGGAAATTACATTGGATTTCCACATGCCTCAGGCCGACCTGGGAGTCTAGAGGGTGTAGACTTGGAACAGGGGTCTGTCCATGGGACATGGGCTGCCCTCCAACCCCTGGGCACCCCACACATAGCTAAGAAGAATATGGGTCTGTTTCCTGCTTATTATATTCACCTAAAAGGTAAAATAGGCTCTGCTTCTGGAAGCTCCTTAATTGCAGCTTTATAAAGAGGTCCCACATGTGAAAAAGAGGGGAAATTAATTGGTCTTCCAGGGAGCAGCTGAATGAGGTCTGGTAATTGAATTTCACAATGGATGCCTCCCTCTCGGTGGCCCGCATGTGATCTGGGATGGATATTTGAAGTTTTCGTCATGTAAATGGCTTGGGCTCCTCAAGGTTTATATTTTTTGGTGGGCATTACTCATTCACACTTCTATCTTGGACAAGATGGAGAAGAATTTATGCCATCTTACAAACTCTAAAATGATAGCAGGGAAAGAAGAAGGGGGCAAGGGCCTGTCCTCATCTTGAGATGCAATTTGGTAGATCCTTTGCAAAGGCTGGGGAAGGGCCAATTCAGAGAATAAATCATTACTCAAATGCCGGCTACCCCAGAATGAAGGTGCAGACCCAGCTGGTAGGTACTAGTGCTTGGGAGCTTGGCTCCAAAATGAGTTATGATAGGTGAGATCCGGAGGGGCAAGAAACACACCAAGTCATGATGATAATTAATACCTTGAACAGGTAGCTATATACTGAGATGCCCCCCTGAAGATTTAACTAGCACCATGACCCAAATGGTTACTTAAGTCTCTAATGGTTAAAGACTTAACTTGTGTGTTTTCTGTCTCAATAAAATAGTTACTAGTAAATCACTGTCCTTGGGCTGGATGTGCAAGGTAACCTCCAACCACTGCCACTACCAGGATAGGCATCAGACCTTTTAGGTTTTTAAAATCCAAATCAGCACTGGAAATATAAAATATATTTCTAGAAATACATCAAATGGATAGAAATATAATATGAGCCACAAATGCAAGTCACATATGTAATTTTAAATTTTCCAGTAGCCATATTTTAAAAGTACCAAAAAGATGATATTAACTTCACAATAGGCTGGGCACAGTGGCTCACGCCTGTAATCCTAGCACTTTGGGAGGCCAAGGTGGGTGGATCTCTTGAGCCCAGGAGTTCAAGACCAGCTTGGGCAACACAGTGAGGCCCCATCTCTACAACACACACACACACACACACACACACACACACACACACACACACACAAATTAGCTGTGTATGGTGGTGAATGCCTGTAGTCCCAGCTACTCTGGAGGCTGAGGTGGGAAGACACCTGAGCCCAAGGGGTTGAGGCTGCAGTGAGACCTGACAGAGCCACTGCATTCCAGCCTGAGTGACAGAGTGAGGCCCCATCTCACAACAAAAACAAAAACTTAATAATATATTTTATTTAACCCAATATATCAAAAATATCTCAACATGTTGTCAGTATAAACATTATTAATGAGACATAAACAAATGTAAAATGTGATGCATGTAATGTAAAAGAATTTACATTATTTGAAAATTTTTTGTTGATATTATTTACATGATTTCTTATTATTTGAGGGCTGTAAGAGAAGGATCTGTTTCAGGCCTCTGGAATACACTAATTCTTGTACTAAATACATTATTTCTTATACTAAGTCTTTGAAATCCAGTGTGCATTTTTTTAAGAGATCAGATCTCACTCTGTTGCCCAGGCTGGAATGCAGTGGAGCAATCATAGCTCACTGCAACCTCGAACTCCTTGGCTCGAGTGATCCTCGCGCCTCAGCCTTCTGAGCAGCCCAGTGTGTATTTTAACTTACAACACATCTCCATTCACATGAGCCACATTTCAAATGCTCAATAGCCACGTGTGGCTAGTGTTACAAATTGGAGTACGCAGGTGGAGTCCTTCCTACAGACAGTGAAGCCAAAGAAATAGAATAAACCCTTTGTGATTCAAGGGCCACAAAGGAAACTGAAGAGAGTTCTAGGTTAAGAAAGCCAACTGAAGCAGGTTGCGGTGGCTCATGTCTGTAATCCCAGCACTTTGGGAGGCTGAGGCGGGTGGATCACCTGAGGTCAGGAGTTCGAGACTAGCCTGGCCAACATGGCGAAACCTGTCTCTACTAAAGATACAAAAATTAGCCAGGTGTGGTGGTGCACACCTGTAGTCCCAGCTACTCAGGAGGCTGAGGCACTAGAATCACTTGAACCCAGGAGGCGGAGGTTGCAGTGAGTGGAGATAGAGCCACTGCACTCCAGCCTGGATGACAGAGTGAGACCCTATCTCAAAAAAAAGACATAATCTACCACAGTAGTGCCAAGATAACTCAATAAAGGAAGGAATTTTAGTTTAAACAAATGGCACTGAGACAATTGAATATCCACATGTAACATGAAGTTGGATTCCTATTTGCACCCTAAAAATTAACTCAAAAAGAATCAAATTCTTAAATGTAAGAGCTAAAACTATAAAACTCTTCAAAGGAAAAGACGTGAAAATCAGCCAGGCATGGTGGCTCACGCCTGTAATCCCAGTACTTTGGGAGGCCGAGGAGGGTGGATCATGAGGTCAGGAGTTCGAAACCAGCCTGGCCAACACGGTGAAACCCCGTCTCTACTAAAAATACAAAAATTAGCCTGGTGTGGTGATGCGCACCTGTAATCCCAGCTACTAGGGAGGCTGAGGCAGGAGAATCACTTGAACTTTGGAGGCAGAGGTTGCAGTGAGCCAAGATCACACCATTGCACTCCAGCCTAGGCAACAGAGTGAGACTCAGTCTCACAAAAAAAAAAAAAAAAAAAAAAAAAAAAAAAAGGCGTGAAAATCTTTGTGACTTTGGATTAAGCAATGGTTTCTTAGATATGACATCAAAAGCACAAACAAACCAAAAAACAGATAAACTGGACTTTACCAAAATTTAAAACCTTTGTGCTACAATAGGGAAAAGACGACCCACAGGATGGGAGAAAATATTTCCAAATCATACACCTTTTTTTTTTTTTTTTTTTAAGAGACAGTGTCTCACTCTGTAACCCAGGTTGCAGTGCAGTGGAATGATCATAGCTCATTGCAGCCTTGAACTTCTAAGCTCAAGAGATCCTCCCACCTCAGCCTCCCAAGTAGCTGGGACTACAGGCTTCCACCACCATGCCTGGCTAATTTTTTAATATATTTTTTTGGTAGAGGTTGGGGGGGCGGGTCTCACTATGTTGCCCAGGCTGGTCTCGAACTCCTGGCCTCAAGTGATCCTCCTGCCTCAGTCTCCCAGAGTGCTGGGATTATGGGCATGAGCCACCACCGTGCCTGGCCTCCAAATCATGTATCTGGTAAGAGTCTAGTACCTAGAATATATAAAGATCTCTTACAACTCAACAGTAAAAAGACAAATAACCCAATTTTTAAATAGGCAAAGGATTTGAATAGACATTTCTCTAAAGAAGATATAAAAATTGCCAAGAAGGCCTGGTGTGGTGGTTCACACCTACTAATCCCAGCTCTTTGGGAGGCCAAGGCAGGCAAATCACCTGAGATCAGGAGTTCAAGACCAGCCTGACCAACATGGCGAAACCCCCTTCTCTACTAAAAATACAAAAATTATCTGGACTTGGTGGCACACGCCTTTAGTCCCAGCTACTCGGCAGGCTGAGGCAAGAGAATCGCTTGAACTTGGGAGGTAGAGGTTGCAGTGAGTGAGATGGCACCACTGCACTCCAGTCTGGGTGACAGAGCAAGACTCCGTCTCAAAAAAAAAAAAAAGAAAAGAAAAGAAAAGAAAAAAATAGCCAAGAAGTACATGAAAAGATTCTCAATATCATTAGTCATTAGGGAAATGCAAATTAAAACAAAACAGAAAAAAATCAACTAACAACAATAGTGAGGAGGATGTGGAGAAACTGGAACCCACATACATTGCTGATGGGAAGGTAAAATGGTATAGCCACTTTAGAAAACAGTGTGGTAATTCCTCGAAAGGTTAAACATGTTCATAGTAAAACTCATACACCAATGTTTATGGCAACATGATTCATAATAGCCAAAAGTGAAAACAATCCAAATGTCCACCAACTGATGAATGCATAAACAAAACCTTGTATATGCCAGGCACGGTGGCTCACACCTGTAATCCCAGCACTTTGGGAGGCTGAGACAGATGGATTACTTGAGTCCAGGAGTTGGAGACCAGCCTGGGCAACACAGGGGGACATCCTCCCCTTACCCTGTCTCTACAAAAAATACAAAAATTACCTGGGTATGTTGGCCTGTGCCTATACTCCCAGCTACCTGGGAAGCTGAGGTGGAAGGAACACTTGAGCCCAGTAGGCAGAGGTTGCAGTGAGCCAAGATTGCCCCACCGCACTCCAGCCTGGGTGGCAGAGTGAAACCTTGTCTTAAAAAAAAAATAGTTCTGCCGGGTGCGGTGGCTCACGCCTGTAATCCCAGCACTTTGAGAGGTGGAGGTGGGCGGATCACAAGGTCAGGAGATTGAGACCATCCTGGCTAACACGGTGAAACCCCATCTCTACTAAAAATACAAAAAAATTAGCCAGGCGTGGTGGCATGCGCCTGTAGTCCCAGCTACTCGGGAGGCTGAGGCAGGAGAATGGTGTGAACCCGGAAGGCGGAGCTTGCAGTGAGCCGAGATCGCGCCACTGCACTCCAGCCTGGGCGACAGAGCAAGACTCCGTCTCAAAAAAAAAAAAAAAAAAAAAAATAGTTCTGAGAGGCCAGGCGTGGTGGCCTGTAATCCCAGCACTTTGGGAGGCCGAGGCAGGGGGGGTCACTTGAGGTCAGAAGTTCCAGACCATCCTGGCCAACATGGTGAAACCCCGTCTCTACTAAAAATACAAAAATTAGCTGGGCGTGATGGTGCACGCCTGTAATCCCAGCTACCAGGGAGGCTGATACACGAGAATCACTTGAATCTGGGAAGCAGAGATTGCAGTGAGCTGAGATCGTGCCACTGCACTCCAGCCTGGGTGACAGAGCAATAATCCATATCAAAAATAAATAAACGAATAAAAGTGATGGTTATACAATCTTATGAATATACTAAAGCCACTTACTTGTACAATCTAAAGTGGTGAATTTTATGGTGTGTAGATTATATCAATAAAAATGCATGCCTGCAAAAAATCCATGAGACTTCATTAGAAAACAGAAAAATTGATAAAATTTAACAATGTAAAAATAATAATATAAATAACAAAAATTGGGACGTAAAAAGAGAGGAGGTGAGAGTACTAGTGCCATCATTTTCAAAATGGGGAGATAGACAAAACTGAAACATGTAGTTTAAAATAAAAACATAGTGACCACAACTTTAATCTATTTGTAATCTCTCCTTTATAAATTTAGAGAGATATTTCAAAAAGTTATCTCTTGAAGTACAGAAACATTGTTTGACTTTCAACAATTCCTTTAGTTTCTCTCCAGTTCTTTTTTGTCTAGTAAATTATAATAAAATGTAATGCTTCTTAATTAAAATTTGAAACTATAATATAATCTCCTTTTAATAAAATATTTCTATCTCATCCTCCTCATTTTATATTGGCACAAAGAGATATTTCAAATAATGTACATCTCTTATAATTTCTAGACCACAAATGTGATTTTTTTTCTACTATCACCTTCACCCTTTCCTTTATTATTTGAATTCTTCATAATAATGTTGTATCAGCTCCCTGAAACAATAGAGTTCAGGTTCTAAATGACTGGAAGAAAACATGCCAAGACAGGCCTTGGTGAAATATAGATTATTTTTTTCTTCACATTATTCTGTATTTTTAAAATTGCTACGCCCAGTCTCCCCAGAGGAAACTGACCCAACCTTTAGGCTGGAAACAGGGAAAAAATAATTGTGGTTTTCATAAGGGAAAGATGTCTAAATAGCTTTGGCACAAAACTTCCTGGGCATCTGTGCTCCAGAAGAGAATGGTTGATAGGGTACAAGAGCTGTGCCTTGCACCTAGTGTTAAACATGGCCCCAGAGCAGTGACGGAACTCTGTCAAAGGACCACAATGGCCCATGCTGGGACCTGGAAATAGTGAAACATTGCTGCAGCCTGGACCAGCAGTACTCAAGGAGGTAGGAGGGTCACCATGTGACAGCAGCTTCTACTGGATGGGAAGTGACACAGCAACAATAGCACTCCTGGACTCTCCAACGTTGCTCCCATGGCTTTTGGATTTAATTTAAAGAAACAAAAGAGGGCCGGGTGCGGTGGCTCATGCCTGCGATCCTAGCACTTTGGGAGGTTGAGGTGGGCAGATGGCCTGAGCTCGGGATTTTGAGACCATCCTGGGCAACATGGTGAAATCCTGTCTTTACTAAAAATACAAAAAATAGCTGGGCGTGGTGGTGCACACCTGTAGTCCCAGCTACCCTGGGAGACTGAGGCACGAGAATCGCTTGAACCCCAGGAGGCAGAGGTTGCACTGAGCTGAGATTGCGCCACTGCACTCCGGCCTGGGCTGGAGACAGAGTGAGCCTCTGTCTCCAAATAATAATAATAATAATAATAATAATAATAATAATAATAATAATAAATAAAATAAAATATCGCTGGGCTCGGTGGCTCACGCCTGTAATCCTAGCACTTTGGGAGGCCAAGGTGGGTGGATCACCTGAGGTCAAGAGTTTGAGACCAGCTTGGCCAACAGGGTAAAACCTCATCTCTACTAAAAAAAAAAAAAAAAAGCCTGGCCTTGGTGGCATGGGCCTGTAATCCCAGCTACTTGGAAGGCTGAGGCAGGAGAATTGCTTGAACCCGAAAGGCAGAGGTTGCAGTGAGCTGAGATCACGCCACTGTGCTCCAGTCTGGGTAACAGAGTGAGACTCCACCTCAAAAAATAAATAAATAAATAAATAAATAAAATAATCTATAGCAGTTGTTATCTACAGTTGAGGAATAGTTTACAACTGTTCCATATACAAACTTATAGGTTGCAAGTCCCCTGTAATGTCCATTATTTTATTGAATCCTTTTTAAACAGTCCTATAGGGGAAGGCAAGGATTAGAATCAGTATTTTATGGGTGAGAAAACTGAGGTTCAACAGAGTTCAGTGACTTGTTCAAGATGACACAGCTAGGCCAGGTGTGGTGGCTCACGCCTGTAACCTCAGCACTTTGGGAGGCCAAGGCTGGTGGAACACTTGAGGTCAGGAGTTCAAGACCATTCAAGACCAGCCTGGACAACATGGTGAAACCCCATCTCTACTAAAAATACAAAAAACTAGCCGGGTATGGTGGCTCAGGCCTGTAGTCCCAGCTACTTGAGAGGCTGAGGCATGAGAATCACTTGAACCCGGGAGGCAGATGTTGCAGTGAGCCGAGATCGTGCCGCTGCACTCCAGCCTGTGCCACAGAGTGAGACTGCATTTCAAGAAAAGAGATCACACAGCTAGTTTGAGACTCAAAGCCAGCTTTGTCTATGGCTAGATGGTGCCTAGCACAGGAATCTAAAGGAAGCATGGTTACATTTAGAGTTTTTGGAGAGAACATGTAGCCAGAGGGACAGTAGGTGAGTGTGAATTAGGCACCCAAAGCGAGCTCGGGTCCCGAGTTGAGACCCGGGAGCATCAGTGAGCCCTCTTAGTGTGGGTCTTTTCTTCATTCTTATCGGCAGCTCCTCTGCTCAGATCTGCTTCTTTCATCAACTAATACTCACAACTCTCTCATTTCCAGACACTTTCCTTTAATTGTGTGTGGGATCATACACAGTATCAGGGAAAACTATCGATAGCAAGCCTGATTATAGACACTGTGAAATTAGCAAAGAGAGAAGAGGTTTTGTTTTGTTTTGTTTACCATTTGTTTAACATATGAGATCTGCTTACCCGTGGTGTCAATGCCTGTAACAATTATACATGTAACCCAGATGTTCCCCAGGGTCTCTCACCACAGGCAAGCTCAGTAAGATGGACTTAGATTCCATTTCCATGGCCTATATGTCCACAGAGCCCTTCCCAAGAGTCTGGAGACCTTAGGGGACTCATATGCTCAGTAACATTGCCTCTGGGGTCCTGGTTCTGGCATGAATCTCTATGACCCAGATGTGAAACTCAGCCACACTCTCAGACAAATAACCAAAAACATTCATGGGTATAATTAGATTTTTTCTCAGTTGGTAAAAATCTTAAATACAGAAAAAACAGAGAGCTGTCTAACAAATACCCATGCCCTCCAACTCTTTGAATTTAATGTTATTATTTTACAGGATCGGCTTTTGATTGTTTTAATCTAATAGGGTTAAAAGTGACATCTCTTACGTATGCCTTCCTTCCCAGAGGAATCCACCATAGGGAATTTGGTGTCTGTCCTTCCAAATCTTGTTTTTATACTTTTACTCATATAATGTATCCATAAATGTTTGTCTTATGTGTTTTTATAATGCTATCATATTTCATTTTCTGCAAGTTGCTTTTTTATGCAATAGTGTGTGTTTTTTCTTTGTTTATTTGTTTTTGAGACAGAGTCTCGCTCTATTGCCTCAGCCCCCCAAGTAGCTGAGATTACAGGTGTGTGCCACCATGCCCTGCTAATTTTTTGTATTTTTAGTAGAAACAAGGTTTCACCATGTTGCCCAGGCTGGTCTTGAGCTCCTGAGCTCAGGCAATCTGCCCGCTTCAGCCTCCCAAAGTGCTGGGATTACAGGTGTGAGCCACCGCGCCCGGCCTGGTTCCTGTTTTCGTAAGGAGATTGGAATGAGATGCAAATAAACAGAGAAGTGATTATATCTAAGAAATACAAACAAGTCTGTCTGCTGCCCTCACTACATGGACATAGACCCACCAGGCAATTCCACCTGCTGCTTCAACTCATATTATTCCCAGTCATTTACCTTCTGGCTGGCAACCTTCTCCTCCTTACCTACTTTTAATGCTCCTACCCCCATTCTGTTCTCTCTGCCTTCTTCGCAGGGGCAAAAGATAAATTCCTCCCATTTTCTCATGGAAAGCTCTTAATCATCTCTTCTGTTACTAGGGGCCTGGTGCTCCTGCCTCCAGTTTGTGGTTCCTCAAACACAGTTCCTTCTTGTATCAGTTAAGGATTGCAACATAGCAAGCCCACCCCAAAACTTAACTGTCTTAAAACAGTACTACTTATTAGCTCTTGAATCTCTGGGTCAGCAGTTTCGCCTGGACTCAGCTAGGTATTATTTCTGGTCTTGGCTAGGTTCATTCAGGCACTGTCGTTAGCCAGGTGGCTCTGCTTCAGGGATTGGTTGACTGTCAGCTGGGGCAACAGCAGTGACTTGACCACTCGTCTCTCCTGCTCCTGCAGGATAGCCAGGGCCTGTTCTCACAGTAGCAGCAGGACTCCAAGAGTGACAGAAGAAGCATGCAAGGCTTCTGGAGGTTCAGGCTCAGAACTGGCACAATGTCACCTCTGCCTCATTCTATTGACCAAAGCAAGTCACAGGCCAGCTTAGATTCAAGATGTCAAAAAATAAACTCCATCTCTTGATTGGAGAAGCTGCAAAGTCACATTCTAAGGGGCCCGGAAACAAGGAGGAGGGGAGGACTGTGGGTTGGATTCTCTGGGAAGCCAACTCTGAGATAGAGATTAACATGCAGGAAGTTACTCAGGGAGTGCTCTTGGGATCAACACCGGTGGAAGAGCAGAGAAGGAAGCAGGATGGAGCAGAGGGAGAAATTGAAGTGCAATGTCAGAACAAAGGCTTCCACTGACCTCATGGAGACCTCTAAAACTGGAATAGGTCTTCCAAGTTGTCCTGAGTAGAGGCAAGGGGACCAGGCCTCTAAGCTCCCAAGCTGATCAATCATTTATGCAGACTGCCCTGAAAAGGCAGCTGCCAAGGAAATTCCCAAAGAGGGCTTAGAGCCAAGGATCATCTGCCAACACTTTTCCCAGTAGCAGGTGGAATAAATCCTTCATTCCTCAGTGGGGGAGGAGGGTTGCCTGTGCCGAACATCACAGTCCACTCCACTGCCACCTCTCCCTAAGAATGCTAATGCTCATGATAAAACGCTTGTCACTTGCTGTATATGTATACGTTAAATATTTATAATCACTTATTAAATGCATCGCCTAACTTGTACAGATTTTAGATGATCACAATGCTAAATGTCACTCCTTTGAACTTAGTCTTCATAGTTTCATTGCTCATTTATCTAGGTCATCCACTCAAAACTTTAAGGATGAGGAGAAACAGCTTCTCCCATCAGAAATCTAGGCAAGAGGCGCTCACTGGCTCCCAACCAGCGGGAGGGTCGTCGTGTGCCTGCGCCTGGGTTGGGGGAGCCTTCGCGCCTAGGCCTTTCCCTCAATTTTTCCTCTTTCCCCCTCGCCCCGCACTGGGGCTTCCTGGTCGGCGCTTGCACAGGGAACTCAGTGCTGAGATTGTCTCAAGCCCCAGGAAAAATGGTGGAAAATTCACTGTCACCATTGCCAGAAAGACCGATTTATGGCCTTCTGCTTCTCTTAAGCTCCCAATTTGGCTTCATACTTTACCTCGTGTAGGCTTCTATTCCTGAATCTTGGCTAAACTCCTTAGGTTTAACCTATTGGCCTCAAAAATATTGGACAGTTGCATTACCTCTCTACTTCCTTATTACTATAGTAATTGGCTATGTGCTCTTGTTTGTACCCCATTCACTCGACTCCATTCGTACAATCACAGATAACTATGCTAAAAATCAACAGCAGAAGAAATACTAAGAGGAGGCCATTCCAGCATTAAGAGCTATTTCTATTTAGTGAAGTAAACCAAATTTTCTTTCTTGTAGCCAAAGACCTTTACACCAAAAACTGAAATGTACCTGGCCATACTAATGAGAGGTGAAGCTGGCTGGGCTTCTGGGTCGGGTGGGGACTTGGAGAACTTTTCTGCACTGACGGGGAGTGTCTGCAGCTTCATTCCTGAAGTCAGCGAGACCACCAGCCGACCGGAAAGAAGAAACAACTCCCGATGTGCCACCTTTATGAACTATAACACTCACTGTGAAGGTCTGCGGCTTCACTCCTAAAGTCAGCGAGATCACAAACCCACGGGAAGGAAGAAACTCTGGACACATCTGAACATCTGAAGGAACAAACTCCAGACATACCGTCTTTAAGAACTGTAACCCTCACCGCGAAGGTCCGCGGCTTCATTCTTAAAGTCAGCGAGACCAAGAACCCGCTGGAGGGAATAAATTCCGGACACACTAACACCAAGCATTTATTTATTTATAAGTTTTTGCCATCGTAATTTTGACCATAAATTAATTCAACCATCTCTCTTATTAATAGAGGAGATGTAAAAATTGTAAATTGATCTTCTCTTAGATTATGTTCAATGAATATTGTAAGTGTTCTCATGTATTGTTAATGAACAGAATAAAATACAGCATTACCATTAAAAAAAAAATAAGTCTAGGCAAGAACCATTTCAAGCCATGCTGGCAACAGAGTCACCAGACTGCAGTTAAGGTAGAGACACGATGTTCTTTGTAGTTCTTTGTAGAGAGAAGGACTAAGATCTGGGTCATGGAGAGATGATCACTCAACAGGGAATGCGGGAAGCTAGAGTAAAATTTGGCTGGCAGACCAAGTCGTGAGAGGAAAAAGAGACCAAATGAGGCTTTGAAAGATAAATAAACAGGCCGGGCGTGGTGGCTCACACCTGTAATCCCAGCGTTTTGGGAGGCCGAGGTGGGCAGATCGCCTGAGGTCAGGAGTTCGAGACCAGCTTGGCCAACAGGGTGAAACCCCGCCTCTACTAAAAATACAAAAAAATTAGCCAGGTGTGGTGGCAGGCGCCTGTAATCCCAGCTACTCAGGAGGCTGAGGCAGGAGAATCACTTGAACCTGGGAGTCGGAGGTTGCAATGAGCCGAGATCGCACCATTGCACTCCAGCCTGAGCAATGAGTGAGACTCTGTCTCGAAAGAGAGAGAGAGAGAAAGAAAGAAACAACCCACCCCACGAGGGCAGCTCTTGATATCTGGGAAGACAGTTCATGCCTTACAGAGGCAAGTTGCTTGTTTGGCAAAATTCCAGGAGAGCCGTCAAATCAGAATTTGGGGACCTGGATGGAGAATTGATTTCACCTGCAACAAAGGCGACTCCCTGTGACCACATAGAAAAGACTCTGCTTTTTGGAAACCAAAGGCTGTGACCTTCACATGCAGGCTTATAGATAGGAACAAATTAACAGGTCAGGCCAAAAAGGAGGAGATGTCAGCAGTGGCCAGTTGGAAAGTTCTGGGAGAACCACAAAATGCCAGAGTCTCTCAATTAAAGTGGAAAAACCGGCTTAGAGTGATTCAATGGTAAGATCAGGATCATGCCATGGGTTGTTAGCTATTCTGTTTAGCTCTCCAGATCTACCCTTCGCCCTCTCCACCAGTGGTGCTGTGTCCCAGAGATTCACTTTAATGGAATATGTCGAAAGGATTCTTTACTCCCTGGCTTTCTATTGGGTTTGCTCAATGGGAGACACGTGCAGGATACTAGAGGATGGAAGAAGAGAGAAATGAGGGTATTTATTTACCCAGCTCCCCCGCCACTGGGGCCAAGGACTGGAACTATCATGGAAAACCGTTTTCTCAACTTCAACTCTTTCCACATTCACGGAAGCACTCCTTCTCCCTGCCTCTTTAGGCCTGGACCCATAATGTACCCCCCTCAACTGTTGCAGTCTCTGGGGTGCTTCCCCCATTCCCGTTGGCTTCCCTTAACGATTGTTACAACTTTATAAATACTTTCCTGGCCAGGTGGGGTGGCTCACACCTGTAATCCCAGAACTTTGGGAGGGTGAAGCAGGAGGATCGCTTGAGTCTGGGAGGTCAAGGCTGCAGTGAGCTGTGATCACACCACTGCACTCCAGCCTGGAAAACAGACTGAGACCTTGTCTCAAAAAAATAAATAAATATTTTCCTTGATCACTGCACTTGAGTGCTATCTCTTTTTTGATGCAATTCTAAATGCTAATCACTTGAGCTAGCTTATTGAAAAGGGGACACTGTGAATTTTTATGGATAGTTGTTCCTTTTGGCTGTCCAGCCTCAGAAACACATACTCATGTCTGAAGAATTTCCCATCATATGAGTCTTGGTGGGAAGTAGAGCTCACTTCCCCACATAGAATGTGGCAGTGCTAGCTATTTGCTTTTCAGCCTCCCTTGCAGCTAAGGTTTGGGCAAGTGACCTAGGCTCAGCCAGTCAGAAGCATAAACCAAACTTTGAATGAGGAGTCGGTAATATAAAGACATAAGGACAGTGCTGGGCATAGTGGCTCATGCCTGTAATCCTAGCACTTTGGGAGGCTGAGGCAGGTGGATTTCTTGAGGCCAGGAGTTTGAGACCAGCCTGGCCAACATAGTGAAACCCCATCTCTACTAAAAAATTTAAAAAAACTAGCTAGGTGTGGTGGTGCGCACCTATAGTCCCAGCTACTTGGGAGGCTGAGGCAGGAGAATCACCTGAACCTGGGAGATGGAGGTTGCAGTGAGCCAAGATCATGCTACTGCACTCCAGCCTGGGCAACAGAGTGAGACTCTATTTTTTTATTTTTTATTTTTTAAATTTTATTTATTTATTTATTTATTTTTGAGATGGAGTGTTGCTCTGTCACCCAGGCTGGAGTGTAGTGGCACAATCTTGGCTCACTGCAACCTCTGCCTCCTGGGTTCAAGCGATTCTCCTGCCTCAGCCTCCTGAGTAGCTGGGATTATAGGTGCACACCACCATGGCTGGGTACTTTTTGTATTTTTAGTAGAGGCGAGGTTTCTCCATGTTGGCCAGGCTGGTCTTGAACTCCTGACTTCAAGTGATCCGGCCACCTCAGCCTCCCGAAGTGCTGGGATTACAGGCGTGAGCCACTGTGCCCGGCCGAGACTCTGTCTCTAAACAAAAGAAAACACAACACAATACAACAACAACAACAACAACCCAACCCAAACCAAACCAATAAAACAAAAACTTCCACTTAAATCTTAAAAAAAAAAAAAAAGAAAGACACAGGGACAGTGGAGAGGTAGTCTGGTGGTGGTGGCCATAGAAGCAGCAATATCCTGTCTCTGGGGCAGCCTGGGCAGTAGGGCCAGTGACTGTTCCTAGCATGCAGATGTGGAGCTTTAGCAGAGTCAGAGAGGCAAGTGGAAGGGTCTGGTACTCTGCACTGGAGGCAGCAGGGTCCTCACAGGCCCTGTGTTTCTGCCATTGCGGTGTCCAGGTCTGGTTCTTCAGCCTTCCCAGCAATGCCAAAAGCTCTCTGGTATCTTTTCTACTGATTCCTCTCCTGCTTAAATCTACCACAGTCAGTTTCTGTTGCTTGCATTATGAATCCCAACTTGTGGTTTGCGTGCAACCCAAATGTGGGCTACAGCTAGGCTTCACAGGGAAATAGAAAACAGGGGCCCAGGCAGCTACTCCCTCTGCCTCCCACTTTGGTGCCTCAATTTCTCTCTCTCTATCTGTCTCTTTCTCTGTCTCTCTCAATACAACTGCCACATACTTCTTTCCAGCTGTGGTTTTGTCTTAATTCATGGAAAGACATTATAGCTTACTGTTTAGGAAGCACCCACTTTGAGGTCAGAATGCCTGGATTCAAATCTCAGATGTACAGTTTACCATCCACAAGGTTTTGGTCAAGTTACTGATCCTCTTTGGGCTCTGTTTCCTCATCTGTACAATGAGGACAACAGTTTTCCTGTTTTGAGGATGAAATCACACAACGTGTGTAAAGCCCTCACCAAGCTATTAGGCCACAGGAGCCATCAGTAATTGTTGCTATTGTTATCTTCATTATCAGCATTATTATCAGCACGGTTTGGGGACTTATAGAGACTACTTAAAGCAGGCATCTTAAACTTCAAATGCCTACAGGAGCCAACAGGGATGATGAAAAGGAGCCATGTATAGAACACAGGCACACACATTTTCCATAGTCCCAAGGGAAGCTCTCCCAAGGGACTGTAAAAATTGTGCGAGTGTGTGCCTGTCTAGAGGGGGCAGCCATTTCCCAGCCACAGCCATTTATTGCCATGTGGAATGTGAGCCCGGTGATGCCAGATTTTCCACTATTTCAAGAGAGGTCAGATATCCAGCTATTTGGGGTAAGCTTGATGTTTTTCAAAAATCTAAAAAAGCACTATCCTGGCCAAAGGAAACCTTCCTGGGGCCACAGCAGGCTGCAAACGCTAATTTCTATGTTCTAATGCAAATTTCTGGATTGAGTTGAAATTGTCAGGGAGGGAAAGTGGTTAGGCCAGGTTAATTTCATTGGCTCAATCAGGTATGGCCATGGCCCACCACTCACCCAGTGGGGAATGTGGTGGACACTCTGACTGTGGGGTGTGGGCAGGAATGTAGTCATAGGCATACTTTAGAGAAGGAGGCAAGGACCAAAGGGGTGCCCCAAGAGTTGCTTTCCTATGGATGCCAGCACATTAAAAACAAACGCATCAGGAATGCAATAAGTCCCGATAAGTGCAAGGTTAAGAGTGAGGCTTGTTTATCTTGTTATTTATTTAAATAACAGTGTGTCTGGCGGTAGGGCATAACAGGACTAGCACAAAGGCTCAGATATATCCATGTGATTCCAGATTATTTCCACCCTTTCACACCTCCATCCTAGCATGTAGGCCTTTGTCCTCATACTTTTCACCTCATGGTTGCAAGATGGCTGCAATTGTGACCATCACAACTATGTTCCAGGCAGAGGGAGAGGAAATGAGAAGGAGTAACTAATGGCCCTTATGTCAGGACTTTGCAGAAATCCCCAGCATATATATATTTTTTCATCTTATTGGCCACAGCTAGTTCCCATACCCATACCTAGTGACAAAAGAAATTATGGAGGTGAGTATTTTTAGCTTGGTACATTGCAGCCCCAAAGAACATCAAGGTTTTTAAAAACCCTATTTTGGAAACAAGGAGAGAATAACCTGGAGTAGGAAATCAGCAGCCTCTGCCACCTTCTCTGAATATGCACCATGTGCCAGACCCCAGCTAAGTACTGGGATATCAGGCTAACAGTCCCAGTCTGCACAGCAGAAAGATACAGAAGTGGGCCTGGTGCAGTGGCTCACGCCTGTAATCCCAGCACTTTGGGAGGCCAAAGCAGGCAGATCACCTGAGGCCAAGAGTTTGAGACCAGCCTGTCCAACATGGCGAAACCCTGTCTTTACTAAAAATACAAAAAATTAGCCAGGCATGGTGGTATGCATCTGTAGTCCCAGCTACTTGGGAGGCTGAGGCAGGCGAATCACTTGAACCCAGGAGGCAGAGGCTATGGTGAGCCGAGATCGCACCATTGCACTCCAGCCTGGGCAACATGAGCAGAACTCTGTCTCAAAAAAAAAAAAAAAAAAAAAAAAGAGAGATACAGAAGTTGTTGTGGAACCCAACACAGCTGGGCCGGGTTCCAAAGTGAGAAAATCAGCGCTTTGGCTCCTTACAGATCTTCTAGGCCTCCCATCCTTCCTGCCCCTTCCCTGCCCCTCCTGCTGTCAGCGCAGTCCCACAAAGGGCAGAGTAGGGTGGAAACAATGTGTGATTAACACCAGTAGCAGTTTCAGGAGGCATCCAAGAGATGTTCCAGAGAGAAATATGTAACTGGCACATCTGGTTTATAATGTGTATTAATTCCTGACATGTAGTTTGAGTAATATATGTAAAGCAAAAAGTCCAAGTGTTGATTTAGGGGCCTTATTATTACTCTGTCAGCAGAATTCATGTTCTATTTGTGCAGTGCTCTGGGCCCAGCACCTCACCTAGGGCAGCAGGAAGGGGAAGGCTTTCTCATGGGTGCCAGTGGATGGTGGAGGCCCCTGCTGATGGTGATAGGGATGTGGATGAGTACTTGGAGCCCCTGGTAGGGTTGGCAGAAGCTCATCTGGCAAAGAAGATCGTGGAGCTAGACCAAGTGCCAGCTGAGGCTAGAAGCAGAGGCATCCTACCCCTCAGAGGCAGAAGTAGCTTAAAGTCTAGAAAACTGTGGGCTGTGGAGTTCAAAGCCAGCTCTGCCACTTCATTGCCATGTGACTTTGAGTAAGTTATTCCAGCTCTCTGAGCCTCAATTTCTGCTCCCATAAATGAGAACCATAATAACGCCTACCTAACAGGGCTGCTGTGAGGTTTAAATAAAAACAACAGGTGCTGAGAATTTACTATGGGTCAGCGTAGTGTTGCAAGTGTTTGACATGTATTATCTCATTGAATCCTCACAGTAATCTCATGTAGATACTATTATGATGCCCAATTTACAGTTGAAGAAATGCGGCACAGAGAGGTGAAGTAACTTGCTCAGGGTCACACAGCTAGTGACTGGCAGAGCTGGGGTTCATACCTAGACAATCTAGCCCCAGAGAACACTCACTGAGATGTTTCAACAGACAGCTATATTTTATAGTAAGCACACAGTAAAGGGTAATTCTCTAGGTCAGTGATGTCCAATGGACCTTTCTGTGATGAAAATGTTTTGTAATTCTGTGCTGTCCAATACACGAGCCACTAGCCACAGATGACTATTTAACATTTGAAATATGGCTAGCTTGACTAAGGATGTGAATTTTTAATTTAATTTAATGTTAATTAACTTAAATTTAAATAGCCAGGCTGGGCACAGAGGCTTACGCCTGTAATCCCAGCACTTTGGGATGCCAAGGCAGGTGGATCACTTGAGTCCAGGAGTTCGAGAGCAGCCTGGGCAATATGGTAAAACCCTGTCTCTACTGAAAATACAAAAATTAGCTGGGCATGTTGGCACACGCCTGTAATCCCAGCTACTTGAGAGGCTGAGGCACGAGAATCACTTGAGCCTGCGAGGCGGAGGTTGCAGTGAGCTGAGATGGTGCCACTGCATTCCAGCCTGGGTGATGGAGTGAGACCCTGTCTCAAAAAAAAAAAAAAAAGAAGAAGAAGAAGAAATAATTTTGAATATTGAACCAGCCTTGCATACCTGAACAAAATCTCACTTAGTCATGGTGTATAATTCTTTTTATCTATCGCTGGATTTGATTAGCTAATATTTTGTTGAGGACTTTTACATCCAAGTTCATGAGAGCTGTTGGTTTGTAGTGTGCCTTCTTCTTTCCACCCTTGAGAATCTTCCTAGGTTTGCTGTGTTGTGTCCAGGGATTTTTAGTTTTTAGGGAGAGGACCTGGGAGAAATGGAGCTATTCCATGTTGGTGGAACTGGAAATCCCACACATTCTTTTTTTACATATATGTACTATTATACAGATGTGCTGCAATGGATTAAACCAATTTCCTGGTTAACACTTAGATTCTTTCTAATTATTTGTCGTTGTGAACAATGCCACAATGAATAAGTTTATGCATTTGTCATTTCATACTTAAAGGTAAAGGTGCTATTGTAAATTCTCAGAAATGGAATTGTTGGGACAAAGAGCACATGTATTTTTAATTTTGATGTTTCCAAATTATCTTCTATAGGTATTGCACCAACTTATATTCCTTATTCTCCTGAGACTGCCATGCCCCCTCCACTGACTCTCTGCCGACAGATAACATGTTAGGGTCTTGCTAATCTGATAGTTTAAAAAAAGTGAAATTTATCTGAGTTTTGAGTCATAATTAGGTAGGCCTTTTCCATGCCCTCAAAATAAAGGAATTTTCCTATGTTTTCTTTTAGTGTCTTTACTTTTTTTTTTTTTTTTTTTTAGACAGAGTCTTGCTCTGTTGCCAAGGCTGGAATGCAGTGGCGTGATCTCGGCTCACTGCAACCTCCAGCTCCCGAGTTCAAGCGATTCTCCTGCCTCAGCCTCCCGAGTAGCTGGGGCTACAGGCGCGTGCCACCACGCCTGGCTAATTTTTATATTTTTGGTAGAGACGGGGTTTCACCATGTTGACCAGGCTGGTCTCGAACTCCTGACCTCAGGTGATCCGTCCGCCTCGGCCTCCCGAGGTGCGGGGATTACAGATGTGAGCCACTGTGCCCGGCCAACATCTTTACTTTTTTATTTGAATCTTTGATCCTTGTAGAAATTATCCTGAGCTGTATGTGGTGGCATGTACCTGTAGTTTCAGCTACTAAGGAGGCTGAGTCGAGAGAATTGCTTAAACCCAGGAGTTGGAATCTAGCCAGGCAGCATCACCAGAGTCCTGTCTATCTTTTAAAAATTCCCCTATCTTATCACCAGGAATTAGAGACCAAAAAAGAAAAAAAATTACCTGGTGAAGAGAGAGAGGAATAGATCTAACTTGTTGCTGTTGTTGCTTTCTATCATATGGGTACCCAGTTTTCCCGTCAACTCTCTTGAAACAGTCTATCTTATCTCCTCTGGTGTAAGATGCGACTATTATCATATACTTAATTCCTGTGTGTATTTTGGATGTATTCTAGGCTTTCTAGTCTATCCGGCTAGTTGTCTATCTATTCATACAACAACACTATACTGCTTTAATTATTATTTATAAAGATTGTATCTTTGATAGCGGTAGTCCTCTCTCATTCTTTTTCTTTTCTTATTTATTTATTTGTTTTATTGTTTCTTTTCTTTTTTTTTTTTTTTTTTTGAGACAGAGTTTCACTCTTGTTGCCCAGGCTGGAGTGCAATGGCATGATCTTGGCTCACCGCAACCTCCGAATCCCGGGTTCAAGCGATTCTCCTGCCTCAGCCTCCCGAGTAGCTGGGATTACAGGCATGAGCCACCACGCCCAGCTAATTTTGTATTTTTAGTAGAGACGGGGTTCCTCTATGTTGGTCAAGCTGGTCTCGAACTCCCGACCTCAGGTGACCCGCCCACCTCGGCCTCCCAAAGTACTGGGATTACAGGCGTGAGCCACTGCGCCTGGCCTTCTTTTTTCACTTTTTTGTAGAGATGAGAGTCTTGCTTTCTTGCCCAGGCTGCTCTTGAACTGGCCTCAAGGGATCCTCCTACTTCAGCCTCCCAATGTGCTAAGATTACAGCTGTGAGCCACCACACCCAGCCTTCTTATTTACATTTTTAAAGTTAACTGTAAAACATCCTCAAGCAGGTCCTTCAGGAGGTATTCCTGAAGAAGGCATTGTTATCATAGGAGTTGACAGCTCCATGTATGTATTGCCGCCGAAGACCTTCCAGTGGCATGAGATGTGGGTGGACCTGGAATATGATGATATTGATGATCCTGATCCTGTGTGGGCCTAGGCCAATGTGTGTGTTTGTGTCCTAGTTTTTAATTTAAAAGTTTAAAAAATAAAAACAAAAACCTTCAGAATCAAAAAAGCTTATAGAATAAGCATATAAAGAAGGAAAATAGTTTTGTGGAGCTGTACAATTTGTTTGTGTTTTAAGCTATGTATTACAAAACAGTCAATAGGTTTTTAAAATTTTTTAAGTTTATAAAGTAAAAAAGTTACAGTGAACTAAATTTATTTTTTAAGAAAAAAGATACTTTTCATACATTTAGTGCAGCCTTAGTGTCCAGTGTTTATGAAGTCGACAGTAGTGTACAGTAATGTCCTAGGCCTTCACATTCAGTCACCACTCACCCACTGATGCACTTAGAGCAACTTCAGTCTTGCAAGCTCCATTCATGGTAAATGCCCTATAGAGGTGTACAATTGTATCTTTTATACCATATTTTTACTGTACCTTTTCTATGCTTAGATATGTTTATTTATTATTTATTTATCTGGGAGACAGGGTCTTGCTCTGTCGCCCAGGCTGGAGTGCAGTGGCGCAATCTCGGCTCACTGCAACCTCCGCTTCCTGGGTTCAAGTGATTCTCTTGCCTCAGCCTTCCGAGTAGCTGGGATTACAGGTGCGTGCCACCACACCTGACTAATTTTTGTATTTTTAGTAGAGATGGTGTTTCGCCATGTTGGCCAGGCTGGTCTTGAACTCCTGACTCAGGCGATCCACCTGCCTCAGGCTCCTAAAGTGCTGGGATTACAGGCGTGAGACACTGTGCCCAGCCAACTTAGATATGTTTAATTACACACACACTTCCCATTGTGTTATAATTGCCCATAGTATTCAGTATGGTAACATGCTGTATAGGCTTGTAGCCTAGAAGCAATAGGCTATACCATATATATGTCTATGGTATAGCAATAGGGTGTGTAGTGGGTTATACCATCTAGGTTTGCATAAGTGCACTCTATGATGTTCTTTGCACAAGGATGAAATAACCTAATGAAGCATTTCTCAATATTTATCCTCACGGTTAAGTGATGTATGACTATTTATATATATATATATATATATATATATGTGTGTGTGTGTGTGTGTGTATATATGTGTATATATATACACGTATATATATATATATATATATATATGTAGAGAGAGAGAGAGGGAGGGAGGGAGAGAGAGAGAGCACATAAGGACTGTGTATAATTATATATATTTTTTCCTTATGCCATATATATTAAAAAAGAAATATATATATATATATATTTTATTACTGAGTCATCTTATCCAAGAACATGACACGTTTTCCTATTGTTCAAATCTTTCATGTCCTTTGGTAATATTTTAAACTTTTCTTCATATAAATCTCGCACCTTTATTTCCAGGTATTTTGTAAAGAAGTGTTTAAATTTCTTCACAAATTGAATCTCTGCCTCTTTTTTGTTGCTATTGCAAATGGGATATCTTCTTCCTTTGTGTCTTCTGATTGACTATTGTTTGCATACATGAAAGCAGTTGATGTTTATTAATTCTTTACCATGTTATTCCGTGGAATTCATTTATTGTTGTCAGCAGTCTCGCAATTGATTCTCTTGGTGTTTTCAGTTACATAATCTTTTCCCCCAAATACTGATAGATTTATTTCCTCTTTTCCACATCAATGCCTATAAGATGACCTAATAAGAAGAGACCTCAGTTCCCTACCCTAATAGTCTATCTGGAAAAAAGATGTCTCAACAAATTAACCATAATAAAGATACAAAGGGCAGAGTCAAGACAAGAAGCAAAGGTATCTGGAATCCCAGTCTAAGTTCATTTGCAGTGTTCTATGCAGCCTACGAGGTGAGGGCCTGCCTGCCTCACCCTTCATTACTGTTGCTTCTCAAATAGCCAGCTTAGAGCTGCTTCTCAAAACCCAACCATAATTTTTCCAGACTGGGCTGAACCAATGAAACAAAATATCTAACTAACAGGGGAGGGGAGAAGAGGAAGGGTGGAAATCATGCTGGCTTTCTTGGGTTTGCACTATGGCTTCTGGCTAAAATCTTCACACCAGAGCTTGCCTAACCTTTCCATGGTCTCAGGAATGGGAGAATCTACCAGAAAGACCCAGAACCTTTGTGCAACAGATCTATGTCCAAGATATATCACTAAATAGCACATTCTTGTTACAAAACAATGTACCAAATAGGTTTATAATAATACTTTTCAAAAAAAGTATTTTTATTTTGAATAAAAATACTTTATTTTAAATAACATTTTATTTTAAAATATTTAAATACTTTATTTTTATTTCAAAATAAAATACATTTTTTTGAAAAGTATTGCTATATGCTGGTACACACATAGAAAAAGAGATCTAGAGGAAAATTAGTTAAGATGATGTCAAAAGCAGTTATGAGCCAGGTGCAGTGGCTCACACCTGTAATCCCAGCATTTTGGGAGGCCAAAGTGGGAGGACTGCTTGAGTTCAGTAGTTTGAGACTAGCCTGGGCAATGTAGAAAGACTTTATCTCTACAAAAAAATTAAAAAAAATAACTGGGCATGGTGGTGTGTGCCTGTAATCTCAGCTACTTGGGAGGCTGATGAGGGAGAATTGCTTGAATCCAGGCAGGTGAGGCTGCAGTAAGCCCTGATCATACCACTGCACTCTAGCCTAGGTGACAGAGCAAGATCCTGTCTCAAAAGAGAAAAAAAGAAAGAAAGCAGTTATGTCTAGAGATTGTGGCTGTGAAAGATGTCTTAGTCTGTTTTCTGCTACTATAACAGAACACCACAGGCTAGGTAATCTATAAAGAACAGAAGTTTATTTGGCTCATCGTTCTGGAGGCTGGGAAGTCCAAGAACATTGCATTAGCATCTGGTGAGGGTCTTCCCATGGTGGAAGGGCAGAAGGTGGAAGCTAGTGCACAAGACAGAGAGAGGATATCGGGCTAAACTCTTTCTTTTATCAGGAGCCCACTCCCATGAAAATTAACCCACTCCCTCAAGCCCTCATGACCTAGTCACCTCTTAAAGGCCCCACTACCCAATACCATCACATTGGTAAATAAATTTCAACATGAGTTTTGGAAGGGACATTCAAACCATAGCAAGGAATATTTATTTTCCATGTTATCTGTGTCTGTAACATTAGTGTTTTTAAGTAACAACCAGGTATTGCTTTTGTCATTAAAAAAAGAAAGATAGCTCTGACACATACTAAAATGTTTATGAATGAAAAAATGTGATTTCTGAGATTTGCTTCAAAATAATGTGGGAATAAAGAAATGAGTGTAGGTAGAGACTAGCCATAAATTGATAAACACTGAAGTTGGATGATGGGCAAATGGGAATTTGATATATTATTTCCTCTGCTTTTGTATATACTTGAAATTTTCCATAATAAAAATATTTTAAAAGGAAGTAATTTTATAGACACAGATATGAAGAGAGAGCCACACTGTAGTTTTTAAAAGAAACAGCATTGTATGTATGATATTGCATCTGTGTGCAATGATACTTGTGTCTCTCTCTATATTGGTATACATGTAAAAAAAAAAGACTTAGTTCAAGTAATAATAACAAGCAAGTTTACTGAACACTTGTGAGGGTATCAGGCAGCATCTTAAGTATAGAAATCTCTATTTTCTTTTTTTTCAAAATGATATATTTAAGGCTGAGCGCAGTGATGCGCACCTGTAATCCCAGCACTTTGGGAGGCCGAGGAGGGCAGATCACCTGAGGCCAGGAGTTCGAGACCAGCCTGGCCAACATGGTGAAACCCCGTCTCTACTAAAAATACAAAAATTGTAATCTCAGCTACTCAGGAGGCGGAGGCAACAAAAAGATATATTTAAAGCCACTACCTGCAGGTCTTTTGGAAATTTAAGTTTTTGCTAGCCCAGTAAATTTTTTGACATTCTTCCCATAAAAGGGTGGTGTCATGTGCCTTCCTTTTGAACCTGGATGGGCTTCTGTTTTGACCAACAGAGTACAACAGAAATCCCACCTACCTAATGTTCACACCCTGGCTCTACCACTTGCTAATTGTGACCTGTGGCACAATATGACCTTTACGGCTCTATACCTCCTTTTCCACCTCTGTATAATGAGGATAATCATAAATACCTCATAGGATCATTGTGAAGATTAGATGAGTTGTATGTGAAATTCACAGAACAATTTCTGGGCAGGTAGTAATTACTAAATAAATCTTTTCTTCATTAACAACAACAACAACAACAACAAGAAAGAGTATAGCAGAAATGATGCAGTGTGATTTCAGAGGCTGAGTCGTAAAATACCATGCAGCTGCTGCCTTGTTCACTGAAATACTTACTCACAGGTTCCTGAGCCACTATGTAAGGAGTTTAACTACCCTGTGGCTGTCATGCTAGGAGGAAGCCCAAGCCACACGGAGAAGCTATGTGTAGGTATTGTGATCTACAGTCCCCACTGTGCCCAACCTTTGAGTCATCCCAGCCCAGGCACCAGACAGGTGAGCACAGAAGTCTTCAGATGATTCTAGTCCTCAACCCTGGGAGTCTTCCTCAATAAGGCCCTAAACATCATGGAGCAGAAATAAATTATCCCTATGGTGCCCTGTGTGAATTCCTGATCCTCATAATCTGTGACCAGAATACAGTTGTTTTTGTTTTATATCACTAAGTCAGATGGTTTGTTATACACAATAGATAACTGGAACATACGGACTTTCAATTGTATGAGATAATTACATTTGGTTCTTATGGTTGAAATCACTGTAAAGAGCATTTTTGTCCTTACTCGCAGTTAATCACAGTCTTACACTGTAGTCTTGTTTACTTATATTTTTAAGTTAATCTATTCTTTTGGTTTAAATATGTCTTTAAGGAGAAAAAAGAGTATTTTTGTAACGCATAGTAGAAACAATTGCTATGAAAATTTTAAATCATGCTTTCCCATATATCATTTTAAATCATCTTGTGGCTCACCAGGGACATATCCCACCTTCTAGGAATTACTGCATTAAGCTTTCTTCTGATCACAAAGGTTTCTCCTAACTTTTACATTTGAGAATGTATGAGGTTCCCTTCCCCAGGTTGTCATTGCATGTTGCCCCAGGACACCCTCTCTCTGAAGGAGTTCGCAGACAGAGTTCCCGTGCAGTGCATGAGACAGTTAACATTCATGGGAGGTGACCCACATCAGGAACTGTGAAGGGTCTGAGATTTTACCCTACTTACAAACTCATCAGCTAGATTATTTCCTGAATGCTGGCAGAAGACATAGACTCCTGGGTCAGAGATAAGAAACTGTATTACTTACAGAGAAAGTAGATGCTGACTTCAGGCTTACCCTGATTCCCCAAACCTCTGAAGTCCTGAGGATGTGATGCAGGTGGGCCTGCTCACACAGAGTTGTGTCACAGGAGAGGAATACTGAGCTAAGAGAAACTATTGCTTTTACAGTGAGCAGTCACAAACCTTCCCTTTGAAGACATGACTTCATCCCTCAAGGTTGTTTTCTGCAAACACAACCCTGAGAAATGGCCTGAGTAAAGGGCAATCAGGGTCTTGCCTTCCTGGTGCACCAGCAAGAACATGCAGGGATGCTCAGAGCTCATGGATATCCCGATCACAAGCTGCATGGCCTAGGCCAGATAGGCTAGGGAGTGCTGTGAGGTCCCAGAGCTAAAACTCCACCACTCCCTTCCCAACTCCTGAAAGCATAGCATAATGTCAGCAAAGCAGAAGGAGGGATGTTAAGGGGTTCACCTTGACTCCACTTTAATCAGTAATAATAAAAGGCGAATGATTTGCTCACTTCAGCTTTACTTTTATTAGTACAATAATCCAAACGATGCTGAGCTTCTTCAGTTTGCACATTCAAGGGAAATCACACTAACAGCTTCTGTCAATTAGTTACTGCTCTAGCAATGCCACATAACAATCAACCTCAAACTCTCAGTGGCATATGACAGTAAGCACTGGGATTACAAGTTTCCTGATCAGCTGGTGGCTCTGCTTCACTCCATAAGTAGGCTGGGTGGCTCTGCTGCACGTGACTCCCATCCTCTTCCTGGAACCAGTGGGCTAACCAGAACATATTTAACTCTTGGAGATGATGGAATTGTAGGAGAGTTTGCCTAGCTGTGCAGGCATATTCCAAGCTCATTTGTTTTATGTCTGGTGCTATTCCATTGGCCAAAGCAAGTCTCAGGGCCAAGCCCGAAGTCAAGGGGTGAGGAAGTATACTCCATCCATGGAGGTGGAGGGGAAGGAGGAAACGTTCCTGACAACGATGGAATCTACTTTCTATCAAAAGCCCATGGTTTCTCTTCCTACTATTTTTCACTCGCATGGGGCCTCACACCCTTTTTGCAAAGTCTTCTTCGTGTTCTCCCTTCAACTCCAAAGTACCAAAGTACAATTAATTCTCAAATAATGAATATTCACATGATAGTTCCTCCCTCACCTCTCAGAATGGGGCTATAGAAAAATTTACACTCATTTTATTTCAATTAAGCAATATTTCTTCCCAAATAATAAAGAAGAAACAAAACATTGACTCGGAGTTTATGCCTCTTAGCTCCTACATCTGCCCGCTACACTAGGATCTGCTCCTGGAGGACTTGACAAAGACCCCAGCACTTTATGTTCAAGCTTTTACATGCGCACGAGAACTTCTGTTTGAGAGATATGTATTGTGCAATTCCTCATAAAGAATGACTATAGTTTTTATGGTTATATAAGGTTATAAAAGGTAATTAATTTAGGAACGATTCCGAAAGAAGAGCGTGAATAAGAGAACAATAGCTAAAACATCTATTTTCTTTGCTGCCTTGTAGAGTTGAAAAGAACATACTTAAGGAATGAGCTTTACAAAGAGGTTAAACAATACAGTACCTGACTAAGAATGTTGTTATGGTAATATCTTTTCCTTAAAGGTATTTTTTCTTTATCCCTGGTGTTGTGTGTGTGTGTGTGTGTGTGTGTAAGAGAGAGACAGAAAGAGAGAGAGAATATCAGGGGACATGTGTATCCCTAGGAGTCCCTGGAAGGTATTTGTTACATGCTTAAAGACCAGCTATTGGCAGCCATTTTTGTAGCCCCCCAGTCTTGTCCCAGCTGTGAACATCCACTGCCTGGGAGGCCACCTGAAATCTCCTCATCTTTTCCATTGCTGGGGATATCTGTATTCATCAAAGATTTTTTGTTGGAAGTGACAGAAACCGAACTGTAACTACTTTGAGCAAGAAAGGGTAATTCATTGTTTCACATACACAAACCATGGACAGCACCCGGTGGAGCCAATACCCCAGATGACTGGATTCAGACACCCAAAGGCCACCAGGCTGTTCTCTCTTTTCTCTGCTGCTCTTTGCCTGTTGGAGCCATTCTTACCAGTCACAGGCAGACTTCTCCACGGGGAGGGGAAGATGGACTCTGGCCACTCCAGAATCACAGCCTTCCAGCTTTAGCAACTCTTGGAGTTCAGAGAACATCTCTCCATTAGTTTTGGTGTAAAAAGTTCCAGGAGATATCTCTAATTGGCCTAGCTTGAATGACACGCTCATGGCACGGACCAATCACTATGGTTCCATTTCCACAACAAAGGTGGGACGCACCGACATGGCCACCAGGGACATCATTGGGAACTATGAAACCACTTTAATTTGTATGAGCTATGGAGATTCTTATGAGAACTATCAAGTTGGTAGCAAGCCCTCTCTCTTCATCTGTGCCTTAGGAGGCCCATCAATGGGAGGAAGGGGATCTGGAAGTTCCTCCCATACAGCAGGGTTTGGTCCCTGTGGGTCAGTAAGTGGGGCTTATAAAATTAAAAGCCAGGTGTGGTGGCTCACGCCTGTAATTTCAGCACTTTGGGAGGCCGAGGCGGGTGGATCACCTGAGGTCAGGAGTTCTAGACCAGCCTGGCCAACACGGCGGAAACCTGTCTCTACTAAAAATACAAAAATTAGCTGGGCGTGGTGGTGGGCACCTGTAATCCCAGCTACTCAGGAGGCTGAGGCACAAGAATCGCTTGAACCCAGGAGGCGGAGGCTGCAGTGAGCCGAGATCGCACCACTGCACTCTAGCCTGGGCAACAGTGAGAGTCTGTCTCAGAAAAAAAAAAAAAAAAGTTAAATGGGTGATGTTTTAGGGTTCTCTCAGTTGCACACCTTGGGACAAGAATGCAAGGCCAGGTAGTTTATTTGGGGGATGATCCCAGGGAACACCGTTAACAGATTAGGGAGTGACACAGGGAGGAAAAGGCTGCCAAGAAATCAGGTGTGATGAAGAAATTCCCCTCTGTGGACAACTGGAGCTCAATCCCACTGGGGACCTCCCGGACACAAGAACACTCAGGTTTATCCAGTACAAGGGGAGAGGATACTAACATCATCATCAATTCCCTGTCATTGGCTGAACAACATTTCTGTGAGTACAACATCTCCAGTACTTCTGTCTTGTCCAGTGAGTGGGCCAAGTGTGCCCTGGCATCAGGAGAAAGCTCTCAGCAGGGTCATAGCTGCAGTCATCACCTTAGGGACTCTGAGTGTTGAGGAGGCACAGGCAGGACCCCAGCAGATGACCCCGGATGGATTTTCAGTCCACGAAACCATGATATGCTGGGGTTTCTCCATCCCGCTGCTGAGTCAATGGGAAGGGCCTCTCAGGTCATATTCCCATAGGATGGCTCAAGGATCCATGTGTGGTCTGGCTGACACCCAGGCCTTCTTGAGGGAGGAAGAGGTGGGAGGAAACGAAGATGAACCTTTTACTCAAATAGTATGAAATACTCCTTCATGAGCCTTTTAAACTGGAAGAGACTCGGCTACAGTTAGTAATCAGATTTATGTTTTTCTCTCTAAGAAAATGAAGGAAGCACAAGAAAAAATTGACCACTTATAGAAAATAAAGGCTACTCAGGAGACTGAGGTGGGAGGATCACTTAGGCCCAGAGGGTTGAGGCTGCAGTGAGCTATGATTGTGCCACTGCACTCCAGCCTGGAAGACAGAGAAAGACTCTGTCCAAAAAAAAAAAAAAAAAAAAGAAAGAAAGAAAGAAAGAAAAAAGGAGAAAGAAAATAAGAACTATGCATTTTTTGCACCTTCCATAATCTCCATGATTATATTTGGGGGGCCCTTTATCTGCTTTGATCATTGCCATATTCATTGCATGTAGCACAGTACTAGGCACATAAAAGATGCAGACTAATGATTTATTGAATGAATGTATGCTTCCATATTTCCCTACGAGTGGCCATTTCCCTCCCGAGATCCAAGCCGTTGAATTTCAATTAGTGTATTGCAGCTTCTCCCAGAGCTGGGGGAGTGTTGGTATTTTTTCTCAGACAATTAAGTGCTTTAGTGGAGAGTCGGGGGTGAAGGGTTGTGCTCTGTGCCCCACACGAGCTGCGCTGGCCTCACAGAAAATGGTGAGACTGTCAGAGCACTGGCTGGTGACGGAAGGGCTGTATGTGCCCCTTCAATTTAATGGCCTTTTAATTAGTATCAATAATAGCTGGGCCGTCCCTCGCTGCACTGCATGTCTGTCTCCAAGGCTCATTATGACCAGGGATGAACAGCACTCCTCCAATCCCTTATGTCCTCATAGTCATGAGACCCTTTGCTATTACATAATGTTGCAATCCACCATCACACCTGGCCCACAGTAGTTGCTTAATGGGTGTTACTTCTTTTCCACTTTTGGCCCTCCTTTGAAGCCCCAGCAACTTTAGGCATTCGAAACTGGGCCTCTGCACCCCATTCCTTGTAGCCAGAGGGGTGGTAGGGCTGGAGATGAGAGTCCTCAGAGAGAAAGATGGTAGCCACACCCAAGGCCTCTCTGGTGTTCAGGCTCTGTGAGTTGGGATGGGGAGATAGATGGAACCGCTCTGTGTGCGTAGGGCAGGGCTGGGACCGGTAGGCATCCTTCTTTGATGTCGGCATAAACTCTAGCAGGAAATTTTGAAATAATCTGATCCAGGGTTTCAAACCAGCAGCCTGTAGGTTTGAATGGCTGTTTATTTTTTAAAAATTCAAATAAATTCATAACATTTCTTTTTCTTTTCCCTGCTTTTCCTGAGCTGTATATAACATTTTAATGTTGGGAAATTTAACATCATAACCTACATTTCCTGTCTCTCCAAGGAAAAGAAACAAATCAGGTGATCTAGCTACAATGGGCCCCGATTCCATATGGTAACAGTTGGTTGAAGCTGGGTAGTGACCGCCCCCGCTTAGAAGGGCATGGGCTCAGCCACCGTAGTCCTCACCTGACCTGCTTCCCTTGTCTGTGTTATCTACCTGGCCTCTGCGAGCATTTCAGTTTGCTTCCCCCCTCACTGAACAGCTGGAAAGATGGGCTCAGGGAGGGAAGTGGTTTGAGTTGTCTAAGCACATACAGACAAATAATGGCCAACTTAAAGCCAGGCTATTGTCAATCCCAGTCCAGTGCTCCTATACCTCACCACTCTCTGCTGCTCTTTATAAGTTTCTTCAACTAGACAGGAGCTACTGCAGTGGGAGGTGCGGTGAAAGGAGCTCACTCAGAAGTGTATGAATGTGACAGCTCTGTCTCTGCTTGACTGGGCTGTTGCTTCCCATCTTTGGGCCTCAGCTTCCCCATCTGTAAAATGGGGCTAATAACAATCCTAATCTCTTAGATGTGGGAGAGCTCTCAGAACTCTGTGGAGCTAGGAAATGTTATTGAACATGATTGTTGTTTCGATTGCTATGTAACCCCAAAACTTTGTGATTTAAAACAATAACCATTTTATTTGTTTATGATTGTTCAATCCAGGGTGGGCTCAGTTAGGTGGTTTTTCTAGTGATCTTGCTGGTGATCACTCTTACGGTTGCATTCAGCTGGCAGGTTGGCTGATGGCGGGGCTCAGCAGAGAAGCTGGGATGGCTGGCCTGACTCTCTTCACATAATTTTAGTCTCTTCCCACCATGTGTTCTCTCCAGCAGGGTAGCCAGACTTCTTACATAGTTGTTCAGGGCTCCCACAAATGAGCATTCCAAGAGGACAAACCCCAGTATGCAGGCATTTACCAAGCCTCTGCTTGCATCACAACTGCGATATACCATTGGCCAACATTTGTCACATTGAGGGAGAAGGCAGGACTCAACTCCAGAGATGGGGCTGAAACTCTGGACCAGATTGAAGACTAGGTGAACAGGGAAGCAGTGAAAGCACCTCTCCATGAGACATACCCAGCAACACCACGTCAGTTTACCACAGTGATGGCAACACCTAAAAGTTACCACCCCTTTCCATGGCAATGGCCTGGAAGTATCATCCTTTGTCCAGAAAATTCTGAATAACCTGCCCCTTAATTTGCATGTAATTAAAAGTGGGTATAAATATGACGACAGAATTACCCCTGAGCTGCTACTCTGGGCATGCTGCCTAGGGGGTAGTCCTGTTCCACAAGGAGCAGTACCTCTGCTGCTGTTGGACACTGCTGCTCCAATAAAAGTTGCCATCTAGGCTGGGCACAGTGGCTCACACCTGTAATCCCAGCACTTTGGGAGTCTGAGGTGGGTGAATCATGAAGTCAGGAGATCGAGACCATCCTGACCAACGTGGGGAAACCCCATCTCTACTAAAATTCAAAAATTAGCTGGGCATGGTGGTGTCTGCCTGTAATCCCAGCTACTCGGGAGGCTGAGGCAGAATCATTTGAACCAGGGAGTCGGAGGTTGCAGTGAGCAGAGATCGTGCCACTGCACTCCAGCCTGATGACAGAGTAAGACTCCGTCTCAAAAAAAAAAAAAAAATGTTGGCATCTACCACCACCTGTTTGCCCTTGAATTCTTTCCTGGATGAAGTGAAGAACCTTCTCGGGCTAAGCCCCAATTCTGGGGCTTACCTGCCCTGCATCAATATGGCAAAGTCCAGAATCAATGTGGGAGGGGACTACATAAGAGTATGAATGCCAGAAGCATGGTTCACTGGAAGCCATCAAATTAACAGTCTACTGCAATTATTTTCATGGGGTCTAACTAACGGCTAGAGTAGGGAGAGTGGGCCTTCACCTGCAAGGTGAAACTGGATAGTCCCCAGGTCTCCCTACTCAGAATGTTCTCTCCTGATGAACCAGCCCAGATTTGATGTTTACCTTTACTTTGCAGCTTTGGCCCAGCATGACCAGGCTTTCAGAGTTCACATTAGATCACAGCCCACAGTGCCAATCCAAATGACTGGTATGACTGACCATGGAGAAGGACTCCATGGTGGACAGGGGGACAGAATGTCCTGATTGGCCAGGCCTGGGTCAGGTGCCATCACCAGGGCCAGGGGGAATGAAGTCAGCCCCTTCTGAACTAATAGTAATAATATTAATACTAGATGACATTTGGGGGGTGTTTACTATGTGCCAGTCACTCTTTTAAACATTTTATCTGAATTAACTCATATAACCCAAAAACTCCATGAGGTAGATACTATTCTCCACATTTCTTATATGAGGCACAGAGAGGTTAGGAATTTTTCCAGGTTCACATAGCTGGTCAATGGCAGAGCCAATATTCAAACCTAGGCAGTCAGACTTTAGTTTCCATACTCTTTATGGCCTGGACCAAGAATAGGAGTAGAGGCTCACAGAAAAATCAGATGCTGGCCAGGCACAATGGCTCATGCCTGTAATCCAAGCACTTACAGGGAGTCTGGGACGGGCAGATTGCTCGAGCTTAGGAGTTAGGGACCAGCCTGAGGAACATGGCAAAACCCTGTCTCTACAAAAAAATACAAAAATTAGCTGGGCATGGTGGCACGACCTGTGGTCCCAGCTACTCTGGAGGCTGAGGTGGGAGGATCACCTGAGCCTGGGAAGTTGAGGCTGCAGTGAGCCATGATTGCAGCACTGCACTCCATACTGGGTGACAGAGGAAGACCTTGTCTCAAAAAAAAAATTTTTTTAAGTCAGATGCTGTTAAGAATATTGGGAGATGATACAGCATAGACAAAAATGGTATCTATACCTTGCAACTGCCCACTAATAACCATAAAGACATGATGTGCCATGTAAAGCATGATCTAAGGAAAACCTTCATGTTCTTTATGCAGAAACTTGGGCTAGATGTGGTGGCTCATGCCTGTAATCCCAGCACTTTGGGAGGCTGAGGTGGGAAGACCTCTTGAGCCCAGGAGTTCAAGACCAGCCTTTGCAACATAAGGAGACCCTGTCTTTACAAAAACTTTTTTTAAAAATTAGCTGGGCATGGTGGTACATGCCTATAGTCCCAGCCACTCGGAAGGCTGAGGCAGAAGGACTGCTTAGCTCAGGAGTTCAATGCTGCAGTGAGCTATGACCGCACCACAGCACTCCAGCTTGGGTGACAGAGAGAGACTCTGTCTCAGAAAACAAACAAAAACAAACAAAAAAATTGGGTAATTGGGTATCTTCCTCTCTACTCCAGATGGGATTCTTTTAGCCTTAGGTTCCCCTTATTGGATCCAAAGTTGAGAAGCTCTTGGGTCACTTAGTCAAGAATTCCTGAGGTATAGCAAATAAGAACATCTGGGACCACATGTTACCAACATCTGGTCACAAACTCTTAAAATAATATGGAGAAGTAGATTTGGAGAAACAGATGAAGAACACGAGGGGGAATGTGCTGGGTGACACCCACAGAAATGCACCTGGGGAATCATGATTGAAGCAAGGATGATTGAAAAGTCTCTGCAAGTATGTGTGACACTTCTGAGTATTGGGGGTGGGGTGGGGGTGGAAGGCCTCATGTATCTGTTGTTTCCTGGGCACTCAATCCTTTTTGAACAAGATGCTCTAGAGATGGTTATTCTCATTAGAACAAATGTTACTGACCCAATGTCTTCCTCGTTTATATTTCTTCTAATGTGCTTCTGCTTGAGCAAGTGAGCCCTTAATGTCCATTTCAATTAACATCACTGCATCTGATCTCAGTGGTGTCACTCATGGATGCAATGAGGGGCGGAGAAAGGTCACTGGGAAGTGGGGAGAGGTGTCCCCTCTTGTTTGAAGGCTTGAAGTCACTGGTGAGGGAGGTATTGGGAGGGAAGGTGTGGAATGATTTGCTCCCTACTTAATAAAGACCATACTTTAAAGATGTCAGCCTGTCTTTTGTTTGATAAAACACTAATGTGAAGACCTAGTTGCAAGGCAGAAAGCAGGGACAAGGGCTCTGAGGGCTAAGCCAGTGAGGAACGGGAGACACACAAACTTGCATTGACTTATGAGAGCTTCCTCCATAACCTTGAGCTCCCTAGCCGTCAGTCACAGTGGGTGGGAACTGTATGCTCCAAATCTGCTATCCAGTATCCTGGGGATTCCCAGGGATGGCTCAAAGCTGGTGGTCTGACACCAACACTTCTGTGTGTGGCCTGATCTCAGCATGGAAATGGGATGGACCAGAGTTTGGGGTGGGTGTAGCAGAGCAAGCCTCAGGGAGAGGTAGACAGTCACAACCTGCCAACCCTTCCTTGCTCTTGTTTTCCATCCTTCCTTCCCTTCCTTCCTTCCTAACAAGGGAATTTGTTCCCTTTGTGCCCTTCCAGAGGGAATTTGTTCAGGAAAGAGAAAATATGGATTTATGTTCTCCAAGACACAATCCTCAGGGATGATTCTCTCTCCTTTGAGAAGTCAGAGCATTTGTTTTTTCATCATCTTTGCCATCAATAACAATCATTAGAAGAGCTTACTATTTCTTGAGCACCTTCTGTGTATCAGGGGACATTACATATATTATTTCTAGCCTTCACAGCAACCCTCAAGGTAAATGTAATTTATGCCCACTTTACAGAGGAGGAAATTGGGGCTTAGAGTGCTTGAGGAGCTTGTCCAGTAAGTGGATTGAACTGGGCCCGGTTCATTCGATTTCTGGCTCCAATGTCATCAATTACTTGCAATATATACTTGCAAGGGCCTGGCTCCTGGCTAAGACCTGCTAATGGATGCATCTGAAATAAGAAATGTCTTCTATTCAAGTTCCAGACGTCCACATCAACAAGCATCAAACACAGAGTTTAACCTGCATCGTACTGGCAGTCAAGATGCAAGGGCTGTAGTCCTGGTTCTGCAACTCTTTTGATGGGCAGCTTTCAGTGTATATGTGTGAACTCCCCTCTCCAGTAGAACTCCCCTCTCCAGTTGTCATTTCTCCATCTGTAAAATGGGCAAGTTTGACTAAATATCTCCAAGAGTCAGCTCAGTTCAATCCAATCTGACAGCACCCATGGGGCTTTCCTGTGTGACTGTGCCAGAAGGAAATAAAGATGGACAAGGCAGACCTCCATTCTCTAGGTGAGCTAAATGTGTGCTCTAATAGTTATACATAAAGAGCAACAAAGCTTGGAGAGCACGGCATCTCATTTAGACTTGGCCAGTGGCAATGTGTGTGGCACAGGAGATGAGGCAGGCTTCAGGGTGGAGGCGCCATTGGCAGTTGGGCTTGAAAAGGAAATAGAACATGTGGAGGTGGAGACAGGAGGAAGCTTTTCCCAGCCAACACCACATGGAGCAGAAGAACCACCTGGTCATTCTATAAAATTGTGAGAAGTAACAAATCATTGTTGTTTTAAGTCACTACATTTTCGGGATGATTTCTTACGTAGTAATAGATGACAGACCCCAAAGGTGGGTGTGTGATTATAGGCTTTATCCTATAAAGGTCAGAGATTGCTCATTTTTAGACCACAGCCTACAGTAATTGGCCTGCAGACATAATTCATTTGGCTTGCACAGGGTTTTTAAAAATAGTTGAGCCAACATTTAGAAATTGGGAGATTTTATATGAAAATCCAGATTTGGGGGCTCTCTTGAAGAATCCTACATCTCAGCACCTGCATTCTAGGAACAGTATGCAACACACATCCTCCAGTTCATGACAGTGCTCTCCACTCCCTATTGTCTCATGCCTAACCTTCTTTCTAGCCCCTGTAGACACCTGAGGGTTTGCTGTTGTTGTTATTTGTTTTGAGAAGGGTCTCACTCTGTTGCCTAGGCTGGATGCAGTGGTGTGAGCATGTCTCACTGTAGCCTTGGCCTCCTGGGCTCAAGTGATCCTCTGGCCTCAGCCTCCCAAGTAGCTGGAAGTACAGGCACATGCTACCATGCCAGCTAATTAAAATTTTTTTTTTTGTAGAGACAGGGTCTCACTATGTTGCCCAAGCTGGTCTCAAACTCCTGGGTTCAAGCAATCCTCCTGCCTCAGCCTCCCAGAATTCTGGGATTAAAGGAATGAGCCACTGTGCCCGGCATGACATTTGAGTTTTTGATCCATGCTGATGACATGGCAATGGGAGGCTATTGAAGGTTGTTTTTTGTTTTTCTGTTTTTGAGGCGGAGTCTCTCTCTGTGTCTCAGGCTGGAGTGCAGTGGCATGATCTCGGCTCACTGCAACCTCCACCTCCCAGGTTCAAGCGATTACCCCACCTCAGCCTCCTGAGTAGCTGGGATTACAGGTGCCTGCCACCACGCCCGGTTAATTTTTATATTTTTAGTAGAGATGGGGTTTCACCATGTTGCCCAGGCCGGTCTTGAACTCCTGACCTCAAGTAATCCCCCCCACCTCGGTCTCCCAAAGTACTGGGATTACAGGCGTGAGTTACCGCGCCCAGCCCATTGAAGGGTTTTGAGCAGAGAAGGAATGATGAGAGTTGGGCAGTAAGTAATGTATTGGTTGGGGGTAACTCTGGGGCAGGTGTAGTGAAAATCTATTATTCAATCTGCCCCAGAGCATGAACTCCATCTTTTGGGAAATGCATCTTTCTCTGACCATATGGTTCCGATGGGGCTGCCATCTCCCTGTACGTCCCACTTCCTTATTCACAGTATTGGTTAGAGAATGGCACCTGGCTTAAGTTGGGCCAGTCACAGCACCTGGTTTTCCACCCATAGATGATTGGTCTAGGGACGGGGACTTACCTATGTTGGACCAATCAAAGTTTTTCCCTAAAATTTTGTCCTTCAGACCAGAAGCAGAAATCCTCAGTCTCTCTCCGGTGGAACGGGTGAGAGTTGTGAGTGGTGAGCGCTGCTGCAGCCAGGTGCCTAGCCTTGAGGAGAAAAGCTCGCATACAGAGAGAAGAGATAAAGGACTGGGAGGAGAGTCCTGGCAACATTCAAGCCTCTGCGCTCACCACTTCAGTGCATTTTCTGAGCCTGGTTCTCCAGCCTTCCCATCAGTTCTGGGAGCTCCCCATTCCTTCCTGATAAATTCCTTTGCTGCATCTGTTAGTCTGAGTTTATTTATGTTTCGTAATTTGCAACCGAGAACACTGGTGATAACCGGGGGCTTTGAGGCAATTCCAGGAGGGCTACTTCTCACCCCCGTCAGGGAGGAGCCAAGACAGGGTTTATCCTCAAATGCAGATCCCCTGAGGTCAGGAGTTAGAGCCCAGCTTGGCCAACATGATGAAACCCCGTATCCACTGAAAATACAAAAATTAGCCGGGCATGGTGGTACACGCCTGTAATCCCAGCTACTTGGGAGGCTGAGGTACAAGAATCGCTTTGAACCCAGGAGGCAGAGGTTGCAGAGAGCCGAGATCGTGCCACTGCACTCCAGCCTAGGCGACAGAGCTAGACTCCGCCTCAAAAAACACACAAACAATGAACAGACAAATAAATGACAGAACAAGAAGACAAACTAGAGAACATCTTGAGACAAGGTGTTCAGGGAAGAGTTCTTTTGAGAAGGTGATATTAAAGCGAGTTTGGGGAAGAACGTCCCAGGCCTTGCGCTCAGGGTCGTCAACTCTTTGATTTCTCTTCCTTTTGAAGCAGGGCAGGGAGGTCATCAAACAACAGAAGGACAATTATAACTGCTGGTATGGCAAAGCCAGGACTCTGAATTCAAACTCTGCTCCATTCTCAGGAATCCCGTCTGTTAAGCAGGTTCTGGGGAAGCGATGTGAGTCATGAAATCACAGGTCGGAGGAGGCATCGAGAATATGGTCAGTTCTCAACTTTCAGGGAAATCCATAGCTGAGGAATGAAGGACAACGGGCTTCTCGTGCTCTCACTAGGAAGACTGGTTCACCGGAGGCTGGAACACTGAAAGTGAGAAATCCCGACAGGAGAAATGTGTAGGAGAGAGGACTAGCACCTGGATCAAGTTATAAAACATCTCCTGCATCTTTTTCGGAGATCACCCTTAGCGCGGCCTCTCCGCCCAGTCCCAGATTAGGCAGCGAAGAGCGACCCTCACCTTGTCTAGGTGGCACGTTCCTTAAAAGCGAAAGGACCAGGAGTTTCTTCCTGCCTCGTCTCTTCCGGATCCCTCCTGCACCGCCCACAGCCTGCAGATTTGAGCGCCATCTCCAGGCCCCGCCCACCTCAAGCACCACCCCTCAGTCCTTCCTTGGGGCACGCCTCCTTCCGGCACCCGCCCAGAGTAGCCACCCCCGGGGCCCCTCCTCCCCTCCCTGCTTCCGGGCCCGCCTCCTTCAGGCCCGCTTCCATCTTCCTCCCACTCTAAGCTTCTCTTCAGCCCCGCCTCCCTCCACCCGTGGCTCCGCCCTCTGGGCGATTCTCCATTTAGCCCCGCCCACAGCATCTCCTTTCAAGCGCTGTCCTGGTTCCCGGCTCTCCATCTCCTGCACGGCCTTCCCCACTGGTCCGGCGACCCTCTTCCCAGGGCCTCATCACCATCTTAGCTCCGCCCCTACTTCGGCTCCAAACCTGTGCAAGCTGCCCTCTTCCCGCCCCAGCCCCGCCTCCCCAAGCCGCGTCTCAGTCCCTCCTCCCTTTCAGGCCCCACCCTGGCCCCGCCTTCCTCCCGTCCCCGCCGAAGCTCTGGACCTTTCCAAAGCCAGGCTGAGAGGGTGGGGAGAGCCCATGCGCCTGGGAAGCCGGGCTGTTTCTGGGCGGGGCTGCAGACTCCTCGTGCTCGTGTCACCGTGTCCTTCCCAGGAGACAGAGAAGGAGGAGAGCCCGGAACCAGGGCCGGAGCGGCGGGCGGAGCCGAGCTGCGGGGAGCCGCTCCGGGTGCCCCCACCCCCGCGCGCCTCAGTGGTGCCGGCCGAGGGCAGGGCTCGCGGTTGCGGGGCTCGCGCCGCTGTCAGTGCGGCGGGGCGCGCGAGCGGCGCCAGCTCGGGGCAGCGGAACCCAGAGAAGCTGAGGGGGCGGTAGCGGCGGCGACGGCGACGACGACGACTCCCGCGCGTGTGCCCAGCCTCTTCCCGCCGCAGCCGCCCTTTTCCTCCCTCCCTTACGTCCCCGAGTGCGGCAGTACCGCCTCCTTCCCAGCCGCGCGGCTTCCTCCAGACCTCTCGGCGCGGGTGAGTGGGGACTGCGGGCGTCTCCTTAGGGGTGCGGGGAGGGTGTGTGCTTTGTGCCTTTCCGTTCACTCACTTCTTCCGGCAGGCCGCTGCCTATTTTTAGAAACTTATTTCTGCCCTTCGGGGAGTCCCGGGAGCCCGAGTAACTCTAGGCCCCCTCCGCCGCTCCTTTCTCCCACTCGGACCCGCCGCCCCGGGTCCCCGGCCCCAGCCCTCCGCGCCCGGTCCTGCTCCCGGCGTTCCCTGTCTGCTCTCTCCGCGGGCCAAGTCTGGGCCAGTAGTTGGCTGGGTGGGCCCGCGCCCGCTCGGAAGTTGGAGTCTTTTGTGCTCGTGCCCCGCCCCGCCCGGCGAGGGGCGGAGGGAGGGGAACGGAGGCTGCTCCGGGGAGGCCGCAGGCGGGCCCGGCCGCGGCTGCTTCCGGCTCTCCTAACCCGGACTGGGTCTACGGGCTCCCGGAGGCGCGCAGAGCTTGTCCTGCCTCGGCTCCCGCCTCTTCTGGGCTCTTTGCACGCCTTGGGCTCGGAGAGAAACAACAACGGGCCCTCGAACTGGGGCCGTATCCGCGTTTCACTCAGCCTCCTTGGCGGCCGAGTCTTAGTTTGCCTCTCGGTGACATGGGGGGAAAGAAGGAAACTCGCTTTGCGGGGTGTTCGTGGATTCAGGGAGGGAACTAATATGTGAAAGAAGTGTTTAACACCGACAGGGAACATTTAATGAGACTTCACCCAGGAACTTCCCAAGCCTTATTTCATTTAATGTTCACAACGGCCTTCTGGTTTATCCTCATTTACAAAAGCAGAAATTAAGGCGCAGAGGGGTCAAGTAATTTTCTCCAAGTCACAGTAGCCACAGAAGTGCAAAGGAGTGGTGCCAGTACCTATTATTTATTAATATTTCCTGGTGTGAGCATGTATCATCTCTTAGTGCAGAGGGTATTTTTACCTAGCCTTGGGTCACACCATTTAATTAGGGGCATAACTCTGGGTTTTCCCTGACTTCTGGGCCGTTGTCCACTATACTGTGGATGAAATCCCATTCTGGGGTTACCATAGTTCTAAAGGGAAAGGTTTGGATGAATTCCTTGCTAGTGTTGCGGCAGTTAGAAGTTGATGGATGCAGACTCCAGGTCTCAGACACAACTCAAATTCCCTGGGGTTTTGGCTCAAGGAAGCTTTGAGACTGTAAACGGTGGGATCCACCCTTTAGTTTGTGTGTGGTGTGTTCCTCCTCCCAGACCTTGCAGGTTCTCTGTGTTTAGATTTATCGATCCTAGTTTGATGGGGGTTAGGGGGAGTAGCTCAAGTCATCTGCCTTCAAACAAATATTACTCCTATTTTCAGATAAGGCCCAGAGTGGTTAAAGTGAACTAAAATTAACTTTGGCAAATGTTCCAGTTTTTCAATGTGATCCGGTTGGAGGGAGTGTCTAAAAATCAGGCAAGGGAGTTTCTGGGCCAGGTCTTGAGGAGTCTCTTGATGTTCACATTAGTTCTTTGGAGTCTGGTACGTCTGTGGTGCCTGGCCAGGATTCTGGATTTACGAGTCCTATGTGGGAGCTGAAAGGGGTCTTACCATCTGGTCCAACTTTTTCATATCTGCCTTTCCCCGCTTCCCTGTTAACTGAACCTTGGAAAGGGGAAGTAAGTTGTCTGAATTCAGACTGCCTTAGTGTCAGAGTGAGAACTAAAATTTCCAGTCTTCTTCCTCCTAATCCAGTAATATTTTTATTTCTCCCATACCTTGCCACTTCTTAAAAGGGCACGAAACCACTTATTCAGGTCTTAAGGTCAGGAATCCTGAGTAATTGGAAATCCCAAGGAAGTTTTATAGTCCCCACCCCTTTCTGTGCCTTATGGTTAGTATTAAGAGGAGGCCAGGTTTAAGCACAGGTGTACTAGTTCTCGTAAGTCACCACTTCGGTTTTATGTGTTTATGGCTTATATACTCTTCCATAACCATTATCTGATTTAATTTCTAATCCATTTCTGTGAGGTAGTTTGCAGAGCTTGGTTTATGTCTCTTTTTTTACTGTGAGGGAATGGAGACACAGCATAGCACTTGCCTTAGATGACAGAATGAGTAAGTAGTGAGGACAAGACACCTCTCTGGAGCAGAGGATTTGATTTGACATCATAAACTGAGCCACTCATTGTGGCTCTCTGAGCCTCAGTTTCCTTATCTGTAAACTCATAGGGTTGTTGTGGGGATTGTTAAGAAAATGGCTATGAAAGTGCTTTATAGTGGTAGTAATAATAGCTAAATTTATTAAGTACTTAACGTGTACCACCAGTCAATGGACTGAGGACTTTATGGACTATATTACTAATTCTTAGAGCAACCTATGAATTAAGTACTATTATTATCCCTGTTTTATAGAAGAAACAGGCTTAGAGAGGTTACATTACCTGCCTCAGGGTCATGTAACTGGTAAGTGGCCATGGCAGTATTCAGACTGCAGACAGTATAACCTTAAAGCTGGCATGCTTTTTTTAAAAAAAAAATTGTGGTAAAATATATATAACATAAAATTTACCATTTAACCGTTTCAAAGTGTACATTTATGTGACATTAAATACATTCGCATGGTTATGCAACCATCATCACTGTCCATTATCTTCCCCAACTGAAATTCTGTACCCATTAAACTAACTCCCCCTTCCCTCCTCCCTCCAGCCCCTGAAAACTATCGTTCTACTTTCTGTGAATTTGACTACTCTAGGAACCTCATGTAAGTGGAATCATGCAATATTTGTCCTTTTGTGCCTGCAAAGCTGGCACACTTAGTGTCTTCTTTAGTCTCAGAGTGCATTGTAAATGCAAAATTATTAGTCCTCACCTGCAGCAGAGATGTGGCATGCAGCTCCAGGGCAGGAACCCAGGCCTCTCTGAGTAAGACCTACTTTTCTCCCCCTTAGGTTGATGTTCTGTATCACTGAAGCCTGTTTTGAATCTCTGCTGGCCCCCCAGTATCTGCAGAAGAGACCTTATACCCTGTTTTTTTTGGAGACGGAGTCTCACTCCGTCGCCCAGGCTGGATTGCGGTGGCACGATCTTGGCTCCCTGCAACCTCAACCTCCTGGGTTCAAGGGATCTCTTGCCTCAGCCTCCCGAGTAGCTGGGACTACAGGCATGCACCATCACGCCTGGGTAATTTTTGTATTTTTAGTACAGATAGGGTTTCACCACGTTGGCCAGGCTGGCTTCGAACTCCTGAACCTCAGGTGATCCTCCTGTCTTGGCCTTCCAAAGTGCTGGGATTACAGGCATGAGCCACCACGCCAGGCTATTACACCCTTAAAATAGAACCGAGATAACTCCCCACCCTCACCTTGTTTGCACCTGCCCTTCTGACAGTCCAGGGTTTGGGGATATTGGGCTGCAGTTATCAGGAATAACAGTGCAGTGACAGCAGCTTGGATCAAAACTACTCAGAATGATTAAGTAGATCACCTTTATGAAATGTTCCCTCTTTCTTCCCCCTTTTTCCATAGAGGCACACAGGAGGGATTAGCTTTTGGGTTCTTGGAGGATGTTTATGGATACTCACTGCTTGCAGTTGGTTAAGATGGAGTTAGATGCTGCATATAGCCTTTCAAAATGCCCTTTGACCGTTTTCTGTGTTGGTCCATTTAGGGGAGTGGGCTCTTCATGTTTATGAAGATGGTTGGAATATTGTCCTGATAACAACTGGGGGTTGGGAGAGGCAGTGTCTCAGAGATGGTTAATAGGGTAACAAACACATGATCATGTGTCTGGTCATGTCACACTCTCCTTAAAAATCTGATGGCCCCAACATTGCCTGCATATTAAAGTTCAAACAAATATGACCCATGAGGTCAGTGTGTTGAATTTATTGAATAGAATCTTGTAGTTGAGGGACCTTACAGTCATTTAGACCAGCCACCTGGCTGACATTTGAGTTGGTTACTTGTTGAGATTGTCTTTCTTTGGATACCTCATTTTTGGAAAGTTTTTCATTCACTGAAGAATTAATGAGCCTCTGTTAGACCTGGTGCTACGCTTAGGGATTTGGGTTTGTATAGCGTAGTGGGAAAGATAGGCAAGGAAACAGGCAGTGTGAGAAGTGTTGTCACAGGGACAGACACCAGGAGAGCACAGAAAAATGATGCCTAACCCAGCATTGGAAGGTCAGGGAAGGCTTTTTAGGAGGAGAAGTTGGTTAAGCCTAGCCCTCAAGAGAACAGACATAAGCCAGGAAAAGAAGAGATCTGGGGAGTCAGGGAAGAGGCAGAGATAAGACTGTTCTAGGTAGAAGGAACAGTAAGTTCAGAAATGGTGATAATAGGTTAAGACCATCCCGAAAGTACGTACTGTTACTATTCCCATTCTGTAGTTGAAGGAAACGGGCCAAGAGAGCTAAACAAATTTCTCAGGATTCTTGGGTGGAGCATAATGCTTGAGGTGGGTGGATATGGCCAGACAGGAGACTTTCAAGGTAGGCAGAGCAGAGGCCAAGTCAGGAAAGGGCCTTCTTGCCTGTGTTGAGGAGTTTGGACTTCATCCGGAGGTGAGGGGGCCATGATTCAATGTGCATTTTGGAAGGATATCTCTGGCTGCCTGTTCAGGAGCGGACTGGAGAGCTAGAACACTGTGGGCAGAGAGACCAGTTAGGAGGTTGGCAAGAGGTGATGGTGTTTCAAATGAAGGTTGTGGGAGAGCGTGTGCAAGAGTGTGTGCAGAAAAAAGATGGAATTGCTGGGCGTGGTGGCTCACGTTTGTAGTCCTAGCACTTTGGGAGGCTGAGGTGGGTGGATCACCTGAGGTCAGGAGTTTGAGACTAGCCTGGCCAACGTGGTGAAACCCCGTCTCTACTAAAAATAAAAAAAAAATTAGTCGGGTGTGGTGGCAGGCACCTGTAATCCCAGCTATGTGGGAGGCTAAGGCAGGAGAATCACTTGAACCTGGGAGGTGGAGGTTGCAGTGAGCTGAGATCGAACCACTGCACTCCAGCCTGGGTGTGAGACTCCATCTCAAAAAAAAAAAAAAAAAAGGAAAGAAAAAAGGTGGAATTGAGTGATGAGACAAAGATTATTGGTGTGGAGGGTAAGGAAGGAATCGGGATGACATCTGGTTTCTACCTGGTGCAGTTTTGTAAATGGGTGCTGTTTATTGAGGTGAGGACACAGGAGAAGAAGGAGCACGTAAGGGAGGGGGTAGGGTTTCTTATGCAGGGTCTCCTTACATATGCTTTCACTTACCTCTGGTTATGGATTCTAGTTCTTTGTGTCAGGTCTGAAAGGGAGAGAGTGAGAGTATGGCACAACTGGTCATGTTCCTGGCTAAACTGGATGATGCAAACATTAGTTTAGGAAGAGAGGAGATATTCAATCCTAGACATCCGGGTGTGGCACAGCCTGGAAACTGCTTACGTTAAGCCAAGAAAAGTTTACATTTTATCCAGGCTACATCCTTTGGCACTGGTCTTTTCGTGTACTAGTGTATTCCTAAGTCCCTCTCTAAGCCGAAGCCACTTCTCTGCTTACTCTCTGCTAGGCACTGGGAAAACAAAGATAAGTAAAACGTATCCTAAGGAGCTCATGATCCAGAAGGGCAGAAGTCTCAGTAGCTTGGATACAGCGGTGGCCTGGGGAGAGGGTGGATGGGGCAGGGCAGGGTAGGACAGGATGGAGAGGGACCCGGAAGGGTTTCTATTAGGGATAGGAGTCAGGAGACCCCACTGTGTGCTCCAGTCTTTTTCTCGGGTGGCACGTGTCTAGGTTTATTCATCTGAATAATGACTAGATGACCCATAAGGTCCCTTCTAGCAATTACATTTTATGATTCTAGGTGGTGGTTTAGATAATATATCTCTAGGAGAGGTATTTCTTTCTTCTTCTCCCCCTTCTTAGTTTGGCATTGGTGAGGGGATATAGTAGGGGTGGAGATAGCAAGGTTTTCACTTGAGTGTCTTGGTCTTATTCAATTTTGGCTTCATGTCTATATAGCTGGAAGGGAGAAAATGACAGCCGTAATGTTAACCTGCTTGTCCTACAACTTCCCCCTGGGTACTGTAAGGAAATTGTGCTCAGGGTGCAGCTCACAGACCCTTAGGAATAGAGACAGAGTGCAGTGGAATAAATAGGAAGTCTTGTCACTAGCCTGAGCATCGTTTGGTCAGTGTGTGGGCTGGACTAAGGTCCTTTCTTTTTATAGCCCTGTTTCCTCATAAAATCATCTGGGGGGGTCCCTGAAATTCTATAAAGGCCCAAAGAGTGGGGGTGGGGAGGTAGGGACAGAAAAAGGGTTGGAGGTCCCTGTCTCTCTCACTTCTCCCCTCTCTTCGAACGAATAAGTAGAAGCAGGTATCTGGCCAAGTATTAATGTTGGTCATCTTTTGTTTCCACAGCCTTGCCTTATTTCCTCAGTGTTAGTGTCTTCTGTCATTTCATAATGGCTTTCATGGTAATCAATGTCCTGTACCTCCTGGGAGGAAGGAAGGAAAGATGGGATATTGTCCCTGGGCTCTAGTCTCCATCTCCAGAAGAGCCATTTAAGACATCCACTGCCCCCTGTTCTCTATTCTGGGGTTGGGGTAGGGGGTTGTGGCTGAATACTTGGGTTTCTTAGAGGGTACATACTTGAGTTTCCTAGGGAGTGCTCTACTAACTAAAGTGCAAATCTGGCTATCTTCCCAACACACCAATGAGTTTGACTGGGGAAAATAGCAGTCAGTGGGCTTTTGTTGCTTGCCAAACCCATGTTAATTGTAATTATCTAATATTCTGTGGGATCTCTGTCTTCCTGTCTGTGAAACAAGGGAATTGGACTAGATAATCTTGAGTGATATTTCTACCTTTTTACAGTTTTGTGGAAGTGGCTTGAGAATTTATCTCTGGAAGGAGAAAGGGCTTTGCTAAAGTATTGAGAGTATCTCAGAGGGTTAAATTCTGGGTTCACAAAAGATACCTTTCAGTATATAAACAGATGGATATTGCTTTTTAGAGTGGACAGATTGCTGAAAAATTGCTTGTGAGATGAATTTATCAAATTGTATGCTGAGTTCCATTATAAACTTGGAGCTGTAGCCTCATGGGACAAACTTGGAGTCCAAGACTATAAAAAAATTACATTAAAATATGTAGCAAACTGTTTAAAATCACATAATAAAGGAAAAATAAAAAACATTTTAAGATTTTCACACAATGGTAATAATGGAAAAACACTAGACCAGAAACTTGCATTTCCTAAGAGCTTTAGCTTATGGAGTAGATGCCTCTACTGAGGTTACCTGGCCCTTGAAGTGCCATCTGTAGAGACTGAATAGCTCTGTTATTTGTCAAGGTAAGACTCATTGCTTTATTCCAAGTAAATATTCTCTTTTAGAATGCCAGGTTTGGAAGCTTAATGTTATTGGCCAGATTTTCTTCATTCCAGAGGCATTTATCTGGTATTTAGCTGTCTCCTGTTTATTTTATTAAGGATTTTAATAAGCTTAGTTAACGGTACTGCTTACATGGTGTCTCTTGATCTATTTGTCTAGTTTCCTTTGAAATTCTTTGTGTTAGTGAAAGCAAGCCCAGCAGTAGATTTAAAAGGGTCATTTCCATAACTTCATTTATCTAGATTTGGGTTTTTTTGGTAAGAGATATGACCACACTATACTGAGAAATCGAATGTTGTTTCCTTTTTTTTTGAGACGGAGTCTCGCTCTGTTGCTCAGGCTGGAGTGCAGTGGCATGATCTCCGCTCACTGCAAGCTCTGCCTCCCGGGTTCATGCCATTCTCCTGCCTCAGCCTCCTGAGTAGCTGGGACTGCAGGTGCCCACCACCACGCCCGGCTAATTTTTTTGTATTTTTAGTAGAGACGGGGTTTCACAGTGTTCGCCAGGATGGTCTCGATCTCCTGACCTGGTGATCTGCCCACCTCGGCCTCTCAAAGTGCTGGGATTACAGGCGTGAGCAGCCGCGCCTGACCACGTCGTTTCCTTTTTACCTGAAGCATTAATTTAAGGCTTTGGAATTTTGTTTTTGCGGATACCTGTAAGGTGGTACTGAGGAATGGTGCTGCTGCCAAAGTAATAATGAGGGCTGTGCGTGAATCAGTTGAGCACAAGAATAACTTCTCTTCAGACTTTAAAGATTCACCCTAATTGATTCTTACACCAATTAAAATCAACCCTTACTAAAATTAGGGTTCAGAGGAAGTTACTTAGTTGCCGTGGCATGATTATTTATGCTTGGGAGTCCCAACAGCCTTCCATCCCTAATCTCAACCATTCGTTCCAGGAATTTGGAGTACCTCCTATATGTTCTTCTTATGGAAAACATAAAAACCAACAAGACATAATTCCTGTCCACAAATTACTTTCAGTCTTGAGAGGAAGACAGATAAGTAAAGCAAATCCAGCCTGCCGCCCTGGCTCATATATTTGGATTGAGGGTTCAAACGGAAAATAACATAATTGGTGGCTGTATCAGTAGACAAGGAGACCAGTTTGATAATCTGACTTCCAGTGTGTAGACTTTATTTTTTTGGCATTCCCTTCTCTCCCTTCTGTTTTTTACAGATATTTATCCTCTGTTGCTAAGGTGTCCAACACCCAGTGTGTAAAGTCAAGAATATTAGAGTAGGGGACAACATTTCCTTTCAGGTTTAGGTGTCCAGATATCTGCATCTGGACACCCACACAGTTCTCTGGCTGGCTTCAGGAAGATTTGGTATTGTCTCGCTTCTTATGTAGAAATGAAGAAAATTAAGTTTCATGTTGAATTATTTTAAGTTTTATTATGCTCTATTTTGAAATAAAATAGCTCTATTTTGTATGCAGGTGGAATTATCTGAGGTGTGGTTTCTGGCATTTGATCAGTCTGTGATTTGATAATTGTGTTTATATTGTAGTTCGTGAAGCCCATTGCCACTGCCAGCCGCCTTTGAACACTTTGCAGCAAGGAGCCCTAGTAAATGGAAATGGTGGGCACATTGAGGCTCTCCTGGTTTTGAAGGGCTCTTCCCTCTTTCCTACCCTTCAGAGAGAAATATTACTTGGGATGCTGTGTTGTGCTCCCGATTTCTTCCAACAATTTAGCATTGCCTGTGGGGTCTGGAATAATAAGGCCATGTAAACTGGAGATGTCATCTTCTCTCTCTTTGAAGTTCCATTTTCTCATCTGTGAAGTGGGGTTAACACTCCATATCTTGCCTTCCTCACAATGGTATTGTGAGGAGCAAATTAGAACGTTGTAAAATCACATGAGACAATTTATATGTGAAGAATCCATCAGTCATTTGTCAGTGGTAATAGGTAAGTGGCAGAATTTTCCTTAAGAGGGGAGATCGATCTCTTTGTAGGGAGCAGGGAGAGTGATCTCAGCTGGTCTCTGGGATTGGGAAAAAGTGTGATGAAAGCATCTGGACAGGGGCAATGATGGAGCAAAAGACTGGAGGTGAACTGTTCAGCGGGAACAGTGAGTAAGTGTTCTCTAACCTCATACTGTAAGTCCTAGGTTAGGCATATGTTTACCTTTGGTAAATATGCCAAACAGTTTTTTTTTTTTTTTTTTTTTTTGAGACGGAGTCTCGCTCTGTCGCCCAGGCTGGAGTGCAGTGGCGGGATCTCGGCTCACTGCAAGCTCCGCCTCCCGGGTTCACGCCATTCTCCTGCCTCAGCCTCCCAAGTAGCTGGGACTACAGGCGCCCGCCACTACGCCTGGCTAATTTTTTGTATTTTTAGTAGAGACAGGGTTTCACCGTTTTAGCCGGGATGGTCTCGATCTCCTGACCTCGTGATCCGCCCGCCTCCGCCTCCCAAAGTGCTGGGATTACAGGCGTGAGCCACCGTGCCCGGCCTCCAAACAGTTTTAAAAGGTCTACCAGGTTACATGGTTAGTGATGAGAAAATTGCTGTTGTTCTGTGTTGTTGTAAATACTTGGCATTGTCTATCTTTTTCATTTGAAGCCATTCTGGTTAGTAGTTATAGATATGAATTTTAAGAACCATACTATGAATTCTCACATAGCAAGTACCATAAAGGGGTACAATGATTGGGAAGTTCAGAAGGGGAAGAGATTGCTTCCTTTGTACATGGAGGAGGGGCAGAGGGGGAGTTCCCAAGGAACATTTGTGGACCAGTGAGTATTTGTGCTGGACTTTGTAGGATAAGGATAATGACCATCTGTTGTCCAGGACCATTTTAATTTCTAATATTCTGTCTGGTTGTACTTACAGATTATGAAATACCAATCAATATTGCCATGTCTGTACCTTATCTCCCATACTATGCAGAAGCAACACCCAGTTATCTTTTCTCAACCGATGTGCTTCCCTTCCCCCCTTTTCCAGAAAGAATGGTCACAGGTGATTAGGCTGCAGAGATGGAGAACATTCTGTGCAATGGGAACAACTTGAGTAGAGGCACAGATGAATGACTAGACCGAGTAGTATCCATATTCCTGCTAATGAGCAGGTGGTGGAAGTGTCCCACACTTTGGAGATGGGTGATACCTTCTCATAGCCTCTCAGAGCAGAACAAGGTCATGTCGTTATGAAGCCAATTTGTATTTAAACTGGATAAAAGGATGAGAATGAGCTCTTTGCTTATACTTACATCATTTCAAGAAAGAAATTAATCCAGTAAACAGTCATACCTGAAGTATATCAAAAGAGAGTTTTTCTTCTTAAAATGGTTGGGGAGGGAATACTAAAACCTAAAGAACTTAGTCTCTCAGAGCTCATCTATTAGTTGTATATTTGCTCAGGGAAAAATTGCCATTTCTTTGTCAGCTTTTATCCTGCCGGTGGACCCTAGCTGGGTGTTTATTTTGTGTAGTTTTACCAAATCACTTTGAAGGTTGGCATGAACATTGATCATGTCTTAGAGCCTTTCCTCTTTGTTCTGTCAGCAAATATTAGAAAATGTACCTTAAATTACCTGGTTGGGGAAAATAGGGTGGCCCTGCCTCCTTCCAGAGAGCAGCATTTTCATGTTAAACATTAGTCAGCTTCTGATCCTGTGTCAGGTCGCGGGGTGTTTGTCAAGATAGACAGGGTGCTAGAGATGCCACTAGGGACATTCACTAGAGAATTTCTAGGCCCCCTCTCGAGGAGACTAGTCGAGTAGTTGATTTAAAAATCTGATGGGCTGGGTGCAGTGGCTCATGGCCTGTAATCCTGACACTTTGGGAGGCTGAGGCAGGCAGATCATGAGGTCAGGAGATCGAGACCATCCTGACGGAGTAGTGAAACCCCGTCTCTACTAAAAATAGCAAAATTAGCTGGGCGTGGTGGCGCGTGCCTGTAATCCCAGCTACTGGGGAGGCTGAAGCAGGAGAATCACTTGAACCAGGGAGTTGGAGGTTGTAATGAGCCAAGATCGTGCCACTGCGCTCCAGCCTGGTGACAGAGTGAGACTCTTTCTCAAAAAAAAAAAAAATCTGACCTGGGTTTTAAATGTTAACACAGCCTTGCATATTAGTGATATTGAGTGTCCACTGTGTTGAGATATCATACTTGGTACCTTTTGTTTATACTAATAGAGCTAATATTTACTGAAGGTTACTATGTGCGAAGCCTTTTATACATATAAAATATTATTTCATTCTCACCTCAACCCTAAGAAGTAGGTTGTATTGATCGTGATCATACAGATTGGAAACTGAGACAAAGGGAGGTTAAGAGATATGCCGTGGGCAACCACTGGTCTTTTTATAGTCTTCACAGATACGTCTTTGCAGAACGTCATACAGTTGGAATCATACAGTATGTAGCCTTTTCAGATTTGCCTCTTTCACTTAGTAATATCCATTTAAGTTTCTTCCATGTCTTTTTATGTTTTGATAGCTCATTTCTGTTTAATGCTGAATAATATTTCATTGTCTGGATGTGCCACAGTTTATCCACCTATTGAAGGTGTCATTGGTTGCTTCCAAATTTTGTCAATTATGAATAAAGATGCTATAAACAAACAAAAGAAAGATATGCCGTGGTCACGCTGCTGATATGATAGATGGAGTTGGCTAGGATTGAAACCTAACCAATTCCTCTTTATTTTTAATATGGAAAATTTCAAACATACACAAAATCGAATAGGTTAATGAAATATGATTTACCCATCACTTGGCTTCAACAGTTAGCAATTCATTGTCAGTCTTGTTTCATTTATACCCCTACCTACTTTTCTTCATTTTGTGCTTTGAAGAAAATCTCAGCTATCATATTTTGTCCTTAAATATTTCACAGTGTGTCTCTAAAAGATGACTTCTAAAAACAATTATAATGCCATTACCATCTTTATAAAGTGTAACAGTTCCTCAGTAAAATCAAAATCCAGATGATCGTGTTCAAATGTTCGATTGTTTTGTAAATGTCACAACCTTATTTTGATAGTTTGATTCAGGATTCATATAAAGTCCACACATGGTTCTTAAGTCTTCAAGTCTCGTTTAATTTGTATGGTCCCTCCTACAGTCACATGCTGCATAGAGATGTTTCAGCCAGTGATGGGCCACAGATATGACAGTGGTCTAATATGATTGTAATACCATTTTTTTTTTACTGTACCCATTGTATATTTAGGTGCACAAATCCTTATCATTATGTTACAGTTGCCTACAGTATTCAACACAGTAACATGCTGTATAGGTTTGTAGCCTAGGAGCAACTATACAGCCTATGCTATATAGTCTAGGTGTGTAGTAGGCTATACCACCCAGGACTGTGTAAGTGCACACTGGTGTTTGCACAGGGATGAAATCGCCTAATGATGCATTTCTCAGAATGTATCCCCGTTGCTAAGTGATGCATGAGTGTAGTTATCCCCCCCATTATTTGTTGAAGAAGCTGGATGTTTTTTTCTATAGATTTTTCCATGTTCTGGATTTTGCTCATTGCATTCCTATGGTGTGTTTTCTGTGTCTCTTTGTCCTCTGTATTTTCTGTAAGTTGTTGGTTAAGGACAATTTCTCTTAACCCTCATGACAACCCTGCAAAAATAGGTATTGTTCTTATTTTGTAGGTAAGAAAACAGACTGAGAGAGGTCGGGTGGCTTGTCCAAGGCCCCGCCTGGATTTGAACACAGGCCTACTTGTCTGCAAAGCTTTTGTTCCTTCATCACTAAACCACTCTGTGAGCTTAGGCAAATCATTTTAAGTTCTCTGGGTCAGCCGGGCACACCTGTAATCCCAGCACTTTGGGAGGCCAAGGCAGGCGGATCACGAGGTCAAGAGATCAAGACCATCCTGGCCAACATGGTGAAAGTCCGTCTCTACTAAAAATACAAAAAATTAGCTGGGCATGGTGGCGGGCGCCTGTAGTCCCAGCTACTCAGGAGGCTGAGGCAGGAGAATCGCTTGAACCTGGGAGGCAGAGGTTGCAGTGAGCCAAGATCATGCCACTGCACTCCAGCCTTGGTGACGGAGCGAGACTCCATCTCAAAAAAAACAAAACAAAAGCCAGGTGCAGTGGCTCACGCCTATAATCCCAGCACTTCGGGAGGCCAAGGAGGGTGGATCACCTGAGGTCAGGAGTTCGAGACCAGCCTGACCAATATGGTGAAACCCCATCTCTACTAAAATACAAAAAATTAGCTGGGCGTGGTGGTGGGCGCCTATAATCTCAGCTACTTGGGAAGCTGAGGCAGGAGAATCACTTGAACCCAGGTGGCAGAGGTTGCAGTGAGCCAAGATCGCACCATTGCACTCCAGCCTGGGCAATAAGAGCGAAACTCCGTCTCAAAAAAAAAAAAAAAAAAAAAGTTCCCTGGGCCTTAGCTTCTTTGTGACCATTTGAGTGCCTACCATGTTATGGTGTGGTACTAGATGGTGTGGATAATACCCATATGAGTAAGACTGTCTTCAAGGAGCATATAGTCAATCAGGGACTGCAAGACCATATGCTATTTCAGACAAGGTCATTGTGGGACTATGGGATCCTTAATCTCCCTTAAGAGTTTCCTGCCTCCCTGTCATCCTGTCTTGCTGTTTTCTGTGCCATGCTATTCACTGTTGCCTGGTACCTTTTCCTACAAACCATTTTTGTTGTATTCTCCCTGCTGTAAGTCTAGTATGGAAGTTTTGGTAAATAAAAGTTCTTCCAGCAATAAACTTTTCTTTGGATTGAGTTACTATTTCAAGGGCAGCTACTCTTTTTTTTCTCTTGTGTTTGGCAAAGGTGTTATTGCTTTTATGGAGATGCTGAAGGAATCTGGGGAACATAGAATAATGATGGAATGAAGCATGGGGAATGCCATCCTGCATCAGGGGAGAACATATATTTAGCGTTGTACTGTTCACTCCCAACGGCATCTGACTGTAATGGGGGTAATTTTGCTCTTTTGCAAAGACAAGGAACTTTTAGTTGTGATGTTCAGGGAGCAGAATTTTAAAGGTATTCCATTTAGGGGAACCAAGCTGCTGAACTTTCATCCTCATTGGGAAGTCCTTGGGGCACTCTTAAATCCTTTCTGTTCCAGATCTGTTCAGTCTTATCCTCTAGATCAGAGGTCACATACTGGTAGCCCCTTGGGCTGTATCTGGCCTGTGTACATATTTTGTTTGGCCTGCAGTAGTGGTGTCATTGTTTTTTAAATTGAGACAGGGTCTTGCTCTGTTACCCAGGCTGGAGTGCAGTGGCACAATCATAGCTCACTGCAGCCTCAAACTCTTAGGCTTAAGCTATCCTCACGCCTCAGTCTCCTGAGTAGCTGGAATGACAGAGACATGCCACTACACCCAAGTGTTTTTTAAATTTTTTTGTAGAGATGAGTTATTACTTTGTTACCCAGGCTGGTCTCACACTCCTGGCTCAAGCAGTTCTGCTACCTTGGCCTCCGAAAGTGTTGGGATTATGTGTGAGCCATTGCACCTAGCCTCTATTTTTATTTTGAGTGGAATAAAAGCCTGGGGAGATTAGGACTGCCTTTCAGTGGAGATAGTATGTATGTGTGAGATGAGAGGTCCTGGCATGGGGCTATGAAGGTGACTGGTTTCTCATGAAAAAGGAGGAAGATTTTTGAGAAAGTAGCAGAGGCTAGAGCCTGACGCTGACCATGAGCAATTTTTCCATTTATAAGAGTGGGGGTAGGCCTGTCTTCTCCTTGAGTCCTCTACCAGGGATTTGTTTTGTTTTGTTTTGGTGTGTGTGTGGTTTTTTTTTGTTTTGTTTTGTTTTTGAGACGGAGTCTCGCTCTGTCACCCAAGCTGGAGTCAGTGGCATGATCTCAGCTCACTGCAACCTCTGCCTCCCGGGTTCAAGTAATTCTCCTGTCTCAGTCTCCCAACTAGCTGGGACTACAGGTGCGCGCCACCATGCCTGGCTAATTTTGTATTTTTAGTAGAGACAGAGTTTCACCAATTTGGCCAGGCTGATCTCGAACTCCTGACCTTGTGATCTGCCCGCTTCAGCCTCCCAAAGTGCCAGGATTATAGGTGTGAGCCACCACGCCCCAGCCTCTACCAGGGTTGTTATATTGTGACTCCTTGTACACTGGCTAGTCCATGCTTTAGAAGCTTGTAAACTGAAGCAAAGAGACATGGCTTGGATCTTTGGGCAACTCTTTGGAGCTTCGGCCAAATTTGGCAGAAGCTTTGAGTTTACAACTTCATGTTCTTCATTTCTCTACTTTTTTCCACATTCTGCTTCCTTATTGACTGGCTTCTTTAGACAGCATATTTGTTCTCAAGTTTGTCAAAGCCACACCATTTCCTGTTGTTTCTTTGATACTCAAGCCCAGTGTCAGTTGCCGTTTATCACCAGAGTATAGCACTTTTTTTGGGAAACACTTGGTCAATTCATTTTTGCTACCTGCTTGCCACCAAGGTCCAGCCCAGCTCTAGAAGGAACTCTAATATTGAAGAGACTTTACCTAGTTAAGGTGCTGGTGAATCCCCTGCGACTAAGTGAATTATCTTCATTTTACTGGGAACTTTTGGTGCCCTTATTGGCTGATAAATCTGTCTCGGCCTATCTTAGGACTTCATATGGACAGCAAACTAGTCAAGGCTCAGTGGATCATGTCCTTGTCAAGTTGGCATTTTTTGCAATCCCTATTATATATTTGTAAGGTAGAGTGGAAGTGAGTCTGATGTGTCATGAAGGAAACCATGGACATTAATTCAGAATCAAAACCGTTTTACTTATGAGTTGGTACCTGGTCTTTTTTTCTTCCAGTGGCACTCTGTTGCCCAAACTGGAATGCAGTGGCGTAATCTCAGCTCACTGCACCCTCTACCTCCCGGGCTCAGGTGGTTCTCCCACCTCAGTCTCCTGAGTAGCTGGGACTACAGGCACGCACCACCATGTCCTGTTGTTTTTATTTTTTTATTTTGTAGGGATAGGGTCTTGCTCTTTTACAAACTAGGCTGGGGTCTTGAACTCCTGGGCTCAAGCCATCCTCCCGCCTTGGCCTCCCAAAGTGCTGGGATTACAGGCCTGAGCCACTGCACCAGGCCTGAAAGTAGGCAAAAGAATCACCCAGAAAGTCACCTGCTGGTTCCCTTTGACTTCTTGTGATTACTGAAACATCATCCAGTATGTGGAGTACTGTGGTAATTTCCATGACAACTGATCCTGATTTTCCAGATAAAGAGAGGAAGCTAGTAAGTGTTAGGAACTCAAAAAGCGTAGTAAGCTAAGTTCTTGTGATGCTAAGTAGAATTTTTAGCTGAAAGGACCTTTCAGCAGCAACTGCCTGATTAAACCTCTTCCTCTTATAGGTCTGGAGAGGTTAAGCAACTTGCCTAAGGGATTGCTGTGTTTGTGGAATAAACTCTGGATCCTCAGCTTAGTATCTCTCTGTGCCTCCTATTCTGCATGACTTTTTTCATTATATCTCGGCTGAACTGTGAGCTCTATGAAGGCGGAAACCATGTCTGTCTTGTTGATGAGTGTTTTCCCAGAGCCTGGCATAGGATCTAAGTATTTTTTGAGTGAATGAATAAACTGGGTGGGGGGGGGGTTCTCAAACTGGAACACATGGCTGCATAGTAGATGATACATGAAATCACAGGATAAAACATACATCTTCCTGAAGTGTCAGTATACTTATTTTTTCAGAGTTGGATTAAATATTATAACTGGTAATTTAAAGTTTGCTTTTAACTTTAAATATTTTTATGGAATGAATGATAAATTAGCATGAATTCTTGAGATAAAGTGAGAAAGCATCAAATAAGTTACAGGATTATAGCAGGCCCTTTGACTTCTACCCCAGGGTGGGTCTGGCATCGCCAGACCTCTGACATTTTTAAGAGCAGCTAGAAATCTAATTTTTTTAAAAGTGAGATCTGATTTTGAATGTTGGCAGTTAACTCAGAGGTTTTTAAGTAAATTTTTACATATCAGACAAAAACATATCCTTGGGCCTAAACATCTGCTTGTGACCTATGAGATAAAATACAGGTCTGAGCAGTAACTAGACTTTGGATGGGGCCAAGATAGGTGGTGGTGTCAGGGATATCTCCTATTCTGAGTCTGGCTCCTTCAGATTTGAAACTAACCATAAGCAGGAGTGGAAAGAATAAAGCTAGAGACTTGATTAGAACAAATTCCCACATTAAACATCCTCTGTAGGAAACAGCTTCTATAACTCACAGGCTACCATATCCCTTCTCGTTGACTCCCCTTGTTTTGCAGATGAAACTAAGGTCCAGAGAAGAAACCAGAGCTTTCTTGTAGGACCCTTAAGAAGCAGCCATGGGGCCAGACACGGTGGTTCATGCCTGTAATCCCAGCACTTTGGGAGGCCAAGGCAGGCAGATCGCTTGAGGTCAGGAGTTCAAGACTAGCCTGGCCAACATGATGAAACCCCATCTCTACCAAAAATATAAAAATTAGCCGGGTGTAGTGGCGCACGCCTGTAGTCCCAGCTACTTGGGAGGCTTAGGCATGAGAATCGTTTGAACCCAGGAGGCGGAGGCTGCAGTAAGCCGAGCTTGCGCCACTGCACTTCAGCCTGGGCGACAGAGTGAGACCCTGTCTCAAAAAAAAAAAAAAAGAAAAAGAAAAGAAGCAGCTATGGGTCCTGGGCAGGCCCCGCTTCAAACTCCTGACCTTTGTTTGGTTTTCCTGCCTCACACACTCTTGGGCCATGGGGCAGTGGCTTCTGCCATAGCCTGAGGTGGTTGGGAGAGCTGGGCTAAGGCTTCTTGGTGCAGCCCTATCATCATGAGGTGGCGGAAGGTTGCCGTGGCAGGTGGTAATGTGCTGAGCCTCTTCTTGGTGCAAAGGGTCTATTTCTGTCACTAGCATCAGATTGACCTTATTTTATTTTTTTTGCCTAGAAAGATGTAGAAGACAGCTCAGCAAAAAGAAGCCTCAGGGCCGAGATAGATCTATCCCTCGTTGTGCCTTGCTTGCCTCTTCTCTTTCTCTTCTTTTTCCTTTCCTCCGCCTCCTTTCTTTTTGAGCCCTACTTACCCTTTCTTCTGCATCCTCCCCCACCCGCCATCCTTTGTTTTTTTCCTCACTGTTGCCCTTCTTGAGAAATTCTTGTAATGCTACTGCAGTGCGCAGAGCTTGGGATTGAACCTGTTTTCTGTGTTTTTAAAGGGGACTTGCAGTAAAAAGTAGGGCATCTAAAATAGGGAGACTAGACATCTTGAAACTGTCCCCTCTTCTTCTCCATTCCCACCCCAAGTCATAAAGGATAAAATCTAAACTCTGGCCTTGGCCGCAAGGCTCATGCAGTCTGGTGCCATATCACTTTGCTGCCTTTTGTCAGCAGCATAGTGCTTAATACCCACTGTTTCCCTGTGTTTCTGCCCAGTAGAAGGTTCCCTGGATGTGCCAGGCTGTATCATGACTTTGTTTTGACTACAGATAGTCCCTGGTTTACAGTTTGACTTACTGATTTTTTGACTTTATGTTGGTTACAAAAGTGATATGCATTCAGTAGAAACGGTACTTGGACTACTCATACAGCTAGTCTGTTTTCACTTTCAGTAAAGTATTCAATAAATTATGTGAGATATTCAACACTGTATTATAAAATAGGCTTTGTGTTAGTTGATTTTGCTCACCTGAAGGCTAGTGTTAATGTTCTGCGCATATTCAAGGTAGGCTAAACTAAACTAGGGTGTTTGGTAAGTTAGGTGTATTAAATGCATTTTCCCAGCCTGGGCAACATAGACTTCATCTCTTTTTTAAAACAAACAAACAAACAAAATAAAAAAAAAAACTAGCTCGCATAATGGGGCATTCCTGTAGTCTCAGCAGCTACTTGGGAGGCTGGGGTGGGAAGATCGCTTGAGCCTAGGAGGTTGAGGCTGTAGTAAGCCTTGATTGTGTTACTATACTCCAGCTTAGGCATCAGAACGAGACCTTGTCTCAAAAAAAAAAAAAAAAAAAAAAAGGCATTTCGACTTACAGTATTTTCAGCTTACAAGGGGCTTATTGGGATGTAACCCTGTTGTAAATTGAGCAGCATCTGTATTTCCCCTAAGTAGAAATCCCCTTATCTTCTTATCCCCTTTACCTGACAGACTCCTGTTTATCTTTCATATCAATTCCAATGCCACTTCCTCAGGGAAGCTTTCCCTGATCACTACAGAAGCAGAATTAATTTTGATCAAATAAAATACAGGATTTATAGCAGGCCCTTTGACTTCTAGGACTGCTGTAGTTGTACTCTAGTGCTGTGTCACACCCAAATCCTCTCTCATTCATTGGATCGAGACAGTATAGGCCAGGGGATAGTGTGCTACTTATCTCTATTTCCCTTGTGTCTCTGAAATAGGCTTGGCACAAATAGTACTTACAAAATGAATGATGGAAATGTGTATGCATTGATACTTATAGTATAGTTTGGTGTTGAGTGCTACAGATGAAATATGACAGTGCGCTTTAAAGAAGAGGCTTAATTTGGGGGTGACTAAAATAAAAAATTATTGACTTGAGGGTCTCTGTTTTGCAAGAATACATAATTAGCTTAAATAAGCAGCAAAAGGTTAGTTTTAATTATGTAGCTTCTGTTAATATTAAGTGTTTTTTGTCTGTTTTACCTCAATTTGAACAGATTAAGTTTGCGTGCATGCTGGACATGCCTCAGAACACATGAGTAGCCCGTACTAGATCTTGGGAACGTGGATCTTAGAGTCACTTTGGAATAAGTTCTTATATAAATACCCCCAGCCTTTTGAGAACGGGGCTTGTTAAAGGACGCGTATGTAGGGCCAGTACCTACTGGCAGTTGGATTCAGGGAAATGGGATTGACTTGGCCTTTGGTCCTTTGGTCATAATTTTAAAATATGGGAGTAGAAAACAACAAAGAATGGAATGGATGCTTAAAACAATGAAAGAGCATTTATCATTTGTCTCTTGAATGTAGAGTTTGTTTTTGATTTCATAATTCTGCGGGTAAACGTGACAGTTAAAGTGGTGGATTATGTATATGTATTATAATTTAGAAATTCCATTTTATAATTTTACTATTCCAAGGTGAAATAATGCATTTAAATTTGGGATTTGGGTGGAGTATTATGTTTAACTGGAGTTGTTGTCAAGTATGAATCCCTCAGGGAAAAAAAATTCTGTTTTAAAAAGCAGTCTGATTCTTAGCTCTTGAAACTATTGTTACTTAAATTTCCAATAATTAAAAATTAAAAATTTTAAAATTAGAATTGCCAATACTTTGACCTTTGAGAAGGGTTTCTTAGAAATACATTTAGTAATGTCCCCAAGACATTAGTCTTACATTTAAACTTTTTTCTTTAAAACATGGTATTGGTTGTTAACCTTTACACAGTTCTGAGTACTGTTAATATCTGGAAAGTATCTTGAGATATCAGTGGAAAGCTAAACAGTCTAAATTTAACATGAAATACTTCTTTATGATTCAGAAAATAAAATCAGATTTTTTCAAAGTCAAAAAAAGAAATGTGACAAAGTGCTCTGGAAATTTACTGGAATTCTTGAGAGAGAACTAACTGGAAGAAATCTTGGAAGCTTCTAGAAGCTGGTAGCATTTGAGCTTGTCCTTAAAGATTCAGGAGTTCAGTTGGCAGAGATGGTGGGAAGAACATTCTAGATGGAAGGAATGGTAGGAGTAAAAGTAATGAGGAAGTACGGAAGCCAGGCCCTACCTACTAATCCACCTGTCCCCCTTATTCAGAATTTCTGCCAAATGTGTGCTAAATCTCTGTGGGCCAGCCTAAAGGATATTTACTTTTCTTCCTATTCTTTCCTTCCCTTCTTCCTACCTCTTTTGTCCTTTTTGCCTTTTATTTTTTGTTTCTTCTCAATATTTCCCCCTTTTTTTTTAAATCTCCCCCTTTCTCCAGTCCTTCATAAAAAAACAAAAAAGCAAAAAACTTTATTTACCTTTCTCTACCTACTTCTTTTTTGCACTTTTCCTAGGTAACCCAAGAAATCCAAGTCTTTGGGTGGAGATGTGAATCAGCCATACAATGTTTAACTCCAAATAACACCTCCCCTTGTGAAGCTGAGAAGTAATTGAGGCATAATTGCTTCTCATCTGTCTCTTGTGTTTTATTGGCATAGACTTTTTTTTTTTTAACCTCCCACAGTGCTGGGGGTGTCATTATCATTTTATTTTTCGTAGTTGTCAAAATGTCAATTTTAATGAGAAATTTCTGCAGATAGGTTTGCCCTTGAGTGGTAGGAGCCTTCAGGCAAAGCCAGGGCTAGATGAGTCAGGAATGTTCATGGATCTGTTTTCTCATGCATACAGGTGTATAGGCCACACAGAGGCAGACACCTACTTTTCCCCATCCCTACAGGCTCAATGCTTTGCAACATGTGCACACACACACACACACACAATTGATGTGCATGTATGTCCTCTCTTCTATACACAAAGTATCTCCCTTACACTTTCAAGCCATCTATTCCTCCTCCTCCCGTATGTGCACACATTTACCCTCTTACACCCCTGTCCCACTGTCTTCTACCCAGATACCCAGAATTGTGTGTGCTACCAAAGTATCTGCAAGCCTAACTCAGACACCACACTGTTCACTCCCTTACATCTGCGCACAAGTCCTCCCCTCCACACATGCCCACATAATCTCTGCCCGTGCCAGATGCCACACACCGAGTACCACAGCATCCTCCACATTTCTTTATACCCAGGTGCTGTCACCACCACCCCTTAGGTTTCTGTATCTTCATAACAGACATTTTAGTTTCAGACTAGTTTTGAAAGGAAATGTTCTTTGCTGACAGCCAAGCTAGCAGACTGTTAGGAAGTTGGAACCATTTATGATAGATCCTTTGGATTCAGGCCGCTAGTATAATGATGGGGGTAGGGGAGGACTGGATCAGACAATAGTGGGCTACCTCTGAATGTTACTGTTTATGACCCAAGGTGAGTTTGAACCTGAGTTCACTGCTATTGGAAGGTGATCCCCATACTTAGCACAAGAAAGCCAAAGCTACTGCATGTGTTCCAAATCAGAATCTCTGGGGTCAGGCATAGAAACTGATGTTTTTAATGAATTCCTTGAGTCCTTCTGTTGTGTAGCCAGGTTGGGAAACACTTATCTAGAGAAAGAACTAGAAGTAAAAAGATATGCATTATCTTCTGATACCACCTTGGACAAGTTTCTTTTCTGGACATCAGCTTTCTCCACTGAAATATTAAAAACCTATACTCATAAAGGACCCTTTCAGTTCTAAAATTTCATGCTGCTTTATGATGAGTTTAGTCTGGGATCTTTTTCTACCTCATAGTGTCCGTTCTCTGGGTCTGCCTGGGGCGGGGCATTTTAGGGCATTTGGCCAGAGGCCAGCGAGGCAGCCCAGGCCCTGACCTTCTGCCAGAAGCACTGACACAGCTCCTAATTAGAAATGGATCAATATGGGCCTGTAGCCAGGCCTGGGGAGCCTGGGAGGAGGCTGGAGCAGTGCTCCTAGGTAGGGAGAATGATTACCGTGAAATGGATCTGGTTACACTTGTCAATACAACAGTTCTGCTGGTGTAGCCCACCTCCCCTGGGGACCAGCAGGCAGGGCTACCCTGAACAAACGGGGAAATGGTTAACTTGTATCCCTATTTGATGTGTTTTCCTCACCTTTATAAACTCTTACCTAATGTGATGCTAGGTACATCGTATAGGCCCCCTCTTCAGATGGAAAAATCACTTATTGAATACCTACTAAGTGTTAAATACTGAGCCTCATTGTGTTTATTTCTCCTTGCAACCTACTGGCATAGGAAGGAAAGGAAACTGAAGCTCAGAAAAGTCAAAATGAAGTGACTTGGCTGCCCATTGTCATATAGCATAATCTCTATTGTACTATGCTATTAATACATTTCTGAGCATTTGCAACACCGATTCCAATCTGATGAACTGTTTTCTACCAGGGCCCTCTCTTACTTACCCTTCTACAGACTGAACGGGAGCTCAGGCTGTCTCCCTGGAGCTGTTCAAAGACTGGAGGAAATTCTTTAAAACCTGTGGTAAGGCAGGTGCAGGGGGTGGAGAGGGATGCTCTGCTTGCTTTTACTTTCTCTTGCTTTCTCATCTCCTTTCCAAGTTCCCTAAGGGGTGAGCAGGCTCTAATGGGAGAGATCAATCATCATTTGGGATCAATGGGAAGGTTTTCTCCTCTACGGAGTGCAGAGTCAGGTTTCTGAACTGGCCTTGTGCAAGGAGAGGGAAGGGATTCATAACTGGATGCATTGGAGAACCTGCAGGCTTAACATGCTCAGCAGCCAGTGTGGTCAGACCAAATTCCTCCTATAGTTGGTCATTCAACAGATACTTGTTGAGTGTCTCCTGTGTGTCAGGGCTTGTGCTAGTGCTAGGGATTCTTAGATGACCTCACAATCTAGCATCAGAGTCAGACAAAGATACAAACCACAGTATAATGTATGTTCCTTGATAGAAGAGTTTATAAGGAATTCTGAGATTCCAAAGGCATGAATGGGGGTTCTCCTAGGGGATGTAATTATGATCTGTGTTTTGAAGGAAGAATGAAGGGTAAGAGTTAAGCCAGGAAGGGCACTCCAGACCAGGGAACCAGCACAAACAAAAGCATAAAGATGTGTCCAGGAATTACTGGTAAAGGGGTGGGCATTAGAGCAGTACCTAACGTGTAGCAAAACAGATGGACTGCTCTGAGCCCTTATCCTTTGCCAGATTTAAGGTTGTAGTAGTAGCCATTGGATGGCAGTAATGCAGGTGCAGCAGGTAGGGAGGAGAAGATTGATTTATTAGCAAGTACCAACTGAAACTTATTTCTAGACTTCTGTGGGGGAGAAGGGAGGAAGCCTGAAGAGCAGCAGTCCTCTGTCCTCTGGGCCAGACCTGCAGAGGTGTTGTGGTTCTTGGCATTGGTTTGAAAGTTCGTCTGGCCCAGGCAAATAACCTTGCTTCTCTCATGGCAAAATCTTCTGCTTCACACAGCCTGCCCCTCCTTTCTGTGTTCTTTTACAGAAAGAAATTAATGGAATCTGTTCAAAATACCCCTGAAATGAAATTACATTTTTAACTCTAATTACCCTAATTAAAACTTGACAGCCGTAATCCTGGAATGGAAGATATGCTAAGTACCCCTTGCCTGTGACAAGCTCACTTACCCAGATGGAATGTTGTTCTGTTCTGGGTTTAGAAGAAAATTTCTTTTGGTGTTTGTTTTGTTTTTTCCATTAGCAATTTAGTCTTCCACCCCACAAATGCCCCAAGGTAGGATAGCTGTACTTGTGGACTACAGGTTTGCCCAGGACCCCTAATCTCAATAGAGGTTCCTTTGCATCCGGAGATGGAGCTCCTAATGATCCTTACTACATACCTTTGAGTTTTTTCTTCAGTTGAGGTTGAACTGCAGCCTTTCCCTCAGTGAAATCACCTGCCTTGGGGAACCAAGGATCTGTACTTGTTAGAAGGCTGTCTTCTGGTCTAGGGCTAAATACGGATTGGGGGTCAGTTTAGGGCTAGTATTTAGGATACAGTTTGAGCCCAGGGACAAGGAGGTCTAAAAATAGGATCCCTCGGCCGGGCGCAGTGGCTCACGCCTGTAATCCCACCACTTCAGGAGGTCGAGGCGGGTGGATCACTTGAGGTCAGGAGTTCAAGAGCAGCCTGGCCAAGTTGGTGAAACCCTGTCTTTACTAAAAATATTTTAAAAATTAGCCAGGCCTGGTGGTGGGCACCTGTAATCCCGGCTACTCGGGAGACTAAGGCAGGAGAATTGCTTGAACCCGAGAGGTGGAGGTTGCAGTGAGTCGAGATCATGCATCTTGCACTCCAGCCTGGGCGACACAGCGAGACTCTGTCTCAAAAGAAAAAAAAAAAGGATCCTTCTGCTCTTCACATAGCTCCAGTTCCTTTAACTCAGCACAGGTGAGAGCAACCTAGTGAGATGCCTGGTCTTGGCCTCTGCTTTAAGTGGTTACCTGGCCAGACCCGAAAACATGATGGGATGGGAGGTAGGGGCAAGCCCATAAAGCAGACTGAAGGATTCTTTGATGCTGTGGGTCGTCTCACATTTCTGCTAGAACCGAAGATCCCCATGTTCTAGTAATCTACTCAGCTTAGAAGCCTGTTCAGTAGGCAGACACTGGGTGCTCTGTTAGGTACTGCAAGGGACACAGAGTTGAGTAAGACACAGTCCCTGCTCTTGAGAAACTTAGAATTCTGGGGGAGTGGGGAGGTAGTGGTGGGTGAGGGACAACCATACACATACAAATTATGTAAGACAGAGCAAGCTTTATTCGGTAGATAGGAAGCTTGGCCGGGCGCGGTGGCTCACGCCTGTAATCCCAGCACTTTGGGAGGCCGAGGCGGGCGGATCACGAGGTCAGGAGATCGAGACCATCCCGGCTAAAACGGTGAAACCCCGTCTCTACTAAAAATACAAAAAATTAGCCGGGCGTAGTGGTGGGCGCCTGTAGTCCCAGCTACTTGGGAGGCTGAGGCAGGAGAATGGCGTGAACCCGGGAGGCGGAGCTTGCAGTGAGCCGAGATCCCGCCACTGCATTCCAGCCTGGGCAACAGAGCAAGACTCTGTCTCAAAAAAAAAGGAAGCTTGAGTGCCCACTGTGTACCAGGTTCTGAAAATAGTGTATAGACATATGAAACACAGTTCCTGTTTTTCAAGAACTCCCAGTAAATTAGATAGGCATGTGAAGGTTCACCGTAACACATGTAAGTGGAGGATGTGCTGGACAGATTACCTGGGAAGGAGGCTAGTCAGGGAACATGAGGAAGGATTAACTCCCATGGGGGTGAGGGGAGGAATCATTGGCAAAGACTTCTCCCAGGTGTTGGCATTTGGACTTGTCTCTGAGTAGATAATATTGGCAAAGGGATGGAGAAAGTCATTGAGGATGTTAGGGAACAGCATGAGGAATGGTAGAAGCTGCCAAATTACAACTCAGTGTGATTGGAGTGCAGTGTGCAGGAAAAGGATGTGGTAGAGGATGAATAAGGGTAGAGTTTAAACCATCCTGTAGGCAAAGGGGATCCACTGAGGTTACAGGACTGTGGTAGGAATAATGGATTAGTCAACAGGTGATTGGAGACAGATTAGTTAGAACATGTCAGCAAACTGGTGGGGCAAATCTAGCCCATTGCCTCTTTTGTAAAGTTTTACTGGAACACAGCCACACTCATTTGTTCATCCATGATTGCTTTTGCACTACAGTGGCAGAGTTGAATACCACGCAGACTATGGTAGCCCACAAAGCCTAATTACTATCTGATCCTATACAGAAAAAGTTTGCTGACCTGTAAGAAAGAAGGTAGTTATGCAAGTTCTGTAAGAGAAGATAAATGTCAGAACTAGGCCTGAAATGGATTGCAGGTGTTTGAAGAAGGGACATGATTTAGTAGAGAACACCTGTCCTACCTACCGCTCAAAACTATAAAAATCAAATTTGCTGAAAGTCATTGTCTTTTTCTTTTTTTTTTTTAATTAGTTTATTTTTTTTGAGACAGAGTCTCACTCAGTCACCCAGGCTGGAGTGCAGTGGTGCAATCTTGGCTCACTGCAACCTCCGCCTCCGGGGTTCAAGCGATTCTTGTGCCTCAGCTTCCCAAGTAGCTGGGATTACAGGCGTGCACCACCACGCCTGGCTAATTTTTGTATTGTTAGTAGAGATGGGGTTTTGCCATGTTGGCCAGGCTGGTCTTGAACTCCTGACCTCAAGTGATCTACCTGCCTGGACCTCCCAAAGTGCTGGGATTTACAGGCATGAGCCACTGTGCCAGGCTGAAAGTCACCGTCTTAGTCCATTTTGTGCTGCTGTAACAGAATACCATAGACTGAGTCATTTACAAACAATAGAAGTTTGTTTGGCTCATGCTTCTGGAGGCTGGGAAGTCCAAGATCAAGGGGCCGCCCGCATCTGGTGAGGGCCACGTTGCTGCATAAAAACCTGGCAGAAGGCATCACATGGTGAGAGAGAGTGGGAGGGCTGAACTCACTTTTATAATAAACCCACTCTCAAGATAGCAGACACTTTCCTGCAGTAATGACATTAATCCATTCATGAAGGCAGAGCCCTCATGCACTAATGTTGCCTCTCAGAGTCCCCTGTCTCAACATTGTTGCTTTGGGGATTAAGTTTCCAACACATGAGCTTTAGGAGACACATTCAAACCATAGCAGTCATGGCCATAAAAGGATACTTGATACACAGGCAAGTCCTGATTTGCCTTTATTAGCTGCGTGACCTTGGGCCAGTCACTTAACTCAGAAGTTCGGGTGAATATAATAAGTAGAATATGGTGAGTAGAATAAAGAAAAGACTCATCAGTCAGATCTTCCTCAGGAGACGGAACTCTTTTTAAAAAATTTGTTCTTTTAAATTTTTTTATTATTAAAAAAATTTTTTTTAATTTGTTCTTTTAAGTTTTTTTATTATTAAAAAAAAATTTTTTTTTAAATAGAGACGGGTCTTGCTCTGTTGCCCAGGCTGGTCCTCAACTCCTGGCCTCCCAAAGTGATCCTTCCACCTTGGCCTCCCAAAGTGCTGGGATTACAGGCATGAGCCACCACACTCAGCCTTCTCTTTCTTTCCTTTTTTCTTTCTTTCTTTCTTTCTTTTTTTTTTTTTTTAATAAAGACAATGTCTCACTTGGCTGCCCATGCTGGTCTCGAACTCCTGGGCTCAGGTGGTCTCCTGTCTCGGCCTGCCAAACTGCTGGGTTTATAGATGGGAGCCACCATGCACAGCCTGGACAAAGCTCTTATTCTCTTCTCTATACCTTATACCTCACCCCTAGTTTTTAAGTTTGAGGGCCCTCTAGTGGAAAAGACAGATACCGTAGAAAATCTGGATCATAGTATGAGTTGAGAAGTTGGGGATGGGTAGGCAGAAGGTTTTGATCACTCAAAGCAGCTGATGTTGTGGGTGGAGGGGCTTATGATACTTTGAGACACCCTATACCTTTCCCCTCCATAACTGTTGACACTTGTTCTGGCCAGTTTGAACTTGTTTCTGCCCCTCAACTGCCAGAGCACATAAGGCCCCTACGAAACTAAAGGCTGGCTTTATCCCTCAGTCACCTTTACCAAACAGAAACTTTGTAAGTGCCACTTGATGTCCCTATGTGCCTCTCCCTGCCACTCTACTGAGCCTCCTATGCCTCACTTCCTTTTTCCTTCAGCACTGTGCATCTGCCCTGAAGGACGGAAAAAGTACCATCTAGGGAGACCACAGTGGTGAGTTTTAAGCTCATTTCTGCCTTCAGCTTCCTATGTGACCAAAGGCAATTCATTTCATGTCTCTGGCCCTTCTGTAGGCTCCAGTGCAGATTATCTTCAGCCACTTTTTGGGACTTGGGATTTCTTCTCTAAGCCTCCAGCTTCATAGCATAGCATTTTTTCCCCCAAAGTTCCCCTCTCTTTTCAATCTAGAATATTAGTATATGCTCAAAGATCATTTGCTTGAAATTCACTACCTTCACCTGTGAGGAGAGTAGTCGTATCTGTTTTTATTGGTAGAGTTCCAGGAACTGGCAGTCAGTCTGACTGCTAGAGTGGAACAGACCCCGTCAGCAAGGCATGATGTCTCCAGGATGGGCTGTGTAGTTCAGTACAGACAAACTTTTGGCCCTGGGAATCCAAGATACAGTAGAGGAAGAAGGGCCAGGCACTAGTCTAGGCAGTTTACGTAATTTTTTCCCCTCATTTATCTTCACTATTCTGAGGTAGGTGATTTAATCACCATTTTACAAATGTGAGGACTTAAGTTTTAGAGAGTATCATTTGGTAGACAGTGACTGACTCATTGTGGATACAGGAAAACAACTGAATATTTCTTGCTCCCAAGTAGGGAAGAGTGGTAGAAGAGACAGGCAAGTGAACGGTGGTCAAAGCACCAAGGATACCCAGTTTTGGTGGGAGAGCCATGGCTTAAACCTAGGTCTATCTGCTAATTGTTTCTACTATATGCTGCCTTCCTTACAGAGGGGTGGAGAGAGCAGCAAACCCAAGTGGACATCCAGGCTGGCAAGCAGTCTCTGGACAATGGCCATTGGTGGGGAGGCCTGTCCTTGGATTTTGAGTTGGGCTTTAGTTCGAGGGGGTGGGGGTCTGAAGTCTTAAGCGGGTGACTAAGGCAGGGGCTCTCATGTGGAGCTAACCCCATTTATAGAATAAAGCACCTAATTTTGTGCACTCTAGAAAGTGAAGCCTTATGGTCAGCACTGATCATATGCTGGAGTATCACAAGAGCCCCACAGTCAGTCTATGGTATAATAGGGCCAGAACCAGTCTCCTTATTCCCAATCAGGCCACCTCTCACCTCACTCAGACTTAATACAGTATAGAATAACTTTGGAGGGGACCTCAGTGTGGAGGCTGGAACTGCAAATTTCAAGCTTACATATCAGTTTTTGAATAGGTATTCAAAAACCAATGACAGGCTGGGTGTGGTGGCTCACGCCTGTAATCCCAGCACTTTGGGAGTCCAAGGCGGGCGGATCACCTGAGATTATCAGGAGTTCGAGACCAGCCTGGCCAACATGGTCTGAGTGAGGTGAGAGGTGGCCTGATTGGGAATAAGGAGACTGGTTCTGGCCCTGCCACTGACTTCCCTCTGTGACTTTGGACAGATTCCCCTCCCTGCTCTGGTCTTACCTCCCTTTTTATAAAATGGTTGAGCCCTTCCAACTCTGGTCTCATCAGGGGCATGAAAGCCATTTTCTACACAGTCTCAGTTGCACAGAGCAGTGTCTGGTCGGAGCTTTGGTGTGTTGGTTACTGATTATAAAGCTTTAGATTCTCACTTCCAGCTCAAGAGGGGGAAGGGGAACCATCCAACTGTCTCATTAGCATGGAGAAAAGAAAACAGTAATTACTCGTGCCTCCCTTGATAATTCCTGCAGGGTTGGATCTTCTAGGGAAGGAGGAGGGGAAAACTAGAGATAGCTTCAGCTGAGAAAGGAGAAATGCTGTTAGCTGCCCAGAAAATGCAGAGGCAAGAATGATTGTCTTGCACATCTGTTGTATTCTGTGGACGTTCCTCCAGGCAGCTTGGAGACTGCCTAGATTGAGTTTCATCTATTTATGGCATGCATTATGTTCTCATACGTGAACATGGGTTGGGCTCAAGACCCCTAATGTCACCTGTCATTAAGAAACCAGCTGTCCTCTAGGGCCTACTTTTTGATACACTGGGCATCCTGACACCTGTCTTTGTTTGGGAGTATGGGAGGGTTTTACTGACCCATTTTGTGTCCTGGCTGCATTTTTTATTATGTTGTGAGGTCATTTTTTTTACCCCCACAGCAACACAGCCAGTAGTTTTATTATGCCTGGGCATAGGCAACCATACAGTAGAGCCAGTCACAAGAGTCAAGGTCAGGTATCCTTGTGAGGGGAGGAGTCTGGGAGAACTGCAAGACCATGGGGTTTAGTAAAGGCTGGGATAAGCAAGCCTTACAGAAGGGTTGAGGCAGTTTTGAGGCTGAGGGGTTAGGGGGAGCTGGAACCCAACTGTCAAATAGATTGGCAAGTTGGCTTGTGGGACAAGGGCTATTTGCCCTGTGCCTTTGCCCTGTGCCAGTCTTTTACTCCCTGTGTGTGGTCGGTTGTGAGCCCTGAAGTGCTGACTCTAGCAGAAATGCGTTGGAGGCTGCCTTCAGGGGAGCCCTGCCTGAGGGAGCCTGGAGCCATTAGGCTGAGATTATCTCCCGTGGCTGCTCACTGGTGCCTTGGTTGCCACCCCAGAGGCCTAGAGAACGCAGCTTCCCTTTCTCTTCCTCTCTCCTGAGGAAGATAACCCTTCAGCAACACGTCTCTCTCTCTCTCTCTTTTTTTTTTTTAAGACAATCTCAGTCTGTTGCCCAGGCTGGAGTGCAGTAGTGCAAACACAGCTCACTGCATCCTCCGCTGCCCGGGTTCAAGTTTTTCTGCCTCAGCCTCTGGAGTAGCTGGGACTACAGGCATGCACCACCACACCACACCCAGCTAATTTTTGTATTTTTAGTAGAGACGGAGTTTAGCCGTGTTAGCTAGGCTGGTGTCGAACTCCTGACCTCAGGTGATCCGCCCACCTCAGCTTCCCAAAGTGCTGGGATAACAGGCGTGAGCCACCTCACCTGGCCCAACACCTTTCGGTCAGTCTTCCTGCAGGCCCTGGAGCTTGCTTATTCTAAACAACAAGAGTTCTGTAGGGACATGCTATTTTAAAAAAAAAAAAAAAAATTGTTTTACAAATGTAGGAGATTATTTCCTCTGTTAAAATCGTCTTCGGTCCCCAGGGAATGCTCCCTTTCTCTTGTCCCAGACCGTTTGCTTGATTCCCCACCCTTTGATGTCCACACCCAGGCTTCCCATAATTTTCACTCTTCATTCACTTCCTGGCTCCTTTCCCTAGCTTCCAGCAGTAGATTCCTGGTTGTTTTTTTTTTTTTTTTTTTTTTGTGGGGGGTGGGGATAAGGAAGGTTTTTCAACAAAGCTTTCATGATGGGGAGCTACTGGAGAAAGGTCCAGAGGATGTCAGTAACCCCTTAGCCACAAGGAACGATATACTCCCAAGGCTTGTTAGCCTGGAGTAATGCTGGTAGAGGAGGAAGCTGTGACAAGAGGAAGAACCTGCTTGTCTTCTGACCTCTGCAGGCTTCAGCTTAAACCTGGCAGAGGTTGGGCTGGGGCAGGGCAATAGTGAGGGCTGAGGGTTGGAGCCCTGAGCAACTTGTCGATAAGTGTTTCACTTTACCTCCTATTGACACATTTAGTTTGGAGTTTGGACAAGCAAACTCCCTTCATTTAACATTTACAAAGAGGAATTCCTGCTGCTTCTCTTTTAAATAAAAGTCCTTGGTTCTGGTATCGGAAGGAAAAAGATCTTTTCCAAAGTCTAGACCTCAGACATTTTATTTATTTATTTATTTATTTATTTATTTATTTATTTATTTATTGAGGCGGAGTCTCGCTCTGTCGCCCATGCTGGAGTGCAGTGGCGTGTTCTCGGCTCACTGCAAGCTCCGCCTCCCGGGTTCACGCCATTCTCCTGCCTCAGCCTCCTGAGTAGCTGGGACTACAGGCGCCCGCCAGCCATGCCCAGCTAATTTTTTTTTTTTTGTATTTTTAGTAGAGACGGGGTTTCACCGTGTTAGCCAGGATGGTCTCTATCTCCTGATCTCGTGATCCGCCCGCCTTGGCCTCTAAACCTGAGACATTTTAAACCTGCTCAGGTGTCTCCTTCCTTACCTGTTCTCCCTTCACCCCTTTCCCATCCTCTTTTCTCTGCTCCCTGCCTTTGCACTCCTTACATCTCCCTTGACTTGTGAAAACAAGAATGGGAAAAGGACACCTTAAGCCAACAGATTAGTAGATATTCGGTTGATATTCATACTGGGGCTGAGACTCTGAATATGGAGCTTGAGATTTTGGACTTCTAGTCCTCAGAATAAGAGTTGCCGGGCAGGTTTTGTTTATTCCTTTATTTACTCACAGATACTTAGGCTGACACAGAGCCTGGCAGGTAGTTCGTAAGACCCTAATCCTACATGACCCAAGACCCATATGACAGTTCATAAGACCCTAATCCTGCCATAAGGTCACAATCTTACGGAGAAGACATAGCAGCAGTGAGCACACAACCCCCACTCCCTCCACATCCCCCGTTCAATGATTGAATTTTGAGGTTAGAAAGAACTTTAGTTTTTCTGGTCTTCTTTCATGTTGCTGTGTAATAAGTAAGGCAGATCATGAGAGTACACAGGCTCTGGAGTAAAGTAAAGCAGACCTGGGTTCAAATGCTAGCTTTGTTGCTTACTAGCTGTTTGACCTTGAATGGCACACTTAGCCTCACCTGTCTTCAGTTACCTTGGTTGTAAAATGGACATGTCATCACCTACTTCACAGGGTATCATAAGGATTAACAGTTTAACACCCAGCCGTGTGCCTGAGGCATAGTAGCAGCCCATGTCTTTCTGTCACCTTGCATCAAGGCCTGGCTTAAATCTTTGCTTCTTCTGTGAAGCTTCTGAGACAAACCCAGGTCAGACTGATTTGTTTCTTCACTTCCACAATACATAACATTCTTTGAACTGTTAGATCCTGCCTATTATTAGTAATTTTTTGTGGGACATCATAGTCCCATCCTGAATGCCAAGTGCCTAAGGATAAGGACTGTTCTCAATCATCTGTGCATCCTCCATAACCCCTTATTCAGAGCTGTTTACACAGCAAAGCCAACCAGTACAGCTAGTATCAGGAAATATTTTTTGACTAATTAGATAGAAGGTTCATGTATGTACTCTGTTATTCAGCTTACAAGAAGAACCATAAAAGACCTGGCTGGGACTCTCCCATCCTAACTCTGCCCTTTTCCTCACCTGTTACCACATTGATAAAAACATGTGATTATAAAATCCTTGTGTTGGCAGTATAGGAATTCCCATTTTGCAGATGGGGAATCTGAGATGCAGATTAGAACTCAGGTCTCTTATTGGGAGGTAGATCCAGACTAAGTAGGAGGAATAGAAACAGAAATCTTATAACTGGCTGGGCGTGGTGGCTCACACCTGTGATCCCAGCACTTTGGGAGGCCAAGGCAAGCAGATAACTTGAGGTCAGGAGACTAGCCTGGCCAACATGGTGAAACTCCGTCTCCACTAAAAACACAAAAATTAGCCAGACGTGGTGGCACGTGCCTGTAATCCTAGCTACTTGAGTGGCTGAGACAGGAGAATCGCTTGAAACCAGGAGGCGGAGGTTGCAGTGAGCTGAGATTGCACTACTGCACTCCAGCCTGGGCAACAGAGCAAGACCCTATCTTAAAAAAAAAAAAAAAGAAATCTTATAACTGACTAGGTCTCCATTCTTCAGAAGTAGTAGGAATTTCTACAAGGAAGAAGGGGAACAGGGGTACTGTATTCCTGAGGCCTTAGCTGATGGTGAGTGCAGAAATGAATATACCCACAAGCCGGAGATGTTTCAAGAACTTGGCAGATTTGGGAGGCCGAGGCGGGCGGATCATGAGGTCAGGAGATCGAGACCATCCTGGCTAACACGGTGAAACCCCGTCTGTACTAAAAATACAAAAAATTAGCCAGGCGTGGTGGCAGGCACCTGTAGTCCCAGCTACTCAGGAGGCTGAGGCAGGAGAATGGTGTGAACCCGGGAGGCGGAGCTTGCAGTGAGCCTAGATCGTGTCACTGCACTCCAGCATGGGTGACAGAGCGAGAGACTCCATCTCAAAAAAAAAAAAAAAAAAAAAAAAAAAAACATGGCAGAGAGAGTGGCAAGAAAAGGGTTCAGGATTACGTCATAGATTCACTAGGCCTTGAAAATTAAGAAGGGTTTGAATGTGTGTAAATGAAGAAGGGCAATTCCAGTGAGACAACAGTGTGGACCAAAAATATGAGAGCTGGAAAGCCCACGGTAGAAGTAAGGCGGATGATGACCAGATACTGGCATACCTAAGAGCAAGGCTGAGGTGACTGGGAGCCATGACTTTTTTTGAGCAGGGAAGTGTCATTAGGACCATTAGTCTGGCTGTGTGGGTCTAATGGATTGGAATAGGAGGGGTAGGGGAGACTAGTGAAACAGAGACCAGGGAAGAGACTCCTGTAAGTCTGCCTTTGTAATGTCAGTAAGTTTCAAGAAATATGCCAGCAGTGCAAGCAAGAGATAATGTGATCCTGAACCAAGAGGAAGTTGACATAGTAGGGAATAAAGAATTCTTTGAGAGGCCAAGGCAGGTGGATCACCTGAGGTTGGGAGCTTGAGACCAGCCTGACTAACATGAAGAAACCCCGTCTTTACTAAAAATACAAAATTAGCTGGGCATGGTGGCCGGCACCTGTAATCGCAGCTACTCAGGAGACTGAGGCAGGAGAATCGCTTGAACCCGGGGGGCCGGGGGTTGCAGTGAGCCAAGATCGCGCCAGGATATTCCAGCCTGGGTGACAGAGTGAGACTCTGTTGCAAAACATAAAGAAAGGAAGAAAGGAGGGAGGGAGGGAGGAAAGGGAGGGAGGGAGGGAGGGAGGGAGGGAGGGAGATGATTTGGATGTAGAACTCTTAGAGGGGGAGAAAAAAAAAACCCACAAGGATTTGGCAGTTGTGGGAATGGGGAAGAGAGAGAAAGAGGGGTTGAGAGCATGAATATTTGGAGTCTAAGTACCCCGGAGAATGGTTATGCCATTCTCTGAATCATGGAGGCTGGGAAATAGAAGATGAATTGAGTTGGTTGACTTGTTGATTGGAGGTGTCCATTCTTGACTCCCTGGTGCCTCTGCCTTTGTCTTTTGATCCAGAGCTGCAGAGATCCTTTGGTTCCTTGTGCTTGCTGCTTTGTTCCAGACCTGGAGGCCCCCCGCACCCTCAATCCCTTCACTCATGACTTGGAGCAACTTTCATTCCCTCTGAAATAAAACAGTGCTTAGGCCAGTACCTAGTCTGTTTCCAACTGTGCGGTAAATGCCTATTAAATGGCCGTTGTTATTATAGCTTTGAGATTACAGTAGCTAGAGATTAGAGAAGCCTCTGGAACCACCTGGCTGAAGGACTCAGGAGCCATTCAACTTGTATTCAGTAAAAAGCCTGGACTGCAAGTATATGGAGAGGATGTCAGGCTTGGGTGTAGATGGGTGGGGAACTCTGAGCCATGTAAACTAGAACAAGAGAACATGTTTCCTGCCTTCTGTTTTTGAGAATTGTTATATATAATGTGAGATTAAGAGGGCAAGCCCTGGAGTTGGACTTCTGGGTTCAAATCCCAGCTCCACCATCTTGTTAGCTGTGCAATGGGCAAATGTACTTAATTTCTCTGTGCCTCAATTTCTCCATTAGTAAAATAACATACCAACCTTACAAGATTGTTGTAAAGATTAAATGAGTTAATACAAATAAAAGGTTTACATCAGTGCCTGGTATGTGCTGCTATTCTTATTCTAGAGTCTGCTCTATTCCATTCCACATTCCTGGGAACGAATATATAGGGATTTCTCTTCTTCACCATCCTCACCCAGCAGAGGAGGGAGCTGAGCACAGAAATGTGAAATAAATCTCAGAGTCCTTGAAAGTTTGTCTCAGCTAGAATCCAGGTGATCTAAGCCTGGAGGAGCCTGGGCCACAAGTGAGACAGAGTTAGAGTTGTCCAGAAGACCTGAGTTTGACTCCCAGTTTTACCACTTGACTTATTTTGATCTTGCGCAAGTAACCTAGTCTCTGAGCCTTAGTTTTCTCATATGTAAAATACAGAACAAATTCCTTCTTGTGTCTCTTGTATGTACCTCATTCTCCTTATGACTCCACTCTAGCTATATTATTAGTCTTCTTGTTCCTTAAACATACCAAGGCCTCAGGGCCTTTGTACTTGCTATTCTCTCCCTGGAACACTCTTCCCTCAGATCTTTTCATGTCTTACCCCAGACTTCATTCAAATCTCTCTGGATGTGACCCTTTGTAGAGGCCCCTCCCTGACCATTTTATCTAAAATAGACTTCACCCTTACCTTTTGTCATTCTTTATTTCCTTACCTTGCTTTGCTTCCCTTCCCTCCCTCTCCCTTTCCCTCCCCTTCCCTCCCCTTCCTCCCCCCCTTTTTTTGAGATGGATTCTCACTCTTGTCACCCAGGCTGTAGTGCAGTGGCACGATCTCGCTCACTGGAACCTCCGCCTCCCAGGTTCAAGCGATTCTCCTGCTTCAGCCTCCCAAGTAGCTGGGGTTACAGGCGCCCACCACCATGCCTGGCTAATTTTTTTTTTTTTTTTTTTTTGTATTTTTAGTAGAGACAGGGTTTCACCATGTTGGCCGGGCTCGTCTTGAACTCCTGACTTCAGGTGATCCATCCCCCTCGGCCTCCCAAAGTGCTGAGATTACAGGCATGAGCCACCGCGCCAGGCGTGCCTTATTTTTCTTTATGGCACTTAGCACTACTTGAAATTATATACTGTAAATAATTGACCTGTCTTTTGCTAGGATGCAAAATGTGTGAGGGCAGGAATTTTGAATGCCTGCTGCCTGTTCTGAGCAGCACCCCTAATGGACTTCTCTCTCTATTGTAGGTGAGCCCTATTCCCAGAGGCAGGTGGTGCTGACCCTGTAACCCAAAGGAGGAAACAGCTGGCTAAGCTCATCATTGTTACTGGTGAGTGAGGTTGCCTGGGAAAGCTCTGGGCAAGCTTGGGCCAACATGGAGGGTAACTCGTTTGGGGATTGTTTTTACCTTTAGTACAGATAACTTACAAGTGATTATCTTCCTACTCCATGTCTAAAAGATTGGATGTTGCACAGGTAACCTTCTGAACTGGGAGGGTTGAGACTGCTCTCCTAGAATTGCCACAAGAATGTCTGAGATCATTTGCCATGAATAAGGCAGAGCAGGTCTGCTTCCTTCTTGCTTCTGCTAGCTGCTTTCTGCTGGGATGTGGCAGGTGGGGGGCTATCCTGGGACCTGGCGGCTATACCTGTCCTCTCACAAGCTCTTTAACATGACCTCACAGCCCTTAGAGACTTGTTTTTTGAGATGGAGTTTCGCTCTTGTTGCCCAGACTGCAGTGCAATGGCACGATCTCGGCTCAATGCAACCTCCGCCTCCCGGGTTCAAGCAATTCTCCTGCCTCAGCCTCCTGAGTAGCTAGGATTACAGGCATGCACCGCCATGCCTGGCTAATTTTGTATTTTTTAGTAGAGACGGGGTTTCTCCACGTTGGTCAGACTGGTCTCGAACTCCCGACCTCAGGTGATCTGCCTGCCTCGGCCTTCCAAAGTGTTGGGATTACAAGCGTGAGCCACCGCGCCCGGCCCCGTAGAGACTTTCTTAGCTTTAGTTTTTACTGTGATCTGCCAAGCTCATAGGTCAGCTCCAGAAAATCCTGTAGTTTCTTCCATTCTGCAAAATGTCGTATGAATAATGGTGAGAGTGGAGTGATTAGGGTTTTATGAAGTGGATGTCAGGGGAAGCTGACAGATGGTGAGAAGGAAGGAAAATCAACGCATTAAGAACTTACTATGTTACTGATCTCAATCTAGACAAAATCCCTTTTTGTGTGTTGGGGGGGGTTTTATTTTTGTTTTTGGGAGACAGGTCTCACTGTGTTGCCCAGGCTGGTCTCAAACTCCTGGGCTCGTGTGATTCAAGTGGTCCTCCTGCCTCAGCCTCCCGAGTAGCTGGAATTACAGATGTGTACCACCACAGCCTGCTCTGAAACCTCATTTTATAGATGAGGAAATTGAGGCTCAGGAACTGAAATAATTTGCCCAGGGTTTACACCTGGGAATCTATAAAGTTGATGTTAGAACCCAGGTCAGTCTGACCATAAATACCATTGTTCTTCCAGACCTGACCTTCCTTGGGCTGTTAATCTCCCTCTCTAATTCTGATTTTTCTTATAAAGTTCAAGAAGGCCTACTTACTTAGGGATTCAGAAAGGAGATTCAGTTGAGGGGCTGAACAGGGCAGGTAGGAGTTAGGGGTCCCTCTGAGCAGTGGTATTTCTAGTGAGGGGGACTACTAGACTGAAAGATAGGAAGAACCTTCAAGCAGGCAGAGGCCCAGGCTAAAAGTGACCACAAGAAGAAGAATACGTCTGTAACACATGGGATCTCATAAACACTTGGGCCAGTACAGGGTAAGGACCTGAGTGCTGGCTTGAAGTTGAGAAACCTAGGTTTTTATCTTCTCTCTCAACATGTGCCCTTGGACAGTCTTCATTTCCCTATTTGTAAAGTTGGAGTGCCTCCCTGTCCCCTCACGTCTCATGTGTGTACTCCTACCATGCAGGTATGTTACAGAGAATCAAATGAGAAATGCAAGTTGGAAAACTTTGTGAATTGTAAAGCAGCATGAACGAAACAAGAAAGTGAGAAGAAAGCATTTTAAGTGTCTGTCTTAGCTCGTTTTATGTTGTTATAAAGGAGTACCTGAGGCTGAGTAATTTATAAAGAGAAAAGGTTTATTTGTCTCACAATTCGAATGTCTGGAAAAGTTCAAGATTGGGTGTCTGCACCCAGTGAGGGCCTTAGGCTGCTTCTACTGTGGTGGAAAGGGAACTGCTGTGGGTAGAAATCAGATGGTAAGAAAGGGAGAGGGGAGATGCCAGGCTCTTCTTAACAACCATCTCTTACTGGAACAAAGAGAGTGAGAATTCACTCACTTCCCCTACCCTCCTTCCAGGGAGGGGATTAATCTATTCATGAGGGATCTGCCCCCAACGATCCAAACCTCCCATTAGGTCCCGCCTTAAACATTGGGGATCAGATTTCAGCAAGAGGTTTGGAGGAGTCCACCATCCAAAATATAGCAGTATCTGTAGCGTCCCAGTCCCTGACCTGTTTGCCGCCCCATTCCCCAAAAGTAAACGGGAGGGTTTTCCTTTGGAAATTTTCACTGTAAATCTTCTTCTGTGCCCTTCTCCTCCTCTCCTTTCTTTTGTGGGCCCTACCCATAGCTTAGTCTTTCCATAAGGAAAGGGATTCCAGGGCAGAGATGACAAAGCCAGGTAGCACAGGCAGCCACGATTTGCAATATGTGTGCTGCAGAGTGCAGGTTTGAGTGCACTCATGAACCGTGGTATAGGATACTACAGCAGTTCCCAAGAGCCCATCCCAACAGGAGTCAGCACTCCACTGAGATGTTGCCTTGTTCCCTGCTGTCATCTCTTGAAGAAGGCTATTCCTCTTTTGGCCCTAGGTTCCCTGCCTGCCTCTGCTTACTGCTAGTGAAAAAGGCTCTTGTGCTGTAGCCTCACATTTTATGGAGGCCATGGTCATTCCAGTTTTTCTACCATCTTGTTCTCCCCCTTCACCAACGATGGGGGCCATTCTCTTCGCACTGTGTTTTAACAATGGACATTCTGTTCTTCTGTCTGCCTGAGAGTGCACAGAGGGTTTTGACCCCTACCTTCCCTCCTACTCTGAATATCCAGGCTCTTGCTGCCACTTCTTTTTGCCTTGTTAATCTAAAGTTCTACAGCTTCTGGCCTTTCCCTGGCCTGGGTGCCAAGCTTGGATCTTATATGCTTCCTGTAACAACTGCCCTGTGAAAAAGCTCCACTATTAACTTTTAAAATATGAATGATTCCACGTAAATAAGTGTGTAATATATACATTTATATATGATAAGCTACCCATATAATAGCTTATTTATCTAACAGCCTCATTTTTCCAGAGTCCAACTGAAAAACAAGAGGGAAGTAAAGCATTGTCATCCTTAAGTATTTGCACAGTGCTAATTTATTCTTATTTTTATGTGTTGTTGTAACAAGTTTAGCATTTGGTTTCTAAAACCCCATAAGATTAAAAGAAGAATATCAAAAAAGGGAGAAGAGCTGCTATATTAATACCATCTAGGGGTGAGAGCTGAAAGCTGACTGAAAGGGGAGGGGTGAAAGAAGAAGTTAAAACAACAGTCTGGGCCGGGTGCGGTGGCTCACGCCTGTAATCCCAGCACTTTGGGAGGCCGAGTCAGGTGGATCACAAGGTCAGGAGATCGAGACCATCCTGGCTAACACGGTGAAACCCCGTCTCTACTGAAAAATACAAAAAATTAGCCAGGTGTGGTGGCGGGTGTCTGTAGTCCCAGCTACTTGGGAGGCTGAGGCAGAAGAATGGTGTGAACCCGGGAGGCAGAGCTTGCAGTGAGCTGAGATTGCGCCACTCTACTCCAGCCTGGGCGACAGAGCGAGACTCCATCTCAAAAAAAAAAAAAAAAAAAAAAAAAAAAAAAAAAACAGTCTGGAGGCCACTTAATTTAGGAGCAGCACCTCCACAAACATCGGTGTCCCTCAGTAAGATGAGGGTGGGGCTGGGTAATTTCTGTGGTAGTTTTGGGTTCCTCTCGAAGGCTAGAGTTATCAGAAAATGTTAATTATTTATAGTATCTACTATATATTATCAGGCACTATACTGAATGCTCTACATAAATATATTTCATTTTCATAGCAACTTGGCAGGTAGGTGGTGATATTCTTATTTTATAAATTACTTGAGAGTTAGAGAGGGACGTGTAGGCAGTGATCAGAAGAGCTAAGCTTAGAACCCAGAAGAATCTGGCTTCAGAAAACCAAGTTTTTTTATGATATCCTACATTGGCTCTTTCCCCACGACCTAAAACCCTGGTCCTCCTCAGCCTCTTGAGCTAGTAGTCCCCCACTCCTCCTTTTTGTTCATTCTCCTATATACGTTTTTCTTTTTAAAGATACACATTTATTCATTCATTCAGTGAGTATTGGAGTGTCTGTCATATACCAGGCACAGTTTCAAGTGTTTGAGGTGTAGCAGTGAATAAAATAGTTTTCTCTCTGTAGTTTACGTTCTAGTAGAGGAAAGCAGATAAATGAATAAATCTGAAGAAAAATAGCAGGGTAAGGGAATAGGGAGACACTGGATTATTAAAGAAGGCCTCTCAGAAAATAAAATTTGTGCAGAAATATGCAAGAACTGGAGTAGTGAGCTATGTGTATCTTTGGGGGAATAACTTTCTAGGCATAGAGCGTGCTTCTTGATTCTAAGGAACGAAAGGAGGCCAGTGTGGCTACAGATGGAGTAAACGAAGGGGGAGATAGGAATATGGAGAAGTCACAAGGGTAGACAGGGACCAGATCATGGAGAGCTTTATTCTGAGTTAAATAGGAAGACATTGGAGAGTTTTGAATAGAGGAATGACATAATCTGACATCCATTAAAAAAAAAAAAATTCCCCTGCCTAATTGTACCAGCTGGGATCTCTAGTACAGCGTTGAATAGAATTGATAAGAGCAGACAGCCTTCCTTACTTTGTTCCCAATTTTAGGAGGAAAGTATTCCATCTTTCAGGCTAAGGAAGTTCCCTTTTATTCCTAGTTTATTGAGAGGTTTCATTATGGATGACTGTTGGATTTTGTTGATTTTATGGTCTTTGTTCTTTATTCTACATTGACATTACATTAATTGATTTTCAGATATTAAATCAACTTCACATTCCTAGAATAAATCCCACATGGTTGTAGTGTATAATCCTTTTTATATGGAGTTAGATTTGATTTGCTGGGGAATATTGTTCTGTAGTTTTCTTAGGTCTTTATCTGCTTTTGGCATTAGGGTGGCCTCATGGAATGAATTGATGTGTTCCCTCCTCCTCTGATTTCTGAAAGAGTTTGTAAAGGATTGGTATTATTTCTTCTTTAATTGTTTGATAGAATTCATCAGTGAAGCCACATGGGCCTGGGCTTGTCTTTGTTGGAAGAGTTTAAAATTACTAATTCAAATGTCTTACTTGTTAAATCTACTTAGATTTTCTCTTTCTTTTTGAGTCACTTTTGATAATTTGTGTATTTTTAGGAATGTTTCCATTTCACCCAAGTTGTCTAATTTGTTGGTAATTTGTGTCTTTTTTTTTCTTGGTCAGTCTAGATACAGGTTTGTTGATTTTGCTGGTGTTTTCAAAGAACCAACTTTTGGTTTCATTGTTTTTCTTTTCCATTGATTTTTTATTATTTTCTGTTTTATTTATTTTGTTTATTGTTTTTATTATTTTCTAATTTCTGCTGCTTTGGGTCTAGTTTGCTCTTTTCTAGTTTCTTAAGGATTCGTTCATTGATTTTTGAGGCAGGATACACCCCAAACCAAACAATTCTTCAGGCTTGACTATACCAGTGGACTATCAGTTTGCTCCTTCTGATACAGTAGCCTCTGGAGAAGTATCAAACTTCAGAGGGGGCCTGATTCAGAAACAATAGGGAAGACAAGTGGCCTACAATGTATATGTGTTACCAGTAGAGAGGGTGCTAGGGCTAGACCCATAGTGCTCGGCAGCCTGGCTCCTGCCTGCCCCAAATCAGCACTGGGCAGGCTGAGCTTTGAGTAAGACATACGGGGGTGGTGTAGCAGGAAGTCAGGTGACACATGGCAAGCCAGGGCCTCCCAGGCTTCTGCAGAAGGTTGCCTGATACAGAGCTAGAAGAGACCGCTGCCCGCCTCATGGACTTCAGAGGCTTCACAGTGGCTTTTGGGGGACCATTCTGAACACCTCTTTTGCCTGTTACAACTGAAATTCTAAGCAGAGATTTGATTCCATTAAATAAGGCTTACAGTGCAGATGCCATAGGTAACATTGAGATAGGAGGGGCTCTGAGCAATGCCTGGCTTGCTGGTGACTTACTTGTGGCCTTTAGTTTCCTCATCTATAAACAAGGAATAATAGTTTCTACCCAGCGTACTGTGTAAAGCACATTTCAGATAAGTGCTATATAAAACCATTGGATAGTGTACAAATGTACAAGACTATTAATGTTAGTAATTACAGTGATAGGGACCTGGGATAGAGTCTGAGAAGGTCTAGGAGCAGTAGCAGTGCATCATTGTCCTTCAGGGTATGGGGATGAATGTTTGACCAGAGTGGACCTGATAGCTTAGAAAGGGCAGGAGACTCATTGTCTGCCAGTGTAATCATCAGATGGCTCCTAGAGAATTCTATGCAGGAGCGGGTATCTGTGGGGGAGGCTGCCAGAGCAGCTCATGTAAGAAACAGCTGTTCCTATTCACTCTCCACCCAAGGATTTTGGCCATATTTTATTACTTTGGTTCCAGAAACAGCTGGCTTGCTTGAGGATTGCTGTCATAGCAAAGCAATAACCTCCAGCTTGCTTGGGGGAAAGGAATTGCATGCAAAGGGCTCTGGGCTCTATGAGGTCCCGGGTTCCCCTGCTTCCTTCCCCAGTTTTCATTAAAACTAAAGAAGATCCTTTTGTCCCTTTGGAGCAGCAGGCCAGAGCAGAAGAACAGCCAAACAGGAGAGGGACCTGTAGGTTAGATTAACTGGAAGGCAGTTCTAGGGATTTTGGCTGTGGCAGTGAGACAGGGTCCTGAGCCTGAGAACATGGCCAAGAGAGCAAAATCTAAGCTGGATAACAACAGCTTAAGAAACCAAGGTCTGTGAGCGTTGGTGGTTCTAGAACCTTGAGATGAGTGAGAGATGAATAAAGGGGTCTTATTGAATGGGACAGATTGGGGGGTGCTCAAAAGCTACTTTACCCCATTAACACAAAGCAGAAATTGCTTCTTTGGAATTATCTGTCATTGTATTATTTGAGTCTCCACTATCCATCCTTCCCCTCATTGCCACCTCCCATATCCCCAATTAACGTAAACTGTCAAGAGTCAACAATTCTGAGTACATAGGGCAAGAGGTAAAAGATAAAAGATATCTGTGGTATAACTGGTCTTTAGGAAGATGAAGTAACTGCATCTTTCCCACCATTGTGTGTATTCTTAATACCAAGATTTGGGTCCTTGATCTGACATTTATTTTCTGTGTGACTAACTTCTCTGAGCTGTAGTTTGCTCATATACAAAATGGGAATAATAATGCCTACTTTATATAGTGATTGTGTTGCTAGTAGATGAAGAAAATACCTGGCCTGGCTTGGCGTTCAATCACTAGTGATTGGAATAAATTCTGATACCATGTGTTGAGTGTCAGATTGAAGTAGGAGAGTGTGGCGATCCAGGCTCTTAACCTTGTTCTACTGACTCAAACCTGGGAAAGCATTTTATACCTGGGCCTCTTTTTCCTCAGTTCTACAAACAGGGAATGAGGTAGAAAGTTGGTCTGTAATTGCTGATGTTTCTTCCTGTTCTGTGTCTCCAAAGGCGCATTGGTCTGTGGTCCAAGGAGATTAAAGAGTCAACAGGGACCTAAGAGAAGTCTCAACTTCGGTCCTGCTTAAGCCTGCAGCAGGAACAGTTAAAAACAAAAAGCCGCTATCTATAGTAAGGTGTTAGAAGTGGCTGGGAGTATGCTGCAGGGGCAGTGACCTGCCTGTCACCCAGCATTTGGAAAATAAATGTCAAAGAGAAGATCATAATGGCCTAGAAGGTTGGAAACTGAGTAGCTAGCAAGTGTGAGAGAGGGACCATGAGACATAGGACCCAGATTGTGCTCTATCACCCACTCATTGGGTGTTCCCAGTCAAGCTATTTCTCTTTGCATCCTCCATATCCCCATCTGTAAAAATGAGTTAGGCATTGTATTCTCCAAGTGCCTCTTCAGGGCTTTCTGAAATTTCATTGGCCCCTTTTTTCTGGCTCTTGTGTTTGTACTCTAGCTTTTGCCTTTGGTACTGAGGATTTCATTTATGAGAAGGCTTTTTAACCAGCCAGGCTTTGTCTAGCCCTAGAGTATTTAGAATGCTCCTGAAACTATGATTTCAGGCCATTCAATTTGCATCTAGAAATGCCTTGGTTCACCTGATCCTACTCCCTCATTTAACATTGAGAGATAATGCAACAGAGAAGAAAGACTACAGGCTTGACAAATGACCCCCAATTCAGATTCCTGCCAGTACTAGCTTAATCTTTCTGAACCATATCACCATCATTTAAAAGTGCAATAATGGGCTGGGCGCGGTGGCTCATGCCTGTAATCCCAGCACTTTGGGAGGCCAAGGAGGAAGGATCACGAGGTCAAGAGATTGAGACCGTCCTGGCCAACGTGGTGAAACCCCGTCTCTACTAAAAATACAAAAATTAGTTGGGCATGGTGGCGTGTGCCAGTAATCCTAGCTACTTGGGAGGCTGAGGCAGGAGAATCGCTTGAACCCAGGAGGCGGAGGTTGCAGTGAGCAGAGATCCCACCACTGCACTCCAGCCTGGGCGACAGAGTGAGACCCCATCTCAAAAAAAAAAAAGTGCAATAATGATAATAGATTCAGCACACAGAGAATTATTTAGAAGAGGAAAGAAAAAACTGAGGCCCAAGAGGTGAAGTCACCTGTTCAGGTTCAGGTTCACACCCGAATCCAGATCTCTTGTGTCTCATTCCAGAGTTTTTTTCCCCTCTAGAGCCAAGGTCAGTTGTGCCCATATGGATATGGTAGCAAAGATTGGAACTGAAAGCATGTCAGCTTTTTTAACATCTCCGCCAACAGCCCTCTCAATTCCCCTGTGGCACGTGTCAATAACACAGCCCGTACTTGTTTTAGAAACAAGCGCTCCATAAGCACTCCTGTTTGATTTGCTTTGGCTGGTACAGGATCCAGATGCTCTTAGAATAGCACAACAGACTCTCCAAATCAGCCTATTCCCATTCCGAGCCACTCACAGCTCTGATCTGCTGCTGGCTGGGGTTCATCCCCGAGTCTTCCCTACCTATCATGTGAATCACGTTCAGACTTTTGCTAGTTTGTCCTTTCCCTCTTGAGTAGAAGTAACATTTATTGTGTGCATACTGTGTGCCAGGTATTGTGACAGGTACTTTAAATAGATTATCTCCCTTAATCTTTATAACTCATTAAGCTATTAATAGCTCCAAAGGGGAAAGCTGAGGCTCAGTGAAGTGAATGAATTTACTGAAGCCACATATCTAGTCTCTGAAAGAGCTAGAGTTTGAACTGAGTCCTGACCCCATTGACTAAGCTGTAAGGTAAGCTGTTTCCTGAGTATCATACTGCCTCCCTGTCCTCTGGCCACGGCCCTTCCAGGAGGGTAGAGTGTTTGGGAGTACCCAAGAATAGGCGTTTGGTGCCCTGAGTGTAATAGGAATGTCTTCCATGCCTTCAGTGTATTTTCCTGAGAGTTTCTGCACTCTGTGCCTCAAACCAACTTCTCTAGAACTCAGATATAGAGCCCAGAGATCCAAGCACTGAGTTAGAAGCTATGTTTCCATCGTGATCATGGAACAGAGTCCCTAGTGAAAAGTATATTTGTCCTTTTCAAAGTTGAATAGAGAGAGTATTTCAAGCAATAACCCCTACTTGTATGACCAACTCCAAAGTACAGGGAAGGAAAGGGAAAGGGTCTGTACTCCTCAACCGTGATAAGTCTCCTCCAGGGACCTGGCAGGAGTGGAGACATGCACACACAAAAGATTTTAGGACTAAGATTGTTCTGATAGGTTCTCAAATCTGTACTCAACAGTTTGCAAAGCAGTTTACCTTCAAGAAACCGTACTGTGAAGAAACTGAAGGAATCTGCCTTTATGTGACAGAGCCAGGGGCTAGAGTCCAAATCTTTAGTCTTGATAATGCCAGTGAGGCTAAGTCTTCCCTGAGAGGGTTTTCTCTCTGGCGTTGGGCGTACCCAGTCTCCACTTGCAAAAGGAGCAGGCCCTTAGTCTCTGTCTTTTTCTCAGCCTTCCTCTGCCCTCTTGTCCCCCTCCTCACTCATTCATACTCAATTGCTAGGGACTTATTTCAACCCCTTATAGGGTGTTATTTTTAGGCACAGGGTGATAGGAGATATTTTTTGTTTCTGTATTTTCCCCAGGATCAATTGCCATAAAATCATGGAATTTTAGGATATCAGAGTGGGAAGGGACCTTAATTGACAATCATCAAGTTTACATAGTAACCCTTTTTTTAAAACATGTAACATCCAGAACAGAGCTTCTGGCTGGGTGCAGTGGCTCATGCCTGTAATTGCCAGCACTTTGGGAGGCTGAGGCGGGTGGATCATTTGAGGTGAGGAGTTTGAGACCAGCCTGGCCAACATGGTGAAACCCTGTCTCTACTAAAATACAAAAATTAGCTAGGCATGGTGGCATGGGTCTGTAATCCCAGCTATTCAGGAGGCTGAGATGGGAGGATTGCTTGAGCGCGGGATTGCCATCCCGGCGGGTGGAGGTTGCAGTGAGGGGAGATCAAGCCACTGCAGTCCAGCCTGGGCAACAGAGCGAGATGCCGTCTCAAAAAACAAACATAAACAAAAACAACCAAACAGAGCTGCTTTGGCTGAAGCAGCAGCAAGAGGCCTAGTAGCTCAGCCTCCCCACTACCCTTACCAAACAAAGACGATCCCCGCTCCCGCCGAGGCAGCTGCCTTAAACTTCCAGGGTTCCCAGGATCACAGTTCGTAAAACGACACTGACCTGAACCAACTCTCCCATTTTATCATTGTTAAATTGAAGCCCAGCAAAGGAGAGTAATGTGCCAAGGTCACAGAGTGAATTAGTGGCAGGTGCCCTGACTCTCTGCCTGGTGTCCTTTTTACTACCCTGAGCTGTATGTCATTATGTCATTTCGTTAAGTGACCACTTCTAACACTTGACTGGCATCCTGTGCCTGGGTGTCAGGCTTCTCTTGCCTCATGACATCTGGTTCCTGTGAGGTAGGCAGGCTTGTGAATGTGTGTACCTCGTCAGGGCATAATTTTCATACATAGAGTGAGCATGTGTCAGGTTTTGTTTAACTGATTAATGTGGAAACCAGCAGAAGTAGAATAGCTGAGAAATCAGATTTAGATTGTTAATGAAAGAAGGATTGCTGAAATAAAATTGTTTTGGTTAGTACCCTAATGAAAATATAACCTTTGGAAATATTTTATCTGCGTATTAAAGGTATATACCTTCTTAGTTTTTTACACATTAACCTCTTACTGCAGAGTTTTAAAACATTTGGGCCCTAATCGTTTGTGAAGAATAACAAAATTCCATTTCCCAAGAGTGTCAGATGACTTAGTTCATAGTAAACAATGTGTCTAACATGACTTTTAAGTGGTCACACAATCATCTTTTTGCCTTCCAAATTTTGGATAATTTTCCTTAACATACAATCACTAAAAATGATCAGAACCTCTTGTGTTAAAGCCAGCTAGAGCCATCCCAACCCAGGAAGGCAGCTTTCTGCTCAGGGAACAGATGTGACCTCTTTACTAAGGTTTCTGCAGTCAGCAGCCATCAACAAGATCTTGAGCTCACTCTCCTTGCAGCCCTGCTCAGTGGCCTGGGATTTGGCCTTTGCTAATCCTAGACTTGCTTCTTTTTCTTCCCCTGCTCAAGGAGGCTCTTTTCTTCCTTGTGGTCTCACCCTCAGGACCATCTTGGATGCAAAGAGGTTACAGAGTTCCATTTGGAGGAAGTTTATTTTATGTGCAGAGCCAGTTCTACTCAGAATAGGCAGCTGCTTTCATTATGTGGTTTTGTCTCTGAACATGTTTTGTCCATCTTTCCATCCCCACTGCTACCACCCAAGGCCAGATCTTAATAATCTGTCTCTGGCAGCGTTTTAATTATCAACTCACTTGCCACTCCATGTCCAGTCTTTACCCTGAAATATAACCTTTTCTCTCTCCATAGCTTTTAAGACACAGATCTTATTCCTGTGACTTCCTTGCTCATGAAACCTCTAAAATCTAATCTTCTTAGAATGATATTTGAGGTTCTGCAAAGACTTTTGCCCTTTTCTTTCCAGTCCTTTCTCCAATCGTCTCCTCATACCCTGTTCCATGGGGGTTCATACTAGTGGGTAGGAATATTAGAGAAACCATCTTTGGGACAGTATGAAGGTTAGGAAGGATTCTTTGTTGTGGGGCCATGTTAAGATTTAATTTGATAAAACTTTGTGCTCGGCACAGAAGTAAGTCTTAGGAATAAGGAGTAGCCAAACACATGGTTAAGGCTTTTGGAGCCTGTAGTTGATGAAGAAGGACAGGAAGGTAAAGTAAGTAGGCTAGAGCGATAATCACTCTGAATGGAAACCTGGAGAGAGTGCTTTAGGAGCTTGGAGGGGACCACTACCTGAGAGATGAAGGAATACCTCCCAGAAGAGGTAATATTTGAGTTGGACTTCAAAGATGAGGCATTTGGTAATTATGAAGGGGAGACTGTAACTTCCAAGCAGAAAGACCAGTGAGGACAGAGGCACAGAAGCTTATGTGGGTGTTTCAGAGAAGGGAAAACAGTCCATTGTAGCCAGAGTATAAGAGTTCAGGAATAGGACTGTGGTTAGGGTTAAAGTTACCAAAGTAAGTTAGGGTCAAACTCTGAAGGACATAATATTGGAGGCTATTGTGTATGTACTGTGTTTTACACATAGCATGCAACAATAATTGATTAATTAGGTGATATATATTTGTCTATTTGTACGAGTATGTAGCTGTGTGTTGGTATGTGCGTTACTTTTTTTTTTTTTCCGAGATGGGGTTTTTCTCTTATTGCCCAGACCGGAATGGCAATGGCGTGATTTTGGCTCACTGCAACCTCCTAGGTTCAAGTGATTCTTCTGCCTCAGCCTCCCTAGTAGCTGGGATTACAGGCATGCACCACCACACCCGGCTAATTTCGTATTTTTGGTAGAGGCGGAGTTTCTCCATGTTGGTCAGGCTGGTCTTGAACTCCTCACTTTAGGTGATCGGCCGACCTCAGGTGATCCGCCTGCCTCGGCCTCCCGAAGCTGGGATTACAGGCGTGAGCCACCACACCTGACGTGTGTTAACATTTGAAGAACCATTGAGGCCAAGCAAATATCAAAAATTGAAGCCAGAAGGACAGATTGGACCTAAGCTTACCTAGGCTTGGAGCTCCTGAGATGTTCCCCAGTTCCACAAGCCCGTAAGTTAGTCACAGAAAGCCAGCATTGGAAGGGACCTTAGGGACAGTGTTTATACTTACATACATTCAGTTATCCATTCAACAGATGTCTGATACTGCCCATAGAACTGGGATACAGTAATGAACAAAACAAGGACTGCCTTCATGGAACTTGTTATTTATTTATTTATTGAGACAGGGTTTCACTCTGTCACCCAGGCTGGAGTGCAGTGGCATGATCGTGGCTCACTGCAGCCTTGACCTGAGCTTAAGCAATCCTCCCACCTCAGCCTCCTGAGTAGCTGGGACTACAGGCATGCACCACCACACCTAGCTAATTAAAAATTTTTTTTTGTAGAGCCAGGGTCTCCCTACGTTGCCTAGGATGGTCTCAACATCTTGGGCTTAAGCGATCCTCCTGCCTCGGAGGCCTCCCAAAATGTTGGGATTACAGGTATGAGCCACTGTGCCCAGCGTAGAACTTATTTTAATGGGGAAAACAATGAAAAAATTAGTAAATCAATTATGTAATTCTATATGCATTATGAAGAAAGATAAGCAGGAGTAAAATGTTAAAAAGTGGCCAGAGTAGACCTCTCTAAGGAGGAAGATCATTACCAGCTGAGAGAAGGGCAGGTGAAAAGGCCCTGATGCAAGAGCATGTTTGTAGAATAATTAGAAGGCAGCCAGTGTGGCTGGAGTAGCAGCAGTAAAGAGGAAAGAGGCAGGAGATAAGGTTGGAGAGTGGGCAGCTGAGGCCAGAACATAGGGCCCCGAGGTCCATTGGGCTGATGAGGAAATGAAGTTGGCATGTAGCCAGGATCACACAGCAAGTTATGAGCCAGGCCAGGATTGGGAACGTTCTGGTTCAGGCTCCCTTCCTTTGCTCTCTGCCATCTTCTGTCTTTTGGCCAATATTAACTTGAATCCCATTTAATACCTTCATTTTCTTCTCCCTCATGTAGCTCTCTCCCATTTCTCAGACCTACATTTGCTCACATGATTTGGTAATAGAGTGATTTCTGGAAGGTCATGGCTAGAGTGGTCCTTGGACATCTTTTAGTTAAATCCCTGGTATTAGAAATCCACAGAGGGAAATTGGCCTGCTCAAGGCTACTTACCTAGTTAGGAGTAAAACTTGATTTCTTTTCCCCAGTTCTCTTGCCGTCTGGTGTCTGGCTCTTCATTTTCTGTGTGCCGTTCCCCTTTTCTTACAGTTTCCAGCGGAAGGGAATCAAGTTGTGACCCATGTAATTGACACAAGCAGCTAGCAGCATTCCAGGACCCCATGCCACCTGCCCTCACTTTAGCTTTTTGTTTGGTCTTTGTCATGTGAATTTACTGTTTGATTCAGGCCGGTGTCTTTGAACTACTACCCTCTGCAAAGACATGTTGCTAACTCTGCATCCTTGCTCATGCTATTATTTCCACACCTGAACTGGCAGCCTGCTCTTAACCACAGGTCTGTATCCAGGAGGCTTGTCTTTGAAGCCCAGCCCCAGTCTTATCTCCAAAGAAGCAATGTGGAAAGAGGATAAAGTTTGGAGTTGGATATAGTTGGATTTGAATCCCAGCTTTGGCACATGCTGGGACCAAAGAAATCTTAGACAAGTAACTTGACTTCTGGGAGTGGTTTTCCTGTTTGTAAATGAGGCTATTAACACCTGCTTCATGGGGTCATTGGAAGGATTATTTAAGGTATTGTATGTGTACATACTTTAAGCATTGGGTAAAGAGAAACTCTTATTCACTCCTCCTCAAAGGTGCCTTCTGAATGCCCTTTGCCTTTTTCGTAATACTTAATAGGTAACATTTCTTGGGAGGGTTTCTGTGTGACCGGCACTTTGCTAAGTGTCCAGTGCTTTTAAAAGGACTTACCACTGCAAGTGATTCCATAGTTGTCTCCAAATAAAAAGTTAATTTTTAAAAAGCACTGATCTCATTTTTTATATATTTGTTATTCTTGTTGTGTGTAGATAGAGGCCAGGTTAGGATTCAGTATATACCTGTGTTCCAGTTGTTGCTCTGTGATTTTCTAGCTGTGTAAACTTGGACAAGTCACTGGACCTCCACTCTTTTTTTTTTTTTTTTTTTTTTTGAGATGGAGTTTCGCTCTTGTTGCCCAGGCTGGAGTGCAATGGTGTGACCTCGGCTCACTGCAGCCTCCACCTCTTGGGTTGAAGCAATTCTCCTGCCTCAGCCTCCTGAGTAGCTGGGATTATAGGCATGTGCCACCATGCCTGACTAATTTTGTATTTTTAGTAGAGATGGGGTTTCTCCATGTTGGTCAGGCTGGTTTCGAACTACTGACCTCAGGTGATCCTCCCACCTCGGCCTCCCAAAGTGGGGGGATTACAGGTGTGAGCCACCATGCCTGGCCTTGACCTCTATTCTTAATGTGTTTTTCACACTAGAGCCCTAAAATTCAACACTAGTTACATTTGGAAACCTGACTTGCTAATCTGCTGACCTTGGAAAATGTGTCTTTGTTGAATACAGAGCAGTAGTACCTGGGCTGGCCCTGTGTGACTTAGAGCGGACAGTATGGGAGGTGGAGAACTGGGTGCATGGGAGCCATTAGATCAAGAATTGGAAATTCCTCACAAATAAAAGGTTTCTGGGGTAGGAGCAGGGGGCAGTGTTGATGGTGACTCTGCTTGGATTATCTTCTAGGGATGGAGGATTGCCAGCTCCATTGAATGGAAGGACTGGTGATGCGCAGCCACTCTTGCATGTGCCCGGGCAAAAGACAGTGTGTTGGTGGCAAATGCCTAATGTGTCTATGGCTGACCATGGGCCATCTCTGCCATTCAAGACATCAGCTCCTGGCAGAGTTGTATTGGTTTGATAGAGCTTTAGTCTTCGGAGTCGCACAGACCTGAGTTCAAATCCTTCTCTGCCATTTACTGTAATAATTGTGTTCCTTAGGCTGATCCTTTAGCTCTCAGATCCTCTTTTTCCTTTTCTCTAAAATGATGTGGTTGATATCTGCTTTTGAGGTTGTGAGGATTTAAAATAACAGGTAAATAGGTGCCACACAGTACCAGATACTTAGTTGGGTGAGTAGCCTGGTGATCTGTGGCTGTTAGCTCTTTGAAGGCCAGTATCCCTAGGAGATAGCAGCAACGTCAGCACTGCTCTGATTCCCTGACCAACCCCCAACCCCACCTTTGCCCTCAGAAATACCCTGGACCCTTGTTTCCTTCCTCAAGTTCAGACCCCAGAAATGTTGGGCAAGAAGGAGCCTCCAGGCCAGGCTTTATTGTGCCAGATGTTATATCTGAGTAAGCAGGATTGTTACACAGCAGAGATACAGGAGCAGAGCAGGTAGCTCAGGCAGCTGCTGATGAACAAAAGGCTTCTTCTCTCTGTTCCCAATAAATTGGTCCTTGGGGATCCTAGCTTTGAAATTCTAATTGACACAGGAAGGAAAAGATTCATTAGGCTCTGGACTCGTTAAAATGCTCTGCTGCTCACCTACGATTTATTCTTGGCACTTCATCAAGAGGAATTAAGTAAACCAATGGGCTGGGAGGCTCCTGACAGCAGAGTCGTGTGTCTCTCGTGCTCCTGGGGGGATGAGAGTGTTGGGTCTCCTATGCTATGGAGCATATAGCTGGCTTTGGAATCTCCTCATCCCTAGGACTTCACATGAGTCTAAGTCTCATATGCTTTTAACAATGGAGGGACCTTCTGAGATCATACTGTGTAACTCATTTATAGATGGTCCAAAGAAGAACTGGGACTTGCTCAAGATCACGAAACGCATTAGTAGTGGAGTTAGAATTAGAATCAGTCAGGCTGCATGACTTCCAGGTCAAGAATATTTTCTCTGCGGCCGGGCGTGGTGGCTCACGCCTGTAATCCCAGCACTTTGGGAGGCTGAGGCAGGTGGATCACGAGGTCAGGAGATCAAGACCATCCTGGCTAACACGGTGAAACTCCATCTCCACTAAAAATACAAAAAATTAGCCGGGCGTGGTGGCGGGCGCCTGTAGTCCCAGCTACTCGGGAAGCTGAGGCAGGAGAATGGCGTGAACCCTGGAGGCAGAGCTTGCAGTGAGCCGAGATCGCACCACTGCACTCTAGCCTGGGAGACAGCGAGACTCCGTCTCAAAAAAAAAAAAAAAAAATTTTCTCTGCATCACCTTTGGATTTCTACACCCAGTGTTTCATTCATTCAGCCTTCAACAGATACTTTTAACACATTCTGTGTGCCAGGACTCTGTGATAAACAAAACAGCCATGGAGGAAAGTAAATACCTGACCCAGTATTAGGAGAGATTAGAAAGGCCTCCAAGTCTGAGAGATGGATAGGAATTAGCTCAGCAAGGAGAGATGAGGAAGGTTATGGCTGAGGAACTGGCATCTATGAAAGCCAGATTCAGCTTTCCCTTCAGAGCCTGGCTTTGGCATCTATGAAAGCCAGGCTCTGAAGGGAAAGTTGAATCTTGCTAGAGTGGAGAATTGAGGAAGAGATGAGATGTTAAGGCAAGCCGAGTCTATGAGGTTTGGGCCACTGTATGGTTGTAAAGAACCCTGGATCTGGGATTAGGAGTCCTGAGTTCTAGATATGTTTCTGCTACCAATATGTTAGTCATCATTCTAGTAACACTTCACATCTTTTAGGTGTGCCATGATGGGCACTGGGGTACAAAAATGTGTAAGATGTATGTAGTCCCCTCCCTCAGAGATCTGTCAGTTTAATGAGGCAAGCAGGCTAATTAAGAACCCCTGTAGTAAAGGAACAGTTACCTCTGCTGTAAGAAGTCAGAATTGAGCTGTGTGTTACTTTAAGCACTTTCTCTGGGCTTTGATGATCTCACCTGTCAAATGGTAAATAACCACTGTCCTATGTAGCTGGTAAACTGATGAGAAGACAGACAACTTTGTAATGATTGGCGTTTGTTTGGCATTTTGTGGATTTCAAAACACTTTTGACATCATTAATTCATTGAACCTTAACTGCAATCTTATGACTTAGGAAATTTCCCCACAATGTACAGATGAGGAAACTGAGAGAGGTTGAGGCTTGTTCATAGTTTCACAGCTTTTGATTAACAAAAGTTAGGATTATAAATCCAAATCCCGTGCTCTTATTTTGAAAAGTATAAAGATGGCAACCTTTCTTTCTATCCCCTACTTAGTGGCAAATTATCCCCTTCCCCTTTTCACAGTCACCAGAAATGCAGAGAATGTCTGCTGTGTTTGAAAAGCAGATCTAAGCTGACTGGGGAGAAAGAAAGGAGCTTATTTCAGGTCTTCTTCAGGCTGGACTCTAAACTTTTAAGATCATGTGCGCCCGTGCTCCCATCAGCTCCTGCTGTTCCATCTCATGCCATTTACAGAGTGCCATTTACTGAGCCACTACTTCATTGGCTACTCATAGCAACTTGTGGGGTAGACAAAGTGCACTTTACAGATGGGCAAACTGAGGTCCAGAGTCCCTGAATTGTACATGTCAGAACCAGGATTGAATCTAGAAGTCTTGGGCTCCTGACACCAAACAGGTGCTCTTAACTTGCAGAATGTAGGTTCCTTTGATTCAGTTCGGTTCAAACAATTCTTGAATATAACCCATGTGCCAGAGACTTTGCTATGCAAGAGAGCCTCTAGTTAGGCTCAAACCGTCTTGGTCTAGTGCCTTACTTAAGAACAGGGACTTGTATTATTTACTTCTCTGTCCCCAGGCAGGACCTTGATCCAAAAATGCTTTGCTGTTGTTTTTGGCCTTAATCTGCCAGAAACTAGAGGGAGCAGATGGCCACAGCAATGTGGGTTATGAGGATGTGATATCAGGCAGGGTTGAAGGATGAATTGAGAGCCCTGCACCCAACTACTTCTGTGTCTGTGCCTAGGCCCTTGTCAGGGTAGTCTCTATCTGAGAGTGTAGCTGGTCAGCCTGGTCCCATTTCTCATTTCCAGTCACCTCCCCCTCTTGCCATCCCATATAATGGGGTTAGTCTCCTGGACAGATCTCATACAGAGGCTGCTGGGATCTGCTGTCCAAATGACCCTTTGGACCTATTTCCCAGCCATGTTCCAAGATGATGGTGAGGAGTCTAGCCCCACAGCCAGTATGCTATCTCTATTCAGATAACTCCCAGCTCACAGGCCTCCCACCAGGCTCTCACCCACTCTGATGTTTTCACTCCTGACTCCTAAGAAGCAGATTGGCAATTTAGTGTGAGTCTGTCAGACAGCCTAGAGAGTAATCAATACTGAGAGAAATGGACATATTTCCTGTTTATTCAAAATCCTGATGAAAATTTTAAGGAGCACTATTTGGGAAGGGATGACTGGGAACCTTGCAAGAACAAACAGCTTAAAATTCATGAACAGAAATAGCAACGTTTATTCATGATGTTTCAAATGCCCCTAATATTCACATCTTTATATATTACAGACCCCTTTCATACGTGTTACTGCTTTTGAACCTTAGAGCAACTCTGTGAGGGAAGCAGTGTAAGGATTACTATTCCCACTTGACAGTTGAGGAAACTAAGGCCCAGGAAGCTTTAAAGAGAGTTAGGGACCATCTGATAGTCATGGTGGCAGAGCCCAAAACAGAACCAAGATTTGGAAAATGAGTACTCCTGGGTTTGAAATCTGGTGCTCGCCACTTTCTAGTTGTGTGACCTTTGGCAAGTTACTTGGCCTCTCTGAGCTCAGTTTCCTTCTCTGTAATACGAGGATAACAATGTCTACTCCTTATGGTTGTGTATGGATTTAATGATATAATTAATGGAAAATGCTAGCACAGTACAGAACATGTGTTAGGAGCTTAGTAACTGCAGGTATCCTATCTCATAGGATAGCGTTTTCAGTATATTGCACTCTGAGTCTTTGAAATTTGATACTTTTTTTTTGTTTTTGAGACAGAGTCTCGCTCTGTTGCCCAGGCTGGAGTGCAGTGGCGTGATCTCCGCTCACTGCAAGCTCCGCCCCCTGGGTTCATGCCATTCTCCTGCCTCAGCCTCCCCAGTAGCTGGGGCTACAGGCGCCTGCCACCACACCTGGCTAATTTTTTTTGTTGTTGTTGTTGTTTAGTAGAGACGGGTTTTCACCGTGTTTGCCAGGATGGTCTCCATCTCCTGACCTCGTGATCCAGGTGCCTTGGCCTCCCAAAGTGCTGGGATTACAGGCGTGAGCCACTGCGCCCAGCCTGATACTTTCACTACAGTAAAATGGACTACATATAATAAATTCTCATTAACCAGAGTATCATTTAAATGCCTCACTAGGTTAAGAGAACTGGATAAGAAGGGAAGCAGGGTGCTCCAGGCACTGGCTAAGTACTCCTGATGCAAATCACAGTAGGTTAGAGCTGACAGGGACCCTAGAGATCTGTCCCAGTGTGTCTTCCTCAAATTGTGTCTTCCTCAGAAGAGATGTTAATAATTTGGGAAACATCAGATTGAATAATGCTAATAAGTAAATTTCTTTACCGCTGCCTTTGCAGACCCTTATTGTGTGTGTCTCTTGGGAACGAGTTGAGAGTGCAATATGCCAAATTTCCTCTTCTTATTTAACCTTGGAGCCCCTTTTTTGAGGAACTCTCATTAACATCTTGAGGAACCCTGGTTTTCCGTGGAAGATTTCATGTAACTGACTCAGTCCAGTTCTTTAATTTTTAAGATGAGGGAAGCTTAAGGTCTCTAACCAAGGTCTACAGCCCATGGCAGAACCAAGTCTAAATCTCAGGGTGCCTAACTTTTTCCTAGGCCACACCATAATTTGTACTCCACTATTGTTCCTTTTCTAGCCAGCAAATCCTAAAATTACAGAGGATCCTGCAAACCACTAATCAGAGAGCATTGTTAGAGCATCAAGCTTTCTGTTTTGATGTGTTTATCCCAGTAGGCAGGAAAATGAGGAAACAACAGGCTTAATGGCCATCAGATGTTTCCAAACAGTTGAAGGACCAGGGGTCAAGTAATTATCTCAGTAACTGGAAAGGTGCCCTTACCGTGCAAAGTCGAACTCTGTTCTTCCTGCTGTAAGAAATTTGAGTTATATCTGGGGGACTCATCCAGTAGGCCCACAGTCCCCACAGTCCAGCTCCTACTAAGAACTAAGCTCTGACACCAGTAATATAAAAAAGATCCTGAGAGGGGTTTGAAGAGAATGTGTAAGTTTCTGCTCCTCTGTCACCGTCTCCATCACAAAATTGAGGGGGTAGGAATGTTCTGCTGGATTTCTATCCAGACAGTGGCAGAGGAAGTTGGCTTTGGCATTTAGTGGGGCTATCCTTGCATTTTACTAAGCCCTCTAGTTAAGATCAAATCAAGTTTAAAAAGAAACTTTTTTTTTTTTTCACTCTGTTGGCCAGGCTGATCTCGAACTCCTGACCTCAGGTGATCCGCCTGCCTCGGCCTCCCAAAGTGCTGGGATTACAGGTGTGAGCCACCACATCCAGCCCAAAAATATCACCTTTAAATTTGCAAGTTTATATGGTAGATTGTTCAAAGCACATCTGATCACAACACAATCCCGTGACATAGAGGTTCTTTTCCATGTATCATATGAGGACGTTAAGGTTCAGAAAAGAGATGGTGACTTGTCCAGGGTTTGACGGCAAATTAGTGATAGACCCTTTTCACAAGTGCCTAGTGCAAGGCCAACATTTAGTAGATGTTCAATAATTTTTTTTTTTTTTTTTTTTTTTTTTTTTTTTGAGACAAGGCCTCGCTGTGTCACCCAGGCTATAGTGCAATGGCACAGTCATGGCTCACTGCAGGTCCAACCTTCTGGGCTCAAGCAGTCCTCCCACCTCAGCCTCCCAAGTAACTGGGACTATAAACATGTACCACCATGCCCGGCTAATTTTTAATTGTTTTTAGAGACAGGCTCCCACTATATTGCCCAGACTGGTCTTGAACTCCTGAGCTCAAGCAGTCCTCCTGCTTTGGCCTCCCAAAGTATTAGGATTACAGGCGTGAGCCACCATGCCTAGCCAAGAAATATTTATTAATTGAAAATTTTAGTACATTCTCAGGGATTAACTTATGGTCTCCTAACTCTTTGCCCAGTATTCTTTCCATTAAGATAGCTTGGTGGGGCCAGTGGTTGGGCTTCATCTCAGGGTGACCAGATAATAAAGAGAGGGAGGGCTGAATCTCTGTCACTATTGATATTGCTGACAAGGATGGCATTTTCTGGCCTTTGCTGCTGTCCTTATACATACTACCCACTACAGAAAGCCCAGATTCAGTAGTCTCTGGGCTGCAGACTCAAGCTTTTGTTGCCTTTGCTCCCTGTAGTATACTGAACAATGATGCCAGTGACCCCCAGCTTCTCACTCTGCCTTCTCCTTTATTTTCTTTCTCATCAGTGTCTTACATCTCCTTCTATTCTGCTGATGGATGAGGAATTTGAGCTCATCTCACAAACATCAGCTACACGGTTCACTGTTAAGGAGTTGTTGTATCATGTACCTTGGGAAACCATTTACTGAAAAACGCCCACCTAGGATTCTTTCACCTGTTCACTAGCAGAAATTTCACTGGTTGCTAGTATAGTGCTGGAGGCTGGGATTGCAAAGATTAATAAAATAGTCTCTGCCTTCAAGGAGTTCAGAATTTAATGGAGGGAGACAGATGTGTAAATACAAAAGTGCAGCAGATGTTGCAGTAGAGGTCAGCAGAGAGTATCTGGGTCCAGAGGAGTGAGTGGCTGGATCTGCCTACGGGGTGGGATACAAAAGCTTTCCCGAAGAGTTTTCTACAGGGACGTCACATCAGTGGGTTTGTACTCAGAAAACTCCTGGCCCCAGCCACCACTGCCAGATCAGAAATTGGTTGCAGGCTGGGCATGGTGGCTCAAGCCTGTAATCCCAGCACTTCGGGAGGCTGAGGCAGGTGGATCACTTGAGGTCAGGCGTTCGAGACCAGCCTGACCAATGTGGTGAAACTTTGTCTCTACTAAAAATACAAAAATTAGCCAGGCGTGATGGTGTATGCCTGGCATCCCAGCTACTTGGGGGGCTGAGGCACAAGAATCGCTTGAACCTGGGAGGTGGAGGTTGCAGTGAGCTGAGGTCACACTCCAGCCTGGGTGACAGAATGAGACTGTCTCAAAAAAAAAAAAAAGAAAGAAAGAAAGAAATTGGTTCCAGTTGTACTTTATTGATGAAGCGGTCTCCCTCTTAACCTTACTCAATGTTGAGTATGATATTTTGAGCTATCTGTTAAATGGGGGCAATAGTAATACCATTTTCATTTAGAAAATTCCTGAGCACTTAACTTGCATTATCTTAACATTATCTCATTGAATTCTCACAACAGCCTTATGGAGAAAGTACTGTAATATTATTCCCATTTTTACAAATGAGAAAACCAGGCACAGAGAGGTTAAATCATTTACCCAGGATCATACAGCCAACGTATAGCAGAGCTGGGATTTGAACCCCAGGTAGTCTGATTCCAGAGTCATTTTCCTAAAACAACCCCAAAAAGAGCCATTGTGACCTTGATATAATTCTTACCTCAAAGAGTTGTAAGGATGAGAATTTAAATACTTAGCAATGTATCTTCCATGTAATAAGCAATTAATATAATGATCATTTATATTACATTCTTTCCTAAATGCTGGGGTGGATTGGGCTGTTGCAAAGATACTGCCTTCCTGTCTCTCTCCAACTTTTCCTGGCTTTAGCATCTGTGCAGCCTGCCGCTTTGTATCTTAAACAGCATAGATAAGGAAGGAAGCAGGGGTGGGGCATGGGGGCTGTGGTATGTGGCTCTGCTGGAGTTCAATTCAGCAGATACTCCCTAAGCACCCACTCTGGGCTAGAGCCTGTTCTGATGCCAGTGGGGATGCCAAGATGAAATAGATTGTGGTCCCTGCTGTCCAGGAATTCACAGTCAGTCTGGGAGGAGAGATGACACTGAAACAGAGTATTTTAATACAATCTCCTCAGGTGGATCTTAGCCAGCACATCAGACCCCACTGCCCAACGGCTCATACCACAACTAGCAGGGCAAGAATGCCTTGCTATTATATTGATTGTTAAAATAATAAACTTGTTAATATCTTTGACATCATTAAAGTCACTGTTATTAATGTAGAAAGTAGCAGTATGTCTTATTGCATATATTACCTCCAGTTAATGGATCCATGGGCACTATTGGTGCTTCCATCACATGTCTAGCAATGTGCCCAAAAATCTCTATGTTGCTTGAGGAGAGGAGACTAATACATGAGACAAAAAGGGTTTGGCACAAGATGGGATGCTCTGCTCAGGGGTTGGATTGGTGGTTCAGATGCTCAGAAGCTATAGGGACTTACAAGTGCCTCCTTACTGAGCACTGGGCTGCGTACAACATCAGAACGGGTGATGGCTCACTCTTCAGTGTCCACAAAGCCCTTTCTGATCTGATCTCGGCTAGGCACTCTAGTATCATCGGCATCATTTCTTGTTACATCCTAGACTCTGGGCAAACCACAATACATCATATTATTCATTAAATGTGGGATCTCTGTCAAACTTCTGTAACTTTCCTTATGCTATTTCCTCTTAAATGTACTCTCTTACCTGTGTGTGGGTTAACTTCAACTCATCCTTCAGGACAAGATTGGAACTTACTGTTGACTCTTCTTGTCTGAGTCGTCTCCCTTTCTTTCTGTCCCTTAGGTAATTGACATGCCTCCAAGTTCCTAGTTGCTCCTGTCATAGACCTCATCAAGATGAAACATAGGTTCTGGTTTTCTTGAGGTTTTCACCACTGACTGGACTATAAATTCTTCCAGGGGGGAGATTGTACTTTATTAACCTCTGTAGTTTTATACAGTGTCTGGCAGTAATAGGTGAACAATAAATGATTTTTTGATAAATGAGTAAATCTTTTTAGCATGTTATTCCTCTACCTAGGAACCTACAGTAACTTCATGGCACTCAAAACTTTGTAGACTCAAAAGCTAGTAAACACAGTAGACTATACATCTTCACATGTACATGAAAACAGTAATGAGGATTTGATTTTCCCTACTAATTCACCTCTACTCTCCCTACCCCACCACCTGCCCAATATGGTAATACATGGTGCTGCGAGGTTGCCATGAAAGTGGCATTCATTGGAGATAACAGTGTAAATTGGTGTAACTCTTTTGGAAAGCAGTTAAGCAATGTGTTGCCAGAGCCAATAAAATGTTCATATATTTGACCAGTCATTCCACTTCTGGGAGTCTGTCCTAAGGAAATAGTCTAGTTTATACAATAAGCTTTCCCTCAGATGCTATTGTTTATAATAGTGAGAAATTGGAAAAAGCCTAAAAGACCACCAATCTAAACTATGATAAATCTACTCAGGGAAAACCACGAGCTTTTAAAGCAGTAGTGTAAAAAATGATGCTTACCGAAAACTATGCGGCAGTAAGGACAAATATGCTATAATATATATAATAAATGTGTTATAATGCTAATTGAAAAAATTAGGCTACAGAGTTGAGTTATCTAACCATGTAATCCAAACATAATGTGCAAGAAAAACACTGGAAGGAAATACATGAACATGCTAACAGTTATGTCCCATAGAGGGGTGGGGGTTAGATGATTTCATATGGTAATTTCATATAATAAACATACTCAATATAATAGCACAAATTCTTACCCAAATTATTGGTTAAGAATTTTAAAATAATAAACCAGCCAGGTGTGGTGGCTCACGCCTGTAATCCCAGCACTTTGGGAGGCTGAGGCGGGCGGATCACGAGGTCAGGAGATCGAGACCATCCTGGCTAACACGGTGAAACCCTGTCTCTACTGAAAATACAAAAAATTAGCTGGGCATGGTGGCGGGCGCCTGTAGTCCCAGCTACTCTGGAGGCTGAGGCAGGAGAATGGCATGAACCTGGGAGGCGGAGCTTACAGTGAGCCGAGATGGCGCCACTGCACTCCAGCCTGGGCGACAGAGCGAGACTCCGTCTCAAAAAAAAAAAAAAAAAAACAACCTCTGATCTTACCCATTTTAAACAAAGAAATGATATGGTAATATTGCTGTGGTGACAGTAGAGGATTATTTAAAGAATGGTAATAAGAATGGAGAGAGGGGGGCTACATTCTAAAAATATTGAGGCCAAATGAGGAGGGCGTGGTGAATAACAGTATGTGGGGGAAATGTATATGCCTAATAGAGAACATTGGTTCATGGAGTTTAATGAGATGTCCAAGGTCACACAGCTAGTAAGTGGCTGATCCTGGATTTAAACCTTGTTCTGTCTCTGTCCAAAGCCATGCCCTTTCTCCTGCAGCTGAGACACCTATTACAGTTTTGGAGAAACTTTTTTTTTTTCTTTTAACCAGTTGCAGTGTAGAAGCTTGTTTAGTGTAGTGCCTCCTTTTTGAGGGGAAGGGGGCCGGGAAGGGTTAATTCTTTCTAAGACAATGACAAGGGGGAAAGACCATAGATACCAAAGCTGCTTCTGTCATGATCAGTTGAATTGATGAGTTTAGAAGTTCACTAGGCATTGGGTGTGTTATACCTGTCGTTTTGAGGGCTGTTTTTTGTGAAGTTGCAGGGGTTCATTGGTTGGCTTTCGTTTGATGCTTAGCTTATGGTAGCAGGGCATCTTGGACATAAGCGTGCATATGTATACCGTATTACATGCTAATGAACATTTTGTTCATTACACCAAGTTTATTAATGATGCTGCTGCTGTGGGAGTGAGAGAGGGGTCAGGGTGGCAGCTTCAAACAAGGGACAGTGTCTAAGCTGCTCTCTGAAAGGAACGGTTCACCTGAACCATACAATGCCCTATCCCCATACTTCTCAATGACTAATCCAAGAAAAGGTGATTTTGAACTTGAGTCTATCCTTTGGAGTATGATACTCATCCCTTCGGAAGAACCCATTTCACATTGACATGTTCACTCTCTGACCTTAGGCATGTTCTCTGCGCTAGGGTTTACTCTCTGCACTAGGGTTTGCCTAATAGAGAACATTGGCTCAATGAGTTTAATGAGATGTCCAAGGTCACACAACTAGTAAGTGCTGATCCTGGATTTAAACCCACTAGGGTTTACTCATTTATAAAGTGAATGACATATAACCACTCAGAGGATTGTTGTGTATAGATTTGGTAGCCTTAACTCATGAAGAGTCTTGTAAGCCACATTAAAGGATTTGAACTTGATTCTTTATGGTGGGAAGCCCTTGAAGGATTTTAAACAGGAGGTGGCAGGGGCACACTTGATTGATCACACAGGAAGCAGATGCTTAGTAATGTTTGTGGAGTTAATGTTGTTACCAGGGAGACAAAGGCAGAGTGGCTACAACTGTGGCATCATTCTCAGTGGTCCCCTGTAGACCAAACATGTGACACTGTGGGAGATGATGCTTAGAGCCCTAAGTTATGTTTGGATCAGCACCCTGGAGAGAGGTCACCCGTTCCTTCCTTCCCCTGTCTGAATGTGGGAAATTTAAGATATATGTTGATGCATATGCTGTCTTATAGGGTCAAGCCTTTGGGGCTGTGAGGGGTGCCACTCAGTGTGTTCAAGGAGAAGGATTGTTGTAATGAGGAAAATACTGATTCTGCATGAAAGGATTTTAATCAACTGCCCTGATACCTGAGGGACACAGTACTTGGCTGGAGTGCTGAATTGTGCACCATCCAGCCCTTGCTTCCAGCCTGCTGGCTTCCTGCTTGGGTGCCTCTGTCTAGGAAGACCTGCAGCAGCTGTCCATCCTGGGAGTATTCCTGTCTATGCTTACGTGGCACATGTCAGGTAACAGAGCATGTTATCTCCTTTGACCCTCACAACAACCTGTGTTACAGGGATTTTTATCCCCATTTTACAGGTGGGGAACTGTGAACCTCAGAAAAGTCAAGTGCCTTTCCAGGTCATACAGCTAGTAGACACGGGATTCAGGCCCCAGCGCTCTACAGGCAAGGAGAAATCCAAAGCTAATAAGCCCCCATTACTATTTTAACTTAGAGCTATGCCTGTTGTGGTAGGAGTTAAGCCTCCCTGTCATACAGGTTGGGAGATGAGAACAGGATGCACTACCACGGCACAGCCTTCTGCACCCTTACTCAGCCACAGAATGTAGGAGTTCCATCAGAGATACCAAATAGTGAGCAACTGAGGGCTTCTTGAAATATCAGCCCTTGGGGCCCTGTTGCCCAGCAGGGGAGCCCAATCTGCTCTAGAGGGTCCTCAAAGCACAAGGAGGCCTTGGTGGGAACCTTTGCTTAGCGTCCTCTTCCACCTAATTTCTCAAGTTGTATTCCTTATGAGCTCTGGCAGCTGCATTGTTCCATATGCTCATTTATTTATTCATTCAGCACTTAATAAGTACCTACTCTTGTCTTTCCTTTTATGTTCAAGGCACATTTCCAAATACTAGAGTTTTGGTGAGACACTTGAAGAGACTTTATCGCATCCACCGTGATAGTATTTTTTTCCTTGATCACAGTTCAGCTCTAGGTTAATATTCCATTAGAACTGACCACCTTCTCTTTTATACTCACATGGAAAAGTTATTGCAGGTTCCAACAACAACAATAATAATTGAGGTTGAGCATCCGTAAGTTGAAAATCCAAAATTCTCCAAAATTGGAAACTTTCTGAGTGCCAACATCACATTCAAAGGAAACGCTCATTGGAGCATTTCAGATTAGGGATGCTCAGCCAGTTAAGTATCTGCAGATATTCCAAAATCTATAATCTGAAATGCTTCTTGTCCCAAGCATTTGGATAAGGAATACTTAACCTGTAGCAGCAGGAGCTAATATATTCGCATGCTTTCTGATGTGCTGGACACTATTCTGAATGCTTACATGAATTATTTTATCCTCTAACAACCCTAGAGATATGTATTGCTATTTCCATCTTACAGGTAAGATAGACACTTCCCAAAAGGTCATGTCAGCCAGTTCAGTAACAGAGTGAAGGCATTTGGTTTCAGGTATCTCCTGACGACATTCCATGTCCTGTCACACAGGAGTAAGGATTCAGGCTTTGGCTCCTGCTTGATGTCAAGCCATGTATTTAACTCCTACACACAGCAAGCTTTACCTCTCTGTATACTGTGTCATATGACCCACTCAGCTCTGAGTTATGCTGAAAGAAAACACTACATAAGCTCAAAGCAAAAAGCAGTTTTGTACACTGATGAAAATTTGACGACGCACATGGAAGATTGAAGGTGCACTAATTGTGCCTTTGAGCACTGGTTAAGAGCTACTCAATTTGCCCAGTCATAGTCTTAGGTAAGTACAGTAGCATTCAGGAATGAATCTGGTGTCCATTCCTCTCAGCTCCCTAGATGGAGAGAGAAGACTGGTTTGTAAACAGCCATGATAAAAGACAGAAAATGAGAAAACCTTTTCTTCTCCCTTTGACCTTCCTGGCTGGTTTCCTGGTGTTTGTCAAAGTATGGAGAGAGGGTCTGGAATACCAGACTCTTCAGGAATATACCCCCAGGCTTCAGGAAAGTGGTTCCAGCCCCCCATTAAGCCTAGATTGTCTTCCCTTGCAGGATGTAGCATGACGTAGAGCAGAGACCAAGATAAAGCACCATTAGAAGTGTTTGGTGGCAAGTCCTTAGTCTCCCTATCCCCTTCTCTCTTAAGAGAGAGACAAGAAAAGGAAAAAAATTGGATAGTTTTTTGTAAATTAGTCTGACACCAATGTCTAAAAACAATCAGGCTGAAGGACTTGGAAAGAAATGAAGTAAACTTCATGTTTTCTTTGCTTTGGTTTCATAGAAGTTCACAGTTGGGCAAGAGTGGCTTAGAGCTGTGTTACTCAAAGTGAAGTTTAAAAAGCAAAACAAAAGAAAAAAACTGGTTCTTCACCACAAATAGTTTTGAGAAGTACTGACTTATTTAGTTAGTGTGACAGTGTGAAAAATAACCTAAGTCTTTTGATTATGAGATTAATAATACCTGCCTCAGAGTACTGTTTTGGGGATTATTTGATGGTAAATAATATTTTGAGTACTTAAGATTGGCCTACTGCTATGCACTGTATGTGTATTATTTAATCTTCTCCACAATTCTGTAGTAAGTTTTCTGAAACTTTGGATAGGTTATAGGACTTGCCAGAGGTCAAAGGTGTGGTAAGTAAGCAAGTAGGTAGAATTTGAATGGGAGTTATGTGGCATGTTCTGTGTAAGGAGCCTGTTCCACATGAGGGCTCCCTTGTCACTGTACTTTCTCTGTATCACTAATGGTAAAGATCTGCTTTCTTTTTCTATCACTGACCCTAACTTACTTTGTTACCTTGGGCAAGTCCCTTTCTCTGAGACTTAATTTTTCTTATTTACCCTCAAGGATATGCCACATGACCTAGGTTTTTATTCCCTAGATCATGCAGCATATCCTAGGAACCAGGGACTTTATTCATCTCTGGTTCCACAGCACCTAGCTAGATAGGCCTGGCATATCCTAGGAACCAGGGACTTTATTCATCTCTGGTTCCACAGCACCTAGCTAGATAGGCCTGGCATATAATGAGTATTCAGTACTGAGGCCATTGGTTACTCTAGAGGATCTGTAAGGCTCCTTTTACTCTCTACTTTCTCTGAACATCCTACATACTTTATTCTCTGCCTTCCCCACCCTTCCTCAACATCATATTTTCTACCTAGTTCATAGGACAGCATGACCTTATTTCCTTATGTCTGCCTGTCATAAGCAGTCTTGATCCTGCATACTTTCAGACAGCCCACATGATACCTATGTTTTTATTTGTCTGTGAAATGTGACTAGGATAAACCACCAGGGATAACACAAATTAAGGGGTAGAAGGGGCCTGCTCACAAAATCAGAAGAACACTCTTATTCCATTCCTACCCAGTTGGGCCTGGGCCTATGGCAGCCCTGCCAGGCCTGAGTAATGGCCATAGCCTGGAGCAGGGTTTTCCTTGAGCTCCATCGGGGTTTCCAGTAATTGGAACATGGCACCTTCCAACTTGTAATGGATGGCAAAACAAGAGGGGCATTTGTCACTGCCTGACTTCCCTGTGGGAAAGAGGCTCATAAGTCACAGCTGACAAACCCTTTGATGACTTTTAAACTTCATTTACAGAACAGAATAGCTATAATCAACCAACAGCAAGCAGTGACTAATCTTGCCACATTATCAGTGTGAGGAGCCAACTCTTAAGGCATAGGAATGGGGCGGGGGCCATCCCCAAAGCTCACAGCAAGTGCTGATTGGCTCTTGGACTTGAGAGTATGCCTTCAGCTAGGCCCTGTGAGTTTATGCTCAAAGGATCAGTGTTAGGAGGTAGAGGAAGAAACTGACCTCCAGGCAGATACAGGGCATGCCCAGTTTTGAAGCCATTCTGGGCCAAGATTATGAGACCAGCTCTGGTCTCGCACATATTCATCCTACCTCTGTCATTTCCTGGCTTGAGCAAGACCAGACACCAAGCTTTGGTTTCATCGTATGTGAAATGGTCACAACATGTATCATCACTATCTCATAGCAGAAGGCTTAGTGCAGTTCCTGGGATGTAAGTACTCCACAAGTATTGATGATGGTTATCATGATCACATGTTTGGGCCTGGAGTACCTTTTGTGGTCACATGGTTTAAAACCTAGGTCATATGGCATGTCAGCAAAGCCAAGACCATTCTTCCTGTGGATGGGGGCTCAGTGGGAGCAATCTAGTGGAATGGGAATAACACAGGCTTTAGAATCAGACAAGCCCTTGGGTCTTTCGGTCCAAAGCATGCAACTTAATGTGACTGTAGACAAATTAAGCTGTTTCTGAGTCTCAGTTGTATCTGTAGAGTGCAGATGATACTACATATCTCATTAGATTGTGATCAGGATTACAAGAGATTATGCCTGTAAAGCTTTCAACTCAGTGCCTGGTATAAAGTTCTACATATTAAATTGTATGTTCCCTTTTTGTTCTCCCTCAAGGCAAGAATAAGTATGCATCTATCCAGGGAAGCAGGAGACAGCAGTGAAGACATTCTTGTATTTCAAACTTCTATTTCCAGCTCTATGTACAGGAGGAAGAGGAGAATAAGGGGATCAAAGAGGAGAAAGGGATACATTTTGTATATTGTTCCTCCCTCCTGCCAGGCCTCTTCTGGTGTCACTACCCAATGGGAATTCCTCTTAAACACTCTCCCTTTTGGTAGAGCCTTCCGTGCTGCTCCTACCCCTTCTCTGATCTCTCAGACTACTTTGCTTGGGGAGTAGACCATCTCAGGGCACGTGTGCCTTGTGGCCATGGTAGATGTCGCCTGCTGGATTGGGATTTGCTTGAGGTCCCAGACCAACCGCTGGATAAATAAATAAATAAATGATTGGTTAGTTAGTTATTTGATAATACCTGGCCCATAATTAGCTCCGTGTTTGGATATTTATAATTACAATCAGATGGATAAGTCTGTGTTTGGATGACTTATTTGGCAAAAAATAAAGAGGTTGACAATCATTTGTAGGTCTTCAATTCTAACTCAGTATCGGGGATTATAGGCATAAGTTACCTACCCATCCCTCCTTAACTTGTCCCCTTCCTGGAACTATGAAGGGGAGCTTGTCGCAGATGGTAAGCCTCAGCCTAAGGCCACAGACAAGAGTAGAGTTAGTGTTCAAGATGCAGGGAGGGTGGGATTATATACCCAGAGCATGCTATGGGGAGATAACTGAGGCCTGCCTTCTGTTTCTGCTTTGGGGTATCCTCTCAGGGCCCATTAGATATGGATACCAATGTCAGTAGTATAGGACCGCGCAGTACAGTTGAGGGGTGAGAATGACTCAGCAAAGCTGGAACCCCTCTTGGCTGGTGGTTCCGTCCTCTCCCAGCCCCATTCAGTAGTGGTTTGACAGGAATGGGGCAGGGACACCTTTGTGAAGTTTCTAGGTTTGGTTGCAGATACTAGGACAAGGGAGAGCATGCATAGGCTCCCTACTCCCTACCCCCAACTCCCTTACTCTCAGGCAAAGTGTGATGCACAGGGAGATGACATAGTAAAGAACATACCATCTTAGGGCTGGGATGTGGAGGAGCTAGAGTGCCAGGCTAGGTTCATCTGTTTTCATAGAGCATTTGGGTTATCCAGTTTCTTAATACCTGCTAGTCCCACCCATTATACTAGCACTTTACTCATATTATCTCCAGTTCTTATCCTAATTCTGGGAGGTTGGTATAATTTCCGTTTTGCAGTTGAGGACTCTGAGGCCCAGCAAGTGAAAGGATATGGCCACAGTTACAGTTTCAAGTGATAGGTCTCGGATTGGAACTCAGTCCTGTCGGACTCTAGGGCCTGAGCTATTTTTGCTATTTCATGTGCATTTGTCCTTTGTTACTAAGAAATCGTTTTTAAAAAACAGGTTCCCAGAGAGGGGGCTTCTTGAAAAGCAAGTAGAGCAGAAGACTGGTGAGCACGGTGTTTCCCAGCATCTCCACAGTGCCAGCACAGAGGAGGACACTCAAGAAATGTTTGTTAAGTGAGTGAAGGAGATAGGAAGTGGGTAATAATAGAAATTGGCATAATCCATATTCTTTGATAGTACATTACAGATGCAACAGAGCGCTTTCACATCAATTAGCCTATTTGATTCTTGTATCAGACCTGAAAGGTAATCAGGGAAGAGATTATTTCTGTTTTCGGATTAAAGACAAGAAGGCCTAGGGAAGTTAAATGACTTGTTGCAGGTCACATGACTAAGAACAGCAGAGCCAAGGCCAAGCCTTCTGGACCTGTAGCCTGCACTGCTTACACTTCACCCATCCAGGAGCTTTTGCTGTTTGACATGCAGGGAGCTGACTCATGAGAGTGGGAATGGTCAGGAACTAAAGAGCATTCCTTGGGAAATTAGTCCTGTCTGGCCAGTAACAATCATTTGGGCACTGCTAATGAACCAGGGCTTGGCCAGTTTAATGAGATTAATAGATGTTCTGTCATCCCTGGCCGCCTGGTAAAAGCAGGAGCCTCTGGACCAAGGAGGCCCTGGACACTGATGAGTCTAATTGCTTGACTTTCTCCAGAAATAGTCTTCCCATCACTAGTAGCTGTTTTCCTTCTGAACCACCCGGATGTCCCCAGGGTTATCTAAGGGCAGAGAGCTGGCCACAGGCTGCTGTGACCCTCATCCCCATGCAGGAGAATAAGGCCAGAGGGGTCCAGCAGGACTGAACCAAGACAGAGACTATAAATAGCATTGGGGGCATCAAGACCTAAAGCAGCAGCTCCTCCCTTGAAATGAGTATTTCAGGAGGAAGAGATTTAGTGCTGGGGAGGATTTACAGAGTTCTCTGAGTGCCTGAGACTAGACTTGATCTGATAGGATTTGGAGCACATGAGGGGTGACATGGCAGAGTTTTAGAGTGTTAAGACAGCCATTGAGACAGTGGAATGGAGAGTGTCGAGTAAGAAGCCTTGATTCAGGACCCCTAGCTACACTCCCCTCACCAGCTGGTTGACCTTAAGTAAGTCACTTATCTTTGCTGATCCTCTTTTTTTTTTTTTTTTTTTCATTTATAAAATGGGGCGGGATGGGTGCAGTGGCTTATGCCTGTAATCCCAGCAGTTTGGGAAGCAAAGGAGGGTGGATCAGGAGTTCGAGACCAGCCTGACTAGCATGGTGAAACCCCGTCTCTACTAAAAATACAAAAATTAGCTGGCTGTGGTGGCGGGCACCTGTAGTACCAGCTACTCAGGAGGCTGAGGCAGAAGAATTGCTTGAACCCGGGAAGCGGAGGTTGCAGTGAGCCAAGATCGTGCCATTGTACTCCAGCCTGGGCAACAGATGTCTGGTGAGAGCCCTCTTACAGTTTCATGGACAACCATCTTTTCACTGTGTTCGCACATGATAGAAGACACAAAGTAGCTCTCTGGGCCTCTTATTTGTTTATTTTGTAGAGATGGGGTCTCATGATGTAGCCTAGGCTGGTCTCCAACTCCAGGCCTCAAAGGATCCTCCCATCTTGGCTTCCCAAAGTGCTGGGATTACTTGCGTGAGCCACTTCCTGGCCTGGGGCTCTTTTTTTTTTTAAAGGTATTAAACTCATTCTTGAGGTCTTTCCCTTCCCTTTGGGACCTCATCACTCCCAAAGCCCCACTTCCTAATACCATCACATTAGGGATTAGGTTTCAACACACAGATTTGGTGGAGGAGGCACATTCATACCATAAGAGATATAAACTGGCTTTGTTCACTAAAATTCTGTACAACTGTGAGGAATTGTAGTAGAAAAGGGAAAGGGTGAGGACCAAGGAGAGCGTGTGTGGCTGACTCAAGGTAACATAATCTTGCCAGGGAAGTCAGAACCCAAGGCATCCCTGTGCCATGTGCAATCTTGCCCCTGCAGGTGCCTGTTTTTGAGGTCCTGATTCCAGTTCTGGCTTTGCTCTATTAACCAGTTACCTTGCTTCTCTGAACCTATCTCAGTTTCCCTATGTCAAACACCTCCTCACAGGGCTGTTGTGAGGGTTAAATACTGTAATACTGTGCAGCATTCAGTAATTAGTGGCCGTCCTTTTCTTTTTTTCTTTTTTTGACGGAAAGTCTCGCTCTGTCGCCTAGGCTGGAGTGCAGTGGCGGTGATCAAACAGTTCTCCTGCCTCAGCCTCCCAAGTAGCTGGGATTACAGACATCTGCCACCATGCCCGGCTAATTTTTTTTTTTTTAAAGTAGAGACGGGGTTTCACCATGTTAGCTAGGCTGGTCCTGAACTCCTAACCTCAAGTGATCCACCTGCCTTGGCCTCCCAAAGTGCTGGGATTATGGGCGTGAGCCACTGTGCCCAGCCAGTGGCTGTTGTTACTGTGACGGCTCTCTGGGTGTCTCATTTACCCAAAGATCAGAGGTACCTTTTAGGGCTTTTCTACCTTTGCAAACCCCTGCCACTTTTCTCCATGTTCAGGCTTGTTTTTTGTTGAATTTGTTTTTGCCACATTTCTTCTACTCTTACTAGCCTGGAGAAGCAGGCCCATCCCTTTGAGCCGTAAATTGCATTTCAAAGCCTGTTTCACTAGTGGATTTTAATTAGCTTAAAAGGCCCAGCTTTTATGCAGCAATTGTTTCTCCTGCAGGTAAAGGTGAAGGCACTTATTGGGGAGCCAGTCCCCAGTTTTCTCAAACGTAGCTTTTTTCTTTTTTCTTTTTTTTTTTTTTTTGAGACACTGTGCTCTCTCCCAGCTCCTCAGTGTCCTGGGGGCCTGTCTCTTACCAGCCCCAAATGAAAAATGGAATATAAGGACCCTAGACTTAGCGTCAGAAGACCCATGGGGTAATCTTGTCTCTGCTACTCACTAGCTGTAGCATCCTGGCCAAGTTTTTACTGTGGGTAAAACTTCTCTTCTGTTCTTCCGAGTAAGAGCATTTATAAGCTCCATGTGCACACAGGTCTCTGCTCATCTGACATTGCAGAAGTCTCTAGGAATAAATTTGCTTCTCTCCTTTCCCCCAGCCACCAAGAACAATCCTTCTACCCACCTCTCCTCAGCTCATTGCTAAACCTAGGACCCCTGGGGGCTGCAGACACCTTGCTCTCAATTACACAGCTAATCTGTGAGGCAGAGCTTGGCCCAGGGCAGGAAATAGCTTACCAAGTGAAGTAGCTCCTGCTGAATGGATGTCAATATTTTCTAGGGCTGCCACTCTAAGCTAGGGGGTACCTTGAAAAGCATAGGAAGAATTGGGTGGGAGGGATTGAGTTGGTCTGTGGAAGTGGGTGTTTGGTTGAAAGATTAGAAAATGGTATCTGGGACCTCTGCCCTAGTGGTCCTAACCACTTAAGGCAGCCCACAGCTAGACCTTCTGACCACCTCCTGGGACATATGTTTAACCACTCCCTCCCTAACATTGATTGAACACTTACTGTGCCCCGAGTTTTGTCAGGCCTGCCCTATAACATTTGCAGGGCAGAGTAATAAGAGTACAAATAGAGACCCATGTACCATATGTTTAAACATTTGAAGGTTCTGAATGAAGCTAATAAATTGTGATGTTCCCAACAACCTGGAATACCATGTCTTAATTTAGAATTCTTGGACTCATTAGGATTCTGTACTTGAACCTGGCAGTTCAGGGAGACCTAGCCTGGCTCTACCTCCTTTTCATTCCCTTTCCCACCTCTATCCCTCACTTAGAGGAGCCTCATCAACATGTGTGTGGTCACTCAAGCCTTTGCACACCCCCACAGATACCTGTCTCCTTGGGCTGAGGGAGTCCACACAACTGTAGCACATCCCACTTTCCAAAGGAGTGTACAGGGCATGAAAGTGGATAGGGGGCTGTTTAGACGAGGAGCTCAAGAGGTTGGGTACCTAGCGCATGCCATAGGTGAGCATTTCTCCTTTTAACTGCAGATTTCTCACCCAGAGCAGCATTTGCAACCACATACATACACTTCCCAAGTCTCTCCTCTACAGATCAGAAAACTGATCTTCATATGCCATGGCTTCTGGCTGCCCCTCCTTGGCATTATACAGAATGTGTTCCACTGTGACCTTTACCCTCATCTAGAATGGGGTTCGCAGATGGCAGTATTGGAATAAAGAGGTGCAAGCCAGTGTAATTACAAGATCTTGTGAAGGGCTTTAGGGTTTGCAAAGTCCTTTTATGTACATCATTCCAAACCCCAAGGAATGAGAGAAAAGACTGGCAGGGCCAAACCTTAAAAACTTGGCTCACCAGTCAAGGTGAGTCCTGATCTCGTCACAATACCACGAACAGCTGTTCAGCAAATGCTTCCTGCTCAGTGGTGCTTGTGGCTCCCAGTAGAGGTCACTCTTTGTATCTCTATCCACACCCCAGGCTTGGTTGACTCCCTCTAGCCAAAGCAGGTGGCTTCTCCCTAGGCCAAAACTATAGCACTTTGAGCTGAACCACCTAGGAGAGAATCATCTGATGCCCACACAGGGGCCCTATTAACTTCTTGTATACCCGTGGATAGACAAGGAATTAACCCTTGAATGGCTTGTCATCCATGTAGGAGAGGGACTGTCAGCGAGAACTGTGAGGAATGGCAAGCCCATGGGAAAAACATGTATTGAGCATTTCCTGCCTCGTATGCACAGTGTGTTACTACCTTTGTGTCCCTCACTGCCTGATAAGTGTAGATGAGTGGAACCAAAGGCAAACTGAGTAACAAGAGTCTGTCTCTTTCCAAGTCAGTTCCAAAGCTGGCACCAGCCCCTTCATCAGTAGCAGTGATGGGACCCTCTCAGCCCCTTTCCTTTATCTGAGATAATGCACTGCTGACTCTAGTATATCCATTGGGTTCACTTTAAGCCTAACCCTGGGAGCAGTTTCTTCCCAAGTTGGGCTCACGTCCAGCCTATGATTCCCTTGTAAACAGTACCACCTGCTGGTCAGAACGTGCCAGCTTCCAGGCTGGGAGGATTTAAGAGAAAAAGAGTCTCTTATCCCCTAGTGGGATAAGAGATACAGATGTATCTTTTCCAGTTCACTGAAAAGAAGTCCCCCCAAAATATTAGGTAAATAGGTTGGCAGACTGATGAAAGTTTTTATATATGCTATTTGGAGTCTTTTATCACCTGAAATGGCCTTAAGGTTAGGTTACTGAGATAGGAGGGTTCCAAAAGGGAGTGGCATCAACCTGTACCAATGAGCAGAAGACTGGGCCGGGAACTGCCAAGGCTTAACTTGAGGCTTTTCCTACTGAAATTGAGCTTCTCTCCTTTCCCCTTTCCTCTTGGAGCCTATGCCCAGCCGTAAACTGTACGGGAAAAATTTGTACAGCCCTTTGGGGTAAAAGACCTGGCCAGAATATAGAGAGCAAAGGGTAGGTGCAGTCTCATCTCTAAGCCAAACAGAACAAAATTTGAACGAGTTAGTATTAATATGGGTAACTAAAAAATAAATTTATTAAAAATAATTCTCAGGTGAATGTGCTGACTTTCTGTGGTATCTAAATTGGCTTTAGCTCTGGGAAGCAAAATGATAAAGTTGAAAGAAATAGACTTTAGTGACAGACTGACCTGTGTTCGAATGCTCATTACTAGTAAGTTAATGAACTTGTCAATCAGTTTCTGGTAAAATATGAGTAATCATGACATTAACTTGTGGGATCTTGGGATTATTCAGTATTGTATACCACCCTTAGCCACAGCGAGTGCCTGGTGAGGCTTTGTGTTAGTCCATTCTTGCACTGTTATAAAGAAATACCTGAGACTGGGTAATTTATAATGAAAAGTTTAATTGGTTCACAGTTCTGCAGGCCGTACAGGCTTCTGCTTCTTGGGAGGCCTCAGGAAATTTACAATCATAGTGGAAGGCGACGGGGAAGTAGACACGTCTTCATATGGCCAGGGCAGGAGGAAAAGAGACAGTGGGAGGTGCTACACACGTCTAAACACCAGATCTCACGAGCAGTCACTCACTATCATGAGAGCAGCACCAAGGGGGAAATGCATGATTTCAGTCACCATGATCCAGTCACCTCCCACCAGGCCCCACCTCCAGCACTGGGGATTACAATTAGACATGAGATTTGGGCGGGGACACAAATTCAAACCATTATCGGGCTTAGCTAGCATACCCTTTTCAAAATGGTTGGTAGCAATTCAGACAGGTCTGTGTCTGGATCAGACTAAGCAGTTTTCTTTTCTTTTCTTTTTTTTTTTTAGACAGAGTCTGGCTCTGTCGCCCAGGCTGGAGTGCAGTGGCTTACTGCAACCTCCACCTCCTGGGTTCAAGCAATTTTCCTGCCTCAGCCTCCCGAGTAGCTGGGATTACAGGTACCCGCCACCACGCCTGGCTAATTTTTTGTATTTTTAGTAGAGACGGGGTTTCGCCATGTTGGCCAGGCTGGTTTCGAACTCCTGACCTTAGGTGATGCACCCGTCTCGGCCTCCAAAGTGCTGGGATTACAGTTGTGAGCCACCATGCCCGGCCCCTGCAATTTTCATCATATGGTGGTGGTCTAGAGTAAACATCACTTGCAAATACCATGTGACCATGGTTCTACATTGAAGATCTTCAAATTTAGATCCTGAATGGGATAACATTTGAGATGAGCATTAAAGGAGTAGACTCAAAAGAATTAGAGTCAAGCAGATCAGGGGGTCAGATCCCAGCCCTGCCATTCACTAACATTGTGGTCTCTCTGAATGTGAGATTTCTCCCTTGTAAAATGTTGTGGTTCTGCATATCATGTGAGTAACAAATGAGGGAATGTATGTAAAGCACCTGGCATGAGGTCAGCAGCCAATATGTGGCAACTCTTGGTAATATGACAAGAAAACAAGATGCAGGAACAGGTAGGCTGGATGCTATAAGGGTTAAGGAAGGTAAGAGGCAATTCATTTATCCAGGATATGGGCCGTGGGCAGTCCTTGAGCCCAGCCCAGGGACCCAGCTTCACCGAGGCTCTTTTTCTTCAGGTGGGCACCATGTCCTTGAAGCTTCAGGCAAGCAATGTAACCAACAAGAATGACCCCAAGTCCATCAACTCTCGAGTCTTCATTGGAAACCTCAACACAGCTCTGGTGAAGAAATCAGATGTGGAGACCATCTTCTCTAAGTATGGCCGTGTGGCCGGCTGTTCTGTGCACAAGGGCTATGCCTTTGTTCAGTACTCCAATGAGCGCCATGCCCGGGCAGCTGTGCTGGGAGAGAATGGGCGGGTGCTGGCCGGGCAGACCCTGGGTAAGCCTCTCTTCACTATATTCTCCTAGTATTCTCTAGAATAGCTGCTATCACTATCCAGTTCTCAACCCCCTTCTCTCTTTCTCTCACCGCTACCACTGCTCTGAGATTTTATAAATTTATAAGCTATGTTTAAGTTTTAAATAGTTATAAAATTAATCCCTATAGGGAAGAATTTTAGAAGCCTCTGGAAAACACTTCTGACCTGTCTCTGCTTTCTCAGAGCTTCTTAGTGACAGGCTTTACAGTTCCAGTTAAAATGCAGATTCTCCAGAGAAAGAGAACAGAGTGGCCTAGAACAGCCTGTTACACCGGGTACAGATGACTTAGGTTAGAACCCTTTCTGAGAGCGAGCAGGAGGGCCTGAGAGCACAAGGACAGTGTGAATACGCTTGGTTTTGGTGTCATGTCCATGTGATATGACTATGCTAGTGGTCTCTCTTGAAGTATGTACAGTGTTCATGCATGTGCATTTACTCCTGTGTATATGTGTATGTTTGAAAAGGGGTATCTGTATGTGTTTTTTCCTGAACAAGAAGTATATGGATTGACTGAACATGTGGAGATATGTGGACACAACCCTTGTATGTATAGATGTAGTGTGTGTGTGTGTGTGTGTGTGTGTGTGTGAGAGAGAGAACATATTTGAATGTGTCAGCAGATATACATATATTCATTTACCAGGTATTTATTGAGACCTTTTCATGTAGTAAGGACTATTCTAGGCATGAAGGTGTTTGGTAGAACATCCATGTGAATGTGCATTGGCTCATTTGCATGTGGGTAGTTGTCTATACTGAGTGTACTTGAGAATACACGTTACCTGTGTGTGAGTTTCTTACCTGGATATGTGAATGTATGTGTGAGTGTGGCTCTGTGTATGCGTTCCCATGTACCTGATGTGTTACGCATTTACATGAGTGTATTTGAGAATGCATATAGGAATATTCGACGTGTGTGTGTGGTGGGGCGGGGGGGAGGACATGTTTATGAGCATGCCTGGATGGATCTGAAAGTGTATGGACATATAAACAGGCATATCCATGTGATACCTGGATATGAATCTAATGTTTGAAGATTAGATGTATGAAGACCTTTGTTGGCACCATCAGTGAGCAGAATCCATGTGTATACCGTGTAAGCACATGAATTGCTGTGCGTGTGCATGAGGTTGATGTGTGTGGGCACACTGTCATGTTAGCATTCCAACTCTGCCTTCTCCCTCCACACAGACATCAACATGGCTGGAGAGCCTAAGCCTGACAGACCCAAGGGGCTAAAGAGAGCAGCATCTGCCATATACAGGTGGGGCTGTCTGACTGTCTGTCTGTCTGGTGGGATGACTCTCTCTTTCCACAGAGGGAGTAAATGCTGGTGTGACAGTGTGCTGAATCTAGAACTTGGGGAGGTGTCTGGAGATGAGGGCCTGTGGAAAGTGGGCTGAGTGGCCGTCCCTAAGCTCCAGCCCTCTCCCCTTTGTTTCCCCAGTGGCTACATCTTTGACTATGATTACTACCGGGACGACTTCTACGACAGGTGAGCAGGGGAGGGGCGTGCCCAGGCATGAAACAGCCAAGCTGGAAGGGTCTTGAGAGATTGTTGGTGCAGCCCACTGAGTTCTCCAAATGAGAACCAAAACCCAGAGGTTTGCCTGGGGTTGCTCCACCAGTCGGTAGCAGAGCTGAGACTGGGGTCCTGTGCTGCAGGTGCTCAGGCCAGAGCTCCTACCACCATACAACACTGTCTGCCATGCTAACTGCCCTTTTTCCTTCTTGTCCTTGGGTGAGGCTCAAGGAGACCGTACAGCCAAGAGCTATGTAAGTGTGGCTAGTTGGAATACACAACAGGGTACAGCGCTGGTTGCAGGGAGTTTGAGCCCTTCCCTCTGTGAGGTGCCCAAGCAGCTGGTAGGAGCCCCAGAGCTCAGTCTAAGCTTCTTGGGTTTATATTTAGAGACAAGAGGCCAGCAGCCATTTGGAAGTCTAATTAGTCCCTGGCGGGCTGTGGTCTACCCTGCACTCCCAAGCCCTACCCAGACTCCAGCCCAGAGGCTGTGGGCTCCCACTACAACAGCACTAGCCACATTCTTGAGTAGAAATCATGGTAGATACTAACTCAAATCTCTCCTCCTCCCTGCTTCTCTCCCTCTGTCCAGCTTAGCCCACCCCAGGCAGCCCAAGAAGAACAGTGCCTCTCTGAGCATGAGTCGTCCGCCCCCATCCCCACCCCGCCCCTGTGAGTCGTTTCAGGAGACAGTGTGGTGTAGTGGAAAGTGTCTTAGCCTGGGGGTCAGAAGATTTAGATGCTAATCTCAGCTCTGCCACTGAATGGATTATGTGATCTTGGGCAAATTCCCTTCCCAGTTTGTGAAATGGGCTTGCACCAAGTGATCTCTCCAGGCTCCTCCAGCTCTGGGATTCTGTGGTTCAGTGATTCTGACCAAGGCCAGAGCCGTTCCCTCCCCTTGGGGGCAGAAATGCAGGGTCTGGGATCGGATCCATTCCCAGAGACTCTCCATCTGCAGCCATCACCACCTCCAGGAAGGGGCTCCCTGAACAAAGGAGCCCCAAGGAATGGGGCTTTTGCCCAGTGATGGCAGGTTTCCTGGCCGTTGTCAGGAAAATTGACCCAAAGTTTACCCCCTGGGCTGCGATTCCCTGAAAAAGGTGGCAGCAACAGATGTCAGAGAGACCACTTCTCAGCCTACTGAGTTTCTGCCTGGTCAGCTGGAAAGGAAGCCCTCCTAGAGAGGGCTTGGAGATGACTTTGGTTGGGGGCAGTGCACAGCCTGGGAGCCCTGGGGGGGTCTGATTGAGCTGCCCAACCTTGATACTCTACCAAGCCCCTGGCCTTTGTCTCTGGAATGGAGCACGAAGGATGTGGTGATTAAGGAGGTCAAGTAAGGAAAGGGCTTAGAGTTCAGTCTTATGCCTCTGAGGTCATGGGTTCGTGAATTGAGGGTCTCAGTACCCTGACCTTTCATCTATTACACGTTCTAAAGTGTGTTTTTAACCGAATTCTTTCATGCTGTGCCCTTGGGTGGACACTGAATGTGGATAGCCATCCTCATTTGGCATATGGGGAAACTGAGGCTCAGGTAGGCTCAGTTGACCCCCACTCCCATACCTCTCTATTCCTAGCTGGGGATTTGTGCTGCTTTGAGATTTGCAAACTCTGAGCAGAGGTTGGGGTGGCAGTTGACCAAGCAGAAGCCAGGTCATGTAATAGAGCAGGCCTGGGTGCCAGGGGACCTAGGGATGTCTCCTCTTTTGAATGGGGTATAACTGCTACCACCTGATGCCTTGCCTGCCCTTACTGGGCCTGGATGGTTGGAGAGGTTGTAGTGAGGTAGTGAGGATCCCAACAGCCATCAGGGTCCGGCAAGCCCTTCCTCTTCACTCCAGGGCTTGCTAGGAGCCAGCAGAGGTGTGTAGTGCAGGCCTCCCAGCCCCTCACCAGCCACACACGTTTGTAGCCGGAGCTGCAATACCGCCCTGGTGGCCACAAGCCATGCTGCAGCCTCTGGCCCATCTGCCCTCACAGGCTCTTCGACTACCGGGGCCGTCTGTCGCCCGTGCCAGTGCCCAGGGCGGTCCCTGTGAAGCGACCCCGGGTCACAGTCCCTTTGGTCCGGCGTGTCAAAACTAACGTACCTGTCAAGCTCTTTGCCCGCTCCACAGCTGTCACCACCAGCTCAGCCAAGATCAAGTGTGAGTGACTGTATCATATTCCTAAGTAATTTGCATTTTTATCATTAGCAAAATAATAGAATCACATTTTTTACATTGGAACATAGATAAAACAACAAGTCTTCCACAGTTCTGCTGCTCTAACACAGCCAAGTATTTTCATGCATTTCTAAGAGGAAACAGCTGATGTTTTAGGAGGAGGGGTTGTGTTGGGCACAGAGAGTCCAGTGCTGGATATGGTGCCCAGTGAAGAAATGGTGCCATCTTTCCTCTAGTAAGGATAAGGACAGGTCTACCCAGGCCCATTACTCCACATTCACTCTGGTACACACATGCTGCTTAACTAATCACCCAGGAATTCAGATTCCAAAAGACACATGTTCTTGCTCAGGTGCACACAGAAGAGCACACCACACATACACACCTGTGCTCCTGTCTGTCTTTGGTCCCTTTCAGAGTTGAGAGATCAGGAGAAAAGATAGCCAGGTTCAGAAGTGTGTGCTGTCACTGTAGGGATGGACGCCAGGTAGTCTAAGGAGGAGACCTTTTTCCTAAGCAGGGAAAAAACAAAACAAAACAAAAAATAACTGCTTTCCTGGTTGAAAGAACAGGGCTGAGGTTTTGTGCTAGTGTCAAGCCTCCAGCCCCCTAGGTGACAGCCCTGTCCCCCCTCCACTCCCAGTAAAGAGCAGTGAGCTGCAGGCCATCAAGACGGAGCTGACACAGATCAAGTCCAATATCGATGCCCTGCTGAGCCGCTTGGAGCAGATCGCTGCGGAGCAAAAGGCCAATCCAGGTCAGCCTCTGAGGATTCTCACCCACCTCCATGACCAGGGCACAGGGCAGAGCATGGGGAAATAGTACATGGGAGAGAGGAGCTAGGGTGGCCCTGCAGATCCTGGACCACCTGCACTCACCATGCTGAGGCCAGCTTCCGCTAAGGTGCTGCCCTAGACAGCTACCCCAGGCTGAGTTTTATTCTCCCCTCCTCCACCCCTTCCCCTCAAGATGGCAAGAAGAAGGGTGATGGAGGTGGCGCCGGCGGCGGCGGCGGTGGTGGTGGCAGCGGTGGCGGTGGCAGTGGTGGTGGCGGTGGCGGTGGCAGCAGCCGGCCACCAGCCCCCCAAGAGAACACAACTTCTGAGGCAGGCCTGCCCCAGGGGGAAGCACGGACCCGAGACGACGGCGATGAGGAAGGGCTCCTGACACACAGCGAGGAAGAGCTGGTGAGGGCCTGGCCAGGGGCACGACTGGGACTCGACTGTGCTCCTACTCTCAGGAGGCCAACAGGGGAATGGGCAGCCTGAGCTGGTTGCCCCCACTGTGAACTTCCTGTTCTCTCCTTCCCAGGGGTTCTGGTCCTGGGGGAAAGAGGGAAGAATGAGCAGGGGGCACTTGCCTATCTCAGACACCATCAGAAGTCCCACTGAGGCCTAGGGCAGACCTCCCCCAAATGCGGGCACATTCTGGCCTCCGGTTTCCACATGAGTTGGAGAATGGGAGATTCGGACATAAGGGAGCACACACGGCCTGCAGAGCTTCAGAGCAGGGCTGGGGTGGCTTGTGGAGGCCACAGCCAGGAGGTGGGTTTTTCTAAAAGCCATTGCTGCTTAAGCATGAAGCAAAAGCTGTCTCATAAGGGGGTGAGCTCCCCGCCTGTTACTAGAACTATTCAGGCTGAGGCCGGCAGGCCATTTGACAAGGAGCTTATGTTGAGTGGGAGGGTGGACCAAACTCTGAGTCTGTGGGATATGGGTTGTACACTTGCTGCTCATTTACTTAATGAGCGCTCATTGAGCACCAAGACCCAGATCATACTCTCTAACTTCACATAACCTTAACAAGAGCCCTGTACTATGCAGAGTATTCTGTTCCCACATTTTACCCTGTGAGGAAATCGAGGCTCAGAAAGGCTGAGTGGCATGCTCAGGGCATCAGCTCGTAGGGACTGAGCCAGGGTTGGAGTCCAGACTGACTTGCTGGATCTGCAGCTTTCTCCTTTTCAGCACTGCTGGGTTCTATCGTGAGAACAGATGGGCTCATGGCCATGACGGTTAGGAGGTCTGCCTTATGCTAGCTCATCTCTCCTTTGAGCGTAGCCTGATCCTTCATCTTATTTTCTCAGGCATAGCAGTGTCCATAAAGGCCCTAACAAAGACTTGGATGCCCCCAGAGATGGGGAGCTCACCAGTCTATAAGGCTTTCAGCCTTCTCCAGTGCAGGCTCTCTGCACAGAAATGGGGCTCCTGCCACTCCCAGAACACCCTTCACTGGCCTGTGTGGGGTCCTCAGACCACCCTTCCAAGTTCCCAAGCCAGCTTTGTTGGCTGGTCCCATAGTCATTCCCCTTGGCTGTTCCTGCGTCTTCTGACTGTGTCCTCTAGATGCCCTCTGGACCATGAAGTTTTTCTGGACAAATGGCTCAGGGCAGGACTCAGAGCTGGCAATGAGTGATGTGTGGTCTCTCTTACCTCCTCCCTATCAGGAACACAGCCAGGACACAGACGCGGATGATGGGGCCTTGCAGTAAGCAGGTACAGGGGTCCTGTCCTGATGGGCAGAGGGTGGGGAATCAGTGAAGTGGAGGTTGTGCCTTTTCCCTGGATTGGGCAGGAAGTGTCACGAAGCATACCTGGCCAAGTAGCACTGACTATACCCAAGAATGAAGTCCCCTCCATATCTAGCCATCCCGTCACACCCCTTCATGCTTGGGGCTTGCCATGCTGAGGAAGCAGGTGCCGTAGATGGGCCAGGCGGGCCCACCTAGCAAGGGTTCCTTCCCTCAGCACACTCAGCCATGTTGCCTGTCTCTGCCCTTGAGGAGCTCCTAGTCTGGTAGAGGAAGACATAAGCCATTACCACCTAGTGTGAGCAGGATAACAATAGAGCGAGGCCAGGTCATGGAAGAGATGATGTGTAGCTGAGCCTGCTAGTGATTGAGGGAGCAATGTTCCACACCAGGGGAATGGCCTTAGCCATACAGAGCTGTGACAGTCCTTGGTATGTGGTGAGGCCAAGAGCCTCCTGTGGCTGCAGTGCCCCCCTAGTTGGTAGAGGACTCTGCTTATTGTCAGAGGGTGATGATTGTGAAGGGCCGTATGTGTCAGGCTTAGGGGCTGGGATTTGATTCTTTCATGGGGAGGAAATGCCCTGTGTGACAGGAGCTGCACCTGCTTTCTCTGAGTTCATCTTCAATCCCACAAGCTGATGATTGTACCAATATAATAGATGTGGAAACAGACACTAAAGGGTGCAGGGAGATAAGGTAGTAGTTGGTGGAGCCTGGATTTCAGCCCAGTGGTGTGTGGCTTCAAAGCCCACTCTCTGGCCACTGTTTACCATCTACTCTGCCCTACCTTAAAGGAAAGCCAGGCCACACCTGGCTGTGCCTACTACTCTCTGACCCATTCCCTTGGGGTGGCTTGGGTGGAGGAAGGTCTCAAACACTAGTGTTTCCAGGGAGGTGTCTGGATAGATGACACATTTATGCTGTAGTAAGATATCCCACCAGCAAAGGCTTCCAGAAGAGCTTTAGAAAATTGTACATATGCAGTCTTCTTTTGGAACTTCTTGGTTTGTTTTGCCTGGGATGCAAACAAACCTCCATATCCAGCCATCCTGCTACACCCCTTTGTGCCTGGTGCTTTCCAAAGCTTGTTAAAATAGTTCACAGGTGAGTTATATGGGCTCAGGTGAGGAAATGGAGGTTCAGAGAGCGGGTGAGACTTGCCCAAGGTTACATGGCCAGGAAATTATGAGGCCACAGCCAGAGTGCAAGAATCTCTCTGTCTCCAGACATCATTCCACCCTTTCTTCCCTACCCCTTTTATCAGCAACAGGGTCTCTTCCTCTCAGCCTTAGTCTCTTCTTTCTCTCTCTCTCTTTCTCAGCCTGACAGGAGCAATGGCCACCAGCAGGTGAAGGGCATCGCTGCCCCAGGCCTCAAGCCGGGCACCCAACCCTGGATGCCACCCCCCAGCGGGTACCAGAGGAAAGCTGGCAGCAGGCGCCTCCTCCCCCAACGCATCCCAGCCAGTGCCATGTCCTCTGCAGGTGGAGTTACTGGCCTACTCCTTCCCCATGAGCCCTCCCTGTCTGCACTGCCCAGGCCAGAGGGTAGAGCACAGGGGTTTCCCCATACTACCTCCCCTCCCCAGGACACTCCCAGGCTTGGGTTTTTTCTATAGGTTTGGCGGGGGGCCACAGGGAGGGGACCCTGACAATAAAGAGATTGGATCCCAACCTGTTCTGAGATGGGATGGTTTGTGTTTTCTCATGAAGATATCCCGGCCCCTCTGCCAACCAAAAAGCTGGTCTAGGGTGCCTAATACTGATCCATCTGGACCTTAGTGTCCTCAGTGGTGATTAAAATGGCCAGTGGGGCCACTGGGGAGGGTTGGATATGCTGGCCCATGAGCATCTTGCTGGCTGAAGTGTCAAGCAGTTGTGACCCACTTGGTTTACCCCATAGTAGGTCAAGACCTTATCTCTTTCCCCAGCTTCTAAGTCTGGTCTTTCCCAGCTCTTAAAAGGATTCTAGAGTCTGCCAGTCTCTACCTTCTCTCTTCTGGCTTAGGACACTATAATTTTTTCATTTGGACGTTGTCCTCCCACCAGCCTCCCAGTCTTCTGCCTCTGCCCTGTACCATCTCCCAGCAGCCACGCAGTCTTTCTGAAACGTATCCCTTCCCTGCCTAAAATCCCTTTACTGACTCTTCATCATCAGGACAAAACCCTACCTCCTGAATGTAGGGTGTAAGATCCTGCTTACTCCAGCCTCTCCTGTTTCTTGTCACCACCCCTTTCCTGCCCCTGACACAAACCCTACATCTCAGTCTCACAAAACACACAAGTTCTTCACACTCCGGGCAGGTTTGGTAGCAAGGAATAGAGCGTACTCCAGTGACAGCAATCAGTAGGAAGTTTGCATCCGGAGACACGCAGCCTGTCTGCCCCTGTCTTGGGCCACCCGTCTAGACATTTGTTCTCTAACAATCAGCCGGGTTCCTTCAAACGTGTGCTGCTTATACATGCTCATTGTGTACTGCTAATGTCACCTACTTCCCCCTTCATTCCCCACAATGAATGGATCCATTTTCCCCATGTTCAAGTTCCCAAGAGAGAATCGACTGCCACTGTAATTTTTTTTCCTAATCACTCATAGGTTACAAGTACCTACCCTGGTCCAGTGAACTGCGGGATTCATATGTGGCCACTTAGGCTGGTCTCGTTGGTATGGAGCTGTGGGAGGGCAGCACCCAGAAATAGGCTTTGTTCCAGGCCTGGCACGTACTCCTCCTGCTCCTACTTTCTCTACCTGGGAAATAGCCGCTCAGGACGAAGCTGCTGCTGTGGTGTCGCCACCTCTGAGAAGTCTCCCAGACCCTCCGACTGCTCTTTAATTGCCTGTTCTCTCCTCTGGAAGCCTTCCCCCAACACAGAAAAATTCAATCCCATCATCAAAAAGGGCTTTAGGTTTTCCCTCCATCTTTACGTGTTGATCAAAGTTTGCAGATCTGCTGGAATCCTTATTGAAAACTCCCCATTTCAAACCAACCCGGTCTACAGCCTCCAGGGAAGCTTCCTCCTGGGCTTTGGCTCCATGTTTTGGTAGAGGGTGGAGGCTTTGGGCAGTGCTCAAACTCCACCGGGAAGTCTCTCTCACTGAGCAGCCCTCCTGCCTGTCATCCTGGGCAGGCGAGCACTCTGAGGCCCCAGTGTAGCTCTGTGCTTTGATATTCCCAAGCTCTGCTGGGGCCTGACTAGGCCAGCCCCAAGGTGGCCAGAGTTCTGGCTTCATACCTGAGCCAAAAGCCCCAATCCATGCTTGGCCATTGCCTGAGTATTAGCTGCCCCAGGGGGATCACGGTCCCCATATATTTGCTTGCCATGGACCCTGGGCAGCAGGGAGAGAGTAGAGATTTGTCAAGAGCCCATGGTGGAGGCTGAGGCCCTGAGGCCATGAGATGCAGGCATGGGGTGAGAAACAGGCCCCTTGGAATTGGGCTGGGCCTTGGCCCAGCTTAGTCAAATCAAAAGGCTTCTATTTGGAGAGCTGAAGAGGGTGTACAGAGGAAGGGGCTAGGTCTGCAAGGAGTGCCTCATCTCCCTGAAGAGCTCTCAGTGGAACATACTTCACCCATCCATGTACCCACATCTTTCCTTGCCCAGAAGGCGAGAGCCAGCTATAACAGACCCATTTCAATACCCTGGCAAGTCATTACTGCCCTTAGCTCTTGGTGTCCCCATCTGTGAAACATGGGGGACAGCTGCTAGCCTGGATTGGAACTTGGGCAAAGTCCAAAGAATGGGATTTAGAGCTGAATGAACCTCACACTGAGGGCACAATAGCACTAGGCACTGCCCCCAGAGCCTAGTGCTATATGCCTGCTGCAGGTCCTACCCAAGCATGCTTTACTGAGGAACTCAACGTTTCAGAGCTTGAGGGTCAGGTTGATCATGGGCTTGTGACCATAGGCTTCCTTAGTATGCCAGGCTTGGAGAACCGTGAGAAAAGCAGGGAAGATACCTTCAAGGGTAGCAGGCATCAGCTCTACTCACCTTGGCCCATAAGGCTTTGCCTGGTCATGCTGGCACCGGGTCATATGCTGGACAGGGAGAACGAGAGTCCCATCCTGGAACTCCAGAAAAGCCCCTGGATGCTCCAGCCCCTGGGAAAGCACACAGCCAGGCCCTTGGGTGGGAGGTTGGCTTCTAACAGTGCATACACATGCCCTTCCTCTGAGTCGGGGCAGCAAAAACATCCATTCCGCTGCGCAACAGTTGTCATTTTTCTAACATCTGAAAACTCCAGAAGGAGATGGTGATAAATGTGGTACCGGATTCTGCCTAAAGGATCAGTCTTTAGATGTTTTCAGATTGAAAGCCTCATTTGTGATCCTCACAGCCATCTTGAAAGAATAGAGCAGCCAGTGGGTATACTGGATTGTGAGCTAAGAGGCCTGGGACTTTCCCCCTGTTGCTGCCAGCCAGGTTGATGACCCTGGGCAAGTCTTTTTCCTTACCAGGTCTCAGTTTCCTCAGCTGTAAAATGAGAGGTTGATCTGGATCAGGGATAGTAAATGGGCCTTTGTTCAGTTACTGACTGTTGTATAACAAACCACCCCCAAATTTAGTAGCCTTAATAAACATTTATTAGCTCCTGAGTGAGTGGCTTGGCAGTTTGGGCTGTGTTCAGTGTGGTGGTTCTTATCTCATCTGGGCCCTCGTGTGGCTGAAGTGAGCTGGCAGATCAGCTGGGGACTGGCTGGTCTCAGATGGCCTCGCCCGCCTGTCAGGTGGTTGGCTGGGCAACTGGGCCACACGTTCCAGCATCTAGCAGGCTGACCCAGGATTCTAGACATCATGGCTGAGTTCCAAAAACCGCAAGAGAAGACAAGCCCAGTATGCGAGTGCTCTTGAGGATATTGCTATGACGTATCTTTTGGCCAAAGTAAGTCACATGGCTAAGCCCAAATTCTTCTTAACAGGAGGAGCTTCAAAATATGGCCATATTTAAAAAATCTACCTCAGGACTCATTTCACTTGCCAACTCAGAACTTTTAGTAGCAGCTGCCTGGAGTGCCTTTTGAGGATCTGCAGCAATTTTCAGACTGTTTGGAAATACTGACATGATAGTTTGGCAGTTTCTCTTATGAGCATGGAATTCAAGTGTGGGCACGTGAGCGTCAGGTATTTGCCATCCCTGGCCAGGTTGACCCGTAAGGTCATAACCTGCCCCATAGGATGTTATATGCAGTAGGCCTGTCTGACAAGACCACAGAAATAGAGAAGGCAAAGCAGAGCAAAAGATTCTGAGCCAGGCATCCTTGGTTTTCATCCCAACCAGATCATTGATTGATTGAGGTTTTAGGCAAATCAAAATCCCTCCACCAGTAGCCAGATTCTTCATAATAAACTTCCTCCATAACAGTAAACCATTTCCTGAACACCTGCTGTTAAAAAGCACATTTTACATTTACTTAATCTCCACAACCACCCTCAGTAGGTGTAGTAAGGACTTCTGGTTACAAGTTACAGAAACTGAATTCAGTCCTGCTTAGTGGGAGGAAGTTTATTGGCTCACAAATTGTAAAGTCCAGGGATCTTCAGACATGGGGACTTGGGTTCAAAAGCTGCCATCGAGAATCCGGTTAGCCAGGCATGGTGACACGTGCCTGTAGTCCCCGCTACTTGGGGGACTACAGTGGGAGATCATTTGCACCTAGGAGGTTAATGCTGCGGTGAGCCATGATCCTGCCGCTGCACTCCAGCCTGGGTGACAAAGCGAGACCCCAACTCAAGGGGAAAAAATCTGGTTTTCGGGCAGGTTCCAAGAAGTGGTAGAGCATGGCCATAGGGCCTGTGAGAATAGAGGGACAGAGGGGAGAATCCCCAAAAGGAGAGCAAGGCTTGGCTAACAAAAACAGGCATCCACTGTGTGGTTATGTCTATTCTATAGATTTTGTAGATGAGGTTTAAAAGCATGGCCCCAAGTAAAGGTGGCATCTCTATCCTATCCTCGCCTTTATCTAAACTCTGTGACCGATCAATAGCATATGATGGTGGTGGTGCTCTGCCAGTCTCCCAGTCCCAGACTGAAGCACTAGCAGCTTCCACTTATTATCTCTTGGGACTCTAGCTCTTGGGACCCAACCACCATGCTGTGAAGCAGCCCAGGCCACACAGAGAGGCCACGTGTACATGTTCAGCTGACAGCAGTATCAAATGTCAGACATGAGAGAGGAAGGCTTCAAGATGACTCCAGCCCAGCCACCGTCTGAGAACAAAGTAAGAACTGCCTCACTGATGCCATTCAAAGCCCAGCACCATGAGAGATAATAAAACGTTGTTTGAAGATGCTAACTTTTGGAGTGATTTGTTGTATCAGTAGATAACCAGGACACAGGCCCACAGAGGTTCAGTAGCTTGCTGTGCTTCTCAGGGGGCTAGGTTAAGAGTATAGGTTTTGTTGCTGGGCGCGGTGGCTCACGCCTGTAATCCCAACACTTTGGGAGGCCAAGGCGGGCAGATCACGAGGTCAGGAGACCGAGACCATCCTGGCTAACACGGCGAAACCCCGTCTCTACTAAAAATACAAAAAAATTAGCCGGGTGTGGTGGCGGGCGCTTGTAGTCCCAGCTACTTGGGAGGCTGAGGCAGGAGAATGGTGTGAAGCTGGGAGGTGGAGCTTGCAGTGAGCCAAGATCGCGCCACTGCACTCCAGCCTGGGCGACAGAGCAAGACTCCGTCTCTTGCTGACTCTTACCCATATGCCTGCATCTGTCTACCCTCTTTTCTATGTACTTGCTCCCTGGATGACTTCATCCGTGGCTTCAGACTCCACTCATGGCTCCATAATCTTCACCTCTAACTCATTTTCCTCCCAAGAACACCAGGGGAGTAGGTACAGATGCCCATCTAATAACTGTACTTCGATGTCCACAAGGACCTGTCCAGCCCCCACTTGCCCGTGTCAACCTCCTCCACTGCTCCATTAATTTTTCCCTCTGTGTTAATTTTTCCCTGGTTATCTTAGGTCCTTTCTGTGTCTTAATTGGACTTTTGCAGTAACCTCTAACTAGGCTCCCTGCTGCTCTTCCTACTCGGCTATCCGTTTTATCACCATCCCATTGGGTAAGATCCACACCCCTTAGCATGACATCCTAAGATGTCCAAGATATGACTGACCCCTTCTCAACACCTCCCCTCCCGTAATCTGCCTCCTCCATGTCTCAAGCCACGTGGAATAAATTGTGGAAAGACCTGTGCTGTCTGGCTTGTGCCTTTACACATGCTGTTATCTCTACCTCAAATGCTGTCTTCCCCCACTGGCTAACCCTTGTTATCCTTTATAACAGCTCAGAAGTTGCCTGCTCAAAGACACTTTCTTGGCCTGAATTAGAACTGCCCTCTCACGTGCTACTTCCATCACAGATCTTACCATCTATTATATTATTACATACACACACACACACACACACACACATAAAATGTATTTTGAGATCAGGGTCTCACCCAGGTTGGAATGCAGTGGCACAATCTCTCGGCTCACTGCAACCTCTGTCTCCCAGGCTCAAGCAGTCCTCCCACCCCAGCCTCCTGAGTAGCTGAGACAACAGGCATGTGCCACCATACCTGCCTAATTTTTTTGTATTTTTGGTACAGATGGGGTTTCACCATGTTGCCCAGGCTGGTCTTGAATTCCTGAGCTCAGGAAATTCTGATCCTGAAATTCCAGCCCAATAAAAGGAAAATAGTTCTATGTGCCAGGCAGGCCTGGGTTAAACATACTATCTTACCATTACCTCTTTAAAGTGGACATTTTCCCACTTTACAGCTGAGAATACAGGATAATAATCAGTGGCATTTGGGGACTGCCAATGTGGACTGTTCAAAGACCATGCTCAGCATTATCAAGAATGAGCAAGCACTTGCCATTAGGGTACTGACTTAACAAACTATGGCATAATGTGGATGGACTCTTAAGTAGTCTTTTAAAATTATGAAGCCTGTAATAACTTGGAAAAATGGTCTGGATACTAAAAAGTTATATGGTGGTAGGATTATGGGAATTTAACATTTTAAATTATAATCTCATCTTCCCAATTAAAAAAGACCACCTCACCTGCTACAAAGCCCAGCTTCTAAGAACACATTGCAAAATTTAACGTTCTGTTCAATTGCGAAGCCTCAGTATTGTCAGGGCAAAGATCCGGAAGGGGAGCCCAGGTGCGGAGCTGGGACCTCACATACCACAGCAGCACTTCTTCCAGACTGTCTGGCCCAGCACTTTTTCTGCAGAACCTATCCTATGTTTGTCAGGTGGGGGGAGAGGTGTGCAAAATTCTGCATATTTTATACTCCCTTTAAAGAAACACATTCAAATACGTATCACCTACAACTTTCTAGGCATTGCCTGCTGTCAGTATTGGGGATACATGAGTGAACAAAAGTGTCTGCCCTCAACACTTAACATTATGGTGTGCTGGAGAAACCATCTTTATAGTGGGCAGGGACCCAAGGAAGTGTGGGAGTGAGCCAGGTAGACACCTCGGGAAAAGCTTTTCAAACTTTCCTGTAGGTGGGAGTGAGGGGCATGGAATCAAGGTTTTCTAAAAAGTAGAGCTGCAACTGCATGTCTTCTATATGCTGATGAAAATGCACAGCACTGGCCAGGCACGGTGGCTCACGCCTGTAATCCCAGCACTTTGAGAAGCCAAGGCGGGCAGATTGCTTGAGGTCAGGAGTTTGAGACCAGCCCGGCCAACATGGTGAAACCCCGTCTCCATTAAAAAACACAAAAAATTAGCTGGTAAGGTGGCGGGTGCCTGTAATCTTGGCTATTCGGGAGGCTGAGGCAGGAGAATCACTTGAACCCAGGAGGCGGAGGTTGCAGTGACCCGAGATCTTGCCACTGCACTCCAGCCTGGGTGACAAAGTGAGACTCCATCTCAAAAAACAAAAGAAAATGCACATCACCATATTAAAGACTTGTCAGGCAGTTATGAAACCCACTTACTTACTCTTGACTTTTTTTTTCTTTGAGACAGACTTGTTCTGTTGCCCAGGCTGGAGTGCAGTGGCAGGGTCTCGCCTCACTGCAACCTCCGCCTCCTGGGTTCAAGCAATTCTCCCGCCTCAGCCTCCCAAGTAGCTGAGATTATAGGCGCCAGCCACCATGCCCAACTAATTTTTTTTTTTTTTTTTTTAGTAGAGACAGGGTTTCACCATGTTGGCCAGGCTGGTCGTGAACTGCTGACCTTGTGATCCGCCCACCTCGGCCTCCCCACCACGCCCAGCCTACTCTGACTTTTCTTTACCATGGAACCCCCCTCCTTTTCCTTTTCATAATTAGGAAGGGTCCTCAACGTTGTTTCCTAAGACACTTTGGAAATGATGATCTGGTTCCCTTCCAAAACTAGAAAGGGGCTCTTGATTGCCTTTGCTTTGTCACCACATTGCAAGGTTCCTTCAGCTGAGCTGTGTTTGGTGAGAGACAGTAGAGACAGAAGAGGTTGATGCTACTGTGTCTGAGTAACATAGGGCAACCCATTATTTTTCATGGGTTTTCAATCCAATTTAGTCAGTTATCTCAACTGGACTCTTACAGGGGCTGCATCAGTCCTGAGAATCTGCTTCAAGAATGAAGTTAAAAACGGGTTGAAATCACCAGTCTATTTGTCAACCTGTCACCAAACTGAAGAGTATCATTCCTTCTCCTAAAGGGTCCCGCTAAGTAAAGAATAACCCAAACACACATACATACACAAAAGCAATGGAGCGTTAATTACATAAGAGGCACTGATCCTTGCTTTATTCATGTAGAAATATCCAACATTGGGAATCGTGTGGGTGTAGATACAAAAAAAGGAAAATGGGGGCATAAACAGCAGTTGGGTTCATCGTGGCAGTTGGTGGCAGTTTCAGCCAGTGTGTGGGTTGAGGGCCCTCTACTGCTTTACCCATCACCCTCCACTGTTTTAGCCAAGGTGTTTGACAACACTTGGCCTGTACTTTAAGGGTCACAGTGATTAAAAACAACACAGTCAAGACATTTGGGTCTGAGTGACTGCTCCTGAGCTGCTTAGTACGAAGTCGGGCAACAAGAAAGCGAGGAGCAGCGTGTATGCCCTTATCCTCAGCAAGTGAGAACAAGGCAGATCACAGCACCGACACAGAAGATGGCCTTCTCCCATGTGCCAGCGGAGAATCCCCTTCCAGCCAAATCCTCAGGAAGCAGAGCACCACACAAGCAGCATTTCTTGGTTTCTCATGGTCATATTCAAAAGCGACTTTTAAATCAGAAAATAGAAAAAGCATTTGTGGTGGGTCTTTTTCAAACCCAGAACACAAGTTGGCTAGGAAAACGGAAAGCTTCCTCTGGCATCCCTGTTTGGACTCCTCCTCCTCTTGGAGGAGTTTCCTGAACCGCACACACATCGCTTCCTCACCAAGAGAGATGCTCAACTAGGATCTTTTTTAGTGTGCCAGTTACAAGACACATTTACAGGCTATGTTTCTAAGACCTCTTAGTGGCCAACGAGGAAGGAGGGTACCTAGCACCTTGTATTCCCTCATGTGGTAACAGCTGGGGGAGGACTTGGCGGTGAGGTAGTAGCAACCATCCCCACATACGGAAAAGAATTCAAATCTATGGAGTCATTCCCTGGACACTGAAAACAGGCAATCCTCCTAAGTCTCAAGGTCCCACCACACTCGCGTGGGAGGCCGTGTCTACTTTAACTATGTATCTCAAGAGAAGCAGAGAAGAAAAATGGCTGCCCAGATGAAGCGCCTGCCATTGTTCAGTTTCTCAGTCAGAGCCCGGCACACACTGTTTTATATGGTTGGTTTCTTGCTGATTTCACCAAGCACATTTATAGAAAAGAAAACTGAAGGACAAACCAAATTGAAAGAATCACTGTTATAATAACTTTAATTTATCTTGCATTTTACAGAAGTCTATGAACGATTTTAAAAAAGCACCTCCTTACCCCATATCACGTTTCTCTGACAGGTGTTAAAGTAGGCAATGAGTATGTCAACAGCTTGAGCATCAGCGTCTTGCAAGGACTTCAGACCAACCACTCGCCAAAAATCTTGGCAGCTTTTTTATCTTGTTTTTAATACAACGGTATATCCACTCTGATGGCAAACCTGTCCAGCCACATCTCCACAACAAGCTTTGCAAAATCAGTGATTAGCAAATTAGTTAGCTTTGGCACGGAGCTGTGCTCGCTTGCCCGTGACAGCCTGGAAGCCGGTTTTGATACTGGCAACAGAACATCTAGAATGACAAGTTTCGCACTGTAGGAAATAGAGTCGTGTGTCCTTCTGCAGGATTGTGTCCGGTGATCGGCATGTGTGACAAGTGACATATTCCTCTGCAAATAAAGCAACACACAGAATTACCTGGTGGCTGCAGTGAGGTAGAGAAGTTTCTGCCTTCTTAAATACATCTACAAAGAACTCCACAAGCCCAGGCTGAGAATTTAGCTGGGCACCCAGACCAGGGAAGCGCAGCTATTCGAGGGGTAAGAAAACACAAGCTGTCTGCTGTGGCGCTTCCGGCACTAAACATGGGCTGATACTCAATGCCCCAGGATGCAAGGAAGCCTGCCAGCTTGCTTATTCTCGTTTCTGTCTAGAGGAGAGCCACTCAAACATGTTGACAGACATGCCAATTTTAAATAACTAGGAACAAAAGGGGGCCAAGGCCAGGCCTGAATCACAGGCAAGTTTCTCTGACTTGGCCTTCAGCCCTACAATCAACCAGCAGCTTCAATCAGCTGGGCTTTCTTTAAAAATCCAAATCCTTTTCTATCTATACCCCTAGTTAGTAGGCAAGAGCCACCTCCCTTTCACTATCATTTTGTCTCTGATCTTTTTAAGGCCAGCTTTTCCCAGCTCACTGCAATCAAATGGCTCTTCCTCTAACACTGCAGCCTCATGAGAACATTTCAGGGTGATCTAATGAAATGAATTATACACTTACTGATATATCTTCTCAAGACATTTTCTATCTGTTTCTGTTGGAATCTTCCTTTGATTACAAGTTGGTTATTACCATCTATAGAACCACTATGAAAGAAAACAAAAATATCTCCATTATTATTGTTTTTTCCTAAAGGAACCAAATTCCAGCACCTTTAAACTTAATGAACTTAAAATATATTCAGTAGCATAGGATAAACTCTAGGACTGGTGCTATACTACTTGGTTTCCCAAAATTTATTTATTTATGAGACAGGGTCTCACACTCTGTCGCCCAGACTGGAGTGCAGTGGCGTGATCATGGCTCACTGCACCTTCAATCTCCCAGGCTCAAGCAATCCTCCCACCTAAGCCTAGCAAGTAGCTAGGACTACAGGCACTCCCCACTGTGCCCTGCTAATTTTTTTTTTTTGGTAGAGATGGAGGGGTCTCCCTATGTTGCCCAGGCTGGTCTCAAACTACTGGACTCAAGTGATCCTCCCACTATGGCCTCCCAAACTGCTGGGATTACAGGTGTAGGCCACCACACCCAGCCTCAAAATTTATTTTTAATTAAATAGTTTGCGTCTAATGATGTACCCATACTAACATCAAATCCAATTAAATCTCCAGTGATAACAATCAGATTTATAATTGATTTTAAGTCTAAAACAAACTGATTCCTTCATTGTATGTGACAGTCCATCCAACAAAGGAAAAAATCTTTTACTGCATCATACCATGTACAAAGCAAGGCAAAGGAGAGACCTAGAAATATAAAAACAGGAAAGGGGCTACGTTTGTTTTTTAAAATTCTAAGCACCAAATATTTTGATTCAGGCATGGTTAGAAGTATAGTTGATAAAAATATACTAAAATTGATTGTGGTAGCAGTTATACATATTAAGTTTAATATGTGATCATACTAAAAACCATTGGGGCCAGGTGTGGTGGCTCACGCCTGTAATCCCAGCACTTTGGGAGGCTGAGGCGAGTTGATCACCTGAGGTCAGGTGTTCGAGACCAGCCTGACCAATATGGTGGAACCCCGTCTCTACTACAAATACAAAAAAATTAGCCAGGCGTGGTGGTGGGCGCCTATAGTCCCAGCTACTGGGGAGGCTGAGACAGGAGAATTGCTTGAACCTGGGAGGCAGAGGTTGCAGTGAGCCAAGATCCACGCCACTGCACTCCAGCCTGGGCGACAGAGCACAACTCCATCTCAAAAAAAAAAAAAAACCCCATTGGATTGTATATATTATTTATATATATTTATTTTTTTGGGGGGGGGGGGTCCAAGGGTGGAGGTTTAATAGGCAAAAGAGAAAGAATAGCTCTGTCTTGCGAGAGAGACGGACGTCCGAGTGGGACTCTCCTGGATTATACACTTTAAATTTGTAAGCTGTTATCTCAATAAAGCTGTTTGAAGAAAAAAAAAGGATAGTTGAATCACAAGCCACAAACTGTCAATGGTACTTAATGATAAACTGATAGGAAACTGTTGACAGGCACTTTTGAGAAAGCAAAGCTCTAGGCTAGATATTATCATTCATTCAAAATTATAAATCATAAAGTGAAACAACAAAATTCAGTCAAGCAGGGTTAAATTTCCTCCTCCACAGATTGTAACCCTTAATCTCCAGGCTACAGTGATTGCAATGCTTGATGTAGAAATTCTTTTTCATTCACTGTCAAAATAAATGGAATTTTCTCGAAAACCCATTTAACCCATTGACCATAAGTTTACTGGCCACAACTTGTTATAATAGTTTATCCCACCTCTAACAAAACCTCTAGATTATTCTAACAATAGAAAAAACAATGCTAGCTTTTGCTCCCTCATTAGTTTGTGCAAGTTACAAATAACGATGGTAACAAATTTATATTTAAAACATGCTGGGTGCGGTGGCTCACGCCTGTAATCCCAGCACTTTGGGAGACCAAGGCAGGCGGATCACAAGGTCAGGAAATCGAGACCATCCTGGCTAACACGGTGAAACCTCGTCTACTAAAAATACAAAAAATTAGCTGGGCGTGGTGGCGGGCGCCTGTAGTCCCAGCTACTCAGGAGGCTGAGGCAGGAGAATGGCATGAACCCGGGAAGCAGGCTTGCAGTGAGCCGAGACTGTGCCACTGCACTCCAGCCTGGGTGACAGAGCGAGACTCCATCTCAAAAAAACAAAACAAAACAACAAAACCCACAATTCTTCTACAACAGAGCCTACGTATCCACCACGGTCAAGTAAATTACCCCTTAACCCCACACCAAGTGTAGCAAATCCCAACAGTTTAAAGAGAGTAGGAAGAGAACACCTTAATTATCTCTGTACTGCCAGTGACGCACAGGTGTCAAGCCTGTTAGGTGATCAAGCTGCAGGGACAGATAGACCTGATTGTATCTATCTTGACTGTGCCACTAACTAGCTATGTGACCAACTACAACTTCACTTTACTGAACCTGTTTCCGAACGTGAAGATAGGAATATTACTTTCTACTTCATAGAACTATTGTGAAGATTAATTGAGATGGCACCCAAAAAAGCACTTGGCACAAAAGAGGTGCTCAATATGCATTAGTCATCATTATCATGACCTACTCTACATTACTTATTTTTAAAGGGACATTAGGCTTCCAGATAGTAGTCAAACTCATTGGCATGGGGTCCATGAGATCTTGGCCTTCCTGAATGGGAATGACTTGCTCAGTGCCTTCAAAAGGTGAGCCCTGAAGACAGGTAAGTACCTATTTCATCACAGATCCTGGTTTCAATGGTTTCTCCAGTGCCACTCATCAACTTACTAGCTGTATTTCTTCAACAGCCTGTTACCAATTTAGGAAAAAAAAGTCTGACTTTAAGAAAACCAATTCCTCTAAAAATCTAATATTTGCTCCATAAAAAGACTCAAGAGTTTCAGTTAGTAACAGGAAAGTCTAAACATGGCAGTTCTGTGGTCCTCTGGTTGGTACACCAGCAGGCCTGTTCAGATGTCAACTCTGTGCCCTATTCCTAAGCAGCCAAGCTCTCCCACAGAAATGAAGTGATTTCACTCCTCCACTGGCCTAAAAGTTTCTCTAATAATCAGGTGAACATTTTCTCTAAGTGTGTTACATATCCTTTTCAAGAAAGGTTCTTATGAAATGTCCAGCAGTACTGTATGTAAATGTATACAGTTTCTTACCTTGTACCCAATTCAGCCAACAAAAATGCAAGGAGATGTTTGGGCTGACGATGTAATCTAAAAAGAAAATCAAAATATATAAACCTTATCTCTCATGGAAATCTCACCAAACTTCTAAAAAATCTGTTCATTGTTTTGATCTGTGATTATTTAGCTATTAAGTGAATTTCACTGCACCATTTATTTAAACTTTGAAATAAAGATACAGTATATGACACCACTTTTTTTATTGTTAAGAGACAGGGTCTTGTTTTATTGCCCAGGCTGGAGTGCAGTGATGATCATAGCTCACTGTAACCTCAAACTCCTGAGCTCAAGCCATCCTCCCATCTCAGCCTCCCAAGTAGCTAGGACTACAGGTGTGTGCCACCATGCCTGTCTAATTCTTTAGTTTTTGTGTAGAGATGGGGTCTCACTATGTTGCCCAGACTGGTATGGAACTCATGGTCTCAAATGATCCTCCTGTCTCAGCTTCCCAAAGTGCCAGGATTACAGATGTGAACTGAGCCAGATAGCACTTGTTTACACTTCAATGCCCATAAGACCATATTACATTTTATGACTACATACATGTGCGTAAGCATCTAGAAACAAGGATGGAAAACATCAACACCGACTTCAGAGAATAACAACTTCCTCTGGGAAGGAAAAAGGGGCCAGGAAAAGATACAAAGGTGGCCTTAATTATAACTATAAAACCACCTTTTTCTTTTGTTTTTGAGACTATCATAAAATAGCATAAAACCTTCTTTTTAAAGAAGTAAAAAAATCTGAAGCAAATGTGTCAAAAGTTCAACATATACCAAACCTAGGTGATGGATACTTGGATGTTATCAAACAGGCTAATAAATATATATGTTAATCCATATATATTTCATGTGTAAAATTTTCATTAAAAGAAAGTGTATGTCTAGAAGGGTTCCATGGTAGCACAACAGAAAAATGGAAACATCTTAAATATTCACCAACTAGAGGAGTGGTTAAATAAATCCATTCAAGGGTGTATTCTACTTTTAGAAATATCTCAATATACAAAAAAAAAAAAATGTACATACACATATAAAATAAAAAACACAAATATAGAGCAATGCCATTCAATATTTTCATTTCATTTTTTAAATCTATACTGTGGCACTGAACTTGTTCCAACAAGCAGGTGCTAACTACAACAATTTTTAAGCTTTTTTCCCCAAAATGCAATAGGTGAGAACTGGTAAAAATATAATAAAATAGGTAAGCTCCTACATTGCTAGCGGGAGTATGAACTGGCACGACCTTGCTAGAAAGCAATGTGCTAATGTTTGCCATAAAAATATCCATTCCTTTTAACTCAGCAATTTCATCTTGCCTTAAGATTCTATTCTGAGCTACTGGAAAGATACATGTATAAAGATGTTCGGTGAAGTTTTGCCTCTGATAATAAAAACCTGGGAGCAGCCACGTCCAACTTATGGAACTGTTAAAATATGTTGTGTAGCTATTTAAAACACTTACTCAGACTAATGACATGAGTAAAACTTTCACAATATATTGAGAAAATAGGTTAAAAACCAGTATGATAGCAATTTATTTTTAAAATATGTACATAAAACTGGCTAAACAGAAAAATATTAAACTATGATAAGTTAGCTACCTCTTTTTTTTTTTTTTTTTTTTGACAGAGTCTCACACTATTGCCCAGGCTGTAGTGTGCAATGGCACAATCTCAGCTCACTGCAACCTCTGCCTCCCAGGTTCAAGTGATTCTCCTGCCTCAGCCTCCCGAGTAGCGGGATTACAGGCACGTGCCACCACGCCTGACTTATTTTTTGTATTTTTTAGTAGAGCCGGGGTTTCACTATGTTGGCCAGCCTGGTCTCGAACTCCTGACCTTGTGATCCGCCCACCTCGGCCTCCCAAAGTGGTGGGATTACAGGCGTGAGCTACTGCGCCCAGCAGTTATCTACCTCTTAATGGTGGACTTTGCAGATGATTTTCCATTTTCTTTAGCATGTCTTTATCTTCTAATTTTTCTACAATGAGTATATACTACTATTGTCATTAGCCAAAAAAATCTAAACTATTTAAATATATGTAAGTAATGACAACAAGTGGTTATCTCTGGGTGGTAAAATTTTGAGTGAATATTATCTCTTTTGTGTTTACCATATTTTCTACAACAAGCATGTAGCACTTAGGAAATTAAAGAACAAAGAGTGGATAAACTCAGTGGTCCTAAGGAAACTGCCAGAAAACATGCAGCTGAGGAGCTCAGAGAAAAGCCATTCCCAGACAGTAACCCAGGGCTGACTCTGGCATAGAATGTGATGGTAATTAAGAAAGATACAATCTCATCAATTGTGTCCTGGCAATGATCATCCAAGGAAGAGGCACCCAAATTCAGGCACTTTCCCTGAGCTCACTGCTTGCTTGGCAGGCCTATCCTAGAGCAACTGATGAGCCTTTCCACTCCCTGGGCTCCCAAGGCTCCTGAGAACTACATTGAGCCTCCTCACTCTTCACTACATCTAGTTAGGATCCATCCTCAGTGGGTCAGCATGAGTTGATTTCTCTCACCTCTGAATGCACTAATAAAACAAGCCCTCCTGGGCAACACAGCAAGACCCACGTTTCTACAAAAAAAAAAAAAAATTTTTTTAAATTGGTCGGGCATGGTGGTGTGCACCTGTAGTCTCAGCTACTTAGGAGGCTGAAGCAGGAGAACTGCTGAAGCCCAGGAGATTGAGGCTGCAGTGAGCCATGACCACTCCACTGCATTCCAGCCTGGGCGACAAAGCAAGACCGTTATCTTTAATAAAATAAAACAGCCCTGAGACTTATGAATTGAAGAAAATGACAGGCTTGAACGGTGAACTCCCTCAACCCCTACACCTGTGTGTTCTTTCCATCTATAATAAAGTCGACAATAAGGACATTTAACATTCTTAAAACTGCAATGAGAATCTGGCATTTGGGATGAAGGTACTCCATTAACCAACTTACAGTTTACAGATATCTGTAAAGTTGACAAAAGAAGTTTTCTTGGTTCCTACTCGGACGACTTGTGGAGGTTTCATGACAAATTTCCTTTTCTCCCCAGCAACCATATCTGGATTCTTTTCCCTCATGATGTTGAACACTCGATTCAGCAGCTATAAAAATAAAGTGGTATTCATGAATACGCTTAGTAACTGCAGGGGTATAAAGTTCCCCTTTGAGTCATGTTGCTTAACAGCAAATACTTCACTTCTGATTAAATATACACATGCATTACTACAAGTCTGGGAGCTCCTTGAGGGCAGAGGTTCATCCCCAACCAGCATTTGGTTCATTATAGATGCTCAGCAACTCCTTGTCCAAAGTGAAATGAATGAACAACCACTCATTCTGTTGTTTCTATGGCAAAGTACATGATACATGGAAAAGTAAGATTCAGGAAAGCCCAAACTAGCAAACTCCAGACTACCCTGGCCCTAAATTAGCTAATTCACCACTGCCCTCCTAATTCCTAGAGGGCTGCATGCCCTCAGCAGTCCACAAATTCAGGTGGGGACAGTGAGTAGTACTACAATGACTGCTGCACTCTGGGCAGGCTGCCCCACGGGTGCGCACCAGGAATTGCTGTGCACTGGCTGTGTGACCTCTCTGCATCTGTTCCACCATCAGTCATTACTTCAACGGCCGTTCCAATAAGATTTATCTTGCTCTTCTTTGAGCACTAGTGAATAGCTTAGCCCCTTTTCACAACAGATTTTGTCTTACCTCCTCGTATGTGTAGTCTCTTTCTGAGCCTGCCCAAGCAGGGCCTGTCTGATTACTGAATGAGATACCATCATCTTTTTTGTTGTCTTCATCTTCTAGAGCTACAGATAAAAAAGATTTTAAGAATGAGGGGTGGGCCCTACTACAATACAAAAGTGGGGTGGGTCTAGAGAAATGAAGAGTTTCAAAGACATCTGTCTTCCCTTCCACAGCTGCATTCACAACAGCCTTAAGCATAAAGAAACCAAAGCTCACAACCCTTTTCCTTAGAAACAGGGATGTTATGACTTTCAAAAAAGGCCCTTAATAGAGACCTCTCTAATTAGGAGTTGATAACATACTGAAATGTTTCTTAATTTAACAAATCAAAGATAAAATAATGCATTGGAATAATTAGAGGAAAAAGTCCAACTGTTTTGAGCACTTAAGAAACATCAACATCCATAAAACTCATCTACTGACAAAAGTTCTCTAAAGACCCTATAGCATTTAGAAACTAATAAAACTGTAAACACGAGTTTAAAAAATTTTTTTAATTAAAAAATCGGGGCCGGGCGCTGTGGCTCACACCTGTAATCCCAGCACTTTGGGAGGCCGAGGCGGACGGATCACCTGAGGTTGGGAGTTCGAGACCTGCCTGACCAACATGGAGAAACTCCCATCTCTACTAAAAATACAAAATTAGCCGAGAGTGGTGGCGAATGCCTGTAATCCCAGCTACTCGGGAGGCTGAGGCGGGAGAATCGCTTGAACCCGGTAGGCAGAGATTGTGGTGAGCCAAGATCGTGTCATTGCACTTCAGCCTGGGCGACAAGAGTGAGACTCCGTCTCAAAAAAAAAAAAAAAATCCGGTTATAGTAATTTTCCCAAGCCTGAATCAGTATGTTTTTAATGTAATCACAGTTAACAAATTCTTTAACTGCCATTATCAAGCCAAACACTGTTTCCTTTCGCTTCCATTATCAGTCAGTAGAAATAAGGGGCAAGAAAAAAATTTTAAAAGCACCCTCCACCCCCATCAAGGAGACCAGGGCCAAAGGCTTGAGTAACCTCTAAATGTGCTGCTGAGTCCTCAGCATTACCTTCATCTTTCTCTAGTATTTCATCCTCATCTGGGAACTTAACATTCTTCTTTTTCTTCTTTTTATTGCCAAGCATAATGTCAAGGTCATCCTCTGGTTCAGTTGGTTCTTGAACATCACTTTCAATCTTAAGATCCTAAGAAAGTGAGATGAGTCTGAACATTTGATACTGGGACTATTCTTTTTTATTTATTTTATTACATTTTCTGTTGAGATGAGGAGGTCTTGCTTTGTTGCTCAGGCTAGTCTCAAACTCCTGGCCTCAAGAGATCCTCCCGCCCTGGCCTCCCAAAATGCTGGGATTACAGGCATGAGCCACCACACCCAGCCTGTTCTTTTTTAAAAATGACGTGGGCTGACATTATTTTGGCAGGGAAAAAAATCACATATTCAAAATTGAAGTTACAGATAAGAAACGCCTGTCAGAAATGGACCAAACTGGCTCACAGAGACTCTGCCATTTGAACTGTGAATTCTTCAAGACACTTGTGGGATCTTTCCCCCTCATTCATCTCTTTATTCTTCAGCCTTAGGATCTTATAATTATTGTCCTTATTTCCAAACCAGGCTACTGTCAGAATCACGGCAGAGGCCAGGCGTCTTGGCTCACACCTGTAATCCCAGCACTTTGGGACGTCGAGGCAGGTGGATCCCTGAGGTCAGGAGTTCAAGACCAGCCTGGCCAACATGGTAAAACCCCACACCTACTAAAGATACAAAAATTAGCTGGATGTGGTGGCAGGCACCTGTAATCCCAGCTACTTGAGAGGAATCGCTTGAACCCAGGAAGCAGAGGTTGCAGTGAGTTGAGATCGTGCCACCGCACTCCAGCCTGGGCAACAAGAGGGAAACTCTGTCTCAAAGAAAAAAAAAAAAAAGAATCACTTGAGAAAATTTAAAAGTTTAAATCGGATTGATGATCTTCAGCAGGAACAGGGTTCAGGAGTACTTTAAAGAAGTTTCTAAGTGATTTTGATATAGTCATTGGGAAAGATTTTTCCGGGTGACACCAAATATGTGTTTTTCCACACCAACCCTCCAATGCCAGTTAGGTGTCCTCCAGTTTATTTCAGACACACACTATCCAGAGTTATCATCAGATTTCACAGGTTTAAGGGCTCAGTTCCTCAAGACTGCCTTCACTTCAGATGCCAGTCACCACGTATTGGGTTCCCATGCTGCCTGCTTCTGTCCAACATGGCTATAAACTCGGAAGTTCCCACATTCGCCATCAAGAGTCAATAATTTGCCAAAACGACTCATAGAACTCAGGAAAGTACTTACTACTGCCAATTTATTATAAAGGATACAACTCACAAACAGCCAAACATAAGCAATGCATAGGACAAGTTATGGGGGTGGGAGCTGAGGGGTGGCAAGGAGGGCAGGCGTGGAGCTGCCACACCAGGGACATCACCCTCCTAGCACCTTGCTGTGCTCACCAGCATGTTAGCTCTCCGAACCCATGTCTAGGGGTTTCATTACAAAGGTATGACCAATTGATTACATTATTTACTTCTTATTATTATTATTTTGAGACTGAGTATCACTCTGTAACTCAGGCTGGAGTGCAGTGGCATGATCTCGGCTCACTGCAACCTCCGCCTCTCGGGTTCAAGTGGTTCTTCTACCTCAGCCTCCTGAGTAGCTGGGACTAGAGGCGCACGCCACCACACCTAGCTAATTTTTGTATTTTTGGTAGAAACGGGGTTTTACCATATTGGCCAGGCTGGTCTCAAACTCCTGACCTCAGGTGATCCACCGGCCCGGGCCTCCCAAAGTGCTGGGATTATAGGTGTGAGCCACTGCACCTGGCCAACTGATTACATTATTAACCACTGGTGACTGAGCTCAATCTCCACACCTTCCCTCTCTGGAGGTGGCAGGGGGACCACTGAAAGTTCCAACCCTCTAAAATCATAGCTTTGTCCTTCTGGTGACCAGCCCCCATCCTAAAGCTATCTAGAGATCCCCAGATAAGGGATCCCTTACTCATTAATTAGTATCTATTTTGTGTGTGCCTACATCCTGAACTGGGACAATGGCTACAGTCATTTCAGAAATCTCATTAGCGTACCAAAGACCCTGTTATCACTTCGGAGATTCCAAGGATTTTAGCAGTTGTGAGCCAAGAACGTAAAGAACAAATATTTATTTTTTATTATATGACAGTCAGCCTGGCACCAGTCTGTGGCGTGGTCTTTGGGCATCACTCCAATAGATGACATTATCAAAGAGGGAAAGGCAGAAGCCATGGGGAATTAGGATCAAGTGATGGAATGGAATGGAAACAAAGTAAAGCTTGACCCCAAGATTAGTTGCCAGAGGCATGGATGTAAACAGGGCATATTAAAACCTAGAAATGAGTCATAAACATCCCAGAAGAGCAGAAAAGGCCAGTCTCAGTTTCCAGCTTTCTGATTTCTCCTTCCTTCTACCAGCTTATCCAGCTCCCTATCCTGAACTGTGCTGTCAACCTTACTCATTCATTAATATCTATTTTGTGTGTGCCTACATCCTGACCTGGGACAATGGCTACAGTCATTTCAGAAATCTTACCAGCAGAAAAGTTGGAATAGCTGGGAGTAAATAAAGCTCAGATTCGGGATCCCAAATCCAGTTGTGTAGTCTTAGTGCCACATGTGGCTATCAAGACCAATCTGCCAGCCAGGCGCAGTGGCTCACACCTGTCATCCCAGCACTTTGGGAGGCCAAGGCAGGCGGATCACCTAAGGTCAAGAGTTTGAGACCAGCCTGGCCAACATGGTGAAACCCCTCTCTACCAAAAATACAAAAATAGCCCAGCGTGGTGGCGGGTGCCTGTAAACCCAGCTATTCAGGAAGCTGAGGGACGCTTGAGCCCAGGAGACGGAGGTTGCAGTGAACCGAGATTGCGCCACTGCACTCCAGCCTGGGCGACAGAGTGAGACTTTGTCTCAAATAAATAAGTAAATAAATAAATCTGCCCATGGTATTAGCTACATACCATACAAACAGGACACCAGATACTCACCTAGTCTCTAAGTCAATAAATAAGAACTTAGAAATGCTGAATATAAGTTAGCATACACTAGCCAACTTCTAGTGCTATACTATTATTATTTTATCCCAGTAAGATCTACTTCCATATTGACACCAAGACACAGCAGAAGGTGGAGAACAGCAAAAAGTATTTTTCTTTTTTTTTTTTTTTTTGAGACAGAGTCTCGCTCTGTTGCCCAGGCTGGAGTGCAGTGGCGCTATCTCAGCTTACTGCAACCTCTACCTGCTGGGTTCAAGCGATTCTCCTGCCACAGCCTCCTAAGTAGCTGGGACTACAGGTGTGCACCACCACACCCAGCTAATTTTTGTATTTTTAGTAGAGATGGGGTTTCACCATGTTGGCCAGATTGGTCTTGAACTCCTGACCTCAGGTGATCTGCCCACCTCGGCCTCCCAAAGTGCTGGGATTACAGGCATGAGACAGCACGTCCAGTCTGCAAAAAGCATTTTTCAAGGCTTTTCAAAAGCCCTCGGATGGTCTGGAAATTCAGGTGGGAGAGTAGCCCAAGACCTCAAAAACCCTTCAAGTGAATGTCCGTGCCTTGCCTGATGACCAGGATACCTCTAACATCCTCTTATGTTATGCCTTCAAAAATAGTATTCAAGCACTTATTTAGAACTAATCTTCCAATAAAAGCTACTGGAGGAATCAACCAACAAAGCCTTGTTAACCAAAACTTTCTGTAGCACATCTCTACATGTCGCCCTGTTACCCAGGATATTTAAATCCCATTTCTGATTATAATCTGAGCATTTTTCTCAATTTCCCTATAGTAGAAGGAAAAGAGAATCCCCAAACAGGGAGAGAACAAGATGAATCCAGATAAAACCAGCTTGTTCTCAAGGATTCTAAATTATCCTTGAACCAAAATATCTCTGCAAACAGGAAAAATATCTTACTCATTTCAGTACTCTAGCAATTACCACACAATACTTCAAAAGCTTGACTTGCTGTAATCACTCATACTTATTTACTGAATTAACTGTCATAAAATTATGACATTATTTCTAAAACCCAATGAATTACTGTATACATTTCCTGCTACATGTGGGATGTACTTTATTCACTTGAGTTTGAGCAAATAAACTACTTATCAAAGAAAATTTTGAGTAGAGGGCACAAGATATTTGGTGTATGTTTGCTGTTGTGTGTGTGCGCGCTCTATGTGAGTGAGTGTGTGTACTGCTATTATCTTGGGTTTTATAAATAGACATGTGGATTCTGCTAAAGTGATTCCTAGGCAGGGTCTTTAAAATGGTAACTCTAGGGAGGAAAACAGATCTTCAGCTCCTTCCCCTTTCATCCATCCACCTACCCTCCCTCCTATTCACCTTCCTGCCCACCTGTTACTTACTCCCTGTCCAAAAGAATTTTGAGATATTTGTATTAGAAATCAATTCAGTAATAAGACTCACAGGGTCTCAAGTATCCACAAGATCAGAGAACTCCATAAAACTAGCCTGAGTGCTCTGGTTTGCCTACAGGCCACATTGTCATCAGCTACCAACCACCACTGTGGTTCATTCTTTGCTGCTTAGAGGTACACATATCAATTTGTATATATTCAATATGTTACCAAAAGTTTAAGAAACCAAAGGAATATTTGCTCAGAAGGATTTCTCACTCATAGAAATAGTTCTCCACAGCCAAAAATCTCAGTATAGTTAAGGACAAGGGACATTTGTGATCATCTTAATGGCACACAATACAATATGTAAGACCTAAATTTAAATTCCTTGAACCACAATCCCTTTAAGATACCTAGTCAGACACACTCCCAAGAAAATGACGCTACCAGTGGCAATTAAGTGCTAATAACAAAAGCAAAGCTAGTAAGAGATGAGTCAAAGAGAGGGAAACATCAGCCATTAGCAACCTTGCAAGAGGTCAAATTTTACCTTCAACAAGAAAGCAATACTACCTTTACACCTTCTTCAGCTTCATCAATATCAAATATCTTTTTAGTTTTTTTCTTCTTTTTCTTTTGATTAAAGAAGTTCAAGTCATCTAGATCATCAGAAGCATCTAAAAAGACCAAGGCATAATTATTAACAACTAAAAGGCAAAGCATCAAATTATGAGTTACACAAACATAGTTCAGCAATTAATCAAGTCACCAGAAAAGACTGACTATTAATTAGTCCCTCCACAATCACAAAACTTATGGTTCTTTTTTTTTTTTTTGAGATGGAGTCTTGCTCTGTCGCCAAGGCTGGAGGGCAGTGGCGCAATCTCAGCTCACTGCAACCTCTGCCTCCTGGGTTCAAGCGGTTCTCCTGCCTCAGCCTCCTGAGTAGCTAGGACTACATGCATGTGCCACCATGCCCAGCAAATTTTTTGTATTTTTTTAAGTAGAGACAGGGTTTCACCACGTTAGCCAGGATGGTCTCGCTCTCCTGACTTCATGATCCGCCTGCCTCAGCCTCCCAAAGTGCTGGGATTACAGGCGTGAGCCACCGCGCCCGGCCACAAAAGTTATGGTTCTGAAAAACAAAATGGTAGGTCATCTCAAAGATCTATAGGAAAAATCTGGTTAGGGGACCATGTTGAGAATATTTATTTAGTAATCTGACCATATCACTCTTCACTGTTCCCAAGACAAAGTCAGAGCTCTAACACAATTTCCAACTCTCCAACTTTAAATCTTCCACTTCTGCTTCTTGCCTTCCTCACTTCAATCCCTGGTTCTAACCCTACTGAACTACTTTCAGTTCCTACTGCAATATACGTGCGGTCTCTCACCAACAAACCTTCCCGTGGGCCCTCTTACCTCCATCTCACAGGATCTTGGTTAAATTACTTCCACCAAAGCCTTCTCTAAGCTTATCCATCTTTCCCCACAACTGGGTTAGGTATCCCCAGAGTGATTGGATAGTATCTTCTGCTTACTCCAACTGAGGTACTTATTACCAGCTTGCTTATCTATCTCCCTACTCAATACTAAGAGTATATGCCTTGTTCACCTAAATTCTACTGTCTAGCTCAACATTTTATTGAATCAACTAATCATCAAAAGGCCTAACAAATTATTTCACATTCATTAAAATACAGCTGTGCAGTAAATACAAGTTATCAGTGAAATTTTACCTACCATTAATGAGTAATAATAGGTTCTGTTCAACAAGTTTTCCATTTGACCTGCCATGTTATAAACTAGAAATATTTTAGGATCCTTCTGCTACAAAGTTTTTCAAGAAACTATTTACAAATCCATTTTATCTTATTACAACAGGAATGAGTTACTTTCCAAATTTGTTTTAAACATGTAGAAGACACTTAGCACAGGGCAGATGCTCAGTGAATGTCAGTTGTCTCTATCCTGGCACAGTGTTATATTCAACAGACACATACAATGTTTATAGAAACATTTCTCTCTAACAGTCAAATTATGTCTATGTTACAGCACAGGGGTAAGTAACTAAAGCTGGTGTCTAACCCCAAATACTTTAGGCTATAATTTTAATCTCTCATATACATTTTCAGACTTGCTAAGACACAAAACTGCCTATCTTAGTACCATTTCTTTCTGCCCACACTCAAATACAACTACCATTAAAAAGTCAGAGAAGAGACCTGATGGGTTCAACTGGAAAACCAGCTCTGGAACAGCAAGGTTTCATCTTTGCAACTTGTGAATTAAATGGAAACATCCCTGCAACAAGCCTATCAGAAATCTAAAAAGGTCCACTGCATACAGACTACTGATGGCCTTGACTTCACTGGAACAGCCTTGTCAGGCTGAGAGGTCGCTGCATATCCAAAAGCCAAAACGCTCATAGAACCAGGGCTTCTATGACAACAGTAACTCTCTCACATCAACCACGCACCTTTTTTCCTAGTGTCCTCTTCATCAGCTTCCAAATCCTTGTCCTCAGTTGGCTCTGGCTCCACTTCTTTTGTTTCTGAAGGCTGGGTTTCCTCTGTTTGGGTATCCCCTTCCTCATCTAACATAAAAGGCTTCTTCTTCTTCTTTTTCTTCTTGCTCATAGTAGGATCAAAAATCATCTGTTTAAAAGACAAAAAACAAAAAGGGACCAAATGATTGTTTTTAATGATGCTCACATTCCAAATATGCTTTATCCTCAAAAGGCATACTCTTAAAAGAGTATGTGATACATTAAAACACCAAAGGGGAGTTTACCAAAAAATAAAATAAATTGTCCACCCAACCTTCTTGTTACTATTAAACATCAGGTGAACTGAAACATGTACACATCTTTCAATTTGTAAAGTATCACAGATACTTCACTTTCACTTTCATGAGCAAATTTGGACATTTGAATGAATCATGGAATTTAGGGAAGGGACTTTGGCAACAACCTATGCTATGCCCCTCACTTTACAGATATAGGAAAACAATACCTAAGCGGGGTGTAAATTTTTTTGTATTGTTTTTTCTTTGAAACAGGGTCTCACTGTTGCCCAGGATGGAGTGCAGTGGCATGATCACAGCTCACTGCAACCTCAACCTCCTGGACTCAAGTGATCCTACCATCTTAGCTCCCCAAGTAGCTGGGACCACAAGCATGTGCTACCATGCCCAGCTAATTTTTTTATTTTGTAGAGACGGGGTCTCCCTCTGTTGTCCCAGGTGGTCACAAACTGCCAGGCACAAACAATCCTCCCACCTCGGCCACACAAAGCAATGGAATTACAGGTGTAAGCCACCGCACCTGGCCAGGGGTATCAATGTTTTATTCAAGGCTGGTAACTTGGGGCTGTTACACAGAGACTTGAGAGACTTTTGACCTGATTAAAAAAACAAAATTTTTTTTAACTACAAATCTTCAAGGAAATCCATCAGCAACTCTTCATATAGCAAATCTCTGAGTAAGAGAAACCTCTATACAACATTTCACTCTGCTTTTTGTTTAACATTAAAGGTTCTTTTTTTTTTTTTTTTTTAAATGAAACAGGGTCTGGCTCTGCTGCCCAGGTTGGAGTGCAGTGGCATGATCTCAGCTGAATCCAACCTTGACCTCCCAGACTCACACCATCCTCCCACCTCAATTTCCTGAGTAGCTGGAATTACAGGAGTGCACCACCACACCCAGCTATTTTTTGTATTTTTAGTATTGATGGGGTTTCACCATGCTCCCCAAGCTGGTCTTGAACTCCTGGGCTCAAATGATCCACCAGCTTCAGCCTCCCAGTGTTAGGATTACAGGTGTGAGGACCATGCCTTGCCCCAAAATTCTCTTATTCTTATCTAAATGTCCACTATAGAGTAGGTGAAAAACTAATTTATAATTTGTAGACTATCTGCTTGCACTGATCACTTGAAGAAAGAAAAGTTATCTAGACATAATAGTTTAAACAACATACAGGGCAGACACCTGATAGAGTAGAAAGCGCAGGAGGCTGGGTGCGGTGGCTCACGCCTGTAATCCCAGTACTTTGGGAGGCCGAGGCGGGCGGATCATGAGGTCAGGAGATCAAGACCATCCTGGCTAACATGGTAAAACCCCGTCTCTACTAAAAATACAAAAAATTAGCAGAAGGTGGCGGGTGCCTGTAGTCCTAGCTACTCGGGAGGCTGAGGCAGGAGAATGGTGTGAACATGGGCAGTGGAGCTTGCAGTGAGCCGAGATCGTGCCACTGCCCTCCAGCCTGGGTGACAGAGCAAGACTCGGTCTCGAAAAAAAAAAAGAAAGTGCAGGGTCTTTGAAGTCAAATAGAACCTGATTCAAATCCCAAGTATTTTTTTCCTGAACCCCTTACCAATCTCTCTCCATATTCTATTAATACCATGCTTAAATTCAGCATTTTGCCCAGTGATCTGCTGTGGACAGCGTTAATAGTAAAGTGTTTAAAAGCACAAGTCTGGAGCCCATCTGACTAGATTTAAATTCTGACTCTGGCTTGTACCTGTGTTATTCCACGGCTCATGTGTAAAATGGAGACAAGTAGCAGAATGACAACAAACCACACAAGGTTACTGGGAGGGTTAAAGAAGTATGTAAATGTAAAACACTTGCCATAGTGCCTGGTACGTAAGTACTCGATAAATATTAGCAATTGTAATTTATATAATACTTTACCATTCATAAAGCATGGTTTTCTCTTGATTCCTATCACTGAAATTTCATCAATTCAGGTGCTCTAATTTCCCAAACATATAAAACTCTCAAAAGCTTCCCAAAATTGATTATAACATAAACTTATTTATGTCCCAAGATCATTAATGGAACTAGACTGAAACCAAGCTACAGTCTGTAATAAGGTAATACAGTTACTGTCCTTGCCCAGTAGAGAAGTATGGTATTTGCATAGCATTTTCAAAGTTAGTCTTTTCTCCCTTAACAAGGATCCAACTGTATAAATAATTAAATCTGAAATGCAGTCAGTCTGAAGAACATTATCTGGCCAACTTAAAGAAGTGTCCCTACCAAGATAGAAGAGCAAAGAGGAAAGAGTCCCCCACTGCAAGGAGTACTGCAATAATACAGGGAAGTAGCTACATTTCATCTTCATTCTAGAAATAGGGAGACTTGGCAAAAGGACAGACAAAACTCTAGACACTATAAATTTGGTTCTGGAAGGGATTACCATCCATTTATTGCATTTTTTCAAGCATCAAGTTCCCTAGAATATTAATTGCCTTTTAACCATTATTCATCAAGACAGACTGAAGATGGCAAGGATCCTGATATCACCAGAAGACAGCCTCACAAGTGCCTTCTTATCCCCTGAAAAACCTTATGGTCTACAGCTAAACAGTTTGGTTGTAGCCTTGTAAAGGATAATAAACATCCAGGAATCATAAACTGAAATAATTAACATCTCTCTCAATTACTGTCTGGATACTTAACATACATACTCATTGCCTTATTTTATTCATACCATCCTGCGAAGTACAGTTTACAAATAAGGACCAGGGATCCCGAAGCAGCACCCAAAGCAGACCTCCCCAAAAATGAGGCCATGTTAGTCTTGACTAAAATGGCTTTTTAAGACTTTCATGTCTAGCTTCCAAATTATAAGCTGACTACACTCCAAATTGGTTTTCTTTTATGAAACTAGTTTGGATTTGAAAAGCAAATAGCTGTTGACAGTGCACATATGGAAAACTACAGATCACTTGAGTTATATTTTAGGTTCACAACAAAGCCTTCAAAAGCATAAATTTTCTATTTTCAACTTCTCACGTTTGATTGGAGAGGGCAAAGAAAAGGTATACCAGCTAAAATTACCCTGATGCTCATCAAATTAGAAGCTTCCTCTCATAGATCATACCTTACCCAAGAAATCAACTTTATAGTCATACTATACCCAGAAGCAGGTGTGAGTCACAAAAGAACCCACAGAGAAGCAAGACATTGATCTAAAAGTTCCTTCCAAAGGTGACCAGAACAAATGCTAAGTGTTGCCATCTCTGTGTGATAGGATTGTGGGATTTTTTTTTTTTTTTTTAGGGACGGGAGTCTCACTATGTTGCCCAGGCTGAAATGTAGTGACTACTCTCAATTGTAATTATAGCGCACTGCAGCCTCGAACTCCTGGCCTCAGCCTCCTGAGTAGCTGAGATTACATGTGAATGCCACCATGCCTGGCTTAGATTCTGCTGTTTTTCTTTGTATTCTTTTGTGTTTCATTAACTTCACACAACACACATCCCATTTTGAATCAAATACTTTTTTTTTTAATTTAAAGCTTCTTTTTGCAAAAACACCTTACCATATTTTATGAAAACCCAATGTTCTGACTCCTTGTGAATGGGACCTAGTAGCAAGTAGGCAAGTATTAAATATTGATGCTGCTTTTAACAAATAGTCTGAAAATTACTGAATGCCTATTGAGTAGGGGATTTTTCTTTTCCCTTACCAGGTAGCAGCCATATTTCTAGGATTCTGCTTTTTAAAGATCATGGTTCCATGTTGGGAGGCTGAGGCAGGAAGACTGTTTGAGGCCAGGAGTTCAAGACAAGCTTGGGCAACAAAGCAAGACCTCATTTCTACAAAAATTAAAAAATTAGCGGGTGCAAGAGCATGCACGTGTAGTCCCAGCTACTTGCGAGGCTGAGGCAGGAGGATCCCCTGAGCCCAGGTGACAGAGGCCACAGTGAGCTATGATTGTGCCACCGCACTCCAGCCTGGGAAACAAGAGCGAGACCCTGTCTCTAAAAAAACAAAACAACAAAAACAAACAAAAAAAATCATAGTTCTACTAGGTTGAAAATCGTTATGTTTTGGCAAGTTTCTGGCTTAATTACCAGGTTTAAAAATAAATGTGTGCAGTTTATTTCAATTATACATCAAGAAAAAAAAAAAACAAAAACAGAAGGCTGGGCATGGTGGTTCACGCCTGTAATCCCAGCACTTCAGGAGGCTGAGGCAGGCGAATCAGAAGGTCAGGAGTTCAAGACCAACATAGTGAGACCCCGTCTCTACTAAAAATACAAAAAAAAAATTAGCTGGGCATGGTGGCAGGCGCCTGTAATCCCAGCTACTCAGGAGAGGCTGAGGCAGGAGAATTGCTTGAACCCAGGAGGCGGTTGCGGTGAGCCGAGATCACGCCACTGCACTCCAGTCCAGCGACAGTGCGAAATTCCATCTCAAAAAAAAAAAAAAAAAAACAGAAATATGAATAAAACAGAAAATTACTTTTTAATAGCAGCCTCTTTAATTGTCTAGCCTGACCACCAGGCAGGATTACTTCCACTCTGGGAAAGTCCTTGGCAGTTTATAAATCATTTTCAAGTACAGAGTTTTATCTGATCCTCACAAGTCTGTACAGTAGCCAGATGTTAAAGGAATGGCCTAAAAATACTTACCTAGTCAACAGCACTACAGGAACCAGGCCCTATACCCTATTCTTCATACCCCTCTCTACTCCTAACTTCTACCTGGCAGAATGGAAGCCAAAGACCAGGGTTCTTGTCCTACTAACTTTCTGCATGATCTTGGACAAGTTAATCTCCCTCGGCCCTGGTTTCCTGTAAAATACAGTTGGACCGGCACCCCTAAGTGGCCAAACTAATACTTTATTGGCTTCCAAAGTCCTATGCCGAAATGCTGGTTCTGCCATCTTTGCTTCACAAAATTCTGTTCATCCAGCAGTAATGCATTCATATTCCACTTCTTTCAAAGCCTAATCCCACTGATCCCTCTAGCCCTCCAAGTCACTACGTTGATGGTCCTATTTCTACCTTGTGTGTCATCTAGTTGACCCATACACAGAATAACACCCCATGGAATCTTGCACACGTAAGTACTGTATTTGCCAAAGGTTATGAGAAGTTTGAAAAATGAGTAGAAACAAAACAAGTGTGAAACACTGCCACTCTCAGAACTTTTGAAATACAGCAGCCTAGAGCAATGTCTATAACCGCCAAGGACCATATACAAACTTTCAGTTTCTCTAACCCATTAAGATCCTAGTCAATCTGGAATTCTACTGGTTTAGCCACTTAGTATTTGATCATGGGCATTATACAACTCTGTAACACTCAAATTTTTCATCTCTAAAATGGGCACAACAATAGACCTATTTTACAGGACTGTTGTGAGAACCAAGTAAGAGACTGGAATCCCGTCCAGAATATATTCCAAATTCCTTAACTTCGTCTTCACAGCCCTCCATGAACTAGTCATTACCTGCTTGGCAAGTGTTCACCCCTTAACTCTAATCAAACTGGAGATTATTCTACTTCCTGTGAGCACATTTACTGGCCTTTCTCGACCATTCCTTTGCCCTTGTGATCAAGGCTTCCTATTGCCTGAGGAAATTCTCAACAACTTACGGGGCCTCCCCCAATGTTAAGCAATACCTACTGGGAGTACTTAACATCAACTTCATTTTAAGTCGTTAGACGTTATATCAACTAGGATAAATCTGAGGGAAAGGGATTTGAGGAAATTCACTGAGATCCAAGTACCACGGTAAAAAAAGATCCAGCCAGTTTCACAGCCCGCACTTCCCGCTCACGTCGCCGGTAGCCCTCTGTTAAGGGAAGCTCAGGGGCTCGCCCGGAAACTTTCCGGGAAGGTCAGTCACTTCCTGAGGCTGCAGAATCTTTTTCTCTCGTTCTAACCCCATCACCCCCTCGTCTTTTTAAAAAACAATGCTAGGAAGGCAAACAAGGGCGGGATACCGGCCCCGACAAGATAGCCTAGAAAGTTTTAACGAGGGCGTTATACCAAGCCAAGAGAGGCTCCTCGCGGCACCCCTGGCACCCCCGGCACCCAGTGAGGCGAGCTGGGGCGGCAGTGCCCAGCAGAAAGGAATGCAGGGATCGCCAGCCCCAGTCTCGTTCGGGGTTATTAACCGGGCATTCGAGCCCCTTCCGGGAGGACGACTCAACGTGTGCTCTCCATTCCGGAAACGCCAACCACGGCAGGAGGTCCGCCTCAGCGCTGCCGCCCTGAGGAAAGCGGGCTGCGGCCAAGCCTGCGGCTCCGGAGTCCTCGCCGGCTCTGCCGCTCCGGGCCGCCTAGGCGCGGCTGCCTCACATGGCGGCGGCCGGCTGCTAGGCCGCAGGCCCGTTCTCCCACACTGGAGTGGGTTAGGCTTCTCGCCTCAATCCTTAGCCCTTACGCCGGGCTCAGATCCTCACCTCGTCCCCAGACATGGCTGCGGCTCGAGTGGGCTCGGCACGGACGGGAAGTCAGACGGGTCAGCCCCAGGCCCCGGCGGCAGCGCTGCCCCTGCCGATACCTCTCCCACCACCGCACTAGGCTCTTGCATCAGCGAAAGGAAACGACACCCCGCCCTCTCCTCCAAGCGTTGGAAATGCGCCTGCGCAGAGCTCGCCAAGGCGCAGGCGCGCAGAAGAGCCAACCTAGCGCGCTTCGTGTGGCGCGAGTTACCAGGCGACGCCGCGTCGCCAGGCATGCCGGGACTTGTAGTCCATTTATAAGAGGGTTGCGCTTGCGCTGTAGCCGCCCAGCGACCTGTGCGCGGCGTCTGAGCGAGCTGCAGCCGGAAGAACATTCGGTTGTTGATATTGCCTCAGCCTTTTGGAGCATTCTTTTGCGCTGCTTGTAGAGTGAATTGGGGTCCCTTCCTCCTGGGTTAGGGTAGTGGGTTAGACACTGAGTCATATGAACCCGCTGGAGCTTTAGTTTCCCACATGACCCCCGGGCGTCATGGTGTTTGAGAAATTCTGAGTTGGAGCTAGAGGCGCCCACCTCCCTAAGGGTTTTTACTTCGTAAGAAATTTGACGGCTGGTTTTCTGCTTGGGAGGTCAGAAACCAAAGTATCTTCCCGGTCTTCCCCCGGGAGAGATAACATCTCCTGAGGAGAAACAACCACGCAAGAGGCAGCTGTCGGGGAGCCTCAGAATACTTGTTTATGAAATCTGATTGAATGGGTGCGCCACGCAATTTCCCTTGAGACCTAACAACAGCAGCGACCCTTTAGGGAGCTCTCACTGCGGCTGTGCTCTCCAGCCAAAGACCATCGAGAACACTCCTGTAGCTGGACAAAGTGGAGTTTATGGTCTTGCAAGTAGGGCAGTACGCCGTGGGAAACACCGGGACGTCTTTGGAAGAGGGTGTTGGAAAGAATTTACAGGGTTTGGGCAGGGTTTAAGGAAGCAGAGCTTCTCTCTGGATTAGATGCAGTCAGGAGGTGGGGGTAATTCTATGATTGGGTAATTTAATAATTCTTTTTTTTTTTTTTTTTTTTTTTTGAGACTCGCTCTGTTGCCCAGGCTGGAGTGCAGTGGCGCGATCTCGGTTCACTGCAGGCTCTGCCTCCTGAATTCAAGCGATTCTCCTGCCTCAGCCTCCCGAGTAGCCGGAATTACAGGCGTGAGCCAGCTCGCCTGGCCTATAATTCTTACATGATAAGAAAGTAGAACTGGCCGGGCGTGGTGGCTCACGCCTGTAATCCCAGCACTTTGGGAGGCCAAGGCGGGCGAATCACCTGAGGTCAGGAGTTCAAGACCAACCTGGCCAACATGGCGAAACATTGTCCCGACTAAAAATACAGAAATTTGCCGCGTGTGGTGGTAGGCGCCCATAATCCCAGCTACTCTGGAGACTGAGGCAGAGAATCGCTTGAATTCGGGAGGCAGAGGTTTCAGTGAACCGAGTTTGCGCCACTGCACTCCAGCCTGGGTGACAGAGTGAGACTCCGTCTCAAAAAGAAGAGAAAGAAAGAAAGAAAGCAGGAGGGAGGGAGGGAAGGAAGGAAGGAGGGAAGGTAGAACCAAGTGAGGCTAAAGCTGCAATTGGTTAAAAAAAAAAAAAAAAAAAAAAAGCTCTGCCTCCCGAATTCAAGCGATTCTCCTGCCTCAGCCTCCCGAGTAGCTGGAATTACAGGCGTGAGCCACTGTTCCCAGCCTATAATTGTTACATAATAGGAAAGTAGAACTGGCTGGGCGCGGTGGCTCACGCCTGTAATCCCAGCACTTTGAGAAGCCAAGGCGGGCGAATCACTAGGTCAAGAGATCGAGACCATCCTCGCCAACATGGCGAACGCCCATCTCTACTAAAAATACAAAAATTAGCTAGGCGTGGTGGTGCGCGCCTGTAGTCCCAGCTACTCAGGAGGCTGAGGCAGCAGAGTTGCTTGAACCCGGGAGGCGGAGGTGGCAGTGAGCCAAGATCAAGCCACTGCACTCCAGCCTGGCGACAGAGCTAGACTCCATCTCAAAATAATGGTAGTAATAAAAAAGGCCAGGCACGGTGGCTCACACCTGTAATCCCAGCACTTTGGGAGGCGAGGTGGGCGGATCACGAGATCAGGAGTTCGAGACCAGCCTGACCAACATGGTGAAACCCCATCTGTACTAAAAATACAAAAATTAGCGGGGCATGGTGGCGTGCTCCTGTAATCCCAGCTACTCAGGTGGCTGAGACAGGAGAATCACTTGAACTCGGGAGGCAGAGATTGCAGTGAGCCGAGATCGCACCACTGCACTCCAGCCGACAGAGCTCTGGGCGACAGAGCGAGACTCCGTCTCAAAAAAAAAAAAAAGGATAGAGATAGGAGATAGGAGCATATCTGTTTTTTTTGTTTTGTTTTGTTTTGTTTTTTGAGACGGAATTTCGCTCTTGTTGCCCAGGCTGGAGTACAATGGCACGATCTCGACTCACCGCAACCTCACTTCCTGGGTTCAAGCGATTCTCCTGCCTCAGTCTCCCAAGTAGCTGGGATTACAGGCATGCACCACCATGCCCAGCTAATTTTGTGTTTTTAGTTGAGACGGGGTTTCTCCATGTTGATCAGGCTGGTCTCGAACTCCCGACCTCAGGTGATCCGCCCACCTTGGCCTCCCAAAGTGCTGGGATTACAGGCGTGATCCACCGTGCCCGGCCTTATATCTGGTCATTTTTTTGTGGTTGGCACAATGTTTATTTTTGTTTGTTTATATTCAGACATCATTGTGGAGTGGTTTTGTTTTTGTTTGGACCCGCCGTGCTCACAGAATGGCCTTGTCTGATGTTGGTGTTCTGAAATTGTTAGTGTTCAACAGGGCAGCACATCCTAGTTAATAGTGCCAGCCGGCTTCCTGCTATCACGGGCTGCATCTCTTTTCACTGTGTTCCACATTACTTAATCATATTTGCTGCTTTAGGTCTCAACACAACTGTGTGAGATAATCCACAGACACCTAGTACTCTCTACTGGATATTAGTCCCTAATCTAAGCATGGCAGTTCCTTGCCTCCAAGGAGCTTACATCTTAGTGAGATGGATGGTTTATTAGCCCCTTTTTCCAGATGAGGAAACTGCTTTTGTGGCACTGAATAATTAGTCAGAAGCCATATACAGCCAGCAAAACAGGTAACCTGGGAATCCAAGTCCAGACAATCTGATGCCAGTGGCTGCCCCTTTACCACCTTGAGAATCTGAATCCCTAAGGAGCCTGGACTAGTGCCATCAAACCTCAGTCATTTTCAGCTACTGATATTTGTGCATACCAGAGTTACTCAATGGCAGCATTATTGACATATTGGCAGACAATTCTTTGTCAGGCCAGATAATTCTTTGTTGTGGGATGTTGTTCTGTGCATTGTAAGATGTTTAGCAGCATCCCAGCCTCTATATAATAAATGCCAGTGGCACCCTCCCCCTAGTTGTGACAACCAAAAATGTCTCCAGACACTCCCAAATATCCCCTGGGAGAGACAGAATCACCCCTGTTTGAGAACCACTGGTGTACATCATTTTTTGGATCTTTGAGAGAGAAACATTTGGTACATGACAGTCCCCAAATCATTTTAAGTGGGATGCCTTGAAGAGAAGAGAGGGAAACAGTGTGGCCTAAGTTTTGGAAAAGCCTGTTCAACTACAAAAATGACAGATAAAGGAAAAATAAATGAAATGGAAAAATGAAAGAAGACAAGTGGAAAAGGAGCTTATGAAATGATCTGTGGGCCAGACATGGTAGCTCACACCTGTAATCCCAGCACTTTGGGACGCCGAGGTGGGAGGATCGCTCGAGCTCAGGAGTTTGGGACTAGCCTGGGCAACATAGATCCATCTCTACAAAAAAAAAAATTTTTTTTAATTAAAAAATAAGTTACTCAGATCACACCAAAGAAGTTAGTTCACACTAACTTAAGTTACTCAGATCACACCAAGGAAGTTAGCTTGTTAGTTCACACTAACGAAGACACTAAGAGAACTAAGAAAGTCTTTTTTTTTTTTTCTTGAGACGGAGTATTGCTCTGTCGCCCAGGCTGGAGTGCAGTGGCTCGATCTCGGCTCACTGCAAGCTCCACCCACTGGGTTCACGCCATTCTCCTGCCTCAGCCTCCTGAGTAGGTGGAACTACAGGCGCCTGACACCACGCCCGGCTAATTGTTTTTGTATTTTTAGTAGAGATGGGGTTTCACTGTGTTAGCCAGGACGGGTCTCGATCTCCTGACCTCGTGATCTGCCGGCCTCAGCCTCACAAAGTGCTGGGATTATAGGCGTGAGCCACCACACCCAGCCAAGAAAGTCTTAATGAGACCTCGTTGTACCTTCACTCCCTGTTTGGGAAATGCTGCTGTGTTTAGCAAATACTCTTGACCACTTTTATGAAAAAATTTATTTTCCCTTACAGCATGGTACCAGGTGTAATCTCCCTGAACTGGCTATGTGCAAGAAGACTTCCTTCAGAGATTTCAGGCTTCCTCCAAGGTAGCAATTTCTTTTCTAGGAAAAGCCAAGATTCCCTGGCAAAAGTCACAAAGCAACGATAGCTAAACTTTTCCTGGTTTTCCAAGAGATTGATCCTACTAACAACACAAATAATTTATATTTTCATAACTTCTTTCCTCCAGGAATCTGCAATGCATATAGACACTTATGGATTTTCTTCTCAATACCTGTGAGAGAAATACTGTAATTTTGTTTTATAAATACAGAAGCCAAGTTATGGAATACACACACACACACACACACCAAGCAGAGATACAGAAACAAGACTATTGGACTTTTCATTCTGGGCCATGCTCAATACCACCCCAGATCTCCAACTGCCCAACAGTAAGCTAATGATGATAGTACTTCAATTGTATGCTTAATTATATGTTTTCATTGGCTTTGAACTATTCCACAGTCTCCACTTGACCCATAAAATAGCAGGCCTGTAGAGAATGTGACTTAAAGTTAAATAGTGACAGAACTTGAACTAGAACCCAGATCTCATGATTCTTAGTGCAATACTCTTTTTATTTAGTAAGCAAGGTCACACATCCTCATGGGTAATATTTAACTTACAGAAAACATGATTAAGATAAAAATTATAATCCACGTAGAAATTGGTATTTTCTGTGTGGATTATAGCCAGATTTTCTGTGGAAATGCAAGATTTTCCACATAGAAAATCTGGGTATTTTCCACAGCAAGTCATCCTCATCTCAGTTAAGAGTACTGCTCTTTACCCAGTTGCTTAAGTCAAAACCCAGGAGTTAGCCTTGATTCCTTCCTTTCCCTCACTTCTTCATTCAATTCACTATTGTCTTGTTGATTCAATGTCCAAAATAGATCTCAAATACAATCTCTTCTCTCGCCACTGCCACTAACCTGGTCCAGGTGATTGTCATCAGTTTTGGGATACTGCAGCTTTTCTCTTGTTCCTTCATAACACTCACCACAATTTGTTTAATTTGTCTGTTGTATACTTGTAGTTTTCTTAATCTCACTTCACTACTAGAATGTATGCAAATTTCTTGAACATAATACAAAAATCTGTCTTGTTAACTCTGATATTCCCAGCACCTAGCAGAGTGCCTGACTCATCATAGTCACTTAATAAATATTTGGTGGCTGGGTGCCGTGGCTTATGCCTGTAATCCCAGCACTTTGGGAGGCCGAGGTGGGCGGATCACCTGAGTTCAGGAGTTCGTGACCAGCCTGGCCAACATGGTGAAACCCTGTCTCTACTAAAAATACAAAAATTAGCTGGGCATGGTGGTGGGCACCTGTAATCCCAGCTCCTTGGGAGGCTGAGGCAGGAGAATTGCTTAAATCCGGGAGGTGGAGGTTGCAGTGAGCAGAGATCCAGCCACTGCACTCCAGCCTGGGCAACAGAGCGAGACTCCGTCTCAAAAAAATAATAAATAAATATTTGATAAATATTTACTGAATTAATGGTTGAAAACCCATTAGTCCCCAAAATTACATTGCTTACAATGAAATAGTTGAGGTTGGAGCCTTTATTTCATCATATATACTAAAAATGACCAAAGCTAACGTAATTAATCTCAGTTGTATTATAATATATCTGAAAGAATATGTTAGAATTGAAATGGTTTACTTGGAACCCAGAAGGAGAAGAATAAGCCAGGATGGCTTATTCCATTCAGCAGTGTTCAGGATAGAGAAATTATGAATCCAAAGAACATGGTTAAAAGCTAGTCATTAGAGAGGTATACTTGTTCTAGAGCGAAGATAAGCTCAGGCCTTACCTGTGACCTGAATGAAATGGGTCTTAATACCATCTCTTTTTTCAAATGATCAGAAGATCATTTGCCAAATAACATTTTCATTAGTGACTTAAAATCCTTGGTTCCTTTGCACTGGGAAGGAAATGCTCTAGACAGCAAACAAATATTTTACTCACTGGAAACATACATTCTATGTTATATTCCACAGAGACTGTAACTGTGAGGATAGGAAATTGTTAATGACAGCTGTGTCCCTAGTTCCTTAGAATAATGCTTCGCACAAAGTAGGTTCTTTACAACTATTTGATGAATGAATGAATGTACATTAGTAAATTAGGATTATCCTTTATACCACAATCTCTTATGAATTTGGTTATTGTGAATCAATCCTCAAGTATCTGTTCCATGATACATGCTTTAGGAAAATCAGATTTCTGGTTTTGGAGGCCAAATACGTGAGTTCCTCAGCTCTGGTGCTCTACTCCAGGAGTCTTTGAATGGCTGGGCGTGGTGGCTCATGCCTGTAATCCCAGCACTTTGGGAGGCTGAGGCAGGAGGATCACTTGAACTCAGGAGTTTGAGAGCAGCCTGGGCAATATAGTGAGACCCTGTCTCTGTAACAAATAAAAAGCTCTGGGTATTTTTCACAACAAGTCATCCTCAATGACTGCTGTGGAACAAAACAAGGGTCTTTGAGATCTTATTTGGTTAGTCCCTGACCTCCTTCTCCCATATCTTTTTCTTGGTTCTCTTGTAACTCCAGTTCATCCTCCATCTAGCCCATCGAGTTTCCTGGGGCCGGGAAAAAAACACTAATCAAGCTGCTCCCTTGCCTAAAAATCAGTTAATTCTCTGTTACCTTCAGAAGAATAGATTTCCACAGTCTGCCTCCAAGCCCCTCTCACCATGCTACTGTCTACCCTTCTTACCATTCTCCATTGTGTATGCTGTTTCAGTCATACTAAATCATTTAATATTTCATAAACATGCTGTGCCATTTCATTTTTTCCATGCTGTTCCCTCTCTAGAACGTCCTTCCCTCCTGTTCCCGGAATCTGATGAACTCCTGTCATCCTTTAAGATCCAGATCTAGACTTTACTTTTTTAAAGAAGCCTTTGATTTCTGTACAAGGGAAAAAAATGATTCCTTTCTCTCTACTTGTCTTTTTTCTATTACAGCTCTTATATTATGTTGTAGCTGTCTTTGAGATCCTGGAGGGTGGGATCTGTACCTTACTCATATTTCTTTGCTTTCCCAAAACCTAGCACATGTTTGTGAATGCAGGCACCCGTATGGGGCGATAGGTATAAGTGCTAATTACTAACTTGCACCAGTCTTCACTTCTTGAATGTCGCCTCCTTCCCAAGAGAGGATGGGAAAACCTCCCAGCTGTATTCTGTTTGGAATAATTGGATGTGAGCATAGGAAATAAATATGTTTTACATACTCCTTTTATGATTCACTATAAAAGGAGGTGATCAGTTTTTGTTTTCACTTTTTTGAGACAGGGTCTCACTTTGTCACCTAGGCTGGAGTGCAGTGGCATGATCATGGCTCACTGCAGCCTCAAACTTCTGGGCTCAGGCAATCCTCCTGCCTTATCCTCTCAAGTAGCTAGGACTACAGGCAAGTACCTCCACACCCAGCTAATTAAAAAAAAAAATTGTAGAGATGGGGGTCTCACTGTGTTGCCCCAGCTGGTCTCAAAGTCCTGGCCTCGAGTGATTCTCCCACCTCGGCCTCCCAGTGTGCTGGGATTACAGGCGTGAGCCATAAAAGCACCTGATAGTCTTCTTGAAAGATTAGCAGACTTTCAGTAAGAAGTAATTAAGTGTACCTTGTATACACTCAGCACCTTGGTCACTATTCATTGCCCATCTTTCTCCCTTGCTCTTAAGAGACTTATAACCCCAGTACCCAGCACAGTGCATAGCACCTATTAGGAGCTCAGTAAACATTTGTTGAGGCTGGGTGCAGTGGCTCATGTCTGTAATCCCAACACTTTGGGAGGCCACAGTAGGAGGATTGCTTGAGGCCAGTAGTTTGAGACCAGCCTGGACAGCATAGTGAGACCCTGTCTCTACAAAAAAGTAATTAAAAAAAAATTAGCCGGGCATGGTGGCATGTGCCAGTGGCCCCAACTAATCAAGAGGCTGAGGCAAGAGAATCTCTTGGGCTCAGGAGTTCGAGGCTGCAGTGAGTTATGATCACACCACTGCACTCCACCCTGGGTGACAGCAAGACCCTGTTCTCTTTTAAAAAATCAATTAAAAAAAAAAGAATATGAATGTTTTTTGATGATGTTATCCAAGGTTACTTAGTATCTTGCCATCTGTACAGAAGACTTCAAAACTCTTAAGAAAACCACAATGAGATACTACCTTACACCCAGTAGAATTGCTATTAATTAAAAAAAAAACCTCCAGAAAATGACACATATTATCAAGATGTGGAAAAACTGGAACGCTTGTGTATGTTGGCAGGACTGTAAAATGGTGCAGCCCTATGGAAAAGAGTATGGTGGTTCCTCAAACATTTTTAAACAGAATTACCATATAATCTAACAATTCAATTACTACGTATATTTAAAAAATAAAAATAAAAAAACAAAAAAAAAACCTGAAAGGGCTGGGCATGGTAGCTCACACCTGTAATCCCAGCACTTTGGGAGGCTGACGTGGGCGGATCACCTGAGGTCAGGAGTTTGAGACCAGCCATGGTCAACATGGTAAAACCCCATCTCTACTAAAAATACAAAAAATTAGCCAGACATGGTGGCCGGCGCCTGTAATCCCAGCTACTCAGGAGGCTGAGGCAGGAGAAACACTTGAGCCCAGGAGGCAGAGGTTGCAGTGAGCTGAGATCGTGCCATCACACTCCAGCCTGGGCAACAAGAGCGAAGCTCTGTCTCAGAAAAAAAAAAAAAACAAAACAAAACTGAAAGCAGTGTCTCAAAGAGATATTTTTATGTCCATGTTCACAACAGCATTATTCATACCTGAGAAGCACCCCGGGTGTCCATCAGTGGATGAATGGGTAATCAAAATATGGTGTGTACATACAATAGAATATCATTCAGCCTTAAAAAGGAAGGAAATTCTGATACATGCCACAATATGGATGAACCTCAAGAACATTATGCTTAGTGAAATAAGCTAGCCACAAAAAGACGAATACTGTGTTATCCCATTTATTTGAGGTACCTAGAATAGTCAAATTCATAGAAAGAGAAAGTAGAATGGCGGTTGCTAGGGGCTAGGGAGAGAGGGGGGAAGAGAGAGTTGTTGTCTAATAGGTACAGAGTTCCAGTTTTGCAAGATGGAAAGAGTTCTGGAAATTGGTTGTACAGCAATGTGAATATACTTAAAAATAGTTGAAAAGATAAATTTTATGGTATTTGTATTTTACCATATTTTTTAAAAAGAGAGCACTAAACTGGGAGACAAAAGACCAAGGTTGGAGTTCTTGGTTGTTTTCCACAGATAGATCAGTCTCAAGGAATTTGAGACTTCCTTGAAACTCAAGGAAGTACTCAAGGAAGTTGAGTAAAGGAAGCTTCTTTACTCATTGTTTCTGTTAATTCATCTTTAAACAGGATAAAAAAGACTGTGGAGTCTAGATTTGTATGAGGATCAAATAAAAACCAAAAAAAACAAACGTTTAAAATAATTTTTTGAGTTGTAGTTGTTCTCAATATTCCAGAGCCTCTGATCTCTTGATATTTGTTACAAGTTTCACATCTTATTTCATAATGAAATGCTAAAGATGCCTCAGCAATAGCCAGTTGACTTCAAAGGTCTTGTATGAGGAATCCTTTTAATTTGGGCTATTCACCTTATAATTTGGTCCTGGGAAAACAGCAAATAAATAAACTTTTATGAGGACTATTTATGATCTAAGATGCTAATTATCAATGTAGTTTAGCATGAACTAATGAAATACAAGCTCAGGATTTTCATGTTAGTATAAAAAAGCTCTTCTTCAACAAATCCCCAAATGGCGGATGACGCCTGTGCAGGGGGCGGCAGGGCGTGGGGTGCGGAGGTCGGGTGGAGGCCGGGCGGAGGCCGGGCGGAGGCCCCCGCAAGCCCTGGGAGGGATGGGGAACCGCGGTGGCTTCCGCGGAGGTTTCGGCGGTGGCATCCGGGGCCAGGGTCATGGCCGTGGACTGGGCCGGAGCCGAGGCCATGGAGCTCGCAGAGGCAAGGCCGAGGATAAGGAGTAGATGCCCGTCACCAAGCTGGGCCACCTGGTCAAGGACATGAAGATCAAGTACCTGGAGGATGTCTCTTCTCCCTGCCCATCAAGGAATCTGAGACCATTGACTTTTTTCTGGGGTCCTCTCTCAAGGAAGAGGGTTTGAAGATTATGCCGGTGCAGAAGCAGACCCGCGCGGGCCAGCGCACCAGGTTCAAGGCGTTTGTTGCCACCGGGGACTACAATGGCCACGTCGGTCTGTGCGTTAAGTGCTCCAAGGAGGTGGCTACTGCCATCCGCGGGTCCGTCATCCTGACCAAGCACTCCATTGTCCCCGTGCGCAGAGGCTACGGGGGAACAAGATGGACAAGCCCACACCGTCCCTTGCAAGGTGACAGGCCGCTGCGGCTCTGTGCTGGTGCACCTCATCCCTGCACCCAGGGGCACTGGCATCGTCTCCGCACCTGTGCCCAAGAAGCTCCTCATGATGGCTGGTATTGATGACTGCCACACCTCAGCCAGGGGCTGCACTGCCACCCTGGCAACTTCGCCAAGGCCACCTTTGACACCATCTCTAAGACCTACAGCTACCTGACCCTCGACCTCTGGAAGGAGACTATATTCACCAAGTCTCCCTATCAGGAATTCACTGACCACCTCGTCAAGACCCACACCAGAGTCTCCATGCAGAGGACCCAGGCTCCAGCTGTGGCTACAGCATAGGGTTTTTATACAAGAAAAACAAACTGAATTAAGCCTGAAAAAAAAAAAAAAAGCTGGTCTCAAATTAGGGGCCAACATGGAAGAATTAATATCTGTTGAGTACTTACTAAGTGTCAGGCCCTATAGATGTTACATGCATTATCTCATTTAATACTCAACAACAGCCTTGTCAGGTTAAAAGTATTATACCCATTTTATAAACAGGTTAATGAAGGCTCAGAGAGTGTCAGTCACTTACCCAACATAACCCAGTGAGTAACAGAGATGGAATTTGAGCCCAAGTCTGTGTGAATCTGAAGCCCATATTATTTCTACTATGTTACAGTGCCTCTGAAAATATATTTAACTGTGCCTACTTCTAATAGAGTTTATGATAAATGATATATATTTGATGTTTATATATTTATATCAATTATTTTACTTCATCATTACAAGTAAGATAGACTATCTAGGGATGATTATCACCACTTTACAGATGAGGAAACAGATGGTCAGAAAATTTAACTTACCTAGCTTCAGACCAGTAAATGATAATAACAGGGCTTGGACACATGTACCGCAACTCTCAGACTCCTACTTTTTCCACATTGGCCTATGAGAGTAGAATTTTATCTATATTTTACCTATGAATTTTCTTTTTTTTTTTTTTTTTTTTTTTGGAGACGGAGTCTTACTCTGTCGCCCAGGCTGGAGTGCAGTGGTGCAATCTTGACTCACTGCAACCTCTGTCCCCCAGCTTCAAGCGATTCTTCTGCCTCAGCCTCCCAAGTAGCTGGGAGGGATTACAGTCGCCTGCCACTGTGCCTGGCTAATTTTTGTATTTTTAGTAGAAATGGGGTTATATCATCTTGGCCAGGCTGATCTTGAACTCCTGACCTCATGATCTACTCGCCTTGGCCTCCCAAAGTGCTGGATTACAGGCGTGAGCCACCTCGCCCAGCCATATCTATGAATTTTCTGGTTCTAACTTTTTTTAATAGGAGCAAAGAGTGGACATCTTGACAGTCTTGCACTTCTGTTTATGCTTGGACAGATTAAACACATATGTTTATCCCTGTTCACTCCCCAAATCACTGAAGTGACAGTGAGTTAACATTTTTAGGTTTACCAGTCTACAGACAAAGAGAATAAGAAAGAAATCAATAGCAGATTAAGGATATCAACAAATTTTTGGAAGATGGAAAACCATAGCTGAGCTGAGAAAACAATTCTAAATGTTTGCTGAGGGTTATACTAACAAGGGACAAACAGATTCGTACTGCAGAACACTAGAATGTCAGGACTGGGACAGAGCAGATCAGAGGTGATGTGAGAGGCAGAAGAGAGAGGGTTTGGCTGAAAGCCTTTATAGGAAGTGAAACTGCCAGGTCTTTTTCTCCATCCTACTCACTTAGACAACTACCCTTTCATCTCCCTAGCAGCCCCTGGGACAAAATTGAGGTAGAGAAGTTCCAGACACTGAGATACCAGGCACAGCTAAAGATATAATAGCAGGGAGGCTAAGGTAGGAGGATTTCAGACTGAAAACAGAGATTAGATGAATTGTCTACATGCTGAATGGTGAAGCGCACTCAGTCCTCCTGCTGAAATTTATTCCAGGAATGCTGACAGCAAGGCTTGTATTCTCCAGGCAAGATATCAGGGAATTAATTTTAATTAATTAACCCCAGAGGAAAGATCTATACATACTGATATTTGAGGTCCCCCAACAAAACACCTAGGTACCCACTTTATCATCCTACAGATAAACTTCCTGTTAACACAGAGCTTCCAAATACTTAGTGACTCACTCTTAAATATGAAGAGACAACAAAGGGTCACCAGATATTTAAGATAAACCTCCACCAGGAAAGACAGCATCAAATAGAGAAAAAAGAAACTCAAAGGGAACAGAAACTGAAGAGAACAGAAAAATATTTTTAAAAAACAATAAGCAGTCTATGAGAGATAATAGAAAATACTGCATCCATAAAGCAAAGATAAAATGCTCTAAAAAAAATAGAGTAAGTAACAGCTCTGGGGAATTAAAAATATAATAGAAAAATTGGCTGGGCATTATGGCTCATGCCTGTAATCCCAGCACTTTGAGAAGCCAAGGTAGAAGGATTGTTTAAAGCCAGGAGTTCAAGACCAACCAGGGCAATATTAGATAGACCTCTTCTCTGCTAAACATTCTTTTAAAAAGAGAAATTAGGCTTGGTTCAGTGGCTCACGCCTGTAATCCCAGCACTTTGGGAGGCCGAGGCGGGCGGATCACGAGGTCAGGAGATCGAGACCATCCTGGCTAACATGGTGAAACCCCATCTGTACTAAAAATACAAAAAATTAGCCGGGCATGATGGCGAACACGTGTAGTCCCAGCTACTAGGGAGGCTGAGGCGGAAGAATGACATGAACCCAGGAGGCAGAGCTTGCAGTGAGCCGAGATCACACTACTGCACTCCAGCCTGGGCAACAGAGCGAGACTCCATCTCAAAAAAATAATAAATAAATAAATAAATAAATAAATAATAAAAAAAGAAAAAAAATTAGCCAGCTGTGGTGGCTCATGCATGTGGTCCCAGCTACTTAGGAGGCTGAGTCAGGAGGGCTGCTCAAGCCCAGGAGATGGAGGCTGCAGTGAGCTATGATCATGCCACTGCACTCCAGCCTGGGCAATACAGCAAGACCTGTTCTCAAATAATAATAATAGAAAAATAAATAATTTATATAAGTCTTAATATATAAAGTTGAGGAAATCTCTCAGAAAGTAGAACAGAAATACAAATGGAAAAATAAAAGAGAAAAGATAATTAGAGGATGAATCCATAAGGTCGACCATTAGATTAACAGGAGTTCTGGAAATACAGAAGAAATGGAAGAAAATTATCAAAGAAACTGAGTTTCCAGAGTGGCAGAGCCTGCTGAGTGCCCAGCATAATGAAAGAAAACAAAACAAAGGAAAAACATTATGGCACATCATCATGAAATTTTTTAACACAAAGGATAAAGAGAAAATCAAAAATCTTGGTGATAGGAGGTGAGGAGGGGGCAGGGAAAGGGCAACAGGTTACTTATGAAAGAGCAGGTAATAGGAATAGCATTTTTGTCCATAGTAACATTAGTGGCTAGAAGACGATATAGGGAGGCTTTCAAAATTCTGAGAGAAAATACGTTTTCAATCTAGAACTCCTATACTAAGCCATATTATCAGTCAAGTATGAGGAATAAATAAGTATATTTTTAGGCATGCAAGGATCAGAAATTTACCCCTCATCCCCACATAACTTTTCTTAGGAAAGCACTGGAGGATTTGCTCTAGTAAAACAAGAAAGACAGAAAAAAAATCCTAAAATTTGTATGGAACAAAAAGTCCAAATAGTCAAAGCAATCCTAAGCAAAAAGAACAAAGCTAGAGGCATCACACCACCTGAATTTAAAATATACTGCAAGGCTCTAATAACCAAAACAGCATGGTATTGATATAAAAACACAGACCAAGGGAACAAAAAGAGAACCCAGAAATAAATCCACGTACAGCCAATTGATTTTTGACAAAGGTACCAAGCACATACATTGGGGAAAAATGTTGTTGGGAAAACTGGATATCCATATCCAGAAGAATGAAACTAAACTCCTGTCTCTCACCATACGCAAAAAATCAACTCAAAATGTATAGGGAAAAGAAAGAGCGATCAGACTGTTACTGTGTCTATCTAGAAAAAGTAAGACAAAAGAAACTCCATTTTGATCTGTACTAAGAAAAATTGTTCTGCTTTGAGATGCTGTTAATCTGTAACTCTTGTCCCAACCCTGTGCTCACAAAAACATGTGCTGTATTGACTCAAGTTTTAAGGGATTTAGGGCTGTGCAGGATGTGCTTTGTTAAAAATGTTTTTGCAGCCAGGCGCAGTGGCTCATGCCTGTAATCCCAGCACTTTGGGAGGCCGAGGCGGGCAGATCATGAGGTCAGGAGATCGAGATCATCTTGGCTAATATGGTGAAACCCTGTCTGTACTAAAAATACAAAAGATTAGCCAGGCGTGGTGGCGGGCCCCTGTAGTCCCAGCTACTCGGGAGGCTGAGGCAGGAGAATGGCATGAACCTGGGAGGCGGAGCTTGCAGTTAGCCGAGATTGAGCCACTGCACTCCAGCCTGGGTGACAGAGCAAGACTCCGTCTCAAAAAAAAAAAAAAAAAAAAAATCACACCTGTAATCCCAGCACTTTGGGAGGCTGAGGCGGGCAGATCACGAGGTCTGGAGATCAAGACCATCCTGGCTAACACGGTGAAATCCCGTCTCTACTAAAAATACAACAAATTAGCTGGGCGTGGTGGTAGGCGCCTGTAGTCCCAGCTACTCGGGAGGCTGAGGCAGGAGAATGGCATGAACCCAGGAGGCAGAGCTTGCAGTGAGCCGAGATCGTGCCACTGCACTCCAGCCTGGGCGACAGCGCAACACTCCTTCTCAAAAAAAAAAAAAAATGTGTTTGCAGGCAGTATGCTTTGTGAAAGTCATCGCCATTCTCCATTCTCTATTAATCAGGGACACAATGCACTGTGGAAGGCCGCAGGGACCCCTGCCCAAGAAAGCCTGGGTATTGTCCAGGTTTCCCCGGACTGAGACAGCCTGAGATATGGCCTCGTGGGGAGGGAAAGACCTTACAGCCCCCCAGCCCGACACCCGTAAAGGGTCTGTGCTAAGGAGATTAGTGAAATAGGAAGGCCTCTATGCGGTAGAGATAAGAGTGTGGCATCTGTCTCCTGCACGTCCCTGGGAATGGAATGTCTCGGTGTAAAACCCGACCATACATTCTATTTACTGAGATAGGAGAAAACCTCCTTATGGCTGGAGATGAGACATCATGGCGGCAATACTGCTCTGTTACTCTTTACTGCACTGAGGTGTTTATGTAAGCTTAAACATAAATCTAGCGATTGTGCACATCCAGGCACAGCACCTTTTCTTAAACTTATTCATGACACAGAGTCTTTGCTCACATGGTCTTCTGCTGATCCTCTCCCCACCTTCACCCTATAGCCCCGCCACATTCCCCTTGCTGAGATAGTAAAGATAGTGATCAATAAATACTGAGGGAACTCAGAGACCAGCGCTGGTGCAGGTCCTCACTTGCTGAGCGCCGGTCCCTGGGCCCATTTTTCTTCCGCTATACTTTGTCTCTATGTCTTATTTCCTTTTCTCAGTCTCTCGTCTCCACCTTGCGAGAAATACCCACAGGTGTGCAGGGGCAGGCCCTCTTCATCTGGTGCCCAATGTGGGTTCCTTTCTCTACGGTGAAGATACGCTAGAGTGTGATCATTGAAGACAAATCGACGAGAGATTCCCGAAGACTTCCATGATCAGCCTTGTGGTAAGCTTGTGCACTCAGAGAAACCCAGGGTAAGAATGGGTCAAACTGAAAGCAAATATGCCTCTTATCTCAGCTTTATTAAAGTTATTTTAAGAAGAGGGGGAGTTAGAGCCTCCACAGAAATCTAATCATGCTATTTCAAACAATAGAACAATTCTGCCTATGGTTTCCAGAATAGGGAACGTTAGATCTAAAAGACTGGGAAAAAATTGGCAAAGAATTAAAACAAGCAAATAGGGAGGATAAAATCATCCCACTTACAGTATGGAATGATTGGGCCATTATTAAAATAGGTTTAGAATCATTTCAAACAGAAGAAGATAGCGTTTCAGTTTCTGATGCCCCTGAAAGCTGTGTAATAGATTGTGAGGAAGAGGCAGGGACAGAATTCAAGAAAGTAACGCAAGGTTCACAGTATAAAAAGGTAGATGAGTCTGGCTGGGCGCAGTGGCTCACACCTGTAATCCCAGCACTGTGGGAGGCCGAGGCGGATGGATCACAAGGTCAGGAGATCGAGACCGTCCTGGCTAACACAGTGAAACCCTGTCTTTACTAAAAAAATACAAAAACTTAGCCAGGCGTCGTGGCAGGTGTCTGTAGTCCCAGCTACTCGGGAGGCTGAGGCAGGAGAATGGCGTGAACCTGGGAGGCGGAGCTTGCAGTGAGCCGAGATGGCACCACTGCACTCCAGCCTGGGCAACAGAGCGAGACTCCGTCTCGAAAAAAAAAAAAAGAAAAAAAGGGTAGAAGAGTGTAATGGCTCAGTCAACGGAAAATGTTGACTACAACCAATTACAGGAGGTAATATATTATGAACCATCAAAATTGGGGGGAAAAGGTCTAGAACTATTGGGGCCATCAGAGTCTAACCCACGATGGCCAACTCCTCCTCCCACAGTTCAGATGCCCGTAACATTACAACCTCAAATGCAGGTTAGACAAGTACAAACCCCAAGAGAATATCAGATAGAAAAGGATAGTCTCTATCACAGCAATGCCAATCCAGATACAGTATTCACAATATCAGCTGGTAGAAAGTAAGACCCAACCGCCAGTACCCTATCAATACTGACCGCCAGCCGAACTTCAGTATCAGCCGCCCCCCAGAAAATCAGTATGGACAGCCAGGAACGTTTCCAGCACCACAGGGCACGCACGGCGATATAGCCTCAGCTGCCCACTATGAGACTTAATCCTACACCACCACCTAGTGGACAGGATGGTGCATTACATGAAATTATTGAGAAGGCAAGAAAACAAGGAGAGATACTGAGGCGTTTTAATTTCAAGTAATATTAGAGCCCATACTACCTGGAGAAGGGCCCTCCCCAAGCTGATGCCAGATATGAGTCCTTTTCTATAAAAATGCTAAAAGACATGAAAGAGGGAGTAAAACAGTATGGACCCAATTCTCCTTATATGAGAACATTATTAGATTCCATTGCTCATGGAAATAGACTTATTCCTTATGACTGGGAAATTTTGGCCAAATCATCACTCTCACCTTCTCAATTTTTACAATTTAAGACCTGGTGGATTGATGGGGTACAACAACAGATCCGCAAAAATAGGGCCGCCAATCCCAGTTAACATAGATGCAGGTAAAAAATAGAAAAATTAAACCACAAAAAATAGAAATAAGAAAAGACACATTAAAAACATTAAATGACTTTCAAAAATTGCTAGGAGATATTAATTGGATTTGGCCAATTTTAGGCATTCCTACTTATGCCATGTCAAATTTGTTCTCTATCTTAAGAGGGGACCCGGACTTAAATAGTAAAAGAATATTGACCCCAGAGGCAGCAAAAGAAATTGAATTAGTTGAAGAAAAAATTTGGTCAGCACAAGTAAATAGAATAGATCCCTTGGTCCCACTCCAACTTTTGATTTTTGCTACTGCACATTCTCTGACAGGCATCATTGTTCAAAATACTGATCTTGTGGAGTGGTCATTCCTTCCTCACAGTACAATTAAGACTTTTACATTGCATCAAATAGCTACATTAATTGGTCAGGCAAGGTTATGAATAATAAAATTGTGTGGAAGTGACCCAGACAAAATCATTGTTCCTTTAAACAAGGAACAGGTTAGACAAGCCTTTATCAATTCTTGTACATGGCAGACTGGTCTTGCTGATTTTGTGGGAATTATTGACAATCATTACCCAAAAACAAAAACCTTCCAGTTTTTAAAATTGACTACTTGGATTTTACCTAAAATTACCAGACATGAACCTTTAGAAAATGCTCTGACGGTGTTTACTAATGGTTCCAGCAATGAAAAAGCAGCTTACATTGGGCCAAAAGAACAAGTCATCGAAACTCAATATCACTGGGCTCAAAGAGCAGAGTTGGTTACAGTCATTACAGTGTTACAAGATTTTAATCAGCCTATTAATATTGTATCAGATTCTGCATATGTAGTACAGGCTACAAGGGATGTTGAGACAGCCCTAATCAAATATAGTATTGATGATCAGTTAAACCAGCTGTTCAACTTATTACAACAAACTGTGAGAAAAAGAAATTTCCCATTTTGTATTACTCACATTGAAGCACACACTAATTTACCAGGGTCTTTAACTAAAGCAAATGAACAAGCTGACTTACTGGTATCATCTGCATTCATAAAAGCACAAGAACTTCATGCTTTGACTCATGTAAATGCAGCAGGATTAAAAATAAATTTGATATCTCATGGAAACAGGCAAAAAATATTGTACAACATTGCACCCAGAGTCAAGTCCTACACCTGCCCACTCAAGAGGCGGGAGTTAATCCCAGAGGTCTATGTCCTAATGCGTTATGGCAAACGGATGTCACACATGTATCTTCATTTGGAAAATTATCATTTGTCCATGTGACAGTTGATACTTATTCACATTTCGTATGGGCAACTTGCGAGACAGGAGAAAGTACTTCCCATGTTAAAAGACATTTATTATATTGTTTTGCTCTCATGGGAGTTCTGGAAAAAATTAAAACTGACAATGGGCCAGGATACTGTAGTAAAACATTCCAAAAATTCTTAAATCAGTGGAAAATTACACATACAACAGGAATTCCCTATAATTCCCAAGGATAGGCCATAGTTGAAAGAACTAATAGAACACTCAAAACTCAATTGGTTAAACAAAAAAGAACTCTCCCTTTCCCTCTCCCTCTCCCCCTCCCTCTCCATCTCTGTCTCCATCTCCCTCTCCCCACGGTCTCCTTCTCCCTGTCTTTCCACGGTCTCCCTCTGATGCCGAGCCGAAGCTGGACTGTACTGCTGCCATCTCGGCTCACTGCAACCTCCCTGCCTGATTCTCCTGCCTCAGCCTGCTGAGTGCCTGGGATTGCAGGCACGCGCCGCCACGCCTAACTGGTTTTCGTATTTTTTTGGTGGAGACGGGGTTTCGCTGGGTTGGCCGGGCTGGTCTCCAGCTCCTAACCGCGAGTGATCTGCTAGCCTCAGCCTCCCGAGGTGCCGGGATTGCAGACGGAGTCTCGTTCACTCAGTGCTCAATGTTGCCCAGGCTGGAGTGCAGTGGCGTGATCTCGGCTAGCTACAACCTCCACCTCCCAGCCGCCTGCCTTAGCCTCCCAAAGTGCGGAGATTGCAGCCTCTGCCCGGCCGCCACCCCGTCTGGGAAGTGAGGAGCGTCTCTGCCTGGCCGTCCATCGTCTGGGATGTGAGGAGCCCCTCTGCCCGGCTGCCCAGTCTGGGAAGTGAGGAGCGCCTCTTCCCGGCCGCCATCCCATCTAGGAAGTGAGGAGCGTCTCTGCCCGGCCGCCCATCGTCTGAGATGTGGGGAGCGTCTCTGCCCCGCTGCCCCGTCTGGGATGTGAGGAGCACCTCTGCCCGGCCGCCACCCCATCTGGGAGGTGAGGAGCGTCTCTGCCCGGCTGCCCCGTCTGAGAAGTGAGGAGCCCCTCCGCCCGGCAGGTGCCCCATCTGAGAAGTGAGGAGCCCCTCCACCCGGCAGGCGCCCCTTCTGGGAAGTGAGGAGCGCCTCCGCCCGGCAGCTGCCCCGTCCGGGAGGGAGGTGGGGGGCCCTCCGGGAGGGAGGTGGGGGTCAGCCCCCGCCAGGCCAGCCGCCCCGTCCAGGAGGGAGGTGGGGGGGTCGGCCCCCCGCCCGGCCAGTCGCCCCATCCGGGAGGTGAGGGGTGCCTCTGCCTGGCTGCCCCAACTGGGAAGTGAGGAGCCCCTCTGCCCGGCCAGCCGCCCCATCCGGGAGGGAGGTGGGGGGGTCAGTCCCCCGCCCGGCCAGCCGCCCCGTCCGGGAGGGAGGTGGGGGGGTCAGCCCCCCGCACGGCCAGCTGCCCCGTCCGGGTGGTGAGGGGCACCTCTGCCCGGCCGCCCCTACTGGGAAGTGAGGAGCCCCTCTGCCCGGCCAGCCGCCCCGTCCGGGAGGGAGGTGAGGGGGTCAGCCCCCTGCCCGGCCAGCCGCCCCGTCCGGGAGGTGAGGGACGCCTCTGCCCGGCCGCCCCTGCTGGGAGGTGGGGAGCCCCTCTGCCTGGCCACCACCCCGTCTGAGAGGTGTGCCCAACAGCTCATTGAGAGCGGGCCGGGATGACAATGGCGGCTTTGTGCAATAGAAAGGGGGGAAGGGTGGGGAAAAGATTGAGAAATCGGATGGTTGCGGTGTCTGTGTAGAAAGAGGTAGACATGGGAGACTTTTCATTTTGTTCTGTACTAAGAAAAATTATTCTGCCTTGGGATCCTGTTGATCTGTGACCTTACCCCCAACCCTGTGCTCTCTGAAACATGTGCTGCGTCCACTCATGGTTAAATGGATTAAGGGTGGTGCAAGATGTGCTTTGTTAAACAGATGCTTGAAGGCAGCATGCTCGTTAAGAATCATCACCACTCCCTAATCTCAAGTACCCAGGGACACAAACACTGCGGAAGGCCGCTGCCTAGGAGAACCAGAGACCTTTGTTCACTTGTTTATCTGCTGACCTTCCCTCCACTATTGTCCTATGACCCTGCCAAATCCCCCTCTGTGAGAAACACCCAAGAATGATCAATAAAAATTAAAAAAAAAAACAAAAAAAAAAAAACAAAAAAAAAAAGAAAAAGCTGACACAGTTCTCTGAAAAAAGCCTAGAGAACACAAGGGTGACACAAACTCCAGAGAGTATGCTGCTTGCAGCTTTGATGATTGTATCAACAGTGGTAAGTCACCCCATGTCTGCAGGAGCAGCTGCAGCTAATTATACCTACTGGGCCTATGTGCCTTTCCCACCCTTAATTCGGGCAGTCACATGGATGGATAATCCTATTGAAGTATATGTTAATAATAGTGCATGGGTACCTGGCCCCATAGAGGATCGTTGCCCTGCCCAACTCGAGGAAGAAGGAATGATGATGAATATTTCAATTGAGTATCGTTATACTCCTATTTGCCTAGGGAGGGCACAAGGATGCTTAATGCCTGAAACCCAAAATTGGTTGGTAGAAGTACCTACTGTCAGTACCACCAGTAGATTTACTTATCACATGGTGAGTGGAATGTCACTCAGGCCACAGGTAAATTATTTACAGGACCCTTCTTATTAAAGATCATTATAATCTAAGTCTAAGGGGAAGCCTTGGCCCAAGGAAATTCCCAAAGGATCAAAAAGCCCAGAAGTTTTAGTTTGGGAAGAATGTGTGGCTGATAGTGCGGTGATACTACAAAACAATGAATTCAGAACTATTATAGATTGGGCATCTCGAGGTCAATTCTACCGCAGTTGCACAGGACAAACTCAATCTTGTTCCAGTGCACATGTGAGTCCGGCTGTGAACAGTGACTTCAGAGAAGGTTTAGATAAAAATAAGTACAAAAGGTTAGAATCTCCCTACCCTTGGGAATGGGCAGAAAAAGGAATCTCTGCTACAAGACCAAAGATAATAAGTCCTGTCATTGGTCCTGAACATCTAGAATTATGGAGGCTTATGTGGCCTCGCACCACATTGGAATTTGGTCTGGAAATCAAGTTATAGGAACAAAAGACCGTAAGCCATCTTATACTATTGACCTAAATTCCAGTCTGACAATTCCTTTGCAAAGTTGTGTAAAACCCCCTTATATGCTAATTGTAGGAAACATAGTTATTAAACCAGATTCCCAAACTATAACCTATGAAAATTGTAGATTGTTTACTAGCATTGATTCGACTTTTAATTGGCAGCACCGTATTCTACTAGTGAGAGCAAGAGAGGGCGTGTGGATTCCTGTGTCCATGGACCGACCGTGGGAGGCTTCGCCATCTGTCCATATTTTGACTGAAGTATTAAAAGGAGTTCTAAATAGATTCAAAAGATTCATTTTTACTTTGATGCAGTGATTATGGGATTAATTGCAGTCACAGCTACGGCTGCTGCGGCAGAAGTTGCATTGCACTCTTCTGTTCAGACAGTACGCTTTGTTAACAATTGGCAAAAAAATTCTATGAGATTGTGGAATTCACAATCTGGTATTGATCAAAAATTGTCGAACCCAATTAATGATCTTAGACAAACTGTCATTTGGATGGGAGATAAGCTCATGAGCTTGGAAATCGTTTTCAGTTACACTGTGACTGGAATACATCAGATTTTTGTATTACACCCCGAGCCTATAATGAGTCTGAGCATCACTGGGACATGGTTAGACGCCATCTACAGGGAAGAGAAGATAATCTTACTTTAGACATTTCAAAATTAAAAGAGCAAATTTTCAAAGTATCAAAAGCCCATTTACATTTCGTACCAGGAACTTAGGCAATCGCAGGAGCTGCTGATGGCTTCACAAATCTTAACCCTGTCACTTGGGTTAAAACCCTCAGAAGTTCCACTATTGTAAATTTCATATTAATCCTTGTGTGCCTATTCTGTCTGTTGTTAGTCTACAGGTGTAACCAGCAGCTCCGAAGAGACAGTAACCATCAAGAACAGGCCATAATGAAGATGGCGGTTTTGTCAAAAGAAAAGGGGGAAGTGTGAGGAAAAGAAAAAGAGATCAGATTGTTACTGTGTCTATCTAGGAAAAGGAAGACAAAAGAAACTCCATTTTGATCTGTACTAAGAAAAATTGTTCTGCTTTGAGATGCTGTTAATCTGTAACTCTTGTCCCAACCCTGTGCTCGCAAAAACATGTGCTGTATTGACTCAAGGTTTAAGGGAGGGCTGTGCAGGATGTGCTTTGTTAAAAATGTGTTTGCAGGCAGTATATTGGTGAAAGTCATCGCCATTCTCCATTCTCTGTTAACCAGGGACACAATGCACTGTGGAAGTCTGCAGGGACCCCTGCCCAAGAAAGCCTGGGTATTGTCCAGGTTTCCCCCGACTGAGACAGCCTGAGATATGGCCTCATGGGAAGGGAAAGAACTTACAGCCCCCCAGCCCTACACCCGTAAAGGGTCTGTGCTAAGGAGGATTAGTGAAAGAGGAAGGCCTCTATGCGGTTGAGATAAGAGCGTGGCATCTGTCTCCTGCACGTCCCTGGGATTGGATGTCTCAGCATAAAACCGACCATATATTCTATTCTGAGACAGGAGAAAACCACCTTATGGCTGGAGGTGAGACATCATGGCGGCAATACTGCTCTGTTACTCTTTACTGCACTGAGTTGTTTATGTAAGCTTAAACATAAATCTAGCGATTGTGCACATCCAGGCACAGCACCTTTTCTTAAACTTATTTATGACAGAGTCTTTGCTCACATGTTCCTCTGCTGACCCTCTCCCCACCTTCACCCTATAGCCCCGCCACACTCCCCTCGCAGAGATAGTAAAGATAGTGATCAATAAATATGGAGGGAACCAGAGACCAGTGCCAGTGCAGGTCCTCACTTGCTGAGTGCCGGTCCCCTGGGCCCACTTTTCTTCCTCTATACTTTGTCTCCGTGTCTTATTTCTTTTCTCAGTCGCTCGTCTCCATCTTGCGAGAAATACCCACAGGTGTGGAGGGGCAGCCTCCCTTCAAAAATGCATTAAAGACTTAAATGTACTCCAAACTGTAGAACTACTAGAAGAAAACATGGGGAAACACTCTAGGATATGGGTCTAGGCAAAGACTTTATGACTAAGACCTCAAAAGCACAGGCTACAAAAACAAAAATAGACAAATGGGACTATTTTAAACTAAAAAGTTTCTGCACAGCAAAGGAAACAACAGAATGAAGAAACAACCTGTTGAATGGTACAAAATATTTGCAAACCATTCATCTAACAAGGGATTAATATCCAGAATATACATGGAACTCAAACAACTCAACAGCAAAAACAATTCCATTTTTAAAAGCGGGCAAAGGATCTGAACAGACATTTCTCAAAAGAAGACGTACAAAGGCCATCAAGTATATGAAAAAATGCTCAATATTACTAATCATCATAGAAATGCAAATCAAGGCCAGGCTTGGTGGCTCATGCCTGTAATCCCAGCACTTTGGGAGGCCAAGATGGGCCTGAGGTCAGGAGTTCAAGACCAGCCTGGCCAACATAGTGAAACCCCGTCTCTATTAAAAACACAAAATTAGCCAGCGTGGTGGTACACGCCTATACTCCCAGCTACTCAGGAGGCTGAGGCAGGAAAGTCGCTTGAACCCAGGAAGCAGAGGTTGCAGTGAGCTGAGATCGTGCCATTGTACTCATTGTACTCCAGCCTGGGCAACAAGAGAGAAACTCTGTCTAAAAAAAAAAGAGGGGGGGGAATCAAAACCACTATGAGATATTGTCTCACCCCAGTTAGAATGGCTACTATGAAAAAGATTAAAAAAAAAAAAAAAAAAAAACAGTTGCTGGTCAGGATGCAGAGAAGAGGAAACTTACACACCGTTGGTGGGAATGTAAATTAGTACAGCCATTATGGAAAACAGTATGGAGATTTCTCAAAAAAACTAAAAGTAGAACTACCATGCGAGGTAGCAGTCTCACTACTGAGTATTTATCCAAAGGAAAGGACATCAGTATATCAAGGGATAGCTCCACCCATATGTTTATTGCAGCACTATTCACAATAGCAAAGATATTGAATCAACTTTGTGTCCATCAGTGGATGACTGAGAAAGAAAATGTGATATATATACATAATGGAATATTATGTGGCAGTAAAAAAGACTGAAAGCTGGGCATGTTGGCTCATGCCTGTAATCCCAGCACTTTAGGAGATCAAGGTGGGAGGACTGTTTGAGGCCAGGAGTTCGAGACCAGCCTGGGCAACACAGTGAGACCACGTCTCTACAAAAAATAAAATAAAAAATTAGCTGAGCATGGCAGCTTGTGCCTTTAGTCCCAGCTACTCAGGAGACAGAGTCAGGAGGACCACTTGAGCCTAGAATTTCAAGGCTGCCGTGTGCCATGACTGCACCACTGCACTCCAGCCTGGGCAACAGAGCAACAGCCCGTTCAAAAAAAAGGTGGGGAGACAGGGCGCAGTGGCTCACGCCTGTAATCCCGGCACTTTGGGAGGCCGAGGTGGGCGGATCACGAGGTCAGGAGATCGAGACCATCTTGGCTAACATGGTGAAACCCCGTCTCTACTAAAAATACAAAAAATTAGCCGGGCATGGTGGCGGGCACCTGTAGTCCCAGCTACTTGGGAGGCTGAGGCAGGAGAATGGCATGGGAACCAGGGAGGCGGAGCTTGCAGGAGCCGAGATCGCGCCACTGCACTCCAGCCTGGGCAACAGAGTGAGACTCCGTCTCAAAAAAAAAAAAAAAAAAATGCAGGGTGCGAAGAATGAATTAGGCTGGGCATGGTGGCTCATGCCTGCAATCCCAGCACTTTGGCAGGCCAAGGTGGGTGGATCACTTGAGCTCAGGAGTTCGAGACCAGCCTGGGCAACATGGCAAAACCCCATCTCTACAAAAAAATTCAAAAATTAGCTGGGCATGGTGGAGTGCCTGTAGTCCAAGCTACTTGGAAGGCTGAAATGGGAGGATCGCTTGAGCCTGGGAGGTCAAGGCTGCAGTGAGCTATGATCACGCCACTGCACTCCAGCCTGGGTGACAGAGTGAGACCCTGTCTCAAAAATAAATAAATAAATAAATAAATTATGTAATTTGTAGCAACATGGATGGAATTGGAGGTCATTATGTTAAGTGAAATAAGCTAGACACAGAAAGGCGAATATGACATATTCTCACTCATGTGGGAGCCTAAAAAAAGTTGATCTCATGAAAGTAGAGAGTAAAATGTTAGTTACCAGAGGCTAAAAGGGGTGTGGGTGTGTGAGTGGGGAGGAAGAGAGTTTGGTTAATAGGTACAAACATACAGTTAGATAGAAAGAATATGTTCTGATTTTTAATAGCAGAGTAAAGTGACTATAGTTAAACAACAGTATATTATGTATTCCAAAATAGCTAGAAGAGACAACTTGAAATGTTCTGAACACACAGAAATGATAAATGCTGAAGATGATGGATATCCTAAATAGCCTGAATTGGTCATTATACATTCTATGTACGTAAAAAACTATCATATGTACTCCATAAATATGTACCAATATTATGTATCAATAAAAAAGAAAGACAAAGGGAATAGGTTTTAGGAAGTGGGATCAACCTAGGAAGGAAGCAGAAGGAAGTCCCAAGAGGACAGCTGTATGCAGACTTAGAGAGACTGGAGAAAGAAGTGCTCTAGGGGTTGTTTCCAGTGAACCTGATAGAGTATCTGACATGTTTGACTATGTTGAAAATAATGTAGGCATTTTTACATTTATGTTGGAAATTCTGGAAGAATTAGTGATAATGACAGAAAATTTGGCAAACAAAAACTGAGGCAATTGTTAATTCCAAGAAAAACCAAAAATCGTGTAAGAAAGGAAATGTAGCTGGGCACGGTGGCATGCACCTGTAACCCCAGCTGCTCAGGAGGCTGAGGTAGGAGGATCACTTGAGTTCAGGAGTTCCAGACCAGCCTGAATGAGAGAGATCCCATTGAAAGAAAAAGAGAGAAAGAGGAGAGAAAAAGAGAGAAAGAAAGAGGGGGAGAGAGAGAGAAAGAGAGAGAAAGGAAATGTGATCATAATATGTCTAATTGATCCAGAAGTAAACCACATTAGTATAGGAGAGTCATAATAAGGTTAACATGAAATATTGATTTAATAAAATATATTGTGATATAACAGTATTGGGAAAGATAGAAAATAAAAGGTGTAAATTATCATATTTCCTGTAAGATACTGATATTGTCTGGATATTTGTCCCTGGCCAAATCTTACATTGAATTGTAATCCCCAGTGCTGGAGGTGGGGCCTGGTGGGAGGTGTTTGGGTCATGGGGTTGGATCTCTCATGGTTTGGTGCTGTCTTCACAATAGCACAACATCCGGTCATTTAAAAATGTGTGGCGCCGGCTGGCCGTGGTGGCTCATGCCTGTAATCCCAGCACTTTAGGAGACCGAGGTGGGCGGATCATGAGGTCAAGAGTTCGAGACCAGCCTGACCAACATGGTGAAACCCGTCTCTACTAAAAATATAAAAATTAGCTGGGTGTGGCAGCACGCACCTGTAATCTCAGCTACTGGGGAGGCTGAGGCAGGAGAATTGCTTGAACCCAGGAGGTGGACGTTGCAGTGAGCCGAGATTGCGCCACTGCACTCCAGCCTGGGTGACAGAGTGAGACTCCGTCTCAGGAAGAAAAAAAAAAAAAAAAACATTGTGTGGTAACTTCTGTCTCTCTCCCCTCCTTTTGCCACGTGATGTGCCTGCTATTACAATTGTTAGTTTTCTGCCTTTGTGATGTGGCTAATAATATCAAACGTGTGTTGAAGTCCCCTACTATTATTGTGTGTCTAAGTTTTTTCTTAGGTCTAGAAGTAATTATTCTATAAAGTTGGCTGCTCCAATGTTGGGTGCATATATATTTAGAATAGTTAGGTCTTCTTGTTGAATTGAACCCTTCATCATTATGTGATGCCTTCTTTGTCTTTTTTTACTGTTGTTCATTTAAAGTCTATTCTATCTGATACAAGAATAGCGATCCTTATGCTTTTTTTGTTATTTCCATTCGGACGATAGATCTTTCTCTGTCTCTTTACTTTGAGCCTATAGGTGTCATTATATGTGAGATGGATCTCTTAAAGACAGAAGAAATGGATGGATCTTGTTTTTTTTAATCCAACTTGCCAGTTTATATCTTTTTTTTTTTTTTTTTTTTTTTCTGAGACAGAGCTTCGCTCTTGTTGCCCAGGCTGGAGTTCAATGGCACGATCTCAGCTCAGTGCAACCTCCGCCTCCCGGGTTCAAGTGATTTTCCTGCCTCAGCCTCCTGAGTAGCTGGGACTATAGGTGCGTGCCACCACACCTTGCTAATTTTTGTATTTTTAGTAGAGACGGGGTTTCACCATGTTAGCCAGGATGGTCTCGATCTCCTGACCTCATAATCCGCCCACATTGGCCTCCCAAAGTGCTGGGATTACAGGTATCAGCCACTGCACCTGGCTGCCACTCTATGTCTTTTAAGTGGAGTGCTTAGACCATTTACTTCAAGGTTAATATTGATATGTTAAGTTTTGTTGCCATTGTAGTGTTGTTATCTAATTGCTTTATAATCTTGATTGTGTAATTGCTTTACAGAGTCTGTGGGCTATGTGCTTTTGTGGTAGCAAGCATCATTCTTTAGTTTCTGCAGTTAGAACTCCCTTAAGCATCTCTTGTAGGACTGGTCTCGTGGTGACAAATTCTCATAGCAATTATTTGTCTGGGAAAGACCTTATTTCTCCTTCATTTATGAAGAGGATTGCTTGAGGCCAGGAGTTCAAAACTAGTCTGGGCAACAAAGCGAGACCCTGTCTCTACAAAGAGTTAAAAAAGATTAGCCAGGCATTGTGGCATGCACCTGTCATCCCAGCAACTAAGGAAGCTGACGTAGGAGGATCACTTGAGCCTAGGAGTTTGAGGCTGCAGTGAGCTATGATTGCACAACTGTATTCTAGCCTGGGCAACAGAGCAAGATCCTGTCTCTACCTGAAAAAAAAAAAAATCCTAAAAATGGGCCCCCAGTCTCTTTTTGTTTGTAAGTCTTTGCTGAGAAATTCATTTTTAGTCTAATATGATGCTTTTCTCTAGTTGCCTTTAAGATTTTTTCTTTCACATTAACCCTGGATACTCTGATGACTATGGACCTTGAGGATGGTCATCTTGCATACTATCTCACAGGAATTCTCTAGATTTCTTGTATCTGCATATTGAACTCTCTAGCCAGATTGGGAAAATTTTCCTGAATTATATCCTTGAATATATTTTTCAAGTTGCTTACTTGTGCTTCTCTCTCAGAAATTCCAGTAAGTCATAAATTTGGTCACTTTATATAATCCCATATTTATTGATGGCTTTGTTCATTTTTTTTTAAATTTTTTTATCTTTATTTTTGTCTGACTGGGTTGATTCAAAGGACCAGTCTTTGAGCTCTGAAATTCTTTCTTCTACTTAGTATAGTGTGTTGTTAAGGCTTCTAGCTATATTTTGAAATTCTGTTAGTGAATTTTTAATTCGAGAAATTGCTTCATTCATTCTTAATACAGCTGTGTTATCTTTCAAATCTTTGATAGTTCTTCTGACTTCCCTGTGTTGGATTTCAACTTTCTCTTTGATCTTATTGAGTTTCTTTGCCATTCATATTCTAAATTCTATATCTGTTAGGATCCATTGCTTGAGACACAATGGGGTCCTTTGGCTAAACACTTTGGCTTTTTGTTTTCCTGGAGTTCTTGCCCTGGTTCCTTCTCATCTGAAGGAACTGACACTTCCTTTTTTTGAATTTGCTATCATTTGGATGGGGCTTCTTGATTATTATTATTATTTATTATTATTTTTTTGAGACAGAGTTTTGCTCTTTCACCCAGGTTGGAATGAAGTGGTGTGATCTCGGCTCACTGCAACCTCTGCCCCCCTCCCCCACCCCCCCAGTTCAAGCAATTCTCCTGCCTCAGCCTCCCGAGTAGCTGGGATTACAGGCACCTGCCACCATGCCCGGTTAATTTTTGTATTTTTAGTAGAGATGGGGCTTCGCCATGTTGGTCAGGCTGGTCTCAAACTCCTGACCTCAGGTGATCCACCTGCCTCGACCTCCCAAAGTGCTAGGATGGATTACAGGCATGAGCCACTGCACCTGGTGGCTTCTTGATTTTTTATTCTTTTTTTCCCTTGTTGGCATGACTGTGGTGTATGTTGTCTATGATTGATTGGCTTTATTTCTGGGTGTTTTCAGGGTGCCAAGGTTCTGTACAGGTTCCTTGGTTGTAGATAAGTTCATGCAGTGGCTTTCTGAAACATTATTTGTTGTAGTGATGCATGCACTTTTGTTCAGTGGTATAATTCAGTTGCCGTCCAGTAGATGGTGTTTAAGAGTAAGAGCCATCAGGGAGGTGTGCGGGTGGAAGCAATGGAGAGTCAATCACAAAAAGCACTTTCCTTCAGGGTATTCACCTTCAGTGAAGGTGAAGCTGCCGGAGAAGCCCAAGAAGTGGTTTCTGTAAGCCCATGCTCCCCAGCCCTGTTGGGAACAGCCACTGTCAAGTCCACAACAGTGCACTGAGGACAAGGGTAAGGGGAGAGAGATGACCTTCTCTCTATGTCTATTTATGGGCTTTGGTGGTACTGCCTTCAGCAACTGGTGCTGAGCTTGCATTTCCTGTGACCCAAGGGGGGCTTTGGCAGGCCATGTTCCCCCTCCCATAGGGATGGACTGCACCAAGGGTTAGATCTCCAGGGGCGTAGGGTCTGCCCCTCTCTTCTGCTTCTTGGAGCTGGTGGGACACTATACCCCAACTGACCAAGGGAGCAGGTTAGGGCACTAAGCAATGACACATGCAGACTGGTTCCAGGTCACAAAGCTGTCCCTAGCTGCAAGTCTCACCACTGGTGAGAAACTTCAGCTTCAGCAACTCTCCTCTCACTCCAGTCCTATGATGGGAGACAGCCTAATTCAGTGTTTATGGCTGGGGCACTCTTCACACTCAGTGACCAATTCTGGCTGTGGGCCCTTCCCCCATTCCAGAGCAAGCACTCTAATCTCTAGCGTGAGACTAAAATGCCTGCTGTGGCTGCCACTGCCAGGTTGCCAAACAATGTCTGGCTTTGTATGAGCCTGGATTAAAAATGGCATCCTCTAATCCCAGCACTTTGGGAGGCCGAGGCGGGCGGATCACGAGGTCAGGAGATCGAGACCATCCTGGCTAACACGGTGAAACCCCGTCTCTACTAAAAAAAAAATACAAAAAATTAGCCGGGCGTGGTGGCGGGCCCCTGTAGTTCCAGCTACTCGGGAGGCTGAGGCAGGAGAATGGCGTGAACCCAGGAGGCGGAGCTTGCAGTGAGCCGAGATAGTGCCACTGCACTCCAGCCTGGGCAACAGAGCGAGACTCCGTCTCAAAAAATAAAAATAAAAATAAAAATGGCATCCTCCTCTTGGCCCCAGATCTGGGAAACTGTCTGCACTTTTCCCAGTATCTTTCCCTTTCTCTGTCTCCCAGGGCTTGGGAGAAACGAGTGTTTTTCCGTGGCCTGGGTTGCACAGATCCGTAGAGGAAAGGTGAGTCATAGAGGGAGACCGACTGCCCCTGTCATATACTGGAGCTTCACTCACATTTATCAGCCAAACACCACCACGGAGGCTGCTTGTCCACCTTCTCCTCCCCAGGGTCTGGGTTATTGTTTACCATTTCAGTGAATTCCTGTCTTCCTTCTTGAATTAAAGCTCTCATAGTTGGTCTTTATGTGCTGTTTTGTTGTTTCCAAGTGGCTAATGCATGCTGAAAGCTTTTAATCTGCCATCTTGAAGAAAAAAGCACCTAGTATTTTTAAATAGAAATTTATATTTTCTGGTTACGAAGGAAATAATGGCTAAAAAAAAAATGAAACATTCCAGAAACAAAAAATGAAAGTCCTCCACAATTTTTATTATGCATGTTTAATAAAAGACCATGAACTCTGCAGAGGAAAAAGGAGAACTTTATTTTCTAAAACCAATCTGCTGGCCAGGCGCTGTGGCTCACACCTGTAATCCCAGCACTGGGAGGCCAAGGCAGGTAGATCACCTGAGGTCGGGAGTTCGAGACCAGCCTGGCCAATATGGTGAAACCCCATCACTACTAAAAGTATAAAACTTAGCCAGGCCTGGTGGCACACACCTGTAATCCCAGCTTTCATGCGCGTCCGTGTGAAGAGACCACCAAACAGGCTTTGTGTGAGCAACATGGCTGTTTATTTCACCTGGGTGCAGGCGGGCTGAGTCCGAAAAGAGAGTCAGCAAAGGGAGATAGGGGTGAGGCCGTTTTATAGCATTTGGGAAGGTAATGGAAAATTACAGTCAAAGGGGGTTTTTCTCTGGTGGGCAGGGGTGGATCTCACAAAGTACATTCTCAAGGGTGGGGAGAATTACAAAGAACCTTCTTAAGGGTGGGGGAGATTACAAAGTACATTGATCAGTTAGGGTGGGGCAGGAACAAATCACAATGGTGGAATGTCATCAGTTAAGGCTGTTTTTACTTCTTTTGTGGATCTTCAGTTACTTTAGGCCATCTGGATATATACGTGCAAGTCACAGGGGATGCGATGGCCTGGCCTGGGCTCAGAGGCCTGACACCAGCTACTCGGGAGCCTGAGGCAGGAGAATCGCTTGAACCCGGGAGGCGGAGGTTGCAGTGAGCTGAGATCACGCCATTGCACTCCAGCCTGGGCAACAGAGCGGGACTCAGTCTCCAATCAATCAATCAATCTATCAAAGCAATCTGCAGACTAAGGAGATGTAGCCTTCCATGCAAACTGAAAATGTGCTCTGAAGTTTTGGGGTGGGTGAAGAGTTAGAGATTATATACACAAAACCTGCATGGTAGGTGAGGGTAATCAGGAGAATGAGGAACAGAGTCTTGATTGGATGGCCTTTAAGCCCAAAATCACCAGTCTCTCTTAATAGGCTTGTTTCAGGTGGTTAGTTGGTTGGCACCAGGTGGTCTCTTGGGGGTCAGTTGGGAAATTCCCAGCTATAGTTGTTTCCAGGCATTGTTCTTTGACTTGGTTGCAGAAAACCAGGTTTTGCGGTGCTTTCTAAGGTCACAGAGAACATGAGCACTCCCTTGCCCTGCCATGGCCTCTTGGGTCTGCTTTTACTTTTGAACCACAAGGAGTCCATCTTGTCTGTTAACTGGGGGCATAATTCAACATTTCCTCCTTTTAGTTGAAACCTGTTGTAGGCAGCACTGATGACCAACTTATGCTATGTCCCTTATTGTTGCTAGGGTGGGTCCATCTAGTCCCTCAGTGGGACTCACGTGGCTGAGAGACTTATGGCCAGTTTAAACAATTTGGACCAAGCAGGGTGAGAAGGACAAGCAGGCACCTGTTAGATCCTTATCAGTGTCTCTTATTGACGTTTGGTAGTACTGGTTAAGTCTATGGATAAGATCTGGAAGCAGGCTGAGTGTGGTGGCTCATGCCCGTAATCCTAGCACTTTGGGAGACTGAGGCTGGAGGATCACTTGAGCCTAGGAGTTTGAAACCAGCCTGGGCAGTATAGTGAGTCCCATCTCTGAAAAACAAAAACAAAAACCTAGACGTGTCATGTGATCAAAATCTGGGTTAGAGAACTGGTAAAACATTTGTTAATGCAGACAAGAATAACTATAAAGAGGAGCTAGGTACTTAGGCCTATTATAAGAAGGATTTAAGACAATGTGAGCCAGGTACAGTGCTTCACGCCTGTAATCCCAGCACTTTGGTAGGCCAAAGTAGGGGGATCGCTTGAGCTCAGGAGTTCGAGACCAGCCTAAGCAACATAGTGAGACCTCATCTCTACTAAAATTTTTTTTAAAAATTAGCTGGCTATAGTGGTGCACACCTGTAGTCCCAGCCACTCAGGGGACTGAGGCAGGATGATTGTATGAGCCCAGGAGGTCAAGACTGCAGTGAGAGTGAGTCCTGATCATGCCATGAAACCCTGTTTCAAAAAAAAAGACAATAACTGTGGACTACAAAAACTTAGGGTAGCCATAATTAAAGATGCAATTGGCAAAGAAATTTGGTTATTTGTGTGGCATAAAACAATTTAATATAATAACCATAATTATGACTGTGATAATATATACTAAGACATGTCAGAATTTAGAAATATGATATGATTTGGAAACACATTAATATTAACATATATAATGTGTTATTAATATTAATTTAATATTAATAATACATTTATATAAATACAACTCAAAGTTAAACACCATTTTAAAATGTGACAATGCTTCCTGTGTGATTTTAGCATACCAAATAAGCCTAATATGTCTTTCTCAGACCTTAGGGGTTCCTGTTATGTCTACGTCTGGGTAAAAAATAATTGATTTTAAAATTTGAGCCAGGCGCGGTGGCTCATGCCTGTAATCCCAGCACTTTAGGAGGCCGAGGCGGGCGGATCACGAGGTCAGGAGTTCAGGACCAGCCTGGCCAACATGGTGAAACCCTGTCTTTTAAAAAAAAAATACAAAAACTAGCTGGGCGCAGTGGTGCGTGCCTGTAGTCCCAGCTACTCGGGAGGCTGAGGCAGGAGAATCGCTTGAACCCAGGAGCAGAGGTTGCAGTGAGCCGAGATTGCGCCACTGCACTCCAGCCTGGGCCACAGAGTGAGACTCCATCGCCAAAAAATAAAAATTAAAAAAAAAATTGAAATTTAATTTTGAGTAGCTTGTCAAATATCAAAGGTTTAAAACGCTTGATCAAAATGAGGCCACAGGTCACTATGAAATGAAACCAAAGTGACAAAAGATCTTAAAGGCACAAAGCACAGAAATTGATGAAACACAAAATGGAATCTCTATTTCCTAGGCCAGTTACTAGGAAGGTAAAGAAAAACGTTTTACAATTTTTGTTTTGCTTTGTTTTGTTTTTAATTGAGACAGTCTCACTCTGTCACCCAGGCTGGAGTGCAGTAGCATGATCTCGGCTCACTGCAAGCTTCACCTCCTGGGTTCATGACATTCTCCTGCCTCAGCCTCCCAAGTAGCTGGGACTACAGGCACCCACCACCACGCCTGGCTAATTTTTTGTATTTTTTTTTAGTAGAGATGGCGTTTCACAGTGTTAGCCAGGATGGTCTCAATCTCCTGACCTCGTGATCCGCCTGCCTCGGCCTCCCAAAGTGCTGGGATTACAGGCATGAGCCACCGCGCCTGGCCCTACAATTTTTCTTAAAGAGCAAATCAATGTTCAAGAACGCCCTGTTGCTTCAAATAGGGACCCCAACTCTGGCCTTGTGTCAGTGTGCTTTTGAATTAGTGTTCAATTTTTACTAAAATTTACAAATAATTTTCTTTTAATTTTAGCTAACTTGATCACACACAAAATTTCTTTCATCAGACTAATCTTTCCCAAACCATTTACAACTTGTCTAAACCTTCAGTTTTGTACATTTCTTTTGTGGGGTGGGAGTATTCTAGCTTAGGGCAAAAATTTACTTTCTTTCTTCTTCATCATTTTGACCACACACGGTATTTTGTCATGTGAAAGAAAAAATTACTCTATCTCTTTTTAAAATTTTTATTTGTTTATTTTTCTTTTTGGGATGGAGTCTTGCTCTGTTGCCCAGGCTGGAGTGCAGTGGCACAACCTTGCTCACTGCAACCTCCACCTCCTGGGTTCAAGCGAGTCTCTTGCTTCAGCCTCTCGAGTAGCTGGGATTACAGGCACGCACCACCACACGCAGCTAATTTTTCTATTTTTAGTAGAGATGGGTTTCACCATGTTGCCCAGGCTGGTCTCAAACTCCTGACCTCAGGTGACCCACCCACCTCGGCTTTCCAAAGTGCTGGGATTATAGGCGTGAGGCACTGCACCCAGCCTCTTTTTAACTTTTTTTAAAATAAGAAACACATCCTTCTTTCTTTATATGCTGTCTATATAGAATTGTTTCTTTTATATCTAGCAGTTTTCATTACATATATTAACTATAATTTTAACTCTTAGTAACCCTAATTTCTGGTGAAAAACCTGGGAAGTAAGTAATTTTGAACTGTTGTATACTAGTATTTGTAGATGAAAAACATTTTGTAATTTTTAGCCTTAAATTTTTGTTTATTAACATCTAAATATATTAGTTATTTCCATACCATATAAAAGTCAAAGTATATAAACTTAAACTTATGTTTAATAATTAATGTTTCAGTATTTTAACTTACCTAGAAATGACTCAGATGTTTTATGATTATGTATTACTTAATTTAACAGAGCATGACTTTGAGATTTTAAATTATGGAAAAGAATTTTGAAACTATGATACGGATACCTTTTCTAATGTCTTTTCCAGTTATCCTGGGTTGCAAGTACCCAGGATAAAAATATAAATAAATAAAAAAGAAAGAAAGATTGGAGTGGCTAGTAGTGCTAGTAGTGATGGTGGCATTTTATAATTTTCTTTTTTTTTTTTTTTTTTTTTTTTTGAGACGGAGTCTCGCTCTGTCGCCCAGGCTGGAGTGCGGTGGCGCGATCTTGGCTCAGTGCAACCTCCACCTCCCAGGTTCAAGAAATTCTCCTGCCTCAGCCTCCCGAGTAGCTGGAATTACAGACGCCCACCACCATGCCCAGCTAATTTTTATACTTTTTTTTAGTAGAGACGGGGTTTTGCCACGTTGGCCAGGCTGGTCTCGAACTCCTGACCTTGTGAACCGCCTGCCTTGGCCTCCCAAAGTGCTGGGATTACAGGTGTGAGCCACTGTGCCTGGCCACATTTTATAATTTTTAAGAGCTTATGTTTGGCAGGGCTTTTTCTGTGAATTTTGTGTGATCTGGGTTGGGGCTATGTCTTTCCAGAGAGATTGAGTATTTGCTCTTGTCAAATACCTCAACGTAGGACTAATTTTTTACTTTAATTTTTTGGCTTGAAGGTTCTAAAAACATGTGGTTAGTGTAAATATGATCCTCAAATCCACCTGAGGGTGGGCCTATGGTTATACATTCTTAAGGAAGCCTTTTTAAAAATTTTTTATGCAGAACAAGGCATACTTCCTCATTATTTCTCTATGATGGTGGAAAAACTAGTTCATTTTTTGACTAAGGTCCAAGTTTTCCCTGGACTTTTGAGTTCTAATATCCTGCTTCATTTTCTATTACTGTGTGTCTGTCAGAATACCAGGTCCTTGATTTCTGAGATAAGCAATCTTCTCCACTCCCTTATCTATAGGATTAGGATCAATTTGTGTTTATCTTCCAGTTTTAGCGCCTTTTTTTTTTTTTCTTAAGATGGAGTCTCTCTCCGTCCCCCAGGCTGTAGTGCAATGGCAATGGCGTGATCTCAGCTCACTGTAACCTCTGCCTCCTGGGTTAAAGTGATTCTCCTGCCTCAGCTTCCTGAGTAGCTGGGACTACAGGTGTACTCTACCACGCCTGGCTAATTTTTGTATCTTTAGTAGAGATGGGGTTTCACCATGTTGGCCAGACTGGTCTCAAATTCCTGACCTCAGGTGATCCACCCACCTTGGCCTCCCAAAGTGCTGGGATTACAGGCATGAGCCACCGTGCCTGGCCTAGATCCCTCTTTATTTTTAGTCTCTGGAAAGAGAGAGAGAGACAAAGAGAGAGGAAGAGAGAGAGATCAATCCTAGACTTTTACTTTCTTCGGAGAGCAATATGCATTTAAAATAATGTTTACGATATTTTAGTCCTCAATTTTAGGCATCTTGTGGCTGAGGGTTTTCAGAAAATCTAGACTGAAATATTGCTGGAAACAGAATGGCGTTAAACTATTCCTTCTCTCAACTCCTCAGAGTCCCTTGGGATAAAATATGCAATAAACATGTGAGGGCCTCTCCAGTCATCACTGATTTATTGGAGTCTGAAAAGTAAAAACAGGATAGTGTAATGTTCCTCATTAGGATTCTGCTTAATACTTAACTATTTTGTTAATATTTGGTTTTGCTTAATTTTACCCACATCACTTTTCTCGGAAATGGACGTTATGGGGGTTCTAATGGCTTCTTGAACATCAAATAGCTCTTAAAAGTAAAACCGTGACGGACAGAGGGAATTAATCAAACAGGGATTAAATTTCCCTTGAAACACATGTGGGTTTAATACACATGAAATACATACTTCCCTTGAATTACATATGAGTTTATGAAGAGCAGGAAAGTTCTTCATAATTTAAAAAATGTGGGATAATATTTGAGATGCTTGAGAAATGCAAAATGTTGCTGAACAAATAGTCCCGACCAGGAGATGAAAACATCTCACACTGTTTCAGACACACAGTACACACTTAAGGAATTTTGGCACAATCTCAATTTTTCAAATGTTTCAAACACCCTTAAGCTTATTTCTGTGGAAGAAACTTCTTTCCCACCTACGTGCAATCGAATGTTCAGGGTATGCCGCAAAGAAAAGGAGGGGTTAGTACATTCTACCTGAAGGAATCTAAAAAGGCAGGACAGATGGTGCTAGAGCTGAGTCCTAAAAGAAGAGCTGTTTGCCTGGTAGACTATGATGGGCAGAGGGAGCAGCATGTGTAAAGACTCAGAGGCAGGAAAACAGGTTGGAATTTTTAGGGAACTGCAATTAATTTGCTATGCCAAACTATATTATAGGAAAGGGACACAGTGAGAGATGGGGCAGCAGGACCAGTTAGAAGTCCAACTAAAGAGGGATTCGACTTTATCCTGAAAGATCAGTATTATGATTATTATCACAATATCTCAGCCCTCTATTTATTTAGAGACAGAGCCTGGCTCTGTCACTCAGGCTGGCATGCAGTGGCACAATCTCAGCTCACTGCAACCTCTGCCTCCTGGGCCGAAGCCATCCTCCCACCTCAGCCTCCCAAGTAGCTGAGATTACAGGCATGCATCACCACACCCGGCTAATTTTTGAAATTTTAATAGAGACAGGATTTCACCATGTTGCCCAGGCTGGTCTCAAACTCCTGGCCTCAAGTCATCCTCCCGCCTCAGCCTCCCAAAGTGTTGGCATTACAGGTGTGAGCCACAGCACCTGGCCTCAGCACTCACTTATATAAATATGTTTTAAAATTACCTTTATCAAGGATAATCTATATACAATAAAATGCACCAATTTCAAGTGTGTCTTGGTGACTTTTGACAAATTTATACATCTAGGTAACCAACAACAATTTATAGAATTTTTTCTTTTTCTTTTTACTTTTTCTTTGATATCTAATAATTGTACATATTTATGGGATCAATCTTTAGAATTCCTTCCTTCCTTCCTTCCTTCCTTTCCTTCCTTCCTTCCTTCCTTCCTTCCTTCCTTCCTTCCTTCCTTCTTTCCTTCTTTCTTTCTTTCTTCTTTCTTTCTTTCTTTCTTGCTTTTAGAGGCAGAGTCTTGCTCTGTCATCCAGGCTGGAGTTCAGTGGTGCAATGATAGCTCACTTCAGCCTCAATCTCTTGCACTCAGGCAATCCTCCTTCCTTGGCCTCCCACAGCACTGGAGTTATAGGCATGAGCCACCATGCCTGGCCTAGAATTTTATATTGAGAAGTGAAGCCAGCTGGACTTCCTGGGTCAAGTGGGGTTGAGTGGGGACTTGGAGAACTTTTTTGTCTAGCTAAAGGTTTGTAAACACACCAATCAGCACTCTGTAAAAACGCACCAATCAGCACTCTGTGTCTAGCTAAAGATTTGTAAACACACCAATCAGCACACTGTAAAAATGTACCAATCAGTGCTCTGTGTCTAGCTAAAGGTTTGTAAATGCATAAGTCAGCGCTCTGTAAAAACGGACCAATCAGCACTCTGTAAAATGGACTAATCAGCGCTCTGTAAAATGGACCAATCGGCAGGATGTGGGTGGGGCCAAATAAGGGAATAAAAGCTGGCCACCCGAGCCAGCAGCGGCAACCCGCTTGGGTCCCCTTCCACAGTGTGACTTTTGACAAATTTATACATCTAGGTAACCAACAACAATTTATAGAATTTTTTCTTTTTCTCTTTAATTTTCTTTTTCTTTTTAATTAACTCGAACAAAGTGTGGGAGCTTTGTTCTTTCACTCTTCACAATAAATCTTGCTGCTGCTCACTCTTTGGGGCTGCACTAACTTTATGAGCTGTAACACTCACCATGAGGGTCTGTGGCTTCATTCCTGAAGTCAGCAAGACCATGAACCCAATGGGAGGAACAAACAACTCTGGACGTGCCACCTTTAAGAGCTGTAACACTCGCTGTGAAGGCCTTCGGCTTCACTTCTGAAGTCAGCGAGACCACAAACCCACCGGAAGGAAGAAACTCTGGACACATCTGAACATCTGAACAAACTCCGGACACACCATCTTTAAGAACTATAACACTCAGCACGAGGGTCTGCAGCTTCATTCTTGAAGTCAGCAAGACCAAGAACCCACCAGAAGGAACCAATTCCGGACACATTTTGACAACCCAGATGGGACACATTTTGGTGACTCCACCAGGACAGTCACCAAGCAGTGAGTACCTTTGGACCCCTTTCACTTGCTATTCTGTCCTATTTTTCCTTAGAATTTGGGGGTTAAATACTGGGCACCTGTCAACCAGTTAAAAGCGACTAGTGCGGCCACCAGACTAAAGACATGGGTGTCAGGCTTTCTGGGAAAGCACTCTCTAACAACCCCCAACTCTTCATAGTTGGGAGCGTTGGTTTGCCTGGAACCAGCTGCCGCTTTCCCTGTACTTCCGGGCTGAGCTGAGGGTTGACAGAATGGAAAGCCATTCAGCTCTGGGGTCCCAACAACAAGTCGGTTGACACTGCAGCCATGAGTGGAACTCTCAAAGTCATGTCACCCAAGCGAGACTCGCCCATCTATCATATCTATCCTGACCCTTGCCTCCTGGGTCCTAATGCTTGTCAGACAAACTTCCTCTCACCTCTCTTCTCCAAGGCTAGTCCCACTTCTAAAAACCACTCCTTGTCTCTGGTGCTTTTCTAGTTTCTCCTATAAGAATGATCTCTAGTATAAACTACAGGACTCTATTCCCTTCTTTAGGCACCCAGGCTCACTAATCAGAAAGACACAATTTTTGCCCAAAGCCCCGTTGGGGGCGGGGGACTATCTTATCTGGAATTTTAGTATCCCTCCTCAGACTAGCAGGCCTAACAAAAGCTATTCCTGAAGCTAGGATATGGGGAGCCTCAGAAATGATATCCTTCCTGTTCAAGTGAGGACAAAAGGCATCAGTCTTCCAACCCTGGAGATCCCTTCCCTCCCTCAGAGTATGGCCCTCCACTTCATTTTTGGGGCATAACATCTTTATAGGATGGGGTAAAGTCCCAATACTAACAGGAGAACACTTAGGACTCTAACAGGTTTTTGAGAATGCGTCAGTAAGGGCCACTAAATCCAATTTTTCTTGGTCCTTTTTGTGGTCTAGGAGAACAGGCAAGGGCGCAGGTTTTTAAGAATGCATTGGTAAGGGCCAGTAAATCCGACTTTCCTTGGTCCTCCTTGTGGTCTAGGAGGAAAACTAGTGTTTGTGCTGCTGCGTCGGTGAGCGCAACTATTCTGATCAGCAGGGTCCAGGGACCGTTGTGGGTTCTTCGGCAGGGGGAGAAACAAACAAACCAAAACCATGGGTGGTTTTGTCTTTCAGATGGGAAACACTCAGGCATCAACAGGCTCACCCTTGAAATGCATCCTAAGCCATTGGGACCAATTCGACCTGCAAATCCTGAAAAAGAGGTGGCTCAATTTTTTCTGCACTATGGCTTGGCCCCAATATTCTATCTCTGATGGGGAAAAATGGCCACCTGAGGGAAGTATAAATTACAATACTATCCTGCAGCTTGACCTTTTCTGTAGGAGGGAAAGCAAATGGAGTGAAATACCTTATGTCCAAGCTTTCTTTTCACTGAAGGAGAATACACAACTATGCAAAGCTTGCAATTTACATCCCACAGGAAGACCTCTCAGCTTACCCCCGTATCCTAGCCTCCCTATAACTCCCCTTCCTATTAATGATAATCCTCCTCTAATCTCCCCCACCAAGAAGGAAACAATCAAAGAAATCTCCCAGGGACCACAAAAACCTCCAGGCTATCAGTTATGTCCCCTTCAAGCTGTAGGGGGAGGGGAATTTGGCCCAACCTGGGTACATGTCCCCTTCTCCCTCTCTGATTTAAAGCAGATCAAGGCAGAGCTGGGGAAGTTTTCAGATGATCCTGATAGGTATATAGATGTCCTACAGGGTCTAGGGCAAACCTTCGATCTCACTTGGAGAGATGTCATGCTATTGTTAGATCAAACCCTGGCCTTTAATGAAAAGAATGTGGCTTTAGCTGCAGCCTGAGAGTTTGGAGATACCTGGTATCTTAGTCAAGTAAATGATAGAATGACAGCTGAAGAAAGGGACAAATTCCCTACCGGTCAGCAAGCTGTCCCCTGTATGGATCCCCACTGGGACCTCAACTCAGATCATGGGGACTGGAGTTGTAAACATCTGTTGACCTGTGTTCTAGAAGGATTAAGGAGAATTAGGAAAAAGCCCATGAATTATTCAATGATGTCCACCATAACTCAGGGAAACTAAGAAAATCCTTCTGCCTTCCTCAAGCGGCTATGAGAGGCCTTAAGAAAATATACTCCCCTGTCGCCTGACTCACTCGAGGGCCAATTGATCCTAAAAGATAAGTTTATTACCCAATCAGCCACAGATATCAAGAGAAAACTCCAAAAGTGAGCCCTGGGCCCTGAACAAAATCTGGAGGCATTATTAAACCTGGCAACCTCAGCGTTCTATAATAGAGACCAAGAGGAACAGGCCAAAAAGGAAAAGCGAGATCAGAGAAAGGCTGCAGCCTTAGTCATGGCCCTCAGACAAACAAACCTTGGTGGTTCAGAAAGGAGAGAAAATGGAGCAGGTCAATCACCCAGTAGGGCTTGTTATCAGTGGTGTGCAAGGACACCTTAAAAAAGATTGTCCAACAAGAAACAAGCTGCCCCCTCACCCATGTCCACTATGCCGAGGCAATCACTGGAAGGCACGCTGCCCCAGAGGACAAAGGTTCTCTGGGCGAGAAGCCCCCAACCAGATGATCCAGCAACAGGACTGAGGGTGCCTGGGGCAAGCGCCAGCTCATGTCATCACCCTCACTGAGCCCCAGGTATGTTTAACCATTAAGGGCCAGGAAATTGACTTCTTCCTGGACACTGGCGCAGCTTTCTCAGTGTTAATCTCCTGTCCCGGACAGCTGTCCTCAAGGTCTGTTACCATCTGAGGAATCCTGGGACAGCATGTAACCAGGTATTTCTCCCACCTCTTCAGTTGTAATTGGGAGACTTTTCTACAGATAGTAAGTATACTTATCTAATCCTACATGCCTATGCTGCAATATGGAAAAAAGGGAATTTCTAACCTCTGGGGAAACCCCCATTAAATATCACAAGGAAACCATGGAGTTATTGCACACAGTGCAAAACCCCAAAGAGGTGGCAGATGGAGTTACTGCACGCAGTGCAAAACCCCAAAGAGGTGGCAGTCTTACACTGCCGAAGGGAAGTGAGAGGGGAGAACAAAAGGGAAGGAGAAGGGGAGAACAACAGCATAAGTGGCTGGCAGGGGCAGGGAAAGACCAACAGAGAGTTAAAGAGAGAGACAGAGAGAGACAGAGACAGAAAGTGAGAGAGAGAGATGAAGTGATAAAGACAAAGAGGGAGTCAGAAAGAAAAGGGGTGGGGGAAGACAGAAAGAGAGAAGGAAATAGAGGAAGAGGCAAAGGAGTCAAAGAGAGAGAAAGAGATAGAAGTAGTAAAGAAAAAACAGTGTACCCTATTCCTTTAAAAGCCAGGGTAAAGTTAAAACCTATAATTGATAATTGAAGGCCTTCTCTGTAACCCTATAACACTCCAATACCATCTTGTTGTTAGTGTAAACAAGGGTATAGCCCGAAAGCACTGAGGCCACTGACAAGCCATAGCCTTCCTATCAAAAATCCTTAACCCAGCAAGTTTCCTAACAGGGGATCTAAATCTTAATTAATTACCATACAAAGGTCTGACCAGACCAAGGAGGAATTCCCTTCAGGACAGGAGATAGATGTTTCCTCCCAGGCGATTAAGGGAAAAAGACACAATGGGTATTCAGTAAGTGATAAGGAAACTCTTGTAGAAGCAGAATTAGGAAAATTGCCTAATAATTGGTCTGCTCAAATATGTGAGCTGTTTGCACTCAGCCAAACCTTAAAGTACTTACAGAATCAGGAAGGAGCCATCTATACCAATTCTGAGTTAATATGAACTGAACAAGGTTTTATTAATAGCAAAGAAAAATTAAAATCCCAAACTTACAAGGTTTTCAACTAAAGTAAAGTTTGCTAAAAGTTAACAGTGTAACATGTATTATCCTACTACCACACACTGTCAAAGGATTTCTCAGACAGTTTGCAAGAAAAAACGAAATCTATCCTTACTCTACAATCCCAAATAGACTCTTTGATAGCATTGACTCTCCAAAACCACTGAGGCCTAGACCTCCTCACTGCTGAGAAAGGAGGACTCTGCACCTTCTTAGGGGAAGAGTGTTGTTTTTACACTAACCAGTCAGGGATAGTACAAGATGCCACCCAGCGTTTACAGGAAAAGGTTTCTGAAATCAGACAATGGCTTTCAAACTCTTACACCAACCTCTGGAGTTCAGCAACGTGGCTTCTCCCCTTTCTAGGTCCTGTGGCAGCCATCTTGCTATTACTTGCCTTCAGGCCCTGTATTTTTAACCTCCTTGTCAAATTTGTTTCCTCTAGGATCGAGGCCATCAAGCTACAGATGGTCTTACAAATGGAATCCCGAATGAGCTCAACTAACAACTTCTACCAAGGACCCCTGGACCAATCTGCGGGCCCTTTCACTGGCCTAAAGAGTTCCCCTCTGGAGGACACTACAACTGCAGGGCCCCTTCTTCACCCCTATCCAGCAGGAAGTAGCTAGAGTGGTCATTGCCCAATTCCCAACAGCAGTTGGGTTGTCCTGTTTAGAGGGGGTATTGAGAGGTGAAGCCAGCTGGACTTCCTCCATCAAGTGAGGACTTGGAGAACTTTTCTGTCTAGCTAAAGGTTTGTAAACGCACCAGTCAGCACTCTGTAAAATGAACCAATGAGCGCTCTGTAAAATGGACCAATCAGCAGGACATGGGCAGGGCCAAATAAGGGAATAAAAGCTGGCCACCTGAGCCATCAGTGGCAACCCGTTCGGGTCCCCTTCCACAGTGTGGAAGCTTTGTTCTTTCACTCTTCACAATAAATCTTGCTGCTGCTCACTCTTTGGGTTAGCACTACCTTTATGAGCTGTAACACTCACCACGAGGGTCTGTGGTTCCATTCCAGAAGTCAGCAAGACCACAAACCCACTGGGAAGAACAAACAACTCCAGACGTGCCACCTTTAACAGCTGTAACACTGACTGCGAAGGTCTGTGGCTTCACTTCTGAAGTCAGCAAGACCACGAACCCACCAGAAGGAAGAAACTCTGGACACATCTGAACATCTGAACAAACTCCAGACACAACATCTTTAAGAACTGTAACACTCACCACGAGGGTCCGCAGCTTCATTCTTGAAAGTCAGCGAGACCAAGAACCCACCGGAAGGAACCAATTCCAGACACAATATTACCTCAGAAACTCCGCTTGTGCCTCTTCTCAGTCAATCCCATACCCCCCGCCCCCAGTGCACACACACATATCAAGGCAATTGTTATGGATTTCTGTCACTATAAATTAGATTTGTCTTTCCTAAAGTTTCAATTAAATGGAATAATATACTATATACTCTTGTGTCTGGCTTCTTTCCCTCAGCATGATGTTTTTGAGGTTTACCCATGTTGTTGTACATTAGTTCATTCTGTTTTTTGCTAAGGTTTAATTAGACTTATATAACAAATACTGGGCATGGTGGCATTACAGTAACTCAGGAGGCTAAGGTGGGAGGATCAATTTGAGGGCAGGAGAGTTTTGAAAGCAGTCTGGGCAACATAGCGAGACCCTGTCTCTACAAAAAAACAAAACAAAACAAAACATTAGCCGGGTGTGGTGGCTTCTGCCTGTATTCCCAGCTGCTTGGTGTGGGGAAAAGAAAGATCAGATCGTTACTGTGTCTATGTAGAAAAAGGAAGACATAAAGAAACTCCATTTTGATCTGTACTAAGAAAAATTGTTCTGCTTTGAGATGCTGTTAATCTGTAACTCTTGTCCCAACCCTGTGCTCACAAAAACGTGTGCTGTATTCAATCAAGGTTTAATGGATCTAGGGCTGTGCAGGGTGTGCCTTGGTAAAAATGCGTTTGCAGGCAGTATACTTGGTGAAAGTCATCGCCATTCTCCATTCTCTATTAACCAGAGACACAATGCACTGCGGAAGGCTGCAGGGACCCCTGCCCAAGAAAGCCTGGGTATTGTTCAGGTTTCCCCTCACTAAGACAGCCTGAGATATGGCCTCGTGGGAAGGGAAAGACCTTACAGCCCCCCAGCCTGACACCCGTAAAGGGTCTATGCTGTAGAGGATTAGTGAAAGAGGAAGGCCTCTGTGCAGTTAAGAGGAAGGCATCTGTCTCCTGCACATGCCTGGGAATGGAATGACTTGGTATAAAACCGACCACACATTCTATTCTGAGATAGGAGAAAACCTCCTTATGGCTGGAGGTGAGACATCATGGCGGCAATACTGCTGTTACTCTTTACTGCCCTGAGGTGTTTATGTAAAGTTAAACATAAATCTAGCCTACGTGCACATCCAGGCACAGCACCTTTCCTTAAACTTATTTATGACACAGAGTCTTTTGCTCACATGTTTTTCTGCTGACCCTCTCCCCACCATTACCCTATAGTTATGCCACATTCCCCGGCCGAGATAGTAAAGATAGTGATCAATAAATACTGAGGGAACTCAGAGACCAGTGCTGGTGCAAGTCCTCACCTGCTGAGCGCTGGTCCCCTGGGCCCACTTTTCTTGCTCTATACTTTGTCTCCGTGTCTTATTTCTTTTCTCAGTCTCTTGTCTCCACCTTGGGAGACAGGAGTAGGCCCCCTTCAGCTTGGGAGGCTGGGGCAGGAAGATCACTTGACCCCAGGAGTTCGAGGCCGCACTAAGCTATGATCATGGCACTGCACTCTAGCCTGGGTGTCAGAGCAAGACTAAATCTCCAAAAAAATTAAAAAATAAAAAAGTAATTTGAAAAATTAATGTAAAAAGATTTATATACCATACTTTGTTTATCTAGTCAACTTTCGATGGACATTTGGGTCATTTCCAGTTTCTAGCTATACAAGGCTGCTGTGAACATTTGTATACAAGTCTTTGTCAGCACTCACTTTAACGTATGGTATAGCTAATAAATTTGTCTAGGAAGATGCTACTACCCCATCACCACTAGCCAAAGTATATGTATGTGTGGCCAGGAGTAGAGGGGAGGGCAGCATGAAGAATTTGTCTCAGGCCCGGACAATCATAGTTCCTCATTCCCCTGGCAACAGTAATTGGTCCAAGGAGCAGGCATATGACCCAGAAAGGTTAGTTAGAGTCTTTTCCCAAAAGAAAGAAAAAAAAAATTTCTTCTTGGGTTGCTAAAATGGGACAATGTGTACTTGAGGTTATACAGGCTGGCCTTGAACTCCTGACCACAATTTTCTGCACTGGTTGTATAGAGGCAGCCCTTCTACAGCAGGAGAAAATCAGAACAATGAGTAAGGGAAAATGGGGTGGGGGAGACAGAAAGAATCCCTGCCTCCTCCATAAATTAGACTTATGCCAGACAGGAACACTCATGTTTAGACAAAATTGGGAGTCTGAAATAAACCTAATAAAGAAGAAACTAGAGGTTAGAAGAGAATGGACATAGTAGATACGGCTGAAATTAAAATACAAAATTAAAAAATGCAAAAATTGGCCAGGCGCAGTGGCTCATGCCTGTAATCCTAGCAGTTTGGGAGGCCGAGGTGGGTGGATCACCTGAGGTCAGGAGTTCAACACCAGCCTGACCAACATGGTGAAACCCCATCTCTACTAAAAATATAAATAATTAGCTGGGCGTGGTCGTGGGCACCTGTAACCCCAGCTATTCAGGAGGCTCAGGCAGGAGAATTGCTTGAACCCAGGAGGTAGAGGTTGCAGTGAGCTGAGATCACGCCACTGCACTCCAGCCTGGGCAACAAGAGCAAAACTCTGTCTCAAAAACAAAAAACAAAAAAATAAAAAAAAATTAGCCGGGTGTGGTGGTGCACACCTGTAATCCCAGCTACTCGGGAGGCTGAGGCACAAGAATCACTTGAACCTGGGAGGCTGAGGTTACAGTGAGCCGAGATCACACCACTGCACTCCAGCCTGGGTGACAAAGCAAGACTCTGTCTCAAAAAAAAAAAAAAAAAAAGAAAGAAAAGAAGAAGTTTGCATTTTATGTTGTAGACATTGGGAAATTGTATCAGTCTGTTAGGGCTACCATAACAAAGTACTGCAGACTGGGTGACTTAAACAACAGAAATCTATTTTCTCATAGTTCTGAAAGCTAGAAGTCTGAGATCAAGGTGTTGGCAGGTTTGGTTTCTTCTGAGGCCTCTCTCTTCTCTCCTTGGTTTGCCCACGGCCGTGTTCTCCCTGTATCTGTGTCTTCACCTGGTCTTCCTTCTTTATGTGTCTGTGGCCAAATTTCCTCTTCTTATAAAGATGCAAGTCATATTGGATTAGGGCCTTTTTTTTCTTTGAGACTGGGTCTCACTCTCTTTCCCAGGCTGAAGTGCAGTGAGGCAATCATAGCCCACCGCAGCCTTGGACTTAGTGGCTTAAGTGATCCTCCTATGCCAGCCTCCCAAGTAGCTAGGACTACAAGTGTGCACCACCATGCCCTGCTAATTTTTCTAATTTTTTTTGGAGATGGGGTCTCACTATGATGCCCAAAGTGGTCTCAAATTCCTGGCTTCAAGCAATCCTCCAGCCTTGGCCTTTCAAATTTCTGGAATTACAGGCATGAGCCACCATACCTGGCCATGGCCTCATCTTTAATTACCTCTTTAAAGACCATGTCTCCAAATGCAGGCACATTCTAAGGTACTAGGGCATAGAACTTCAACAAACTTCAACATATGAATTTTTTTTTTTTTTTTGGAGACAGAGTCTCACTGTCACCCAGGTTGGAGTGCAATGGCATGATTTCAACTCACTGCAACCTCTGCCTCCTGGGTTCAAGCAATTCTCCTGCCTCAGCCTCCCAAGTGGCTGGGATTACAGGTGTGTGCCACCGCGCCCGGCTAATTTGTCTTTTTAGCAGAGACAGGGTTTCACCATGTTGTCCAGGCTGGTCTTGAACTCCTTTTTTTTTTTTTTGAGATGGAGTTTTGCTGTTGTTGCCCAGGCTGGAGTGCAGTGGTGTGATCTCGGCTCACTGCAACCTCCACCTTCTGATTTCAAGCAATTCTCCTGCCTCAGCCTCCCAAGTAGCTGGGATTACAGGCACCCACCACCACACCCAGCTAATTTTTTTGTGTTTTTAGTAGAGATGGGGTTTCACCATGTTGGCCAGGCTAGTCTCAAACTCCTGACCTCGTGATCCGCCCACATCCCCCTCCCAAAGTGCTGAGATTACAGGTGTGAGCCACCATGCCCGGCCAGTCTTGAACTCCTAACATCAAGTGATCCACCTGCCTTGGCCTCCCAAAATGCTGGGATTACAGGGATGAACAACCATGCCAGGCCTCAACATATGGATTTTTATGGGAAAACAATTCAGCCCGTAAGAGGAGCCATCAAAGACTTTCTTTCCACTACTTCATATGTTTTATTTTGTTGTATATTCTTCTAGAACCAGGTTCATTTTTTCAGTTTTGTAGAAAAATAGATGTTCCAGCCACCATTTACATAATTGTCTAGTTTTTTAAGACCAATCAGATATGTTCCCTGGAAAGATGAATAGAAGAATTTTTTTTTTTTTTTTGAGATGGGGTCTCGCTCTGTCTCCCAGGCTGGAGTGCAGTGGCACAATCTTGGCTCACTGCAACCTCCACCTCCCGGGTTCAAGCGATTATCCTGCCTTAGCCTCCTGAGTAGCTGGGATTATAGGCACGTGCCACCACGCCTGGCTAATTTTTGTATTTTTAGTAGAGATGGGGTTCCACCATGTTGGCCAGGCTGGTCTCGAACTCCTGACCTCGTGATCTGCCCACTTTGGCTTCCCAAAGTGCTGGGATTACAGGCATGAGCCACTGCACCCGGCCGAATAGAAGACTTAAAAAAAAATTTTTTTTGTAGGGATGGAGTCTCACTGTGTTGCCCAGGCTGGTCTTGAACTCCTGGGCTCAAGCAATTCTCCCACTTTGGCCTCCCAAAGCACTGAGATTACAGGCATGAGCCACTGTGGCTAGTTCACATGGAAGACTTTTTTTTTTTTTTTTTTTTTTTTAATACAGAGTCTTGCTCTCCCCCAGGCTGGAGTGCAGTAGTGCAATCTCGGCTTAGAAAAACCACCACCTGCCAGGTTCAAGCAATTCTCCTGCCTCAGCCTCCCAGGCAGCTGGGATTACAGGCAACCACCACCATGCCCGGCTAATTTTGTTGCATTTTTAGTAGAGATGGGCTTTTGCCATGTTGGTCAGGCTAGTCTCGAACCCCTGACTTCAGGTAATCCACTCACCGCAGCCTCCCAAATTGCTGGGATTACAGGTGTGAGCCATCGTGCCCAGCCTGAAGACTTTTAAGTAGAGAAGGGCAAGAACAGATCTATACTTGAAAACATTACTGGTAACAGTGTGGAGAATGGACTGCAGGAGGAAAAGAGAAGAGGTATGAAGGCTTGTTAGAGTCTTTTGGAATTTCCCAGGCAAATAAATGATAAAAGCCTGAATTAGCCTACTCTCTGACACCTGATTAGAATATAAATCACCTATAGATAGAGTGGCTTATGAGCGGTTGATGACTTCCCACTAGGATGAATTATTTCATACAGGATGTTTATGCACATTTGCTTTGAAGAGGGAGAAAGGCTTTTCCTATTGTCACAGCTGCCAGCATTCACCCAGGCAAGCTTCCAGCTTGCTTATGTCTGCAGCTTGATTTTATAGTCTGCGTTTTGTTGGAAAATAAATTATTTGGGGGCTGCTTTTTATTAAAAGGGAAACCTTACCGAGGACTTCCTCACCCTTACTATCTGCCTAAATAATTTCTTTTTAACTCCTATATCAAAAAATCCACAAAACATGGAATTGGGCCCTACTTGGATTCTACGTTCTGGAATTACTGGGTGAATAACCTTGGGAAAGTCATTTTATCTCTCTGAACTTCCATTTTATGATATGTAAAATGGAGATGATAATTTCTACCATGCAAGTTTGTCAAAATAATTAAATGAGATCAGGCAGGCAGGGTGGCTCACACCTGTTATCCCAGCAAGTTGGGAGGCCAAGGTGGGTGGATCACCTGAGGTCAGGAGCTCAAGAACAGCCTGGCCAACATGGCGAAACCCCGTCTCTACTAAAAATACAAAAATTAGCCGGGTGTGGTGGTGCACGCCTGTAATTCCAGCTACTTGGGAGGCTGAGGCAGGAGAATTGCCTGGACCCAGGAGGCAGAGGTTGCAGTGAGCTGAGATTGCGCCACTGCACTCCAGCCTGGGCAACAAGAGCAAAACTCCGTCTCAAAAAAAAAAAAAAGAAAGAAAAAAAAACAGAATTAAATGACATCATGAATGAAAACTACTTTTATTTTTTATTTTTATTTATTTATTTTTTTGAGACAGGATCTTGCTGGAGTGCAGTGGCGTGATCATGGCTCTCTGCAGCCTCAACTTCCCAGGCTCAAGTGATCCTCCCACCTCAGCCTCCTGAGTAGCTGGAACTTCAAGTGCTCACCACCACACCTAGCTAATTTTTTGTAGAGACGGAATCTCATTATGTTGCCCAGGCTGGTCTCGAACTCCTGGGCTCAAGCGATCCTCCCACCTCGGCCTCCCAAAGTGCTGGGATAACAGGCATGAGCCACCGTGCCTGGCCTGATCTCATTTAATTATGTTAACAAACTTGCATGGTAGAAATTATCATCTCCACTTTACATATCATAAAATGGAAGTTCAGAGAGATAAAATGAGCCACCTCACCCAGCCCATGAAAAGTATTTTAAATATCTGTACACATGTTATTTATTGCACTTGGTATCCCTAAAAGATACTTTTATGTCTGTAGGTGGGAGTGGGAAGCAGATATTTGTTACAGAGAACAATAGTGGCTATGATTTACTGAGTTGCCTGCTATGAGTCCTGGATGTGAGCCTTAGAGTACCTCTTTCTTCTAGAAGGGATCCCTAGGTCACAGGAGCTGGTTGGGTAGTAGTTGTATCAACATCTGAGAAAAACATGACTCTTCTGTGGGCTATTTGGATCTGATTACCAGAAAAGAAAAAAATTTGGTTTGATTTCAATAAATGCTAGAATTTGTAGGGGCAGATTTAGTATCACTAAGACAAAGGAAAGAGAGCACATTGACAAAAGAAGGAAAAAAAAAAGAGAAAGAGAGCCTCAGAAGGAACATGAAAATAAAAAGCAAAAACTAGAAAAGACACTAGAAAAGGAAAAACAGACTTTCCCAAGTGTCTCCTATTTCAGACTTTGTATTCATGTTTCATTTCTCATTGTTGTCTCTTGAGGAAGAACTATTCTGTTTAATATAATTTATGCATAGTGAATGTCAACATATTGTTAGTAATACTGTTGTTACAACAAATGATTCCAGAAAATTTTGGCTTGAGTTTGTTATTACATATAATAATTAGCATTTCTATAAATTCCATACCTCACTCAAATCCTTCAGATGTGGGATTGCTGAGGAAATGACTTTGAAACTGAAACCTGAAGGATAAGTAAGATTTAGTTCTGAGAAGAATGGGGGAAGAATAGTCCAGGCAGAGGAAATGCCATGTTTATAGCCCTGAGACAGGAAAGAGTTCATCGTGGAGTTCATCAAAGCAGGCTCATGTGGCAGATCTCGGGAGTCTATGCAGGCAAAACTTGGTAAAAAAAAAAAAAAAAAAAAATTCTTCTTTTGTGTCTCAAGTGCTTAGAGTTGACACTAATTGTTAAGTGTCTTGGGTGTCCAGGCTCAAACAACTGTTAACAGTTGAAACAGCTACCCCTGAGGCCAGGACTAGTTCTGCCCCAGTGAGGACAAAGAGATTTGAGGAGAGGAGAAAAATCGAACTTAAGGATCCAGCATATTTATTCAGTATGTCCTCATTCATAGCTCTCCCTTTTTTTGTTTTTGTTTTTGTTTTTGTTTTTGAGACACAGTCTTGCTCTGTTGCCCAGGCTGGAGTGCAGTGGCACAGCCACGGATCACTGCAGTCTTGACCTCCCAGGCTCAAGCGATCCTCCCGCCTCAGCCTCCCCGGTATTTGAGACTACAAGGGTGTGCCACCCTGCCCAGCTAATTTTTTTTTATAGAGACAGGGTCTCACTATGTTGACCAGGCTGGTCTCAAACTCCTGGGCTCAAGGGATCCTCTCACTTTAGCTTCCCAAAGTTCTGGGATTACAGGCTTGAGCCACCACACCCAGCTAGTATGCCCTCATAGGTAGAGTGTTTAAAGTTTAATTGTTTTTATTTTCTTAACACTCTACTATAGTTTTTTATGGTGTTAATTTTTCTGGTGATTTGGTGACCGGTCTAGTTCCAGCATCCCCTGTTTCTGTGATTGCCACTCCTGCTGCCATCATCACCTCTGTGGCTGTTTACTAGGCCAGGCACTTTATTTCTTATTTTTTTTCCGAGACGGAGTCTTGCTGTGTCGCCCACGCTGGAGTGCAGTGGTGCGATCTTGGCTCACTGCAACCTCCACCTCCCAGGTTCAAGCAATTCCCCTGCCTCAGCCTCCTGGGTAGCTGGGATTACAGGCAAACACTACCACGCCTGGCTAATTTTTGTATTTTTAGTAGAGACAGGGTTTCACCACGTTGGCCAGGCTGGTCTCGAACTCCAGACCTCATGATCCACCTACCTCAGCCTCCCAAAGTGCTGGGATTACAGGCGTGAGCCACCACACTTGGCCAGCCAGGCACTTTAAAGCCACCTTTGACTCTTCTGTCCTTTATAAGAACAATAGATTTCACCTCTGTGTTGTCTCTCTGATGAGTTACCTCTGGTCTATTCTTATGGCCACGGACTGTGTTAGGTTCTTTACTTAGTTTCCTGACTCCAGCCTCATCCAGCTTAATCTGTCCTTCGGGTTCCTGCCATCATTTGTCCTCTTTGAATACTGTTCTAATTCTGCCCCTTTCTTAGCTCTGACCGTTTTCTCTGTCCACAAATTCCCACAAAGCTGTCTCACCTGTAGGCCTCAAAAATGCATCATCCTTGGGCCAGGCGTGGTGGCTTACTCCTTTAATCCCAGCACTTTGGGAGGCCAACGCAGGAGGATCCCTCCAGGCCAGGATTTCAAAGCTGCCTTGAGCCATGATCATGCCATTGCACTCCAGCCTGGGCAACAGAGCAAGACCCTGTCTCTAAAAGCAATACAAACAAAACAGAAGGTATCATTCTTCATTCTTTTTGTTTTGTTTTGTTTGAGATGGGTCTTGCCCTGTTGCCCAGGCTGGCGTGCAGTGGTGCAATCTCAGCTCACTGCAACCTCCACCTCCCAGGTTCAAGCGATTCTCCTACCTCAGCCTCCCAAGATTACAGGCACCATGTCCGGCTAATTTTTTTGTATTTTTAGTGGAGATGGGGGTTTCGCCATATTGGCCAGGCTGGTCTCGAACTCCTGACCTCAAGTAATCTGCCTGCCTCTGCCTACCAGAGTGCTGGGATTACACGCTTGAGCCATCGTGCCTGGCCCAGAATGTATCGTCCTTAAGATTACGTCAGACTTTGCCCTTGTTCTGCCTTTCTAGTATACTTCTTTTCCTATCCCCAACTCACTCTCTGGCCATCCCAATTTTATAGTCTTCCAGGCCTTTAGGGCATTCTTTTATTCATTCATTCAATAAATGTTTATTGAGTATCTACTATGTGTCAGACACTGTGTTAGGCACTGGAGATGCATAGTGAGCCAGACAGACACAGTCCCTGCCCTTGTGGAGCCTACACTTTCACAAAAGGATGGTGAAGTTCCAACCAAAGAAATATATCAAGCCAGAGTAAGACAAGAAAATTTTCCCCATAGCAGATTAAATAAATTCCTAGGACTCTTCCAGCTGAAAGGTTGAATCTGAAATTAGATTGGGAAGCTAGTGGGCTACAAGTTACTCATCAGTGGTCTAGACTGGGTAGTAAAGGAAAATAAGGTTGGAGGGGTTAAGACTAATTTATGGAAGGCTTTGAATACCAGGCTAATAAGTTTTAAATACAGTTGTAGACAATGATGAGGCATCCACTTTTTCTGATCTGATCCCTTCTTTTTTTTTTTTTTGAGACAGAGTCTCGCTCTGTCGCCCAGGCTGGAGTGCAATGGCGCAGTCTCGGCTCACCGCAACCTCCGCCTCCCGGGGTCACGCCATTCTCCTGCCTCAGCCTCCTGAGTAGCTGGGACTACAGGCGCCCGCCACCACCACGCTCGGCTAATTTTTTGTATTTTTAGTAGAGACGGGGTTTCACCGTGTTAGCCAGGATGGTCTCGATCTCCTGACCTTGTGATCCATCCGCCTCGGCCTCCCAAAGTGCTGGGATTACAGGCATGAGCCACTGCGCCTGGCCCTGATCCCTTCTTTAGAGACCCAGAGTCTTGTTTAGTCACCCAGGCTGGGGTGCAGTGGTACAATCATAGCTCACTGCAGCCTTGAACTCCTGGGCTCAAGCAGTCTTCCCGCCTCAGCCTCCCCAGTAGCTGGAACCACAGGTTTGTGCCACCATGCCTAATTGTTTGTTTGTTTTTGTAGAAACAGAGTCTCACTGTGTTGCCCAAGGTAGTCTCAAACAATCATCCCACCTTGGCCTCCCAAAAGTGCTGGGATTATAGGCATAAGCCAACATGCCCTGCTGATCCTTTCTTAAAATTCAGATTCTAGGCTGGGTGCAATGGCTCATGCCTGTAATCCCAGCACTTTGGGAGGCTGAGGCAGGTGGATCACCTGAGATCGGGAGTTCGAGACCAGCCCAATCAAGATGGAGAAACCCTGTCTCTATTAAAAATACAAAAGTAGCCGGGCGTGGTGGCGCATGCCTGTAATCCCAGCTACTCCGGAGGCTGAGGCAGGAGCATCACTTGAACGCAGGAGGTGGAGGTTGCAGTGAGCTGAGAATGCTCCATTGAACTCCAGCCTGGGCAACAAGAGAGAAACTCCATCTCAAAAAAATAAAAATAAAATAAAATAAAATAAAAACGGATCACGAGGTCAGCAGATCGAGACCATCCTGGCTAACACAGTGAAACCCCGTCTCTACTAAAAATACAAAAAATTAACCAGGTGTGGTGGCGGGCACCTGTAGTCCTAGCTACTTGGGAGGCTGAGGCAGAAGAATGGTGTGAACCCAGGAGGCGGAGCTGGCAGTGAGCCAAGACCACGCCACTGCACTCCAGACTGGGAGACACAGTGAGACTCTGTCCCCCCAAAAAAAAAATTCAGATTCTAAAGAACCACTAGCTTTCTTCACTCCCAGGTTTCTTCAACAAAACTGGAAAAGGTAGGTATTGTCTACAAATCTTTACACTAGGTGACTGACTAATGATCTACATTTGAGGTTGCTTCTTTTTTTTTAATTTATTTTTTATTTTATGTATTTATTCATGTTTTTGAGACAGTCTTTCTCTTGTCGCTCAGGTTGGAGTGCAATGGCACAATCTTAGCTCACTGCAACCTCTGCCTCCTGGGTTCATACCATTCTCTTGCCTCAGCCTCCCAAGTAGCTGGGATTATAGGCGCCCACCACCACGCCCAGCTAACTTTTATATTTTTAGTACAGACGGGGTTTCGCCATGTTGGCCAGGCTGGTCTCGAACTCCTGACCTCGTGATCCACCCGCCTTGGCCTCCCAACGTGCTGGGATTACAGGTATTAGCCACCATGCTGGGCTTTTTTTTTTTTTTTTTTTTTTCTGAGATGGAGTCTCGCTCTGTCACCCAGGCTGGAGTGCAGTGGTGTGACCTCGGCTCACTGCAACCTCTGCCTCCCGGGTTCAAGCAATTCTCCTGCCTCAGCCTCCCAAATAGCTGGCACTACAGGCGCGTGCCACCATGCCTGGCTAATTTTGTGTGTGTGTGTGTGTTTAGTAGAGATGGGGGTTTCACCATGTTAGCCAGGATGGTCTCGATCTCCTTACCTCGTGATCTGCCCGTCTTGCCCTCCCAAAGTGCTGGGATTACAGGCGTGAGCCACCGCACCCGGCCTTATTTTGTATCTTTTTTTTTTTTTTTTTTGAGACAGAGTTTCCCTCTGTCATCCAGGCTGGAGTGCAGTGGCGTGATCTTAGCTCACTGCCACCTCTGCCTCCTAGGTTCAAGTGTTTCTCCTGCCTCAGCCTCCTGAATAGCTGGGATTACACGCATGCGCCACCATGCTCAGCTAATTTTTGTATTTTCAGTAGAGACAGGGTTTCGCCATGTTGCCCAGGCTGGTCTCGAACTCCTGACCTCAGGTGATCTGCCTGCCTCGGCCTCCCAAAGTGCTAGGATTACAGATGTGAGCCACCGTGCCCAGCCTGATTCTTTTAATATTTGCATTTCAGCCATCTTTTGTAACTTACATTTTTTCTGATAGTGGAATCAGAGGTTTAAAAAAAAATCAAAAAGCCAAACCATAAAATTCCATATTCACCTTCTTTCCAGGGCAGAACAAACTGAAGCCTGCCAAACTTGCTCCCTAAAACCAATAGGGTCAGAGGAATGCATGCCTTCCCAGTCTTCTCTGTATCTGCTGGCTTCTTTCTTTTTTCTGGCATGAGCACTCACCTCTAGACCACAGCCAGCCACTCCTCTGAGGGGAAAGCCCAGGCTTTCCTTCCTCTGCCTTTACATATCCTTTCTCTCCCTCTGCCCATGTTTCCCAGGTGTTCTACTTGCTGCTACTTTAGTTAACATTTAATGACTATTAATACCATAATCCTTCATAGCTGACATCCTGTAACAACATCCCTTTGCCATCTAAATTACCTAGACCAATAGTAAGGAGATTTTTTAAAGAGCCTGAATTCATTTTCTTTATAGCAATATTAGTTAACCCATAGACAATTAATTATACACACAATCATATTACTTCAGTTTGGCATGGGTTTACACATAGATCGTGCTTTTACAGTTATTTACAGATAACTTCCTTGTCTATTCCCAGCCCATACTAGAATTCCACCTGTAACTTTTCTAGCCATGGTAGAAGTAGCAATTTCCCAAGCTACATTCCACAGTTATTCCTAACTTCTGGGTTAAAAATGCCCACTTCAGAGCCTCTTGAACCCCAACTACTAAAGTACCACTTTGAAATCTGCCTGCAAAAAATGTCCAGACTACCCATTCCCTTCCACGTCATACACCTTAGTCCATCTGTTCACACCATCCTCAGCCTGTCAAGCTTTCCTTACAGCTTTTTCTAAAAATGCCTCATCATGTCACCTACAAGCACAGAGCTGCATATATTGTGTTGCTCAATCACCTTCATTGAAATATTAGGATGACTACATTAGGACAAAAACCTAAAACTCAGTTATATTTTAATTATCCTCACCTTAGATCACAGCCCATCCACAAATCATGTTTGATTTGGGTGGAAAAGGTCATTTTAGCACGAGAGTGTAGTGGTCAAAAGGATAGAATTCTGTCACCTGTTCATAAGTTTAGGCCTTTTTCTTTTTTTTTCTTTTTGAGATGGAGTCTTGCTGTGTCACCCGGGCTCTGGAGTGCAGTGGCGCGATCTTGGCACACTGCAACCTCTGCTTCTCGGGTTCAAGCAATTCTCCTGCCTCAGCCTCCCGAGTTGCTGGGACTACAGGCACACGCTGCCACGCCCAGATAATTTTTTTTTGTTTTGTATTTTTTTTTTTTAGTAGAGATGGGGTTCACTATGTTGGCCAGGCTGGTCTCGAACTCCTGGCCTCGTGATCCGCCCGCCTCGGCTTCCCAAAGTGCTGGGATTACAGGCATGAGCCACCGCACCCAGTCGCTGATTTTTTTTTTTTTTTTGTATTTTAGTAGAGACGGGGTTTCACTGTGTTGCCCAGGCTGGTCTGAAACTCCTGAGCTCAGGCAATCCACCCACCTCGGCCTCCTAAAGTGCTAGGATTACAGGCATGAGCCACTGCGCCTGGCCGTTTAGGCCTCTTTTGCTAAAACTGCATGAAAGCATGTGTCAAGAGAACTCAGAGCATGATTGCCCTGGGATTTGACAGCAGGGCTGCACTTCATCATTCTGGGCAGCTCACATCTGGGAATTACTATCAGAAAAATATCTTTGTGCTGTGTCCCTTCTTTCTCACTGACATCTGCTTTGGAGGGGAGATTTGGATGGAGTAAAGTTTCTAAGCAAGTGGGAGAAGGCCTAGAAATAGAACACTTCAAAGTGCAGGCCATAGTCGTTTCTCCTGATATATAATTGATTTTAGAAGATTTAAGCTTTTTCCTCTCTGGAAGCTGGCACCAGTTTTCTCCATTATAGAAAAGCTGCGGCTCTTTAAAGGGATGTAGAAATTTACTTTGACTGGAAAATATCTGAGGAGAGAACAGCTAGTCTTCAAAGTAGGAAAACCATTTGTCAAACGTTCTTGTGCCTCCTACAGGGTAACACGGAGCTGTTGACAGTTTCCTCCTTTCTCCTACAGCCAAGTCAGGCAGGCATTAAAGGACAAACATGGTCTCTAAAAAGAAGGCTCAACAGAAAGCTTGGGTTTGTGAAAAGAAAAGAAAATATTGGAACCCCAAACTCACTATGCCAAAGGGAAAAGTTAAGCTCGGGAACTGAGTCATGCAAAAAACTGCCTTGCTTTCGTTTCTAAACAGATAACTTCAATGTAGAAGCCACCAATATCCCCAGGTGGGGATATCCCTCACCCTAATAATGTAAATTAACCGCTTATCTTCCCAGGTAGAGGACAAAGACAAGAACAGAAATCATCCCAGGCTGGGCGCGGTGGCTCACGCCTGTAATCCCAGCACTTTGGGAGGCCGAGGCGGGCGGATCACGAGGTCAGGAGAACGAGACCATCCTGGCTAACACGCTGAAACCCCGTCTCTACTAAAAAATACAAAAAAAAATAGCCGGGCATGGTGGCGGGCGCCTGTAGTCCCAGGTACTGGGGAGGCTGAGGCAGGAGAATGGCGTGAACCCGGGAGGCGGAGCTTCCAGTGAGCCGAGATCGCGCCACTGCACTCCAGCCCGGGCGACAGAGCAAGACTCCGTCTCAAAAAAAAAAAATAAAAAAAATAAAAAATAAAATAGAAATCATCCCTCTGGCCACCCTGAAACAAATGCATATTTGACTTCTTCCTCTACTCTATATTTGTTATCTTACAGAAAATGCAGATTTACTGAGTGCCAGATAAATTGGCTGTTCCTCTTTCCCCTCCTGCCTGCTCCGTCCCCTTTAAATACTGAAGTCCTCAAAACCCTCTTTGGACAACACAAGCCACAGATCTGTAGTAAGTTGTTTCTCTTTTTCCTGGGTGTGTTCTCAGCCTTTGCACAATAAACCTCTAAATCAATTGAGACCTGTCTTAGACACTTTTTTGATTTACAGTTTTTGTTGTTTGAAGATGCCTTGGCTTGTCCTCCCTCCTAAGATTTGCTGGAATCTGACTACTTTGGGGTAGTCTTGGAGCTTCTGCTATTAAACCCTTTTCTTAAAATGTGCTAGGGCTGCCTAGTTGCTCTTCTATGTAAAGAAAAACGTCTCTGAAAGAGTGTGTTGATTTGAAAAGTATATTCATCATATTCCAGGAACAGCTTACATTTTCCCACACTTTCATCCTTAAATAAAAAGTTGGCTGGGTGCAGTGGCTCATTGCCTGTAATCCCAGCACTTTGGGAGGCCGAGGCAGGCGGATCACGAGGTCAGGAGATCGAGACCATCCTGGCTAACACGGTGAAACCCCGTCTCTACTAAAAATACAAAAAATTAGCCAGACATGGTGGCAGGCGCCTGTAGTCCCAGCTACTTGGGAGGCTGAGGCAGGAGAATCGCGTGAAACCGGGAGGCGGAGCTTGCAGTGAGCCCAGATCGTGCCACTGCACTCCAGCCTGGGAGACTTTGAGACTCCATCTCAAAAAAAAAAGTTACAAATTAAGGCATCATACACTCATAATTGTCAATAGAATCTATCCCTGGCGAGTTATCAAAAATATGGGCTTAGCAGTAACGTCTTAATCACAAATAACTTTTCAAATGTACAAAGAAAATCTTTTTTCTCTGACTCATACAGTGAGATACAAAAATCAAATTGGTCCCTTAAGATAGGATTAGAGTTGATAAGATCATCACCCTTAGAATTAGGAGGTAAACGTTTTAGACCTGGAACAAAGTTAGCACCTAGTCGTGCAAATAAAGAAAGGACTCTAGAGTAGAGAGAACAATCCAGGGACTTCCTGGGTCATTTATTTATGAATTGACTTTTGACCCTTCTCATCATAGGCTGTGACCTATTCTTAAAGTTTGATCTTTTTTCAGTCCTTTTACAGCATGGCAGTATTTCCTTAAGATCTACCAAGAATCCTAGCGAGACTTAATTCTGTTAGCCTAACAATATGAGAAATTCAGAAAGTTAAGCGTACTTACTTCCTGGACTTTTACCCCTGTTTCCTATTCTCTAGTCCCCCTCCTGAAATTAGTGCTGATCAGAACAGAAGTTTGAAGAAACTACCTGAGGCTGGAGAAAGTAGCACCAGAAAAGAGCAGAAGGAACAATCCTCAGAGTACCAGCCCCAACAAGATAAAATTCACTATGTCTGACATTCAAAAAAAGTTATCAGGCCTGCAAAGAAACAGGAAAATGTGATCCATAATGAGGAGAAAAATCAAATCAATAAAACAGATCAAGAATTATACAGAAGATAGAATTGGTAGACAGAGACATTAAAACAGTTCTTATAACTGTATTCCACATGTTCAAGAAGCTAGAGGAAAGATTGAAAATGATAAGTAGAGTCATGGAAGTTATTTTAAAAGATCTAAGTCTAACTTCTAGAGATGAAAAATATGGTATTTGATATGAAAAATACAATGGATAAGATTAACAGCAAATTAAACATTGCCAAAGGAAAGACTAAATAACTTGAAGACATAGCTATAAAAACAATAAGAAATGAAACACATAGAGAAAAAAGACTTTAAAAAGAGCACATCAGCGAGCCTTGAGACAACATCAGGTGGCCTAATATATGTGTAATTAGAGACCCCAAAGGAGAAGGGAGGGTACAGAAAAAAAAGAAATAATGACCAAATAGTAATGAGCAGATAAAGACCCAAAATTTTTCAAATTTGATGAAAACTATAAACCCATAGACCCAAGAAGTTCAACAAACCCTACATGGGAAGCATGAAGAAAATGACACCAAGGAACTTTATAATCAATTTGCTTAAAGCTATTGTTAAAGAAAAAAATCTTCTTCATCTCCAGTGCCTTAGGTTAGGTCCTCTTCATTTCTTAGCTGAACTTTTACAATAATCTCCAACTAATTGCCCTGCCTCTAATATAATTCCCCACCAGTCTTTTCCTCTTCACCACTGTTAGAGAACTCTTCACTGACCATTGACTAAAATCCAGGCTCTTAGCACTGCAAGTAAAGCTTTGTTAGCATGGCATATGTGACCCTTTTCACTCTCTCCAATCTCGGCACCCTATCCTCCACATCTGTTCCCAGTCCTCTAACCACATGGTACAGTTCGTGGAAAGAGCTGTACTGCTCTGGCCTCTATGCCTTTACATATGCTATTGTCTGTCTGGAAATGTCCTTCTCTTCCTTGGTTTATTAATCTGTGGCCCCCACTAATCTCTAAGCTCCTGGAAGACGACAGACTGTCTCTTTTTCACTGCAGTGTTGGGCTGAAAAAGGAAATAGAGTGGAATTTGAGAAGGGGTGTGGAAGGCAGGAGGAGGGAAGGGAGAAAAGAACAATAGAAAAAACAAGACTGAAGAGCTTAGCCAAAGTGTTCTATTTCCACAAAGAAGGTAAATATAGAAGAGAGAAGGCCGGGCATGGTGGCTCATGCCTGTAATCCCAGCACTTTGGGAGGCCGAGGCAGGAGGATCACGAGGTCAAGAGATTGAGACCATGCTGGCCAACACGGTAAAACCCCGTCTCTATTAAACAATACAAAAATTAGCTGGGCATGGTGGCATGTGCCTGTAGTCCCAGCCACTTGGGAAGCTGAGGCAGGAGAATCACTTGAACCTGGGTGGCAGAGGTCAGAGGTTGCAGTGAGCCCAGATTGCGCCACTGCACTTCAGCCTGGCGACAGAGCGAGACTCCGTTTAAAAAAAAAAAAAAAAAAAAAGACAGAGAGAAAAGATGGGCAAAGAGGTGTAACGAAGAGGTCTAGTAGAAGGGTGGGGCTTGAACACAGGGAGTGACTCCTCTTTTAGTGAGTTGAAAGAAAGAAGTGGAGGAGATAGAGCTTAAGGGAATTTACTACTGGCAGTTTCGTTTCCTTCCTAAAGTAGGAGACAAGGTCATGTGCTGCAAAGAAGGCTTGAGGAGAATGGAAAAGGCTGTGACATAGAATAACCACTCACATTCAAAACAGTGTACTGTGATCCGCTGAAGACTTCAAATCAGAGCTGAAAACCAGGACAAAATATATCCTGTCCTCCTCCTAAACATACCCTACAATATCTCCTACTGGCTCTTCCTTCCCTTTTATAAAAAACCATCTGCCTAGACTCTCTAGACAGATCACTGCCTTTGATTCTGAGTATGGGGTTTTCTCTGGAGGGGAACCGGAAAATGTAGCAAAACAAGAGTAAAGGAGGAGGGCAAAATATGAAGAGTGCTCAAGAGTAGGTTATACACATTTTAGAAGTACAGCGAAGATCATTAAAATAGCCCAAAATCTGGTTTGAACCTAAAGGTTTCTAACAGGTACAGGGAATCAGATGTATTCTAATGTGTCAGTTGACAAATTTCTTGGCAATTTACCTTCAGAACAGTGGGAGAGATCTACAGCTAACATATTCAGTCATTCTTGGAGGGTAGAGGGATCTCTCTGCAGGGGTATTATTTTAAAATCAAAGCAAAATATCTAACAGAATAACAAGTATCTGTAATGAAAAAATCTCCATTTCAAAGCGTTGCTTGAAATGAAAGAGACATTTTATTAGATTATTTATCAGAGAGTGGTCTGAGGAACAACTGCATGATGGGGTTGAGGGTGAGGCCCAGGGGTTGGGTCTGGACAAAAATAGAGATTATTAACATTGCAGTTTCTTGAATCCCATGTCAGATTTACTAATTTAGAATCTCCAAATGGCAGGGTGGGGTACGGGAGAAGCCTAGAAATCTAAATATTTTACAGATGTTCCAAGTAATTTTTAAACATTTTATTATGGAAAATTTTAGTCTCACACAGAAGTAGAGAGAATAGTACAATTAAGCCCATTCACCTACCACACAACAGGGGGCCGAGTTAGGAGTTGGTAAGCAAAGTATTGATAACCTGTGCCCAAGCGAACAAAGTAAGTGGTCACCTATACAATCTGCTACTCCAATTTGCCTTATATAGTTGCTCCAAAAGTAAATTGCCTCTCTAAAAGAGAAAATGTAGTTATAACTACACATTCTTTTATGATGTAAATATATCCTGTCTTTCTATCTATATTCTATAAAATGCAAACGTAGCAAAAATTCTTTGGGAAGGTGAGGAGCTGAATGATTCTGAATAGCAGGTCTGCATCAATTTCCTAATTAATGGCCACATTTAAAACATTTAAAAATTTTTTTAATTTTAGAGGCGGGGTCTTGCCCAGGCTGGTCCCAAACTCCTGGGCTCAAGCAATCCTCCTGCCTCAGCTTCCCTAGTAGCTAGGACTACAAGTGCAACTATGCCCAGCAGTTAATGGCCACATTTAATTTAATAAATATTATTGAGCACTTACTGTGGCCAGCTTATGATGCAAGATCTAAGCTGCTATTACAGAGAGACCAAAAAAAAACAAAAAACAAAAAAAACCAGTGACTTAAACAAGATAAATGTGTATTTCTTCCTTACACAACAACATGAAGGATTGGCATTCCAGCAAGGAAAATGGATATTGAGGGATGGTTAGCAATCTCTGCTGTACCAACTTTGTACAAGACCTTGTGGTGAGCCCAGAGCTTATGGACCCTGGAGCGTGTACAAATTTGGAGGCCCTCTTTAAGTAAGAGAATATAGAATTATAGATACAAAATTAAGTACAGAAAACTGAGCAAGCAAAGGTCTTTAAAGCTAAATTAGCTTTACAGTAAATCTAGCTCTGAGTGGGTTTCTGCCATCCAGTCAGGATTTGCCTGAAAAAGACAATTAGAGGCCAGGTTCCCAGCACTTTGGGAGGCTAAGACCAGCTTGAGGCCAGGAGTTTCAGACCAGCCTGGGCGAGACCCCATCTCTACAAAAAAATAAAATAAAATAGCTGGGCTAATTGGCTCATGCCTATAGTCCTAACTACTTGGGAGGCTGAGATGGGAGGATCTCTTGAGCCCAGGAATTCAAAGCTGCAATGAGCCATGATTGCACCCCGCACTCCAGCCTGGATGATAGAGTGAGACCCTGTCTCTCTCTCTCTTTTTTTTTTTTTTTTTGAGATGGAGTCTCTCACTCTGTCGCCCAGGCTGGAGTGCAAATGGCACAATTTCAGCCTCCCGATTCAAGTCATTCTCCTGCCTCAGCCTCCCAAGTAGCCGGGACAACAGGCATGTGCCACCATACCTGGCTAACTTTTGTATTTTTAGTAGAGATGAGATTTCACCATGTTGGCCAGGCTAGTTTTGAATTTCTGACCTCAAGTGATCTGCCCACCTCGGCCTCCCAAAGTGCTGGTATTACAGGCATGAGCCACCACACCTGGCTGTGAGACCCTGTCTCTCTCCTTTTTTTTTTGGAGACAGAGTCTTGCTCTGTAGCCCAGGCTGGAGTGCAGTGGCCCGATCTCAGCTCACCACAACCTCTGCCTTCCGGGTTCAAGCGATTCTCCTGCCTCAGCCTCCCGAGTAGCTGGGAGTACAGGCGCCTGCCACCACGCCCGGCTAATTTTTTGTATTTTTAGTAGAGACGGGGTTTCACCGTGTTAGCCAGGATGGTCTCGATCTCCTGACCTTGTGATCTGCCCGTCTCAGCCTCCCAAAGTGCTAGGATTACAGGCGTGAACCACCGCTCCCGGTTGAGACCCTGTCTCTTAATAAAAATAAAAAGACAGAGATCTATATAAGCTAGTGTTTTGTCATACTATAATTGACTGAAGTGCCTGAAATAAGTGCCGTGTGCAGTGACAGTCCTGGGTAGTAAAAGAATTTACTAAGACAGAAATAAAATAACAGAAGCGGCTGGGCGCGGTGGCTCATGCCTGTAATCCCAGCACTTTGGGAGGCCAAGGCGGGCGGATCACGAGGTCAGGAGATTGAGACCATCCTGGCCAACACAGTGAAACCCCGTCTCTACTAAAAATACGGAAATTAGCCGGGCGTGGTGGCGGGCACCTGTAATCCCAGCTACTCGGGAGGCTGAGGCAGGAGAACCGCTTAAACCTGGGAGGGGGAGGTTGCAACGAGCCAAGATTGTGCCACTGCACTCCAGCCTGGGCGACACAAACAGACTCCATCTCAAAAAAAAAAAAAAAAAAAAAAAAAAAAAAAAGGTACAAAAGAAAACAGAAGGAAATTTATTAGGGGAATGCTGCTTTATAGCAGCAACAGGCAGTAGTGAGAGAGCTGCTATCTGCCAAGAGGCAGAAATGTGACAGGGTTTTTTGTTTTGTTTTTTTTTTTGAGACGGAGTCACCCAGGGTCTGTCGCCCAGGCTGGAGTGCAGTGGCATGATCTCGGCTCACTGCAACCTCCACCTCCTGGGTTCAAGCGACTCTTATGCCTCAGCCTCCTGAGTAGCTGGGACTACAGGCACTCGCCACCATACCTGGCTGATTTTTGTATTTTTAGTAGAGACGGGGTTTCACCATATTGGCCAGGCTGGTCTCTAACTCCTGACCTCATGATCTGCCCGCCTCTGCCTCCCAAAGTGCTGGGATTACAGGTGTGAGCCACCACGCCCGGCAAGAGGGTTTTATAGGACAGTGTTGGAGAGATCTATGTACAAGTGAGCTTGTGCTGTATACTAAGAATACGTGGCAGTAATTTTTCACTGCCAGGCCTTTCCTCTTCAGGTGCCCAAGGGAAACACTCTGCTGTTCTTAGCCATCTTGCAACCAGCATGCCTTTCATTTCTGGAGTTGCAAGATAGTGGCTGCGGTTTTTCCACACCCTTTAAAGGAATTACAAACCAGGTTAAGTCCCTATTCCACCAGCCTGGTTCCTTCCTGGTTCCATTAACTTATTGATTTATTACGGCCCCACAGTGAGTTCAAAATATTTTGCTATACTAAGAGTTATGGATAGTCACAAAAGCTTGAGAAAAAGGAGAAAGGATGTTTGTTGGAGTTACCCGTAAAGGCATCATGAAGAAGCTATAGTCAGACACTTAAAGGATGGGTAGGACTTGAAAAGGCGGAATGTAGGGAAGAGGCTGATGAGGAATCCACATATGCAAAGTTCTGAAAGCAAGAATGAGCAGACCACTTGGGAGATGGGAGGACATCTGGACTGGAACTAGACTAAATGTTGAAAACAATGAAAGATTCGGCAGAGACAAATGATGAAATGTTCTGCCAGAGTGAAGCATTTGGGTTTGATCAGATAGATCAGGGGTTGGTAAACTACATCAGCAAGCAGGCCAAATCTGGCCCACCCCGTTTTTTCGTAAATAAAGTATTACTGGACAGTCGTGCCCACTTGTTTACAAACCTTTGTGGCTGCTTTTGGACAAGTAGAGTTGAGTAGCTGTCACAGAGACCTTATAACTCACAAAGCCTTTATAGAAAATTTGATCAAACAACAAGACAATATAAAATCCTCTAATAAGGAAGAGAACTGAAGTTTTATTGGAGACCATTTTTCAAAATCTGATATATTTACAACTTCCTAAAGCTCCAAAGCAGGTTTAGAAAACTTCAATCGAAATATTTTCTGGGCCGTGCGCGGTGGCTCACATCTGTAATCCCAGCACTCTAGGAGGCCGAGGCGGGCGGATCAGAAGGTCAGGAGTTCAAGACCAGCCTGGCCAACATGGTGAAATCCCATCTCTACTACAAATACAAAAATTTGCTGGGTATGGTGACACATGCCTGTAATCCGCGCTACCTGGGAGGCTGACGCAGGAGAATCATTTGAATCCAGGAGGCAGAGGTTGCAGTGAGCCAAGACTGCGCCACTGCATTCCAGCCTGGCGATGGAGCGAGACTCTGTCTCAAAAAAAAAAAAAAAAGAAATACTTTCCTAGTTTGCAGAGACTGTGCCTTAAGGCATAATTTAGGTTGAAATGAATCTCATTGTTGCGCTTCAGCAGTTTTGCATCATTATTTGTTTTTCTCTGGTGTGCCTTTGTTTCCTAATATTTCACAAACCAGTTGGGCCAATTATCTTCCACACAATTAAAACAGTTTGTGCCATCCAGCTGTTTCTCCTTAATCTTGGGCACTTTACATGATGCTGTTTGCCCTCCTCACTAAAGCTCTCTCATTCTATGGTGGGGGCACTTTCAAATTAACATTCCCGGCAAACTTTTTGCAGGGTTTAAATTTTTCTGAGCAATATCTTCTCCCCTATATTGACAGTCCATGAGCACCCTCAGGTTCAATAAAGTGTTCCTTATACTCATTTTTTATTTCACACATGAACACTCAGCAGAAGAAACAGGTAAGATTATTATACCTAGGAGAGTTGTACCTAGGGGAAAAAATGTAACATTTAAGATGATTGTCACATTTAAGAGGGTGTCTAGATTCTTGGCATCTTGAATAAAGAATTGGACAAAATGCACAAACAAAGCAAGGAAGGAATGAAGGGATTTATTGAAAATGAAAGTACACACTCCACAGTGTGGGAGCAGGTACGAGCGTAGGGGCTCAAGGGCCCCATTACAGAATTTTGGGGAGTTTAAATACCCTCTAGAGGATTCTATTGGTTACTTCAGGTATGCCCTATGCAAATAGAGAGGATGAAGTAAAGATACAAAGCTATTTACTTGGCCTATGCCCTATGGAGAGGATATTTCCTGTCCTAGCTGAAGTGGGAATTGGCCTTATGTTCCCTGCCTCTAGACCCTATTTTCCTGCCTCAATGATTACAAAATGTTCCCCCTAAAAAAAACTTTCATTTATTGACATTTGTGCCCCCAGATTCCCACACCTTCATAATCAATTAATGTTTATTGAGATCTTTCTTTTTTCTTTTTTACTTTTTTTTTCCCCCAAGACGGAATCTTGCTCTGTCACCCAGGCTGGAGTACAGTGGTATGATCTCAGCTCACTGCAACCTCTGCCTCCCAGGTTCAAGCGATTCTCCTGCCTCAGCCTGCTGAGTAGCTGGGATTAAAGGCGTGCACCACCATGCCCAGCTAATTTTTGTAGAAACGGGGTTTCACCACGTTGGCCAGGATGATCTTAAACTGACCTCAAGTGATCTGCCCACCTCGGCCTCCCAAAGTGCTGGGATTACAGGCATGAGCCACCGTGCCTGGCCTAAAAAATTATTCATGGAACCAGGACTCCTTAGAGAAATGGTTAACTCAATGAACTGATTGAACATCCCAAATCCAAAAGCCAAAATGCTCCAGTGAGCTTTTCCTTTGAGCTTCATGTCAGCACTTACAAAGCATCAGCTTTTGGAACATTTCAGATTTTCAGATTAGTGATTCTCAACTTGTATCAATCACTTGATCTTCCTCGTCCTTTGGTAAACAAGCCAAAGGTCCCATATAGGATGTCTCTGAATTTCGCCGAAAAACTGGGTTGCCAATGTTGATGGAAATGTGAAAAGTGAATGGGACTTTCCAACATATAGAAGTATATAATAGCCTGATATATTGGAAAGAGCACTGGGAAAGACATCAAAAGACACCCAACTATACTTCACAGTTCTGCCACTAACTAATCACTTAATTGCTTTAGGCTAAATTTGTTTTGGTTTTTTAAAAATATGTAAAATAAAAGTTATATACTGTATTATCTCCAAGAACTTTTTTTTTTTTTTTTAAACAAAGTCTGTCTCTGTCACCCAGGCTGGAGTGCAGTGGCATGATCATGGCTCACTGCAGCTTTGACTTACTGGGCTCAAGCAATTCTCCCCACCTCAGCCTCCAGACTAGCTGGGACCACAAGCATGTGCCACCACGTCTGGCTAATTTATTTATTAATTGTAGAGGCAGGTCTCATTATGTTGCCCAGGCTGGTCTCAAAGTCATGGCCTCAAGTAATTCTCCCACTTTGGCCTCCCAAAGTGCTCAAATTATAGGTGTGAGCCACTGAGCCCTACCAGAGCTCTTCTAATAATAAAGTTCTGTGAAGTAGAAATGAAGATAAAATTGGAAATGTTTTGCCTAGCCAAAGTCCCTATGCCCAACATGGTCATATGTGCTCAAGGATAGACAATAAAAAGTATTTAGAGTGCTTATCTATCTTATTTATCCATAGAGAGTGAACAAAGCCTCCCTGGCTTAGGAATATCTCCTCTGGTGTCTGGAGAGCTCCTGGAGCTATGAAGGAAATGGCACCAGGAGCTCCAGAAGACTCAGGAAAGCTTTCAAATCCAATGGGATGACTATACAGGTCAGTAAAAGAAAAAGTACAGAGGAAAGAAAATCCTTTTGTGTGTATCACATTCTGTGCTAATTACTTTATATAACTATCTCATTTACTCTTTGCTTATGATGTAGGTTTACTGTTCCCATTTTAAAAACACTTTTTGCATCAATGAGAAACTGAGGCTCTCAGAGTTTAAATGATTTGGAAGTCTGTGCACTGTCCATATTCCATTCCATCTCTGTCCAGAGAGTCAAATTCTTTCATGAAATATTTCTACCCCTTCTGCAGAACCTTCTCTGACCATTCTGGCCCACAATGACTTCTTCTTCTGAGCTTCTCTAGTGCTTATTACCTGTACCACCAATTTCACAGCTGTAACTCTTTGGAACGTTGCTTATATTTGATTTATATATCAATCAGTAAGCATTTATTGAACAACCACCATAGACCCCCTAGGCAGTGGGGATACACAGGTGAATAAGACACAGCCCTTGAACTCAGGAGTTAAAATCTAATAGAGGAAACAACACCACTGGTAGTGAATAAACACCCTGGGCTGGGCACAGTGGCTCACGCCTGTAATCCCAGCACTTTGGGAGGCCAAGGCAGGCAGATCACCTGAGGTCAGCAGTTGGAGAGCAGCCTCGCCAATATGGTGAAACCCCGTTTCTACTAAAAATAAAAAAATTAGCCAGATGTGGTGGCGGGTGCCTGGAATCCCAGCTACTTGGGGTGCTGAGGCATGAGAATCGCTTGAACCCGGGAGGCTGAGGTTGCAGTGAGCCGAGATCATGCTATTGTACTCCAGCCTAGGCGACAATAGCTAAACTCTGTCTCAAACAACAACAACAAAAAAAAAACAGTTTATAAACACCCCAATCCATTCTAAGAGTAAATCACTTTCTCTACTTCTCTCTCCCCTAGTTTGGAACACTTACATTTCAGCTCTCATTATCATACCAATAAGCCTGAAAGTAGCAAAACCAAGCCTTCAGGGAAAAGGAAAAGGAGAATTTTAACTAATGAACTACTGCAGCAAATACCCTATAAGCCCCAAGGACAAAACACAGCAGAGGTAACAACTGTGTTGTTACCTTAAGTTGACTTAAAACTTAAATTCTCCTAAGGGACAGTGCTTTTCCCAGGCAAAGCAGGCAGACGGGTTTCCGCCAAAGTCTCAGCCCTGTGGCAATATACAATGGCGGGTGGGGCCAGGCATGGTCGGGGGACAGAGGCAGGAAGAGGATTACTTGAGGCCAGAAGTTCAAAGACCAGTCTGGGCAACAAAATGAGACCCCATCTCTACTAAAAAAATGAAGAGAAAAAGAAAATAATGGCTGGTGGCACACTGTTGTCTTAACCCACTCCATGGAGGGAATCAGTGAGGAAGAGTCTCACTTTCTGGTAACTAGGGATGGCTTTAGGAATAAAACTATCTATTCCAGCCCTTATTCTAACCAGCTATCCTACTAACAACACATTCCTAAGCTAGTCTTCCAATGCAATGATAACTTTCTAAAAGATAATGAAAGCCCATAGATAAAAGTTATATGAACAAAGCCCGGTATATAGAAAAGATAGTGCTCGGCCGGGCGCGGTGGCTCACGCCTGTAATCCCAGCACTTTGGGAGGCCGAGGCGGGCGGATCAGGAGGTCAGGAGATCGAGACCATCCTGGCTAACACGGTGAAACCCCGTCTCTACTAAAAATACAAAAAATTAGCCGGGCGTGGTAGCGGGCGCCTGTAGTCCCAGCTACTCGAGAGGCTGAGGCAGGAGAATGGCGTGAACCTGGGAGGCGGAGCTTGCAGTGAGCCGAGATCGCGCCACTGCACTCCAGCCTGGGCGACAGAGCGAGACTCCGTCTCAAAAAAAAAAAAAAAAAAAGATAGTGCTCAGCTTTGGTTTCTTCTCGGTTCTTTTGGTCAGTCCGGATCTTGCTCATCAACAATTTTAAGTTCCATTTTTTCCTTCAGTTTCATGTCCTTTGATACTGAATCAATTCAATTTGATTTAATGAACAACTTCAACATGCAAAGCAATATGTACTTAAGAGAATAAACGTGAAGAAGAGACGATTCCTGCTTCAAAAGTTGATAGTCACGTAAATTATTATCCATAATATAGATCTGGAAATGTCATGTTCTTGTGACAACTACTTATGCTCTTAAGAGCCGTATATAAAAGCCATGTATATATGTGGCTGAGCTTATTCCACCCCATACTGTAAGATTAAAATCATTGCCATCTTCAAGGTTCTGGGCTGGGCTATGTTAACAAGGAGTTCTGGTCGTGCCTACTGAGAGACTTGTCCCAGAAATGAACATTGCAAGCATTCTTGAAGTCAAAGAATCACTTGGTCTTATCATTACAACCTAGGATTTGAGGAAGAGAAACACCAATCCCTGTGACTATCTACAGTATCCACCCCACGTCCTTTCTAGAGTTGCCCGAGTAATATATTCTTCAACCCAAGCCTCATCCTGTCTACTAAGCAAGAGGTAAGGCAGGTAAACAGATTTCCTCTAAAATGTAGAGGGTAGAATTAAGGGAAGTGAAATTCATTGAGCATCTACCATGTACTATACATATCGTAGCTTGTTTAAAGCTCACATTAGCACTGTAGAGTAAGTCTCATTGCCCGCATTTTACATCTTAGGAAAGTGAGGCCAAAAGAGGTTAAATAACTTGTCTGAGGTCACGGCTAGTAAGTGGCAAAGCCATGATTCAGGCTTGGAGATTGGTAGCAGATGGAGTTCTAGTTCAGAAAATTTTTTGGATGCTGGCTCTACCAGAGCTTTAACACGGCTAAAAGACATTTCAGATTATCAAAGTGCTCCAAAGCCATGGGCAGGAGGCCCCCACACAGCAAGCTCTACTCCAGGGAACTTCAGACTCTGCCTGAAATTCAGTTGCACCAAATGCCTTTAGTCTCCACAATTTAATTTTTGCACCGTAATTTCAGGCTGCTCCTGATTAGAAATGTGATAGCTCAGGTGCCATAAGCAAAAGAACTCACACCAAGGAAACCCTTGCTGAGTTGTCAGCACCCTGGGTGGTAGGAGTCCTGAGAGACAGAAGGTCATGGAGCAGGAAAATATAGAGTCCTCTTAGACATGAAAGCACTGAAGATCTGGGAAGCCAGGCAGAGTGGTCAGAGGGATCGCCCCACAGCTGGAAGTCATTAATAGTCCGGGGTTGCATAAAAAGCAATGTGAAGGGAGTGAACAGCTTTGGTCAGGCTACCAAAGTCGCTGGTAGCCTGGACCCTGAGTTCACCGATCCTTCCTACTCAGTAATATCTACAGGTAAGTCCAAAGGGAAATTGCTTTGGGAATCTGACAATTTAACTCTGCTCTGCTGATACAAGGATGTCATCACCAAAGCTGGAAAGAAAATGGGCCACTGATGGTGACATGATTTAATAATGAGGCCAGTTCTCATTTTTCTATTGGGAGCTTGGTAAGAATTCTCTAGACAGTAGACAATCCACAATTCACTTATATTTGACTTTGGAATTTGGGGTAGCTTTGGCAGCAGTAGGTTGTTTTTGTTTTGTTTTGTTTTGTTTTTGTTTTTGAGATGGAGTCTCGCTCTGTTGCCAGGCTGGAGTGCAGTGGTGCGATCTTGGCTCACTGCAACCTTCACCTCCTGGGTTCAAGCGATTCTCCTGCCTCAGCCTCCTGAGTAGCTGGGACTACAGGTGCGTGCCACCACACCTGGTGGCACCTAGTATTTTTACTAGAGACGGGGTTTCACCGTGTTACCCAGGATGGTCTCGATCTCCTGACCTCATGATCCGAAGCAGTAGGATTTAACTTCCTGATTATGTTTAACTTGGGTTGAAAACTGAAATAATTAGTAGTCTTTGGGAATGCCCTGATTGATCAATGAGGCACAAAGGAGAACCAATCAATCAGTCACTTAGAACTTGCCATCAGTGATCCACAAAGGGGTGTGAGAGTCATAAATAAATAATTCTGGTGGTAGTCCTAAATTGGTTCTTTTTTTTGTATTTGGTCATAGCACTAAACTAGGCTGGGAAGAAAGATTCTCGGGGCAGAATTCTGAAATCTTTGCCTTAGCTGTGTAACTGTTCAGAGAGGAATTTCTTTTCAACTTGTCTTTTCCTTTGGCCTCTAAAGTTCTTCTCAGAGAAAAAATCAATCCCCTGCTCCAGGCTAGGGCCAAGTGTGTAAGGTTTGTCAGTTTAATCTCTGTCCACAAGCCTAATCACTTTAAGCTGGCCTGTCCTGGGGCTGAGAATCTACTGACGGTGTTTTCGTCTTTCTCTTAGGAGGATCGTGAATTTCCTAAACTGTCTTTGAGAGACTCAGATATTTTATTTTATAAATGGCAGTGACAGATGTTATGTATCCATTGCTAATGTTATCTGTACAAAATCAAGAAGATATATTACAGTGGATACAAACCTAGAGTGCCTTTTGGATATGGCAGGTGAGGAGTGTTCCTTGATGGTTTGTTTTCAGTTCAGTGCAAGACACTCCTGAAGCACATCACTTACTATAAATGACCTTTAAGAGGAAAAGATACTTTGGAGTTACTCTATCACTTGAAAATGGGGCAGGACCATTACAAGAGTAAATATAGTTATTTATGAAAAGCCAGATCTCCAAGTCCAAAAGGAGAGAAATAACTATTATTCATATAGTTCAGTCCTTAGAACCAATTCTCCTCTGCTGTGTATGGCATTTCCACATCTTGTTTAGACTTCAGGCTGAGCCTGTAATTGTTTGGCTGTGGGAAATGAGGGAGTGTATTTCAGAAAACCCATCTTCCCCTCGCACTTCCAGGGTCCTATTCAGATCGACTTGTTCTGCTACCATTTTACCCATACCCAGCATCCCGATATTTATTGAGCATATTTATGTGTGCCATTCTATCCTAGTTCCCAAAGGGGATACAAAAACGAAATTATACGCAAGATGGTAGAGCATTTACACAAAATCGTAAAGGAGGTGAAGTTGGCCAGTTTAGTTTTTTCAGTTTACTTGGGGAACTCATTAGCCTGCTTTCAGCCCTTTTGTCTCCGAAAGCTTAGAACATGTACTGCTGGTGGTATGTGAGATGGTTTAAGTTAAACAGAAGATGACTTTAGGCGGTAGATGGACAAGCATAAGATTATCACATCATGGAAAAGTAATTTCCTTTTTAATTTGCTTTCAAGCCTGGATTCATCTAGAAGAAAGTCTCAGTGGGGGTTGATGTGTCATTAACATATTCCAAAACTTATTCCCTTTTAACATATTCCTTTTTAATCAAGAAAATAGACCTCAGAACTGGAGTGCTCTCCTGGTAACAGTAGTTATTTAGAATTTATTGACATTGTATTATTAATTTTTTCTAGGATTATATTCTGTTTATGAAAAATGACAGTAACATGCTATAAATTTTCCAATTTACACGAATGTATTTAAGCTTTGAAAAAGTTATTAGTTGATTTAAAGAAAAATATTGAGTAAATAATAATATAGCTGGGTTGGAGATATGGTTGAAATCCTGACATTGCTATTCAAATGACTGAAGTTTGGGAGACACTTCTTTCCCCCACCCGGAGCCCAAACAAAATTACTATTTGTGACCCATTCCTGCCCTCTGCTTTACCTAAACCAATTCAGGATCATGATAATGACCAATAATATAATAAGAACCATACTTCTCCCTATAAGCATTATGATAGGGCTCTGAGATCTTTAACCTAAAGAGTCATTTTAATGGTAGAAATTTCTAAAAAGACAGGATAATATATTTGTAGTAGATGAAACTGTCACAATAATGACACTATCGAGTGCTGTCATTTAGACTTTTTGAGTATTCTCTAATTCTCACAACGACCGTGAGGCATTTTTCAGATGAGAAAACTGAGGTTCAGGGAGGTTAAACAAAACCTCAAGCAATAAGGAGCAGAGCCACGGTCTGGTGCCTAGAACTTCTGGCCATGTGGGTAGCTTAACTGCTCCCCCTAAGGTTTGTTTTCTTTTTTTTGAGATGGAGTTTTGCTCTTGTTGCCCAGGCTGGAGTGCAGTGGCGTGATCTCGGCTCACCGCAACCTCTACCTCCCGGGTTCAAGTGATTCTCCTGCCTCAGCCTCCTGAGTAGCTGGGATTATAGGCATGCACCACCACGCCCGGCTAATTTTGTATTTTTAGTAGAGACGGGGTTTCTCCATGTTGGTCAGGCTGGTCTCAAACTCCCAACCTCATGTGATCCGCCCACCTCGGCCACCCAAAGTGCTGGGATTACAGGCATGAGCCACCACACCTGGCCCTGCTCCCCCTAAGTATTAGGCAAACCCTGGAGAAGCCACACGGATGAACAGCCTGAGGAACTCAAGGGAGCATGTGAATAGGTGCACAATAACACATTATAACACAGGGAAACTCTGAAATACTATGGGAGGAAGTACGTTCAGAGTAGGTGAGACCAACTGAAGGAAGTGGGGACTCTACCAAAGGAGTCACCTCATTGCATTTATCTCTGCCTTGCATTCTACCCCTCTGCCTTACAGACCTCCTTGTAGGGCCAGGTCAGGCTTCATGTCTCCCACCAACCCCAGTCACTCAGAAAGGAGCAAGTACTCTGGTTGCCATATTTCTGTCTCTGGAAAGGATGCCTGTCTTCCCAGTTGGGAAGACCATTCCTCAGCTCGGTCCGGTGGACTGCTGCCTGTAGGACATGCAGAGGCAGGCAGGCTGCATCTGCTTCTGGAGATAAGCTCCCGCTGCAGAGCTTTTGTCAGGTTGGCCACTGTCCCGCAACAGCCTTTCTAACCCAGCGCCATGGACCAGCTATGCTCTTCACCAATAGCCTAGGCAAGAGCTTCAAGTGCTCTTAGGAGTCATTCCGTGTGATGCTAACCTGGGGCTTCAAGCCTACCATTGGGAATCACTATCCCTTGTGACACTGTGTCCAGGCCCCACCTCCTGCCTGTCCGATAGATTGGATTTCTTGCAGTGTTGGCATCATCCCAGTCACACCTCGTTTTACCAGGTATTTTATAGAACCTCCCAGATGAGAATTAAGATAATGAGTATGAAAGATAATGAGTATGATAATGAGTTGAGAAATTCCAAAGCCCCAGAAAAATACATAAGATGATATCACCAAACCTTTCCGCCCACTCTAGAGTGTAGTCCTTGGAACTCAGCCCTTGTCACTATTCCCATTTTCCCTGGGTGATCTCATCTGTTCCCCTGGTTTTAATTACTACGTATATGATAATAACACTCCTATCTGCATGTCTAGTTTAGATCTCTCTCCTGACCTTTAGATTTTTATTTTGACAGATTCCTAGATATCTATATTTCAGTGTATTCCACAGATACTTCAGAGTAAACAGAACTCACCCCCTTCCTCACTAAGGCTTCCTCTTCCTTCGGAATTCTGTATCTCATCAAGGTTTCTGATGAGTCTCCAAAGAGCTCCAGCCGGAAGAAACACACACATCCCATGCAGTCTTTTCTCCATACCAAGTGCAGAGCTGAGCTCTGGTGTGGCCACCGGGAGGCAGTGCAGACTTGAGGATGTGTTTCGCAGCAAGGCTTCAGGAGCCCCAATCCTGAGCAATCCCAGTCCTGCATGCAACTTCTGCCCAGCTTCCTTTCCTCTCTTTTTCAGGGAATGTCTTTGTCTGAGTCCACCATTGACTCAGGCTCCTATTGAATTGGTAAGGGAGGGACTGGAATGGGGCCCAAGTGCAAAGCTCCTTCACAGAGCAGCATGCACCCCCATATGCACATATCCTGGAACACTGCCTGCCTTCAGCTCCTGAGAGGCACAGTTCAACAAATCAAGCTGGAGGCTTCTTTGAGCCAGGAAACCTAAAAGACTTTAAAGGAAAGTGTGGAGCCTGGTGTTAAACAGGTATTACTTTGTTCCCTGACATACAGGTGGTGGAAATGTCACATTTCTTTAATTTTCTAAATTAAATACCCTTGGCTTCCATCCAACAATGAGTAGCAAATCCAATCTTGGTCCTTTATCAGGAGCTTACACATACTGGGGGGAAGATGTCTCTTAGATGAGGGTGCCTGTCACCCCTGGCGCTCTTTGCCCAAAACAATTCTACGACCCTTTCTCCAGGTTTCTCTATGGCATGAAGACCTCTGCTGAGGCTCGGGATCAGCAGTGCCTTTGCTTACCTCCCTGAGCACACTGTCATCCCCATTGAAGGCCCTCTGGTCCCAGCGGTCTGTGGGAGGCCTGGAGCAGGACCTGGCCACAAAAGGAGGCTGCAGTGCTCCTCAGCACCATGCCTCAAAGCCAGGCTCAGGAAATTCTCCTCTGCCCTCTTCTAATTCTACAAATCCTTCCTCCTCTCAGACAAAACAGTTTTATTGCCTCTAAGACTGGGTTAATTTTTTAAAACAAAAGCTTGTTGATTTCTTTCTTCGCTTTATTTCCTTCCCTCCCTTCCTTCCCTCCCTCTTTCTTTCCTTCCTTCCTCTCTCTCTCTCTTTTTTTTTTTTTTTTTTGACAGAGTTTCACTCTTGCTATCCAGGCTGGAGAGCAATGGCACAATCTCAGCTCACTGCAACCTCTGCCTCCCAGGTTCAAACGATTCTCCTGCTTCAGCCTCCTGAGTAGCTGGGATTACAGGTGCCCACCACCATGCCCAGCTAATTTTTTCTATTTTTAATAGAGACGGGGTTTCACCATGTTGGCCAGGCTGGTCTCAAATCCCTGACCTCAGGTAATCCACCTGCCTCGGCCTCCCAGAGTGTTGGGATTACAGGCGTGAGCCACTGTGCCTGGCCTGATTTCTTTCTTTTTTTTTCTTTTTTGGAGATGGAGTTTCGCTCTTGTTGCCCATGGTGCAATGGCCCGATCTCGGCTCACCACAACCTCTGCCTCCCAGATTCAAGTGATTCTTCTGCCTCAGCCTCCCAAGTTGCTGGGATTACAGGCATGAGCCACCAAGCCCAGGTAATTTTGTATTTTTAGTAGAGACGGAGTTTCTCCATGTTGGCTGGTCTCAAGCCCCCGACCTTAGGTGATCCACCCACCTTGGCCTCCCAAAGTGCTGGGATTACAGGCATGAGCCACTGCTCCTGGCCTCTTTCTTTTTTGAAACAGCGTCTCGCTCTCTTGCCGAAGCTGGAGTGCAGTGGTGTGATCATAGCTCACTCCTAGGCTCAAGTGCTCCTCCTGCCTCAACCTCCTGAGATTATAGACATGAGCCACCACACGCAGCTCAATTTCTTTTCTTTGTTTCTTTCTCTTTTTCCTTTCCTTTTTTTTCTTCTTCTTTTTTTTTTTTTCCTGAGATGAGAGAAAGCCTGATCTCCAGAACAAAAAGCCCTGGTTACCCTTTGGGATTGGGAGTGTGGAGGAAGATAGGAATGGTCTATTCTTTTGTGAAGAACAGAAATGGCAGACACTACAGAAAATCAGTCAATTTCTCAACCAGGTTACCCTCCCTGCACTAAAGTGGTGCTTACCTCATACCTTGTTGCCAAAGTTTGGGGCCTGCCTCAGATTGGTGATGCATCAGATTGGAAGTAAGCAGCAAACTTGGATCCCCCAAGCTTTAAAACATTTAAAAAAATTTTATGGATACATAATAGTTGCACATTTTATAAGGTGCATGTGATATTTTCATACATGCATAAAATATATAATGATCAACTCAGGATAATTGGGATATCCATCACCTCAAGCGTTTATCATTGTGTTAGGAATACTCCAACTCTACGCTTTTATTTTGAAATATGTAATAAATTATTGTTAACTATAGTTGCCCTTTTGTGCTACCCAACACTAGATCTTATTCCTTGTATCTAACTGTATTTTTGTACCCATTAACCAACCCCTCTCTTTATCTATCTGTATAGTCGACAACTTCCAGCTTCTCCAGAAGTGGCAAATAACTTTCCAACTGGGTATCCACACAGAAATATGTGAGCATGCTTACATGGCATGTGCTGCCCCACCTCCCCCTGTGAGGAGCTTGGTTACAGCTACAGCATTTCTACAACCTCTTTAAACCAACTTTGTAGTATCCGGCAGCAAAGTATCATTCCCTGACATTCGAGTCATTGAGTCTCTGAAGACTTGGAAAAGGGATAATAAGCCAAATCATTCAGGAACCAGGGGGTCCCAGAGAGGTATGTAATAAATTTCATCCAGATGTTGGAATTGGCCTTTTTTTCTTCCATCTTTTTTTTTTTCCAGTTACATTAAAAACCAAACACATTGTTGTTATCTTATCAAGCAAGGTGGGAAGAACATTTTTTCCTTTATTTCTAGGTAAGCCTGCACAAAGGATTGAAAGGGCTAACAGCATATGGGTAATACAGGATCTGCATTATTGGACATCTGAATTATTGGAGAGTACTTTGTACATGACAGAATTATCCAGATAGGTAAATGGTGTTGCAAACACTTCACCAAAATCCAACTAGAGACCTCTAAGTTCATTTTAATGTACAGCTTCCAAACTGTTTATCTGCAGTGTAGGCAGCCCAGTCTGTTTTAAAATCCTTCTAGGAAACTATGGCCGTGCAAATCAGTCCAACAAATAGCCAAATGTGCATGTTACTCTGTTAGAAAGGGAAAAGTAGATGCAGGCATAAGTGCAAATTTTTATCTCATGGCATCCGAGGAACCTAAATGTCTGGACAGCTTTGTTGTGCCATGTGGCTGACAACCAGGTTATTAGATAACTCACAAAACTCTTCTCCAGCAGCCCAGAGTTTCCTGAGGTTACCTCTTCCCATGGGACTAGAATGAAGAAAAAAGAAAAACAGATATCCCCAAGCTGCAGCCACATTTAATGTCCCCTTTACCCCACAATTGAACTCCTGCTCCCTGGAGGAAAACCCTAAATAAATATACCAGTGGCAGCAGAGAGGGATTATTTTTGATAGTGGCTGCTCCTGACTCCAAGCTGTGGGCACTGAACTAGAAAGCAGTGCTGAGAGAGAGAACCAGGAATAAATGACACTGGGAAATGGGAAACCCAGAGAAGAAAAAAATCTTACTTTCTTCCCCTGAAAAAGATGCACTTTGCAAGGTTCATCTTTTCATCTTTTAATCTGGTGAGTCTCGAAATTTTTAGTCTTTAGACTACTTAAGCAGAACAAGAGTCTCACCTATTTACTAGATTAAATAAACAAGCAAGCAAACAAAAAACACCCTTGAGGTGTTTTTGCTGAATCCCTTGTGATTATTTATAGCTCCTTTCAAAAATATTTGCTTTGGTGCATTTAAATTTTATTTCAAATCTGCAGTGGAAAATCTGTTTCAAAGGAAAAAAAAAAAAAAGAAAGAACCACCCAACACGCTTGCATTTCGACTCAGCCCGCTGAACGCCTGGAAGAAATTTTGCAGACCCACCAGAGATCCCCAGATTCCACTTGTAAAACCATTGATCTAAAAACTACGTCTTGACTTCAGAACACTTCTTTTGATCTGGAATTATCTATTATTGACCACAGAGAGCAGCCACTGACGATTTCCTGGAACAGGGCCCTGTATAGAGAGAGGTGAGCTCCAGGGAGGGAAGAAGAAATTTCTTTCGCTTTCTGAGCGGGTGCTTTGGTACAGTACAATATCTATGCTATAGTAATATATCTATGGGCTTGACTTCTTCTTCTCCTCGTTTTCCTCTTTCTCCATCCCCCTCCTTCCTCATCTCCTTATTTTTTTTGTTTATTTGCTTCTTCTATAGTAAAACTTTCTGAAAGCCAATGTGCCTGGATGATTTTTGCCTGGTACATTCTGCTAATTGGAGTTTCAGAATCACAGTTTCTTGCTTGGGTGCAGAATTTTCAAAAGTGTTTAAGTGCCTAAATTATTGTTGTAGTTGCTGGCCACTGCCCATGCCTTGTAGACAGGCAGCTGAGAAGGTACCAGAAAAAAAAAAAAAGGCTGCAGGTCTGTACCCTTCACTGTACCAGAATGCAGAGCCCTACTGAGCTGTAGGAATGCAGAACCCTACTGAGCTGCTCCTCATGGAAGGAGCAGCCATGTTGTACTGAGCTGACAACACGGGCAATGGAAAGAGCAAACCCAGGGCGTAAATGGAACCAGGCCCTGGAAGCGTTTGGTTGGGAGTCTCCCAACTGAGCTGAGCCCTGAGAATAAGATGGTTCCTTTGGCCAAGTGGCTCTGTGAAAATGAGGAAGAATCTGATCCACGATGAAGGTAAGGAGTGCATCTGTGTCTCCTCTCCTCAAGCCACAGGGATCTCATTAAGGATCAGGGCACTTACGCTGATGGCTTCACTTTAGGCACAACCCTCAGCAGGAGGGCCCCATGCAAAGATAATTACCAGGAATGGTGGGCCCATTACAGCCCTTTGATTTGGTCACTCCAACATACTGTTAGACAGATGTAAGAAAGCTGACCGACATTTACCTAAAAGTGACAAATTGCAGGTTGAAGGATTTGGTTTCAGCCTCTGGCAGGTTGGGGCTTTGAAAAAACAGAATATACCAGACTCTTGCTTTGGAGCTCTTGCAAATTCAAGTACATAAGGACAGATATAGCCAAAATTGAGACAATTACCTTTTTTTTTGTTTTGTTTTGTTTGTTTTTTTTGCTGGAGTAGCTCGAGTGAGGAACAATTACTTTTAATAGTCTATTTTACTGTCCAGCGCAGTAACCCCCATAACCCCCATATATTGTAACTGGCTCTGGGTTGGAAGGCAGTCTGGGAAAGGGCCTGTTTCTGCTTCTTTGAGACAGCCTGCAGGAAACTTCAAAGTTAAAATAACATAAAACTTGCCATATCTTGGTTCCACTATGAGTGTTTCTCTTCCAAGCACTTCTGCCTATGGGTAAGCATTCTAGCAAAGATGCCATTACAGTCCGGCACGGAGAAATAAAAGGAGCCAAGAGTTGGGCAAAAGAGATAAGGAACCAGAGCCAGAACTCTCATTGAAAAGGGAGATTTCTTTTTTTTTTTTTTTTTTTTTTTTGAGACGGAATCCCGCTGTGTCGCCCAGGCTGGAGTGCAGTGACGTGATCTCGGCTCACTGCAAGCTCTGCCTCCCGGGTTCACGCCATTCTCCTGCCTCAGCCTCCCGAGTAGCTACAGGCGCCCGCCACCACGCCCAGCTAATTTTTTGTATTTTTAGTAGAGACGGGGTTTCACTGTGTTAGCCAGGATGGTCTCGATCTCCTGACCTCATGATCCACCCGCCTCGGCCTCCCAAAGTGCTGGGATTACAGGCGTGAGCCACCGCGCCCGGCTGAAAAGGAAGATTTCTTATAGAAAATAGGAAACAAAAAGTTCAGATGTCTGGGAGGAGATGCGGGCGGGACGTCATCTTTGAAATAAAAAAGAGTACGATTCATAGGGGAAATGTACACAAAGAGACTGTGAGTTGAGAAAAACCTGACTTGTGTTGGGGAGATTTATTCAGATTTTGGGAAGAAATTGGAAAGAACTATAAAGCTAGAGTCTGTAATTAGTTCCCATACCTGCGTAGCCGGTTCTGAGGGGTGAAGTACTCCCTAGAGCCCTTAGAGGTCTGCATTTTGCTCACAGGGCAGCTGTCTTGAGGAAAAAGATGAAGAATGGGAGTGTTATGGAGGGCATACGCCCCTCTGATCATCACCACAAAGGTAGGATCCAGCTATAAATTGCCTGCTAGAGAGTCACCAGTTCCGTCTCCATCTGTTCCCCAAACTTGTGCTTATGGATTTGACATTCAGGTATTTTTCAGAAGAATCAGCTTGAAGCAAAAATACTGAACTTAAACATTCTTTTTTTTTTTTTTTTTAAATTCAAACCCACAATTTGAATCTTGTTTAAAAGATGGAAGGATGAGAAGTGTGATTCTCTTGGCTTGTTTAGAAATAGCCATAGCAGGTCGGGTGCAGTGGCTCACACCTATAATCCCAACACTTTGGGAGGCTGAGGCAGGTGGATCACGAGGTCAAGAGTTTGAGACCAGCCTGGCCAACATGGTGAAACCCTGTCTCTACTAAAAATACAAAAATTAGCCAGGTGTGATGGCGGGTGCCTACTCTAGAGGCTGAGGCAGGAGAATTGCTGGAACTCAGGAGGCGGGGGTTGCGGTGAGCAGAGATCGTGCCACTGCACTCTAGCCTGGGCAGCAGAGCAAGACTCCGTCTCAAAAATAGAAAAAAAGAAGTAGCTGTACTAGACGGGATCCCAGGTCTTACGCATTTTCACTCTTCCTTCGGGTTAGCCTCCTCTCAAGTGCCTTCAGGACTTGTTCAATACAGTCAGTAATTGGGCTTTTAGAAAGAGGAAAAGTATTTATGTAAAATTGCCTCCTTATGTCCTGTAGCTACACCCCGTGTGCATCCAGGGAAGTGTACGCAGTGACCACTGAGTGGGTATCCGCTTATTTCATGGTAGAACTGACTTAAAGCAGATACCTAGTCCTTGGCATTTCTATAAGTTAGGGACAAATTTCTCATCCTCAGCATTATTATAAATTAGGGACACAGAGAAAAACTTGCTGGCTCCTAGTGAAGGCATTCATTGCTTGGAACCCAGACTCCGCAAGGTCATGCAGCCTGACAACTGGCTGTAGTGCACCAAGCTCATAATCAGGAATTAAGAGACCAGAGTCAGGCTTGCATCTGCGTATAACTACCTGTGAGACTTTAATCTACATATTGACCGCCTCAGGGGTTCCATCTTCCTATGAATCAAATGGGAAAACAAAGACTCACCTCCTCTACTAGCAAGAATTCTTGTAGATACCATGACAGGTTAAAAGTATTTGCCACAGCTGGGGAAGAGAGAATGGGGTCAGACCCTTGATGTTGTGGTAGCTGACTTTTTTACTTGATTGCTTAATTTTTTTTTTTTTTTTTTTGAGACGGAGTCTCACTCTGCCACTCAGGCTGGAGTGCAGTGGCGTGATCTCAACTCACTGCAACCTCCACCTCCAGGATCTGCTTCTGCATTTCCTCAATGGTAAATAAATTCAAGCGATTCTCATGCCTCAGTCTCCCAAGTAGCTGGGACTACAGCTACATGCCACCACACCCAGCTAATTTTTGTATTTTTAGTAGAGACGGGGTTTCACCATGTTGGCCAGGCTGGGCTTGAACTCCTGACCTCAGGTGATCTGCCGACATCAGGCTCCCAAACTGCTAGGATTACAGGCGTGAGCCACCGAGCCCGGTCATTGCTTAACGTTTTAAATCCTCATCTTCCATTTTCCTGGGCTCCTAAATGGCCTGGATACACTTTTATTTTCTTTTTTATGTATTTATGTATGTATGTATTTATTTATTTTTCAGAGACAGGATCTCCCTCTGTCACCCAGGCTGGAGTGCAGTGGTGTGATCATCCTTCACTGCAGCCTTGAACTCCTGGGCTCAAGTGATCCTCCCCCTCAGGTTCCCAAGTAGCTAGGATTACAGGCACATACCACCATGCCCAGCTAATTTTTAAATTTTTTGTAGAGATAGGGTCTTGCTGTGTTGCCCAGGCTGGTCTCTAACTTCAAGTGAACCTCCCACCTCAACCTCCCAAAGTGCTGGGATTACAGGTCTGAGCCACCATGCCTAGCCCCTTATTTTCTTGTAAGTTTTTATTGATTTAAAATACAGTTACAGAAAAGTGTTCATATCGATGAATTTTCACTATGTGAACACTCCCAGAAAACTAGAATCTAGATCTAGAAACAGAGCATTACCAGCACCCAGAAGCCTCCTCATTCCCCCTTCAAGTCCCTTTTTCTTACCAAAGTTAGTCACTACCCTGACTTCTAACACCATACATTAAATTTTGCCTGTTTGGGGGCTTTATATGTGTGTGTAGGTGTTTTTATGCGTGGCTTCTTTCGCTTAATATTAAGTTTGTGAGATTCATTTATGTTGTATATGGTAATATTTTATTTGTTCTCATTATTGTGTGGTATTACATGAATACCACAATTTGTTTATCCATTTGTTTATCCATAATTTATTTATCTACAATTTACATGGATAAATGCCACAGTTTATTTATCCATTGTCTTATTGATGGACACATGGAGTGTTTGCAGTTGGGGGCTATTACTGAACAGAAGCATTAGGAACATCTGTGAATACTTTTTTTTTTTAAAGAACATATGAGTGCATTTCTATCTAGAAGTAGAATTGCTGAATCATAGGACATGTGTGTTCCGCTTTTACAGATATTGTCAGTTTTCCAAAATGATTGTATCATTTTACACTCCCACCAGCAATGTCTGAGATTTGTTTTTTCTTACATCCTCATCAGTGGTTGGTATTGTCTGTCTTTTACGTTTAGCCATTTTGATGGGTGTATAGTGGAATGCTTCTTTATTTTAATTTTTATTCCTTGAAGACTAATGACGTTTAGCACCTTTTTACATATTTATTGGCCTTTTGACTATCCTGTTTTGAGAAATATCTGTTCAGATTTTGAACCCATTTCTCTACTAGGTTGTCTGACATTTTTATTGACCTATAAGAGTTCTTTAAATATAGATATGAGCCCTTTGTTGTGTACATGTTGCAAATATCATCTCCCACAAGGCTATGTGGAGTCACACTGGAGCTTCAGGCAAAAGAAAAAATAAAAATCCTGATTCCTGTCTTTATTTTAGATTTTGATATTTTGTTCACCATGGATTTTTTTGCATTAAATTTGATTTTTTAAAATATTGCATCAAATGTTTATTTCTCCTGATTACTGAGTTTTTTGTCACCCCCGTAAAGAACTGTATCCAAGGCAAGAGCCTCACTTGCCTCACCCCAATCCTGGCCCATCCCATTCTGTGTCTTGCATTGTCATGCTCTTTAATATATATTGTTATTTGTTGAAAAGCAGTTTCTAATCTAATGAAGTCCAAATGTTCAAGCTTTTCTTTTAAGATTAGTGCCTTTTCATTTGGATCACATTTATACAGTTATAAAAATAAAGATTTGATTTTGGTCATTCTTCAGATGTTTGGCTCTGAATGACTTAAGCTGAAGTAACTGGTTCCTTTTTTTAAATGTTGTGCCATCATTTCACCCGATGAGCATTTCTTGGAGCCTGCTAGATAGTGTTAGGTCCTCAGGCTGTAAAGAGGTCTTCAACAGGATGTAAAGCAAACTTAATTGTAATTACTTTATTCTGCCGATTAAGAAATACAGTACTAAAGTTTTATCTCTAGTCCCTCAAATTGGCATCCCTCAAATTGGCATCTGGTAATGTACATTGTGGGGTAGACTGATAATCAAATGACAGTGCAACATCTTACCAAGAAGTAAATATGATCTGAGTGTCCTATAAATAATGTAAGAGCAGGTTTTCAAACTTGGAGAGCTGTTTTCTCATTTCATGTACACTTGCCCCAAATTGTAGTTTTTGAAGTCATGTGCATTGCACGTTGGATGAGCCAGGGAAATTATTACATTAACAAGCATTTTGTGTGTATGTAGTAGTTACTTTGTACTGAGAGAACTTGCTTTGGGGTGCAATTAAACAATAAACTGATTTTATTTGGGAGAAACAGGGAAGGGTGCACTTACTAGCAACCTAAGAATAATTTTTCAGCTTTTGCCCTTAAGGTTTAAATTACAATTCCAAAATGTTAGACATACTGTATCTTTTTGTTCAGTGTGGCTTTAATTTTCCCCCCTATGGTTTGTTCTTTAATGCCTTTTACATTTGGACACATAGTTTATGCTTTTTAGATTTTGGTTGCTATCTTGCCAAAATAAGTGTTAGCTGTGTTTCAAACTTGATTTTCTTTCTTTCTTTCTTTCTTTCCTTCCTTCCTTCCTTCCTTCCTTCCTTCCTTCCTTCCTTCCTTCCTTCTTTCTTTCTTTCTTTCTTTCTTTCTTTCTTTCTTTCTTTCTTTTTTTTCCTCCAGAATGTCTTATTTAAAAAGAAAGCTAAAAGTATACTTCTAAGTTAGAGCCTCTATTTTTGTATAACACTTGGGATATTTTTTACTTCACATTGAATATAGACAGGCACCCAAGAAGTCTGATGGCCACCGGAGTGCGGGTGACAAGGACCTGACAGAGCCCATGCAGGGCTTTAGATTTGGACACACAAGAGTTGATAACTTCCTTATGAACTCCTTGCCTGATCTAAACTCAATATGGATTCTGACTGTGTTTGAGTAAAGGTTAAACCTGTTGGCAGTTACTGCTTTTCACAAAGTGCACAGTGGAAATCGAGAATTGATAGGGTTAATTTTGGAGCAGTGGCTTATACCATTCACCTCTTTGTTTTTTTGTGACTTATCTCACAGATAATGAGACCTTAATAACAAACAGGTGTAAAAAAATTTCACATTGAAATGATACAAACATTTGATGTAATAAAACCTTGTTGGCTTGATATTTTAAGGAACTGAAATCTAGCAATCTTACTGGAGAGACAAGAATTGGTCTCCAGCTGCCTTTGATAGATTCGGGTGCGAGTGGAGCCGGAGCCATATACCTGGAGGGAATGTGGTTTGTCACACCAAAGAGGATTTTTTTTCTTCAAACTTGCATGTTGCCTAGGTTTCAAATTCTTTGCCGCAAGGCTGATTTGCTTTCACTAACTGGAATTTTGTAGGAGATACTGGTGACCTAAGCTAAGTTGCATTCAACATACTCAGTGTCAAGCTAATGAGGTTCTGTTATAAAGCTTCTACTTTTAATCTGAGAGAAAACATGTTCAGGGCTTCTAGAACACTAAAAATTTTGACTTAGAACAGTGTTCAGTCTGGTGCCAAACTTCCAATGGAATTCAAATTCACATAATCTGAACTTTGTTCACAGGTTATCCTAATAGAGTAATTCTTCATTTTGTTCTATTGAACTGTCTTAAGGATTTGTTTCAAACAGCTAAGTTACTTGATTAAAATAATGATAAAATTGTAAAAAAAAAAAAAAAGATTAGTGCCTTTTTAAAATCCCTTATAACAAATTTTGTTTTACCCAGTCTTAAAGATATTCTATCTTATATCTTCTAGAACAGCAAGCACTGTCCACTTGAACTTTCTGCAATAATGGAAATATTCGATACCTGCATTGTCCAACATGTAGCCACTGAATGGCTACTGAGCGCTTGAAATAGCACTAGCCACATATGGCTATTGAGCAATTGAAATACTACATATGGTCTACGGCCATACCACCCTGAAATATTTTACAGATATTGTCAGTTTTCCAAAATGATTGTGTCAATCTTGTCTGAAACAGTACATATGATGAAATGAATTTTAAATTTTATTTACTTTTAAATAATTTAAATGAATTGTGGTGAATGGCAATGTAGTTCTGGCAATGTTGTTCCACCTGGAATTGATTTTCAGGTATGATGTGAGGTCAAGTTTCCCTTTTTTTTCTGTATGGATATTCAATCAATCCAGCATCATGTACCGAAAACACTATTAATTTCCCACTTTTATTATTAATCCATTGTCTATCTAATATGTGTGTGTTGTTCTGGAATCTCCATTCTTTTCCATTTGTCCATTAGTCTGTCTTTCTGCCACTTGCACCCTGTTTCCATTTCCTGTAACTTTGCAATAAGTTTTGATATTTGGTAGAATAAGTCCTTCATGCCTCTCATCTTCCCCAAGATTGCCTTGGCTATTCTTTTTTTTTTTTTTTTTTTTTTTTCGAGATGGAGTCTTGCTCTGTTGCCCAGGCTGGAGTGCAGCGGCATGATCTCGGCTCACTGCAAGCTCCGCCTCCCAGGTTCACGCCATTCTCCTGCCTCAGCCTCCCGAGTAGCTGGGACCACAGGCGCCCGCCACTACGCCCGGCTAATTTTTTGTATTTTTAGTAGCGACGGGGTTTCACCGCGTTAGCCAGGATGGTGTCAATCTCCTGACCTCATGATCTGCCTGCCTCGGCCTCCCAAAGTGCTGGGATTACAGGCGTGAGCCTTGGCTATTCTTGAACTTCTATATTTCCACATAAACTTTAGGATAACTTTATAAATTCTACCAAAAAAAACCCTGCTGGAATTTTTATTGGGATTACATTAAATCTGTCCATCAATTAATATGAAAGTCTTTACAATATTAAATTTTTTTATCCATGAATATGGTATATCCCTTCACTAGTTGAAGTCTTATTAAAATTTTTTGATGTTTTATAGTTTTCTATGTAGAAACCTGGTATATTATTCATTGGATTTATTCCCAATTATTTTCTATTTATTTTATAAGTGGCATATATATATGTATATTATATATATATTTTTTGAGACACGGTTTCACTCTGTCACTCAAGCTGGAGTGCAGTGGCATGATTTTGGCACACTGCAACCTCTGCCTCCTGGGTTCAAGTGATTCTCATGCCTCAGCCTCCCAAGGAGCTGGGATTACAGGCACCTGCCACCACACGTGGCTAATCTTTGCATTATTGTAGAGACAGGGTTTCGCCACGTTGGCCTGGCTGGTCTCGAACGCCTAACTTCAAGTGATCCTCCCACCTCGGCCTCCCAAAGTGCTGAGATTACAGGCATGAGCCAATGCACCCAGCCTTATAAGTGGCGTATTTTAATTTTATTTATTTATTTATTTTTTGAGATGGAGTTTCGCTCTTTTTTGCCCAGGCTGGAGTGCAATGGCACGATCCTGCCTCACTGCAACCTCTGCCTCCTAGGTTCAAGCAATTTTCCTGCCTTAGCCTCCCAAGTAGCTGGGATTACAGGCACACGCCACCATACCCGGCTAATTTTGTATTTTTAGTAGAGATGGGGTTGTTTCACCATGTTGGCCAGGCTGGTCTCGAACTCCTGACCTCAGGTGATCCACCTGCCTTGGCCTCAAAGTTCTGGGATTACAGGCGTGAGCCACCACGCCCGGCCATAAATGGCATATTTTAATGTTCATTTTTAGTTGTTTGATGCTGGCATATTGACATAATAATTAAAATTTTGTATTTATACTTGCATACAGCAACCCTGCTTAATTAACTTAATAATTCTTATAGTTTATTTATAGATTCACAATCATGTAGTATGTGTAGTGTGTGTAGTGATTTCTTTCAGATAGTTATTTTTTTAATTTTTTTTTTTTTTTGAGACGGAGTTTTGCACTTGTTGTCCAGGCTGGAGTGCAATGGTGCAATCTTGGCTCGCCGCAACCTCCGCCTCGTGGGTTAAAGCGATTCTCCTGCCTCAGCCTTCCGAGTAGCTGGGATTATAGGCACACGCCACCATGCTGGCTAATTTTGTATTTTTAGTAAAAATGGGGTTTCTCCATGTTGGTTAGGCTGATCTTGAACTCCTGACCTCAGGTGATCTACCCACTTTGGCCTCCCAAAGTGCTGGGATTACAGGTGTGAGCCACTGCTCCTGGCCCGTTTTTTAACTTCTTTTTCTTGAATTATTGGACTGGGTAAAACCTTAAGAACAATGATGAATAAAAGTGAAAATAGCAGGCATCCTTATCTTAGTTCTGATAGAAAGAAAGCACTCAATAATTTCAGTTAAATATGATGGTTGCTGGAGTTTACTTTTTGTAGTTACTCTTTATCAGATTGAGGAATTTTTCTTCTAATTCTAGTTTGATATAATTTTTAAACATTAACAGATGGTGAATTTTATGAAATGTATTTTTCTCATCAGTTAAAATGAGCCTGTGATTTTTACACTTTATTCATTTTATTTATTTTCTATTTTTATGGATAGGTAATAGTTGTACAATTTATGTGGTACATGTGATACTTTGATACAAGCATATAATGTGTAATGATCAAATCAGGATAATGGAATATCCATCACCTCAAGCATTTATCATTTATTTGTGTTGGGAACATTCCAAATCTACTCTTCTAGTTATTTTGAAAGGTACAATAAATTATACTTAATTATACTCACCCTATTGTGCTACCAAGTACAAGTGTGCCTGGAATTGGTGGGTTCTTGGTCTCGCTGACTTCAAGAATGAAGCCATGGACCCTCACGGTGAGTGTTACAGTTCTTAAAGATGGTGTGTCCGGAGTTTGTTCCTTCAGTTGTTCAGATGTGTCCGGAGTTTCTTCCTTCTGGTGGGTTCGTGGTCTTGCCGACTTCAGGAGTGAAGCTGCAGACCTTCACAGTGAGTGTTACAGCTCTTAAAGGCATCACGTCCAGAGCTGTTCATTCCTCCCAATGGGTTTGTGGTCTCACTGGCTTCAGGAGTGAAGCTGCAGACCTTCGTGGTGAGTGTTACAGCTCATAGAGGCGGCGCATCCGGAGTTGTTCATTCCTCCCGCTGGGCTCGTGGTCTCGCTGGCTTCAGGAGTGAAGCTGCAGACCTTCTCGGTGAGTGTTACAGCTTATAAAGGTAGTGCAGACCCAAAGGGTGAGCAGCAGCAAGATTTATTGCGAAGAGCGAAAGAACAAAGCTTCCACAGCGTGGAAGGGGACCCAAACGGGTTGCTGCTACTGGCTCTGGTTGCCTGCTTTTATTCCCTTATTTGGCCCCACCCACATCCTGTCGCTTGGTCTATTTTACAGAGCGCTGATTTCTCCATTTTACAGAGCGCTGATTTTGCCGTTTTACAGAGTGCTGATTGGTGCTTTTACAATCCTTTAGCTAGACACAGAGTGTTGATTGGTGCATTTACAATACTTTAGCTAGACAAAAAAGTTCTCCAAGTCCCCACCCAATTAGCTAGACACAGAGCGCTGATTGGTGCATTTACAAACCTTTAGCTAGACACAGAGTGCTGATTGGTGCATTTACAATCCTTTAGCTAGACAGAAAAGTTCTCCAAGTCCCCACCCAACCCAGAAGCCCAGCCAGCTTCACCTCTCACAAGGTCTTATTTCTTCTATTCTAATTGTATTTTGTTTTGTTTTGATTTTTGAGACAGAGTCTTGCTCTGTCACCCAGGCTGGAGTGCAGTGGCACCATCTCACCTCACTGCAACCTCTGCCTCCCAGGTTCAAGCAATTCTCCTGCCTCAGTCTCCCAAGTAGCTGGGACTACAGGTGCCCGCCTCTATACCAAGATAATTTTTTTTTGTATTTTTAGTAGAGACGGGGTTTCACTATGTTGGCCGGACTGGTCTTGAACTCCTGGCCTCAAGTGATCTGCCTGCCTCAGCCTCCCAAAGTCTGGGATTGCAGGCATGAGCTACCACGCCCGGCCTCGAATTGTATTTTTGTATTCATTAACCAACCCTACTTTATATCTTCCTCCCTACTACCCTTCCCACCTTCTCAAAAACACCATTCCATTCACTACCTTTCTGATATCGATTTTTTTAACTCCACGTGAGTAAGAATATGTGACATTTATCTTTCTGTGTTTGCCTTATCTAACTTAATGATGACCTCCAGTTCCATCTATATTGTTGCAAATGACAGAATTTCATTCTTTTTTATGGCAGAATAATATTCCACTGTATACATATACCACTTTTTTGTTTTTGTTTTTGTTTTTGTTTTTTGAGACAAAGTCTCGCTCTGTCACCTAGGCTGGAGTGCAGTGGTGCAATCTTGGCTCACTGCAATCTCCGCCTCCTGGGTTCAAGCAATTCTTTTGCCTCAGCCTCAAGAGTAGCTGGGACTACAGGTGCAAGCCACCACGCCTGGCTAATTTTTGTATCTTTAGTAAAGACAGGATTTCACTACATTGGCCAGGCTGGTCTCAAACTTCTCCTGACCTCGTGATCCACCTGCCTCGACCTCACAAAGTGCTGGGATTAGCCACCATGCCTGGCCCATATACCACGTTTTTTAAATCCATTCATTTGTTGATGGACAGTTAGGTTGATTTCATATCTTCGTTATTGTGAATAGGGCTGCAATAAACATGGGAGTGCAGATATTTTTTTGATACACTGAATTCCTTTCTTTTGGAAATATACCTATCAGTGAGATTGCTGGATCATATGGTAGTTCTATTTTTAGTTTTTTGAGGAATCTCTATATTGTTTTCCATAGTGACTGTATTAATTTATATTCCCGTTAACAGAATACAAGCATCCCCCTTTCTCTGCATCCTTACCAGCATTTGTTATTTTTTTAAATTTCTTTTCCTTCTTCCCAAACATTACTGCTGATATTTTCTATCTTTTCTGATAATAGCCATTTTAACTGGAGATGAGATGAAATCTCACTGTGGTTTTGATTTGTATTTCCCTGATGATTAGTGATATTGACTATTTACTCATATGCCTGTTGGCCCTTTGTATGCCTTCTTTTGAGAAATGCCTGTTCATTTTTAAATTGGATTTTTTTAAACCAGTGAGTTGAGTTCCTTACATATTCTGGTTATTAATCCCTTGTCAGTTGACTAGTGTGTATTAATATTTTCCCATTCTGTAGGTTATCTCTTCACTTTATGGATTGTTTCCTTTGCTGTGCAGGTTTTTGCCTTGATATTATCGCATTTGTCCATTTTTGCTTTGGTTGCTTGTGCTTTTGAGGTCTTACTCAAGAAATCTTTGCCAGGACCAACATCCTCAAGCATTTCCACAATGTTTTCTTCTAGTGGTTTCATAGTTTCAGTTCTTACACTTAAGTCTTTAATCCATTTTGATTTGATTTTTGTATATGGTGAGAAATGGGGGTATAGTTTAATTCTTCTTCATATGGATATCCAGTTTTTCCAGCACCATTTATTTATTTATTTATTTATTTATTTATTTATTTATTTGAGATGGAGTCTCACTCTGTTGCCCAGGCTGGAGTGCAGTGGCACGATCTGGGCTCACTGCAAGCTCCGCCTTCCAGGTTCATGCCATTCTCCTGCCTCAGCCTCCTGAGTAGCTGGGACTACAGGCGCCCACCACCACGCCTGGCTGATTTTTTGTATTTTTAGTAGAGACCGGGTTTCACCATGGTCTCGCTCTCCTGACCTCGTGATCCACCCGCCTCGGCTTTCCAAAGTGCTGAGATTACAGGTGTGAGCCACCACACCCGGCCTCCAGCACCATTTATTAAAGAGTTGACTGTAAATGTATAGATTTGTTTCCGGGTTTTCTATTCTGTTCCATTGGTCTATGTATCTGTTTTTATGCTAGTGCCATGCTGTTTGGGTTACTATAGCTTTGTAGTATAACTTGAAATCAGGTATGTGATGCCTACGGCTTTTTTCTGTTTGATCAGGATAGCTTTGGCTATTCTGGGTCTTTTGCTGTTCCATATAAATTTTAGGACTTTTAAAAATATTTTTGTGAAGAATGTCATTGGTATTTTTTTGTTTGTTTTCTTTTGTTTTTGAGACACAGTCTCCCTCTGTCACCCAGGCTGGAGTGCAGTGGTGTGATCACGGCACACTGAAGCCTCTACCTCCTGGGCCCAATTAATCCTTCTGCCTCAGCCTCCTGAGTAGCTGGGATTACAGGTGTGCACCACTACTCCTGGTTAATTTTTTTATTTTTTGAAGAGACAGGGTCTTACTGTGTGCCTCGGTTGACTCAAACTCCTGGGCTCAAGTGATCCTCCCACCTTGGCCTCTCAAAGTGCTAGGATTATACACATGAGCGATACACAGCACCTGGCCTTCACTGGTGTGTAGATAAGGACTGCATTGAATCTGTAAATCACTTTAAGTAGTATGGACATTTTAACAATATTGATTCTTCCAATCTATGAACATGAGATGGCTTTCCATTTTTTGGTGACCTCTTCAATTTCTTGAATCAATGTTTTATAGTTTTCATTGTAGAGATCTTTCACTTCTTTGGTCGTTTATGCCTAAGTATTTTTTTCTGTAGCTATCGTAAATGAGACTGCTTTGTGTTCTTTCTCAAATTGTTCACAGTTGAAATATAGAAATTCTATAATACTAATTTTTGTATGTTGATTGTGTATCCTGCTACTTAATTTGTTTATCAGTTCCAATAGGGTTTTGGTGGAGTCTTTAGCTTTTCTAAACATAAGATCATAGTGTCTGCAACCAAGGACAGTTTGGACAGTTTCCTTTCCAATTTGGATGCCCTTTGTTTCTTTCTTTTGTATAGTTGCTCTGGCTAGGACTTGTAGTACTGATGATAGCAGTGGTCCATCTGGAGCAGCTGCTGCCATCACTCCAGCTGCACATTGCACAGAGCTGGTGGGAGCCGGCAACAAGTGGGAGCCCTACCCCTTCCAAGTTGGTGGGGTGGGAGCTCTCTGGGTGCAGCTACAGCTGCCCAAGTCATGGCTGCAGACTCAGGCCTCCCACTCCACGGAGCAGGCAGGAGGCCTACCCTCACGGGTGCAGCTACAGCTGCCCAAGTTGTGGCTACTGACCTGGGCCTTCCTGTGCTCTTGGGTGGTCCAGGAGCAGGCAGGAACCCCACCCTCCTGGATGCAGCTACAGCCACCCAAGTCACAGCTGCAGAGCCAGGCATCTCTGCACTCTTGGCAGCCTGGGAAGACCCCCCTGTACCCCCAACCAGGCTCAGAGAAGTCTGCTCCCACTGCCTGGCCTCTCCCTGCTCCCAGCACCCACTCCAATCTTGGAGTAAGGTTGGGGCTGGGCCCAGGCACTGTCACAACCCAGCCGTGTGTGCATACACTTGGGGCAGTGTTGACATGACAGTCCCCTGCTGCCTTGGGCCCCTCTGGATTTGGGGCACCAACGAGAATGGGAGGGAAGCTAAGGAGGGGCCGAGGGCAGCTTGGCATTGGCCTGCAGGTGTCCCTTGGCATGATAACCTGGGTGCGATGGACAGCAGTGGGAGGCAGACAGGCTCCTGGGTAGAAGGGAGGGCCTGAAGGCTGGGAGTCTGGCTGCCAGTCCCACAGACCAGAGTGGGAAATAGTGGTGCCTTTTCCCAGCCCACCCATGGCTGCCCATGGACCAATCAGTGTGCACTTCCTCCCTTTTGAGGCCCATAAGAGCCCCCAATTCAGCCAGAGCTGAGCAGATTTTGGGACAACCTGCTACAGAGAGGAGCTGCCCACTCCAGGGCCTCCTCTGAGCTATTTTGTCACTCAGTAAAGCTTCTCTTCACCTTGCTCACCCTCCATTTGTCTGCACACCTCATTCTTCCTGGACGCAGGACAAGAACTCGGGACCTACCAAATGGTGGGACTAAAAGAGGTGTAACACAAACAGGGCTGAAACGTCCCTTGCTCACCACGTTGAGGGTGAAGAGAAGGATAGAAGAGCTGTGGCCCTTTGGGGAGCCCAGACCTGGGAGTTCCCTGAGCCAGGGCTATGACTCCGTCTTTGGGGCCCTGTGACTCCTGGAGTCTCCAAGCTTCTGGGAGCCACCACATTCCCCAGTGGCAGGTGTGGAAGCTGCTTGCAGTGTGTCTGGTCCAGTTGCAGCCTCACAGAGAGTCAGCACCCACGTCAGCACCTGGAGCTGCCTGCCCCACAGCAGCTGACATGCTTGACTGTGCGCAGTGGCCAGACCCCCATGCTTGCTCACTCACACACCTGCTGCCACTCCATGCCTGGCTTGCCTTTGGCAGGCATGGGATCCAGGCCAGTAGTGTGGACCAAGCACAACCTGCCAGGCTGAGTGGGCAGAATAAGACCAGCGGGCCTGAGCAAAACTCAGGCAAAGGTGCCACCAGCCACAGAGGTTTCCAGCCAGAAAAGTGACACCCCGAGGATCCTGCAACAGTACTAGGTTGAATAAAAGTGGTGAAAGCAGTCATCCTTGTCTTGTTCCAGATGTTAGATGAAAGGCTTTCAGTTTTTCCCCATTTAGCATGCTGTTAGCTGTGGGGACCTTATTCATTTTATGATGAACCACAGTGACTGATTTTTTTGAATGATAACTTAATCTTGTATTCCTGGAATAAACCCTATTTGGTCATGGAGTATTAGTCCTTTTATATATTTCTAGTTTGGGTACGCTAATATTTTGGTTAAGATTTTTACATGTATATTATTTTTAAAATTTGATATGTAATTTTTCTCTTGTAGTGTTCTCTCTCTTTTTTAAAGAGACAGGTCTTGCTCTGTCATCCAGGCTGGAGTACAGTAGCTTAGTGGCTTGATTATAGCTCACTGCAACCTTGAACTCCTGAACTTAAGCAATCCTGCTGCCTCTGCCTCCCAGGTACCTAGGACTGCAGGAGCATGCCACCATGCCTGGCTCGATTTTTATTTAATGTTTTATAGAGACAGGTTCTCACTGTTGTTGCCCAGGCTGATCTCAAACTCCTGATCTTAAATGATCCTCCCAGTTTGGCCTTCCTCAAATGATCCTCCCACTTCGGCCTCCCAAAGTGCCAGAATTATAGGCATGAGCCACCGTGCCCGGCCTCATTGCCATATATTTTAATTTTATATATACTTTAAATTCTACAAAATGTTGTTGTTATTGTTGTCAGTGCTGTTGTTTTATACAATTGGCATTTGTTAAGATTTACCCACTGTTGTTAACTTAATGTTGTTCTATATTTCTTCTTTCAGTTTTGTGCTTCCATTGAGATTACTTTCTTTCTGCCTGAAAAATACCATTTAGAATGTCTTTTAATATGGGTCTACGGGTGACAAATTTTTCTCAGGTATTATTTGTCTGAAATTGTCTTTATTTCCACCTTCATTTACGAAAAAATGTTTTTGCTGAATGTAGAATCCCAACTTAGTTATTTTCTTTCATTTTGAAGATATCATTCCATTGTTTTCTGAGTTATGTTGTTTCCTTTGAGAAATTAGCAGTCAGTCTTACTTTTTGATCTTTTGCAAGTAAACTGACTTTTTTCTTGTGCTACTCCTAAGATTTTTCTCTGGGTCGTTAGCTTTTTATAGATGTACAGTCACATGCCTAGGTGTACATTTATCCTGCTTGGGCTTTGTGGCATTTCTTGAATCTGTAACCAGATAAAGATATCAAGTATATAAAGCTTTGGTACATTCTCAGTAATTATCTTCTCAAATATTGCTTGTGTCCCATTTTCTCTCTCTTATCCTTCTAAGATTATAACTGCTTACTATGTCCTATATGATTTTACATTCTTTTCTGTATTTTTCATCATTTTGTAACTCCATGTTTTAGTCTGTGTATTTTCTTCTGAATTTTCTTTCATTTCACCAATTCTGCTTTAAGCTGAGTCTAATTTATTATTAAACTCACCTAATAGATTACTCTTTAAACTTTTATTTGTAAATAATTTCATAACGTAAAGAAAAGTTACAAGACTAGTAAGAAAAATTGCAACAACTCCCATACACCCAATCTCTGATTGTTAATACTTTGTCTCATTTGCTTTATTATTTTGTGCCTGTGTGTTCACTCTCTTTCTTCAAATGTGCACACACATTCATGCACACACACATTTTTTACACATAAAATTTGAGAGTAAATTTCATACATATACATTATGACCCTTTTCTACTAAATATTTCATTGTGAATTTCCAAAGAATAAGAATATTTTCTTAAGTAACCATGGTACAGTTATCACTCCTATAAACTTATTTAGTATATTTTAATATTGATGCAATACATTATCTACTGTCTATTTTACAATTTTAACAATTGACCCAATAATGTCTTATATAGTATTTATTTTCCTTCAGTACAATCTCCTTTAATCTGGAGCAGTTCCTCAGCCATTCTTTGTCTTTTATGACATTGACATTTTTGAGGAAAAAAAATTCTTCTTTTGTGTGATAGAATTATTTTAATTTTGAGTTTATCTGATGTTTTCCCACCTGCCCTTGTTAATTTTGATCACTCCATTGAGATATTTCCATTCTTTACCCTTATAACTAATAAGCAATCTGTAGGGGAAATACTTTAAGAATGTGCATATATCTTGCATCTATTGATGATTCTTACTTGAATCAATTCTTACTATGATGGTTGCAAAATTAAGATTTTCCAACTCCAGCACTGCTTTTGAGTGACTGTAGGACTTACCAGTCAGCACTTGACATACTACTATAAGCAAGAAGCCTCCTAGAATGTTTATCCCTCCAAAAGTCACTTTAAACTTAGTTGCCATTGTAACAGTATCAACAGGTGAGACTTCTAAGAGGTGATTAGGCCATGAGGACTCCACGCTTGTGAATAGACCTAATGCTGCTATCATTATTGCAAGGGTGGGTTCACCCTTCTTGCTCCTTCTCCTCCATCCTTTCTTTATCCTTCTGCCATGTGATGCCTTCTACCATGTTATGACACAGCAAAAAAGGCCCTCACCAGATGCCAGCCCTTCTATCTTGGACTTGCCAGCCTCCAGAACTGTGAACCAATAACTTTCTTTGCATTATAAATTACCCAGTCTGTGGTATGCTTTTATAGCAGCACAAAACAGTCTAAGACAGAAAGTTAATGCCAGAGAGTGGAGTGTTGCTATAACCAACACCTGAAAAATGTGAAAGTGGCTTTGGAATTGAGTCATAGGTAGAGACTGAGACAGTTTTGAAGTGAACACTGAAAAAGTCTGTCTCTAAAGCAGCAGACTGGTCATTTTCTTCTGCGGGCCAGAGTAGCACTTCAAAAATTGCATGAAGCAGGGGCATGAACATCTGTTGTAAAAACGGGGATACTTGTACCTTGAATTTGGCCGTAATCTGGTTGATAAGAGGAATGAACTCCTGGAGGTCTTTTGCTTCACAATCTTTGAGTATATGTTCTGAAGCAGATGGGATGAACGGAAAAACTTCTTCCTCCAGGCAAATAATCATTCGATGAAGGAAAGTACAGACTCCACTTCTGAGAATACCCTTTTGTAAGGGACAACTGAGGGCCAGCAAGAATGTCTGTAAACAGTCCAGATAAACTTCGGAACAGCCACACTGTTTCACAGTCTGCTTGTTGCTGAAAGCTTTACTAGTTCGACTTGCAAATCCAACAGCATGGTTGAGACAGTCTGCTAGAGAGGCTTGCCTTTCTTCATCTTGTGCCAGCATCAAATTTTCTAACAGAATTTTAAACTTCTCCATTAGTGGAGTCAACAGATTCCTCATTAAGGCTTCTTTCCTTTCTGCCGGGTATTCATTATTAACAATCATCACTCCAACTGTCTCATAAATAAAATTTGATCATCGCTGCTCAGGAAGGACTGGTGGCCATTCTCAGGTGGAGAAAGCTTTAATAAATCTTGTATTCTATTCAAAATATCCTCAATGAAAGGATTCATTTGCTTATTGAGAGATTTGACAAATCTAGAAAACAGGTAAGCCATCTTGCTCTGAACTTTTGCACTGGAATGACGCAGACCTCTGTGATCTAAGAAAGCCATTAGTACACATGGAACGTGCTGAGGTTCAACTGTGAAAAACTTTTCATATCTAACAACAGTTTCGAAGAACTCCAACGTCACAGATGTATGCTGATAGGAACTGACTCCTGATGTTACCAGAGTTCGCATCATACCCTGCAAAGCACTAGCTTTTGAAACATCACCTGAGAAGTGAGCACCATGAGATAGATACTGGAAGAGCTTCTGCCAACATATACAGCAATCTTATTGCTACTTCAACTTCCATGAACCGTGTAGTCTGCCAATTCTGCAGTGTAGAACTAAAAACTCTGCGAACAGAGGCCAGTAGTAACTCTCGTGAAACTTGAGCAAGCCTGTCCAACACTAACTTCAGTTGTTTTCTATATTCTACAAACATGGCTTTATCTTGACCCTCATTTTCAAAGTTATATTCTTCATCATAAGTCAATTTTTTCATAACGGCCAACATGATTGCCTCCACATTAGCTTTTTGCTGATCCGAGAGCACTGTAAGCTGTTTCAAAATATGAAGATAATCATAACAAAATCCAATATTAGAAGAAATATCATCATCCTCATGAATTAGTAGCTGCAACATCAGTGCCACTTTTGTTTCAATAGCTTGTAGTGCCTCTTGAGCATTCTTAATATTCCCATTCTTAGTTAATTTACTCCAACTAACTATCCATGACTGTCCCATTCCGTTTACCGGCTTAGAAAATCTGGCCAACATCTTCTTCCTGGTCAATGCTGAAAAGAAGTCAACATCTTCTTCCTGGTCAATGCTGAAAAAGCCAGCAGACTGTAATACTTGACACAAAGATTCTACTAGTTTCATTTTATCAACAGGGTCCATTCCTTTATTTACAACTTCAAATAAACAGTCACATGCTTCTTCCCGTAGAACTTCTATTGACATATGACCTAGCAGCATATTTATAAACCTATCATTGGCTAAAAGGGATAAGTCAATCCAAGAGACATAAGCCCCAACTACTTCAAGGCACTGACACATCACTTCAGAATTAGTATACTGATAATTTTGTGATATTTGGTACCATGATTCCACCAGATTTGGAATGCACTGTTCCCTCATGGTATCTTTTATGAGAGTATTCCTGTGAGCCTCCTCTGATGTATGCACCACATCACGATCCACCAACTCTGAGTTGATAGCCATGAGGATTCGCAGGTACAGATCTACTCCCCTTGGATTTAGGTCCACTACTGAGAGAATGTCAAAAAAAAAACTTGGGCCACTTAGTGAGATATTCTGCAACAAAAAGCAAGGCGAGGACTTGGGCGGCTTTATTTGGTATAAAGGTCTTCTCTGGTTGGGGATTCAGCATCTGAGCTTGCAGCCATGATATGAGCGTCTCCCTAATTAGTTGTTGTTGAACAGTGGTTAGTTCTGAATATTTGTATTTAACTTGATGTTCCAGTACTTGAAAGCAGAAAAACTTTACATGATCATCACTATATGTCCTCTGGGCTAGAGCTTCTGCACACACCTGCCAGGCATCTGGGGAAATCTTTAACTGCTCAAAATAGGCCAGGGCCCTTAGTCTAAAGTCTGAATCAGCATTTGGATTTAGCCCTAATAGAGCCTGTTTATCCATCCTTGCTGCTATACTTGGAGTTTTCTGGTTATAATAGGCTTGCCCTCTGATCCCACAGAAGAATTTATAAACATCTTCCCTATCACTCCAGCCCGCCTCCCAGCCTGAACTCCATGGTCAGCCAGCGGAACGGAGCCGAGCGGCGCAGCTCGCAGAGAGCTGGGACAGCGGCCCTCGTCCTTGTCGCCGTAGTCCTCTGCCACGACCGCAGCGCCAACGCCAGAGACGGAGTTGGCCGGGACTGCACGCCTCTCGTCGCTCCGCGTCCCCTGGCACCTTCTCTTGAGTGGCAGGCAAGCAAGCAAGCAAGCGGGCGGGGTCAGCGCCCCAAGAAGGGAAAGAGCGCGAGGGCCAGCTAACGCCGCCGCCGCCGTCGCCGCTGAGTCAGCGCGAAGCGCCCTCTCCGAGTAGGTGCCGCGCGGGCGGGCGCTGGCGCCAGCAGTCTCATGGAGAGTGCGGGCGGCAGCCCGCGGGCTGGGGCCGTCTCCTGTCTATTTCTTATTTATTCCTTTCAAAATGGCGTCTTATGATAAGCAAAAAAATAAATTTTCTTGAAGTCCAATATTTTATTTTTACTTTTATGGTTAGTACATTTTATGTTCTACCTATGAAATTTCCGTTTACTCCATAGTCACAAAGATATACTTCTAGAAGTTTTATGGTTCTAGTTTTTAATGTAGGTCTATGATCCATCTTGAATTAATTTTTTGTATGGAATGCCATAGGGGTTAGAGCTGTCTTTCCATAGAGATACCCAGTTTTTTTCACACATCTGTTAAACAGGCATTCCTTTGCCTCACTGAATTGATCTGATGCCTTGGTTGATAATCAGTTGACTATATATGTATAGATCTATTTTTGGACTTGATCCTGTTCCATTCATCTGTATCTGTCTACTCTAGCTTTGTGGCAAATCTTGAACTTGTGAGTATAAATATTCTAAATTTGTTCTTTTTTCAATATTGTTTTGATTATTCTAGGTCCTTTGCATTTCCATATAAATTTTAGAACCATGTTGTCAATTTCTTCAAAAAAGCCTGTGGAGCTCTGGAGACGATTTGAGGTTCTATATGATGTTATCTCTCTCCAGAAGGGTTTACTTTTGTTTCTGTCAAGCGAATAGGCTAGAGGCTGAAACTTTCATCTAGTAAGTGTCTGAGGAAGTCAAAGCTGGGCTTTAATCCTTGTGAGAGCTGATCTCTTTCCAATTTGCCCTTATCCCTAGAGTGGAGCCCTTCATGGTCCCAGCTGAAAGCCTGGAGAGGCTGCGCGCGGTGGCTCACGCCTGTAATCCCAACACTTTGAGAGGCCAAGGCAGGTGGATCACTTGAGCGCAGGAATTCAAGACCAGCCTGGGCAACATGGCAAAACCCCATCTCTACAAAAAGTACAAAAATTAACCGGGCGTGGTGGTGGGTGCCTGTAGTCCCAGTTACTCCGGAGGCTGACGCAGGAGAATCGCTTGAACCTGGGAGGCGCAGGTTGCAGTGAGCCGACATCTCGCCACTGCACTCCAGCCTGGGGGACAGAATGAGACTCCAACTCAAAAAAAGAAAAAAAGAAAAAGAAAGCCTGGGGATATTTACCAGGACCCTTCCTCCTTTTCAGGTACCTTACTACAATTTATGTCTCATCAGCCCTGGCTGGGAATCTACTGAAAGCTTATTTATGTATTTATTTATTTATTGAGACGGAGTCTCGCTTTGTTGCCCAGGCTGGAGTGCAGTGGCGCGATCTCGGCTCACTGCAACCTCCGCCTCTTGGGTTCACGCCATTCTCCTGCCTCAGCCTCACGAGTAGCTGGGACTGCAGGCGCCCACCACCACGCCCGGCTAATTTTTTTGTACTTTTAGTAGAGACGGGGTTTCACCGTGTTAGCCAGGATGGTCTCAATCTCCTGACCTCGTGATCCGCCCGCCTCGGCCTCCCAAAGTACTGGGATTAACAGGCGTGAGCCACCGCGCCCAGCCCGCTGAAAGCTCTTTTCAGCCTCTCAGCGCTGCTTTTGCTTTTGGAATCAGCAATTGTCTTCAGAGTAAAGTGTCTCCAAATACCAGTCTCACCTTACTTGGCTTCTCTTTTTCTCCAGATCTTGGACTAGCAAATTCTCACTGCTTTTGTAGCTCTTCCATAGCTCCAAATTGCTGTTTTTAAAAAGTGCTAATTTGTTCAGCATTTGTAATTGTTCTCAGCAAGATGTTTGAAAAAGACCAACTAGTCAGCCTTTGCCAGAAATGGAACTCTATGACACACATTTTTAGAAATATAAGTTCATTAAGATTAACTTTGTTTTGGAAGATACGTTCAGACTTTATTAATGATTTTGGAGACAATTGGGAAATTGCGAGCATGGAGGTTTGGCTTCAGCATTATGAGGGTAAAAAACTCCCACAAATCCTCAGATTGGAATGACAGAGCCCACAAGCAGGATATGATATTTGGAGCTGTTCACTAAGGCTATTTGGTGTGCCTTGTACACCTACCACTTCTTCACCACTCCCTTCTAAAAAGGAGAGATTGGGAAAAATATAGCCTTGTTCATTACTTTTATCCAGTCCCACTGAGGCAAAGTGGCATCACCCATTTATCATTTTTTATTACTGAGCAATAGCAGCATGCAGGTCTTATAGCTGGATACTTCTGGGGAGCACTCCTCCTATTTGCTTTTAGATATCTGCTCACCCACCCTAGCTTAATCCCAGGAATTTTTCACAGTGCTGTCATTTAACAGGGGGAATCAGGCTGGTGGAGATGGCAGTAGCAAGGGAAAAGGAGCATGTGTCCTTTTCAGCAATTTTTTTTTTTTTGAGACCAGGCTGGAGTGCAGTGGCACGATGTCTGCTCACTGCAAGCTCCACCCCCTGGGTTCATGCCATTCTCCTGCCTCAGCCTCCTGGGTAGCTGGGACTGCAGGCGCCCGCCACCACGCCCAGCTAATTTTTTTGTATTTTTAGTAGAGACGGGGTTTCACCATGTTAGCCAGGATGGTCTCGATCTCCTGACCTCGTGATCCTCCCACCTCGGCCTCCCAAAATGCTGGAATCACAGGTGTGAGCCACCACGCCTGGCCCCTTTTCAGCAATTTTAACGTAACCCTCTGAAGTTTCTCAAACTAAATGTGAGAATAGCTGGAAACCTATGGCTCTTGTATACAGATGTACACTATAGGCAGTTGTATAGACTTCCAAACACATACACATTACATGTTCAAATGTATATAAATATAGACTCAAAGCTCCTAGGGAACAGGTAGTATAAGAAAAGGAAGCCTAACCTTAGGCTAAACTAGATAATGTCATGTAATACACTAGACTAGACACTATATGGAAAGAGGTGATCCAAGTGATCCTCTTGAGGAAGGAGAGAATCAAGGAGTAAAAACTAACTTTTGTGGATGCTTGTTATGTGCCAAGTGTGGTGCTTAAACACCTTTTCTATCTTTACACATTCAATCATCATAATGATCCTGCAGAATAGGTATTGTTATCCCCATTTTTAATTTAATCTCCCAAAAGGCCACACCCAAGACCAGGAGCTAGTGTATTTGCAAAGCCAAGATTCAAATCTAATTCTGCCTGGCTCCAAAACTTATTCTCTGAAAGTAGGAAAGAGAGGCAGAAGTTCTTATTTAAACAATTAGACTCTGCAATAGAGTTTCCAAGCAAAATATAATTAATAAATTTGTTTACTCTTTCTCTCTCATAGTGGTCAACAGCATTAATCTCAGTGAATAACACTGTATAAGCACTTACTAGAATAAAAGTGCTCAGTTACTAGGTTTTGCTGGGCAAGTGTAAGGTTGCTTGTGGGTGGTGAGAGGAACAGAGCACAGAAATGTTAACATTCACAAACTTTCTGAACACCTGAGCACTGAGCTGGGAACCCAGAATATAAAGATAAAAAATACAAAACATGTGCTGGGAGCGGTGGCTCACGCCTGTAATCCCAGCACTTTGGGAGGCCGAGGCAGGCGGATCATGAGGTCAGGAGATTGAGACCATCCTGGCTAACACGGTGAAACCCCGTCTCTACTAAAAATACAAAAAAATTAGCTGGGCGTGGTGGTGGGTGCCTGTAGTCCCAGCTACTAGGGAGGCTGAGGCAGGAGAATGGCATGAACCCGGGAAGCGGAGCTTGCAGTGAGCCGAGATCGTGCCACTGCACTCCAGCCTGGGCGACAGAGCGAGACTCCATCTTAAAAAAAAAAAATGAACTTTATCTTCCAAAGTTTACAGTCTAGTTACTTCAGAGATGGTTTATGTGCCATCTACACGTGTAGAACTGACATACCCATAAAAGGAACAGATAATAAAAAGACTAGTAAGTCTGGACCTTCTCTCATGAAACTCAAAGTCTAAGGGGGAATCAGACTAATAAATGGGCATTTTCAATACAAGAGATTAAGTTAAAAGTAAGCACAGGGGCCGGGTGCAGTGGCTCACGCCTGTAATCCCAACACTTTGGGAGGCTGAGGCAGGCTGATCACTTGAACCCAGGAGTTCAAGACCAGCCTGGGCAACATGATGAAACCCTGTCTCTACAAAAATACAAAAATTAGCCGGGTGTGGTGCATGCACCTTTAGTCCCAGCTACTCAGGAGGCTGAGGTGGGAGGATCGCTTGAACCCAGGAGGCAGAGGTTGCAGTGTGCTGAGATCATGCCACTGCACTCCAGCCTGGATGACAGGGCGAGACCTTCTCTCAAAAAAAAAAAAAAGAAGTAAGCACAAGGTGTCATGAGACCATGGAGAGCAAGCATTTAACTCAACACGGGGAATCAGGGAAGCAGGAAGGAATGACTCCTGAACTGACATAGGGAGGCAGAATGAATTCATTTGACATGCTTAGCACGGAACACTGACAATATACGTGTTCTGAACAGAATAATACAGATTATATGGTACCATAGAAAGTCAATGACTCATGATTGATGTATTTCCTGAACAACTAAAGAGTGGTTGCTCTCAGACTATTAATCTTCCTTTCTCTTCCCTATGCTTTTGTCACTCCGAAAGCCCATTCTCTGTTGTGTGGATGTTTTTCTTCCTTTCTTCTTTCCTTCTTTTTTTTTTTTTTTTTTTTTTTCTTCAGTGAAGGAGGATGTCATAAGAGCTGGAGAAACTGAGGAGGTCTTCAAGCAGAATGTGGGACTTGAAGAATTTGTGGAATATAAAAAGAGGATGTTGAAAGGGAAACAAATGGCAGGGCCAGGCGCGATGGCTCACGCCTGTAATCCCAGCTTTTTGGGAGGCTGAGGCGGGTGGATCACGAGGTCAGGAGATCGAGACCATCCTGGCTAACACGGTGAAACCCCATCTCTACTAAAAATACAGAAAATTAGCCGGGTGTGGTGGCTGGTGCCTGTAGTCCCAGCTACTGGGGAGGCTGAGGCAGGAGAATGGCGTGAACCTGGGAGGCGGAGCTTAAGGTGAGCCGAGATCGCGCCACTGCACTCCAGCCTGGGCGACAGAGCGAGACTCTGTCTCAAAAAAAGAAAAAAAAAGAAAAAGAAAGGGAAACAAATGGCAAATGTTGACTCAGTCAGCTTGCATTTATTGGGCCCTACCCTGCCTCTTTTTATCATGTTCCAGGGACACTGAGATGAATCTGATCCATGGGTTGAAATCAGCAGGATACGTATGTGGGCAATAAATGGAAAGCATATGTAGCATAGTTAGAAGTAAAGTCTAATAAGCAAAATGGGATAGGTTATAAAGGGCCTGGAAAACAGACACATTTAGACTTGATGTGGATGATACCAGGAGTCCTTTTAGGTTTTTGAGCAGAAAGTAGGTGGAAAAGATTTTAGAAAAAGAAAACTGGAACCATACAGACTAAGAAGGTGTGTGTGAGCCTAATTCTGGCAGTGAAGGTCTCTAGGGCATAGCGGAAGGAATAGAAAGAAAAGAGCAAAGGACACTGTAATGAAGAGATTAGGCCAGCCACAGTGGCTCACACCTGTAATCCCAGCACTTTGGGAGGCCGAGGTGGGTGGATTGCTTGAGCTCAGGAGTTCAAGACCAGTCTGGGCAACATGGCAAAACCTTGTCCCTACAAATAATACAAAAATTAGCCAGGTGTGGTGGCATGTGCCTGTAGTCCCAGCCACTTGGGAGGCTGAAGTGGGAGGATTGCTTGATCCTGGGAGGTAGAGGCTGCAGTGAGCCATAATTGTGCCACTGCACTCCAGCCTGGGCAACAGAGTGAGACCCTATCTCAAAAATAAATAAATAAATAAATATAAAGAAAAGATTGACCAGGCATGTGGATATAAAGAATCTTTAGCTGTAGGATACCAGCTTTTGCCATAGAAAATACCCAGTTACAGCTCATAGAACCTAAAAGAATTTGAGTTGGCAATGGTAGGCTACAGGGAGGAAGGATAATTAAAAAAAAAAAGGCTACAGATGGAGGAGGATGAGGCTGTAACTGCTATGATCTACAGCAAATAAGTAGCCCAGGCCTTAGGTGTTTTCATTTGTGGTTTAGGGCTCCAGAGCTTCTTTTGAATAACCAGTAAGGACCCATGACTCAGAATCATTGCTTCGAGGGCCGTATTGAGCAACTCTGAAACTAGATGCAGAACAGATGTCGTTGTAGAAGCCTAACATGCAGAGAAACTTGTAAAATATATATTTTTTTCAGGCCCTAGATTCTAAGATCCTGCTTTGCAGATCTGAAGTGGGACCCAGGAATCTTTAACAAGCTCTAAGGTAATGGTAATGCAAAAGTTACTCCCTCTCCCTCTCCCTCTCCGTCTCCCTCTCCCTCTCCCCACGGTCTCCCTCTCATGCGGAGCTGAAGCTGGACTGTACTGCTGCCATCTCGGCTCACTGCAACCTCCCTGCCTGATTCTCCTGCCTCAGCCTGCCGAGTGCCTGCAATTGCAGGCACGCGCCGCCACGCCTGACTGGTTTTGGTGGAGACGGGGTTTCGCTGTGTTGGCCGGGCCGGTCTCCAGCCCCTAACCGCGAGTGATCCGCCAGCCTCGGCCTCCCGAGGTGCCGGGATTGCAGACGGAGTCTCGTTCACTCAGTGCTCAATGGTGCCCAGGCTGGAGTGCAGTGGCGTGATCTCGGCTCACTACAACCTACACCTCCCAGCCACCTGCCTTGGCCTCCCAAAGTGCCGAGATTGCAGCCTCTGCCCGGCCGCCACCCCGTCTGGGAAGTGAGGAGTGTCTCTGCCTGGCCGCCCATCATCTGGGATGTGAGGAGCCCCTCTGCCTGGCTGCCCAGTCTGGAAAGTGAGGAGCGTCTCCTCCTGGCCGCCATCCCATCTAGGAAGTGAGGAGCGCCTCTTCCCAGCCGCCATCACATCTAGGAAGTGAGGAGCGTCTCTGCCCGGCCGCCCATCGTCTGAGATGTGGGGAGCGCCTCTGCCCTGCCGCCCCGTCTGGGATGTGAGGAGCGCCTCTGCCCGGCCGAGACCCCGTCTGGGAGGTGAGGAGCGTCTCTGCCCAGCCGCCCCGTCTGAGAAGTGAGGAGACCCTCTGCCTGGCAACCGCCCCGTCTGAGAAGTGAGGAGCCTCTCCGCCCGGCAGCCACCCCATCTGGGAAGTGAGGAGCGTCTCCGCCCGGCAGCCACCCCGTCCGGGAGGGAGGTGGGGGGTCAGCCCCCCCGCCCGGCCAGCCGTGCCATCCGGGAGGGAGGTGGGGGGGTCAGCCCCCCGCCTGGCCAGCCGTGCCCTCCGGGAGGGAGGTGGGGGGGTCAGCCCCCCGCCCGGCCAGCCGCCCCGTCCGGGAGGTGAGGGGCGCCTCTGCCCGGCCGCCCCTACTGGGAAGTGAGGAGCCCCTCTGCCCGGCCACCACCCCGTCTGGGAGGTGTGCCCAACAGCTCATTGAGAACGGGCCAGGATGACAATGGCGGCTTTGTGGAATAGAAAGGCGGGAAAGGTGGGGAAAAGATTGAGAAATCGGATGGTTGCCGTGTCTGTGTAGAAAGAAGTAGACATGGGAGACTTTTCATTTTGTTCTGCACTAAGAAAAATTCTTCTGCCTTGGGATCCTGTTGATCTGTGACCTTACCCCCAACCCTGTGCTCTCTGAAACATGTGCTGTGTCCACTCAGGGTTAAATGGATTAAGGGCGGTGCAAGATGTGCTTTGTTAAACAGATGCTTGAAGGCAGCATGCTCGTTAAGAGTCATCACCAATCCCTAATCTCAAGTAATCAGGGACACAAACACTGCGGAAGGCCGCAGGGTCCTCTGCCTAGGAAAACCAGAGACCTTTGTTCACTTGTTTATCTGCTGACCTTCCCTCCACTGTTGTCCCATGACCCTGCCAAATCCCCCTCTGTGAGAAACACCCAAGAATTATCAATAAAAAAATAAATTAAAAAAAAAAAAGTTACTCAGGAGACCCTTTTAGAAATACTTAGGGAAAGATAAGCTGTCTCCTTGGGATGACTGGGCTGGTGTCTGTGCATATGCCTTCTCTGGATCCAAGTGACTTTACCACACCAAGCCTTAAGACTGCCAGACTGTTCTCTCCATTGAAAGCCATTCTGCACCACTGGCCATACAGAAGGAATCTCATATTCCAGGAGACTGGCCCAAACAGGACTGTTGAGTGGCTCTAAGGCTTTTAGACGTCAAAAGGGTTTATAAGAATAATCATCATAATATAGTTATGAATCAGAAACATGCATACATTTTCTTAAATGACCCTGTGGGGATGAGTTAAAAAGGGAGGAGTACCCAGATGCAGGCGTCTAGCAGAATGGACTTGCTTGAGAATATCAAGCAAGACAGCCAAAGAGGACTCCTAGGATTGTCTCACCAGGACTTCTGAGGCGACTCTAATGAAATGACTTAAAAGTGTGGTGGAGTGGCTTCTGTGGCTCCCACACCTGCCTAATCCTGGTTGATATTGCACAACCAGGGTGCACTGACAATCTCTGGGAAAAAAGCAAGGTCTAATATTCAAAGCTTGGCAAACATGACCAAGACTTTTTCTCTTTCCTTTGAATTATTTTAGTTCCCTAATTTTTTGTCCCATATGCCACTTAATTCTTTTTATTTTGTATTAAAAGTTGTGCTCTTGTCTCAACCTTCTTTCTAGATTGGATCCTGCATGTTTTTTTTATCATTATACTTTTGGCAGCCCTACCACTAGGCTTCCTGAAATATAGCACCTTTGTTTTTGTTTGTTTGTTTGTTTGTTTTGAGACCGAGTTTCGCTCTGTCACCCAGGCTGGAGTGCAATGGCACAATCTCAGCTCACTGCAACCTCTGCCTCCTGGGTTCAAGCGATTCTCCTACCTCAGCTTCCTGAGTAGCTGGGATTACAGGTGCGTGCCACCACCCCCGGCTAATTTTTGTGTTTTTATTGAGACGGGGTTTCACCATGTTGGTCAGACTGGTCTCAAACTCCTGATCCCATGATCTGCCTGCCTAGGCCTTCCAAAGTGCTGGGATTATAGGTGTGAGCCACCGCGCCCTGCCTGCACCTTTGTTATATAGAAAATTCTTATCAACATTATTGTCTACTTTTAGACTTTATTTTGTTCTATTGAACTATTCTGGTTCTAGTACCATACATTAAAATTATAGCTTTATAATACTTTTTAACATCTGACAGGATGTGCTCCCCTTATCATCCTTCTTTTTCAATATTTTATCATTCTCACAGTTTTTCTCAGATCAACTTCACATGTAATTTACAAAAAAAATTAAAATTACATTGGTATTTAGGTGGAAATTATGTTAAATTTATGTACTAATCTGGAGAAGTCTTGTTTCGTAATAATAATTCTTACCATGAAGGAAAATAGCTTCTCTCTCCGCTGATTCATGTTTTTTCTCATGTCTCTCAGTAGAGTTTATAGCTTTTTTTGTATAAGTTCTCATAATTGCTTGAATATATTCCTAATTATTTTATTTTTGTTGTTTTGGGTGTGAATGAGATTTGTTTTTGTTCATTTTTAATGGGTTCTTGTTGGCATATACAAAAACCACTGATTTTAAAATACTTATGTAATAACTAGATGTGCACCTACTTTTTTTTTTTCTTTTTTTGAAACGGAGTCTTGCTGTGTCGCCCAGGCTGGAGTGTAGTGGCGCAGTCTTGGCTCACTGCAGCTTCCACCTCCCAGGTTCAAGCGATTCTCCTGCCTCAGCCTCCTGAGTAGCTGGGATTACAGGCATGTGCCACCACACCCGGCTAATTTTTGTATTTTTAGTAGAGACGGGGTTTCACCATGTTGGGCAGGCTATTCTTGAACTCCTGACCTCAGGTAAGGAGGTCACCCACCTTGGCTTCCCAAAGTGCTGGAATTACAGGCGTGAGCCACACGCTCAGCTGACGTGTACCTACTTTAGAACGTGTGTCTCTTATGTCAGCTTACCATTATTGTCCATGTAATTTGCCATTTTAACAGACTAAAAAAGAAAAGCTATATGACATTTTCAATAAATACATTAAAAAGTTGAGAAAATTCAACATTTATTCTGATTTTTTTTTAACTTTTTTATTTTGAGATGGAGTCTCGCTGTGTCACCCAGGCTGGAGTGCAGTGGCACGACTTTGGCTCACTGCAACTTCTGCCTCCTGGGTTCAAGCGATTCTCCTGCCTCAGCCTCCCAGGTAGCTGGGACTACAGGTGCACACCACAAGGCCCGGCTAATTTTTATATTTTTTAGTAGAGACAGGGTTTTGCCATGTTGGCCAGACTGGTCTCAAACTCCTGACCTCAAGTGATCCACCCGCCTCAGCCTCCTAAAGTGCTAGGATTATAGGAATGAGCCACTGCACTCAGCCTGATTTTTTAAAAAGTCTTAACAAACTAATAATAGAAAGGAACTTCCTCAGTCTGATAAAGCTCATCTACAAAAAATCTACAGCTAACTTACATACTTAATTTTTTTTTATGTTTTATAGAGATGGGGTCTTGCTATGTTGACCAGGCTGGTCTTGAACTCCTGGCCTCAAGTGATCCTCCCATCTTGGCCTCCCCAAAATGCTTGGATTGCAGGTGTGAGCCACCACACCTGGCCCCATACTTGATTAAAGACCAAATGTTTTCTTCTACAATAAGGAACAAGGCAAGGATGTCTGCTCTCACATCTTCTATTGAACTCTCTACTGGACATTCCAGTTAATTCAGTAAGGCAAGAACAAGGAATAAAAAACAATAAGCTTGGAAATGAAACAGTAAAACTATTTATTTGCAAAAGACATGATTGTTTATGTAAAAAATCCAATGAAGTCCTTAAAAAGTCTGCTAGAACTAATAAATGAGTTTAGCAAGTTTGAAGCATACAAGATTAATATACAGAAACTAGTTTATTTCTATATTGTAGCAAAGACAATACAAATTGACGTGTTAAAAAATGCCATTTATAATGGTACCAAAAATATTAAATTTTTAATGATAAATCTGTGCAAGACTCATATACTGAAACCATAAGACATTAATGAGAGAAATTAATACTTAAATAAGTAAAGAGATATACCAGGCTGGGCACAGTGGCTCACACCTGTAATCCTAGTACTTAGGGAGGCCGAGGCAGGCGGATCACGAGGTCAAGAGATCGAGACCATCCTGGCCAACATGGTGAAACCCCATCTCTACTAAAAATACAAAAATTAGCTGGGCATGATGGTGCACACCTGCAGTCCCAGCTACTCGGGAGGCTAAGGCAGGAGAATCACTTGAACCCAGGAGGTGGAGGTTGCAGTGAGCCGAGATTGTGCCACTGCACTCCAGCCTGGTGACAGAGTGAGGCTCCATCTCAAAAAAAAAAAAAAAAAGAGATATACCATATTCGTGGATCAGAGGACTCAATATTGTTCTGATGTCAGTTCTCCCCAGGTTTATCAATAGATTCAACACAACTCCAATCAAACTCCCAGTAGGTTTTAGTAGAAGTTGACAAGTTTATTCTAAAATTCATGTGGAAATACAAAGGACTTAGAGTAATCACAACTTCAAAAAAGAACAGTTTGAAGACTTCACTCTCCCTGACTTCCAGACTTGGAGAATAATCAAAACAGTGTAGTATTGCTATAAAGATAGACAAGTCAGTAGTTCAGAATAGAGAGTCTAGGAATAGACTCACACATGTATGGTCAAGTGATTTCCCACAAGGTACAAAATATAATCTTTTCAGCAAATGGTACTGGAACAGTTAGCCATATGCAATAAAATGAACTTCAATTCATAACTTCACACCATATAAAAATTAATTCAAAATGGACTGTAGACATAAATGTAAAATCTAACACTATAGAACTTTCTTTTTTTTTTTTTTTTTTTTTTTTTTTTTTTTTTTTTTTTTTTTTTTTTTTTTTTTTTTTCCTGATTAATTTTTATTTATTTTTTTTATTTTTTCCTTTGGAAACTACTTTATTTTTTATTTATTTTTTTTTTGAACATATGTATTTGTCAATATATTTTTGGCTGATGTGTTTACACAGGAAAAAATAATATTTACATACTCAAACCTCAGTTCAACATTTTAACAAAACAACATGCAGAAAAGTCTTCACTTCCTTTCTAAATACAAATGCTAGAATGTCGGAATCACACGTGGATGTTTTGAAAAGCGTGCTGAGCCTCCTCAAGGGTCATGGAGCTGCACATGCTACGACACCAAAGCAACTGGGTTTTGTTGGTTTTGTGGCAGTTGCTTATTAATATGTAATTTACATTCAGTAAAATCTGCCTTTTATTTTTTTTTTATTTTTTATTTTTAAATTTATTTTTTTATTGATAATTCTTGGGTGTTTCTCACAGAGGGGGATTTGGCAGGGTCATGGGACAATAGTGGAGGGAAGGTCAGCAGATAAACAAGTGAACAAAGGTCTCTGGTTTTCCTAGGCAGAGGACCCTGCGGCCTTCCGCAGTGTTTGTGTCCCTGATTACTTGAGATTAGGGAGTGGTGATGACTCTTAACGAGCATGCTGCCTTCAAGCATCTGTTTAACAAAGCACATCTTGCACCGCCCTTAATCCATTTAACCCTGAGTGGACACAGCACATGTTTCAGAGAGCACAGGGTTGGGGGTAAGGTCACAGATCAACAGGATCCCAAGGCAGAGGAATTTTTCTTAGTGCAGAACAAAATGAAAAGTCTCCCATGTCTACTTCTTTCTACACAGACACGGCAACCATCCGATTTCTCAATCTTTTCCCCACCTTTCCCGCCTTTCTATTCCACAAAGCCGCCATTGTCATCCTGGCCCGTTCTCAATGAGCTGTTGGGCACACCTCCCAGACGGGGTGGTGGCTGGGCAGAGGGGCTCCTCACTTCCCAGTAGGGGCGGCCGGGCAGAGGCGCCCCTCACCTCCCGGACGGGGCGGCTGGCCGGGCGGGGGGCCGACACCCCCACCTCCCTCCCGGACGGGGCGGCTGGCCGGGCGGGGGGCCGACACCCCCACCTCCCTCCCGGACGGGGCGGCTGGCCGGGCGGGGGGCTGACCCCCACACCTCCCTCCCGGACGGGGCGGCTGGCCGGGCAGAGGGGCTCCTCACTTCCCAGTAGGGGCGGCCGGGCAGAGGCGCCCCTCACCTCCCAGACGGGGCGGCTGGCCGGGCGGAGGGCTGACCCCCCCACCTCCCTCCCGGACAGGGCGGCTGGCCGGGCGGGGGGCTGACCCCCCAACCTCCCTCCCGGACGGGGCGGCTGGCCGGGCAGAGGGGCTCCTCACTTCCCAGTAGGGGCGGCCGGGCAGAGGTGCCCCTCACCTCCCAGACGGGGCGGCTGGCCGGGCGGAGGGCTGACCCCCCCACCTCCCTCCCGGACGGGGCGGCTGGCCGGGCGGGGGGCTGACCCCCCCACCTCCCTCCCGGACGGGGCGGCTGGCCGGGCAGAGGGGCTCCTCACTTCCCAGTAGGGGTGGCCGGGCAGAGGCGCCCCTCACCTCCCAGACGGGGCGGCTGGCCAGGCGGAGGGCTGACCCCCCCACCTCCCTCCCGGACGGGGCGGCTGGCCGGGTGGGGGGCTGACCCCCCCATCTCCCTCCCGGACGGGGTGGCTGGCCGGGCTGAGGGGCTCCTCACTTCCCAGTAGGGGCGGCCGGGCAGAGGCACCCCTCACCTCCCGGAAGGGGCGGCTGGCCGGGCGGGGGGCCGACACCCCCACCTCCCTCCCGGACGGGGCGGCTGGCCGGGCGGGGGGCCGACACCCCCACCTCCCTCCCAGACGGGGCGGCTGGCCGGGCGGGGGGCTGACCCCCACACCTCCCTCCCGGACGGGGCGGCTGGCCGGGCAGAGGGGCTCCTCACTTCCCAGTAGGGGCGGCCGGGCAGAGGCGCCCCTCACCTCCCAGACGGGGCGGCTGGCCGGGCGGAGGGCTGACCCCCCCACCTCCCTCCCGGACAGGGCGGCTGGCCGGGCGGGGGGCTGACCCCCCAACCTCCCTCCCGGACGGGGCGGCTGGCCGGGCAGAGGGGCTCCTCACTTCCCAGTAGGGGCGGCCGGGCAGAGGCGCCCCTCACCTCCCAGACGGGGCGGCTGGCCGGGCGGAGGGCTGACCCCCCCACCTCCCTCCCGGACGGGGCGGCTGGCCGGGCGGGGGGCTGACCCCCCCACCTCCCTCCCGGACGGGGCGGCTGGCCGGGCAGAGGGGCTCCTCACTTCCCAGTAGGGGTGGCCAGGCAGAGGCGCCCCTCACCTCCCAGACGGGGCGGCTGGCCAGGCGGAGGGCTGACCCCCCCACCTCCCTCCCGGACGGGGCGGCTGGCCGGGTGGGGGGGCTGACCCCCCCATCTCCCTCCCGGACGGGGTGGCTGGCCGGGCTGAGGGGCTCCTCACTTCCCAGTAGGGGCGGCCGGGCAGAGGCACCCCTCACCTCCCGGAAGGGGCGGCTGGCCGGGCGGGGGGCTGACCCCCCCACCTCCCTCCCGGATGGGGCGGCTGGCCTGGCCGGGGCTGACCCCCCCGCACCTCCCTCCCGGACGGGGTGGCTGCCGGGCGGAGACGCTCCTCACTTCCCAGATGGGGTGGCTGCCGGGCGGAGAGGCTCCTCACTTCTCAGACGGGGCAGCTGCCGGGCGGAGGGGCTCCTCACTTCTCAGACGGGGTGGTTGCCAGGCAGAGGGTCTCCTCACTTCTCAGACGGGGTCTCGGCCGGGCAGAGGCGCTCCTCATCTTCCAGACGGGGTCGCGGCTGGGCAGAGGCGCTCCTCACATCCCAGATGGGGCGGCGGGGCAGAGGCGCTCCCCACATCTCAGACGATGGGCGGCCGGGCAGAGACGCTCCTCACTTCCTAGATGTGATGGCGGCTGGGAAGAGGCGCTCCTCACTGCCTAGATGGGATGGCGGCCGGGCGGAGACGCTCCTCACTTTCCAGACTGGGCAGCCAGGCAGAGGGGCTCCTCACATCCCAGACGATGGGCGGCCAGGCAGAGACACTCCTCACTTCCCAGACGGGGTGGCGGCCGGGCAGAGGCTGCAATCTCGGCACTTTGGGAGGCCAAGGCAGGCGGCTGCTCCTTGCCCTCGGGCCCCGCGGGGCCCGTCCGCTCCTCCAGCCGCTGCCTCCCGGGCGGCGCTCGCCGGCGCGGCGGCAAAGACTGAGCTAGAACTTTCAAAAGAAAACATAGAAGAAATCTTTTGTGACTTTGAGTTAAGCAAAGATTTCTTAAATATGACAAGAAAAGCACAATCAATAACAGAAACATTAAATTGGGCTTTGTCGAAATTAATAACTTCTATCAAAGGACACTGTTAAGAACAATGAAAATTCAATCCTCTGACTGGGAGAAATATATACAAATAACTTATCTGACAAAGAACTTGTATCCAGAATATAGTTTTAAAAATAAGAAACACTACCCAGTTTTTTAAATGAACAAAAGATTTGAACAGATACTCTACCAAAAAATATGCAAATTGAAATAAGCTCATACAGATGGAAATAAGCTCATTAGGGAAATACAAATTATCACTGCAATGAGATACTACTATGTACCTATTAGAATTTCTCAAATTAAAAAGACTGACCATAACAAGTGTTGGCAAGGACATTGAGTAATGGAACTCTCATATATGTCAGGGGTAGGATTTGACTTTACCCTACTTATAAGCCAGTAAGTTAGCTTGTTGTTTCATGAATTCTAACAGAAGATATGAGACTCAGGTCAGAGACAATGAACTTTATTATTCATCACACAGCAAGCAGCATGAGCATTAACTTTTGCATCAGCTCTTGCTCCCTGAGTCCAACAGGGACAACACAAAGGCCCAGATGAAGGTCTACACATGTGGTAAATGTGTTACATGACAATAGCACTGAGTTTGGGGAACCCACATTTTATAGAAAGCAGTAAGTGAGCTTGCTTTTTAACCCAGGGAGATATTACTTCACAGCTCAAAGTTGCTTGCTGCAAAGACAATCCTGAGAAATGGCCTGGCTAAAGAGCAGTCAATACCTTACATTCTTGGTATACTCTATAAGATGAGGAGGAGCATAAGAGACTCATGGCAGAATGTCTCTCAACAGCATCCACCGTCAGTTCTACATCATCTTGACTTCTTGAGAGATTTTCACTTGAGCATGCCATTCTGTAGGCCACTTTGATTAATCTGATTAGTAGAGGTTGGAACCAAATCCGTCCAATTTATCTCATACAGCATAGACCACTGTCAATAAATCCCCAAGCAGCAAGATGAGACAAACCTGCAGTATTGACCTCAGAGTACCAGATTCAACCACCTGTGAATAAGTCTCAGGAGGATCTGTAGGTCTTATTTGAGACATCCAGTATATAGTTTAAGGCCAGTCGTAATCACCATACATAGCATAACCAAGGCCACTCAGGCATCAGGAGAAGCACATGATTTTGTATGAGTCAGCTTAAAACATAGTTGTGCCAGTCTGTGTTTGTACATGTATGTAGATGTATGTCCACCTTTGACAGCACCAGGCACAGAAGGCATAGTGTCAGGCCATGTCCACATGAGTTTCTCTGTTTTAATAGCACATGGACTGGTTTGACAAACCCAGCAGCAGATGAGATTGGCAGCCTGATGACAGTGTGCCTCAAACAAACCATGTAACTATTTGCCAGGTTGCAGTGCTGGATCTAAGGGACATAGAGAACATTAACTGTTCCCTACCTCTCCACACTTCCTGGAGTTTAACGTGTTCTCCCTCCAGGTACTGGGATCGTTGTTCTCCTTCCACAGCTACAAAATCAGTGTGTCCCAACCCAGTAGCTGTAACTTCACCTTTTCTCCAATTCTTCCCCACTCACACCAACATTTTTCATCTGGAAGAGTCAACTGTGAATGGGACAAGAGCTTTTTTTTTTTTTTTTTTTTTTGATACAGAGTCTCGCTCTGTTGCCCAGGCTGGAGTACAATGGTGTGATCTCAGCTCACTGAAAGCTCTGCCTCCTGGGTTCACCCCATTCTCCTGCCTCAGCCTCCCAAGTAGCTGGGACTACAGGCACCCACCACCATGCCCGGCTAATTTTTTGTATTTTTAGTAGAGATGGGGTTTCACTATGTTAGCCAGGATGGTCTTGATCTCCTGACCTCATGATCTGCCCACCTCGGCCTCCCACAGTGCTGGGATTACAGGTGTGAGCCACCGCGCCCGGCCCACATGGATAAACTTTGAAAACATTTTGCTAAGTGAAGGAAGCCAGCCACAAAGACTACATACTGTAGGATGGTTGCACAACTCTGTGAATAAACTAAAAACCTTCCAAAGGGTGAATTTTATGATATGTGAATTACATCTCAATTAAGCTGTTTTTTAATTAAAAGTTTATTCCATCTCTCAATGGTACCACCAGTCTGAAGATAATGAATTGGCTACCAAATACTTTGACTATAAGCCCATTGTTGATGAGTTTTTGCACTAAAAAATGCAGTATTATCACCATCCAGAAAGCCAAAATCATGACACAGATTAGTTTCAAGGGCCACAATGATGTGGCCACAATTGGCTGATCAGACTAGAACAGCAAAACCATTACCTGAGAAAAAGTCAACAGGAATGAGATACCAGTGGAATAGCTTGGAAGAGGTCAAAGGTCTGATGTCACCAATTTACCAGGAGCCAGTCAACACTCTGCAGCCAGTCAACACTCAGTGCAATATGGCCTCTTTCACCATGAGACAAATAGGCTAACTTTTGGCAGAGGTCACAAATCTGGCATGTAGTGGTAGCTTCTGATTCAGAAACACAGAGTCCCTTACTTTGTGCCCAGTTGATGATGGTGTCACCATGTCCAATGTTATGATGGATCTAAGTGGCAACTGTGGCCATCTGAGTGGCACAAGCTTGATCAAAAGCTTGATTCTAGTTGGTCTCATCAGAGAATGAGCCCTTACCATGCACACCACAACAGTGATCCAGACTGTTTGGTGGCTACAATTTGTTTCCAGGGCTCATGACCCAAAGTGAAGTGCCTTTAATCTGCCAGTCTGTAATCTTCTAAGTAGCAGACAAGACCACTAGTGCCTAAGAATCAGTAAAAATATAGCATAACTAGTCAGTCCTAAGGGAAAGGTGATAGCTTTTGTTTTAGACCATTGTGCTAATTGACCCTTAATGCAGTAGGTCTTCCAGAGTTGTGGTTGAGGCCAGGCATCCAGTGGGCGCTATCAGCTTTCTTTCTTTCTTTTTCCTTTTCTCTTTTCTTTTCTTTTCTCCTTCCTTCCTTCCTTCCTTCCTTTCTTTCCTTTCTTTCTTCCTCACTCTGTTGCCCAAGTGTATATGACGGACTGCATATATGACAGTGGTCCTATAAACCAGCCTGACCAACATGGCGAAACCCCATCTCTACTAAAAATACAAAAATTCGCCGGGCGTGGTGGCAGGCGCCTATAATCCCAGCTACTCGGGAGGCTGAGGCTGAGGCTGAGCCAGGAGAATCATTTGAACCCAGGAGGCAGAGGTTGCAGTGAGCCGAGATTGCGCCACTGTACTCCAGCCTGGGTGACAGAGCGAGACTCAGAAAAACAACAACAAAAACAACAACAAACAGTTTACTGTAAAACAGTATGTCATGTTATACCCACAGTATCCTCATATATTTCATGTTTACCGCATCTCTTGTTTGCACATTATTTTCTCTCGCATTTGATTTAATCTTGTGTTGTTTTTTTCATCATAGCTCCTAAGGGTACAAAATCCATGGCTAATGTTGCCAGTAAGAGGCCACATCAAGTGATTGACCTGGAAATGAAATTTAAAGTAAAAGTCAGTGATGATTATTGCTCACCAGTCAGGCATATCCCATTCCACCATAGCTACCATCTTGAAGAGCAAGAGCAAAGTGACCGAAGCTGTTAAATAATCTGCTTCAGCCGGGCGCAGTGGCTCACGCCTGTAATCCCAGCACTTTGAGAGGCCGAGGTGGGCAGATCATGAAGTCAGGAGTTTGAGACCAGCCTGATCAACATTGTGAAACCCCGTCTCTACTAAAAATACAAAAATTAGCCAGGCGAGGTGGCAGGCACCTGTAATCCCAGCTACTTGGGAGGCTGAGGCAGGACAATCGCTTGAAGCGGGGAGGCGGAGGTTGCAGTGAGCCGAGATCATGCCATTGCACTCCAGCCTGGGTGACACAGTGAGACTCCATCTCAAAAACAAAGAAAAAAGAAGAATCTGCTTCACTGAAGGCAATGAGACTAACAAAAGTTCACGAAGGTTCTATATGGGATATGGAGAAACTTCTAATGACCTAGATTGAAGACCAGGCAACAGAAGTATATCTTTCTTAGCACGATAACAATCATGGCCAAAACAAAAAGTTTGTTTGTGATGTTGAAAGAAAAGTCTGGCTGGGCATGGTAGCGCATGCCTGTGGCCCCTACTACTCAGGAGGCAGGGGTGGGAGGATTGCTAGAGCCCAGGAAGTCGTGGCTGAAGTGGGCTCATGATAATGCCACTGCACTCCAGCCTGTGTGACAGAGTGAGACTCTGAGAAAGAAGAAAGAAAGAAAGAAAGAAAGAAAGAAAGAAAGAAAGAAAGAAAGAAAGAAAGAAGGAAGGAAGGAAGGAAGGAAGGAAAGGAAGGAAGGAAGGAAGGAAGGAAGGAAGGAAAGGAAGGAAGGAAGGAAGGAAGGAAGGAAGCGGGAGGGAGGGAAGAAGGAAGGAAGGAAGGAAGGAGGGAGGGAGGGAAGAAGGAAAGAAGGAAGGAAGGAGAAAGAGAGAAAGAGAGAGAGAAGAAGAAAGAGAAAGAAACAGAAAAGGAAGGAAGGAGAGAGAGAAAGAAAGAGAAAGAGAAGGAAGGAAGGAAGGAGAAAGAAAGGAAAGGAAAGGAGTGGAAAGGAAAGGAGAGGAAAGGAGAAAGGAGGGAGGGAGGGAAAAGAAAGAAAGAAAGAAAAGGCTAAACCTGACTATGATATTGAATTTACTGCTAGCTCTAGGTGGTTTAAATGATTCAAGAATCATGGCCATGGCTGGGCGCAGTGGCTCACGCCTATAATCCCAGCACTTTGGGAGGCCGAAGCGGGCAGATCACCTGAGGTCAGGAGTTTGAGACCAGCCTGGCCAACATGGTGAAACCCTGTCTCTACTAAAAATACACAAAAAAATTAGCCAGGCATGGTGGTGCGTGTCTGTAATCCCAGCTACTTGGGAGGTTGAGGCAGAAGAATCGCTTGAATCCAGGAGGTGGACGTTGCAGTGAGCTGAGATTGCACCACTGCACTCCAGCCTGGGCAACAAGAGTGAAAACTCTGTCTCAAAAAAAAAAAGAATCATTATTCAGCCTGGCACAGTGGCTCACGCCTGTAATCCTACCACTTTGGGAGTCTGGGGTGGGAGAATTGCCTGAGCCCAGGAGTTTGAAACCAGCCTAGGCAAGATGGCGAGACCCCCATCTTAAAAATAAATCATTATGCATTATATAATGTGAATGTGAGAGAGCAATATGCAAGTGCTGATACGAAGGCAGCTGAAGAATTTTGGGAAACTCTAGATAAGGTGATTGTATTTGCCTGGGAAAATCTTCTTGAGTTTTATAGTTTCAGGTCTTATTAATACATTTAGGTCTATGATTCATTTTGGGTAAGTTTTTGTATATGGTGTTAGGTAAGAGTCTAACTTCATTGTTTTGCATGTAGATATCCACTTTTCCTAGTACCATTTGTTGAAAAAAACTCTTATTTCCCCCATTAAATGGCCTTGACACCTTTGTCAAAAATCACTTGACCACACATGTAAAGGTTTATTTCTGGGCCTTTATTTATTCTATTATGGGTTTATTTATTCTATTCCATTTTTCTACACATTTGTCTTTATGCAAGTACCACACTGTTTTGATTACTGTGGCTTTGTAGTAAGTTTTGAAATCAAGAAGTGTGAGTCCTCCAGCTTTATTCTTTTTCAAGATTATTTTGGCTATTTGGGGTCCTTTGAGATTCCATACAAATTTTAGAATGGGTTTTTTTTCTATTTCTGCCAAAAAAAACCTCCTAGAGATTTTGTTAGGAATTGTATTGAATCTGTAGATTGCTTATATTTATGTCTTATTTAATTTCTTTCAGCAATGTTCTATAGTTGTCATTGTACACATCTTTCACCCCCTTGGCTATGTTAATTCCTAATTCTTTTGATGCTTTTGTAGATTGAATCATTTTCTTAATTTCCTTTTCAGATTGTTCATTGTTAATATATAGAAATGTAACTGATATAACTTTGTATCCTGCTACTTTGCTAAACTGATTTATTAGTTCTAACAGTGTTTTGTGGAATCTTTAGGCTTTTCTACATTTAAGATCATATTATCTGTGAACAGAGATCATTTTACTCCTTCCTTTTTAATGCGGATGGCTTTGCTTTCTTTTCCTTGCCTAATTGTTCTAGGTAGAACTTCCAGTACTATTTTGAGTAGAGGTGGTGAAAGCAGGCATCTTTGTCTTGTTCTTGATGTTGGAGGAAAATCTTTCATTCTTTCATCATTGTGTATGATGTTGGCTGTGGGTTTTTCATATATGGCTTTTATTATGTTGAAGCAGTCCTCCTATTCCTAGTTTGTGGAGTGTTTTTTTTTATCATGAAATTATGTTAGAGTTTGTCAAATGCTTTTCCTGCATCAATTGAGATAATCTGATATAGGATTCTTGGTTGACAGTTTTTTTCTTTCAGAACTTTGAATTTGTCAGCCCACAGCCTCTGGCCTCCAAAGTTTCTGATAAGAAATCTGCTAATGATTTTATTGAGGATTTATTGTATGTGATGAGTCGCATCTCTCTTGCTGCTTCCAAGATTTTATCTTTGGTTTTGGCTTTCAAAAGTTTGATTATACCGTATCTTTGTGTGGATCTCTTTGAGTTCATCTTACTTGGAGTTCATTGAGCTTCTTGGATGTTTATATTCATATCTTTAATCAAACTTTGGAAGTCTTAATCAATGTTTCTTCAAATATTCTGGGTTTTTTTCTCTCTTCTCCTTCTGGGATGGCTAGACTTCTGAGAGAATGCATATGTTTTTCTGCTTGATGGTGTCCCACATGTCCCTTAGGCAGTGTTTACTTTTCTCCAATCTTATTTATGTTCCTCAGACTCAGTAATTTTCATGGTTCTATCTTCAAGTTCATTGAGTCTCTCTTCTGTCTAATCAAATCTGCCTTTGAATCCCTCTAGTGCATTTTTAAATTTTGGTTATTGTACTAATCAATACTACAAAAAGTTCTTGTACTTTCTGGTTTCTTTTTAGGTTTTCCATATCTCTATTGATATTCCCCTTTTGCTTGTACTTGTTTTTTTCACTCTCCACATCTTCCTTTAGTTCTCTGAGCATCTCTAAGACAATTGTTTTAATATATTTGTCTAGTAGGTCTGCCATGAGGACTTTCAGAGCTTCTGTTGACTTTTTTCCTTTGAATGTGCCATATTTTTTCTTTTCTTTGTATGCCTTGTGATTTTTTGGTTGAAAACTAGACATTTTAGTTTAATAATGTGGTAACTCTAGAAACCAGGTTCTCCCCTTTCCTCAGGGTTTACTTTATTTTGTTACTGTTTTTTGTTATTGTTGATGTTTCTTTTTTATTGTTATAGGCTATCTCTGTGCCAAGGACACTTTGCCATCCAAGCCTTCACCTAGAAGTTGCAAGCCTTCAATAGACTCCATGGCTTTAAAATAGTTACAGATTCTGCCAGTACAAGTTTTGGTTAGGTAAGGAAACAGAATCCTAGAGCTTCCTACTCTGCCATCTTCCCAGAATACTTTCCTGGCTAATTATTTCTAAGGGAATAATTTAAGCCCCCAAAGACACCTGGGCCAAGTCTTTCTCTAGAAACTTGATATCTTTTCTGCTTTCTTTCCCTGCTTTTTCTTTTCCACTTAGTTCCACTCCCATCCCCCATCTCACCACCTAATATCCATCAGACTCAGTATGTTCCTCTTCTCCTCCCAACCCCATGTTCAAATACTTTTTTTTTTTTTGAGACTGGCCCAGGCTGGAGTGCAGTGGCACAATCTTGGCTCACCGCAACCTCTGCCTCCCAGGTTCAAGCGATTCTCCTGCCTCAGCCTCCCAAGTAGCTGGGACTACAGGCACCTGCCACCACACCTGGCTATTTTTTGTATTTTTAGTAGAGACGGGGTATCACCATGTTGGCCAGGCTCTTCTCGAACTCCTGACCTCAGGTGATCCACCCACCTCGGCCTCCCAATCAAATTCTTTATCCAAAGCCTTACTTGGTGGGTCATATAATGAACTAAAATTTGGAAAACATTCACATTTGTGGAATGCTTCAGAGTTTTCAAGGCGTCTACATTATCTCATTGGATCCTCTTTTCAGCCCAGTGTGGTTGGTAGATGAGATAGCAGTGTTCAGACAGTTTATGTGACTTGTCCAAGATCAGAGAGAAAGTAACAAAGCCTAAACTGGAATCCAGATCTCCTGACTCCCTATTCACTTATCTTTCCAGTTGCCCTTGTCTCTACAAATCACCAAAAGAAATTGGTTCCTAGAAATAAGGATAATGTAGGGGTGTGCCATCCCCTATCCCACTCTTCTGCACCCATCACCACGAAAACAGACAATGTTTATTGCAGGGCCCCATATTAACCTACTTTCTTCTGCAGAGCCTCTAAGCTCCACATTATCCAGGAAGCAATACATTGTGACTGTTGAAGTCAAAATAAAACATAGCGATGAATCTCTAACTTTAAAGCATTCTATTTTGGAAGCAAGGATTGCAGTTTGAGGCATACACACTAACCAGGTGGTCTTCAGTGTGTCTGAGGAACAGAAAGAAGGTTGGGAGTTTTATTAGAGAAATGTTCTATACTGTTTTGAAAGAAAGCTCATTGGCACTAAAGAATCATTTGGAAAGAAGGGAAAAAAAGAGAAAAAAGAAGCATTTGGGAGCTGGCAAACTCTGATTGGTGAGTGATGGTGGTAGGCAAAACTATTCTTAAAGTCATGTTTCAGCAGCTACTAAACTAGTCTTGGGGTTACAGCAGGCCATTTTAGCAGCTGGGCTTGTGAAAAATTTAATTCATGGAGCAGGTGCTGTGCCCCAAGTGCTTCTTCCCTCCTGGTCCCTAGACTCTGATTTAGTTGGGTATGACAAGAATGACCCAGTTTGTGTGATCAGCTTTCACATAACCTTGTAAATTCTAGTTGATCCAAGGAAAACCAACTAAGTAAGGAGAAGAAAAGAACTGCAGCGTCATAGTTTTTGAGTCTGTGTAAGTACAGCCCTTTGACTGAAATCTGAAAATTATGAGACCAATATTCCTGCAAAAAAAGGTCCCAAAGAGATTTTACTAATAAGGTGGGCTGGGCCTCAGCAATCTGCCCATCAAGAGTTTAGCTTCTCCACCAACTACTCCTTAACTCACCCGGAATTTCTGAAACAAGCTGAATTAGACCCTTCTTTGGCAGGACTTGTTTTTCTAGGTTAACTCAATTAGACTGTTTTATTCCGTCTCTTGGGATCCATTCTGAATTAAATTTTCATTAAACTCTGCCCTTGGAGTATCCTTGATGCAACCACTTCCCTTCCAATCCCTTGTAACCTCAATGTCAACATCAATTCCAATTCTAAAGAATTGGGAGAAATATGGGAAGAACAGACCACAAGACTTCTGGCAACCAGAATGAGTATGAAGGCATGACGTTTGCTTGGCTGAAAGCAAAGAGATGAGGTGGGGAAGCCAGCTCTGGGAGATCCTGGGATCTTTAAAAAATCTCAGAGCAACACGCCTTGCCTCTGCTATCCACGGACAGGAAAGACGCTCTGCTTTGGCGACCCTTAGAGGGGCTAATAGAGGCACAGTCACTTGCACCGTAAATAGGAGGAAACAATTTTCTTTTCTTCTGCCGCCTATAGAGATTCTATTTTCTTCTCTAAGTTTAACTTTTATATGAACTGGGTTGCTAGAGAGCTCCTTTGTAAAATAAAGGATAACCCTTTACCTTTTGCTTCTTTTGTAAAACCTCTCTTGATCTGCTTGCAGCTGCCTTTCAGCTGATGAAACATTTCCTATTTTCACTGTGGATCTGAAAGAACCTTCCTGCCTGTGAGATGTGGTGAAGTTTGAAATAATTTTGTAGTATGATTGGTTGTTTTCTTGTTCTTGTCTTTGAAGTTATAGATGAGCAAGCAGCAAATCTCTACAGCTGCAAGGTGAAAAAGGAAGTTCCTTGGCCTGGGCTCTTTGCGGGAAAGCATGTGAGTTTAGATGGCAACTTTAATCTGCTTTCAGGAGTGAAGCTGCTGCTACTTTGGAAAGTTGAAAGGACTTAACAGTTATCCCTCCTTTCTTGGAAAGTTAAACAGATTTTTTTGATTCACTTTTGTGGGTCAGAGTAGTTAAGAGGAGTTCAGTGTGAAGAAAGCAGTTGATCTTTTGCTAACTAGTGGCTTCTTTCTCTTTACTCTGTGCCTTTTCCATTGCCTAGCAGTAAACGAATAAATAAATATATCTATATGTATATCTAAGAAAGAAGTACTCCTAAATATCGACCCTGACCCCAAAGTCACACTTTAATGCTTCTTTAAATGTCTTCAGAAAGTTGCTTGTGGTTTCAGATTTCTAATAACTCTTACAGAGCAGAATTTAGGATTTAGGGATCAGTCTGCACGTGTAGCATTTGTTCATTTCATATTTATTAGAGATGAAACAGATGACCAAAATTCCATTTATTGCAGACTCTCCTTTTCCTTTGTAAATGTTTGACTTTTCTGAATGGATATCCATATTCACACATTTTAATGCCCATTAAAGGAAGCTCAGGTTAATGTTTTCAATTGTAGGTGAGTTCGCTCTGCTTCAGTGATATGGAACATTTTGTTCTGCTGTTTCCATTGGAGGAGATTAAAGAGGCTAAATGGGATGGCATAGTGAAGTCATTTTTGGTTTCCTTTTTAAAATTTTTATTTTATTTTATTTTATTATTTTTATTTTATTTTATTTATTTACTTATTTATTTTTGAGACGGAGTCTCACTGTCACCCAGGCTGGAGTGCAATGGCATGATCTTGGCTCACTGCAACCTCTGCCTCCTGAGTTCAAACGATTCTCCCACCTCAGGCTCCTGAGTAGCTGGGACAACAGGCACACACCACCACGCCTGGCTAATTTTTGTATTTTTAGTAGAGACAGGGTTCCACTATGTTGGCCAGGCTAGTCTCAAACTCCTGGCCTCAGGTGATCTGCCCACCTCAGCCTCCCAAAGTGCTGGGATTACAGGCGTGAGCCACAGCACCCAGCCAGTCATTTTGGGTTTTCTTTGGTTATTTTGGATGCCTTACTGGGACCCACTCAAAAAACAAACAAACAACAAAACAAAACAAAATGAAAAACACTTTCATAAATGTCTGTCTCAAAACCTTTTCTACTTTCTCCAAATAGAACTAATGCATACATATTCTTAAGATTTGCTCAGCTATATCTCCTTGGTTCTGACTTAATCCTCTTCTGCAGAAAATTTCATCTCACATCAAAGCCTCTTCCCTCCTTCTGCTGTAAAGTTGTTGAGAGCTGTCACAGACTGTCAGCTCAGCTTCAGCTATGCTTAATGAGTGCTTGTGCAGAATGCACCCCAGGTAAAGGAATTCAGAAATCAAAAGACATGATTACTGAGAAGGAGAAAAGGCAGAGAAGTGATTTCTGGAGAGCATAAACAAAACCAATATAGTACCCACTAAGGTCTTTGTTGAGTAATGATAGATAAAACAGCCTAAAGGGAATGATGTCAGGAGATCTAAAACAATCATTTAGCATCGCCTATCAGCATTGTATTCCTTGTACACTGTGGGAATGAACATCTGGGAAGCCTAGACTCTGACCCCTGTTTCAGTGGAACAGGGAGACAGATTTCACACTGACAAACAGCTGCCTGAAGGAGTCTTGTCCTTTTGTCCCTTGAGAAGGGACACAGCCTCAAGTCTTCTCTCAAGTTCTAACTCAGGACCCCTCAGGCAGTCTGGGCCTGCCATATGGTTCTTGGTCTCAAAGAAGAGTTCTGAAGCAGGTTGTCTACAGAAGATTCAAACCACCCATTAAAATATTATTCAATTTGGCATCTGTTAGGCATAACAATTAGACTAGCCAATTCAGTCACAATAGTGAAATCGGTACGTGTATGTAGATACAGCCCAAGAGATCAAATAATTTTAGTGTTGTTAAGAAAAAATTATTCTGAATTTTTTTTTACACAAGGACAATTTTAATCCTGCATTTTCCTGTGGTAACATCCACTGCTGGCTAGCTATGGATTGAAACTGCATTTGCTAAGAACTGTGGAGCACATGTTGATACAGGCACACAGACATCTGCCAGCACCAACAGAATACATATGTAACACATACCAGATAGTCTCGATGGATAAATTTGCTCCACCAGTAATTCTATTTAGTAGAATTCACAGTTAATGCAGAATTTCATTTTTAAATTTTACATCTTTCTAATACTTTACATTTTTCTAATATTGTATTTAAAAAAAAAAAAAAAAAACTGTCTCGCCGGGCGCGGTGGCTCACGCCTGTAATCCCAGCACTTTGGGAGGCCGAGGCGGGTGGATCATGAAGTCAGGAGATCGAGACCATCCTGGCTAACACGATGAAACCCCGTCTCTACTAAAAATACAAAAAAATTAACCGGGCGTGGTGGCGGGCGCCTGTAGTCCCAGCTACTCAGGAGGCTGAGGCAGGAGAATGGCGTGAACCCGGGAAGCGGAGCTTGCAGTGAGCCGAGATTGCGCCACTGCACTCCAGCCTGGGCGACAGAGTGAGACTCCATCTCAAAACAAACAAACAAACAAAAAAACTCTCATTCAAGATCGTAATTTGCATGACAATAAACCATGGTTTTGTGGGCTCTAAGTTTCTTAGAAGTGTCCGCAGCAATTTAGAACAAACACCGCAAGTCTTCCTTCCAATTTGCAGCATCTGATTTAAAGTTTAAATTCATCTAATGCATCATTAAAACTGTCATTTTTACTTCTCTTGTCATTAAAACTTCTCTTGTGAGAAGACATGTTTCACTTGCTATTTCCAGGACTACATCTTGAGCATGGGTGTACAGTATTTTTCATTGGTTAGCAGAATTTTACTCACATAATTTATAGCCAGAATAAGAACCTCTAGCCTCTCTGAATGGCCTTCCACTCAGAACAATGATGATGATTAATGTCTAAAATGTGTCTGAGGTGCCCGCCTTTGACATTACCAAAATGTTTCCAAGTAATCTTAGAAAATATGATTCTTTAAACATATGCGTAATATTCTACCACACAATGTGCCATCACTTGTTTAATCATTTTCCAATTGTTCATTTGTAACATTTGCAATTTTTCATTATAAATAATATTGTGATGAATACTTTCATCCATAAGTTTTACGCAAGGCTGGTTATTTCTTCTAATGTCTTCTAATGTCAAAGAAGTGGCTTACTGTTTCAAACAGCGCACATTCATGGTTTTAAGGCTTTTAGCATACTTTATCAAATAATCTCCAGAATAGCTCGAACAACTCCTACCAACAGTATGTTATTGTGCCCGTAGGGTGGACTTTGTAACAACAAAGCAAATTGAACCACAAATTTATTAGATTCACACCCATCTCAAAACTGTCACATCAATGAAGCAAGGAGACGTATTACTGGTTAGGAAGCCAAATTCAAATTATTTTTAAAAATCACTCAGCTTTAGATCAGTAAAATAATCAACAAAAATGCTCCACATAAAAAGTCTACCGGGTTTTTCAAAAAATAAAAAGACAAAGAGAGAGTCAGGCCGGGCACAGTGGCTCATGCCTGTAATCCCAGCACTTTGGGAGGCCAAGGTGGGCAAATCACGAGGTCAGGAGTTCGAGACCAGCCTGGCAAACATGATGAAACCCCGTCGCTACTAAAAATACAAAAATTAGCTGGGCGTGGTGGCAGGCGCCTGTAATCCCAGCTACTCAGGAGACTGAGGCAGGAGAATCGCTTGAACCTGGGAGGCGGAGGTGGCAGTGAGCTGAGATCATGCCATTGCACTCGAGCCTGGGCGACAGTGTGAGACTCTGTCTCAAAAAAAAAAAAAAAAAGAGAGAGAGACAAAGAGAAAGTCAGTACCAAATGACCAAATTTTATTTTATTTTTTTAGACAGAGTCTCACTCTGTCACCCAGGTTGGAGTGCAATGGCAGATCTCGGCTCACTGCAACCTCCGCCTCCCAGGTTCCAGCGATTCTCAGGCCTCAGCCTCCTGAGTAGCTGGGACTACAGGTGTGCGCCACCATGCCTGGCTAAATTTTGTATTTTTTTTGGTAGAGACGGGGTTTCACCATATTGGCCAGGCTGGTCTCGAACTCCTGACCTCATGATCCACCCGCCTTGGCCTCCCAAAGTGCTGGGATTACAGGCGTGAGCCACCACGCCCAGCAAATGACCAAAATTTTTTATTTGACTAAATTCTATTCATGCATGAGCATGACAGTCTCCCTGTTTATTTGACTTTGGCAATTAAAAAAACAAGCAACCTTGTACAAAACAGTGAAAATGCCAAGGACGAGGGCAGTCTACAGTTTTACTGTAGAATATATATATATTCTACAGTAAATATATATATATGTATATATAAAGGCCTCTCTCCCTTTGGCCATATCAACTCTCAGTTCAGGCCATTAAATACAGACAAATTTTCAAATTCACTTCTTTACTTCTCCAAGATCTTTGATGCTGTCATCATCTACTTCTGGCCATTTTTCTGAATGACATGAATTATGTCATCTGTAAAGTCTCCCCGAATAATTTCATCCTCCCCATTACTGAGGCAGCACAGGAGAATTTTTGAGCAAAAATCTTTGTGCTTCTTTAAGATCAATTTCAAAAGTTGCAAGGCCACACACTCTTGTCACATGTTTCTTCTTTGCTCTAGGAATTTTGGCCTTAGTAAGCTTTTGTGGTATGGTCTTCTTTTTTTGTTTTATTTGGCCTCTTCCACCTCTCTTCTGTTTTTTCTTCTCCTCTTCTTCCCCTGCTGTTCCTTGACCCTCACTAATTCCAGCTTCTTGTTTGGGTGAATTTTCTACAGTAAATTTTGCAAGTTCATTTAGAAAATTCTTCTCTAACCATTGTTTACAATGAGCAACATCAGGCATATATTCACAGTACTCTGTTGGTAATGAACAGACTCCACAATAAAGGACTCGAAGTGGGTAATTGGCATCTAACTTGGCACTGTTCCTTGGGTCTCCTTTGCAATCAGCCCCACTGGATTCAGAAATCTCAGCTCACTGCAACCTCTGCCTCCGGGCTCAAGCAATCCTCCCACCTCAGCCTCCTAGGACCACAGGCACATGCCACCATGCCTGACTAATTTTTTGTATTTTTGGTAGAGATGGGGTTTCGCCATGTTGCCCAGGCTGGTCTTGAACTCCTGACCTCAAGTGATCTGCCCACCTCAGCCTCCCAAAGTGCTGGGATTACAGGCGTGAGCCCCTGTGCCGGGCCTTCATCTTTTATATTTTTTAAAATTGCAGATAAACTTGAAGCTCCCTTTACTGATTAACTCCAATTCCCACAACTCTTCTATTTATTTCTTTTCCTCTGTACTTTTCTCCTCTCTCCTTTCCTTTTCTGCCTGTTTTATACTCCTCTCTTTAATTTAAAAACCTAGTGAGTTTAACATTTTATGTTTTTAGTTTTTTTTGTTTTAGTTGTCATTGTTGTTGGTTTTTGTTTTTTTGTTTTTTGTTTTTTGTTTTAGACAGGGTCTCACTCTATCACCCAGGCTGGAGTGCAGTGGCATGATCATGGCTCACCACAGCCTCAACCTCCCAGGCTTAGGTGATCCACCTGCCTCATGCTTTCAAGTAGCTGGGACTACAGGCATGAGCCAATGTAGCCCGTTGTGTTTAACATTGTATATGCCTCTCTCCTAAATAGCTATTTTTAGAAAAGACTGATTTAAATTGATATTTGCCTCACATGGTCCTCAATTGAAACAGGTTTCCATCTTATTACGAAAGCTATGATTATTACATTATATGATGCTTTTTTTTTTTTTTTTTTGAGACAGAGTCTCCTTCTGTTGCCCAGGCTGGAGTGCAATGGTGTGATCTCGGCTCACTGCAACCTCCGCCTCCCGGGTTCAAGCGATTCTCCTGCCTCAGCCTCCCGAGTAGCTGGGATTACAGGCACATGCCACCACGCCCAGCTAATTTTTGTATTTTTGTAGAGACGAGGTTTCATCATGTTAGTCAGGCTGTCTTGAACTCCTGACCTCGTGATCCACCCACCTCAGCCTCCCAAAGTGCTAGGACTACAGGCATGAGTCACTGTACCCTGCTGATGCTTTTTCTTATATGACTTTTTTTTTTGAGACATGGTCTCATTCTGTTCCCCAAACTGGAATGCAGTGGCACAAACACAGCTCACTGCAGCCTTGATCTCCTAGACTCAAGTGATCCTCCTGCCTCAGCCTCCCAAGATAGCTGAAACTACCATGCCCAGCTAATTTTTTAAATTTTTGTGGAGATGAGGTCTTGCCGTGTTGCCCAGGCTGGTCTCAAACTCCTGGTCTCAAGCAATCTTCCTGACTCCACCTGCCAAAGTGCTGGGATTACAGGCATGAGCCATGGTGCCCTGTCTTGTATGACTTTTAAATTGCCCCTGAAGGCCGGGCGCAGTGGCACATGCGTGTAATCCCAGCACTTTGGAAGGCCAAGGAGGGCAGATCGCCTGAGATCAAGAGTTCGAGACCAGCCTGGCCAACATGGTGAAACACTGTCGCTACTAAAAATAGAAAAATTAGCCTGGCATGGTGATGGGCGCCTGTAATCCCAGCTACTCAGGAGGCTGAGGCAGAAGAATCGCTTGAACCCGGGAGGTGAAGGTTGCAGTGAGCCAAGATCGCACCACTGCACTCCAGCCTGGTGACAGAGCAAGACTCCATCTAAAAAAAAAAAAATTGCCTCTGAAGGTATGTCTAGAATTCAAAGATATTTTAAGCTACTTGCAGCATTAGAATGAACTTATGACATCTCAATATTACAACTTTGGGGAAAAACATTCTACTGACTGTCTCAATTCTGGTTATATTAGCTAAAAACTAAAACCACTTTTAAGTTATAAAAATCCCATTACTTAGGCCACAGCTCATTTTCAGTCAAAAACATTATTATTCTTACCAGAGTTAGCTGGAAATCATTGTCTATTTTCAGAGGTCAGATTTATTCTCAGAGGGCAAATCCTCACCATAAAAGAAATATTCAGGTCAGGCACGATGGCTCACGCTTGTAATTCCAGCACTTTGGGAGGCCGAGGAGGCAGTGTCTCTTGAGCCCAGGAGTTTGAGACCAGCCTGGGCAACATTGTGAGACCTCACCTCTACTAAAAAAATAATTGGCCTGGTGTGGTGGCTCACACCTGTAGTCTCAGCTCCTTGGGAGGCTGATGTGGGAGGATTGCTTGAGCCCAGGAGGTCAAGGCTGCAGTGAGCTATGGTCTTGCCATTGCCTTCCAGCCTGGGTGACAGAGCAAGGCCCTATCTATAAAAACAGAAAGAAAGAAATATTCAGCAGAATATGTTGTAGCCTCTCTGAAGGGGATGCCACTCATTTGGAATAACAGCAATTCAACGTTCGAAGAGAACTTAAAAATCTAATAATTCATCAGCCTGGGCAACATGGTAAAACCCCATCTCTACCAAAAATACAAAAAAAAAAAAAAAATTAGCCAGGTGTGGTGGCACATGCCTGTAGTCCCAGCTACTAGGGAGGCTGAGGTGGGAGAATTGCTTGAACCCTGAAGGCAGAGGTTACAATGAGCTGAGATGGCACCACTGCACTCCAGCCTGGGTGACAGAGTGAGACCCTGTCTCGAAAAAAAAAAATCTAATAATGCAAATTTTTTCTCATACAGGTGAAGAAAAAGTTATCCATAGAGAGAAAGTAACTTGCCAGAAGTCACACAGGGAGCTAGTGGCAGGGCTGGGACCAGAACCCAGGTTTTTACATGCTGGTTCATTCTTTGACTCCCCAAACGCATTCCCATCCCCCGCCCCCAATCCCCTATCTCCTCGCCTCCACTGAGATATCCGATGCCCAGAGCCCTGGTTAGACAGCTGAAGGTGATGTCTATAAGCAGTCTCATTATTATATGACTTACTGCTGAAACTTTACTGAGTGTAATGTAATGTTTCCCCTAATCCGCAAACTTCTTCATAACCACTGTGTCATATGATCAGTGTCAACTTTCTCAATCTTGTAACCACAGCTGGCTTCATGAGCATGCAGCTTGTGTAGCTGCACCAGGCCTCGTGCTTAAAGGGCCAATGGCTTGGTTTAATGCTCTCCTGTCACCATCTCTTAATTTTTTAACAAGGGGTCCTACATTTCATTTTTCACAGGGCCTGGCAAATTGTGCCTCAACTCTAACACTTCCCCCTCCTCCTTTTGTTAGTTACTTGTCTCTCTTCCCTGCACTGAAAGCCATTTAAAGGTAGGGCATCCGTTATTCACATATGCAGAACATAAAGCAACTTGATTCAGTTTTTCAGGGCCAGAGAACCCATTATGGACCCAGAGAAAGCTATGGACCCTCTCCCCTGAAAAATCACATATGCACAGTGTTTCACAGACAATTTCAAGGTCAAGAATTCCCTCTTGCTCTATCATTTCCCTTTCTTCCCAAGTATATGCTTTTTTCCAAAAGCCTGATCAAAGGAAAGCCTGCCTTCATCTTAACTAACCTGAATGAGTCTGCTGAAGTCTGCAGTTGCTCCTCCATGCTGGGGTCCAGCTGATACTTCTTGATCTGTGTTCACTGTCCTTCACAGGGATGAGCTTTACCAAGAACCCCCAGGTCTCTGGCCATTGGTGCTTGGCAGGGCTGGTGGAAGCCACTATTATGACTAACTGAGCCCAGTCACCTCCCCTCCAATGCCAGCTTGCTGGCTACCCAGACACTCTGGCTGCCTTGACTAGTGCCACTAGCAAAGCCCAGGGCAGGCTGTCAGAGTTGTGCCTCATGAACACCTAGTATGGTCAGCAGCTGACACTGTTCACTGTCTTCAAGAAGACTACTTAAACAAACAAACAAAAAATACTAAAACAATGCTAAAATAAAAATTAAAAGGGGAGCCAGGTGCAGTGGTGCCCCTATAGTCCCAGCTACTTGAGTGGCTGAGGCAGGAGGATCACCTAAGTCCAGGAGTTTCAGGCCAGCCTGGGCAACACAGTGAGATCACATCTCAAAAAAATTAAAAAGGCCGAGCACGGTGGCTCACACCTGTAATCCCAGCACTTTGGGAGGCTGAGGCGGGCGGATCACCTGAGATCAGGAGTTTGAGACCAGCCTGGTCAACATGGTGAAACCCGATCTCTACTAAAAGTACAAAATTAGCCGGGCGTAGTGGTGCATGCCTGTAATCCCAGCTACTCAGGAGGCTGAGATGGGAGAATCGCTTGAACCCGGGAGGTGGAGGTGCCTTTGCCTCTTCTTCCATTCTCATCTCTCACTACACCTCTGTCTCAGTAGGTACTTAGCCATGCCACATGACTGGGAGACTGTAGTCCTTTCCTTTGCTGTGGGGAACAAGGCCTTATCCCTGAAGGATTAAGATACAATACTCTCCCCAGTGCTGTCGCTAAGGGGATGCCTTCAGTGCACACTCAGGACGCTGAGTGTACCCTACTCAGGGATGATCTCAACACTGTTGTCTCTTATATTCCCTCAAGCAGAGATCTTGCACATTAGCATACATGTGTGCACGCACGTCAACAAGACTCCTGGGTTACATCAACCAATTGCACTGGACCTGTACAAACCCTCATTGCTGTTACTACTCATGAGGAACACACTCACTGCTATTAATACAATTGCAGTGGGCTTGTACAAACTTTCCATGACTTTCCATGCCCTCTTTTCCACAACTTAGTCAGATTCAGTCACACTTATGCATTTGTAAATTCTTCAGCTCTTAAGGAAACATAATAAGTGACCCTTATAAATCTTTCTCTGTGTAACTTTTTTTTTTTTTGAGACAGAGTCTCGCTCCGTCGCCCAGGCTGGAGTGCAGTGGCGTGATGTCGGCTCACTGCAACCTCCACCTCCCCGGTTCACACCATTCTCCTGCCTCAGCCTCCCAGGTAGCTGGGACTACAGGTGCCCGCCACCACGCCCGGCTGATTTTTTTTTGTATTTTTTAATAGAGACGGGGTTTTACCGTGTTAGCCAGGATGGTCTTGATCTCCTGACCTCGTGATCCGTCCGCCTCGGCCTCCCAAAGTGCTGGGATTACAGGCATGAGCCACCGCGCCTGACCTTCTCTGTGTAACTATTTAAGCTGCCCAGTGGCACAATGACAGGGAGGCAAGAATTGGAAATGAGGAATTTGCTATGTTCTGAATGTTTATGCCCTCTCAGATTCAGATGTTGAAATCCTCACTGCCAAGGTTATAGTGTAAGGAGGTGGGGCCTTTTGGAGGTGACTAGGTCATGGTGGCAGAGCCCTCATGAATGAGACTAGTGCCTTTACAAAAGAGGCCCAAGGGAAAGCCCTTCCACCTTGTGAGATTAGAGAGATGATGGCTGTCTATGAAGAAATAGGCCCTCACTAGATATCGAATCTGCCTGCACCTTGATCTTGGACTTCCCAGCCTCCAGAACCATGAGAAATAAATTTCCGTTGTTTAGAAACCACCCAGTCTATGATATTTTGTTATAGTCACCTAAACAGACTAAGACAGGATTCATAGAATTAAGGATAGAAGGTAGATTCTTTCATTCATATAACAAATTTTTGTCAAGTTTCCACTCTGTGCCTCAGACTCTATAGTGAGTCATATAGTCCTATCCTCTTATGAAGGGGGCCTGCCCCTCCACACCTGTGGGTATTTCTCATCAGGTGGGACGAGAGACTGAGAAAAGAAATAAGACACAGAGACAAAGTATAGAGAAAGAACAGTGGGCCCAGGAGACCGGTGCTCAGTATACAGAGGACCCGCACTGGTGCCAGTCTCTGAGTTCCCTCAGTATTTATTGATTATTATTTTTACTATTTTAGTGAGGGGAGTGTAGCAGGGCAACAGGTGGGGAGAAGGTCAGCAGGGAAACATGTGAGCAAAGGAATTAGTATCATGAGTAAGTTCAAGGAAAGGTACTGTGCCTGGATGTGCACGTAGGCTAGATTTATGTTTTTCTTTACCCAAACATCTCAGTGTAGCAAAGAGTAACAGAGCAGTATTGTTGTCAGTATATCTCCCCTCTAGCCACAGGGCGGTTTTCTCCTATTTTCTCCTATCTTAGAATAAAATGAATGGGAATGGTCGGCTGTACACTGAGACATTCCATTCCCAGGGAGGAGCAGGAGACAGATGCCTTCCTCTTATCTCAACTGCAAAGAGGCCTCCCTCTTTCACTACTCCCCCTCAGCACAGACCCTTTATGGGTGTCGGGTTGGGGGATGGTAAGGTCTTTCCTTTCCCACGAGGCCATATCTCAGGCTGTCTCAGTGGGGGGAAACCTTGGACAATACCCAGGCTTTCTTGGGCAGAGGTCCCTGCGGACATTGTGTCCAGTGCATTGTGTCCCTGGTTAATCGAGAATGGAGAATGGCGATGACTTTTACCAGGCATACTGCCTGCAAACATGTTAACAAGGCACATCCTGCACAGCCCTAAATCCATTAAACTTTGATTCAATACAGCACATGTTTCTGTGAGCACAGGGTTGGGACTAAAGTTACAGGTTAACAGCATCTCAAAGCAGAAACAATTTTTCTTAGTACAGATCAAAATGGAGTTTTTTATGTCTTCCTTTTCTACATAGACACAGTAACAACCTGATCTCTCTTTCTTTTTTTTTTATTTTTTTTTTAGACGAAGTCTCGCTCTGTTGCCCAGGCTGGAGTGCAGTGGCTCACTCAGCTCACTGCAAGCTCTGCCTCTTGGGTTCACACCATTCTCCTGCCTCAGCCTCCCGAGTAGCTGGGACTACAGGTGTCTGCCACCACGCCCGCCTAATTTTTTTGTATTTTTAGTAGAGACGGGGTTTCACCATGTTAGCCAGGATGGTCTTGATCTCCTGACCTCATGATCCGCCTGCCTCAGCCTCCCAAAGTGCTGGGATTACGGGCGTGAGCCACCGCGCCCAGCCTGATCTCTCTTTCTTTTCCCTACGCTCTTATTTTTATTTTATTTTATTTATTTATTTATTTATTTATTTATTTATTTATTTTTTAGAGACAGAGTCTTGCTCCGTTGCCCAGGCCGGAGTGCAATGGCACAATCTCAGCTCACTGCAACCTCCGCCTCCCGGTTCAAGCGATTCTTCTGCTTCAGCCTCCCAAGTAGCTGGGATTATAGGCATGCACCACCAAGCCTGGCTAATTTTTGTATTTTTAGTAGAGACGGGTTTCACCATGTTGGCCATGCTGGTCTCAAACTCCTGGCCTCAAGTGATGCACCCACCTCAGCTTCCCAAAGTGCTGGGCTTATAGGCGTGAGTGCCGGGCCCTTAAAACTGAGAAAGCTGAGACCTAGGTGGACCTAGGGTCAGGCAGCCATTTAAATGACAGGTTCATCCAAGTGATCTGACTCGTGTGTCTGGATCCTTCTTTTTATCCACCATGCTGAAGAGAAACTCATCTTAAGTCCTAAATACAGATGATGAATTTAAAAGGAGAACTGTCATCAGAGATATCACACATCAAATAACAGTCTTCATCATTGCAGAGTGGAAAGACAGTTGAGAAACCCAGTTACACAGCTACTCATTGCTGTCAGCATTATTGTCCTGTTTTTTTGTTTTGTTTTGTTTCGTTTTTTTTTTGAGACAGAGTCTTACTCTGTCACCCAGCCTGCAGTGCAGTGGCACAATCTTTGCTCACTGCAACCTCTGCCTCCTGGATTCAAGTGATGCTTCTACCTCAGCCTCCCAAGTAGTTGGGATTACAGGCATGCGCCACCACACCCAGCTAATTTTTGTATTTTTAGTAGAGACGAGCTATCACCATGTTGGTCAGGCTGGTCTCGAACTCCTGACCTCAGGTGATCCACCTGCCTTGGCCTCCCAAAGTGCTGGGATTATAGGCGTGAGCCACAGGGCCCGGCCTAGCATTATTGTCCTGTATTAATAGCAGGGAGTGTGTTTCTCTAATGAGTAATAACAGCAACAAGGTCTGTACAGATCCAAAAACGTTTACCTGTAATTGCAAAATCCCAACACCCTGAAAAGTATAAGGTTTTGTTCCCCCTTTGGCAACTCATTTGGCAGCAAAATCTGAACTTACCTGAAGACATTTGGCAACAAAACCCGTCCCGAATTGATGTGAATCAATTCATAGTCTGTATTCATCCTGCCTATTATGAAGATCCATGCCTTTTTGCTATAGAAGCATTAATATTTTCATTATAGGGTTCTCCCAGACCCCTTATATGTGGTTTAACATAATATATGGATGATACTATTTTTCTAACGTTCACAAAGTTCTGAATTCTAAAAAACATCTGACCCCAAGAATCCTAATACAACTAAACATTATGGACCTGTATTACATTTAGAATATACATATCCCTCCAGAATTGAGGTAAGGAATACTGGTCTTTAACTTTCTCCCTATTATACCCAAATAAGATTTACTCCACTGAGACTTTACCAATCCAAGACTCAGTCCAACTGTATGGTTCTACCAGGAGAACTGTTTTGCCGGGGGTTGGTCTGTTTGTCTTAAACTAACCCCTAGGATTCACTTTTCCTGAGTTAGGCTGGGGATTTGACCTGGTGAGATCTCCTGCCTACCCATTGTGCAGTGAATAGTGTTTACATTAGGCTTATGGCTGCTCTGATGGTGAACTGAGCTTGTACCTACATTATGAAGTGTTCAGAGCAAGTGATCACTGTGGACTTTGGCCAGTCCATGGACATCCAGTCCCATGGATATTGGCCTCTGGTCATGAGCTGTCCCACTACCCCTTGGATTTGTGAATATTGAACTGGACTGTTGATTCAGCCCCCTCGTTCTCAATCCTGTTCCTGGGTCTAACTTAATCTTCCCCAAACTCCTGCCACCTTTTTCTTTCTTCCTTTCTTTTCTTTTTTGGTATGATCACAGCTCACTGGAGCCTCAACCTCCCAGGTTCAAGCAATCCTCCCTCCCACCTCACCCTCCCAAGAGGCTGGGACCACAGGTGTGTACTATCACACCTGTGGGTGGCAAGCCACGCAGGTGCCAAGGCAAGAGACCGAGGGCACAAGCTGCTCCAGTATAATAAAGAAAATATATAGAATAAGAATAGTTATACTAGAAATAGATTATAGATGTGATTATATATGAATATCATTAATCATTAGTTTGTAGCATTACTCTTTATTCCAATATTATAATAATCTTTGTTCTACAATTATAACCTAGGAAAAACCAGGCCATACAGAGATAGGAGCTGAAGGGACACGGTGAGCAAGTGACCAGAAGACAAGAGTGTGAGCCCTCTGTTACGCCCGGACAGGGCCACTAGAGGGCTTCCTGGTCTAGCAGTAATGCCAGCACCTGGGAAGGCACCCATTACCTAGTGGACCTTGGTCTAGTGGTAGCATCAGTGCTCGGGAAGGCACCGGTTACTTAGCAGACCGAGAAAGGGAGTCTCCCTTTCCCCGGGGGAGTTAGAGAAGACTCTGCTCCACCACCTCTTGTGGAAGGCCTGACATCAGTCAGGCCCACCCGCAGCCTCCAGAGGCCTGACCATCTCCCTGTGATGCTGTGCTTCAGCGGTCACGCTCCTGGTCCGCTTTCATGTTCCACCCCGTACACCTGGCTCCGCCTTCTAGAGAGTGGTAGCAGAATTAGTAAAAGTACTAAAGTCTTTGAAATGCATAGAAGAAATAATGGCATAAACTGTCCTCTCTCTCCGCCTCGGCTGCCAAACAGGGAAGGGCCTCCTGTCTGGTGGACACGTGACTTGTGTAACCTTATCTATCACTGGAGATGGCTCACACTCCTTACCCTGCCCCCTTGTCTTGTATCCAATAAATAACAGCACAGCCAGGCATTCGGGGCCATTACTGGTCTCTGTGCCTTGGTGGTAGTGGTCCCCCGGACCCAGCTGTATTTTATTCTGTCTCTTTGTCTTGTGTCTTTATTTCTACGATCTCTCGTCTCCACACATGAGGAGAAAAAACCCACAGACCCAGTAGGGCTGGACCCGATAACACCCGGCTAATTTTTTAAAAATTTTTTGTAGAGATGAGGTCTCTCTATGTTGCCAGGCTGGTCTCAAATTCCTAAGATCAAGGAATCCTCCTCCTGTGGCTTCCTCCAGTGCTGGGATTATAGGCGTGAGCCACCATGCCTGGCCTCTTTTTCTAGCTCAGATTTTCCGGCCACTCTCACTTCTTTGTAGAAATTCCCATTACAGTTTTTGGCCCATGAGTATATTATTTATGGTAAGGAAAACCCAAAGACACAAAATAACTACACGTACCGCCTCCTAATTTATAACATGCCTCTTGTAACTTGCCTTAATCGAGCTCATTTGTTTTTGTTTTTGAGATAGAGTCTCACTGTGTTGCCCAGGCTGGGTAACAGTGCAGTGGTACAATCACAGCTCACTGTAGCCTCAACTTCCTGGGGTCAGGTGATTCTCCCACCTCAGCCACCCGAGTAGCTGGGAACACAGTCTTGTGCCGCCACTCCCTGCTAAGAGCCTTTTGTTAATCAGAGCTTCCCACCACATTCCACCACATCTCCATCCTTTACTTTCCTTGTTTTTTAAAGTTGAATTTCTTTCTTTCTTTTTCTTTCTTTCTCTCTCTCTTTCTTTCTCTTTTTTTTTTTTGTTTTTTGTTTTTTGTTTTTTGAGACAGTTTCCCTCTTTCACCCAGGCTGGAGTGAAGTGGTACGATCTCAGCTCACTGCAACTTCCTCCCCCTGGGTTCAGGCGATTCTCCTGCCTCAGCCTCCTGAGTAGGTGGATTTATAGGCATCTACTCAGGAGGCCACCACCTGGTTAATTTTTGTATTTTTAGTAGAAACGGGGTTTCACCATGTTGGCCAGGTCGAACTCCTGACCCCAAGTGATCCATTCGCTTCAGCCTCCCAAAGTGCTGGGATTATAGGCGTGAGCCACCAGCCCAGCCGGGTTGAATTTATTTCTAATTTGCCTTCCTAATTAATACCCATTAAAGCTAGATGCTGTTATTTGAAAAATGGTCTTTTTAGCAACAATCAGAAGCTAAAAATTAAAAACAATATTGCTTTTGGAAGAGATCAATGATACAGAATAAAAATTTTAAATATATATTTAATTTTATGTAACTAAAATATTATCTAGTTTACAAATATTTCATATTTCTATTCCAAATGTTACTGTATTGAATCTTTATGAATTCTAGACAGCATGATATAATAATAAGTTTCAAAACATTATGATAACTATTCATGATGTAATTTTTCCTCTGCCTCCACAATCCAAGTTTACCAGTCCTAGCTCTTGTCTCATTAGGACCCAGTCCTGTACTAAAACAAATCTGAAGTCTGATAAATTAATGAGAAATATTATTGGCACATTAGCCTTTTAATAAAGGTCATCAATATCTTTTCCTGAAGAAATAGTTGGGCTGGGTGCGGTGGCTCACACCTGTAACCCCAGCACTTTGGGAAGCCAAGGCAGGCAGATCACTTGAGGTCAGGAGTTTGAGATCAGCTTGGCCAACATGGTGAAACCTTGTCTCTACAAAAAATACAAAAATTAGCTGGGCGTGGTGGCAAGCACCTGTAGTCCCAGCTACTCAGGAGGCTGAGGCAGGAGAATTGCTTGAATCCGGGAGGCAGAGGTTGCAGTAAGCCAAGATCGCACCACTGCACTCCATCCTGGGCAACAGAGTGAGATTCCATCTTAAAAAAAAAAAGAGAGAAAGAAAGAAAAGAAATAGTTAAGTGCTCCATCGGTTAGTAGATATTGATGGAGCAAACATGATGTTCTTATTCCAATCCATCATGATTCTTACAATCTAGACGGAGTTGGCAAACTTTTTCTGTAAAAGGCCAGATAATAAATATTTTATGCTTTGTGGAACACATAGGGTCTCCGTTGGATATTCTTTTTTTTTTTTTAATAGAATCATTTAAAAATGTAAAAACCATTCTTATCTCCAGACTGGATAAATGCCATATGAAATGTGAGAAGGGCAAATAAGTACTGTAGTCACTCATTTGGGCTTTGATGACCATTAACAAATGATAAGTAAATAAATGTTTGTATAGCAAGCTAAGCACTGCGATCAGTGGGAAAGGACAAGCATCATATGGGGACCAGGAAGTAGCCAAGCTTGGATGGAATTTATTACTTCCTGTGAGAAAATATAAAGCTGGAAATCATGGTGGAGAGCCCCTGTCATTGAGGAGTTAATATCTTAGAAGGGGGATGCCATATATATATATATATACATACTATATATATATATTATATATATTATAAAATATATATAGTATATATATACTATATATAATATATGATATATATAATATATATAGTATATATATAGTGTATATATAATATATGATATATATAATACTATATATAGTATTATATATATAGTGTATATATAATATATGATATATATAATACTATATATATAGTATTATATATATAGTGTATATATATATACACACATACACACAAATGAACAAATATGGCTGAGTGGTGGCTCACTTTGGGAGGCTTAGGTGGGAGGATCACTTGAGCCCAGGAGTTCAAGACCAACCTGGGTAATAGAGTGAGCCTTCATCCCTACAAAAAAAAATTTTTTTTTAAATTAGCCAGGTGTGTTTGCACATGCCTGTAGTGCCAGCTACTCAGGAGGATGAGGTGGGAGGATGGCTTGAGCCTGGGAGGTTGAGACTGCAGTGGCCCAAGATTGTGCCACTGCACTCCAGCCTGGGTGACAGTGAGACTCTGTCTCAAAACAAACAATGACAACAGAAAAAAACTATATGAGCTTGAGTTAGAAAATATAGGCCAGGTGCAGTGGCAGTGGCTGGCGGATCACTTGAGGACAAGAGTTCGAGACCAGCCTGGCCAACATGGTGAAATCCCGTCTTTACTAAAAATACAAAAATTAGCCAGGTGTGGTGGTGGGCACCTGTAATCCCAGCTACTCTGGAGGCTGAGGCACGAGAATCTCTTGAACCTGGGAGGAGGAGGTTGCAGTGAGCCAAGATCGTGCCACTGCACTCCAGCCTAGCTGACAGAGCAAGACTCTGTCTCAAAAAAAATAAAAAGAGTTAGAAAATATAAAATGCTTAGTCTGGCCAATGTGGTAAAATCCTGTCTCTACAAAAAATACAAAAATTAGCCTGGCATAGTGATGGGCACCTGTAGCCCTAGCTACTGGGGCAGGAGACTGAGGCAGGAGAATCACTTGTACCTGGGAGGTGGAGGTTGCAGTGAGCCGAGATTATGCCACTGCACTCTAGCCTGGGCAACAAGAGAGAGACTCCATCTAAAAAAAAAAAAATCCAGCTAGCAAATAAATAAATACATAAATCCAGGGGGCCTATGTCAACAGCTCCATCCTCCTGACACAAACTATACCTGCATTCGTTCTCTCTGGGTTTGGGAATCTAGGATATGAGCCAACATATATGCTTGTCTGAAGGGGCCACTTACCTCTTCATCTTTCTCACTGAGACTTAATTTATTAGCCTTATTCTGTACATCTTAATAAAATCTCTGCTACTGTGAGGCCCTACTGGGGGCCTTTCAACAACTCTGCCCAGGCCTGGGGTCTCCTGGGGCCACAGACATTAAAAAAACACACAGAAGCAGCCAACACACCACCCTCTGGACAGCAGAGACCAGTGCAATGCATTGCTTTTTCTCTTTGCTCCAATCTCCTTCTGTTCCTTGTCTTTCTCTCTTCCTCTTCCCATCTCTCTTCTCTCTTCTTCCCTCATCAATTCCCCTTCCCCATCCTAAGCCTTGCTAATCCTCCAGCTCCACCAGGACACTTGCCTAACAGGGTCACAACACCAGCCCAAAGAAGCACAAAGAAAGCAGGAAGGCCTCTTACCATTACCCCTGACCCACCCACCTGACCACCTTCTCTGTCCCACTCAGGCCTCCTGGGATGGATGTCACCCGCTTACTCCTGGCCACCCTGCTGGTCTTCCTCTGCTTCTTCACTGCCAACAGCCACCTGCCACCTGAGGAGAAGCTCCGAGATGACAGGAGCCTGAGAAGCAACTCCTCTGTGAACCTACTGGATGTCCCTTCTGTCTCTATTGTGGGTAAGTCACCTAGCCTCTGGGCTCTGGCCCAGGAGAGGGGCTGCAGGAGATCAAGCATGCTTCCCAGGGTGCTACCAGGATCCACCGCCATGGTCACGGCTCCTTCTTGCTCGTTCCAGGAAATAATCCTGGGAGAATAAGGTGGCCCTTGACTCATTTGGTTTGGGAAAGCTCTGCATGCCACCAGTCTAATAAGCAGCTTAGCATATGGTAGAGGCTCTGAAAGGCCTGAAGTTAAGACACTTGGTGAACTTTGTTTAATTTAGCATTTCTGAAACTTAATGAATCACAGAACTCCTGTCAACAGTAACAAACTTCAGGAAATGCTCCAGAACATATGCAAGTCTGGGATGGACCAGTCCTGTCATGTCAGGGTTGGGAATGAAGGCTCAGGGGAAAATATGAGGGGCACTGGAGCCTGGCATTGGAGATCTGGTTTGACTTCACCTGATAATAATCATAGACATACTGTGTGGTAGGCACTGTGAGGTGAGTATGGTCTTTATTCATATTTCACAGTTGAGGAACTTGAGGCTTAGGAGAATTAAGTAACTAGCACGGATCACACAGTTTTTAACTGGCAAAGCCAGAATTCAAAATCAGGTACTTAACTCCAGAACCTAAGCTCAAAACTAATATCTCTTACTACCTCGGCTTTTGCTAGGAAACGAGGATATTTGAGGCTGGGTGAGGTGGCTCACACCTGTAATCCCAGCACTTTGGGAAGCTGGAGGCATGAGGATTGTTTGAGCCTAGGAGTTCAAGACCAGACTGAGCGACATAGGGAGACCCCGTCTCTACAGAAAAATTTAAAAACTAGCAAGGCACGTGGCATGCACCTGTAATCCCAGCACTTTCGTAGGCTGAGGCGGGCAGATCTCTTGAGCTCAGGTGTTCAAGACCAGCCTGGTCAACAGGGTGAAACCCCGTCCCTATTAAAAATACAAAAATTAACCAGGCATGGTAGCATGCGCCTGTAGTCCTAGCTACTTGGGAGGCTGAGGCAGGAGGATCACTTGAGCCCAGGAGTTTGAGCCTACAATGAGCCATGATTGTGCCACTGCACTCCAGCCTGAGTGACAGAGTGAGATCCTGTCTCAAAAACAAACAAACAAAAACTAGCCGGGAATGGTGGTGCATGCCTATGGTTCCAGCTATTTGGGAGGCTGAGGCAGGAGGATTGCTTGAGCCCAGGAGGTCGACGCTGCAGTGAGCTATGATCACACCATTGCACTCCAGCCTGGGTGACAGACAGACCCTGACTCAAAAAAGAAATTTTTTAATAAATAAATAATCGGCCAGGCGCGGTGGCTCACACCTCTAATCCCAGCGCTTTGGGAGGCCAAGGTGGGCAGATCACCTGAGGTCAAGAGTTTGAGACCAGCCTGGCCAACATGGCAAAACCCCATCTCTACTAAAAATACAAAAATTAGCCAGGTGTGGTGGTACATGCCTGTAATCCCAGCTACTTGGGAGGCTGAGACAGGAAAATCACTTGAACCCAGGAGGCAGAAGTCACAGTGAGCCGAGATCGCACCACTGTACTCCAGCCTGGGCAACAGAGTGAGACTCTGTCTCAAAAGAAAAAAAAAAGAAGAAGAAGAAAGAAAGAGGATATTCTACACATATCAGACAGGGAAGGGAGGAACATCAACATTTATTGATCTTCAGTGTAACAGACTTTTCACTTTATAAACAGACTTCATTTATCCTCAAGACAATACTGCAAGGCAGATATTATGGAACCTTTTTTGCAGATGAAAAAACTGAGTCTCATGGAGGATAAGTAAGTTACCCACAGCCACATAGTCATTATATTGGCAGAGTCAGGATTCAAATCAGGTCCTCCTGGCTCCAGAGCTCTCAGGAATGGAAAATAGGAAACACAGGTGCATCTGTGTACAAGACAGGAGTCCATTTTCTGGGTATCACAATGTTCCTGTGCCTGCCACAATGGAGATGAAGGAAGGGGCACCTGGGGTGGCTCTGAGTGGCCCAAGCTCACTTAGGTCGAGGGACCAGGCCCCACAAGAGTGTCACAGGCAGATCCCAGTGCCTGCTTGGATTTCCCATTTGCCTTCCCTCAGAGGACACGTTGCTATCAGTGCCTGGCTCCAGGTCAGTAGCCGGGCTAACAAGAACCTACTGGCTTGAGTCCTACAGTGTGACTCATCCAGCACGCTTCTTCTCCTCTCCCTGACCTTGTGACTTCCCAAGCCCCCTCTGCCCCTCTCACTTCACTGCAGCTCAACGTCCCCAGAAACATCTGACTTTGCTCCTTTTGTCTCTCTTTGAAGCGCTGAACAAGAAATCCAAACAGATCGGCAGAAAAGCAGCAGAAAAGAAAAGATCTTCTAAGGTAAGGGCAGGGAAGTTCTGGGAGTTCTCATTGTTGGGGTGAGACTGGACTTAAAGAAGGAGGACCCCCAACCTCTGGCTAGGAACTAAATGAAAGATTTTTCAGGCCTATATTAACAAAAGAAACTGAAAGCTACTAAAGACTTCCTGGCTTGAGCTCTGAGCCAGACACCCACAGAAGCCCAGGGAGCTGAAGTCCACTGAGCAAAATAGGTTACGAAAAGCAGCTTCCTCTACTAGTTAGCCCCTGCCTGAAATTTCACCATCACTCATACTTTTGGATGAATGTGGTGTTTCCCAAACCTCAGTCATTTCAGAACCACATTTATAACTTTGCCATATCTGAGTTCCACCTATTTATTTAACATATTTGTTTAAAATTAAATCTTAGGCCGGATGCGGTGGCTCACGCCTATAATCCCAGCACTTTGGGAGGCCAAGGTGGGTGAATCACCTGAGGTCAGGAGTTCGAGACTAGCCTGGCCAACATGGTGAAACCCCGTCTCTACTAAAAATACAAAAATTAGCCAGGCGTGGTGGTGGGCGCCTGTAATCCCAGCTACTTGGGAGGCTGAGGCAGGAGAATTGCTTGTACCCGGGAGGTGGAGGTTGCAGTGAGCTTGAGCCATTGCACTCCAGCCTGGTGACAAGAGTGAAACTCTGTCTCAAAACAACAACAACAAAAAATTAAAACTTAAAAAATGCAGTTGACTCTTGAACACATGTGTTTGAACTCATGGGTCCACTTATACATTGGTTATTTTATGTCTTTTTTTTTTTTTCTTTTTTTTTGAGATGGAGTTTTCGCTCTCGTTGCCCAGGCCAGAGTTCGGTGGCGTGATCTTGGCTCACTGCAACCTTCACCTGGCGAGTTCAAGCGATTCTCATGCCTCAGCCTCCCGAGTAGCTGGAATTACAGGCACATGCCACCATGCCCAGCTAATGTTTTTGTATTTTTAGTAGAGATGGGGTTTCGCCAAGTTTGTCAGGCTGGTCTCGAACTCCTGACCTCAGGTGATCCACCTGCCTCAGCCTACCAAAGTGCTGGGATTACAGGGGTGAGCCACCTTGCCCAGCTGACTTTTTAAATTGGAAAATATTTTTGAAGATTGACAATTAGAAAAAACAGGTGAATCTTGTTACCTAGAAATATTTAAAAAATGAAAAAAAAGTATGTCATTAATGCATAAAATATATGTAGATACTAGTCTATTTTATCACTTGCTATCATACAATATACATAAATCTATTATAAAAAATTAAAATTTCCCAAAACATATGTACACACAGACAGTACATACCATTCAAAATAGAAAGAAAATAACCAAATGTAAAGATGTAGTACTAAATCATAACTGTGTAAACAACTGCAGTACATACTGTACTACCATCATAATTGTGAAGATACCTCCTGTTGCCATTGCGGCATGCTCAGGTGTTGCGAGTACGTGCTTACAACGCTCTGTGAGCTAATCATCTCTGCACAAGGAGTCTCACCAGGAAATCACATATTGCAGTAAAATGTGATCCCTCAAGGTTCTCGTGTATTTTTCAATGTGTTTAATGCAATATTGTAAACCTTGAGTAGTACCAAGGGACCCATACTAGGTGCTACTAGTGATTCTGGAAGTGTTCCCAAGAAGCAAAGAAGAGTCATGACATTACAAGAAAAAGTTGCTTGAATTACTTGATTGATACTATAGGTTGAGGTCTGAAGCTTTGGTTGCTTACTATTTCAGACAGACAATACATCTTGTAAACAGATGAAGTAAACTTACGGTATCAATAAATACAGTACAGTACTGTAAATGTATTTTCACTTCCTTATATTTTCTTATAATCGATCTCTACTTATCCAATAATTTTCTTAATATTTTATTTTCCCTAGTTTACTTCATTTTTTTTTTTTTTTTTTTTTTTAGAAATGGGGTGTCACTCTGTCACTCAGGCTGGAGTGCAGTGGCACCATCTCGGCTCATTGCAGCCTCAACCTCCCAGGCTCAAGTGATCCTCCTGCCTCAGCCCCACAAGCAGCTAGGACTACGGGTGTGCACCACCATGCCTGGCAGATTTTTGTATTTTCAGTAGAGATGAGGTTTTGCGGTGTTGCCCGGGCTGGTCTCAAACTCCTGAGTTCAGGCAATCCGCTGCTTCTGTCTCCTAAACTGCTGGGATTACCTGCATTAGCCACCATGCCCAGCCAGTTTACTTGATTATAAGAGTACAGTATATAATACATATAACATAAAAAGATGTTAATCCACAGTTTATGTTATCAGTAAGGCTTCCTTCTGGCCAACAGTAGGCTATTAGTAGTTAAGTTTTTGAGGAGTCAAAAATAATATGAGGGCCAGGCACGGTGGCTCACACCTATAATCCCAGCACTTTGGGAGGTTGAGGTTGGCAGATCACTTGAGTCCAGGAATTCAAGACCAGCCTGAGCAACATGATGAAACCTCATCTCTACAAAAAATTTAAAAAATTAACTGGGTGTGGTGGTGTGCTCCTGTAGTCCCAGATACTCAGGAGGCTGAAGTAGGAGAATCGCTTGAGCCTGGGATATCGAGGCTACAGTGACTTGTGATCATACCACTGCACTCCAGCCTGGGCAACAGAATAAGACCCTGTCTCAAAGAAAAAAAGGATTTTTGACTGTGTGTAAAGAGTTTGTGCCCCTAACCCCTGCATTGTTCAAGGGTCAACTGTATATAATTATGATAGAAAACTAGTATCACTTACCATAAATAGAAGGTAACTATAAAAATAAGTAAAGTTGGCCGGGCACAGTGGCTCACACCTGTAATCCCAGCACTTTGGGAGGCCAAGGAGGGTGGATCACCTTAGGTCAGGAATTTAAGACCAGTCTGACCAACATGGTGAAACCCCATCTCTACTAAAAATACAAAAATTAGCTGGGTATGGTGCTGCACGCCTGTAATCCCAGCTACTCAGGAGACTGAGGCAGGAGAATCACTTGAACCTGGAAGGCAGAGGTTGCAGTGAGCCAAGATCACACCACTGCACCCTAGCCTGGGCGACAGAGCAAGACTGTCTCAAAAAAAAACAAAAGCGGAGGGGGGGAAGTTAAAACATTGTTAGTAAATTCTGGGTGAATGGATGGTATTGCCTACCAAAGGCTCTAAATTTGAGGCCTAAATCTCTGTGTTAAAAGGCATAATGGCCAGGCACGGTGGCTCACGCCTATAATCCCAGCACTTTGGGAGGCTGAGGTGGGTGGACCACAAGGTCAGGAGATCAAGACCATCCTGGCTAACACGGAGAAACCCCGTCTCTACTAAAAATACAAAAATTAGCCGGAGGTGGTGGCGGGCGCCTGTAGTCCCAGCTACTTGGGAGGCTGAGGCAGGAGAATGGCGTGAACCCGGGAGGCAGAGTACAGTGAGCCGAGACCGTGCCACTACACTCCAGCCTGGGTGACAGAGCGAGACTCCGTCTCAAAAATAATATAAAATAAAACAAAAAATAAAAGGCAGATTAGGCCAGGCACGGTGGCTCATAACTGTAATCCCAGCACTTCAGGAGGCTGAGGCAGGCAGATCACCTGAGGTTAAGAGTTAGAGACCAGCCTAGCCAACATGGTGAAACCCCGTCTCTACTAAAAATACAAAAATTAGCTGGGCGTGGTGGTGCACGCCTGTAATCCCAGCTACCTGGGAGACTGAGGCAGGAGAATCACTGGAACCCGGGAGATGAAGGTTGCAGTGAGCCGAGATGGCACCACTACACTCCAGCCTGGGTGACACAGCAAGACTCCATCTCAAAAACAAACAAACAAACAAACAAAAAAGGCAGATTATAAAGTGTTAGAAAGGCACTAAGGACACGTTAGCACCAAACTGACCCTTTCAAGTTGAAAAAGATTGAAAAAAGAATCCTTTTTTATTGTATAATTCAGGATCATTTAACATTCACGTACCACCTAAAATCATACCACCATTAACACAGGTTCCCACTTTGGGAAATACTGGACTGAGGCATTGCTGAAATGCACACCTTATTCCTGTCTTAGTGTGCCTCAGTTTATCATATCAACTGTAACCAAAGCAAGGAGCACTGGATTAGGTATTAGGAGGTAGGATCTGGCACTGTGTGATCTTGAAAGTCCCTGCTCTTTTCTAGGCCTATTTTGTTGGCTGTAAAGTGAACAAGCAAGATGAGATTATTGACAGATAAAAATATATAACTGACAAATATATTTATATGCTAAGCACTGGGAACATAGCAGTGAATAAGAAAGATATATCTTATCCTTGGTCTCATGGAGTTTACATTCTTGTGGAGAAAACAGGTGAACAGCAAGTAAATCAATAAATAGGTAAATAAATTCAGATGTTAAAGAGTGCAAAGAAATTACAGCACGGTAATGAGACTGAAGGGAAGAGTGGTCTGGGAAGGCCTCTGTAAGGAAGTAGCATTTAAATAGAGTGAAAAACTCAGTAACCTAGAGCAGCAGCGTCCAATAGAAATACAATGTGAGGCCAGGCGCGGTGGCTCACATCTGTAATCTCAGCACTTTGGGAGGGCGACAAGAGTGAAACTGGCTCTCAAAAAAAAAAAAAAAAAAAAAAAAGAACTGTGATGTGAGCTACATAATTTTAAATTTGCTTATGGCCACTTTATTTATTTATTTTTTTTGAGACAGAGTTTTGCTCTTGTTGCCCAGGCTGGAGTGCAATGGCGCAATCTCCACTCACAGCAACCTCCACCTCCCCGGTTCAAACAATTCTCCTGCCTCAGCCTCCCGGGAGTAGCTGGGATTACAGATGTGCCACCATGCTGGGCTAATTTTTGTATTTTTAGTAGAGACGGGTTTCTCCATGTCGGTCGGGCTGGTCCCAAACTCCCGACCTCAGGTGATCCGCCTGCCTAGGCCTCCCAAAGTGCTGGGATTACAGGCATGAGCCACCACACCCAGTTGATAACCATATTTAAAAAAAAAAAAGGTGCAATTAATTGTAATATTTTATTTAACCTAGTGTATTCAAAATGTTAACATTTCAATATGTGATTAATTTAAAAAGTTATTGAAATAATTTATTTTTGTTGTGCTAAATCTTTGAAATCTGGTGCATAGTTTACAGCACATCTCATTCCAATGCTCAGTTTTGACAAGCATAAAATGTAGTTCTAACTAAAAAGTTGTGTTTAAGAGGAAGAATATTTTTATATTGCTTCAGTTTTACATTTTAAATTTAAATTAATTAAAATTAAATTTGAAAATTCAGTTTCTAGGTTGCACTAGACACATTTCACGTACTCAGTAGCCACAGATGACCAGTGGCTACCTGTATCGAAGGTACAAAAACCAGTGGCTATTTCCTTCCCAGGAAAAGAAGCAGCAAGCTGTGGCAGCAGTGTCCAAGACAGCTCCTGCTGGGTTCCTGCAGCAGGAACTCACCTGCTGCGTTCGGTGCACAGCGGGGCAGCGAAGTTAACAGGGGTCGGAGAGGCAAGCAAGGGCCAAATCTCAAAGGCCAAAAGAAAGTTCATGTTTCATTTTAAGTTCAAAGAGAAACCACTTAGGCCGGGCGCGGTGGCTCACGCCTGTAATGTAAACCCAGCACTTTGGGAGGCCGAGGCAGGCAGATCACTTTAGCTCAAGAGTTTGAGACCAACCTGGACAATAAGTGAGACCCCGTCTATAAAAACATAGAAAATAAAATAAAAATAAATTTAGCCAAGCGTGGTGGTGCGCACATGTGGTCCCAGCTACTTGGGAGGTTGAAGTGGCAGAATCGCCTGAGCCCGAGATCGAGATTGCAGTGAGCCGAGATCGCGCCACTGCAGTCCAGCCTGGCTGACAGAGTGAAACCCTGTCTAAAAAAAAAACAAAAAACAAACAAACAAAAAAAACACAAACTAGGGAGAAGACGACCAGGGCCAGGCAAGAGCCAGGTAAGTCTGGATGGGGATGGAGGTGAGGGAATCTGACTGGGGGAGCGGGCGGTGGGCGGTGGGCAAGCCAGCGGGGAAACCTCTGGTCCGGGATCTCCCTAGCCCGAGGAGCTCCCAGGCAGAGGTGAGGACCGGAGGGGTGGGCGTGGCCGGCTCATAAAGCCCCGGCGTTTCCCACGCAGAAGGAGGCTTCGATGAAGAAAGTGGTGCGGCCCCGGACCCCCCTATCTGCGCCCTGCGTGGCCACCCGCAACAGCTGCAAGCCGCCGGCACCCGCCTGCTGCGACCCGTGCGCCTCCTGCCAGTGCCGCTTCTTCCGCAGCGCCTGCTCCTGCCGCGTGCTCAGCCTCAACTGCTGAGCGCCCCCACTCCCGGCCGCGAGCAGGCAGGGCTTCGGGGACGCGGGGCGCTTCTCGGGCGGGTGATCCCTAACAGGGCGGCTTCCCAGGGCTGCAGGCGGGCGGAGGTTCCAGGAGATGGGACTTCAGGGAGACCTGGCTTGGGCTAAAATCGAAATACAATATATATAGGCTGCTCGAAGGTGTGCGGCTGTTTCTGTAAAGGTCCCGAAAGTTCTCGGTCCCTTCGCCACGGAGTCCCGCGCTGCTCTCCCGGGGCTCAGGAAACCCGGGCGTCCCAGCCTCACAGCTGCACTCCCAGTCACCGCTGCTGCCGACCTGGGGGTTAGGAACGAGGCTATCCCCTGCCTTTAAACCTGGGAACACCCGAGGCTGCCTCCAAAACCAGGAAATTCAGACCAGCCAGGAAGAAAGGAACAGCCTTTCAGTCTCACACATTTCCTCCTAGGTGCTCCCCTCTCCCCAGGGGAAAAAAAAAACGGAAAGAAAGAAAGAGGCCAAGCGCGGTGGCTCACGCCTGTAATCCCAGCACTTTGGGAGGCCGAGGCGGGCGGATCTCCTGAGGTCTGGAGATCGAGACCATCCTGACCAATATGGAGAAACCCCGTCTCTACAAAAAATATAAAATTATTTGGGTGTGGTGGCGCATGCGGTAAATCTCAGCTACTTGGGAGGCTGAGGCAGGAGAATCGCTTGAACCCGGGAGGCGGAGGTTGCAGTGAGCTGAGATCACGCCGTTGCACTCCAGCCTGGGCAACAAGAGCGAGAAACTCTGTCTTAAAAAAAAAAAAAAAAAAAAAAAAAAAAAAAAACAAGAAAAAAGAAAGAAATCCGAGGCTGGACGATCACTTGAGGCCAGAAGTTCAAGACCAGCCTGGGCTACATAGTGAGAGACTCCCCGCCACCCCACCGGTCTGTACAAAAAGTTTTAAAAATTAGCCGGGTGTGGTGGCATGCACCGGTAGTCCCAGCTACTCAGGCAGCTAAGTCAGGAGAATCACTTGAGCCCTGGAGTTGGAGGCTGCAGTGAGCTATGATCACACCACTGCACTCCAGGCTTGGCCACAGAGTGAAACTCTGGTTAAAAAAAAAAAAAAGGAAATAATCATTCCTGTTCTTGTTATAAATCCAAGGTAGTGTCCTGTTCCCTCTCTGTTCCTTAACACAAGAAACAAACACACACACCCCCACACAGGAAAGCTGCCAGATGCTTGTTTTGTTTTCTGTTATTTAGGTTGCAGTCCTACAGGGCAAGAACCTTTTGTTCCTTGTACCACAGTTGCTGCTGAGTAAATGTCATATTGGGAAGATACCGCAGTCACTCCTCGTGTTTTCCAGACACTGTTCACCAAGCAGGCACCATTTGGCCCCCAGGGGTGAGGCCAGGATGCAAAGCTAAAGACTCAGTCGATTAGTAACAAAGCCACTTGGCTGCTGGGTCCAGACAACCACATGGAAGACCAACCCATTCATTCATTCATTCAGCAAATGTGTATTGAGCACCTAGTGTGTGCCAGGTGCTGTGGACATAGTGGTGAAGAAGTCCAATATGGATCCTCTCCTTACAGAGCTTATGGGCCAGTGACCCATGGCCATTGTCTCTTGTTAGAGGTTAGAACCGTTGTTAGCATATGTGGTCTATTCCCTCAGACTATCAGTTTTGGTTTTTCTTTAGAGATGGGGTCTTGCTATGTTGCTCAAGCTGGTCTCAAACTCCTGGCCTCAAGCAATCCTCCTGCCTCAACCTCCCAAAGTGCTGAGATTACAGACATGAGCCACTGGGCCCAGCCAGTTCTTGCTTTTGTTTGTTTGTTTGTTTGTTTTGAGAAAGAGTCTCACTCTGTCACTCAGGTGGGAGTGCAGTGGTGCAATCTTGCCTCACTGGAGCCTCCAACTCCCAGGCTCAAGCTATCCCCCAACCTCAGCCTCCCAAGTAGCTAATTTTTGTATTTTTAGTAGAGACAGGGTTTCGCCATGATGGCCAGGCTGGTCTCAAACTCCTGGCTTCAAGTGAACCACCCGCCTCAGCCTCCCAAAGTGCTGGGATTACAGGTATGAGCCACCACGCCCCACCTCCTTCTCCTTTTCAGAATTCCTCCTCAAGCCTAAAGTGCTAAGAGCATGGTCCTGGGCCTCTCAAAACTCTGCTGGTCTAATGACCAGAACTGAAACTCACATTTGTGACTCAGAGTTATGGTTTGATTGTTGTGAGAATCTGGGACCGCCGTCTCCAACACCATTATTCATTCTATTTCTGTCTCACACACATAGGGTGAACTTGACCTAGGAAGATTTGCCCTACCTTTGTGGCCACTGATTGATTCAGGATCATTTCTTCCTGAAGGGCATAGCCTTAAACTTGTGCCCAAAGTTCTCATAGTGTGGCGTTGAACAAGCCTTTTTTTTTTTTTTTTTTGAGACGGAGTCTTGCTCTGTCACCCAGGCTGTAGTGTAGTGGCGCAATATGGGTTCACCACAGCCTCTGCCTCCCAGGTTCAAGTGATTCTCCTGCCTCAGCCTCCCGAGTAGCTGGGATTACAGGCATGCGCCAACACACCAGCTAATTTTTGTATTTTTAGTAGAGACAGGGTTTCACCATGTTGGCCAGGCTGGTCTCAAAATCCTGACCTCAAACTATCTGCCCACCTCAGCCTCCCAAAGTTCTGGGATTACAGGCTATGAGCCACCACACCCAGCCTGAACAAGTCACTTTTGATGCTACCATTTCCACGTTTACAAAGTGAGAAGTAAATCAGTCAGAGTATTTTAGGTGCAAACAACAGAAAGAACTCTAGCTAGCTTGAGAGAAAAAAAGGTAGAGGGTTAGTCTCCTGGGGAGACTTGGGGACCTCAAAGGAAAGATTATACAACGTGCCTCCAAAAAAAAAAAAATAGCCCCTGAGGGGTGCTAGAGGAGCCAAGCGGACAATGTCTTCCAAGCAAAGCCACAGGAATGTCAGCTCCAACCTCTTCAGTCCTTGCACTGGACCATTCAAAGTAATTCCCAGGAGAGGCTGATTCACCTGATGTGGGGCCAAGAAAGGGTGGTCCACCTTGACTGACAGTCCCATTGTTCAGGAAAAAATTCTCAAACCATGTTTCCCTCTGCTTTCACACCACCACAACAGTCATCAACACACAACAGACTTGTGTGACCCCAAAATGAGAGGGGATTTCCCCCCACCAGCAGGCAAACAATCAGTTCTGCAGTGGACACCAGCTAGGTGTCCTCCAATTCAATTCCAACACTATCTACTTGGAGATGGCATCAGATCCCACAGTCTGAGGGCTCAGTCCCCAAGACTGCCCTCACTTCAGACACCAGTCAAAAGTGGAGCCTCTAGAACTTTTGACAACTGGCTTTAAGTTGGGGTTTCCACAACCCTCTTTGGGCTCAATTAATTTGTTGGAGAGGCTCACAGAACACAGGGAAGCAAGGCCAGGTGCAGTAGCTCACACCTGTAATCCCAGCACTTTGGGAAGCCAAGGTGGGAGGATCGTTTAAGTCCAGGAGTTCAAGACCAGCTTGGTCAACAGAGTGAGACCCCATCTCTATAAATAATAAAATTAGCCAGGCATGGTGGCACAAGCCTCTAGTCCCAGCTACTCAAGAGGCTGAGGCAGGAGGATCGCTTGAGCCCAGGAGGTCGAGGCTGCAGTGATTCATGATCACACCACTGCATTCCAGGCTGTGTCTCAAAAATTAAAAAACCAAAAAGAATTCAGGGAAACACACCAGTTTATTATAAAGGCTATTACAAAGGCTGCAGATGAAGAGATGCATAGGGTGAGGTATGGGAAGGGGTGCAGAGCTTCTGCGTCCTCCCTGGGCCTGCCACCTTCTAGGAACCCCAGCATGTCTGGCTATCAGGAAGCTCTCTGAAGCCTGTCCTCTTGGGTTTTTATGGAGGCTTCATTATGTAGGCATGATTGATTAAACCATTGGCCATTGGTGATCAACTTGACCTTCAGTCCCTCTCTCCTCCCCAGAGGTTGGGGGATGGGGCTGAAAGTCCCAACCCCATTAAATCACGCATTTGCCCTTGTGGTGACCCTTTTTTTTTTTTTTTGGAGGCACATTGTATAATCTTTCCTTTGAGGTCCCCAAATCTCTCCAGGAGACTAACCCTCTACCTTTTTTTTCTCTCAGGCTAGCTAGAGTTGTTTCTGTTGTTTGCAACTAATATACTCTGACTGATTTACTTTTCACTTTGTAAACATGGAAATGGTAGCATCAAAAGTGACTTGTTCAGGCTGGGTGTGGTGGCTCATTGCCTGTAATCCCAGAACGGTGATCAAATGATCCACCCACCTCGACTTCCCAGAGTGCTGGGATAACAGGCGTGAGCCGCTGCAGCCAGCCCCTCCATCTTTTTGAGCAACCACAGATCTAACATCACCAGCCATTGTTGAGAAATTACCCCAGTCATACAGTAGGAACTTTAGAAAGAAATTTAACTCCAAGGGCCAATTCCCATTTGCGAAGAGGACAGGATAGGCAAGAAAAGAATTTAATTTGAACTGAATTAGCCAAACCATCTGTAGTCAATTTAAGATGAGTCTAGAGTAGACGAGTTACCCTTTCTTCTTCCATGTACCAGGAGTAGAAGGTGTGTATGTTGGGAGCGGGTATTGGGTTCAGGAAGGAGGAAAAGGAATGACTTTTGTTTAATTGGTAAAATCCTTTAAAACTGTCAAATGCTTTCATGTTCATTACAGAAAGGAGGTTTCTATTAATTGATTGCCTGCAGAGAAATAGAAGCTCTCCCAGCTGGATATACGAGTTGTAGAGTCTGGGAGGTGGCACCTTCTAATGGTGAGAATGATGATATTGACAATTATTATGCCTTCTTTTTGCCTGGGGAGCCCAGCAAATAGCTTCATTGGAGTCCAGAGGCTTTCACACTTTCCAGAGCTCCTCTTTAGAATTCGTGGACTCTATGGCTGTATAGACTACCAGAGCAATAGTAAATATTGGGCTGCTGCTCACTGCTCGAGGCCTGTGTGGTCTGCAGTTATCATAGTGCCATACTAACAGTGATTATTTATTGAGCAGCTACTTCATGCCAGGCATGACACCAAGACTATCAAATTAACGTCTTGACCTAAGTATCACTGTAAATAAGAGAACTGGGGCTCAAAGATGTTAAGCAATGTGTCTAGATAGACCTCACACCTCAGCATGGGGATTCAGATCCAGCCCATGTCATTCCAGAGCCTAGGCCCTTAAACACCAGGCCACTGAAAACCAGGCAGAGGGGACTCTGCCTGCGTAGAGCCAACACCTTGCAAGAGACTCGGCCCAAGAGGTGTACCCAACAGACTCCCCATGTGACTCCCCAGCTCTCTAATGAGACCTTGTCAACACCACCCCAGGGAGTAGTCTCACTAGTGGAGCTTCTGGAGAGAAGCAGCTGCATCTTCTTTTCTTGGGTCAGTACTTACTCAAGAGGCCATGAGAGGTACAGGATAGGGCACTGATAAAGAATCAAGAGGGGCTGGGGTATGGTGGCTCACTCCTGTAATTCCAGCACTTTGGGAGGCCGAGGCAGGAGGATTGCTTGAGCCCAGGAGTTTGAGACCAGCCTGGGCAACATGGCGAGCCCCCATCTCTACAAAAAAAAATTTTAAATTAAATTAGCCAGGTGTGGTGGCACGCGCCTGTAGTCTGAGCTATTTGGGAGGCTGAGGCAGGAGGATCGCTTGAGCTCGGGAGTTCAAGGCTGCAGTGAGCCATGAATGTGACTATACTCCAGCCTGGATGACAAAATGAGACTTTGTCTCTTTAAAAGAGTCAGGTGGTACAAATTCCTGTTCCAGCACTGCCCCTCACTGCTGTATGACCTTGGGCAAAATTCCCTCCCAGCTGCACCATGAAGGGATTGGACAAGGCAGTCTTGGGGGCGAATCCAGTCCCCTTCATGGTGCAGCTGGGAGGGGACCTGGCCCAAGTTCTCTATTTTCTTTTTTTTTTTTTTTTTTTGAGATGGAGTCTCGCTCTGTCACCCAGGCTGGAGTGCAGTGGCTTGATCTCCGCTCACTGCAACCTCCGCCTCACGGGTTCAAGCGATTCTCCTACCTCACCCTCCCAAGTAGCTGGGATTACAGGTGTGCTCCACCATGCCAGGCTAATTTTGTATTTTTAGTAGAGACGGGGTTTCACCACGTTGGCCAGGCTGGTCTCGAACTCCTGACCTCAGGTGATCTGCCTGCCTCGGCCTCCCAAAGTGCTGGGATTACAGGCATGAGTCACCACACCCGGCCCTCTGTTTTCTTTTCTCTGTTGTTTTTCTATAACCTGGTGTCTTCAATGTCTTCTCCACTACAGCGAGACTCAGAATTGTCAGACAGCAACCTATTGAGATGGGTTTAGGGAAAGAAGGTAACTTTCTGGGGGGTTCATTTCACTAAAAAGGGGCTAGATCCAGTTAGTGTAAAACATGTCTAGATTCAGCTACTCAAATATTCTCTGGAATGTGTCACTCTCTCTCAATTGTGTTGGCTTTATATCTTTCTTTTTTTTTTTTTTGAGATGAGCCCTTGCTCTGTCCCCCAGACTGGAGTGCAGTGTGTGATCTCAACTCACTCTAACTGCCACCTCCCAGTTCAAGTGATTTTCCTGTCTCAGCCTCCTGAGTAGCTGGGATTACAGGCGTGCATCACCATGCCCGGCTAATTTTTTTTTTTATTCTATTTTTTTTTTAGTAGAGCTAGGGTTTCATTATGTTGGCCAGGCTGGTCTCAAACTCCTGACCTCAGGTGATCTGCCCACCTTGGCCTCCCAAAGTGCTGGGATTACAGGTGTGAGCTGCTGCACCCGGTCTGTGTTGGCTTCATCCTAAGGCAAGCTGGCCTTCGTGGGGGCAAAGGAGCAGCTACAGGCTCACATTCCTTCCAATCCTGGCAGCCCCACTGAAGACAGTACCTTTTCTGTTTTTAGGATAGCTGGGTCTCTTTTACAGTTGCCACCTCCACCTACTGTGCAACAGGCACAGAGGCAAATTCTACACTTGGTGTGCACCAGCAGCATTGGGAAACACTGGGGACGTTGTTAAAATGCACACTATAAGGCCTCACCCCAGACCTACAGAATCAGGACTGGGGATAAGCCCTCCAGGTGTTTCTGAGGTTTGCTCAAGTCTAAGAACCACACTGGGTTATGGAACAGGCTTTAGGGGAATAAATACAAGCCAGCAGTTAGTAGGAAAAGCAGGTGCAGGTCCCCACGAGAGACAGGTTGAGGAGGGGCATTCAGTACACAGTGTGGGTGGATACTCTAGGGAGGCACCCACCTCTCTATTTCTCTCCCTGGTAATAGGGCAAGTATGACAACACTGAGCAGGGTTGATCAGACTATTACGATGCTAAGCAGTGTGAATTTAGGTTCCAATAACTTATGGAAGTTGTCAGGAAAAGCCCACCACCCAGCACCCGGGGGTCTTTAGAACCCTTGCAAGGTTGTAACTCCTCCCACCAGGGAGAAGCAGCCTCTAGTCCTGGGGGAGTCTGAGTCCAAGCAGCCCACAGAGTGAATCCTGGAGTCGCTCCTGCACCACACCAGATTTCTAGCAAAAGTCCTAAAGTCCCGGGATTGAGTCCAGACCAACTTGAGCCACATGCCTGTCTTGGAGCCAGTTTGGAGAAGCAACCAACCTGGAACTGATCGAAGCCCGCCCGGACCACTGCACACCCCTGGCTGCCTCTACCACCTCAAGCAGGTTTCCTAGCTCGGTCCCCTGGGCTAGTCCTGAGTAGGTCTCAGGGATGAGAATCCGGATTCCTGGGGTTTCCTGGAACCTCAGACTCCCAAAGCAGGGCTGTCCCAACAGCAGCTTCCTGGAGTCCTCACTGGCATCAACAGTCCCCGTGATCCGGCTTCCTGGAGTCCTCACTGGCATCAACAGTCCCTGTGGATCCTTCCTGGGTTTTAGTCCATGCTACTTCCAGACCCTCTAAGCTCATTATTTCTGGACTGAAAAGGGATCCCAGCACCTCTAGCCTAGGAGGCCCCTCCCACCACAGCCAGTCACACAGAGGTGGGCATGGGGCTTGGTGTGCAGAAAGAGCCCTGACATGGACTCGGGTGGGACACCCAGACCTGCAGAGTGACCCGGATAAGTCACAACTTCTCTGGGCCTCCGTTTCTCCACATACAAATGCTGGGTTCTGCTCCACAGGACTCTAAGGTTCTCCCTTAGTTCCAAGATCCTATGACTTCTCTAATTTTCTAATTTCCTAAGTATCCTAAATTCCCTGCTCTCAAAACAGCTCCCTCCCACCACCTGGTGTCTCATACAGCCCTTAAAACTCAGCATAAAGGCCGGGCACAGTGGCTCATGCCTGTAATCCCAGCACTTTGGGAGGCCAAAGCAGGCAGATCACGAGGTCAGGAGATCGAAACCACGGTGAAACCCCATCTCTACTAAAAATATAAAAAATTAGCCGGACACGGTGGCGGGCGCCTGTAGTCCCAGCTACTCGGGAGGCTGAGGCAGGAGAATGGCGTGAACCTGGGAGGCGGAGCTTGCAGTGAGCCGAGATCGCGCCACTGCACTCCAGCCTGGGCGACAGAGCAAGACTCCATCTCAAAAAAAAAAAAAAAAAAAAAAAAACTCAGCATAAAAACTCCTCACTAATGTTCTATCATTCGAGCGTCAAGACAGCCATCTGAAGTAGGTATTTCTGTCCCTGCGGGGAACACAGTGAGTCAGCAGCAGACCCAGGGCTCCTCTTTCCAAAGTTCAGTCCACTGCTCCATAAACAGCCACTTTCCACCAACCACAGGCCTCATCTTCCCATCTCTTTCCTGGAAAAAATCCAACCAGGGCTAGGCCTGGATACTGCAGGACCCTTGGCCAATTCCTTCTTTCTCCATGAAGCTTTGATGGGGGCAGCCCAGATATCAGGAGTGGAGTATTGGGGTATTGGGGGTGGAGCAGGAGACACATCATCTTTCATTGTGGGTACCCGGTCAGTGTCACACATGTGACAGATTAGCAGACCTGAAATCAGAGGTAAGTCTGAGACCAGATGTGAAAAGAGGGGCTGTGTTTTCTGAAACAAAAGGTTCTGGGAACTGACAGGACACCTCCGAACAGGAAAGGAAGAGGCTGGCATAACAGAAACCAGAACTCCTGGAAGAAGGGAGGTGGGGGGCTACATGGGATCTGGCAGGAGGAAGCATTCTGACAGCATTTCCCACATCCAGGAGGAGACACGCTAGAGGGAAGGGAGCATGCGCACACACAGGCAGCGGCTGTGCAGCAGAAGGCGTTCAACCTCTCTGGCTTAGAAGAACAGCAGCCTCTCCTTTTTTCTACTGTGAAGTTATCGTCCCAGCAGCCACCCCAGTAGAAGAACTGAGGCAGGGCTCTGGGTAGCCCTCTGGTTTACAGTTCCAGAGTTCCTGATCTAATGTTGGGAAATCTGAATCCAGGCTCCCTTCCTAAACCTGACCTTGCTGGTGTGGAAGGGGCTTGGATTTTGGTCTAAGTCCTACCACATACAAAAGTCAGCTCATGCTTATGGCTCCTCTCAGAGCCTCAGACAGGGGAATTCAAGTCTCTATGAGGAATAAATAAGACCATACCTTTTTACATATGATGTAAAGATACATCATATCTTTAGAACTTAATGTGAGTCCCCACTTAGTGCACTAAGGCCAGGCATGGTGGCTCATGCCTGTAATCCCAGCACTTTGGGAAGCTGAGGTGGGCAGATCACCTGAGGTTAGGAGTTCAAGACCAGCCTGGCCAACATGGTGAAACCCTGTCTCTACTACAAATACAAAAATTAGCCAGGTGTGGTGATGAGCATCTGTAATCCCAGCTACTTGGGAGGCTGAGGCAGGAGAATTGCTTGAACTCAGGAGGCAGAGGTTGCAGTGAGCTGAGATTGTGCCACTGCACTCTAGCCTGGGCGACGAGAGTGAGACTCCGTCTCAAAAAAAAAAAAAAAAAAAAAAAGGCCAGGCACGGTGGCTCACGCTTCTAATCCCAGCACTTTGGGTGGCCGAGGCGGGTGGATCACGAGGTCAGGAGATCGAGACCATCCTGGCTAACATGGTGAAACCCCATCTCTACTAAAAAAAAATACAAAAAAAAATTTGCCGGGCGTGGTGGCGGGTGCCTGTAGTCCCAGCTACTCGGGAGGCTGAGGCAGAAGAATGGCATGAACCTGGGAGGTGGAGCTTGCAGTGAGCTGAGATAGCACCACTGCACTCTGCTGCCTGGGCAACAGAGCGAGACTGTCTAGAAAAAAAAAAAAAACAACAACTCTAAAAGATGCTTGCACCATGCCTGTCACCCAAGTGTGCAAGATCTCAGCCTGTTTTGACCACTTGTGTTGTGGTCAGTTGGGAGTGGGTGCCCTGTCATTTGGTACTAATAATAGTTGAAGTACCAAAGTCTGTACACTATTTACAGCAGAGTCACATCACATACACACGTAACTTATGCAACTTAAACTATGTGCACTCAGGGAAAAAGAAAAGGTAAGAATTAATTGTCAGGCAGGACACACTGATGAGCATCTAAGCCAGAGTGAGCAGTTTTCAGCCCCTCATGCCTCACTGATCATGGGCCATTGAGTGTGACTTAAGGGTTTTACTTGACATTGTATCTTTAGAACTTAATGTGAGTCCCCACTTAGTGCACTTTTAAAAATACTGCAAACAGCCGGGCACAGTGGCTCACGCCTATAATCCCAGGCAGATCACTTGAGGTCAGGAGTTCAAGATCAGCCTGGCTAACATGGTAAAACCCCGTCTCTACTAAAAATACCAAAAAAAAATTAGCTGGGTGTGATCTCAACTACTCAGGAGGCTGAGGCAGGAGGATCGCTTGAACCCAGGAGGCGAAGGTTGCATTGAGCTGAGATTGCATCACTGCACTCCAGCCTGGGTGACGGAGCGAGACTCTGTCTCAAAAAAAAACGAAAGAGTTCCCTCTTCACTTTACCCATTCTTTCAAGCCTAAGGACCACAGACAGCCGTTCCACTGCAGAGTACCCCGTGAATGCTTCATCAGCACGACTATAACCCCCTATTCATGGCATACATTGTTGGCAGAGGATTATCTATAAAATAAAGGCTCAAAATTCTTCCAGGCACCAAGATTTTTATTTACCCACCTTCCTGCTTTCTTTTAACATTATAGGCCAAATTATTCTCTTTTTGACCCAGGGTTGTGAAAGGAACCATCTGGTTATAAAGTGGTGGCAGATTTCACGAAATCTGCCTGCATTCATGTTTTTCTGGCCCCTCTCAACCCCTAGCTGTCACTTCTCTGTTCTTTCTCAGTTGCCCCTTAACAGTCTATTCTAACCCCTGTAAAACAGGGACTAAAAGTACTAACCTCATTGTAATGAGGTTTAAGAGAAGGCCCAGCACTAAGCCAGGCTCTCAGGAAAATTCAAACAACAGTTCCTCTTTGCCCTTCAATATAGCCCCTTCTCATCTGTCATGGGCTGAAGAACCACTGGACCTGTAAACCAAGCACACAGGTATAAGTCCACAGACCAGGTGAAGGCCTAGATGGCAAAACACATGGGCTTTGTGACTCCACTACTGACTTCCAGGCTAAGGAAGGACTGACTTAGTGAGCTGTTCCAAGACCACTGAGCTCATGGTTCCCTGTGGCTGGGACCTCCATCATGACCGGGGCTTGAAGAGGGTACTCTGTTCCCGCTGCCACATTTGGAACAGTATGACGGCTGCAGCAGAGGCCAAAAACTAAGTGATCAGCCCCAGAGAGTCGATGGGGGACACTGACAAACCAATCACAAAGTTGGTGCCATTAGCTCTTAGGGAGGAGAGGTGGGGCCTGGGCAAGGACAGCAGCTGGAGGGTGAAACGCAGACCTGGCTCTCAGTAGCGGTAGTGATCCGGCTTGAAGGGGCCATCACAGGACATGCCCAGGTACTGGGCTTGCTTCTCAGTTAGCTTGGTCAACTTCACATTCAGCTTGCCCAGGTGGGCTTCAGCCACTGCCTCATCCAGCTGGGGAGAAACAAAGGAAGACCGGGAATCAGTGCCATTTTCTGGGACCCCTACACGCGTCTGGCTGCCAATAGAGGCAGAAGTGTTCTGTTAGGGTTTCTGCCATGTGTGGTACTCATGTTAACTCTTTCTATCCTCACACCCAGCCTCAGTTAATGTGTTGTTTTGGCTGCCCAGCCCCCCTCAAAAGGGAACCATGCCACACCCTCCCCTACATGTGGCTTGACAGGACCATCAATCACATCTCCTTCCTCATTCTTCAACTCAAGCAGCTAACCAAAATGCTTCTCTGGAATTGATCTATGCACAGGACATATTTTCCATGACAGGCAGAGACAAGGTGCTCCAACCCCACTGGGATTCCTAAACAGGGAAGGGTATCTATCAATCTCAGCTCACCAGTTCCAAGTCTATTTTACAAGTGAAATGAAGATAGATCCGAGAGACAGAAGGACAGAGCCATGATGACACGGAATCCTAGGTTTCCAGTGTTTGGATCCGAGAATAAAGTTCTTTTTTTTGTGACAGAGTCTCATTCGGACGCCCACGCTGGAGTGCAGTGGCACGATCTCGGCTCACTGCAACTTCTACATCCCAGGTTCAAGTGATTCTCCTGCCTCAGCCTCCCGAGGAGCTGGGATTACAGGCGTGCACCACCACGTCCAGCTAACTTTCTGTTTTTAGTAGAGATGGGGTTTCACCATGTTGGTAAGGCTGTTCTTGAACTCCTGACCTCAGGTGTCGAACTCCTGACCTCAGGTGATCTGCCTGCCTCAGCCTCCCAAAGTGCTGGGATTACAGGCGTGAGCCACCGTGCCTGGCAGATTCGAGAATAAAGTTCTTTTTTGGATTAAACTGGTTGCTTTTTTTGATTAAAATGTATCTATAAATTCTTTGATACTCCTTTAAGAATTAGAGCCTAATCCCCACCGCCTCCCCCCACCCCACCGAGTGATTCCTTTCTAATGAATAGAAGAAAGCAGAAGTGATGGTGTGTGACTTTGGACACAAGTTCATAGAGACCCTGTGGCTTCCTCCTTGCTCTCCTCTGGATGACTTACTCTGGGGGAAGCCAGATGCCATCTCCTGAGGATGCATAAGCAGCCCTCTGGAGAGGCCCATGCATGAGGAATTGAGACCTCCTGTCAACAGCGATGTGAAGAGGATCTTCCAGACCCAGTCAAACCTTCAGATGATTGCAGCCCTGGCAGAAATCTTGACCGCAACCTCATGAAAGAGCCTGAGTCAGAAGCAGCCAGCTAAGCTGATCTCAAATTCTTGACCCACAGAAACTGAAATAATAAATATTTATTATTTGAAGCCAGTAAGTCTGGGGGTTAGATTGTTATGCAGCAAGATAACTGATACACTGGTTTGAATAGTGTTTCTATCACTTGTGACCAAAAGGATTCTAATCCACTGCCATCCTCCTTTTATAAAATGAGGAAATCAAGGTTCAGAAACGTGAAATGACGTGTCCACGGTCACCAAGCTAGTGAATGACAGAGCTAGGATTTGAACCCAGGTCTATCTGGCTTCAAAGCCCCAAAATGTGTCTCAAGCATCCCAGCTTATGGCCTCTAGAGCAGCTTTGAAGAGATTATGCAGAAACCGAGGAGGACAGAGGCAAGAGTTAAATACAAGCAAGCCTCTAACTCTCTCATGAGGTAGGCCTCTCCCTACCCCTAAGGGACCCCATCCTGTCCCATGATGGCATGGCGGCCTCTGACCACAGCTCAGCCCACAGCTTTTACATTCCCAAGTGGTTTCACATCTACTGTTTCATTAGAGCCTCCCAAACACCCTTAAGAAGTAGGATGGGTGCGGTTTATCCTTGTATCTTCAGATGAAGCAAAGAGCCTGCAGAAGGTGATGTGCTCAGCAGAGAGGCGGGCAACAGTAGGACCAGGGCCCAGCCTAGAACTGAGTCCACGTCAGTTCCAGAGGTAGAACGATGGCCTCCAACCCCCACAGTACACATTGAAATCAACCTTCTGCTTGGCCCGGACTAGCCCAGAACTTTTCCTTCTCCCAGCACCCTGAACCAGAAGGTGTGTGTCACGTCCTAAGGTCAACACCTTGGACAGACAGAGCTAGGTTCTATTCCTGGCCTGATACTTAACATCTGTGAGAGCAAGTCGGTCTCTACACCTGACTTTCCCCATTCGCAGGATGGATGGATCACTCATCTCTCAAGGCTGTTACAAAGATCAGTGCTACTCAGAGTCATTCGTGCAGTAGGTGACTTAATAAATGGTGGCTGCCTTCTCTGTCATTGTTGACCAAGGTACCTAGTCCCTTGCCTGCATACAGCATGTGAGGCATGATGCCAAGAGTGTCCTGTCCCCAAGCCACATGTTAGCAATGATGAAGAAAAGTGGTAAGGACAGGGTCAGGTGCTGAGGCGGGAGCTTTGCCTCTTTCACTTCCAACCCTGCCCTCATTTCAAAGGCCTGACCAATTTCTCACCAAACTCATAGCCATATTTCTCCCAACTGGGATTAGATGGGGATCAAGTGAGAATCTTTCAACCCCACAACCAGCTGCACAGAACAAGGTATGCCTTGAGGTCCTTATGAGTAAAATGTTTGGTCCAGCAAGACATTGCTCCAGGGAGATTAGTTGTTGGCTGGCCCTGGAGGCAGATGCCCCAGGCCTCTTCCTGCGTCTTCCTCAATTGGTAGAACCAGCCTTTCAAAAGATGAAGGGATGGTATGTAGACCCCATCACAGCTTCTCCAGCAGCAAAAGGCTGGAAGAGCAAGAGCTACTCTTACCATTTAGCTCATAAGGAGACTGAGGATTGGACAGGGTAAGGGACAAAGCAAAGTTCACCTGTAAAACTGCCAAGAAAAGCCAGGACTAAAACATCTGTCCTGACCCCAGGGAAGGGTGGACTGCATGGGGTGTTAGGGTGAGCACTGGATTTCATGTCAGAGGACTTCATCTTCATGAGTATGCAGACCATACAACCATAGTGAGATGCCATGCTTAGGGATGTATCTTTTTTTTTTGAGACAGGGTCTCACTCTGTCACCAGGCTGGAGTGCAGTGGCACAATCTCGTCTCACTGCAACCTCCACCTCCTGGGTTCAAGCAATTCTCCTGCCTCAGCTTCCCAAGTACCTGGGACTACAGGCATGCGCCACCATGCCCAGCTCATTTTTTTGTATTTTTAGTAGAGATGGGGTTTCACCATGTTGGCCAGGCTGGTCTCCAACTTCTGACCTCAAATGATCTGCCCACCTCGGCCTCCCAAAGTGCTGGGATTACAGGTGTGAGCCACCGCGCCTGGCCAGGGATGTATCATCTTATTACAAGGCCACAACGTGCAGCCTGCAGACTGCACTCAGCTTATACACATGTCCAAGTTAACCCACCCAGTTATTTTTTAAATTATAATGAGGCCAGGTGCAGTGGCCGAGGCGGGTGGATCACTTGAAATCAGGAGTTCGAGACCAGTCTGGCCAATATGGCAAAACCCCGTCTCTACTAAAAATACAAAAAAATTAGCCAAGTGTGGTGGCATCTGCCTGTAATCCTAGCTACTCAAGAGGCTGAGGTGGGAGGATTGCTTGAACCCGGCAGGTGGAGGTTGCAGTAAGCCGAGATCACGTCACTGCACTCTAGCCTGGGCAACAGAGTGAGACTCTATCTCAAAAAAATCAAAATCAAAATAAAATTTTAATGAGTTGCCTGTATTTGAAAATCATTTTGTATAGAGATCTTGGTATCTCTGGCTCTCCTGAAAGGTTAGAAGCCCTGGTCAGACGGACCTGGGTTCCTAGGTGGCAACCAGCCCTTTACCCCTTCAGCTCTTCCAGTCCTTGTTCAGCTGGCATCACTCATTTACCTGCCTAGCCCCTGTGGGTGTGTGGGTTCATGATCTCAGGAAATCCTCACAATCCTGAAGGGGGTTGCTATTACCTTCATTTCACAGATGAGAAAATGAAGACAGAGAAAGAATTTGCCTGGATTACACAGCCTGTAAGTGGTGGGGCTGAGATTCAAACTGGGGTGTGTCCCGCTCCAAGGCCCAGGCTCTCCTCACCACCTGGTCCTGCCGCTCTGCTGTGCTCCAGGGAGCCACTCCCTACTGTGGGTCTCAGTTTCTTCTTCTGTCAATGGGGAGAATGACTTCTGCACTGTAGAGGACCCCATGAGGGCCTCTAAGAGGGCAGACAGGCAAGCACTTTATAAACTCTGGCAAGCCCTGTGTGGGGATCCCAGGATTAGACACGTGACCCTTGGCTTGAGGTAGAAGAATAAACCCACCTTCTTGGGCAGGAAATGAACCCCAACGGGGTACTTGTCTGGATGGGTCCACAGCTCGATCTGCGCCATCACCTGGTTGGTGAAGGAGTTACTCATCACGAAGCTGGGGTGGCCCATGGCACAACCCAGGTTGACCAGCCGACCCTCGGCCAGCAGGATGATGCGGCGCCCATTCTTCAACCGATACCGGTCCACCTACACGCAGGCAGGGCAACAGTGAAGGCAGGCAGGGCCCCGCTCCCACAGCCCACCCTCTGATCTGGCAGGCCTCTCTGCCTCCAACAGTGCCCATGAGGAGTCCGAACTGCTCCAAAACAACCTCCAGCACATGGCTTAGCACAAAAATAACAGCCAATATTTATTAAGAAATGTTGAGCTGGCCGGGGCACGGTGGCTCACGCCTGTAATCCCAGCACTTTGGAAGGCCGAGGCAGGCGGATCATGAGGTCAGGAGATCGAGATTATCTTGGCCAACACAGTGAAAGCCCGTCTCTACTAAAAAAAAAATACAAAAAATTAGCCGGGCGTGGTAGCAGGCGCCTGTGGTCCCAGCCACTCGGGAGGCTGAGGCAGGAGAATGGCGTGAACCTGGGAGGTGGAGTTTGCAGCGAGCCGAGATCGCACCACTGCACTGCAGCCTGGGCGACGGAGCGAGACTCTGTCTCAAAAAACAAAAAACAAAAAAACAACAAAGAAATGCTGAGCTGCAGACTGCACAGTTCTGCTGTGAGAACTTCACGTGCTCACACTTGCTTGGCGCATATGAGGCACTCAGTAAGCAGCAGCTAATGTTATCGTTATGATCACTGTCATGTGCCCTGTACTAAGTCCTTTACAGGTAACTACCACATTTCATCCCAGAAACAACCCTGTGATTTCAGTACTGCTGTCATCCCCATTTCAGATTCAGAAACTGAAGTTTACAAGGGTTAGGTCACTTGTCCAGAGCCACACACTAAGAGGAGGCTGCAATTTGAGTCTGGACGGTCTGAGGACAGATCCCATGTTCTCAATAACCATGAAATAGTTTTGAATGCAGCTTAGCAAAAGCTGAATGCCGTGGCGCTCACATTGGAATCACCTCAGAAGCTTTAAAAAATGAGGATACCCAGGCCAGACGCGGTGGCTCATGCCTGTAATCCCAGCACTTTGGGAGGCCAAGGCGGGGGGAATCACCTGAGGTCGGGAGTTCGGGACCAGCCTGAACAACATGGAGAAACCCTGTCTCTACTAAAAACACAAAATTAGCCAGGCATGGTAGCACATGCCTGTAATCCCAGCTACTCAGGAAGGCTGAGCCAGGCGAATCGCTTGAACCTGGGAAGCGGAGGTTGTGGTGAGCCAAGATCGCGCCATTGCACTCCAGCCTGGGCAACAAGAGCGAAACTCCGTCTCAAAAAAAAAAAAAAAAAAAAAAAAAGATACCTTGGCCTCATTCCCAGAGACTCCTATTCCTGTGGCCCACAGTGTGGCTCCCAGGTGACTGCCAAGGTTGAGAACTCCCGGTTTAGTGAGTGAACGTGACATGGAAATCCCCAGCCTCAGTGCCCCAGTCCTCCGTCTGTCCCAGCTGTCTGAACACACAAACTTGCTTTCTCCCCACTCCCAGCTCTTCCCTTGCCATCCCTCCACCCTCAGGCAGCCTCCCAAACATTTCCCCAAAAGCCCAGGTTTCCAAGCTGCTCCAGAGGCCTAGTACCGATCCAAGGAAAGGTCTCTGATGCCCATCAGGCATTGATTGATGCTTCAATCAATAAGCACTCACTGATACCCATCTAAGCCCCTTGCAGGGACACGTCAACCTGGACTCTACCCTCCTGGTACAACAGTGGGGTCAGAGACCAAAGCCAGTGATGGATGCTGCACTAGGGGTCTGTACTAAGAGTGTGGGCATTGCCTCTGCCAGAGGAGCTGGCCAGGAAGGGGGTCTCTTTTTTATTTTATTAATTTTTTTTTTTTTTTTTTTTCTGAGACGGAGTCTTACTCTGTCATCCAGGCTGGAGTACAGTGGTGTGATCTCAGCTCACTGCAACCTCCACCTCCTGGGTTCAAGCGATTCTCCTGCCTCAGCCTCCAGAGTAGCTGGGACTATACGCATGAGCCACCATGCCCAGCTAATTTTTTGTATTTTTAGTAGAGACAGGGTTTGACCATGTTGGCCAGGCTGGTCTCAAACTCCTGACCTCAAGTGATCCGCCTGCCTCGGCCTCCCAAAGTGCTGGAATTACAGGTGTGTGCCACCGTGCCTGGCCAGAAGGGGGTCTCTTGAGCTGGGCTGAGAAGATGAACAAGGAGAAGGGCATGTGTTCTGTTCCAGACAAATGCAGCTGTCTGGACAGATGAGCAGAAGTAGGAGCTGCAGTGGGTATTCAGGGAGTGGTCAATTATGGCCTGAGTACAGAGGCCCTTGAGAGGACGGACAAGAGATAATGTTGGGCAGAAGGTTGGCAAGACTGTCAAGGATGTTGAGGGTGGGCATAGAGTCCAGCTTTGGAGGGCAGCTTGGCAGAAAGGTGCCCATCACCCCAATGTAGCAGGTTTCACCTGTGATGCCTTTGCAAAAAGGAGGTCTAGACAGATGGCTGTCAGGGGTGTGGCTGCCACAGAAGCACGCCCTGGCCACCCCCACACTGTGATGAGTGCCAGGCCTTCTAGGCAGAGATGGAGGTGCCCTCTGCCTAGCCGGGAACTGACACCCTAGACTAGTGCAGGACCTAGCCAAGGAGAACTCCCACGCAGGAGCAGAGCACCCAAGAGGAGCAGTGTAGGGGATGTGGGTTCATAGAGCTGCCTGTCTGCCTCTCTGGGACTTGGGCTTCTGGTGTGGCTGTGACTGGGTGGGTGTCAGGGCTTTGGCCAACTCTGTGTCTGTATCTTCCTTATCATATCTCAAACACGGCACAGCACCAACTCAAAGAACCTCACATAGGTGGGCTTTTCTCCCTTTAAAAAATGTGGTGGACCTGGTGTGGCAGCTCACGCCTATAATCCCAGCACTTTGGGAGATAACTTAAGCTCAGGAGTTTGAGACCAGCCTGGGGAACACAGCAAGGCCTCGTCTCTACAAAAAATAAAAAGTTAGCCAGGTGTAGTAGTGCACATCTGTAGTCCCAGGTACTTGGAAGGCTGAGGCAGGAGGATCAGCTCCTTCAGCCCAGGAGGTCAAGGCTGCAGTGTGCCATGATCATGCCACTGCCCTCTAGCTTGGGTAACAGAGTGAGCCCATCTCAAAAAAAGAAAAAAAAAATGATGAACATCTCTACATACATATTTAATTATCCTAAGGACCAATTATAGGAGAGATTGCCCAGTCAAAGAGGTTGCTTAACTTTAAAGCTCTTGATATCCAAAGCCAAAATGTCTTCCAGAAACATACTACTTTTATAATCAGAGAAAAAAATAAACTCATAATAATTGCAACTCAAGTAAAACTTCACACCCCCTATAAGAACTCATCTTCCAGTTTCAGTGCCCCAATGCCCAATGCAAACCTGTTCTTTCCCAGCTCAGTGCATGGGCCTGCTCCTCACACAGTGATTCAAGCTGTGTCCCTTTTTGTTTTTTGTTTTTAGTTTTGTTTTTGAGATGGAGTCTCGCTCTGTTGCCCAGGCTGGAGTGCAATGGCGCAATCTCGGCTCACTGCAACCTCTGCCTACCACGTTTAAGCGATTCTCATGCCTCAGCCTCCCGAGTAGCTGGGATTACAGGCACCCACCACCATGCCCAGCTGATTTTTTTGTTTGTTTGTTTTTGAGACAGAGTCTCGCACTGTCACCCAGGCTGGAGTGCAGTGGAACAATCTCGGCTCACTACAACCTCCATCTCCCGGGTTCATGTGATTCTCCTGCCTCAGCCTCCCAAGTAGCTGGGATTGCAGGTGCACATCACCACACCCGGCTAACTTCTTGTATTTTTAGTAGAGACGGGGTTTCACTATGTTGGCCAGACTGGTCTCAAACTCCTGACCTCGTGATCTGCCCACCTAGGCCTCCCAAAGTGCTGGGATTACAGGCATGAGCCACTGTACCTGGCCTTTTTTTTTTTTTTTTTTTTGAGATGGAGTCTCACTCTTATTAACCAGGCAGGAGTGCGAGGGTGCGATCTCGGCTCACTGCAACCTCCGCCTCCCAGCTTCAAGCAATTCTCTCCTGCCTCAGCCTCCCAAATAGCTGGGATTACAGGTGCCCGCCACCACACCCGGCTAATTTTTCTATTTTTAGTAGAGATGGGGTTTCATCATATTGGTCAGGCTGGTCTCGAACCCCTGACCTCATGTGATCCGCCCGCCTCGACCTCCCAAAGTGCTGGGATTACAGGCATGAGCTACCGCACCCGGCCCAGCTAATTTTTTTGTATTTTTAGTAGAGACGGGGTTTCAACCATGTTGGCCAGGCTAGTCTCGAACTCCTGGCCTCAGGTGATCCGCCCATCTCGGCCTTCCAAAGTGCTGGGATTACAGGTGTGAGCCACCATGCCCGGCCAAAGCTGTGTCCTTTGTTACTCTGCCTCCATCCTGACCCCACATGCCGTCCATCCACCCCAGCACTCCCTAAGCTGAGGCTGCCATCATCCCCTGCAGGGATTCTACGAGCCTCCTCTAAAAGCCTCTCTCCCCACCACCCGCCATTGTTGCTTTTATTCTGCACACAGTAGCTAGAGTGATCTTTCTAAAACTACAGCCTCACCACATACAGCTCACCTGCCTGATACCTTCAGGGATGCCGGCTGCCCACAGGATAAGGTTGCCACGTCTGGCTGGCTCTGATGCTAGGCCCTCTTCTCCCCATCCCCCTGCACAGGTTGCCACCATCTCCTCAGCTCTCCTCCCTGGCAGCCAGCACTCCTCTGCACTCCCATCTGCCCAGCCCACTGGCAAGGCGGGAGCTTCTCACCTGCGGCTTGATGTTCACCTTCTCCACGGCGTTCTCGTTGAGCCACTTGACATCGATCTCCACGTCAAAGTGTCCAATGTTACACACAATGGCATCATCCTTCATCTGCTCAAAGTGCCTGTCAGGCAGCCCAAGACCGTGGGAGATTGTCAGGGACAGAAAGCTGTCCCAACTCTGCCCTCCTCCCTCACTCCCCGGGACCCCCCATCTGGCACCTACCGGCCAAGGATGATGTCAATACAGCCTGTGGTGGTGACAAAGATGTTGCCCTCCTGACAGGCCTCATCCATGGTGGTCACCTCATAGCCTGTGCAGAGACAGTGGCTGTGGGTCATCTACGGTGGCCTTGCCCCTCCCTCTGGCCCCAGTGGCTGACAACCAACCCTTGCCCTATCCTACCCTCCATGGCAGCCTGCAGTGCGTTGATGGGGTCAATCTCGGTGATGATGACGCGGGCTCCGAAACCCCGCAGGGCCTGGGCACAGCCCTTGCCCACATCACCATAGCCTGCTACCACCGCTACCTTGCCGGCAATCATCACATCTGTGGCCCGCTTGATGCCATCTATGAGGGACTCCCGGCAGCCATAGAGGTTGTCAAACTTGCTCTGAAAGGAAAGGGGGTAAGGAGACAATAGGGGCAGGCAAGGCCCTGGGGCCAGGACAACTTGGCCTCAGAGTATTCTGAAGAGCCCAGGCATCATGGGCCCACCAAGCATCCCGGCCTGGGCTGAACCCCTCCAGCACCCAATGCCCCCACAAGCCCTTCACCCCGATCGGCTCAAAGAGCTTCTCTCTAATCTTTCTCTGCCAGTGTGGAGCCTTCCTAGGCATCAGTTACTAGGAGAGATTGCCCGGTCAAAGACCTTGCTTAACTTGAAAGCTCTTCTTCCCAAAGCCATAAAGCTCCTAACACCCAGCTCTGACACCCCTTTTAAACGCACTCATTAGCCTGTCTATAACCGCTTTTGCCCCCTCAAATGAGGGCTTCATGTCCCTAATCTCAGCCTTCCTGGGCACTCTTCTTCAGAGGCCTCGTCCTGAGCTGCAGCCACTGTAGCGGGAGCTGTCACTGCCCCTCGGCTCACCTTGGTGACGGAGTCATTGACATTGATGGCAGGCACCTTGAGGATCCCATTGGCCATCATCTTGTAGAGGTTGTGGACCCCAGTCGTGGTCTCCTCAGAGATGCCTCGGATGCCTAAACAAGAGGGGACAGGACAAGCCTCAGAGATGCCACACCTGTGCTCATGCAAATTCCTCATCTTTACCCCCTAAAGCCATTCCTCTTTCTGGGTTCCCATCTCTGTGACTGATCCCACAGGCCCCCCAATCACCCAGACCCGCGTGAGGGAGGAGTCCCCAACGCCCTCCTACAGGGAAGCCACCACCAGGCCTAGTGACTCTGCCTCCGAACAACTCCCAGCTTCTCTATTCTCACTGCCGCTGCTCTAGTCCGTGACCCTGTCGCTTCTTCCCAGTCTCCCTACCACAACCCATCCTCCATGCAGCAGCCATTTCTAACATGTATCTTCTCAGAGAAATCTTCTCAACGCCCTCCAGTTATTTCCCCTTGCTCTGCAAATCAGGTCAAACACTTTTCTATTGGCCTATTAGGCCCTGACACATCTGGTCTTCACGAAGTTCACACCATACCCGCAGTGAAGGCTCCCTTTGCTCACTGCTATCCTGTGGGCCTCTTTTCTGTTTCCTGAACACTCCAGCCATTCCTGCCTCAGGGCCTCTGCACTCTGCGTACCTGCTTTGAACAAAGCTGGCTCCCTCCCAGCTATTCCCAACCATGGCCCTGTCTGTGCCTGCCCTTGGGCCATCAGCTCAGCTGCCCTAGCCTCGCACCCTCAGAAGTCAGGAGGCCCCAGCATGAATGCCAGAGCCTGCCATCCTCCCATCTTCCAGATCCTGCTGCTTGAGGTGATGGGAGTCCTGCCAGGCCTGCGGCCATCATGTGGGCAAACAGGCCCCACCCAGGCCACCAGCACCCAGCCCACCTGCCCCGCCCTGCTCACCTGGCAGAAGCTGCGGGTACTTGGTGTGGATGAGGTTGGTGAGGTCGCCCCCGTCGTCCAGAATCATGTTGAGGGGCCCGTCCTTGAAGTACAGGGTCTGCTCAATGCACCACAGGTACTCCTCGTCCGTTTCGCCCTTCCAGGCATACACTGGAGGGTGAGTGGCACATCAGGGCCTGGACTTCCCAACTGGTACCTGCTCCAGGGAACAACTCTGGCAGAGCCAAAACTACCTCCTTCCCAACTCCCATCCCCAGCCACCTCCGGCCCCTCTGAAAACTCAGCAGTGGTCAGGACACAACTTGGAGCCAGATAGATCTGAGTTCAAACCCTGGCTCTGCCACTTGCCAGCTGTGTGACCTTGGGCAAATCACTTCACCTCTCTGAGCCTCAGTCTTCTCCTCTGTAAATAGGGCTCACAATAGTATGGATTAAGTGAGACAGAAGCCATGTACAGCCCCCCGCCCCAGATATAGATATCAGGAAATCATTCTTTCCTTTCCCATCCCCTTCTGCCTGGGCGCCAAGGACTGAGGCATCAACCCTGAGTGACCAGGGCTTGATACCCCACAACGCCTCCCCCTCAGCAGGATCCACACGGCAGGATCCAGGGTTTGCTCTGCACTGAAAGGACTGGAGCACTAGCAGCCTCTGTGTGGGGGAATCTCAGGCAAAGTCTGGCCAAAAAATGACTACGAGCAGCTACCATGTGTGGGGTACTTGCTTTCTGCCAGACATGACTCTAAATCCTCCATACCCCATCTCATTCTTCCTCATAGAAACCCTGTGAGGCAGCCATGACCATTATCATCACTTACAGATGCCCAGAGAGGAGCTAAGACGCACTTGGGCCACTCTAAATGAAATTCCAGAATAGACACCAGAACTGAGGGCTACTGACCACCAGCCCACACTCCTCCCATGTGGCATGACTAGGGCACAGGTGTGGGGTTCCCAGGAGCCTCTTGTGAGCAAAGGACGCTGGCCAAGCAGAGCCAGCTGCTTCTACCCACAACTGGAGCAGACAATAGTCTTAAGAATTGCAGTGAGCCAAGATCGCACCACTGCACTCCAGTATGGGCAACGGGGCAAGACTCTGTCTCAAAAAGAAAAAAAAAAAAGAAGAAAGCCACGGTGCCAAGGCTGAGGAATGGGGATCATGCCCATTCAGCCCTGGTCAGTCTGTGAAGGAGTGCTGTGCCACCCCCTCCTGTCCACCTGTGGTTGGTTAGAAGCAATCTTGAATGTCCTAATCACTGGGTCAGATCTAACCACTCCCCTCCCCAAGTCCAAGCAGACATGTGCCCAGCCTGTGAAAACTCCATTCTCGTTAGACTTGGTCCTTCCTCAGTCCTTTAGACCGCCATACCCTAGGCAGTGAACCTCTTTTTCTGCCCCGTAGCCCTCCCCAGTTCTTTGGAAAGAGATCCACATCCTTCCTTTAATGAACTTCCCCTCCGCTTCATCATGTAGTTCCCAATCATAAGATCTTGCTCTTCCTGGTTACACGGCTTGACCTGGGTCAATAAACAACTTCCACAGGATTTTAGATGATGATGGGACAAAGCAGCTCTTTCCTGTGGGGTCGCTGGGCTAGGATTTTGTGGCGGTGACTCCTCTCCCTTTCTGATATGTAAGGAAGTCTGTTGCTCTAGCAGTCAGTGAAGCAAAGAGGGCAGAATCCCTTCACAAATTCCACGTCTCAGAAGCAAGCAGGACTTACCCGGAATGCCAGCCTTGGCAATGGCAGCCGCCGCATGGTCCTGGGTGGAGAAGATGTTGCAGCTGGACCACTGCACCTAGAAGAGCCATCAAAACAAGGCTGTTGGTCACTGATGGCTCAAAAGCACCAGGGACGCTGGGCGAGGAAAAGGGAGAGCTTCGGGTAGTGGGGAGAGGCTTGGGATCTAGGCACAGCAAGCTCTAGGATCACAGGCTGGGGATGCTGGGTGGGCAGATGGGAGCCAGAGCAGGGGCGAGATCCAACTCAGGTTTTAAAACCTCACTCCAGTGCTGTGTGGAAGGGAAAGGGTGGAAGCAAGGGGACAACTGCAGAGACTGTTGGAGAAGACTCCAGACAAGAAATATGACAGTAGCAGTGGAGATGATGAGAAGTTGTCACATCCTGGGTCTACTCTGAAGGCTGCACTGACAGGATTTGCAGAGGGATGAGTTGTTGGAGTAAAGGGAGTTGGGAGTGGGGAGGAAAGGGAGGGGAGGAGATGACTCCCAGATTCGTGAATTGAGAGAACCCAGAAGGCTGGAACAGAGGTTCCATTTACTCAGGTGGGGAAGGCTTTGGGAAGAAGAGGGGGCAGAAAATCCTGAGTCTGTTTGAACGCGTTCTGCCTGAGATGAGTACTAGACCTCCAGGGAGCGTCAACGCCCCCGCTCCTGGATATGCCAGTCTTGAGTTCCAGGAGAAGTCCAGGCTAGTACAAAAATGTGACAGTCATCACCAGATAGTGTCTAAAGCTATAAAATCAGACCGCCAAGAGTGAATGCTGAAAAGAAAGAAGAGGTCCAAGGACTCAGCCCTGAGCCCCTCTGTGGATTTTGGCTCCATTGCCCTACCCTGCTTTGGGAAACCAGCTTGCTTCTTGACTCTCTGAGACCTTAGGAGAGCTGTTAATCATTGGCACACATGACCCAGGCTGAACCAATCAGAGCTGCCATCATCCAGCAGCCATGATGGGTCCAGGGTAGGCCTGTGACCCCCGAAGGGCCAAGGCAAGCTGGCCCTTAAGAGACTAAGTAGGACATGGGTGTTGAATTTTTCCTGCCAGAGCATCCATCAGGAGGATGCCTTGAGGGTAGCCAACAGTGACCTTCCCAGCCAGGGAGAAAATCTGCAGAACACTCACCACAAGGGGTGGCAGCACTGGGAAACGGAGGAAACCGAGTGAGAGGGAGGAACCCCTCCAGGCCCGCGGTCAGCTCCACACCTGGAAGGTCCCCACCCTGGCACAGTCGTCTTCTTCCCTGGCTGAACCCAGGGAGGGCAAGGACTCTGGGGTGATACAGCTGTGGGCCTCACCTCAGCACCCAGGGTGACGAGGGTCTCAATGAGGACGGCCGTCTCCACGGTCATGTGCAGGCAGCCAGCGATGCGGGCGCCCTTCAGTGGCTTGGAGGCCGAGTACCGCTCCCGCATACGCATCAGGCCCGGCATCTCGTTCTCAGCAATGTCCAGGGCCTTGCGTCCCCAGGCAGCCAGGCCGATGTCGGCTACGGGAGGAAACAGGTGGGAGTTCCGTGAGTCCCCTCATCCCACCAACCAAGAGGGGCGGTCACTGCATGGACCCCGATCCACGTGTGGACTCAACACACTAGGGCTTAGCACTCTGTCACCGCATTCTCTCACTCATGCAACAAGTATTTATGAAGCCAGAGTACTCAAGAAAGACACGGTCCCTGCCTACCTGCACCTTTCTGACTTGTGGGAGAACACATTTAATCACACAGGGACACAAAAATTACAACATAAAGAAGCGTCCCTTTGAAAAATAGCTCACATGATACTTCCCACTACCCTGCCTTTCTGCTGACACCTACCAACCTCCAGGCCACTCCTCACTCCCTAAAGACTCCCTAAAGATGTTAGCTGCTGGTTCTCCATCTTCCTCTCTCAGTCATCACTCTCGGTGATTCAACACTTATAAATACTATCTAACATTTTGGATTTGACAGTTCCTTGATCTCCTTTTAGATGTAAAAATGCTTCCCCACTCCTGATGTTTCTTTCCACCTGGAGGAACTCATCCGTATAACGAATGCTCTTGGCCTCTCTGCCCCAGGGGAGGTGGGGTGAGCTTGTCTGACCAGTAAAACTGAGAGGAAAAAATGGTGTGCTCAGCTTAGCTCTCCCTTCTTTTTGCAAGCAAGCACTCACCTGCCCACTTGCAGGAAGCTGGTGTTCTCTGCTTTTCCAGAGACCAACCTACCCTGGCCCACCTTGCCTGCAACTGATTGGGTAACTGCTGAATCTGGGGGTTCAATAAGCAGGATCATTTGGATTTCATATTAATCTATATCCTCTGGCTTTGAGGTTATTAGTAATAAAAGGTAATATTTCAGGTGTTGCCACCTAAAATACTAATCTACATCCTCTGGCTTCATGGTTACTAGTAACAAAAAGTATTTCAGGTGCTATCTGCCACCTAAAATGTCTCGAATTTGTTCAAATTCTCAGGCAGGAAAGAAGGATATTATTATGAGCTAACTCACTATCTCAATACTCTCCCCTACCACACTGGTCCACTTCCAAGGTCATACCCTAGGTCAGTCCCTAGGTCAAAGTTTGCAGACTTCCCCGGTAAGGGATGTTCCTCTGGCATGCTTGTAAATCTCCCCTGGAAAATATGATTCAGCAGGTCTAAGACTCCTGGTGATTTTTATCTTTAGGGAAGCTGAGATCCTGCCAAACACCCAAAGAGGTAGGCGGTGGGAGGCAAAGGACTCTGTAGAGAATTTAATAATCTAAGAATTTAATAATCAATAAAATTGTCTGTCAGTCAGCTTCCTACAGTGCATTTTAACAATTTCAGAGATGAAACACGCCTCCCGCATGAGAGACCACTCCGGCTGTGCCTCAACTCAAGCCACCCACCCCAGCCCTCCTACCCTAGTAGGCCATCACCAGTGATAGCTCTCCTTGGAAATCTGGACTTCAAGCACCCAACTCTAGCCACGCCTCATCTTTCTGGTTTTCTCCTTCCAGAGGCCAAGCTCCAACAAGGCTGTGGCCTGTCAGGTGAGAACCTCTATTCAATTCATCCTACCAATTTCTAGTGTCCCTTCTACCCCCTTTCCCTTTGAGAACTCACTTGGCAAAACTCTCAGCCCAATTAAACCCGACCCTCCACTGCACCGGACCCACTGAACCCAGCAGGAGGACAATCACAACCCCACCAAGACATCATATTTAATTAATTAATTAATTAATTATTTTAGAGACATAGTCTGGCTCTGTAGACCAGGCTGGGGTGCAGTGGCGCGATCTCGGCCCACTGCAACCTCCACCTCTCAGGTCCCGGTTCAAGCAATTCTCCTGCCTCAGCCTCCCCAATAGCTGGGATTACAGGAACTCGCCACCATGCCCAGCTAATTTTTGTATTTTTAGAGGAGACGGGGTTTCACCATGTTGGCCAGGCTGATCTTGAACTCCTGGCCTCGTGATCCACCTGCTTCAGCCTCCCAAAGTGCTGGGATTACAGGTGTGAGCCACCACACCTGGCCAAGATATCATATTTATTAAGACCATAAAAGACACATAGCACATTGCAGCAATCCTATGACATTTTCCTAGTAAATTTACTCCCATTTTCTACTCTCCTCAACCCTCCAACACCTTTCCCCATTGAATGACAATCTCACTTCCCAATTCACTGAGATGAATTCAGAACCAGGCCACTTTTCCCCTATGGAATCCACTAGTCACCTATAGCAGTCATCTACAGCTTCAGACCAGGCACTCTTTCCTGTTACCACAGATGAGTTGAATGGGCGCGGTGGCTCACACCTGTAATCCCAACACTTTGGGAGGCCAAGGTGGGCAGATCACTTGAGGTCAGGAGTTCAAGACCAGCCTGACCAACATGGTGAAACCCCGTCTCTACTAAAAATACAAAAATTAGCCGGGTGTGGTGGTGGGTGCCTGTAATCCCAGCTACTCAGGAGGCTGAGGCAGGAGAATCACTTGAACCTGGGAGGCAGAGGCTGCAATGAGCTGAGATCATGCCACTGCACTCCAGCCTGGGTGACAGAGTGAGACTCGGTCTCAAAAAAATAAAATAAAATAGATGAGCTGTCCTGTGGGCGGCAAGCCACCCAGGCACCGAGGCAAGAGACAGAGGACACGAGCTGTTCCAGTATAATAAAATATAAAACAAGAATAGTTATACTAGATATAGATCTTATATATGATTATATATGAATATCATTAATCATTAGTTTGTAGCAATTACTTTTTATTCCAATATTATGATAATCCTTGCTCTATAATCATAGCCTAGGAAAAACCAGGCCATACAGAGATAGGAGCTGAGGGGACATAGTGAGGTGTGACCAGAAGACAAGAGTGCGAGCCTTCTGTTATGCCCGGACAGGGCCACCAGAGGGCTCCTTGGTCTAGCGGTGACGCCAGCGTCTGGGAAGACGCCCGTTACCAGGCGGATCGTGGTCCAGCGGTAGCAAAAGGTGTCAAGGAACAACACCCGCTACTTAGCAGACTGGGAAGTGGCGGCGGCGGGAGGGGGGGGGGTGTCTCCCTTTCCCCAGGGGAGTTTAGAAAAGACTCTGCTCCTCCACCTCTTGTAGAGGGCCTGACATCAGCCAGGCTCGCCCACAGTTATCCAGAGGCCTAACCATCTCCCTGTGATGCTGTGCTTCAGTGGTCACACTCCTAGTCTGCCTTCATGTTCCATCCTGTACACCTGGCTATGCCTTCTAGATAGCAGTAGTAAATTAGTAAAAATACTAATAGTCCCTGATATGCAGAAATAATTGCGTAAGCTGTCTTTCTCTCTGTCTCCTCTCCCTCCCTGCCTCGGCTGCCAGGCAGGGAAGGGCCCCCTGTCCAGTGGACACGTGACCCACATGACCTTACCTATCCTTGGAGGTGACTCACATTCTTTACCCTGCCCCTTCTGCCTTATATGCAATAAATAACAGCGCAGCCCAACATTCGGGGCCACTACCGGTCTCCGCGCATTGATGGTAGTGGTCCCCCGGGCCCAGCTGCCTTTTCTCTTGTCTCTTTGTCTTGTATCTTTATTTCTACACTCTCTCGTCGCCGCACACAGGGAGAGACCCACCGACCCTATGGGGCTGGTCACTACACTATCCCTGCTCCATGGGGCCTGATTCCATATCCCCTCTCCTCCTTAAGGACTTCCATACTCCACTAAAACTGCTCTTCCGTCCAAAGACCAGCCTGATCTCCATACCTGATGCAAAATTACCTAAGACCATGTTTCTACCAGCAGCACAGATTGCATGAATGACTTGCCCTCCTTCCTGAAACCCTTTCTTTACTTGGCTTCTGTGACTGTCCTGTGCTTTTCCACCTACCTTCCTGGTTCCTCTTTAGCTAACAGACTTTAGGGTTTGGGGGCCCTCAGGGCTCCATCATCTCCCAGTTCTCTTATGTTTACCAATTAAGCTCATCCAGTCTTATGGCTTTACATACCTTCTCTACGGGGATGACTCCCACGTATTTATATCCAGCCCAAACTACTCCCCTGAACTTGAGACTCGATGTGATCCAACTGCCTCCACAGCACCTCCACTTGGATGTCCAGTTGGATCTATTATGTGTCATGTTGGAGTCCTCATGGCTCCTTTGCCCCCACTACCGGTTACTCTCCCAATCTTCCCATTTTAGGAAATGAAACCACCATTCAACCAGCTACTCTGCCCAAAAACTTAAGATTTGATTCCTCTTTTCCTCTTTCACCTCAATCAGCACGTTTTTGGCTCAACAAGTGAAATATATAAGCAATCCAACTGCATCTCACCACCTTCATCTAAACTGTCACTTCTCAGGCTGGGCGCGGTGGCTCACAGCCTGTAATCCCAGCACTTTGGGAGGCCAAGGTGGGCGGATCACCCGAGGTCAGAAGTTCGAGAGCAGCCTGGCCAACATGGTGAAATCCCATCTCTACTAAAAATACAAAAATTAGTTGGGCGTGGTGGTGGGCACTTATAATCCCACCTACTCAGGAGGCTGAGGCAGGAGAATTGCTTGAACCTGGGAGGCGGAGGTGGCAGTGAGCTAAAATAGCACCACTGCACTCCAACCTGGGTGAGAGGGAGACTCTGTCTCCAAAAAAAACAATAAAGAAATAAATACACTGCCACTTCTCAGTTGGACACTGCCACACTCTCTTCACTGGTCCCATGCTCTAACATGCCATTCTCCCCACAGCAGCCAGAAGAGGGAGGCTCTTAAAAATTTAAGTTACATCACCTCCATCATTCTACTAAAGTAAACAAAACTAAACAAGCAAACCCTCCAATGGCTTCCCTCAATCTTCGGGCCCTATCTGCATGACTGCCTGCCCCTCCTCCATCTCTCCACTTTCCCCACTCACTAGCTGTTCAACACACAGGCTTCCTGACTGACTTCAGGCAAGCTCCACTCATTTCCACCTCAGGGCTTTAACCCAAGCAGTTCTCGGCCTGGAAGGCTCCTCTCAAGCACCTAATACAGTACCTGGCACACAGTAGGTGCTGAAAAAAACCTGGAAACAGGAAAGAACCTAGTATATCCCTGCTAGAGGAACCAAGAGTGCACCAGGGTGACTCAAATAGAGGCATAAGATGAGTTGGGACTTCAGTCCCAGTGAAGTGGGGAACCTACAGTTTTCAGGGGCCAGCATTCAGAGACCAGATTTGTCTTTTGAAAAGACCCCATTGGCTGCTGTGTGGATCTGCGGAGCAAGAGATCCAGGGAGACCTGCAAGGAGAGAGACCAGACTGGGGTGGTGACCGTGGAGACAGACAAGTGGCAGATCTGCTCACATAAAATGGAGACAATACTACTTTATCTGTATGCATGTCTGTGCCACCCCTGTCTCTGGGTCACCTTTGTGTCTCCAGCATGACCTGGCTCAGAGAAGGGGTCAGCAACTGTTTACCGACCATATCTGTCCTCAGAACTGAATGAAAGATCCATGAGAGGGGCTGGCACGTGACAAGGGTGGCAAAGAAAAACAACACAAATCTGAACCTAGTCTGAGTCCCAGCATTTACTAATGACCCAGAGAGGACCCAGAGAGGAGTTTGCTGCAGGTTCCATAGCCAATTAACCGCAGAACCAGAACTGGCAGCCAGGCAGGGCTAGAGCAGAGGCCCCTCTCAAGGCCCCTCCTGGGAGGGGCCCGGCTGTATGGGACAATGGGTTATGCCCTGTGCTGCTAAGCTCCACCCCTCCACCACCACATGTCCCTCCAGCTAAAAATAACTCCTTCAGTGCCCTCGAGGACACTGTGCCAGCCCCACAGTTTTCCCTGGGACCCTCAACTCCAAAGGCACAGGAGAGGCTAGATGCTGCAATCTCTGGAGCTAAGGACTTGCAAAAGTCACAGGAACACCTGTCCCCAGGACAAGCCAAGAGGAACAGCAAGAGCCCCTGTAAACATCAGTTTCTTCATCTGTAAAGTGTGGATAATCATCCCTAGCTTGCTATGCGCCTTAAGTAAAGATAATGCCATATGATCAAGATCTGGCATACAGCAGGGCCTCCTTCCTCCAGCCCCACCCAGCTAAGCTCCCCATCCCCAAATCCAGCTTTATCTCCACCCACACAACCCAATGGCCCCAATCCTGACCCACTAATCTCTCCACAGTATGACAAGCCCCCATTCCAGCTCTACTATTGATGTGACCTTCACATAACCTTTCTGGGTTCAGTTTCAGCATCCACACAATGGAGACAGTCTACTCTGGTAGCAACTTGATGAACTACTTCAACAGAATCTTTGCAAGTCACCTCCCAAGGGCCTCAGTTTCATGCTCTATATAACGGGATTACGTCCACCTCTATGAAGATTATTGTGTAAACACACGTAAATCACCAGATATACAGCAAGTGTTTCCATAAATGTGGATGGCATTCTCCAGACTTAATAGTGTCTTTTTTTGTTTGTTTTTTTTTTTTGAGACAGGGTCTTGCTCTGTTGCCCAGGTTGGAGCGTGGTGGTGCAATCTCGGCTCACTGCAACCTCCGTCTCCCCGGCTCAAACAGTCCTCCTGCCTCAGCCTCCCGAGTAGCTGGGAATGAAGGCGCCCGCCACCACGCCCAGCTAGTTTTTGTATTTTTGGTAGAGATAGCGTTTCACCACGTTGGCCAGGCTGGTCTCGAACTCTTGACCTCAAGTGATTCGCCCACCTCGGCCTCTCAAAGTGCTGGGACTACAGGGGTGAGCCACCACACCCGGTCCAATAGTGTCAAAGTTACTTGAAAAGCTACCAGCCAAACTGAACTGGTTTTTGCTGAAAATTCACTAGGATTGTTCCGCGTGTATTCGCTTGCACACAGTGGTGAAAGGGTGCGCTCAGAGATCTAGATGGCCTGCGTTCCAATCTTGCTCCATCACCACCAGCTGTAAGACTGAGGGCAAGTTACCTCTGCCTCAGGATTCTCATCATAAAATGAGAACAGTTTCCCTATAGAGCCATGAGACTAGAATAAAGCTAGAAGGCAGTGCCGATCCCACAGGAAACACTAAGTAAACGTTAACTATCCCTGTATTACACTTCAATCGGTGGGACAGCAGGATTTTTCAAACCACTCCAAATTTTCTTCGAGATTTCTGCAAGGCTGCCCCTGCTGGAGGGGTGGGGGACCCCACAGGTTGGGTAACTGGCCCAAAGTCCCAGGGGAGAGGAGGATCGGAGCCGGCCTGGGGCTCGCTTTCCAGGCCTCTCCTCATACACCCTCCGGGGTGCCCTCGCCGTCCCTGTAGGAGGCCCAGAGAGGGGTGGACGCTCGTCGGGGCCGCCCAGCTGGACAGGGTCCGGTCCAGGCCTAGGAGGCCGGGCGCAGGCCCCCCGAGCAGGGTCCGGCAGGTGCCAGCCGTCCCAGGCCGTGGCCAGGTGTGCTCTCCCGCGGAGCACGCCGCCAGTTTGCGGCTCGCAGACCGCGCGGCGGCCCCGGCGTCGCGGGGCATGCTGGGACTTGTAGTCCACGGCCACCCGGAACGGCCCGCTCATGGCCGCGCGAGAACTCCAACTTCCAGCTGGCTTCGCGCGGCCAGAAACGCGCCGAGGCTGCGATTCCAGGGGGTCCAGAGAGCCCCGAGTCGGCCCTGCAGCCCCCGCCACGAACAAGCCCCGGGCGGGTGCCGGGCGGCCGCAACCGGCTGCAGGTCCTGGGACTCACCGACTTTGTAGGGCAGTTTGTCAGACATGCTGGCGGCACTCGTGATGGAAACGGGCGAAGGGGGCTGGGCCTCAGTCTGGGAACAGGAACTGGGCGGGCAGCGCCGAGCAGGGATATGCGCGTGGCGCCGACGCCTTTAAATATCTTCCTCGCACTTGCATATTCATGACCCGCTGGGGCGGGGCCCAACGCGCAGGGCGGAGCCGGAGGGGATTTCGATCCCTGAAAAGAAGCCTCAGAATTTCACAAGGCGTGGCCCCAGGAGTCTCACTCACCGGTCCGGAAGGGAGCGCCGGGAGAGGCCTGAGAGCCAGCCGGGCCGTCCTCTCGCTGGTTCAGCCAGTTGATTCAGTGTCAAAACCCAGCGGAACTGAAATTCCGCCAGTTCACTTCCCTGTGCCTCAATTTCCTCATCTGTAAAATGGGCCAAATGACATCTGCCACACAGATTATTATAAGTAAAGTTGCAGGCCAGGCGCGGTGGCTCACACCTGTAATCCCAGCACTTTGGGAGGCCAAGGCGGGAGGATCGCTTGAGCCCAGGAGTTCAAGACCATCCTGGGCAACACAGTGAGACCTGAACTCTACAAAAAAAAATTAAAAATTAGCCGGGCGTGGTGGCGCGCGCTTGTGGTCCCAGCTACTTGGGACGCGGAGGCGGGAGGGAGGATCTTTTGAGCCTGGAGATCGAGGCTGCAGTGAGCTATCATCCCACCACAGCACTTGAGCCTGGGCGAAAGGGCAAGACCCTATCTCAAAAAAACCAAAACAAAGTTAAGTTGCCATTTGTCAGGTACCTACTGACATCCCAAACATTCGCCTTACTCCAAGTAACCAACACCCTGAATTTAAGTAAGTTTGCATACATTTCTTATACTTTTACTGCATCCGTATATCATTAAATAGTTCTGTGTTTAGCACCTTTATATATCAACCGTATTTACCCTTCTGCAACTTGCTTTTTTCTGTGAGCATTATATTTATGAGACTCATGCATATAGCTTGAGTATATTCATTTTTGCTGCTGTATAATTCAGTCATCCCAGGCATGGGAAGGGGAAATTGGTTTCAGGACCTCTGTGGACTCCAAAACCCTTCTATGTTCAAGTCCCTCATATAAAATGAGGCAGTATTGGCATATAACCTATGCACATTCCTCCGTACACTTTAATCATCTCTAGATTACTTATAACTAATATAATGTAAATGCTATGCAAATGGTTGTTTTGTAATTTGTATTATTTTTATAGTTATGTTTTTTTAATTGCTTTTTTTCCCCTGAATTTTTTTTTTTTTTTATGGAGTCTCACTCTGTCGCCCACACTGGAGTGCAGTGGCACCATCTAGGCTCGCTGCAACCTCCACCTCCCGGGTTCAAGCAATTCTCCTGCCTCAGCCTCCCGAGTGGCTTGGATTACAGGCACGCACCACCACACCTGGCTAATTTTGTTTTTTCTTTTTTTGAGATAGAGTTTGGCGCTTGTTGCCCAGGCTGGAGTGCAATGGCATGATCTTGGCTCACACCAACCTCTGCCTCCCGGATTCAAGCGATTCTCTTGCCTCAGCCTCCCGAGTAGCTGGGATTACAGGCATGAGCCACCACGCCTGGCTAATTTTGTATTTTTAGTAGAGACGGGGTTTCTCCATATTGGTCAGGCTAATCTCGAACTCCCGACCTCAGGTGATCCGCCAGCCTCTGCCTCCCAAAGTGCTGGGATTACTGGCGTGAGCCACCGTGCCCGGCCTCTACTCATTTTTTAACCTAAAAATGAGAAAAGAATTAAACTCTTCTGGCCGGGCGCGTGGCTCACGCCTGTAATCCCAGCACATTGGGAGGCCGAGGCGGGCGGATCACGGGGTCAGGAAATCGAGACCATCCTGGCTAACAGGGTAAAACCCCATCTCTACTAAAAATACAAAAAAAAAAAAAAATTAGCTGGGCGTGGTGTCGGGAGCCTGTAGTCCCAGCTACTCGCAAGGCTGAGGCAGGAGAATGGCGTGAACCCGGGAGGCCGAGCTTGCAGTGAGCCGAGATCGCACCACTGCACTCCGGCCTGGGCGACGGAGGGAGACTCTTGTCTCAAAAAATAAAAAATAAAAATAAGAATTAAGGTCTTCTATGACATAGTAAATGTATTGGTCTCACTTGATCTGTACATCTGACCTCTGTCTGAGAGTCATGAGGGCCGATGTCAAGCAGAGACTTCCTGAGGGAACGAGGGTCCACGCCTGGGAGGTGGGCAGCAGGGTCCTCACGCATCCCTTTCAGCATTCTGCAGTGCATTGCAGTGTGTAGTGAGTCGTGTCAGTCTAACTAAACGTAGGATCATGTTACTAGGTTGTCCTACGAGAACAGAAAAATGGCTTCAAAATATTCCTGCAAAGAAATGGCAAGTTCCAGATACTGTGAAAATTACCAGCACAGCAAACAAGTAGAAAAGGACACAGCTGACAGGTCTCTTTCTGGTATGAATGCTGGTCTTTGTCAGCCATGTTGTAAGGAATGTAATAAAATTTGAGAAAACAATGAAAAAGACACTTTGAAATATGAATTTACGGACCAGGCGCAGTGACTCACACCTGTAATCCCAGCACTTTGGAAGCCGGGGCGAGTGGATCACTTGGGGTCAGGAGTTCCAGACCAGCCTGGCCAACATAGTGAAACCCTGTATCTACTAAAAATACAAAAATTAGCCGGGCGTGATGGTGCACGTCTGTAAACTCAGCTACTCAGGAGGCTGAGGGACAAGAATTGTTTGAACCCAGGAGGCGGATGTTGCATTGAGCCAAGATTGCGCCACCGCACTCCAGCCTGGGTGACAGAACAAGACTGCCTCAAAAAAAAAAAAAAAAAAAGAAAAAAAAAGAAATGTGAATTTACATGCCCTCTCATTAATTAATGATGACTCTCATCCTCACTGTATATCGTGCTTTGAGATATCAGCTAATGAGATATTTGCTAATATTTGTACCGTTAAGTTCATATGAACAAAACTTTGGAGACTGCTGGTCTCAGGAGAAGGTCTAAGCACCTTAGTCTGGCCTTATGCAACCTCTCTAGCAGCAGAATGTTCTAGCCTATGGATATATTGCAATTGATATAGCCAATTTCCTATTATTTCAGCTTCTTTTTTTTTTTTTTTGAGAAAGAGTGTCTCTCTGTTGCCCAGGCTGGAGTGCAATGGTGTGATCTCGGCTCACTGCAACCTCTGTCTCCCAGGTTCAAAGTGATTCTCGTACCTTAGCCTCCCAAGTACCTGGGATTACAGGCACACGCTCCCACACCCGGATAATTTTTGTATTTTTAATAGAGACGGTGTTTCACCATGTTGGCCAGACTGGTCTTGAACTTCTGACATCAAGTGATCCTCCCGCCTTGGCCTTCCAAAGTGCTGGGATTACAGGTGTAAGCCACCACGCCCAGCCAGGTTCTTTTAATGGATGAACAGTTAAACAAATTGGTACAGCCATACCATGAAATAATACTCAGCAAAAGGAATAAACTTTGATAAATGCAGCAACCTGGATGAATCCTTAGAGAATTATGCTGAGTGACAAAAACCAATTCCAATATATTACATAGTATATTATTTCATTTCTATAATATTCTTGAAATGACCAAATTATAGAAATGAACCACAGATTAGTGGTTGCCAGGTATTAGGTAGGGGACGGGAGCAAGAGAGAGGTAAATGTGGCTGTAAAAGGGCAACATGAGGAAACTTTGTGGTGATGGAATGTTCTGGATCTTGCTTTATCATTGTCAGTATCCTAGTTGAGATGTTTTATTATGGTTTTGCAAGATGTCACCATTGGGAGAAAGCGAGCAAAGGGCATTGGGATTTCTCTGTGTTTTCTTTGTTTCTTTTTTCTTTTTCTTTTTTTTTTTTTTTGAGACAGGGTCTGCTATCTAGGCTCACAGCAACCTCCACCTCTCCCAGGCTCAAGCCATTCTCCTGCCTCAGCCTCCTGAGTAGCTGGGATTACAGGTGCATGTCGCTACCACCCGGCTAATATTTATATTTTTAGTAGAGATGGGCTTTCGCCATGTTGGCCAGGCTGGTCTTGAACCTCTGACCTCAAATGATCCACCTGCTTCAGCCTCCCAACATGCTGAGGTTTTTTTGTTTTTTGTTTTTTGTTTTTTTTGTCGGAGTTTCGCTCTTGTTGCCCAGGCTGGAATGCAATGGCAAAATCTTGGCTCACTGCAACCTCCTCCTCCCAAGTTCAAGCAATTCTCATGCCTCAGCCTCCTGAGCAGCTGGGATTACAGGCACATGCCACCGTGTCCAGCTAATTTTGTATTTTTAGTAGAGATGGGGTTTCTCCATGTTGGTCAGGCTGGTCTCGAACTCCTGACCTCGGGTGATCCGCCCGCCCTGGCTTCCCAAAGTATTGGGATTACAGGCGTGAGCCACCGTGCCCAGCCCCCTGTGTTTTCTTACAACTGCACATGAATCTACAATTATCTCAAAATAAAAGGTTTAATTACAAATGATAATGTTCATTGTTGGTGAGTGTATGGCAAAGTTTTGTCACCCATTAAATTAAAAAAATTTTTTAACTTTTATTTTAGTTCAGGGGTACCTGTGCCAGTTTGGTACATAGGTAAACTGGTGAGTTGGGGGTTTGGTGTACAGATTATTTCATCACCTGGGTACGAAGCACAGCACCTAAGTTTTTTTTTTTCTAAACCTCTCCCTTTTCTCACCCTCATCCCTCAAATAGGGCCCATGTCCATTGTTCCCTCTCTCTGTTGATGTGTTTTCATTATTTAGCTTCCACTTATAAGTGAGAACATGCTGTATTTGGTTTTCTGTTCCTGGGTTAGTTTGTTAAGGATAATGGCCTCCAGTTGCATCTATGTTCCTGCAAAGGACATGATCTTGTTCTTTTTTATGCATGCATAGTATTCCATGGTGTATATGTACCACGTTTTCTTTATCCAGTCTACCATTAATGGGAATTTAGGTTGACTCTATGTCTTTGCTATTGTGAATAGTACCTGTTAAATTTTAAAAGATTTGGCCAGGTGTGGTGGCTCAGGCCTATAGTCCCAGCACTTTGGGAGGCCAAGGCAGGTGGATCACTTGAGGTCAGGAGTTCAAGGCCAGCCTGGCCAACATGGCAAAACCGCATCTCTACTAAAAATACAAAATTAGCCGGGCATGGTGGCATGCACCTGTAATCCCAGTTACTTGTGAGGCTGAGGCAGGACAGTTGCTTGAATCTGGGAGGTGGAGGTTGCAGTGAGCCAAGATTATGCCACTGCACTCCAGACTTGGTGACAGAGAGAGACTCTGTCTAAAGAAAAAGAAAATTTTTTTTAAGTATTTGAAATCCATAATTATACCCAATTTTGGAGAGTATCAAGACTAGGAACCAAATTTCTGAAGGGTAATTAATTTGGCAATTTTTTTTTTTTTTTTGACACAGAGAGTTGCTCTGTCACCCAGGCTGGGGTGCAGTGGTGCGATCTCTGTTCACTGCAACCTCCGCCTCCCGGGTTCAAGCGATTCTCCTGCCTCAGCCTCCTGAGTAGCTGGGATTACAAGCACCCACCACGATGCCCAGCTAATTCTTATATTTTTAGTAGAGACGGGGTTTCACCATGTTGGTCAGGCTGGTCTTGAACTTCTGAGCCCAGGTGATCTGCCTGCCTCGGCCTCCCAAAGTGCTGGGATTACAGGCGTGAGCCACTGCGCCTGGCCAATTTTTTTTTTTTTTTTTTTTTTGAGATGGAGTCTCCCTCTGCTGCTCAAGCTAGGGTACAGTGGCACACTCTCAGCTCACTGCAACCTCCGCCTCCTGAGTTCAAGTGATTCTCCTGCCTCAGTCTCCCAAATAAGTGGGATTACAGGCATGCACCACCACACCCGGCTAATTTTTGTATTTTTAGTAGAGACAGGGTTTCACCATGTTGGCCAGGCTGGTCTCGAACTCCTGACCTGAAGTGATCCACCTGCCTTGGCCTCCCAAAGTGTTGAGATTACAGGCGTGAGCCACCACGCCTGGCCGGATTTATCTATTTCTATCTATTAGTTTTTGCTTCACATATTTTGCAGCTCTGTTTTCCATACATACACACTTCGGAGTGCTATGTTTTCTTAGTGGATTGACCTTTTATCATTAATAATGAAAATGAGCCAGGAGTTTTGGTGCGCCCTGTAACTTCAGCTACTTGTGAGTTGGAAGGATCGCTGGAGCCCAGGAATTCAAGGCCAGCCCGAGCAATATATTAACAGCAAGACCTCCTCTCTTAAAATAAAAAATTAGGCCAGGCACAGTGGCTCATGCCTGTGATCCCAGCACTTTGGGAAGCCGAGGCTGGCAGATCACAAGGTCAGGATTTCAAGAGGAAACCCCTGTCTCCACTAAAAATACAAAAATTAGCCGGGCGTGGTGGCAGGCACTTGTAATCCCAGCTACTTGGGAGGCTGAGGCAGGAGAATCGCTTGAACCCAGGAAGGGGAGGCTGCAGTGAGCCGAGATCGTGCCATTGCACTCCAGCCTGGGCTACAAGAGCAAGACTCTGTCTCAAAATAAATAAGTGAATTAATTAATTAAAGAAAGAAAAAAGAGAAAAGAAAAGAGAGAGGAGGAGCAGGACAGAAGGAAGGAGGGAGGGAGAAAAGGAGGTAGGGAGGGAAGGAGGGAGGGAGGAAGGAAGGAAAGAAGGAAGGAAGGAAGGGAAGGAGGGAGGGAAGGGAAGGAAGGAAACAATAGAAGAACCATGGAGGTGGAGGGGTGCCTTCTTAGTGCCAGGTTGGGGGTGAAAGTCCAGGCTCCCTATGTGGCTTGGGGAAATTGAATGATGAATTTTTTTTTTGAGACAGAGTCTCACACTGTTACCCGGGCTGGAATGCAGTGGCGCGATCTTGGCTCACTGCAACCTCCACCTCCCAGGTTCAAGCGATTCTCCTGCCTCAGCCTCCCAAGTAGCTGGGATTACAGGCGCCTGCCACCACGCCCAGCTAATTATTTTTATTTTTATTTTTAATAGAGATGGGGTTTCACTATGTTGGCCAGGCTGGTCTTGAACGCCTGACCTCGTGATCCACCTGCCTTGGCCTCCCAAAGTGCTGGGATTACAGACGTGAGCCACCATGCCCGGCTGATTAATTTTATTTTTAAGTTTACTATCACATGGATAAAAAGTTTACAGTTTAATAACATACTATTGGTAAGAGTGTGGGGAAACAGGCCTCCTCATACTTTGGTTTTGGGATTGTACATTGGCACAACCTTAATGAACAACACTCTGGTAATAACTAACAAGATTACAAACCCGCATGCCCTTTGACCAAGCAGTTCCACTTCTAGGAATTTATTCCAAAGATGTTTGTACACATGAGCAAAATGACGTTAAGAACAAAAGACTGTCCTTCCATGGAAGACTTGTTAAATAAATATTGGTACAGTCCACATGATGGAATATGCAGATAGCCATTTTTTTGTTTAAATGAGCTGTTTATCTAACAATATAGAATGATCTTCAAGATATGGTGGCCCAGTGCGATGGCCCAAGCCTGAGGCCTAAGCGCCACTGCACTCTGCCTGGGCAACAAAGCGAGACCCTGTCCGTATTTTAAAAAAACGACAGTCGGGCGTGGTGGCTCATGTCTGTAATCCCAGCACTTTGGAAGGCTGATTCGGGCGGGTCACCTGAGGTCAGGAGTTCGAGATCGGCCTGGCCAACATGGCGAAATCCCATCTCTACTAAAAATACAAAAATTAGGCGGGCGTGGTGGCACACACCTGTAATCCCAGCTACTCAGTAGGCTGAGGCAGGAGAATCGCTTGAGCCCGGTAGGTTGCAGTGAGCCGAGATTGTGCCACTGCACTCTAGCCTGGGCAACAGAGTGAGACTCTGTCTAAAAAACAAACAAAACAACAACAACAACAAAACCAACAACAAAACATATAATGAAGGACAAAAAGCAAAGTGCAGAACGGTGCGCCTAGTATGCGATTATTTATGTAAAAGAAAGAAAAGAACACACAAACAGGTATTTGCCTATACATGCAGAAAATATACCAGGCTGGATGTACAAGAAACTGCTAACAGTGCTTCCCTGGGGATCCCCGCCCACGCCGCTGAAAGCTGCCCTGGACGTTAACTGTTGATGTCCCTTCTCCAGGTCCAGGCCCCAGTGGAGCTTCTGGCGGGAAGGTCGAAACCCCAGGCAGAAGCAGGTCCCGGTCCCTCCTCCCGACCTTTGTACCTGCCTTTTCCGTGTTTGCTTTTGCAAACAATTAGGTCCTGGGCGCGGAGGGGCGGAGAGGGGGCGGAGAGGGGGCGGAGGGCGCACAAGCCTGCCCTTTGGCCGCGGGGCTTTAGCCTGCCCTAGCTTCAGCATCCCCGCTCGCCTCCCGGCGGTCCTGCGTCTCACTCTGGATTAACTGGAGGCTTCGAGATGGGATAGAGAGGGGTGCAGGCGCTGAGAAAGCCCGCTGATGGGGATGGAGCCGGATTAAGCAGTTCTGTGGAGTTCCTCCCTTCTTGTCCACCCCGCTAGGGGTCTCTCCTTTCCCGCTGTATCCACGCCCCTCCCTCCAGGCCCCCTGGGCCCACCTCGAAGTCACCGCTGGGCTGGGGAGTACAGAGGTGGGGGACTTCTTAGAGACCCTGGGACAGGGCCCCCCTCTCTCCCTCAATCCTTCTCATCCCACGCGGCTCCGCTGTGAGTCGGGCGTCCCAGGAGCTGCCGGCCCACCCATCCGCGGGTTTCTTCCGTTGGGGGAGCCCTCCAGACTCGTAGAATATAAGAGAGCGCCCCTCCCTAGCCGCGGGCCATCTCTAAGCGACAGGCTTTAAGAGGCACCCCGAAAGGGGGATGTGAGGTGGTGTGGTTCTATATCATTATATCGAAATCATCTGATTATGTGCCTGTCCCATTACTTCCAGGAGGGACAGAAACCTGTATGGCTTTGCCAGCTGCTGTGTCCCCAGGGTCCAGCTCAGTGCCTGGCACACAGACTGCACACAATATTTGGGAATGAATTAATGTTCCCAGATGTCTGCCCCGGAACCCACGCTGTGGTGCCCCTTGGCTTCAGCCCACAGTCCTGGCTCTCCTCAGGGTGGAGCCAGGGAGTCCCCTAATCCAGGTCTCTGACGTCCCCCGCTGAGGCTGGATCGTTCCCCAGTGGGGCTGGATGGCCTCTGGGTTCACTTCCCAGCCTTGTCTGAGCTTCCACGCCCCTTTTATCCTAATATTTGCTAAGAGCCTCGTCCAGGGACCTTAGGAGTCACACAGCCAGGGGTTCTGCCCCTGCCCTTCATTTCTCAGATGATAGAAAAGCAAAAGGAACACTCTGAGAACTTGTAATGGGGAGGAGTGGGGGGTTGGTCCAGTCTGACGGGGCGGGGGCAGGGTGGGAGACGTCCTTGGAGCGAGATCTGAGGCAGAGGAGCTCAGTCCACAGAAAGGGAGCACGGGCTCCACGCTGCAAGAGTAGGGAGCTGTAAGGTGCCCTCCCCAGACGGCTCCATTTTGCCCACCTTCCTTTGCGGATAGCACCCCTGGACCTCCGAGGTCAGCCTGTGCCCTGCAGCTGGAGTCGCCCTTGACTCCACTGTGCCAGGAGAGGGCACCCTGCTCCCAGCTTTGGCTTCAGACTGCTGCAGTGCAAACTCTTCCCTCCAGGGGCAGGATTTGGAGCGCTGTGATGATAACCTCCCAGCTGCCCTGGGAGAAAGCAAAGTACAGCTTATCGCTCCCTCCCATAGGAAGAAACTGAGGTTCAGAGAAGAGCAATGAATGTTGCTAGTAAGTGGTCTTTGGACTTGTTTTGAAGGGGCTTTAGCCCTTGGAAGCATTTGTCGGGATGTTTTTGTTCTGTTCTGTTTTGTTGAGCCAGGGTGTCACTCTTGTTCAGGCCGGAATGCTATGGCACCATCAGAGATCACTGTAGCCTCAAACTCCTGAGCTCAAGCAATCCTCCTGCTTCAGCCTCCCCAGTAGCTGGGACTACAAGCATGCATCACCACATCCAGCTTTTTTTTTTTTTTTTTTTTTTTTTTTTTGAGACAAAGTCTCACTATGTTGCTCAGGCTGGTCTCAAACTCCTGGGGTCAAGCAATCCTTCCACCTCGGCCTCCCAAGTGCTGGGACTACAGGCATAAGCCACATTGTTGGGACTGCTGGGTGTTGACAGTGACACCCAGGATAATGATACTAGTCCAAATTTATTATATCCAATGCTCCACACACAATTCTAAGCTCTTTGAACTTCCCTGTAAGGTAGATGTTGCCCTACTTTATAGATGCTACCCTATAAGGTAGGTACCCATTTAACACATGGAAAAACTGAGGCTCCTAGTGGTTGATTTGCCCACAGTTAGGAAGCACCAATGCTGTCTGACTCCAGAGTCGCTGCTGGTAACCACTGGGCTACCCTTCCTGCAATCATGCTCCCTGCTGCAACCCCCATGCCAGACATGTTCATTTGAGTGTGCTAGAGGCAAGGACAAAAAAACAGGACAAGACAAAGTCCCTGCTCCCATGGAGTTCCATTCAGTGAACATGTTTACACCTACAGATACATCCATACAAACCTTCAAACACATACTCATTCACACATCCCACCATCACACACGAATACTCATGCTCATGCACCTATGTACATACATACTACAGAAATAAGGCCAGGTGCGGTGGCTCATGCCTGTAATCCCAGCACTTTGGGAGGCCAAGGCAGGTGGATCACTGAAGGTCAGGAGTTCGAGACCAGCCTGGCCAACATGGTGAAACCCGTCTCTACTAAAAATACAAAAATTAGCGGGGCATGCTGGTACACACCTGTAGACCCAGCTACTTACTTAGAAGGCTGAGGCAGGAGAATAGCTTGAACCCAGCGGAAGAGGTCGCCGTGAGCCAAGATCGCACCACTGCACTCCAGCCTGGGCGACACAGCGAGACTCCGTCTCAAACACACACACATGTATATCCACACTCATACACTTCATACATACATTCACACATTCTCAAGTACTCACACATATTCAGACCCTCACCTTTGCACACACTCTGTTAGGTTAGACAAAAATCAGCTCTTTTTATTTTTTAAAAAATTTTTGTAGAGTAAGGGTCTCACTATGTTGCCAATACTGATCTCAAACTCCTGGGCTTAAGCGATCCTCCCACCTTGGCCTCCCAAAGTGCTGGGGTTACAGGCGTGAGCCACCACATCCGGCTAAGATCATCCCTATAACATTGACCTGTGCTTTAACTGCCAGATACCTGGAGCCCAAGATTCAGCTAGTAATCTGAGAGCTGTTTGTGACACCACTCCCTTCCTCTTCCCTTCCATTGATCCCACAAACATTGTTAACTGCCCACTCAGGGCAGGCAACACAGATGACTCAGACCTGGGCCCTGCTCTCAAGGAATTTCCTAGCCAGTGGGGAAAAAAGACTCACCAATGTTCACGACACAGATCATGGATGCCAGGGCAGGTCAGAGCAGAGAGTCCAAGGTGGAGGGAGAGGGTGACTCACTAGGCCTAGGGGCTGTGGAAACCTCTCAGAGGAAGAGGCGTCCACCAAAGTCTTCAAAATGAGTCAGGTAGAGAGAGAACTGTGCAGGTGTGGGAATCACATTTGCAAAGTCATGGCAGAGTAAGAAAGTGGGGACAAAATAGCTGGGCACAGAGGCTCACGCCTGTAATCCCAGCGCTTTGGGAGGCCGAGGCAGGAGGATCACCTGAGGTCAGGAGTTCAAGACCAGCCTGGCCAACATGGCGAAACCCTATCTCTACTAAAAATATGAAAATTAGCCAGGCATGGTGGCGGGCGCCTGTAATCCCAGCTACTTGGGAGGCTGAGGCAGGAGAATCACTTGTATCTGGGAGGTGGAGTTTTTAGTGAGCAGAGATCATGCTACTACACTCCAGCCTGGGCGACAGAGCGAGACTCTGTCTCAAATAAATAAATAAATATAAAAACTGGGGGAGTTTGCATGGAGCCCCATATTTCCAGCTTCTCTTGAGAAAATTATCTAGCAACTAGACTTATGTTGTCATAGCAATGGGTGGGTGAGCTAAATGTTAGCTGCCTTCTTTGAATGATGCATAAGTTCTCGAGGCCAACATATGTCCCCATCCCTGGCCCATATCGGTTGTTGATCCCTGACTTGAAGTTTTCTCAGTGGACCAGGATCATCCCAATGAGCATTGGTTGTCATTAAATAACCTTGGTTCTCATTTGCATAGCACCAACTGAGTCATTTTCCTCTACATTCAATGTCCTCACGTTGCAGGATTCTTGTGTTGCTTATGATTTACCTATCTCCTCCTTTTGTCTTCTTCCTATTGCTGATGTCAGTGAGGCCACCTCACATACCCTGCTCTCTTCCTAATGGAGTTGAACCCATCCAGCCAAAAACAGGAGTAGGATCCACAGGAAGGGGCTACTCCAGGAACCACTAACACTGTCAATTGCCAATTTCCAGGAACTAGGAGGGTTTTCTACCTTATTCCAGAAATACGGGGAAAAGAGGTGTTCTGAGTTAAATGATGGCCCTCCTCCCAAAGGATATGTTCACCTAGAATCTGCAAATGTGACCTTATTTGGAAGAAAAGTCTTTGTGGATGTAATTAAGTTAAGGATTTTGAGTTGAGACAATTCTGGATTAAGGTGTCCCCTAAATCCAGCATCAAGTGTCCTTACAACACAAGGAAAGGGAAGAAGACAGACACAGAGAAGACCACACGGTGAAGACAGAAGCAGATTGAGTGATGCATCTACAAGCCAAGGAAACCTGGGATTGCCAGCAGTCACCAGAAACCAGGATAGAAGCAGGGAACAGACTCTCCTCAGAGCCTCCAGAAGGAACCCACCCTGCCAATGCCTTGATTTTGGACTTCTGGCTTCCAGAACTGTGAGAGAATAAATTTCTGTTGTTGTAAGCCACCAAATGCGTGGTACTTCATAATGGCAGCTCTGGGAGTCTAATACAGATGGAAAGGGGAAGAGAAGATGGGGGAGATAGGTGGGGCGGAAGCCTGATCTTGTGACTCTGGTGACTCAGTTTCCCTTGTCCTGCCTTGGAGGTGGAGAATATGGAGAAGGCTGAAGTGCTAAGGGCAACAGCAAGAGTGGCTCAGGCGGTCATCCCAACCAGCACCCCAGGGCTCCAATGCCTCCCAGGAAATGAGTCATCTTGGAGAGCCATGGGTTTCTTCTCAAATGCCTTTTATTGTAAGCACATGGAGGAAGTGTTCTAAGGCAACAGCTCTTGAGAGGATGGTGGAGTGAGCCTTTAGGGAGGCAAATCAGCCAGGGCTGGCATCCCAAGTTCAGGAGTTCACACCAGGTGCCCATTCCAGGCCTGGGCAGAGGGGCAACCCAAAAGGGGAAGGGGCGATGGGCAGGGAACCGTAGGAGCAGAGAGAAGGAGGAGGGCAGTAGTGAGGCTTCTCAAGAAATAAGAGTTGGATCCTTCGGCCAGTGCTGCCTGTTTCTCCCTTCTCGCACCTCCTCATATTCATAAGCATTTATTCAGTGCCAGGACTGTGTTCACAATTAATATTTCAGTTTCCCCTTCTATAATATATAGAATGCTGAATATGATAGTCCTGAAATGTCTTTTTAGGACATTGTGTGGTTCTAGTTGCCAACCTGGATCTTAAAATGCAAACATTGACAATAACCCCTTAAACTTCAGCTTCAAGGATGGCTCCTCATAGCCTCTGTGTGAGTGGGCAGGGCTGGGATCATCAGACAGTGCATTTTACAGAAGAGAAAACTGAGGGATGAGCACCTGCCTAAAGTACCACAGAGTCAACTGTGGATGAGAGCCTGGGGCCTGGAGAGCTCATGCCCATATAGGGAGATTGCTGTGCCGGTGTTCACTTGCTATGAAGGAGCCCATCATGGGGAGTTGTGGTCTGAGATCCTGGACCTTGGGGGTAAAAGCAGAGGGTCCAGAAAGGGACAAAGATTGGCATCACCTCCCCATCATGGTCTGAGGCTGATTGTGGGTAATTCTCTGCCCTGGCCTCAGTGATTCTTTGCTGCATAACAAACCACCCATATTTATTGGCATAAAACAATTATTTATTTATTTATTTATTTATTTATTATTTTCTGAGACGGAGTCTCGCTCTGTCACCCAAGCTAGAGTGCAGTGGCGCAATGTCAGGTCACTGCAACCTCCGCCTCCCGGGTTTAAGTGATTCTCTGCCTCAGCCTCCCAAGTAGCTGAGATTACTGGTGCCTGGTTCATTTTTGTATTTTTAGTAGGGATGGGGTTTCACCATCTTGGCCAGGCTGGTCTTGAACTCCTGACCTCACGATCCACCTGCCTTGGCCTCCCGAAGTGTTGGGATTACAGGCATGAGCCACCAGGCCTGGCCACAACAATCATTTATTATTCATTTCTTTTGTTTCTTGGGGAGGGAGCATTGATTGGACTCAGCTAGGCCATTCTTGCTCAAGGTCTCTCATATGGCTGCAGTCTGGTGGTGGCTGGGCTGGAGTCAGCTTGAAGATCTCCTGATAGCCAGTTGATGCTGGCTACCTGGGACCTCAGATGGGGCTTCCAGCAAGGATATGATATGTGGATTCTCCATGTGGCCTGGGCTTCCACACAGCATGGTAGCTGGGTTCCAAGGGTTCCAAGGATAAGCATCCTAAGAGAGAGAGCCAGGCATAAGTTGTATCACCATTTATGACCTAGACTTTGAAGTCATGTGGCATCACTTCCATCATATTTAGTTGAGGTAGTCACAAAGCCCCACCCAAGTTCAAGAGAAGGGGCCATACACTATTGTCTTAGTTCATTTATGTTGCTATAAAGGAATACCTGAGGCTTGGTAACTTATCAAGAAAAGTGGTTTTGAAGCAGCCTTGTTGTCTGGGGGGTGATACCTGAGGTTTGTTGTCTCACAGCTGAGGAAATAAAGGACACGGACACACAAAGAGTGAGGTTAAGAGCAGAAGTTTAATAGGCGGAAGAAAGGGAATAGCTTTCTGCTGGAGAGAGGGGTCCCAGAGAAATGGGTTGCCAGATCCATGGTGAAATGCAAGGGAGTTTATAGATGCCTGGTGAGGAGACAGTGTCTGATTTACATAGGGTGTGAAAGATTGGTTGGACCAGGTATGCCATTTGCATAGGGCACAAATTTCTGGTAGCCCCCACCCTTATCTTTTACTATGCAGGTAGGTTCTTTGCCTGGCCTGTTACCCATGTTGCCCATTCCTTTACTGTACACGTGATAACAAAGGAAAGATGGAGCCTCCCTGTTGGATATCCCTGGTGCCTAGGTAGCCCAATTTTATTGGCACAGCTGCCAGCATTTCCCCATGCAAGCTTCCAGCTTGCTTATCTATGTTTGCAGCTCAATTTTTCAGGCTTCTCTTTGTTAGAAAAAAATAATTTCTTGAGCTGCTTTTTGTTAAAAGGGATGCTCTGTAGAGGACTGTTTTGCCCTCACTATCTGCCTAAATAATTCCTTTCTACCTGCTGTATCAGTTTATTGGCTCATGATTCTGCAGACTGTACAAGAAGCATGGTGCCCACATCTGCTTCTGGTGATTGGTGAGGGCTTCAGGCTGCTCCACTCATAGCAGAAGGTAAAAGGGAGCCATCCTGTGCAGACATCACACGGTGAGAGAATGGATGGAGGAGAGAGGGGGAAGGTGCCAGGTTCTTTTAACAATCAGCTCTTGTGGAAATTAATAGAGCGAGAACTTCCTCATTAACATGAGAATGGCAACATGCCATTCATGAGGGATCCACCCCCATGACCCAAATACCTCCCATTAGGCCCCACCTCTAACATTGGAGATCAACTTTCAACATAAAGTTTGAGAAGACAAACATCCAAAGTGCAGCAACTAGCTGTTGATGGGGGAGTGACAAGGTTCTAGAAGATGTAAATCAATAAATGGTTGGGAGCAGTGGCTCACACCTGTAATCCCAACACTTTAGGAGGTCAAGTCTGGCAGATTGCTTGAGCCCGGGAGTTTAAGACCAGCCTGGGAAACATGGCAAAACTTGTCTTTGCAAAAATTATCTAAGCATGGTGGCACCTACCTGTAAAGATAATCTTTACCTAATGTAAAGATAATTGAAGTAGGAGGATCACCTGAGCCCGGGAGGTCAAGGCTACTGTGAGCTGTGATCATGCCACTGAACTCCAGCTTGAGAGACAGAATAAGACCCTATCTCAAAAAAAAAAAAAAAAGGTTCAGTGGCTCATGCCTGTAATCCCAACACTTTGGGAGGTCGAAGTGGGTGGATCACTTAAGGTTGAGAGTTTGAGACCAGCCTGGCCAACATGGTGAAACCCCGTCTTTACTAAAAATACAAAAATTAGTTGGGTGTGGCCGGGCGTGGTGGCTCAAGCCTGTAATCCCAGCACTTCGGGAGGCTGAGGCGGGTGGATCACGAGGTCAGGAGATCGAGACCATCATGGCTAACACAGTGAAACCCCGTCTCTACTAAAAATACAAAAATTTAGCTGGGCATAGTGGCAGGCGCCTGTAGTCCCAGTTACTTGGGAGGCTGAGGCAGGAGAATGGTGTGAACCCAGGAGGTGGAGCTTGCAGTGAGCCGAGATCATGCCACTGCACTCCAGCCTGGGCGACAGGGCCAGACTCCGTCTCACAAAAAAAAAAAAAATTAGTTGGGTGTGGTGGTGAGTGACTGTAATCCCAGCTACTCGGGAGGCTGAGGCAGGAGAATCGCTTGAACTCGGGAGGCAGAGGTTGCAGTCAGCTGAGACTGTGTCACTGCACTCCAGCCTGGGTGACACAGCAAGACTCCGTCTCAAAAAAAAAAAAAGATGTAAGTCAATGAAAATGACCAAGCCAAGTCTCAATCATTTTAGGAGGTTTCTTTGCCAAAGTTAAGGATGTGTACCAAGGAGGCAGGTTTATGCCTTTCTCGAAAGGTGATTTTGAGGACTTCAGTATTTACAGGGGAAGGGGTGGATATTGGGGGAGAGGAAGAAATTTTTTAAAGATGTGGCTAGATAAGAGACAAATGATTACATCCTTTTGAATCTTTGATCAGCCTTTCACTGAATACACAATTTATATGTGAGGTGGGGTAGAGAAATAGTAACTTATGCCTCTGTCTGGCTCAGTGGATCTGCATTTTTATATAAGATAATGTAAACAATAGGGCAGAGGAAGCAATCAGATATGCGTTTGTCTCAGGTGAGCACAGGGCTGCCTTTGAGTTCTATCTGTCCTTTGTCAAAAGCCTGTGAATATAATGATCAATTTACATTGCCACAGTGAAATTCAACAGAACTGTTTTAGGGTAAAGATGGGCAAATTGTGAGAGAGGTATGTAGCTTTTGTCTTTGTAGCTTTCTGATTTAGGAACCAAATGGGAGATGGGAGATGGGTTTGCGTGACCCAGTTCTCAGCTTGACTTTTCCCTTTGGCTTAGTGAGTTTGGGGTCCCAAGATTTTGCTTTTTCACAAAGAGCATGAGGGATGGGAGATGTTGTGACCATTTCTGAAAAATATACTTTGTCGCACCAGATAAGGGGGTGAGCTCTGGAGTCAGATGCTTGGATTAGAATCCTAGCTTTACTATTTAATGCCTATGAGTCTCAGTTTCCTCATCTATGAAATGGTACTGATAGTAGCACTGCTTTCAGGGGATTACTGTGAGAATTGAGTGAGATAAAGACCCAAAGTGCAGGATATCCAGCCCACGACCTATGTTCAGTGGGTATCACTGTTGTTGGAACAGGTCATCATACTAAGCTCTGACCAGTGTGGTTCACTGCCCCAGGCCATTGCCTGTTTGTATGTGTGTTATGAAACCTGGAGAGGTGTTCAAGGATATGTGTTCGAATGGGTCCATGTGCACATGCCATGGGAGCTGAGCTTGAGGGAATGAATGAGTGTGTGTATGTGTTTGTCAGTGTGAGTGGGTGTGTAAGTGGAAACTTGGGCAGGGGTTTACATACATGAGGGCACATGCAGTGCTATTGTCAGAGACGTGTGAACCAGAGGGACTCCATCTTAAAGAGGAAATGGGTAAAATGAGAGGCTGAGACCTGCTGGGCTGCATTCCCAGATGGTTTAAGGCATTCTTTTTTTTTTTTTTTTTTTTTTTTGAGGTGGAGTTTCTCTTTTGTCACCCAGGCTGGAGTGCAATGGCGTGATCTCGGCTCACTACAACTCCACCTCCCAGGTTCAAGCGATTCTCCTGCCTCAGCCTCCCAAGTAACTGGGATTACAGGTGTGCACCACCACGCTTGGCTAATTTTTTGTACTTTTAGTACAGACTGGGGGTCTCACCATGTTGGCCAGCCTGGTCTCGAACTCCTGACCTCAGGTGATCTGCCTGCTTTGGCCTCACAAAGTGCTGGGATTACAGGTGTGAGCCACCGTGATTGGCAGGTTTAAAGCATTCTAAGTCACAGAATAACATAGGAGATCTGCACAAAATGCAGGTCATAAATACCTTGCTAATAAAACAGGTTGCAGTAAAGAAGCCACCAAAACCCACCAAAGCCAAGATGGCCACGAGAGTAACCTCTGGTCGTCCTCACTGCTACATTCCCACTGCAGCCATGACAGTTTACAAATGCCTTTGCAATGTTAGGAGGTTATCCTATAAGGTCTAAAAGGGGAGGGATGAATCATCCACCCCTTGTTTAGCATATAATCAAGAAATAACCATAAAAATGGGCAACCAGCGGCCATTGGGGCTGCTCTGCCTATGGAGTAGTCATTCTTTTATTCTTTTACTTTCCTAATAAACTTGTTTTCACTTTATGGGCTTGCCCTGAATTTTTTCTTGCGTGAGATCAAAGAACCCTCTTTGGGGTCTGGATCGGGACCCCTTTCCTGTAACACTATGGATGTCTGTGAGTGTGTGGGACAGAGGAGTGAGACCTTGAGGTCAAGTGTAAGCATGTGTGTCTACAACTGTGCATAATTAGGACTGTGTGTGGGTAAGTTAGCTGGTGAGGGTTATAAGAATATGAGATATGGCCAAGCATGTGTGTTAGATTGAGTGTGTATGTGTGTATGAGTGTTATGTGTTTTCCAGAAGGTGCTTGTCCATGCCTGATACTTGCAAAAAATGAGAAAATGTCGAAACAAAGAACACTTTCAGAGCTTTACAGAGATGTTCAAAGCAAATGAACCTCTGGGTACTGTGACCAGCTGGGAAGATGAGGCGAGCCAGGTGGAGGGGTGTGGAGAAAAGCTTTTCTGAAGTTCCTAATCTCACTCAGGCAAGGAGCCAGGGACCCTATTAGGGTCAAGTGCTTCCCACGCACAGTTGCCTTCTTAGTTTAGATGACAGCTGCACATCTGGGCCTTCTTCCTCCTCATCCCCATCATAATTAGTGGTTAATTCGTTCATTCATACAACAAACATTTACTCAGTACTGACTTTTAAGTGAAGTTTAGCCTAAACCTGACTCCTCACATATTTTGAAGTTCAGCCTAAAGGTTTCTCTGTACATTGTGAACTATAACCTAAATGGAATTGTAAACAGACTGCAGCCTACTCTTGTGCCAGTCACCGAGTTTTGCCAATCAGGTGTGGCCAGCTATTCAAACCGTGTTCAAATAAGACAAAAACGCCATGCTATAACCAATCTGGTTGTTTCTACAGAAACAACATTTTCCTTTTTCTGTTCATAAATCTTCTTCCACCACGTGGCTGTGTCATAGGCTATACTCATAGGTCGAACCAGAGCAACACCATCTTGAATAGGGGCTGGGTAAAATAAGGCTGAGACCCTGCTGAGCTGCATTCCAGGAAGTTAGGCATTCTAAGTCACAGGATGAGATAGGTCAGCATAAGATACAGGTTACAAAGACCTTGCTGATAAAACAGGATACAGTAAAGAAGCCAGCCAAAACCCACCAAAAACCAAGATGACATGAAAGTGCCCTCTGGTCGTCCTCACTGTTCATTATACGCTAATTATAATGCATTAGCATGCTAAGAAACAGTCTCGCCAGTGCCACGACAGTTTACAGATGCATGGCAACAGCTGGAAGTTACTCTATAAGGGAAGGAAACTTCACTTCCAGGAATTGCACAACCCTTTCCCAGGAAACTCATGAATAATCCACCCTTTGTTTAGCATATGGTCAAGAAATAATGATAAGTATAATCAGTTGAGCAGCCCATGCTGCTGCTCTGCCTATGGAGTAGCCACTCTTTTATTCCTTTACTTTCTTTTTTTTTTTTCTGAGACAAGTCTTACTCTGTCGCTCAGGCGGGAGTGCAGTGGCGCGATCTCGGCTCACTGCAACCTCTGCCCCACAGGTTCAAGCAATTCTCCTGCCTCAGCCTCCTGAGTAGCTGTGATTACAGGTGCATGCCACCACGGCTGGATAATTTTTTGTATTTTTAGTGGAGACGGGCTTTCGCTGTGTTAGCCAGGATGGTCTTAATCTCCTGACCTCTTGATCCGCCTGCCTCAGCCTCCCAAAGTGCTGGGATTACAGGCGTGAGCCACCGCACCCGGCCCTATTCCTTTACTTTCTTAATAAACTTTTCACTTTGTGGACTTGCCCTGAATTCTTTGTTGCGTGAGGTCCAAGAACCGTCTCTTGGAGTCTAGCTAGATTAGGACCCCTTTCCAGTGACAGCTGCGTGGGAGTCTCTGAGCCTACACTGGCTTGGGAGGCTGCCCATTCTTTGCTCAATTAAACTCTTTTACGTTTAATTCAGCTAGTTTTTCTTTTAACACTACTAAGGGCCAGGAACTGTGCTACAGCAGTGAGCGAAGCCCTGTCCTTGAGGAGCTAATGTCCTAGAGGGGGGATATATATATATATAAACATTACACAGTTATTCTACACATATATAAACATTACATAGTTATACTGCACATGTATAAACATTACATATATAAATGTATATTACATATATAATATATATAAAAACATATCTATCTACACACACATAAAGATATTTGTGTATAGATATACACAAATATGGTGGAACTCAGTGGCTCATGCCTGTAATCCCAGCACTTTGGGAGGCCAAGGTGGGAGGATCGCTTGAGGCCAGGGGTTCAAGACCAGCCTGGGAACACAGCAAGACTTGTCTCTACAAAAAATTGTAAAAATTAGCCGAGCATGGTGGTGCATGCCTGTACTTCCACCTACTTGAAAGGCTGATGTGGGAGGATTGCTTGAGCCCGGGAGTTCAGGGTTACAGTGAGCTATGATTGTGCCACTACACTGCAGCCTGGGTGACAGAGTGAAACATTGTCTCTTAAAAAAAACAAAAAACTAAATATATTATGAACCATATAATATCAGGTGGTAGTGAGTGCTATGAAAAAAACTAAAAGAGATGGGAGTGACCAGGAGGTAGGAGACACTGTGGGGAGGGGTGTTGGGAGGCCTCTTTGCAGGGCAGAGAACTGAGTGCCAAAGTAAGTGTTTGGAGAAAGACATTTTGTGCAAAGGAAACAGCATGAACAAAGACCTTTAGGTGAGAACGTGTCTGGCACATTCCGGGACTAGCAAGGAGGTTGCTGAATTAGCAGTGAAGTGAGCTGAGGGCAGAGGGGAGGAAATTAGGTCATGAAGCAGCCAGGGGACAGAGGTCTGTGAGCTTGTGCAGGGAGGATGATGCCCCTTCCTTTCCTTTTCCTTCTTGACACCAGGATCCCTATAGGTCAATGAGAAAAAGACAAATCTCATTAAAAGAAGAAAGGAAGAAAGACTGGGCAGAGGACTTGAACAGGCATTTCACAAAGCAGGATCTCTGAGGGGCAGGATTAGTCTCTGTTTCTTACAATCAATTCGATCTTGCTTGACACATTCTCCCTCTTCACATCAAAACTTCTGCTCTTGTGACAGCGTGAGAGACCCTCACTCTACAATAAAAGTAAAACATTAGCCAGGTGTGGTGGCAGGCGCCTATATTGCCAGCTACTCCAAAGGAGGTGTGAGGATTGCTTGAGCCTGGGAGGTAGAGCCTGCAGTGAGCCCTGATGGTACCACTGCACTCCAGCCTGGGAGACAGAGTGATACCCTGTCTCAAAAAAACACACAAAAAAACAAAAAAAGAAGAAAAACAGTTCTTTTTTTTTTTTTTTTTTTTTTTTGAGACAGAGTCTTGCTCTGTCACCCAGGTTGGAGTTCAGTGGTGCGATCAGGGCTCACTGCAACCTCCACCTCCCGGATTCAAGCGATTCCTTTGCCTCGGCCTCCCAAGTAGCTGGGACTATAGGCGCCTGCCACCATGACTGGCTAGTTTTTGTATTTTTAGTAGAGACAGGGTTTCACCATGTTGGCCAGGCTGGTCTTGAACTTCTGACCTCAAATGATCACCCTGCCTTGGCCTCCCAAAGTGCTGGGATTACAGGCATGAGCCACCGTGCCTGCCCAGTTCTTTTTTTTGTTCTTCCCCTGCTCTAGTCAAGAGAGACAAAAGCAGTTCCTGCCATCCTCCCGCTCTCCGTTTGCTGAGGACTTCAGCCCCTGCCCCAAACTCTTCCTTTCCTCCCAAGCCTGCTGTCTCCTCGGGCGATTTCACATCCCATGAGGTTGACCCATCACACACCTTGGCCCTGGCCTCCACTTTGTCTCCGCCACCCACTGCAATGGCCACACTTTGGACCGTATCATACTGCTGGCTCTAGTCAGAATTTTGGCTACAAATAACATAAACCCAACTCAAAGTGGGTTTAACAACAGAGTGGATGCTATTATCCCATGTAACAAGAATCTGGAGGCTGCGTGGCTCAAGGGTATATCAATTCAGTGGACGCTCTGTGGACTTCATCAAGGACCCAGGTTCTTGCTGTCATTCTATTCTCCTGCCCTCAGGTATTGACTCTCTCATCAAACTGGCTCCCTACATGTTCACGTTACTCCAGACGAAACTATCACCCCTTTATAACAATGGCCAGAGTCAGAAGATAGGAAAACTTTTCCAGATGTGCTCTCCTTCTCCTCCTACTCCCACTACTTGTCAATACACTTCCCTAGGCCGGGCGTGGTGGCTCATGCCTAATCCCAGCACTTTGGGAAGTCGAGGTGGGCGGATCACGAGGTCAGGAGATCCAGACCATCCTGGCTAACACAGTGAAACCCCGTCTCTACTAAAAATACAAAAAATCAGCTGGGCGTGGTGGCAGGCACCTGTAGTCCCAGCTACTCAGGAGGCTGAGGCAGGAGAATGGCTTGAACCTGGGAGGCGGAGCTTGCAGTGAGTGGAGATCATGCCACTGCACTCCAGCCTGGGTGACAGAGCGAGACTCCGTCTCAAAAAAAAAAATAATAATAATAAAATAAACTTCCCTAGTGACCAGAATTACATTGCCTAACCTTGACTAAACTAAATGTTGATGGGTCAAAGTGTATTAAAAAAGAAACGTGGCTGGGTGCAGTGGCTCACGCCTGTAATCCCAGCATTTTGGGAGGCCAAGGCTGGTGGATTACCTGAGGTCAGGCGTTCGAGACCAGCCTAGCCAACATGGCGATACCCTGTCTCTACTAAAAATACAAAAATTAGCCGGGCATGGTGGCGCGTGCCTGTAATCCCAGCTACTTGGGGGCTGAGGCAGGAGGATCACTTGAACTTGGGAGGCAGAGGTTGCAGTGAGCCGAGATTGTGCCAGTGCACTCCAGCCTGGGCAACAGAGCAAGACTCCATCTCACAAAAAAAAAAAAAAAGAAAGAAACGCTTCTTATGGACAAAGCAGTTGGAGGTTGGCTTGTGGGTAGGCTATCCAGGGCTGGTATGGCAGCTTCATGGTATCATCAAAAACCCATAAGCTTAGGCCAGGCATGGTGGCTCACACCTGTAATCAAGCAGTTTAGGATGCGGAGGCCAGAGGATCACCTGAGCCCAGGAGTTCAGGACCAGCCTGGGCAATGTGGTGAAACCCTGTTTCTACAAAAAATCCCAAAACATTAGCCAGGGGCCAGGCACAGTGGCTCACACCTGTAATCCCAGCACTTTGAGAGACCACAGCCAGAGGATCATTTGAGGTCGGGCTTTCAAGACCAGCCTGGCCAACAAGGTGAAGCCCCATCTCTACTAAAAATATAAAAATTGGCTGGGCATTGCATTGCCAAGATAATCCTAAGCAAAAAGAACAACGCTGGAGGCATCACGTTACCTGACTTCAAACTATACCACAAGGCTACAGTAACCAAAAGAGCATGGTACTGCTACCAAAACAGATGTATAGACCAATGAAACAGTACAGAGGCCTCAGAAATAACACCACACACCTACAACCATCTGATCTTTGACAAACCTGACAAAAACAAGAAATGGGGAAAGGATTCCCTATTTAATAAATGGTGCTGGAAAAACTGGCTAGCCATATGTAGAAAGCTGAAATGGATCCCTTCCTTACACCTTATACAAAAATTAATTCAAGATGGATTAAAGACTTACATGTTAGACCTAAAACCATAAGAACCCTAGAAGAAAACCTAGGCAATACCACTCAGGACATAGGCATGGGCAAAGACTTCATGACTAAAACACCAAAAGCAATGGCAACAAAAGCCAAAATAGACAAATAGGATCTAATTAAACTAAAGAGCTTCTGCATGGCAAAAGAAACTACCATCAGAGTGAACAGGCAACCTACAGAATGGGAGAAAATTTTTGCAATCTACCCATCTGACAAAGGGCTAATATCCAGAATCTACAAAGAACTCAAACAAATTTACCAGAAAAAAACAACCCCATCAAAAAGTGGGCAAAGGATATGAACAGACACTTCTCAAAAGAAGACATCTGTGCAGCCAACAGACACATGAAAAAATGCTCATCACTGGTCATCAGAGAAATGCAAATCAAAACCACAATGAGATACCATCTCACGCCAGTTAGAATAGCAATCATTAAAAAGTCAGGAAACAGCAGATGCTGGAGAGGATGTGGAGAAATAGGAATGCTTTTACACTGTTGGTGGGAGTGTAAATTAGTTCAACCATTGTGGAAGACAGTGTGGTGATTCCTCAAGGATCTAGGACTAGAATTACCATTTGACCCAGCAATCCCATTACTGGGTATATACCCAAAGGGTTATAAATCATGCTACTATAAAGACACATGCACACACATGTTTATTGTGGCACTATTCACAATAGCAAAGACTTGGAACCAACCCAAATGTCCATCAATGATAGACTCGATTAAGAAAATGTGGCACATATATACCATGGAATACTATGCAGCCATAAAAAACGATGCGTTCATGTCCTTTGCAGGGACATGGATGAAGCTGGAAACCATCATCCTCAGCAAACTATCACAAGGACAGAAGAACAAACACCACATGTTCTCACTCATAGGTGGGAATTGAACAAAAAGAACACTTGGACACAGGGTGGGGAACATCACACACTGGGGCCTGTCAGGGGGTGGCGGCCTGGGGGAGGGATAGCATTAGGAGAAATACCTAATGTAAATGATGAGTTGATGGGTGCAGCAAACCAACATAGCACATGTATACCTATGTATCAAACCTGCAGGTTGTGTGCATGTACCCTAGAACTTAAAGTATAATTTTAAAAAAATTGGCTGGGCGTGGTGGCATGTGCCTGTGGTCCTAGCTACTCAGGAGGCTGAGATGGGAGAATCGCTTGAACCTGGGAGGCAGAGGCTGCAGTAAGCTGAGATCATACCACTGCACTCCAGCCTGGGTGACACAGCAAGATTCCGTCTCAAAAAAAAAAATTTATTATTTTTTTAAAATAGTAAAATCACTAAACTTGTGCAATGGTAGCATGGAAATTATCTGAGGTGTACTGTATGATTGTATTTTAACCAGGGTGGACATAGCTTAAATTATAAAAACTAAAGATGAAAGTACAAGGAAGCACAAGTATAAATTATACAAGTATAAATTCATGCTGCCTACTTCTAAGAGAACTTTCATTCTTCATAACCACATAACATTATAATGCCACTGACTCATAAGGGGTTTACATTAATTCTATGGGGGAGAACACTAGAATTATTAGTGTTCATTTTCATCTAAGATCTTTTTTCTCTAACATTCTTGGTCCTATTGAAACATTGCAGTATGCAGAAATACTGTAATGTTAAACCCAAGAGAAAAGCCATTATCATGTGTACGCTGGTCATCATGATCAGTGTGGTACAATTTAAAAAAATAAACTATCATGCCCTTCATGAAAAAAAAAAATTACCTGGGCATGGGGGCACATGCCTGTAGTCCCAGCCACTTGGGAGGCTGAGGTGGGAGGATCACCTGAGACCCAGGAAGTCGAGGCTACAGTGAGTGATGATGGCGCCACCGCACTCCGGCCCAGGAGCTGCTCATGTTATTTTACTGGCTTAACAGTGTTACGGCCAATGTCTCTGTGATTCTCTTGGCCTTTTCCTCATGATTGTGGCCTCAAGGAATGTATTCTTCCATGAGCAACGTGTGATCAGCCTCTCCGAGTGAGGTGCCAAGAGTGTTCCCGTTTAATATCTCACAATTAAATCAGAACTATTTACTGGGCATCATTTATTAAGCACTGTTTATTAAGCACTTTCTGAATGCCAGGCACCTTAAAAACATTCCCTCTAATTCTCACAATTCCCTACAAAGTTGAGATTATTATCCTTATTTAAAAGACAAGAAGGTGAGAATCTGGAGGTTGAAATTTTTAATTTAAAAAAAGAGAGAGAGAGGGCCAGGCACAATGGCTCAGGCCTGTAATCCCAGCAAACTTTGGAAGGCTGAGGAGGGAGGATAGCTTGAGCCCAGGAGTTCAAGACTAGTTTCATAGGGAGACCCCATCTCTTAAAAAAATTTAAAAATTAGAAGGGCGTGGTGGCCACACACCTGTGGTCTCAGCTACTTGGGACATTTGAGCTTGGGAGTTCAGGACTGCAGTGATCGATGATCCTACCACTGTACTATACTCCAGCCTGGGTGACAGATAAAAACCCTGTCTCAAAAAAAAAAAAAAAAGAAAAATGCTTATGAGCACAGACTGTGATGGAAAGGTGGAAATGCGACACGTGAAGCACAGAGGATGGAGGATGGAGGCTGGTACCACATAGGCCCTTGGTTGTATTTTCTTTTCTTTCTTTTTTTTTTTTTTGTTGTTGTTGTTGTTGAGACGGAGTCTCTCTCTGTCACCCAGGCTGGAGTGCAGTGGCGTGATCTCTGCTCACTGCAACCTCCGCCTCCTGTGCCAGAAGGTGAAAGATAAAAAGATTGTTATTTATAACAATCCCTTTTCAAACACACTTGAGTTTACGTTAATGAAAGGATTTGGGGAAAGTTCCAAGATAACCACAGGATGACGGGGGCTGGCTTCCAGAGGATCCAACCATTTGGTCAGAGGGTTGGAAGTTTCAGCCCCACCCCCAACCTCCAGGGAGGGGCTCAAAGTGAAGTTAATCACCAAAGGCCAATTATTTATCAATCATGCCTACATAATGATGCTTTTTTTTTTTTTTTTTTTTTTTTTGAGACGGAGTCTTGCTCTGTTGCCCAGGCAGGAGAGCCGTGGCACGATCTCGGCTCACCACAACCTCCACCTCCTGGGTTCAAGAGACTCTCCTGCCTCAGCCTCCCGGGTAGCTGGGACTACAGGCGCACGCCATCATGCCCAGCTAATTTTTGCATTTTTAGTAGAGACAGGGTTTCACTATGTTGGCCAGGCTGGTCTCGAACTCCTGACCTCGTGATCCACCCGCCTCAGCCTCCCAAAGTGCTGGGATTACAAGCGTGAGCCACCACGTCCGGCCTCCTTAAGTGTATTTTCATAATATACATACTAAGGAATACCGTGCAGCTGTTATAAAGAACTAGTAACTTGGCTGGGCAAGGTGTCTCACACCTACAATCCTAGTACTTTGGGAGGCTGAGGTGGGTGGATCACCTGAGGTCAAGAGTTCAGGAGCAGCCTGGCCAACATGGTGAAACTCCGTCTCTACTAAAAATACAAAAATTAGCCGGGCTTGGTGGCATGCGCCTGTAATCCCAACTACTTGAAAGGCTGAGGCAGGAGAATCGCTTGAACCCAGAGGGCAGAGGTTGCAGTGAGCCGAGATTGCGCCACTTCACTCCAGCCTGGGCGAAAGAGTGAAACTCCGTCTAAAAAAAAAACAACTAGTAACTCTATATGTATCTACATAGAAAAGAAACCTCAGCCAGGCACAGTGGCTCACATATGTAATCCCAGCCCTTTGAGGGGTGGAAGTAGAAGGGTCACTTGAGGCCAGGAGTTTGGGACCAGTCTGCTAAAACATAACAAGACCCTGTCTCTATTTTAAAAAGAAAGAAAAAAGAGAGAAGCCAGGCATGGTGGCTCATGCCTGTAATCCTAATACTTTGGGAGGCCAAGGTGGGCGGATTGCCTGAGCTCAAGAGTTCAAGACCAGCTTGGGCAACATGGTGAAATTCCATCTCTACAAAAAAAATACCAAACAAAAAAATTAGCTGGGTGTGATGGCACTCACCGTAGTAGTCCCCACTACTGGGTAGCTAAGGCAGGAGGATCACCTGACCCCAGGAGCTCTAGGCTGCAGTGAGCCAAGATCATGCCACTGCACTCCAGCGTGGGTGACAGAGTGTGACCCCGTCTCTTAAAATAAAGAAATTAATTAATTTAATTAAATAAGAAAAAGGAGAGAGAAAGAGAGAAAATAAATCTCTTAGTCACGGGGTTAAGTAGAAAAAGCCAGTTGCAGAACAACATGGCCCCCATGTAGAGCAAAATTATGTATTTCTACATGTTTATGCCACAAATGCATAAAAATAAGATTTGGAAGTGATCACGGCAGGAGGCAGACAAACGCCTAGGCAGACGGGGCAGGTCCCTGGCGAAACTCCACCTCCAAGACAAAGACAGCTTGAAGCCTGAAAGCCAAGCTACAAGTCAAATCCACGAATGAGACTGAGAACCTGTCTTCCTATTTGGTGCGCTTTCCTCTGATTGGTCCCCACCCTTCACCTAGTTTACATTTACCTACCCTTTCCTAATTGGTTTTTTACACTGTCCATGCCCACCTTTGAGTGATGTCTTTGCTTTAACCTTTTTTGCATACTCACAATCAGCATGTAGTCCCCATTCTGAGGCCATAAAAAGCCCCAGACCCAGCCACAAGGAGAGAGAAACCACCCCCACCCCCACATCCCCTCTCCGCTGTGAGCTGTTCCGTCACTCCGTAAAATTATCTGCCCTCATCACCCTTCAGTCCTCCACGTGACCTCATTCTTCTTGAACACTGGACAAGAGCTCGGGACCCACCAAGTGCGGGTACCCTGAAAGGCTGTCACACTGGCCCTCTGCCCTTCTAGGACGGCAGCTACCCCACGTGACAGGGCCAGGGGCCGACTGAGCTGCTAACACACCGACCATCCAGGGGGCTGTGGACAGTGGAACTAAAAGAGCTAATTAGCACACTAATACCCTCTCTGGGGCTTCAGGGTCGCAGGCATCCTTGCCTGGATGCCGCCATGTCCCCCTTGAGGCAATACACCTGGTGTGTCCACGGGCCCGCATGGAGCTTGCTCCTGTGTCAGTGCTTGGAGTGGCTGGCCAGATCCCGCACTCACTCACGTGCTCCCTCCTGTAAGGGGGTGAGTGCGGCAGGCCAAGTAGACAGGGCGCCCCTGCCGTGAGTCCAAAAAAAGAAAAGGCTGAGAAATATCCTGCATCAGAAGGATATAAACCACATTTATGACCTGTTATCTCTGGGGCAAGGATTGGCAGAAAGGGGCTGAGTGTGGTGGTTCACACCTGTAATCCTAGCACTCTGGGAGACTGAGGCAGGAGGATTGCTTGAACCCAGGAGTTTGAGACCCCCCTGGGCAACATAGTGAAACCTCGTCTCTGCAAAAAAAATAAACAAAATTAGCCAGGTGTGGCACACACCTGTAGTCCCAGCTACTTGGGAGGCTTGGGAGGCTGAGATGGGAGGATTGCTTGAGCCCTGGTTAAGTTGAGGCTTCAGTGAGCTGAGATTGTGCTACTGTACTCCAGCATGGGTGACAGAGCAAGACCCAGTCTAAAAAAAAAAAAAAAAAAATAGAATTGGCAGAAAAGCCAAAAGAGAAATGTTGCTTTTTTTCCCCTGGACTCTGGTCACTAACTACCTATGTGATCTTGAGCAGACTGTAGCACTTCTGTGCCTCAGGCTCCCCATCTGTAAAATAGGGACACATTCGTAGTTACTTGATAAATGGTTGTAAGGATTAAGTGAGTTAACATACATAAAACATGATAAAACATGAATAGTAGTGCCTGCTACAATGTTGGAATTAAATTTGTTTTCATTCTTCTGTGACTTTTCATGGTACTAATGGTACTAAATAATCTCTGTCTTGCTGGGCATGGTGGCTCACACCTGTAATCCCAGCACTTTGGGAGGCCGAGGTGGGTGGATCACCTGAGGTCAGGAGTTCAAGACCAGCCTGACCAACATGGAGAAACCCCGTCTCTACTAACAATACAAAATTAGCCGAGGTGGTGGCACATGCCTGTAATCCTAGCTACTCAGGAGGCTGAGGCAGGAGAATCGCTTGAACCCAGGAGGCAGAGGTTTCAGTGAGCCGAGATCGCACCATTGCACTCCAGCCTGGGCAAAAAGAGTGAAACTCTATCTCAAAAATAATAATAATAATAATAATCTCTGTCTTGATCAGAAGTTGGGGAGAGTCTCCCCTCACCATTCCTTCAGGGTCTTATGCGGAGGAAAAGCTGTTAAAAAAAAAGTGTAAAGGTCAAAAGTAATAAGGAAATCATGCCCTCTGCAGGGAAGCAGCCACCATACCCAGCCCACACGGAACGTGGCTGTGGCTGAGCAGTGCCCCCAGCTCCTGGGTGGGCCTCTCCTCCCTTCTAAGAGTTTCTGTAAAAAGATTTTTGAGTTAAAAAAAAAAGTGCAAAGGATTATATTGGAGACAGAGGGTTAAGACAATGACGCTAGGATAAAGACAAGCCTGTGGGTGGTGGAAAAGACTGGGTTGTGGGGTTGAGGGGGGTCCAAGATCCAGTAGGCCTAGAATCCAAGAACAGAAGCTAATTATCCTAGTTCATCAAATTTAAGATCCATCATTGTAATATACACCACTATTTTATGTTCTTTTTTTTTGAGACAGAGTCTTGCTCTGTTGCCAGGCTGGAGTGCAGTGGTGGCGCGATCTCGGCTCACTGCAACCTCTGCCTCCCGAGCTCAAGTGATTCTCCTGCCTCAGCCTCCCGAGTAGAGTAGCTGGGACTACAGGCATGCGCTACCATGCCCAGCTAATTTTTGTATTTTTAGTAGAGACGGGGTTTCACCATGTTGGCCAGGCAGGTCTCAAACTCCTGACCTCGTGATCTGCCCACCTCGGCCTCCCAAAGTGCTGGTGGCACAGGCATGAGCCACCACCCCCGGCCTATGTACTTTTTAAATGCTGCAATTAGCTTATTATGTCATTAACTGTTACATGCATTCCAATTTCAAAGATATTAAAAGGTAAACAAATGTGCATCATAGAATCATTAAAATATGAGTCCCTAAGCACTGAAATTGGAAACAATGCCCTTGCCCCAATTTTTTAAAATGTCCCTGAACTGTAAAATAAATAAACATAAGGGGATTTCCCCAAGATGATTACTTTTAAGTTTTATGAGGGAAAATGGTAAATGTCAAATTCTGTCCCTAAACCATATCTCATCTCTTTTGTTCCTCTGTAAGGGCTGAATCAGCCTGTTGGGTGACCCAGGCCTGCCCTGGGGGAGGGAGGAAATCCACACAACTGAGTCCTTTGAGCCTCTCCCCTGCCCTGAGTTCAGTAGCAGCTGGAAAGGGGCCCAGCTTTATGGGGGAACAATGGTGCCAGCCAGCTTCGGGTGAAACAAGGCTGAACAGCCTGGCTGGGTCTGGCCTGGGTCCAGAAGAGTGCCCCTTGCACCTGAGGGGTCCGCTCCCCTTCAGCAAAGGACAGATGAAGCCAGGGAAAGTGGAGAAAGAACTCCCTGGGCTTTCTCCGTGAACAGCTCTCTACGTAGAATCCCAGAATCACCCAGCCAGAGGACCTCAGTGTCCATGGAATCAAACTGCTCCATTGTACAGATGGGAAAACAAAGGCCCCAAAGGGGGCTGGAGCTTGCCTAAGGTCCTTCAGTAAGTCAGTGGCAAAGCTGGAGCCACAGTCAGGTTCCCTTTAATTCAGCATGTCTACCATTAAGTGCAAGTCTGTGCGATCTTTTGCTGTTTTTTGTTGTTTGTTTGTTTCTGTCTTTTAAAAATGCCCAAATTGGCTGGGCGCAGTGGCTCACGCCTATAATCCCAGCACTTTGGGAGGCCAAGGTGGGTGGATCATTTGAGGTCAGGAGTTTGAGACCAGGCTGGCCAACATAGTGAAACCCTGTCTCTACTAAAAATACAAAAATTAGCCAGCGTGGTGGTACATGCCTATAATCCCAGCTACTCGGGAGGCTGAGGCAGGAGAATCGCTTGAACCTGGGAGGCAGAGGTTGCAGTGAGCTAAGATCACGCCACTGCGCTCCAGCCTGCGTGACAGAGAGAGACTCCTACTCAAAAAAAAAAAAGAAAGAAAATGTCAAATTATGTTGCTTGTACAAAATGTCTGTCTGACACATCAGATAGTGTCTGACTCACCTGCCCATTGGAATGAGAAGCTCAGGATCTCAAGCATGAATGCCTCCAGGATAGAGGAGACCTGTGGGTACATGCCTGCCCCTACTCCTTCAAACTAATATTTACTGTGACATAGTAACTTCCTGGCTTCAAAGCTCACCTCTAACGCTTCCCATGTATGTGACCTTGGGCAAATTACTTATCATCGTGGTAGTGGCCTCCAAGATGGCCCTCAATGATTCTCTCTTCCTACATAACCACCAGGCTACTGCAGAAACAGGTGTGACTTCTGAGGCCAGGTCAGAAAAGACAATGCAAGGCTGGGCACAGTGTCTCATGCCTGTAATCCTAGCACTTTGGGAGGCTAAGGTGGGAGGATCACTGGAGTCCAGGAGATTGAGATCAGCCCAGGCAACATAGCCATAAAACGAGACCTCACCTCTACTAAAAAGAGAAAAGAAAATTAGCACCTGTGGTCTCAACCTACTTGGGAGGCTGAGGTGAGAGAATCGCCTGAGCCCAGGAAGTCAAGGTTGCAGTGAGCTGAGATGACACCACTGCATTCCAGCCTGGGCAATAGAGCAAGAACCTGTCTCAAAAAATAAAAACAGCCAGGCGCAGTGGCTCATGCCTGCAATCCCAGCACTTTGGGAGGCCAAGGCAGGCAGATCACGAGGTCAGGAGTTCGAGACCACCCTGACCAACATGGTGAAACCCCGTCTCTATTAAAAATACAAAAATTAACCGGGGGTGGTGGCACGTGCCTGTAACCCCAGCTACTCAGGAGGCTGAGGCAGGAGAATTGCTTGAACTTGGGAGGCAGAGATTGTAGTGAGCCAAGATCGCACCATTGCACTCCAGCCTGGGCAACAGAGCGAGACTCCGTCTCAAAAACAAAACCAAACAAAAAAACAAAGAGACTGCAGCTTCCATCTTGCTCTCTTGGATCACTTGCCCTAAGGGAACTTAGCTGCTATGTTATAAGCACACTCAATGTTATATGCTATGTTATAAGCACAGCCCAATGCAGGGACACACACAGCAAGAAGTAACTGAGACTGCTTGCCAACAGCCAACTGCTTTGCCAGCCGTGTGCACGGGCCCGCTTGAAACTGTATCCTCCAACCCCAGTCCAGCTTCCAGATGACTGCAGCCCTGGTCAACATCTTGAAACTTATGAGATGTTTCTGGTGAGAATCACTCAACTAATCAGCTCCTGAATTCCTTGCCTATAGAAAATACCTGAGGTAATAAATGTTTATTGCTGTTTTAAGCTTTGTAGTTTTGGGGTAATTCCTGACACAGCCACAGACAATGAATACAATCACACTTTGCCTCCTTTTCCTTAAAATGAGGATGATGGGAGGACTTGCTTTATATAATCATGAGGATTCCATATGATACATGAAAAGAATCTGGCTAAGCTGGGTGCAGTGGCTCACGCCTGTAATCCCAACACTTTGGTAGCCCAAGGTAGGTGGATCGCTTCAGCCCAGGAGTTTGAGACCAGCCTGGGCAACACAGTGAAACCCCGTCTCTACAAAAAATACAAAAATTAGCTGGGCATGGTGATGTGCGCCTATAGTCCCAGCTACTCGGGAGGCTGAGGTGGGAGGATCGCTTGAGCCTGGGAAGTTGAGGCTACAGTGAGCTGTGATTGTACCACTGCACTCCAGCCTAGGCCACAGAACAAGACCCTGTCTCAAAAAATAAATAAACCAATAAATAAAAATAAGAAGAGTCTGGCTCATAGCAAATGCACAGCAGATAGGAACCAATATTGCTGTATTATTATATGGTCTCCACTAATCAAGAGGAGAGGTTGAGAGCTATATGAGGAAGGGCCAAAAGGAAAGATGAAGTAGCAACCCCCAGTCTCTTCATTTTCCTGGCAATTCAGCTCTGACTACATTTTCATAGAACCTCCTAAGACAGAAGCCCCATGGGGAAACTTGATCTCCCTAGAAGGCAGTGTAGGGACTATTTATCACTCTGCAAGCATTCCCCTTCGGGTGCTCAGTCTTCATCATCCCCACCACTAGAACTTATCAACTAATTTCTTGCTTATCTACTAGGAGTCCCCAGTCAACAGAATTGACTCCATCTCAGCACTTTCCAGGGACATTCCCAACCTCTGGAAGCTATCCAACAAAGGCTTCCTTTGCTCCTTAATTTATCTCTGAGAAGCAGGTTTAAATTTTAGCTCTGCTGGGTTGGGCACAGTGGCTCACACCTGTAATCCCAGTGCTTTGGGGAGGATGAGGCAGGCAGATCACTTGAGGTCAGGAGTTCAAGACCAGCCTGGCCAACATGGGGAAACCCCGTCTCTACCAAAAATTAGCTGGTCCTGTGATACACTAGCCTGTAGTCCCAGTTACTCAGGAGGCTGAGGTTAGAGGATCACGTGACCCCGGGAGGTGGAGATTGCAGTGAGCTGTGATGGCGCCGCTGTTCCCTAGCATGGGTAACAGAGTGAGACCCTATCTCAAAAAAAAAGACCTAAACAAAAATTTTAGCTCTGCTACCGATTTGTCCTTTGTCAAGTTACTCAACCCCTTGAGCCTCATCTCCTCGTCTGCCAAGCAGAAATAGCGAATATTTGCTTCCGGGTTGTTGGGGGAAGAAAATGAAGCAAGACAGCAAGGTATGAATGCTTTATTGGATGGAAATAATAAATTGTCAATGCCTCCGGACTCTCAGGTGCTGCTCAACGCCCTGCCCTGCCCCAGGAAGCTTCTCCCCACAGCGGAAGCCACTTAGCTCTCACATGCAGGCTCTGCCCTGTGCTGGGCTTGACACCAACTTTGGTGGTTTTTGTTTTTGTTTTCAAGATGGAGACTCGCTCTGTTGCACAGGCTGAAGTGCAGTGGTGTGATCTTGGCTCACTGCAACCGCCACCTCCCGGGTTCAAGCAATTCTTCTGCCTCAGCCTCCTGAGTAGCTGGGATTACAGGCGCCCGCCACCATGCCTGGCTAATTTTTGTATTTTTAGTAGAGACAGGGTTTTACCATTTTGGCCAAGCTGGTCTTGAACTCCTGACCTCAAGTGATCCACCCACCTCAGCCTCCCAAACTGCTGAGATTACAGGCATGAACCACCAGGCCAGGCCTCTGTTTTTTTTGTTTGTTTGTTTGTTTTGGTTTTTTTTTTTGAGACAAAGTCTCCCTCTATCACCCAGGCTGTATGTAGTGCAGTGGCACGATCACAGCTCACTGTAACCTCCACCTCCCAGGTTCAAGCGATTCTCGTGCCTCAGCATACTGAGTAGCTGGGAATACAGGCTTGCGCCACCGCATCCTGCTAATTTTTGTATTTTTTGTAGAGACGGGGTTTTGCCACGTTGGCCAGGCTGGTCTCGAACTTCTGATCTCAGGTGATCCACCCGCCTTGACCTCCCAAAGTGCTGGGATTACAGGCATGAGCCACCACTCCTGGCAGCTTTGTTTTTTAATCAGGGAACTTTTTTTTTTTTTTTTTTTGAGACAGAGTTTTGCTCTTGTTGCCCAGGCTGGAGTGCAATGGTGGGATCTTAGCTCACCGCAGCCTCCGCCTCCCAGGTTCAAGCAATTCTCCTGCCTCAGCCTCCGGAGTAGCTGGGATTACAGGCATGTGCCACCATGCCCGGCTAATTTTGTATTTTTAGTAGAGATGGGGTTTCTCCATGTTGGTCAGACTAGTCTCGAACTCCCGACTTCAGGTGATCCGCCCGCCTTGGCCTCCCAAAGTGCTGGGATTACAGGCGTGAGCCACAGCACCTGGCTTAATCAGGGAACTTTAACCAGATTTTATCTCTTTCATCAGGGGTTCAGCAGTAACTAGCATATGTGCCTGACTGAATGCCTCCTTCTTATGACCAAGGCCAGCTTAAGATAAATTATTTTTATTCCTATTTATTTATTTATTATTTATTATTATTACTTTTTGAGATAGAATCTCACTCTGTCGCCCAGGCTGGAGTGCAATGGCGCGATCTCGGCTCACTGCAACCTCCGCCTCCAGAGTTCGCGCCATTCTCCTGCCTCAGCCTCCAGAGTAGCTGAGACTACAGGCGCCCGCCACCACGCCCGGCTAATTTTTAGTAGAGACGGGGTTTCACCGTGTTAGCCAGGCTGGTCTCGATCTCCTGACCTCATGATCTGCCCACCTCAGCCTCCCAAAGTGCTGGGATTACAGGCGTGAGCCACCGCGCCCGGCCTATTTATTTATTTTTGAGAAGTGGTCTTACTCTGTCACCTAGGCTGGAGTGCAGTAGCGTGATCATGGCTCACTGCAACCTCGACCTCCTGGGCTTGAGTGATCCACACCACTGCACTCCACCCTGGGCTACAGAGCGAGACTCCGTTTCAAAGAAAAAAAAAAAAGGAAGAAAGAACTCAGGGTTGGCAGAACAAGCTGTAGTGTCTCTGCCTTGCATCCTGGCATCTCCTCTGGCCTGACTCCCCAGGGTGATTTTAGGAGTTGTTCCTACCTATGCATAGCTCCCAATACTATGGCTTTGCCCCTCATGGAGATTCTGTGAGCCACCCAACATCCTGTAATAACTCTTTCCTGTTTAAACTGAAGTGAGTTGGTTTGTTTTGTTTGCAACTAAGAATCTTGATTGACACACTGCATAACAACTCTATCAGTATGTGTACCATTTGTATTATTTTGAAATAATTTTTTATTTAATTAGTTTTTTAAAGTAATGACAGTCACTTGTGAAGCCACCATCCCAAAATAAAATGTAGAACCTTAACAATAACCTACATCTGACTATATACCTCCCTCCCCACCCAACCTCTTTCCCAACCCTAGTAACCATCCTCCTGAACCTTATGCTCATCATTCCCTGTTGCACATTATTTTTAATTTTCTGTTGAAATATAATATACATATAATAAACTGAGCAAATATTAAGTGTACAATTCAAATAATTTATGTGTGTGTATAGATTTTTGTGTAACCAAATCAACATATAAACATTTCCCGCCAGGTGCAGTGGCTCACTCCTGTAACGCCAACACTTTGGGAGGCCGAGGCGGGCAGATCACCTGAGGTCGGGAGATTGAGACTATCCTGGCTAACCCAGTGAAATCCTGTCTCTTTTAAAAATACAAAAAATTAGCCAGGCGTGTTGGTACATGCCTGTAATCCCAGCTACTCAGAAGGCTGAGGCAGGAGAATTGCTTGAATCCGGGAGGCGGAGGTTGCAGTGAGCTGAGATCGCGCCATTGCACTCCAGCCTGGGCAACAAGAGCAAAACTCCATCTCAAAAAGCAAACAAACAAAGAAACATTTCCCATCCCCTAGAAGCCTCTCTTGTGATCTCTCCCAGCCAATTCCTGACACTTGAGAGTTACCAGTATTCTTACCTCTGTCACCCTAGGTTTGTTTTGCCTGTTCTTTTGTTCTTTTTTTTTTTTTTTTTGAGATGGAGTCTCACTCTGTCACCCAGGTTGGAGTGCAATGTACAATCTCGCCTCGCTGCAACCTCTGCCTCCTGGGTTCAAGTGATTCGGTGATTCTCCTGCTTCATCCTCCCAAGTAGCTGGGATTACAGGCTTGTGCCACTACGCCCAGCTAATTTTGTATTCTTAGTAGAGATGACGTTTTGCCATGTTGGTCAGGCTGGTCTTGAACTCCTGACCTCAGGTGATCCGCCCACCTCTGCCTCCCAAAGTGTTGGGATTACAGGTGTGAGCCACCGCACCTGGCCTGTTTTGCCTGTTCTTAAAACATTTAAACAAAGTAGGCCTGGCACAGTGGCTCATGCCTGTGATCCCAGCAACGTAGGGTATATTTTAGTACAAGGCGGAAGGATCACTTGAGCTCAGGAGTTCAACACCAGCCTGGGCAACACAGCAAGACCTTGTCTCTACAAAAACTTTTTAAAAAATTAGCCAGATGTGGTGGCTCACGCCTGTAGTCCCAGCTACTTGGGGTGGGCTGATGTGGGAGGATCACTTAAAGCCAAGAGTGCAAGGGTGCAGTGAGCTATGATCACACACTGCACTCCAGCTTGGGTGACAAAGAGAGATCCTGTTTCAAAATAAATAAATAAATAAAATAGTAAAGTATATTTTTTATGGTATGCATTTTTTTGGTCTGGCTTCTTTCACTATCATTATGTTTCTGTAATTCTCCTGTTTTTGCAAGTAGCAATAGTTGTTCTTGTTTTTTTTTCTTTCTTTTTTTTTCTTTTTTTGAGATGGAGTATCGCTCTTCTTGCCCAGGCTGGAGTGCAATGAATGGCACGATCTCGGCCCACTGCAACCTCCGCCTCCTGGGTTCAAGTGATACTCCTGCCTTAGCCTGCCGTGTACCTGGGATTACAGGCGTGCACCACCACGCCCGGCTAATTTTTTTTTTGTATTTTTAGTAGAGATGGGGTTTCATCATGTTGGCCAGGCTGGTCTCCAACTCCTGACCTCAGGTGATCTGCCCCCCTTAGCCTCCCAAAGTGCTGTGATTACAGGTGTAAGTCACCAGGCCTGGCCTCATATTTTTCTTTAAATTGACTCACTTCATTTATTTTATTTAATTTATTTATTCATTTTATTTTATTTTATTTTTGAGACGGAGTCTCCCTCTGTCACCCAGGCTGGAGTGCAGTGGTACAATCTTGGCTCACTGCAACCTCTGCCTCCCTGGTTCAAGTGATTCTCCTGCCTCAGCCTCCTGAGTAACTGGAATTACAGGTGCCCACTGCCACGCTCAGCTAATTTTTGTATTTTTAGTAGAGATGGGGTTTCACCATGTTGGCCAGGCTGCTCTCGAAGTTCTGACCTCTGGTGATCTGCCCACCTTGGCCTCCCAAAGCTCTGGGATTACAGGTGTGAGCCACCTGGCCTTTTTTTGTGTTTGTTTTTTTTTGGGGGGGGACATGGTTTCACTCTGTGGCTGGAAGTGCAGTGGCATGATGATGGCTCACTGCAGCCTCCACGTCCTAGGTTCAAGCAATCCTCCTACCTCAGCACCCCCACCCCTGAGTAGCTGGGACTACATGTGCGAGCTACCATGCATAGCTAATTTGTTTTTATTTTTTGTAGAGACAGGGTCTCACTATGTTGCCCAGGCTGGTTTCAAACTCCTGGCCTCAAGGAATTCTCCTGCCTCAGCCTCCCAAAGTGCTGGGATAACAGGCATGAGCCACCTTGCCAGGCTATTTATTTTCTTTTTTCTTTTTGAGATGGAGTGTCACTCTGTTGCCCACGCTGGAGTGCAGTGCCGCAATCTCGGCTCACTGCAAGCTCCGCCTCCCGGGTTCACGCCATTCTCCTGCCTCAGCTTCCCCAGTAGCTGGGACTATAGGCGCCTGCCACCATGCCTGGCTAATTTTTTTTTTTTTTGGTTTTTGTATTTTTAGTAGAGACAGGGTTTCACCGTGTTAGCCAGGATGGTCTCGACCTCCTGACCTCGTGATCTGCCCGCCTCGGCCTCCCAAAGTGCTGGGATTACAGGTGTGAGCCACTGCGCCCGGCCTATTTTCTAAATAAAATAGTTTGAATACTAATCATATTCGTACATATGCCTCATTCTTTTTTTTTTTCCCCCGAGACGGGGTCTTGCTTTCTTGCCTACGCTGGAGTGCATTGGCTCCATCTTGTCTCACTGCAACCTCCGCCTCCCAGGTTCAAGCAATTCTCATGCCTCAGCCTCTCAAGTAGGTGGGATTACAGGTGCCCACCACCATGCCCAGCTAATTTTTGTATTTTTAGTGAAGACGGGGTTTCACCATGCTGGCCAGACTGGTCTGAAACTCCTGACCTCGTGATCCGTCTGCCTCAGCCTCCCAAAGTGCTAGGATTACAGGTGTGAGCCACTGTGCTCGGCCTTTTAAATTTTTTCTTCAGATGGTATCTGGCCATGTTGCCCAGGCTGGATTTGAACTCCTGGGCTGAAACTCTCCTCCCGCTGATAGATGCAGGAGGCAGATAAGGGGAAGGCCTGCCTGTACACTGGAAGAACAGGGTGGAGCCACAGGAAGTTCGAGCTGGATGCCCGGAGAGTAGCCTAGCCTCTCCAGTTCCTGTGTGGTGGCCTGGTAATCAATTTGCTAGGTAGGGGCCCGTTAGCAGGATCGCCTCTCGCCTCTCACTTTGCTGAGAGTTTTTTTCTTTTTTCCTTTTCACCCAGTGAATTCCATTCTCCTCACCCTTCAATGTCTCCACTTTCCTAATTCTTCCTGGTTGTGTGACAAGGACCTGGTTTTAGCTGAACTAAGGAGCAAAGTTCTCAACACCTTTGCCTCCTGAGTAGCTGGGATTGCAGGCTTATGTCACTATACCTGCCACCTTCTTCTTCTTTTTTTTTTTTTAGTTCCTGCATAGTTTTTCTAGTACCATAATTTATCTAGTCCTCTACTGTTGAACATTGACCTTATTTCCAATGTTTACCTATTACAAACATTGTTATGACAAATAACCATGTTCATCAGTTATTTTGTTCATTGCACATTTATCTAAGAGATAAATTTTTAGAGATGAAATGGCTAGGAACCACTGGCTGGTTTTTCTTTTCTTTTCTTTTCTTTTCTTTTTTTTTTTTTGGCGGGGAGGGCAGACAATCAACGTTCCCAGGTTGAAGCCTTTTTTTTTTTTTTTCTTAGACAGGGTGTCGCTCTGTCACCCAGGCTGGAGTGCAGTGGCAGGATCATGGCTCACTGCAGCCTTAACCTCCTGGGCTCAACCAATGCTCCCATTTCAACCTCCAGAGTAGCTGGGACGGCAGGCACATACCAGCACACCCAGTTAATTTTTGTGTATTTTATAGAGACTGGGGTCTCCCTATGTTGCCCAAACTGGTCTTGAATTCCTGGGCTCAAGCGATCCTCCCTCCTTAGCCTCCCAAGGTGCTGGGATTACAGATGTGAGTCACGGCGTTTGGCCGAGGCCTTATATTTGAAGACATCTTTATTTTATTTTATGTATTTTATTTTATTTTTGAGATGGAATCTTGCTGTCGCCGGGCTGGAGTGCAGTGGCGCAATCTCTGCTCACTGCAAGCTCTGACTTCCTGGTTCAAGCGATTCTCCTGCCTCAGCCTCCCGGGTAGCTGGGATTACACGCACGCACCACGCCCAGCTAATTTTTTTGTATTTTTAGCAGAGACGGGGTTTCACCATGTTGGCCAGCATGGTCTTGAACTCCTGAACTCATGATCCGCCCCCGCCTTAGCCTCCCAAAGTGCTGGGATTACAGGCGTGAGCCACTGCGCCCAGCCTTGAAGACATCTTTATAGAGGTATAATTGCCATACCATAAAATGCACACACTTTTAGTGTATAATTGAATGATTTATAGTAAATTTATTGAGTTGTACAACCACCATGACCAGAAAAAACAAACTCAGTTTCTCCCACTATACTCACAACAGGCCTCTGACACAAGATGTATAGGGGTTTTCCCCACACATCAGGCAATCAGTCAGTTCTGCAGTGGACACCAGCTGGGTGTTTTCTAGTCCAAATAAACTCTGATACTATCCACCTGAAAATAACACCAGGTCCCATAGGTTGAGTGCTCAGTCCCCAAGACTATCCTCACTTCAGATGCCAGTAATAAGTCCAGGCCTCCAGAACTTCAAACTAACCAGCCATAAATCAGGATTCCCACAACTCCCTCCCTGGGTTCCATTAATTTGGTAGAGGGACTTACAGAACTCAGGGAAACATATACATTACAAACGCTACAAATAAACAGCCAGATGGAGAGAACAAAGGGTAAAGTCTGAAAGGGTCTGGAGCACGGGAGCTTTTATCCCTATGGAGATGGGGTGTCACCTCCTCCTCCTGCGTGTGGATGTGCTCTCATTCACCTTCCTGGAAGCCTACAGGTGTTCAGCTATTTAGAAGCTCTCTGAACCCAGTCGCTTTGGTTTATAATGGAAGCGTCAGGCTGGGCCCAGAGGCTCACACCTGTAATCCCAGCACTTTGGGAGGCCTAGGCAGGTAGACCACCTAAGGTCGGGAATTCGAGACCAGCCTGGCCAACACGGTGAAACCCCATCTATATTAAAAATACAAAAATTAGCTGGTTGTGGTGGCAGGTGCCTGTAGTCCCAACTACTTGGGAGATTGAGGCACAAGAATTGCTTGAACCTTGGAGGTGGAGATTGCAGTGAGCTGAGATCACGCCATTGCACTCCAGCCTGGGAAACAGAGTGAGACTCTTGTCTCAAAAAAAAAAGCATCATTAGGTAAGCATGATTGATAAATAATTGGCCATTGGTGATTAACTTCACTTAGAGACCCTCCCTGGAGGTTGGGGGTGGGGCTGAAAGTTTCAACCCTTTGAACTAATGGTTGGATCCTCTGGCAGCCACTCTCCCATCCTGTGGTTATCTTGGAACTTTCCCCGAATCCTGTCATTAACATAAATTCTGCCGGGCGCTGTGTCTCACACCTGTAATCTCAGCACTTTGGGAGACCAAGGCGGGCGGATCATGAGGTGAGGAGATTGAGACCATCCTGGCCAACATGGTGCAACCCCGTCTCTACTAAAAAAAAAAAAAAAAAAAAAAAAACAAAAAACTAGCCAGGTGTGGTGGCACGTGCCTGTAATCCCAGCTACTCAGGAGGCTGAGGCACAAGAATCTCTTTAACCAGGGAGGCAGAGGTTGCAGTGAGTGGAGATCGCACCACTGCATTCCAGCCTGGTGACAGAGCGAGACTCCCTCTCAAAACAAAACAAAATATAAACTCAAGTGTGTTTGAAAAGGGATTGTTTTAAATAACAATATTTTTATCTTTCACCTTCTGGCACTGAAGCTATTCCAAGAGGGGTTTCAAAGATCTAGGACAAAAGGCCAAATATTTTAACAAAAGATTTTTTTTTTTTGAGACAGAGTCTCGCTCTATTGCCCAGGCTGGAGTGCAGTGATGCAATCTCGGCTCACTGCAACCTCCGCTTCCTAGGTTTAAGCAATTCTCCTGCCTCAGCCTCCTGAGTAGCTGGGACTGCAGGCATATGCCACCGCACCCGGCTAATTTTTTGTGTTTTTAGTAGAGACGGGGTTTCACCACATTGGCCAGGCTGGTCTCGATCTCCTGATGTCATGATCCGCCTGCCTCGGCCTACCAAAGTGCTGGGATTACAGGCATGAGCCACTGCGCCCAGCCAACAAAATATATTCTTATTGCTTTAGATACTTCCCTTATCCCCCAAGTTGGATTAAATGCTAGCTCTAGGGCTGGGCTCAGTGGCTCACGCCTGTATTCCCAGCACTTTGGGAGGCCAAGGCAGGTAGATCACTTGAAGTCAGGAGTTGGAAACCAGCCTGGTCAACATGGTAAAACCTACCTCTACTAAAAATACAAAAGTTGCTGGGCTCAGTGGCTCACGCCTGCAATCCCAGCACTTTGGGAGGCCGAAGTGGGCTGATCACGAGGTCAGGAATTTGAGACCAGCCTGGCCAGCATGGTGAAACCCTATCTTTACTAAAAATACAAAAATTAGCCAGGCATGGTGGCGTGTGCCTGTAATCCCAGGTACTTGGGAGGCTGAGGCAGGAGGATCGCTTGAATCCAGGAGGCAGAGATTGCAGTGAGCCGATATGGCGCCACTGCACTCCAGCCTGGCCAAAAGTGTGACTTTGTCTCAAAAAAAAAAAAAAAGTGGCCGAGCGCAGTGGCTCACGCCTGTAATCCCAGCACTTGGGAGGCCGAGGTGGGCAGATCATGAGGTCAGGAGTTCGAGACCAGCCTGGCCAACACAGTGAAACCCCATCTCTACTAAAAATACAAAAATTAGCTGGGCATGGTGGCAGGCACCTGTAATCTCAGCTACTAGGGAGGCTGAGGCAGGAGAATCGCTTGAACCCAGGAGGCGGAGGTTGCAGTAGCTGAGATCGCATCACTGCATTCCAGCCTGGGTGACAGAGCTGGACTGTCTCCAAAAAAAAAGTGCTGTTCCATTTGGAAGTCAAGGCTGATGCCACCTAAGTGGGTTCCTGCTATCCTGCTACAAGGAACTTGAAGACATCCTCTTTCTTCATTGGCAGGACATCAAGGGCTCTGGACATTGTGAAAGTTTCCCTTGAAGTTACAATGGGAATCCAGAACAACGTCACATGGACCCCTCCATGGGTAACACAGAAAGCAAATGGTGTCTTTTAAGATACAGAAAAATTTGAATTTTGATGGTTTCATTGACCAATTTTTCCTTTTATAGATTAAGCTTTTGTTGTCATATCTAAGAAATCTTTGCCTAACCCAAGGTCTTGAAGATTTTCTCCTATGTCTTTTTTTTTTTTTTAAGACAAGGTCTCATTCTATTGCCCAGACTGGAGTACAGTGGCAGGATCACAGCTCATTGCAGCCTCAACCTCCTGGTCTCATGCAATCCTCCTGCCTCAGCCTCCTGAGTACCTGGGACTACACACCTGCACCACTATGCACAAATAATTTTTTATTTTTTGTAGAGATGGGGTCTTGCTATGTTGCCTATGGTTGTCCACAACTCCTGGATACAAGCAATCCTTCCACTTCGGCCTCCCAAAGTGCTGGGATTACAGGCATACGCCACTGTGCCCAGTCCTGACATATATTTTTAAAATTTTCATAGATACAGCCAAATTGTCCTTCCACCACACAATTGGCATCACGTCAATTTATACTCCAATCAGGAGTATGGCTGTTTCTCACTTGCTTGGTAACACTGTTGAGATAGCAATTTTTTTGTTCCTGACCAATCTGATAGTGAAAACATGGCATCTCATAGTTTTAATAGCTAAAATCCTACTTTAGCCACATCCTAAGCAATATGTGTGAAATGACCAGCTCGATGCATTAGCCACCCACTGCTTCAGTATATACATTACTAAGGAATGCAACTGCTAAGATAAAAAGCTACCACACAATCTATTGAAATACTGACAGAAGAAATTATATGATGTCTGGGATTTGCTTTGAAATAAGCCATCAATGGAGGTAGTAGATGAAACTATTTTTCTTTCTTTTTGAGACCAAGTCTTGCTCTGTCACCAGGCTGGAGTGCAGTGCATGATCTCAGCTCACTGCAACCTACGCCTCTCAGGTTCAAGCCATTCTCCTGCCTCAGCCTCCCTAGTAGCTGGGACTACAGGCATGCGCCACCACGCCTGGCTAATTTTGTATTTTCAGTAGAGACAGGGTTTTACTATATTGGCCAGGCTGGTCTTGAACTCCTGACCTCAAGTGATCCGCCTGCCTCAGCCTCCCCAAGTTTGGGATTACAGGCATGAGCCATCGCATCCAGCCTTTTCTTAGAGATGAGGGTCTCTTTATGTTGCCCAGGCTGATCTCCAACTCCTGACTTCAAGTGATCTTCTCACCTCAGACTCTTAAAGTGCTTGGATTACAGGTGTGAACAAACATGCCCAGTCTGAAAACTATTGTTACTGGTATTTGAAGCTTATGACACTAGAAATTCATTATACTGTTTTCTCTTTTCTTATCTATCTCTGATATTTTTCACAATAAAAACATATTTTTAGGCTGGGCACGGTGGCTCATGCCTATAATCTTAGCACTTTCGGAGGCTGAAGCTGGCAGATCACTTGAGCCCAGGAGTTTGAGACCAGCCTGGGCAACATGGCAAAACCAGTCTCTATTTAAAAAAAAAAAAAAAAAGTTATTTATTTATTTTTTGAGATGGAGTTTCACTCTTGTTGCCCAGGCTGGAGTGCAATGGCGCAATCTTGGCTCACTGAGACTTCCGCCTCCTGGGTTCAAGCGATTCTCCTGCCTTAGCCTCCCGAGTAGCCAGGATTACAGGCGCCTGCCACCACACCTGGCTAATTTTTGTTATTTTTAGTAGAGACAGGGTTTTGCCATGTTGGCCAGGCTGCTCTTGAACTCCTGACCTCAGGTGACTCACCCGCCTCAGCCTCCCAAAGTGCTGGGATTACAGATGTGAATCACTGTGCCCAGCAAAAGTTGTTTTAAATGACCATTTATGGCACCACCTAAAATCATCTTGTGTACATCTGTCACTGCCCAACCCCTTGAAAGATGTTGGTTTAAAGGTTCAGAGTGAGGGCTCTAGGTCGGGCCGATCAAATGTGAATCCTGATTCCATCAATTACTAGCTGATCTCAGGGAAGTCGCCTAACCACTCTGGGATAGTTGCCTCAGCTGAAAAATCAACATTACCGAACCAGGTTCGTTCTGCCTGTTGCACAGTAAGCCAATCACTGAGATGATAAGTTTTGCAGCCAATAAAGAGATTATTCACAAGGCAGCCCAGTGAAGAGATAGGAGAACATGTCTGAAATCTGCATCTCTGAAAACAGGGTTTAGGGATGTTTATGGGATAAAGAAGCAAGGTGGTCCAAGGTGTAGGGAAAGGTGATTGGAGGTAAAGAAAAGTGGGGCCATTGGTGATCTGTGCAAGCCAGTTAAGCTTTATGGTTCATAGGATGCATGTTCAGAAAATGACATCATTAGTACGATCTAAGGATGGACTTTAGGGCTTTTTGGCACTCTAACATTGAAAGGTCACCCATCAGATACTCAAGCAGGCCGAGGTGAAGGGTCGGTGGGCTCAGCCATCTTGAACTGGATAAGAACTGACTGTGAGTTCCTGAAAAACAACTTAAGCAACCACTGTCACAGTGACCTATACATCAGAGATGTTATCTATAAGGAAGTTGTGGAAGTCTAGTTATATACTGCTTAGCTATGTGACTTTTAGCTATATAGGTTTTAAAATCAACTAGAAGCAAGTGACTAAAAGGAAACAAATCAAAGCATGATATAAGCTGATTCTTTTTTTTTTTTTTTTTTTTTTTTTTTGAGACAGAGTGTTGCTCTGTCGCCCAGACTGGAGTGCAGTGGCGCGATCTCTGCTAACCACAAGCTCCACCTCCCGGGTTCACACCATTCTCCTGCCTCAGCCTCCCAAGTAGCTGGGACTACAGGCGCCCGCCACCACGCCCGGCTAATTTTTTGTATTTTTAGTAGAGATGGGGTTTCATTGTGTTAGCCAGGATGGTCTCGATCTCCTGACTTCGTGATCTGCCCGCCTCGGCCTCCCAAAGTGCTGGGATTACAGGCGTGAGCCACAGCGCCCGGCCTGATAAAAATTTTTAAAAGGAAAGAAAAGAAAAGCAAGTAAGGCAGGTTAAGTTTGTTTGTTTGTTTTTGAGACTGAAATCTCCAGTGAGAACTTTAGGCAAGAAATTATTCAGGTCTGTAATTTGTAGAGATAGGCCAGTGGGGCTTTCCTGGAAGAAGGATAACTTTAGGTTTGAGAACAAGAAAAGAAGGAACTGAGGATAATGAGCAGGACTAGAAGAAGCTCTGACATGCTGATTATTATCTAAGGCTGTTCTTTAGTCTTGCAGTTGCCCCTCTGAAGCTCAAATCTCCCCAAAATTGCAGGGGGATGTGCTGAGAGCTCCTTATGGTGATCTATTTTTATAACTTTTTTTTTTTTTGAGATGGAGTCTTGCTCTATTGCCCAGGCTGGAGTACAGTGGCGTGATCTTGGCTCACTGCAACCTCTGCCTCCTGGATTCAAGCGATTCTTCTGCCTCAGCCTCCTGAGCAGCTGGGATTACAAGTGCGCGCCACCATGCCCAGCTAATTTTTGTATTTTTAGTAGAGACAGCGTTTCACCATGTTGGTCAGGCTGGTCTTAAACTCCTAACCTCGTGATCCGCCCACCTCACCTCTCAGATTGCTGGGATTATAGGCGTGAGCCACTATGCCCAGACTTTTTCTTTCTTTCTTTCTTTTTTTTTTTTTTTGAGATGAAGTCTTGCTCTGTCACCCAGGCTGGAGTGCAATGGCGCGATCTCGGCTCACTGCAACCTCCGCCTCCCAGGTTCAAATGATTCTCCTGTCTCAGCCTCCCGAGTAGCTGGGATTACAGGCATGGTATGCCAGGGTAATTTCTGTATTATTAGTAGAGATGGAGTTTTACCATGTTGGCCAGGCTGGTCTTGAACTCCTGACCTCAGGCGATCCATCCACCTCAGGCTCCCAAAGTGTTGGGATTACAGGCATGAGCCACTGTGCCCGGCCTATAACTTTTTTTTTCCTACTTCTAATTCAGTATAGAAAATTTGAAGGATACAGAAAAAGAGACTCTTCCTATCATTGATTCAGGAAGAGGCAGTTGTGATGAAGTTGAAAGAGACAATCCTGAGTTCCAATCTCAGATCTGTTTCTTGCATTCACTGTGAATTTTGGCCAGTCACTTTAGCCTTCTGAACCTGTTTCTTCCTCTATGAAAGTGGGAATCACAGTGACTCCTACCTCACTGGGTAGCTGTGGGATGAATAAAGGCACATCTAGTTCATAAACACACGGTGGGCACTCAATATATGTCCTTGTCTCCTCCTTTCTGTTTACAGAGAGGTTTCATTCAAGCATTTCCTGAGCACCCTTAAGGTGTCACTACGTGCCAGAAGACACATGAGTATGGACAAGACTGGCTCTTTCTCCTTGAAAGGCTTATGGATAGTCCAGGCTCAGCGACTCACGCCTGTAATCCCAGCACCTTGGGAGGCTGAGGTGGGCAGATCCCCTGAGGTCAGGAGTTCCAGACCAGCCTGACCAATATGGAGAAACCCCTTCTCTACTAAAAATATAAAATTAGCTGGGCGTGGTGGTGCATGCCTGTAATCCCAGCTACTCAGGAGGCGGAGGCAGGAGGATCGCTTGAACCCGGGAGGCGGAGGTTGCAGTGAGCCAAGATCGCGCCATTGCACTCCAGCCTGGGCAACAAGAGCAAAACTCCGTCTCAGAAAAAAAAAAAAGGCTTATGGTTTGGGGAGGGAGGAAGGAGGAAATCTTCCCAGATTAAATGGTCCAAACTCCTGCCTCAAGATAAATTAAAAAAAAAATACATTTGACCTCAATTTCCAGATGTCAGCAGAGGCCCAGAGAGGCAAGGTCACATGGCAAATAAATAGTAGGAAGGGAACTTGAACCCGATTAGGAGGAATATTGGGAAAAGAGCAAGGAGGAAGGAACTTTGTAAATAAAGTCATGCTAGTTTGTAGCCCAAAAAAGAGGAACAATAGAAGATGGAGCTGGCTGCAAATGGATCAGGGACTGGAAATTCATCTATGAAAATCGACTGCATTTTTTTTTTTTTTGAGATGGAATCTTGTTCTGTCACCCAAGCTGGAGTGCAATGGGGTCATCTCAGCTCACTGCAAACTCCGCCTCACAGATTCAAGCGATTCTCCTGCCTCAGCCTCCTGAGTAGCTGGGATTACGGGCTCATGCCCCCACACTCGGCTAATTTTTGTGTGTTTAGTAGAGATGAGGTTTCACCATGTTGGCCAGGCTGGTCTCGAACTCCTGACCTCAAGTGATCCACCCGCCTTGGCCTCCCAAAGTACTGGGATTACATGCGTGAGCCACTGTGCCCAGCCTTTTTGGGTTTTTGTTTATATGTTTGTTTTTGAGACAAAGTCTCACTCTGTCACCCAGGTTTGAGTGCAGTCGGGCGAACATGGCTTATTGTAGCCTTGACCTCCTAGGCTCATTTGATCCTCTCCCCTCAGCCTTTTGCCAACACAGCTGGCTAATGTTTTTATTTTAGTTTAGTAGAGACAGGGTCTTACTATGTTGCTCAGGCTTGGGCTGCATTTTGCTTGTGCAAGATTTCCTCCCAATACTATATTATGAAAATTTTCAAACATATAAAGCAGTTGAAAGAACTGTATAGTGAATGCTCATCTACCCATTACCTAGATTCTACAATTGTTAACTGTTTGCTACATTTGCTTTGTTGCATATTTATTCATTCATCTGTTTCTCCATCTCTCCTCCCATCCATCTTACTATTATTTTTTTGAGACAGAGTTTCACTCTGTCGCCCAGGCCAGAGTGCAGTGGCATCATTTCTGCTTACCGCAACCTTCACCTCCCAGTTTCAAGCAATCCTTCTGCCTCAGCCACCCAAGTAGCTGGGATTACAGGCATGTGGCAGCAAGCCCGGCTAATTTTTGTGTTTTTAGTAGAGATGGGGTTTCGCCATGTTGGCCAGCCTGGTCTTGAACTCCTGACCTCAAGTGATACACCTGCCTCGGCCTCCCAAAGAGCTGGGATTACAGGCCTGAGCCACCGTGCCTGGCCTGTTTATTTATTTTTTGAGAGAGAGTATCTCTTTATTGCCCAAGCTGGATTGCAGTGGCAAGATCAAGGCTCACTGGAGCTTCAACCTCCAGGGCTCAAGCAGTTCTCCCACCCCAGCCTCCTGAGTAGTTGGGACTATAGGCATGAGCCATTACACCCAGCTTTTTTTTTTTTTTTTTTTTTTTTTGAGACAGAGTTTTGCTCTGTCGCCCAGGCTGGAGTGCAGTGGTGTGATCTCGGCTCACTGCAACCTCCGCTTCCCAGGTTCAAGTGATTCTCCTGCCTCAGCCTCCCAAGAAGCTGGGATTACAGGCGTCTGCCCCCATGCCCAGCTAATTTCTGTATTTTTAGTAGAGACAGGGTTTCACCAGGTTGGCCAGGCTGGTCTCAAACTCCTGACCTCAGTGCTAGGATTACAGGTGTGAGCCACTGTGCCCAGTCCCATCTAATTTTTTTGATTTTTGATGCATTTCAAAGAAGTTGCAGAGTTCACTACCTCTAAACACTTCAGCATGCCTATCATTAACTACAATTTACTATTTGTTTCTGAATTTTTGGGGTTTTGTTTGTTTGTTTTTGAGACAAAGTCTTGCTCTGTTGCCCAAGCTACAGTGCAGTGGCGAGACCTTGGCTCACTGAAACCTCCACTTCCCGGGTTCAAGCAGTTCTCCTGCCTCAGCCTCCCGAGTAGCTGGGATTATAGGCACCTGCCACCATGCCTGGCTAGTTGTTTGGTATTTTTAGTAGAGATGGGGTTTCACCATGTTGGTCAGGCTGGTCTTGAACTCCTGACCTCAGGTGGTCCATCCGCTTCGGCCTCCCAAAGTGCTGGGATTACAGGCGTGAGCCACCGTGCCTGGCCTAGGTGGGTTTTTGTTTTTTGTTTTGTTTTGTTTTGTTTTGTTTGAGACAGAGCCTCACTCTGTTGCCCAGGCTGGAGTGCAGTGGCACAATTTCGGCTCACTGCAATCTCCACCTGCCAGGTTCAAGCGATTATTGTGCCTCAGCCTCCCAAGTATCTGGGATCGCAGGTGTATGCCACCACACCTGGCTAATTTTTTTTTTTTTTTGTATTTTTAGTAGAAACAGGGTTTCTCCATGTTGGCCAGGCTGGTCTCAAACTCCTGACCTCAAGTGATCCGCCCACCTTGGCCTCCCAAAGTGCTGGGATTACAGGTGTGAGCCATCGAGGCTGGCCTAAATGTTATTTTTTATTTTACCTGGATGGTCCTAGGAGGCATTTAACTTTATTACCCCTGATCTAGAAAGTGTATTATAAAGCCTTGGAAGTAGAGTTGCCAAATAAAATATAGAATGCCCAGTTAAATTTTAATTTTAGATAAACAATGAGAAAAATTTTAGTAATAGTATGTTACATGCAATAGCTGCACATATTTATACTAAAAATTATCTGTTGTTTATCTGAAATTCAAATTTAACTGGGCATTCTATATATTTATTTTCTAAATCTGGCAACCTGGGACCACGGACAGAACTTGTGTACCTTATTTCAAGGAGAAGTAAACATTCTTAAACAGAAATAATAAGCCATCACACCTAGCCTTAAGTGGTCTCTTTGGATCCAGATCTCAGGCCCTCAGAAGTCTCGTGGTGTCTTCTCTCCATTAACACACAGTTTTTCAAACCTTCCTCTGGCAAGTGAAAGCAAAGAGGCTCCAGGAAAGAGGGGGACAGCAGTATGACTAAGTGTTCTGCAGGGAAATCTGGTAAGAGGCAGGTGGCATGTGGGCCGCTGGGGTTTTTCTCCCAACTCCTTCCAGCTCTGCATCCCTGCTTCCTGCCCTCCTCCTCTCCTAGGAGGCCTAGGAACCTCCTTCCCTTGCTGGTGACAGGCTCCTCCAGGTTTCTGGCCCCTGCTTTAGCAGGGCTAGTCCTGTCCTGGATTGGCACAGGTGTCATAGGCAGAAGGAAGGTAAAGGTGGCTCAGTTTTATCAACCACTGATCCTGCATTCTGACCAGGCCAAGACCAGGCTGAGTTCTGGATCAGGGAACTTGGGAGCTAGAACCACATAGCATGGGAGAATGAGGAAATGGCCAGGCTGGGATTCCCTGCCCTCACAAACTCGGCTTCTTCTTGGACAATCACCAACTACAAACCCGGGATGTTCTAGAATCTTTACAACATCCTAGGAGGTAGGTTCTATTAGATTCATTTAGAGATTTGGATACTGAGGTTCAGGTGACTTTGCCTAAGAACCCCTGCCCCCCCGCCCCCACCCCACAAGCAATTTATTGACATAATAAGGACTAGATCCTTGATACATATGCCGCTGAAGCCGAAATTACTAACTCCTGTTAGATGCTGCCTCGCAGATGAGAGCTGACCCATCCTGTTGGCATTAGTAAGAAGGTTAGGATAGCATAGTCCAGTGGTTCTCAAAGTATCATGCTAGGTGGGCATCAGCATTACCTGGAACTTGTTAGAAATGTAATTTCTCAGCTCGGCGCGGTGGCCCATGCCTGTAATCCCAGCACTTTGGGAGTCCCAGGCAGGTGGATCACCTGAGGTCAGGAGTTCGAGACCAGCCTAGCCAACATGGTGAAACCCTGTCTCTACTAAAAATACAAAAAATTAGCTAGGCATGGTGGCGGGCACCTGTAATCCCAGCTACTCGGGAGGCCGAGGCAGGAGAATTGCTTGAACCCCGGAGGCAGAGGTTGCAGTGAGCCGAGATCACGCCATTGCACTCCAGCCTGGGCAACAAGAGTGAAACTCCATCTAAAAAAAAAAAAAAGAGAAATGCAGTTTCTCGGTCCTAACAGAGCTTCTTGACTCAGAAATTCCTGGGTGACACCTAGCAATCTGAGTTTTATCAAGTCCTTCAGGCGATTCTGGTGCACTATAAAGTTTTAGAATCATTGATATGTAGTAGAAAGAGATGCCTTTTTTTTTTTTTTTTTTTTTTTTTTTTTTTTGAGATGGAGTCTCACTCTGTCACCCAGGCTGGAGTGCAGCGGCACGATCTCGGCTCACTGCAAGCTCTGCCTCCCAGGTTCACGCCATTCTCCTGCCTCAGCCTCCCGAGTAGTTGGAACTACAGGCACCTGCCACCACGCCCAGCTAATTTTTTGTATTTTTTAGTAGAGACAGGGTTTCACCATGTTAGCCAGGATGGTCTCGATCTCCTGACCTCGTGATCCACCCACCTCGTCCTCCCAAAGTGCTGGGATTACAGGTGTGAGCCACCGCGCCCAGCTGGAGATGCATTTTTTAAACAAAATGAGTTTCATTTATTTATTTATATTACTATTATTAGAGATGGAGTCTCTCTGTGTTGTGCAGGGTGGTCTAGAACTCCTTACCTCAAAGGATCCTCCTGCCTCAGCCTCCCAAAGTGCTGGAATTATGGGCATGAGACACTACTCCTGGCCAATATCCATTTAAAACATATATTTGGGACCGGGCATGGTGGCTCACACTTGTAATCCCAGCACTTTGGGAGACTGAGGCCAGTGAATCACCAGAGGTCAGGAGTTCAAGACCAGCCTGGCCAACATGGTGAAACCCTGTCTCTAGTAAAAATACAAAAAAATTAGCTGGGCATGGTGGCAGGCGCCTGTAATCCCAGCTACTTGGGAGGCTGAGGCAGGAGCTAAGATTGCGTCACTGCACTCCAGCTTGGGCGACAGAGCAAGACTCTGTCTCAAAACAAAAAAATATATATTTAGAGGCTGAGATGGGAGGATTGCTTGAGCCCAGGAGTTTGAGGCTGCTATGATCACACCATTGCACTCCAGCCTAGGTGACAGAGACCTTGTCTGTAAATAAATAAAAATGAAATAAAATAAAACATGTATTTGTTTTAAGTAAACTTTTATTGATGTATAATATGAATAGAGAAAAATGCAGAAATCATAAGTATATGGCTTAATTAATTTTCACAAAGTGAGAAAGCCTGTGTACTGTCAGAGGCTTTTGAACCAGAGCAACTCCATCTTGAATAGGGGCTGGGCAAAATAAGGCTGAGACCTACTGGGCTGCATTTCCAGGAGGTTAGGCATTCTTCATTCTTTTTTTCAGACGGAGTCTTACTCTGTTGCCCAGGCTGGAATGCAGTGGCATGATCCTGCTCACTGCAACATCTGCCTCCTGGGTTCAAACAATTCTCCTGCCTCAGCCTCCCAAGTAGCTGGGACTACAGGCGCCTGCCATCACTCTTGGCTCATTTTTGTATTTTTAGTAGAGACAGGGTTTCACCATATTGGTCAGGCTGGTCTCGAACTGCTGACCTTGTGATCCACCTGCCTCGGCCTCCCAAAGTGCTGGGATTACAGGCGTGAGAGGTTAGGCATTCTAAGTCACAGAATGAGAGGGGTTTGGCACAAGATACAGGTCATAAAGACCTTGCCAAAAAAGAAGTTAGCTAAAACCCACCAAAACAAAGATGGCAATTAAAGTGACCTCTGGTCATCCTCACTGCTCATTATATGCTAATTATAATGGATCGGCATGCTAAAAGACACTCCCACCAGTGCCATGACAGTTTACAGATGCCACGGCAACATCCAGAAGTTACCCTATAAGGTCTAAAAAGGGGAGTAACCCTCAGCTCTGGGAATTGGCCACCCCTTTCCTGGAAAACTCATAAATAATCCACCCCTTGTTTAGCATATAATCAAGAAATAACTCTATCCTTAGACCAGCATCTCGAGCCATTGCTCTGACTATGGGGTAGCCATTCTTTTATTCCTTTACTTTCTTTTTTTTTTTTTAGAGGGAGTCTTGCTCTGTCTCCCAGGCAGGAATGCAGTGGCAGGATCTCCGCTCACTGCAACCTCTACCTCCTGGGTTCAAGCGATACTCCTGCATCAGCCTCCTGAGTAGCTGGGATTACAGACGTGCGTCACCATGCCTGCCTAACTTTTTTTGTATTTTTAGTAGAGATGGGGTTTCACCATGTTGGCCAGGATGGTCTCAAACACCTGACTTCCAGTGATCCACCCGCCTCAGCCTCCCAAAGTGGTGTGATTACAGGTGTGAGCCACCACGCTCGGCCTCCTTTACTTTCTTTTTTCTTTTTCTTTTTTTTTGAGATGGAGTCTTGCTCTGTTGCCCAGGCTGGAGTGCAGTGGTACGATGTCGGCTCACTGCAGCCTCCACCTTGCCTCCTGGGTCCTGGTTCAAGCAATTCTCCTGCCTCAGCCTCTGGAGTAGCTGGTATTATAGGCGCACGTCACCACGCCCAGCTAATTTTTGTATTTTTAGTAGAGGTGGGGTTTCACTATGTTGGCCAGGCTGGTCTTGAACTCCTGACCTCGTGATCCACCCCCCTCAGCCTCCCAAAGTGCTGGGATTACAAGCGTTAGCCACCACGCCCGGCCCCTTTACTTTCTTAATAAACTCATTATCGGCTGGGTGCCGTGGCTCATGCCTGTAATCCCAGCACTTTGGGAGGCCGAGGCAGGTGGATCACCTGAGGTCAGGAGTTCAAGATCAGCCTAGCCAACATGGTGAAACTCCACCTCTGCTAAAAATACAAAAATTAGCTGGGTGTGGTGGTGTGCGCCTGTAATCCCAGTTACTCAGGAGGATGAGGCAGGAGAATCACTTGAACCCAGGAGGCGGAGGTTACAGTGAGCTGAGATTGCCCCACTGCACTCCAGCCAGGGTGACAAGAGCAAAACTCTGTCTGAAAAAGAATAATAAATAAATAACTTGTTTTCACTTTATTGTATGGACTTGCCCCAAATTCTTTCCTGCACGAGATCCAAGAACCCTCTCTTGGGGTCTGAATCAGGACCCTTTTCCTGAAACAGTAACACCACCCAGATCAGGGCACAGAACATTATTACCTATCCTGAGAGGTGTCTTTGTGCCTTCTTCCAGGTACACCCTCCCCTCAAAGAGTAACCAGTATCCTGACTTCTAACACCATAGACTAGTTTTGCCTAACCTTACATAGTTTTTAAAATTGTAGGTGAATACAGAATCTGGAGCTACAGGACTTAGGGTTAGATCCCTGGTTCCTGGCTGAGTGATCTTCAACAAGCCATTTAATTTCTGTCACACTCAGTTTTCTTCTCTGTATAATGGTCATAAAAATACCTTGTACTGGCCGGGTGCGGTGGCTCACGCCTATAATCCCAGCACTTTGGGAGGCTAAGGCGGGCAGATCACAAGCTCAAGAGTTCAAGACCAGCCTGGCCAATATGGTGAAACCCCATCTCTACAAAAATACAAAAATTAGTCAGTCGTGGTGGCATGCACCTGTAATCCCAGCTGCTCGGGAGGCTGAGGCGGGAGAATCGCTTGAACCCGGGAGGCAGAGGTTGCAGTGAGCGGAGGTTGGGCCACTGCACTCAAGCCTGGGCGACAGAGTGAGACTCAGTCTCCAAAAAAAAAAAAAGCAAATTCTCAGGCCCTGCCCCAGACCTACTGAATCAGAAACTCTAGGAGTGGCCTCAGCAACCTACAGTTTAACTAACTTTGCAGGCAATTCTGATAAGTACTGAGGTTTGAAAACCACTGCACTAGAGAAACTGAATGAGGATGGGGCGCAGGAATCTGTATTTTAGCAATCTTTCCTAAGGCATGTTGCAGGAAACATGAAGTGGTTTTGAAAGTACTTTGCTTGAGGCTTGAAGGCTTGAACCTAGGAGTTTGATTTTTTATTTTTTTTAGATGGGGTTTCACTCTGTCACTCAGGATGGAGTGCAGTGGCGTGATCTTGGCTCACTGCAGTCTCCGTCTCCTGAGTTCAAGCAATTCTCCCACCCCAGCCTCCCGAGTAGCTGAGATTACAGGGGTGTGCCATGCCCAACTAATTTTTGCATTTTTTTTTTTGAGACAGATTCTCGCTCTGTGGCCCAGGATGGAGTGCAGTAGCACGATCTTGGCTCACTGCAACCTCCGCCTCCCAGGTCCAAGCAATTCTCTGCCTCAGCCTCCTGACTAGCTGGGATTACAGGCACCCGCCACCACGCCCGGCTAATTTTTGTATTTTTAGTAGAGATAGGGTTTCACCATGATAGCCAGGCTGGTCTTGAACTCCTGATCTCGTGATCCGCCCGCCTTGGCCTCCCAAAGTGCTGGGATTATAGGCGTGAGCCACCGTGCCCGGTCTAATTTTTGCATTTTTAGTAGAGATGGGGTTTCACCATGTTAGCCAGGCTGGTCTTGAACTCCTGACCTCAGTTGATCCATCCGCCTCGGCCTCCCAAACCATGCCCAACAAATTTTTGCATTTTTAGTAGAGACAAGATTTCACCATGTTGGCCAGGCTGGTCTCAAACTCCTGACCTCAGGTGATCCACCCGCCTCAGCCTCCCGAAGTGCTGGGATTATAGGAGTGAGCTACTGCGCCCAGCCTTTATGTTTCTTTTGTTGTTTGTTTTTTGAGACAGAGTCTCGCTGAGTCGCCCAGGCTGGAGTGCAATGGCGTGATCTTGGGTCACTGCAACCTCCCCCTCCTGGGTTCAATCAATTATCGTGCTTCAGCCTCCCAAGTAGCTGGGATTACAGGCACCCGCCACCACACCTGGCTAATTTTTGTGTTTTTAGTAGGGAAGGGGTTTCACAAGGCTAGGCGTGGTGGCTCACCCAACTCTACTAAAAATACAAAAATTAGCCAGGCGTGATGGCATGCGCTTGTAGTCCCAGCTACTTAGGAGGCTGAGACAGGAGAATCACTTGAACCCAGGAGGCGAGCGGAGGTTGCAGTGAGCCAAGATTGCGCCACTGCACTCCAGCCTGGGCGACAGAGCAATACTCTGTCTCAAAAAAAAAAAAAAAAAAAAAAAGAGACGGGGTTTCACCATGTTGGCCAGACTGGTCTCAAACTCCTGACCTCAAGTGATTTGCCTGCCTTGGCCTCCCTAACTCCTGGGATTACAGGTGTAAGCCACTGACCCTAGCCAAGCCTAGGAGTCTGAGAACAGCCTGGGCAACACAGGGAGTCCACGTCTCTACAAAAATAAAAACAATTAGGATAGTGTGGTGGCTTGAGCCTGGAGTCCCAGCTACTCAGGAAGCTGAGGTGAGAGGATCACTTGAGCCCAGGAGGTTGGCTGCAGTGAGCTATGATTGCACCGCTGCACTCCAGGTTGGGTGACAGAGCAAGACTCTGTCTCAAAAAAAAAAAAAAAAAAAAAGTCACTTTGAAAAATGTGACTTTCCAGATGGCAAAATACTATTTTCATTAGGAGGAAACAGGCTAAACAGTAATAGCAAAGGTCACTAAGTATTGAGCACTTAGTCATACCTCTGAGTCTCTGCCTGCATAGCCTATTATTTCTCACAAGCAATCCATGAAGAAGGTTAAGACAACGGACTTTCACGCCAGACTGCCTGGGTTCTTATCAAGTATGTGACTTAGTTTATATATTTGTAAAATGGGGATAATAATGGTATTTCTGTAATAGGTTTGTTGTGAGAATAAAGGGAGCTTGGTATCAGCTCTTAGAATACCGGACAGGCCACGTTGGCTCCACTAAGCTGTTGTCATCATCCCTAAGGGCACCCAGTTAAAAGGTAGAAAAGGGAGGATTTGAATCCGGTCAGTGTAACTCTCAAGTGTACATTTTTTTTCTTTTATTTTCTTTTTAACCACGCCCTTTAATGTACATTGTTAAAGGCTAAGCCAGGCCAGGTGCAGTGGCTCACATCTGTAATCTCAGCGATTGGGAGGCCCGAGGAGGGAGTATCGCTTGAGCCCAGGAGCTGGAGACCAGCCTGGGCAACATGGCGACACCGTGGCCCTATTCCCGCCCCATCCCATCCGCACTCCACCCCATCCCCATCTCTACAAAGAATAGAACAAAATTAGTCGGGTGTGGTGGTGCTCAACTGCTGTCCCAGCTACTCAGGAAGCCCAGGTGGGAGGCTCGCTTGAGCCCAGGAGTGTGAGGCTGTAGTGAGCTATGACTGCACCACTGCACTCCAGCCTGGGTGAAGGGTGAGACCTTATCTCAAAAAGAAGAAAAAAAAAGAAAAGGAAAAGAAAAAGAAAAAAGAACAACTAAGTTATAAACTAAGCTATATAGCCCATTGGTTCTCAAATTATGATTTCACTCACTAGCAGTATCACTAGACAGCTTGTTGGACATGCAAATTATCAGACCCTATCCTCCTATGCCAGATCTTCTGATCAGAAACTCTGGGGGTGGGGGTCAGCAGTGTAAGTTTTAATAAGCTCTCTAGGTGATTCTGATGCACACCATAGTTTGAGAATCACAGTCCTTATAGGCTCTGGTGGGCGGGGTGTTAAAAAAAAAAAAAAGCCTGGAGGTGCTGGGAGCCGCTCGCGCCCATCTCACCTGGAGCTGAGGAAAACTGGGATTTAACTGATTTACCACCGCAGCCAGCTCTTCAAGCCAGGGGCGGGCCGGACGGCTGGCGCGCAAGGCCTGCTGGGGCTTGTAGTCTAGACCACTTCCGCGCTCAGGCGCCTGCGCTTTAGCTGCTAACTCGCTCTAGTAGCTGTGGTCGGGGCTCGGGACCGGCTGCCATCTTAGTCTAGGGACTGAGGAGTCGCCGCCGCCCCGAGTCCCGGTAAACCCCCGTGGGCGAACTCGGGGCAGTTCTCGGGAGAGGGAGGGAGTCCGGATGAGAATGTTCGGGGAGAACAAGGGTAGAGGAGTGGGACGCGCGGTTCGGGACCCCAGAGCCGCGGCTGCTCCTTCTTCCAGAGCCGGTGTCTGTCGGGGGCGCGGGGAGCTCGGGCTACTGGCCCGGGCCGGGCGGTGGGGGTGGGCTGTCTGGACGTTCGGAGGGATCAGTGTCTGGCACAGGCTTCCGGAGGCCTTCGCCTCGCGGGCTCCAAGTTGTGAAAGGGCTGGGCCACGACGGGCGTGGGTACCGTCCGGCCCCTCGCCCCTCAGCCCCGCCTGGGGCCACTCTCCAGCGGTTCGGCCTACGCGCGGGGCCCGGCGGCGGGGCCGGCGCGGGCGACGTGGCCCTGTGAGGGGCGGCGGCCGGGTCCCCCGCCACCCAGCTGGCCTTCTCGAGACTTTTCCGAGCCCCCAGTCGCTAGAAGGGCCCAGCACAGCGGCTGCCTCCCCTTCTCTCTCCCACTCGCCTCCTCCTTCCATTGTCCCCCCGGCGTGGTGGTCCCGGCTCCGGCGCCCTCCCCGACGTCCGCCACCGTCGTGGCGGCGCCGACTTTTGCAGACGTGGAGCTGTCACTGCCCTTCCTCCGGAGAGTGCCCTTTTCTTTAGCAGAGAAAAGAAAAAAGTAGCCGTTGAACGTATTCTAAGGGTCGAAGCATGATGACATGACTTTTAAGTGGAGAACTCAAGTTTTCCAAGACAGTTCCCGTCCGCGACAGAAAAGAGAATCGCAGAATTTGTGCGCCCGAAGTAGACGCTGGGCCTAAAGTTAGTTGGACATGTAACCAGGTGAACTTGTAAAGGGCCAGGAATTCATTATCCCCAATAACAACGCAACCTTGTTTTCTTGGTTGTATTCGTATCCTAATCTTATTACATTTTCTGCCATTCTTCCACAGCTACAGTATACTTGGTTTGGAGTGGGGGATGGGGAATTGTGGGATTTTTGCCTTGAAAATTAGTAAGACCCTGGAGCCAGCCACCCACTTAGGTGGGTTCTCCTGCATCTTTTCCTGATAGAATTCGATCTTCAGGAAGTATGTAAAGGCAGTGTATTTCCATTCTCAAAATCGGCTAAGGAATGGTTTATCAGTTGAGGTGAAGTTCTCATGGCAGATCTGCTGAGAGCTTGCTATGTGTATTTACAGGTTTATTTAAGCTACGATTTATTTTTAAAATTAAGAAATGGGCCGGGTGCTGTGTGTGGCTCACGCCTGTAATCCTAGCACTTTGGGAGGCCGAGGCGGGCAGATCATGAGGTCAGGAGTTCGAGACCATCCTGACCAACATGGTGAAACCCCGTCTCTACTAAAAATACAAAAAAAAAAAAAAAAAAATCCTGGGCGTGGTGGCGCGCGCCTGTAGTCCCAGCTACTAGGGAGGCTGAGGCAGGAGAATGGCTTGAACCCGGGAGGTGGAGGCTGCAGTGAGCCGAGATCTCGCTGCTGCACTCCAGCCTGGGCGACAGAGCGAGACTCCGCCTCAAAAAAAAAAAAAAAAAAAAAGCAATGGGATGGGTGTGGTGGCTCACGCCTGTAATCCCAGCAATTTGGGAGGCCGAGGTGGGCGGATTACGTGAGCCCAGGAATTGGAGATCAGCCTGGGCAACATCGTGAAACCCCGTCTCTACAAAAAATACAAAGATTTGCCGGGTGTGGTGGCAGGCGCCTGTGGTCCCAGATACTCAGGAGGCTGAGGTGGGGGAATCACCTGATTCCGGGGGGTCGAGGCTGCGGTGAGCTGTTACCGTTGCCACTGCATTCCAGCCTGGGTGACAGAGTGAGACCCTGTCTCAAAAAATAAAAAAAAAAATTTAGAAATGAAGGTGGAAATTCTACTGCTTCTTTGAACTGTGAATTTAAGTTTTGTGAGTCCAAAAGGAATTCCATTACATTCAGCATACAGGTCAAGTCACCAAGGATATCATATGAAATTAAAAAAATGAGTACAGACTACTTCTTCAGTGTATTCTAGAATCAAACATTTCTACATTCTTTAGAAAAAAATACATCTTTTTCGTTTGTTTGAGACGGAATCTAACTTTGTCACCCAGGCTGGAGTACAGTGGTGTGATCTCGGCTTACTGTAACCTCCGCCTCCCGGGTTCCAGCAATTCTTCTGCCTCAGCCTCCGTAGTAGCTGGGACTACAGGCGCGTGCCACCACTCCCGGTAATTTTTTTGTATTTTTTAGTAGAGATGGGTTTTCACCATATTGGCTAGGCTGCTCTCGAACTCCTGACCTCGTGATCCACCTGCCTTGGCCTCCCAAAGTGCTGGGTTTACAGGCATGAGCCGCCACTCCTGGCCCTAAAAAATACATCTTTTCACTTATTGGGAGAGGCAGACAAACCAGTAGTCCCCAAATTTGACCATTAGAATAATTAGGAGAGCTTAGAAATTCCAGGGTCTTACCTTCTGAGATGGATTTAGTAGGTCTGGGTTGGCTTCAACCAATTTATTTTTAACACATGCCTTAGGTAATTCTGATGGTCTTGGGAACCACTGAGGGCAAATGGTACTGTAGACTTACCAAGGAAAGGTCAAAAAGCTTTGAGACGAAAGAGGAAGTGGCCAATTCTGTGTGTGTGGCTGGGTGGAGGATTGGTTAGAAGAGGCAAGATTTGCCCCTGAACCCACATTGGGTCTTACATGAAGAGTAGGAGTGTGAAAAGGGCGGGGAAAGAGAAGGACAGGGTAGGCTGAGTGAATGCCTTAATGCTGTGTGTAAATTCAGAGGATTATGGAACAAAAAGGGTTCAGGGAGTGTGGAGTGGAATGGGGAAGGAGAGCATTTTGAAACGCAAGGTCAGAAAGGTTAAAGGAAGCAAGTATATGAAAAGTGATTTTTTGTTGTTGAGACTGGGTCTCACCCAGTCACGCAGGATGGAGTGCAGTGACAGGACCTCCAGAGCTCAAGTGATCTTCCCACCCCAGCCTCCCTGAGTAGCTGGGACAACAGGCATGCATTAGCATGCCTGGCTAATTTTTAAAATTTTTTTGTAGAGAAAGGTTCTCTTTACGTTGCCCAGTCTGGTCTTAACTCCTGTGTTCAAGTGGTCCTCCCACCTTGGCCTCCTAAAGTGTTGGGATTACAGGTGTAAGCTACTGTGCTCTGGCTAAAAATTTTAAGTATAATGCTAAAAATTTGGAATTTTATGTTGGTAGAAATAGATACAGGGCTGGGCTCAGTGCCTCACACCTGTAATCTCAACAGTTTGGGAGGCTGAGGCGGGTGAATCGCTTGAGCTCAGGAGTTTGAGACCAGCCTGGGCAACATGGTGATATCCCGTCTTTACCAAAAGGAAGGAAAAAAAAAAGAAATAGATGCAGATTTTTCGACAGGGAAATGATGTGAGTACATATGTGTTTTAGAAAATTGCTGTGTACTGCAGGACAAAGATAGGTATCAAAAAACAAAAAAAGAAAGATTGCTCTGGTGATGAGCGAAAGGATGAGGGACTAGCTATTGCAGAAGTCTAGTTGAGAAATGACAAAGCCTGACCTTGGAGAGAGGTTGTGGGGATGATCAAAGGATTGGATTTAGCTTTTTACTAGTGCAATATTGTTGCCATATTTCTAGATGAGGATTTTTTTTTAGAGCTAATCTGGGTAAAGGGCTCCTTTTCTGTCAAAAGAACCCATTAGCAAGTCTGAATAATATTGCCAGGTTATATATGTTATGTATAGTATGAGAGTGAATTGTTCATTAGCATCTTTGAGAAATTAGAAAGAACTATGTCAGGTGTAATTTGGAAGAGAACTTGAAGTTTGTTATTGTTACTATTTTTGAGATGGAGTCTTGCTCGGCCATGCAGGCTGGAGTGCAGTGATGTGATCTCGGCTCACTGCAACCTCCACCTCCCGGGTTCAAGCGATTCGTGTGCCTCAGCCTCCCAAGTAGCTGCCTCCCAAGTAGCTGGAATTAGAGGTGCATGCCACCAAGCCTGGCTAATTTAGAACTTGGAGTTTGGACTGAAATTTATGCCTCTAAAAAGTATTGATCTAGGCTTGTTGGGAGTGTTTTTCTCTCAGCCTGTAGAAACTTGCTCATTGAGTTTTAGAGTTGGGAGAAGTTACAGAGATTATCTAGTCCATAATGGCAAATATATTTTGGTTTATTGGCCAGCTCTAATTGGAAGCTGCCAGAAGCACTGTGTTTGGAAGGATTCTGGTTGTAGGTGCTCTGAGAAATTGTATTATGGTTGATCAATGATGTCTCCTGTGGACAGTTACCTAGTAGGTAGTAGACATGTGCCAAATATATGCTATTCTTAGATAAGTCCAATCTCTTAGTTTTCTGTTTTGTTGTTGTTTGTTTGTTTTAAAGGTTAAATAATTTACCTGAAACTAGTTAAGAGTAAGAACTAGAACTAGAACTGGGTTTTGCAACTCTGGGACTGGTATTCTCTGGTTTACAAAGATCAATGTGCACTACTGAAGAGCTTCTGGTATTAGACTAGAAAAAGAAAAGGGAGATTTTTAGCCTATGCGTCTTGACTGTTTAGGCAAGAGTTTAACAAGGAATTTTGGCCTAGAAGTAAGTTTTGTTATATTCATTCTGTCTTAAGAAATTTGTGTTAGGGCCGGGCGCGGTGGCTCATGCCTGTAATCCCAGCATTTTGGGAGGCTGAAGCGGGCAGATCACGAGGTCAGGAGATCGAGATCATCCTGGCCAACGTGGTGAAACCCCCATCTCTACTAAAATACAAAAAATTAGCTGGGTGTGGTGGCATGCACCTGTAGTACCAGCTACTTGGGAGGCTGAGGCAGGAGAACCACTTGAACCTGGGAGGCGGAGGTTGCAGTGAGCTGAGATTGTGCCACTGCACTCCAGCCTGGCAACAAGAATGAGACTCTGTCTCAAAAGAAAAAAAAAAAAAAATTCGTGTTAGTACTGATAGGAAATAGTCATCTGTTTTGTTGTTTTGCCACTTTCTTTCTTGTTGCCTAAGTCTCTGTTTTGGGTTTTGGACATTGGTTTCCTTTATAAGAATTAAGACAAAAGTATGTAAGGTTTTTTTTTTTGTATTTATAGTACTTAGCCAAATTCTGGGCTCATAATAAGCACTCAGTAAAGGCATGTTGACTTTTATGGCTGTAAATGATACTGGCTTTGAGTCAATATAAATTAGTTAGGGGGTTCACAGAATTGAATTGCAGCATTCTCTGGTTGGGAGGTTGGCTTTCAGCTAAAAACGTTAAGTTGGAAACTATCCTCACAACTAGAAGCAGTTAACCAGAAGCTGTTCCTGCCTCTATCCTCCTCCAGTCTAGCAGTGTACTGTCCTTGAAAAACTGCTGCCAGCTCAGCTTTTTTGCTTCTTTTCAGAACTGACTATATCCAGATCCTTGGTGTGCGTTTTCTTTTCCTGTCCCTAGGAGTCTCCAAGTTGCAGGGACTATCATTATGGTGACCCTTATAGGCTGGTGTATTTATATGGCCATCCTCATTTTGCCAGATAGCCGTCATACTCAGATTGGTGTCTTCCCATAATACGTATGAATCATTTTCCCTCAGTTCTTTCTTTTGTCCTGTCTGCTCCATTAAAAATTGTCTATCCCATGAAATTTTTAAAAGAGACTTTGTGCTTTTAGAGTCGCAAGGTCGTTGCAGATCTGATGTGTTTAACTATAGAGGTCAGCTGGGTGTGGTGGCTCACGCCTGTAATCCCAGCACTTTGGGAGGCTGAGGTGGGTGGATCACGAGGTCAGGAGTTCAAGACCAGCCTGACCAATATGGTGAAACCCCATCTCTACTAAAAATACGAAAGTTAGCCAGGCGTGGGGGTGCACGCCCGTAGTGTAGTCCCAGCTACTCAGGAGGCTGAGGCAGAAGAATCGCTTGAACCCAGGAGGCGAAGGTTGGAGTGAGCCAATATCATGCCACTGCACTCTAGCCTGGCGACAGAGCAAGACTCCATCTCAAAAACAAACAAACAAAAAAATATAGAAGTAATGTGTTAATGGACTCTCCTTCCTTTCTCAGGTACCATGCATTTCACGGTGGCCTTGTGGAGACAACGCCTTAACCCAAGGAAGTGACTCAAACTGTGAGAACTTCAGGTATGGTGTCATCCTGTGAGAGAAATTGGGGGCAAGAGTGATGCAGAGGCCAAGCTCTGGTCTTATACCTGCTGTGAGGAGAGAGCAGTGTTGATGCTAGCTGCATCAGTTGGTTGAACATATAGGCAGCTTCACTTGGTTCTGAAACCCAAAGCTGCCTCTGCAGGGATTAGCCTGTGAGCCACACTGTGCTCTTAATTTGGGTTTTCTGACTTTTCTGTTTTTGTAGATCCCTTATACATATGCATACTTTTTCTATTTGTGTTGTTTTATACACGTTTATCTCTGTATACTATCTAGACATGTGCATGTGTAGGATTAAGAGGTGGGTAATGAAAAAGAAGACAACATGGCCAGGTGCAGTGGCTCATGCCTGTAATTCCAGCACTTTGTGGGGCGAAGGTGGGAGGATCACTTGAACCCAAGAGTTTGGGACCAGCCTGGACAACATGGCGAGACCCTGACTCCACACAAAATAAAAAAAAATCAGCTGGTGTGGTGGCGTGTACCTGTAATCCTAGCTGATTGGGAGGGTGACATGGGAGGATCACTTGAGCCAGGAGGTTGAGGCTGCAGTAAGCCATGATCACGCCACTGCACTCCAGCCTGGGTGACAGAGTGAGACCCTGTCTCGGAAAAAAAAAAAAAAAAAGACAACATGGTTCAGTGCAGAAAGAATAGAGGACTTGGAAAGAAAAGATCTGGGTTCCGATTTGATTTTGCCACTGACAAGCTGTGTGACTTTCGGCGAGTTATTTAATCTTGCCAGACCTCAGTTTATACATCTGTAAAATAGGTAAGTATTGATTCCTGTCTCCATCCCTGGCATTGTTGTGTGGATCAAATAAAATAATACCTATTAAATCTTTAGAAAAGGAAATGAATTCATGACTTAAAATGTTATCTTGGCCAGGCACGGTGGCTCATACCTGTAATCCCAGCACTTTGTTTGGGAGGCCAAGGTGGGCGGATCACTTGAGGTCAGGAGTTTGAAACCAGTCTGGTCAACATGGTGAAACTCCATCTCTACTAAGAATACAAAAATTAGCAGGGTGTGATGTCATGTGCCTGTATTCCCAGTTACTTGGGTGGCTGAGGCAGGAGAATCATTTGAACCCAGGAGGTGGACACTGCAGTAAGCCAAGATCGTGCCACTATACTCCAGCCTGGGCAACAGAGTGAGAGTCTGTCTCAAAAAAAAAAAAAAGAAAAGAAATGTTATCTAGATCCACAAGGTGAGAGAAGTTGAGAGTAGTATTGTGAAGGAAAACATGAGGACAAGACAGATCACTTTAAAAGGTCAGGAGAGAAGGAAGACTACTGGGTAAGAAAAAAAAAGTAGAACATAAAGTTAAGCAGTAAGAGAATAGGGAGTGAATGAAGTTGAGCAGGTGAATTGTTAGATAAGAAAGCTGAGGCTGGGCGCGGTGGCTCACGCCTGTAATTCCAGCACTTTGGGAGGCCGAGGCGGGTGGATCACGAGGTCAGGAGATCGAGACCATCCTGGCTAACAAGGTGAAACCCCGTCTCTACTAAAAGTACAAAAAATTAGCCGGGTGTGGTGGCGGGCGCCTGTAGTCCCAGCTACTCAGGAGGCTGAGGCAGGAGAATGGTGTGAACCTGGGAGGCAGAGCTTGCAGTGAGCCGAGATCACACCACTGCACTCCAGCCTGGGCAACAGAGCCAGACTCCGTCTCAAAAAAAAAAAAAAAAAAACTGAATAGGAAGATACTGGTAAAATAGAACTAAAATATGATCCAGCATTGCCACTTTTGGGTATATATCCAAAGGAAATAAAATCACTTCTTCTTTTTTTTTTTTTTTTTTTTTTTGAGATGGAGCCTTCCCCAGGCTAGAGTGCAATGGCACGATCTTGGCTCACTGCAGCTTCTGCCCCCTGGGTTCAAGTGATTCTCTTGTCTCAGCCTCCTGAGTAGCTGGGACTCGGGAGGCCAGGCGTGCACCCACCACACCTGGCTAATTTTGTATTTTCAGTAGAGACGGGGTTTCACCACATTGGCCAGGCTGCTCTTGAACTCCTGACCTCAGGTGATCTGCCCGCCTCTGCCTCCCAAAGTGCTGGGATTATAGGCGTGAGCCACTGAGCCCGGTCCTGTTCTTTTTTATAATCAAGAGAAAGGAAGGAGATGGTGGAATGATTTGTGATAGCTACTATAAAGCAATTTAAAAAATATTTAAAAGTATTATTAAAGTATTTAAAATATCTTTAAAATATTTCTCAGCATATCCATTTCATCTCAAGCTCACAAAGCAGTTCTTTGTGGAAAGGTATTTGAGCCAACATTCAGGAAACCTGCGTTCTACCATTGGTATTACTGGTCACTTAAATTCTGTGATCTTGGGCAGCTCACTTAAATCTCCCTGGGCCTGGTTTCCTCACTTATCTATTGAATGTTTTGAATATGATTTCTCAGGTTCTTTCCAGCTCACTCTATTATATTCTGTGCTTTATGTGCTAACTCACTGATTTTTCATGGCTTTGTTGACATCACAATATATGACTGATATCAGAAATATCTTATAATAAGGCTTCGGCCGGCCGCGGTGGCTCATCCCTGTAATCCTAGCACTTTGGGAGGCTGAGGCGGGCGGATCACGAGGTCAGAAGATCGAGACCATCCTGACTAACATGGTGAAACCCCGTCTCTACTAAAAATACAAAAATTAGCTGGGCGTGGTGGCGGGCGCCTGTAGTCCCAGCTACTCGGGAGGCTGAGGCAGGAGAATGGTGTGAACCTGGGAGGCGGAGCTTGCAGTGAGCCGAGTTCACGCCACTGCACTCCAGCCTGGGCGACAGAGTGACAGAGGGATACTTTGTCTCAAAAAAAAAAAAAAAAGGCTTCATAATGTCTGATGCTTTATAAATGAGAAACCATGTTATTTTAAGTTCTACTTTTTTTTTTTTTTGAGAGGGAATCTAACTCTGTCACCCAGGCTGGAGTGCAGTGGCGCAATCTCAGCTCACTGCAACCTCCGCCTCTCGGGTTCAAGCAATTCTCCTGCCTCAGCCTCCTGAGTAGCTGGGATTACAGGCACCCGCCACCATGCCTGGCTAATTTTTTGTATTTTTAGTAGAGATGGGGTTTCACCGTGCTAGCCAGGATGGTCTCGATCTCCTGACCTCGTGATCTGCCTGCCTCAGCCTCTCAATGTGCTGGGATTACAGGCATGAGCCACCGTACCCGGCCTTTTAAGTTCTACTTTAAACATTGGCACTGAGAGACCTGTAGGAAACGTAAGTATAGAAAGTTTAAGTTTGTAATATTTGACAAGGATCTGTTGAGCTGCTATTGTGCTAGGTTCCAAGGGGTACTCAAATATAAAACTCCTGGTTTAAGGATTTTGTCAGGAAAACAGACTTCCTTGCCAGTGATTGATTATTATAAAAAGGAAGTTGGTAAATGTTACAAGAGTTTCATTGCATTGCAATTTAAGAAATTAAGTTCAGATTTTTTGGTTCCTTTAACATGATTGAATGTATTCCTTTTTTTTTTTTTTTTGAGACGGAGTTTTTCTCTTGTTGCCGAGGCTGGAGTGCAATGGTGCAATCTCAGCTTACTGCAGCCTCCACCCACTGGGTTCAAGCGATTCTCCTGCCTGAGTCTCCCAAGTAGCTGGGATTATAGGCATGTGCCACCACGCCCAGCTAATTTTGTATTTTTACTAGAGATAGGGTTTCACTGTGTTGGTGAGGCTGATCTTGAACTCCTGACCTCAAATAATCCACCTGCCTCGACCTCCCAAAGTTCTGGATTACAGGCATAAGCCACTGCACCTGGCCAAATGTATTTTTTTTTTTTTTTTGAGGCAGAGTCTTGTTCTCGCCCAGGCTGGAGTGCAGTGGTGTAATCTTGGCTCACTGCAACCTCCGTTTCCTGGGTTCAAGCCATTCTCCTGCCTCAGCCTCCTGGGTAGCTGGGATTACAGGTCCCTGCCACCATGGCCAGCTAATTTTTATATTTTTACTAGAGATGGGGTTTCACCATATTGGCCAGGCTGGTCTCAAACTCCTGACTTCAGGTGATCCGCCTGCCTTGGCCTCCCAAAGTGCTGGAATTATAGGCATTCGGCCTAACATAATTGAATGTATTTTAAGTGCTGCTGTATGCTAGACATTGCAGGGACTTATGGTGAAAAAGCAATCTCTGCCCTCCAGCAACTCGCATTTTTTTTTTCCATGTCTGGAAATTGCTTACCCTAATAGATCTATCCTTCTGTCCCAGAAAAGAGAAGAATTTTAATACTATGTCGTCACTTACAGGTTAAGAATTCATCTACATATTGAGCTTAACTCACTCCAGAAATATCTACTAACTTGCTTGCTTTCTGAGAAAATGTTTATTATTTTACTGGATTCTGCAACCTTTTCTTTGTCAGTTACAAGAGAACATTTTTTTTTTTTATTTTTTTTTAAGATGCAGTCTTGCTTTGTCGCCAGGCTGGAGTGCAGTGGCACAGTCTTGGCTGACTGTAATCTCCGTCTCCCAGGTTAAAGCGATTCCCCTGCCTCAGCCTCCCATGTAGCTGGGACTACAGGTGCCCACCACCACGCCTGGCTAATTTTTTGTATTTTAGTAGAGACGAGGTTTCACCATGTTGGCCAGGATGGACTTTTTATTTTTTATTTTTTTAAGACAAGATAAGCTCCAGAAATAACCATCTGCATTTAGGTGAACTTTGATTTGCTTGTTAGGCCTTCATTCGTGCAAAGAAAGAGTAGGTTCTACAATTTTGTCTTGATTATTTTTCCAAATAATCAAATTTAGTTGGTCACAAAGGAAAGGATTTTAGTCTAAAGGATTATATTGTAGGAGTTAACAGTATTTACTGGAGTTAGGTTGATTTTGAATTTTGACTCTACTGTGTAGTGGTGGTATGATCTTGGCCAACTTGCCTAACTTCTTTTTGCCTTAGTTTTCTCATCTGTAAATTGGGAATAGTAATAGCATATATACATAGGTATTATGTGTTTCTGCTTGAACAAGACTTGGCTCACAGTGTGAAGTGTTAGTCGTTGTTTTCATTATCATCATTACCATCAACCTTATCTTTCTTAAAGTTATGATCTGAGTTCATAAATCATTCAGTAAACCTATTTAGGCTGAGCATTGTAAATTTAAATGCCTGCAAGGGCTGGATGAACATTTAGTAAGTAATGACAGATCAGACTGGGACTTTAAGTGAACTAGGGAATTCATTCCCCTCCAAGGGAGCAGCTGTTAAAGCAGCTTTGGCTTACAATTTTTTTTTTTTTTTTTTGAGACAGAGTTTCACTTTTGTTGCCCAGGCTGGAGTGCAGTGGCATGATCTTGGCTCACTGCAACCTCAACCTCTGCCTCCCGGGTTCAAGCAATTCTCCTGCCTCAGCCTCCCAAGTAGCTGGAATTACAGGTGCTCTCCACCACGCCTGGCTAATTTTTTGTATTTTTAGTAGAGATAGGGTTTCATCATTTTGGCCAGGCTGGTGTTGAACTCCTGACCTCAGGTGATCCACCCGCCTCGGCCTCCCAAAGTGCTGGGATTACAGGTGTCAGCCACCACGCCTGGCGTGATTTTTTTTTTTTTTTGAGACAGAATCTCGCTCTTGTTGCCCCAGCTGGAGTGCAATGGCGCAATCTTGGCTTACCATAACCTCCGCTTTCCGGGTTCAAGCAATTCTCCTGCCTCAGCCTCCCAAGTAGCTGGGTTTACAGGTGTGTGCCACCACGCCTGGCTAATTTTGTATTTTTAGCAGAGACGAGGTTTCTCCATGTTGGTCAGGCTGGTCTGGAACTTCCGACCTCAGGTGATCCGCCTGCCTCGGCCTCCCAAAATGCTGAGATTACAGGCGTGAGCCACCGCACCTGGCCTTTTTTTTTTTTTTTTTTAATGGAGGTAAAAGTAAGTATGTGAGGTTATGTATATGTTATTTAGCTCGATTTAGCCATTCCACAACATGTACATATTTTAAAACATGTTATGGGCTGGTCATGGTGGCTCATGCCATAATCCCAGCACTTTGAGAGGCTAAGGCAGGAGGATCTCTTGAGGCCAGGAGTTTGAGACCAGCCTGGATAACATAGTGAGACCCCATCTTTATTTTATTTCAATAAATAAATAAAACCTGTTTTACATGATAAATATATACCTTTTTTGTCAATTAAAATAATTTAAAAATACTACTTAAGGTCTTGGGAATACACTCACAATGTATTGGTAGTTAAAATTTTTTTTTTTTTTTTTTTTTTTTTTTTTTTTTTTACCAGTTGCTGTGGCTCACTTCTATAATCCCAGCACTTTGGGAGGCCAAGGTGATAGGATTGCTTGAGCCTCGGAGTTTGAGACCAGCTTGAGCAACATAGCGAGATCCCGTCATTATATTTTTCAAAATTAAAAAGGAAAGTTTTCAGAAGGTTAAAAAAAAAATTGAGGCAAAATTCACTACTTTAAAGTGTACAATTCAGTGTTGGCTTACTATTGACCTTGGGGAGAGTGCAGACCATGTGCAGACTGAACATCTTAATTTTTTTCTAAGGAGAAGCTAGAAATCAAGATTTTGTAAGAAATTTTTATTGTTAAATGTTGGCAACTTATGAATTCATAGTGTAAACACTGTGGGCCAAACAAATTACCACTGTGGGCAGAATTTGTCTTGTGGCTTGCTGCTTTACAACCTCTGATCTGGGGCTTGACTTTCTGCAGCATAACCCATGTTTTCTGCCCTCTGAGAAGAAAGTTCTTACCCACGTAAAGATTTAACCAGCCTCGGCAGCATGGTGAAACACTGTCTCTACAAAAAAGCCTCATAAAAATCAGCCAGGCATGATGGTGGTGTGCGCCTATTGTCCCAGCTGAAGTGCAAGGGTCGCTTAAGCCCAGGAGGTTGAGACTGCAGTGAGCTCATGTCGCTGCACTGATATCATGTCACTGATATGTCACTGCACTCTAGTCTGGGCAACAGAGTGTGACCGTGTCTCAAAAATAAATACATAAATAAATAAATAAATAAAACAGTTCAAACAATACCTCAAAGCAGTCTAGTACTGAATGAGAGGTATGTAGAATAATTATTAAGGCAGATAGAAGGAGGGAAGTTAGTTAGTTATTCAGAATATGCCAAGGTGCAGAGGCAGGAATGGACTTCAGGGGGTGGAGTTTAATTTTAGAGGATTTGTGTGAGCCTGGTAATAGGCAAAAGTTTTGAAAATTTGAGAAGAGTCAAGCCTCTTATTTTGAATAACCTTGAGACCTATTGGCTGATAGGATTAAATGGTATTTTGTGAAGATTTATTTGGCAAAATTGAGGTCTGTAGTATTTACTATGGTTGGAGGCAGGGAGACTAGGCTATGGAGGTGTCAGTGGGAATGAAAATAAAGGGGGAAAAGCTTGTATAAGAGACAAAAGGTTGCATTAAAGAGGGCCAATTTTGAAAGCTTTTTCTCTATTGACTTTTGTACAAACTGGGATATGGGAAGATACTGTGTACAGGCTATATTCCTCTTTTCATGTTGTGAATCTTGCTTTATCCCTTACTCAGTCCCAACAGTGTCCTTGTTGATGGATTACATACGTTTTCTTACGATTTCCCAGCTTGCACAAGTAGAATAGAAAGAAAAACCAGGCCAGGCATGGTGGCTCACACCTGTAATCCCAGCACTTTGCGAGGCTGAGGTGGGCGGATCACTTGAGGCTGGAGTTTGAGACCAGCCTGGCCAACAGGGCGAAACCTCGTGTCTACTAAAAATATAAAAAATTAGCCGGGTGTGGTGTTACACTCCTGTAGTCCTAGCTACTTGGGAGGCTGAGGCATGAGTATTGCTGGAAACAGGGAGGCGGAGGTTGCAATGAGCCGAGATTGAACTGCTGCACTCCAGCCTGGGCGACAGAGCGAGACCCTGTCTCAAAAAGAAAAAACCACCAAAGTAGTGTAATTGCTCATCACATTTCTTGTTTGGGGTTTTTGGTTATCTCGGTTAACCTCTGGTATATTTCATTAGACCTTAGTTTATACATTGAATTTTCATATTTACCAAGGTTTGGAAACAATGACAAATGGCTTGCTCTTAGAAAGATGTAGAATTTTCTTGCAGAAACTTGAGATAACTGATATGGCTGGGCGCGGTGGCTTACACCTGTAATCCCAGCACTTTGAGAGTCCAAGGTGGGCAGATCGCTTGAGCCCAGGTATTCAAGACCAGCCTGGGCAACATGGAGAAACCCTGTCTCTACGAAAAACACAAAAAATTAGTTGGGCATGGTGGCGTGTGCACCTGTAGTCCCAGCTACCCAGGAGGCTGAGGTGGGAGGATTACCTGGTCCCGGGAGGTCAAGACTGCAGTGATTTACCTGTGATTGTATCACAGTACTCCAGCCTAGGCAACAGAGTGAGACCCTGTCTCAAAAAAAAAAAAAAATTATGATTCAGAATGTCTGAAGAAACCAATAAATGTAGAAAGGTAGAATATGTTCAGCATAACCTGAGAAAGTGATTTTTAGGATGTTATTTTCTAAATAAGATTTAGATTTTGTTCTGTTTATACTTCTCATGAAACTTTTTTTTTTTTTTAACATACCTGGGAAGTTATTCCTCATTCTTGGCCAAATACAAAATGTCATTATTTTAGAGACTATAGTCTTTTTCGCAAGTAAGCTGAATAGTGTGTTAGGTATAGTCTGAGTATTAAGAATATCTGAGATCTGTATTAAAAACAGATGTAGGCCGGGCACAGTGGCTCACGCCTGTAATCCCAGCACTTTGGGAGGCCAAGGCGGGAGGATCACCTGAGGTCAGGAGTTCGAGAGCAGCCTGGCCAACATGGTGAAACCCCATTTGTACTAAAAATACCAAAAAATTAGCCGGGTGGGGTGGTGGCGCACCTATAATCCCAGATACTCGGTGGGCTGAGGCTGGAGAATTCCTGAACCCAGGAGGCAGAGGTTGCAGTGAGCAGAGATTGCGCCATTGTACTCCAGCCTGGGCGATGAGCGAAACTCTGTCTCAAAAAAAAAAAAAAAAAAAAAAAGATGTAAAAAAAAAAAAAGAATATCTGAGATATAGCAAAGTTTTTCTCATGGATGAATAAAAATACTGAACTGGGCCTTTAAAAAAGTACAGAAAATTGCCTGTCATAGAAATGCAGCAGTAGGGTCAAATGAGCTAAATCTAAATCTCATTTAATGAAAAAGGCACTTTCCTTTTATTTTTGAAGGATGGTCTAACCTAGTTTTTGGAATTCATTTGTTCTGCAATTAAAAGAGATTTTTAGGTGGTTCATTTAATTATAGCTGTTTTGGAAATGGGAAGGAAAATAATGTGAGAGAGAGATTAACTGCATTTGCTTCTGTGGAAAGTCAGTAGTCAAAAGGAGAGTCTGGATTATTTATTTATTTATCTAAAAATATGGAACACTTGGTGAATTTTAACCTTATCTTTGCTCAGAGGATGTACTAATCTCTGTGTTCTAATTTTTTAGTATATGTGCTGCTGAAGCAAACACACAGATTATTTTTTTCTGTTCTTAAGTTTTTTGGAGGAAAGCTATTTACTATAGGTCTTAATTAAAAACTATATTCTGTATATATTGAAATGTGCAGAACCCTGCTGCTGCTGTTTTTCGTTACCCAGAATGTTGCTTACATCTCTCTACTATCATCTTCTCTCCCTTTGTTTTAGCCCTTGGGGTTTATGTTTTTTTATTCCTTTATTTCATTTTTTTCTGAGGTTTTGGAAGGGAATGGAGAATGGGGTGTGTTCATTCTGCCTGGCTGGTTGATTTTATATAGAAATTGATGTTTTCATCTCTAAGGGACAAAGAAAATTAGGAAAATATCCTAGTTTTATTTTTATTGTGGTAAAATACACATTACATACAGTTTACCATTTTAAATATTGTTAAGTCTTCAGTTCAGTGACATTAAGTACATTTACCTTGTTATGTGACCATTACCACTATCGGTCTCTAGAACTTTTTCATCATCCAGAACTGAAACTTGTACCTATTAAACAATAATTATCCATTTCACCTCCTCCCTGCTCTGGTAACTACTATTCTGTTTTCTGTCTCTGTGAATTTAGCTATTCTAGGCACCTCATCGTAAAAGTGGAGTCATACAATATTTGTCCTTTTTTTTTTTTTTTTTTTAGACGGAGTCTCGCTCTGTCACCCAGGCTGGAGTGCAGTAGTGCGATCTTGACTCACTGCAACCTCCGCCTCCTGGGTTCACCCCATTCTCCTGCCTCAGCCTCCCAAGTAGCTGGGAGTACAGGCACCCGCCACCACTCCCGGCTAATTTCTTTTTGTGTTTTTAGTAGAGACAGGGTTTCACTGTGTTAGCCAGGATGGTCTCAATCTCCTGACCTCGTGATCTGCCTGCCTTGGCCTCCCAAAGTGCTGGGATTACAGGCGTGAACCACTGCACCCGGCCCCCCCCCCCCTTTTTTTTTGAGACAGAGTCTCGCTCTGTCACCAAGCTGGAATGCAGTGGTGCGATGTTGGCTCACTGCAACCTCCGCCTCCCAGGTTCAAGCAATTCTCCTGCCTCAGTCTCCCGAGTAGCTGGAACTACAGGTGTGTGCCACCACGCCCAGCTAATTTTTGTATTTTTTAATAGAGACAGGGTTTCACCATGTTGACCAGGATCGTCTCAATCTCTTGACCTTCCTCAGCTGGGATTACAGCCGTGAGCCACTGCGCCTGGCCAATATTTGTCCTTTTGTGTCTGGTGTATTTCACTTAGCATAATGTCTTCAGGTTTCATGTTGTACCATATGTCAGAATTTTATTCCTTTTTAAATGCTGAGTAATATTCCATTTTATATATTTTAGTAATTTTTTGAAGGACTGAATAGGCTCAAGTACAGCAATGACATATTTTTTGTTCATTTCCCTGTTATCTTTTTTGCTGTGAACTGTGATTTTAAATCATGAAATTAACATTGAACTATGCTAGAGATACTAGTTTTGGGCCACATCTTCTGTTCTGACCTTAGGTAATCCACTTTGCTTGGGTTGTTTGTCTTACTCAGTTGTAAGAGTTTATTGTAAATTCTGGATACAACTCCTTTATCAGATATGTGTTTTGCAGATTTTATCTCCTAGCCTATTGCTTGTCTTTCCATTTTCTTAATGATGTCTTTTTTTTTTTTTTTTTTTTTTGCAAAAATAGAGATGGGGTCTTGCATTGTTGCCCAGGCTGGTCAAACTCCTGGGCTCAGGTGATTTTCCTGCCTTTGCCTCCTAAGGTGCTATGATTACAGGCATGAGCCACCGGCCCTGCCCAAGAAGTTGAGTGCAATCAAAATTAGAAACTTTGACCCTTTTTTAATTTATTTTTGAGACAGAGTCTCACTCTGTCACCCAGGCTGGAGTGCAGTGGCACAATCGTGGCTCACTGTAATCTCCACCTCCCGGGTTCAGGAGATTCTCCTGCCTCAGCCTCCTGAGTAGCTGGGATTACACGTATGTGTCACTGCACCTGGGTAATTTTTGTATTTTTAGTGGAGATGGAGTTTCACCATGTTGGCCAGGCTGGTCTTGAACTCCTGGTCTCAAGTAATCTACCTGCCTCAGCCTTTCGAAGTGCTGGGATTACCGGTGTGAGCCACTGCGCCTGTTTGAAATTTCAACTCTTTAGAAGACATCATTAAGTCCAGGCATGGTGGCTTGCGCCTGTAATCCCAGCAGTTTGGGAAGCTGAGGCGAGAGGATCGCTTGAGCCCAGGAGTTGGAGACCAGCCTGGCCAACAAAGTCTACAAAACGAAACAAAACAAAAAAACAACTATCTGGACGTGGTGGTGTGTGCCTGTTTTTTTTGTTTGTTTGTTTTTTGAGATGGAGTCTTGTTCTGTTGCCCAGGCTGGAGTGTGGTGGCGCAATCTCAGCTCACTGCAGCCTCCACCTCCCAGGATCAAGTGATTCTCCTGCTGGGACTACAGGTGTGTGCCACCATGCCTGGCTAATTTTTTTTTTTTTGAGATGGAGTCTTGCTTTGTCGCCCAGGCTGGAGTGCAATGGCGCGATCTCTGCTCACCGCAACCTCCGCCTCCTGGGTTCAAGTGATTCTCCTGCCTCAGACTCCCGGGTAGCTGGGACTACAGGCGCACGCCACCATGCTTGGCTAATTTTTTGTTTTTTTAGTAGAGACGGGGTTTCACCATGTTGGCCAGACTGGTCTCAAACTCCTTGCCTCGTGATCCGCCCTCCTTGGCCTCCCAAAGTGCTGAGATTACAGACGTGAGCGACCGCGCCTGGCGTGTGTGCCTGTATGTAGTCCCAGCTATTTGGGGGAGAATGAGGCAGTAGGATCCCTTGAGCCCAGGAGTTCCAGGCTATAGTGAGCCATGATCACACCACTGTACCCTAGCTCTGTCAACAGAGCAAGTCCCTGTCTCTAAAAAAAAAAAAAAAAATGGAAAGAAATACTCAAAACACTCAATTTCTCAATTGTTTTCTTTAATGAATAACGTGTTTGGTGTCATATCTACAAAAATCTTTGCCTTACTGGACAATCAGTAAATCTTTCTTAGATTTCCATTTGTTTACCTGTGAGAACAAATAAGATGTATGTGGTATTTTGCCTTCTTTGGAATAGTATTTCTATTCTGTTTCTTTTTGAATTTAATCGGAGGGGCTAATCTTGGGATAGAATGCTAAGGTGAAAATCTACAGACTCAAATTGGAATGTAGAATTGACTTTGCTTTCATAATCCTAGTTGTTTCCTAATAGGTAAGTGGTAATTTGGTTCCTCTCCCCTTCCTAGTATTGAGGGCTCTTGGATGTAAACTCTTATTTGTGTCATTTTATTCTAGGTTTTTGACACAATCTGAATAACAATGCTTTTTGGCTCCTTTTAAGGAAAATGCATGAATTTTGTTAATAAAGTGCATATACATATTACTCAGTGACTCAGTATTGACTTTCAGTTTACTTGATAATTCTTTTTTCTTTTCTTGAGATGGAGTCTCGCCTTGTCACCCAGGCTGGAGTGCAGTGGCGTGATCTCAGCATACTGCAACCTCTGCCTCCTGGGTTCAAGTGATTCTCTGTCTCAGCCTCTCAAGTGGCTGGAATTACAGGCGCCTGCCACCATGCCCAGCTAATTTTTTTGTATTTTTAGTAGAGATGGGGTTTCACCATGTTGGCCAGGCTGGTCTTGAACTCCTGACCACAAGTGATCCACCTGCCTTGGCCTCCCAAAGTGCTGGGATTATAGGTGTGAGCCACCACGCTCAGCCAATAATTCTTTTTATTATTACTATTATTATTATTATTATTATTATTATTATTTTGAGACAGAGTCTTGCCTTGTAGCTCAGGCTGGAGTGCACTGGCATGATCTCTGTTCACTGAAACCTCTGCCTCCTGGCTTCAAGCAATTCTCCTGCCTTAGCCTCCTGAGTAGCTGGGATTACAGGCACGCACCGCCACGCCTGGCTAATTTTTGTATTTTTAGTAGAAACGGAGTTTCACCATGTTGGTCAGGCTGGTCTCAAACTCCTGACCTTGTGATCCGCCTGCCTCGGCCTCCCAAAATGCTGATATTACAGCCATGAGCCACCGCGCCCAGTCCTTTTTTAAATTTTTTTTCAGACAGGGTCCTACTTTGTTGCTCAGCCGGGAATGCAGTGGCATGATCATGGCTCACTATAGTCTTGACCTCTCGGGCTCTGGCGATGCTCCTGTGTCAGTCTCCTGAGTAGCTGGGACCACAGGTGCATACCACCATGCCTGGGTAGTTTATTTTTATTTTTTGTAGAGATAGTGTCTTGCTATGTTGCCCAGGCTGGTGTTGAACTCCTGGTCTCAAGCGACCCTCCTACCTTGACCTCCCAAGGTATTGGGGGTGGGATTACAGGCGTGAGCCACCATGCCAGTCTTGGGCTTGATAGATTTTTTTTTTTTTTTTTTTTTGAGACAGAGTTTTGCTCTTGTTGCTCAGGCTGGAGTGCAATGGTGCAATCTTGGCTCACTGCAACCTCCGCCTCCTTGGTTCAAGCAATTCTCCTGCCTCAGCCTCTCGAGTAGCTGGGATTACAGGTATGCGCCACCACGCCCAGCTAATTTTGTATTATCAGTAGAGACAGGGTTTCTCCATGTTAGTCAGGCTGGTCTCGAACTCCTGACCTCAGGTGATCTGCCTGCCTCGGCTTCCCAAAGTGCTGGGATTACAGGCATGAGCCACTGTCACTGTGCCTGGCTGATATATATATGTGTGTATTTATTATTATTTTTTTTAATAGAAATGGGGTTTCACTGGGTTGGCCAGGTTGGTCTCGGAACTCCTAGGCTCAAGAGATCCTCTCACCTTAGCCTCCCAAAGTACCAGGATTACAGGCATGAGCCACCAGGACTGGTCTGTAATTCTTTTTTTTTTTTTTTTTTTTTTTTGAGGTGGAGTTTTCACTCTTGTTGTCTAGGCTGGAGTGCAGTGGCACAATCTTGGCTCGTCGCAACCTCTGCCTCCTGGGTTCAAGCTATTCTTCTGTCTCAGCCTCCCGAGTATCTGAGATTACAGGCATGCACCACTGCACCCGGCTAATTTTGTATTTATAGTAGAGACGGGATTTATTCATGTTGGTCAGGCTGCTCTTGAACTCCTGACCTCAGGTGATCCACCTGCCTCAGCCTCCCAAAGTGTTTTTGGATTACAGGCATGAGCCACTGTGTCCGGCCTCTTTTTTTTTTTTTTTTTTTTAAGTCAAGTGAAGCAGTGGGAGTGGAGAAGGAACAAAGAAATCTGTAACTGGTTGTGATCAGTTAGTTGTAAATACCAGTGCAGCAGTTGGACCAGCCGAGGCCTGTAATTCTTTTTTTTTTTTTTTTTTTTGAGATAGAGTCTTGCTCTGTCGCCCAGGCTGGAGTGCAGTGGCGTGATCTTGTCTCACTGCAACCTCCGCCTTCCGGCTTCAAGCAATTCTCTTCCTCAGCCTCCTGAGTAACTGGGATTACAGGCATGCGCCACCATGTCCAGCTCATTTTTGTATTTTTAGTAGAGACGGGGTTTGACCATCTTGGGCAGGCTGGTCTTGAACTCCTGACCTTGTGATCCACCCGCCTCAGCTTCCCAAAGTGCTCAGATTATAGGCTTGAGCCGCCGTGCCCAGCTGCCTGTAATTCTCAAATAATGTTTAGAAATGATCTGAGGAAAGTTTGCTGGAAGGATGAGGCATGGTGGATATTAGGGTCTTTTTTTTTTTTTTTTTTTTGAGACGGAGTCTCGCTCTGTCGCCCAGGCTGGAGTGCAGTGGCATGTCCTCAGCTCACTGCAAGCTCTGCCTCCCGGGTTCTTGCCATTCTCCTGCCTCAGCCTCCCAAGTACCTGGGACTACAGGCGCCCGCCACCACACCTGGCTAATTTTTTTTGTATTTTTAGTAGAGGCGGGGTTTCACCGTGTTAGCCAGGTTGGTCTTGATCTCCTGACCTCGTGATCCACCTGCCTCGGCCTCCTAAAATGTTGGGATTACAGGCGTGAGCCACCGCACCTGGCTATTAGGGTCTTATATTTTGAGAATGTATAGATATTTAGAGATGGTCAGAAACAAGAAAATTTTTTTTTTTTAAGACCGAGTCTCACTCTGTCGCTCAGGTTGGAGTGCAGTGGTGTGATCTCAGCTCACTGTAACCTCTGCCTCTGAGATTCAAGCCATTCTCCTGCCTCAGCCTACCGAGGAGCTGGGACCACAGTAGGCACATGCCACCACGTCCAGCTAATTTTATGTGTGTGTGTGTGTGTGTGTGTGTGTGTGTGGTTTTTTTTTTTTTTTTTTTTAGCAGAGATAGGGTGTCACTATGTTGGCCAGGCTGGTCTCGAACTCCTGACCTTAGGTGATCCGCTCACCTTGGCCTTGCAAAGTGCTGGGATTACAGGCATGAAGCATCACCTCTGGCCAGAAACAAGGATTCCTTAGAGCCAGGAAATTCAACATTATATATAATTAGATGTATAATTTCACACAAGCATTGTTTGCAAGAGAACAATACTTATAGTAGTACAACAATATTTATATTTATTGTGGCAAATGCTTTAAACTCTAGCAGTAGTCAAAGCTAGAAACAACTTGTAATAATAGTTAATTTTGAAATGTTTGTCAGAAAGCTGTTTGTCAGAAAGGGGAAGAGATCACCTTCTGGAATATTAGGTACAGAGTTCAAACCAGCAAATGAATGCTAAAAGTTAGATCCTGGTGCCAATTTCCTTAAATTCTGTGTTCATACTGTTGAACCTCGAAAGTTGTAGCTTCCTCTTTTTCTCTTTGAACAGTATAATTGTCCTTTTTTGCATATGCTTTAGAATCCATACTGATGTATTTGGTTGGAAAGTGGGAAAGGAGCTTTTAGTGTTCTGAGATCATTGTGTGATGTTCAGAACCAAAGTGTCACTGTTACATGGTAGAGAATGGTTCATATTCTACCTCCTTGTTAAGTCAATTAAGTCAATTTTTCCTAGTAAATGGGAAAGCAACCGCCTTCCCTATCATGAGGGGTTTTGGGTTTCTTCCCACTTGCTTTGCTGAGAAATTAAATTATGGAAATGGGTATTTACCCTCTGCTCCAATCTAAATAAACTTTTATTCCTTCTACCAATACCTTCAGTAGCCCATGCACCAAAGTCGGCTCCTTTGTTTTTTTTTTTGTTTTGTTTTGTTTTTTTGAGGCAGAGTCTTGATCTCTCGTCCAGGCTGTAGTGCAGTGGTGTGATCTCAGCTCATGGCAGTCTCTGCCTCCTGGGATCAAGCAATTCTCAGCTTCCAAGTAGCTGGGATCACAGGTGCCTGCCACCACACCTGGCTAAGGTCCTTTGTGATTATTAGCAGAGAATGGGATCTAAAAATGTTCCTGTGTTCCTTCTAGCTAGTCTTTGCTACTGTGCCCCTAGATAATGGGATCTAGTTTTTCACTTGAGTAGTGTTTTTGGGAACATGACAGAGTAGCCCTGTCCAAGGGAGACATACTACTCGGTATGTATTTCTAATTTACCACACATGCTTCTGTATTTTATAGTAAGATTGTTTGAGAGTTTGACTTCATTAGGGTTTAGTTCTCTGAATACCACTATATACTTTAGCTCTTTGAACTCTGGACTTTCTGTCACAAGCAGTTTTTCTCCTTAGTTTTTTTGTGTCTTCTGAAATGTCATTTTGGTGGATTCTTTTAAGAAAATATAGGGCTATATTAAATTACTTAAAGGTTTTCTAAGTCACAATAGATGTGGCCTGTAAAAATATCTGATTATGTTGGGTGTGTTATTTCTGAAAATAAACCAAGCAAATTTCACAATATCCTGTTTAATAATTTCTCTATAAATAAGATACATATTTAAAATAAGGCTATAAATGTTTGTTGCTTAAGAGACAAGATATTACTGAAATTATCTTCTGAAGTATGTCTATCCCTTTCCACATTTTTGTTTCCACTGCCTTTTCAGTAAGATGTTAAGGTTAATTTTACCTCTGGCAGTGTTTTAGCACCTTCTTTCTATATTGGGCATTCTATCTGTCACATTTTTCTAGTGTAGTAGTAAACATTACTCAAAATAAATGATTTATAGGCCGGGTGTGATGGCTCATGCCTGTAATCTCAGCACTTTGGGAGGCCGAGGCGGGCAGATCACCTGAGGTCAGGCATTCGAGACCAGCCTGGCCAACATGGCAAAACCCCATCTCTACTAAAGATACAAAAAAAATTAGCCAGATGTCATGCATGCCTGTAATCCCAGCTACTAGGGAGGCTGAGGCAGGAGAATTGCTTGAACCCAGGAAGCAGAGGTTGCAGCGAGGGGAGATTGCGCCCCTGCACTCCAGCCTGGGCGACACAGTGAATGTCTGTCTCAAAAAAAAAAAAAAAAATTTATAAAGTGCTAAGTATTGACCCAGCTGGGCACAGTGGCTTATCCTTGTAATCCCAGCACTTTGGGAGGCCAAGGCAGGAGGACGACTTACTTGAGCCCAGGAGTTCGAGACTAGCCCGGGCAATATAGTGAGACCCTGTCTCTATCTCCCTGTAAAAAATTAGATGGGCCTGTGGTATGTGGCTGTTAGTCTCAGTTACTCAGGAGGCTGAAGCAGGAGGATTGTTTCAGCCCAGGTGGTTGAGGCTGCAGTGAGCTCGATCACTCTAGCATAGGCAACAGAGCGAGACCCTGTCTCAAAAAAAAAAAAAAAGACCCTGTTTTGAGTTTCTTTGTAACTGACAGACTAATAGGTAATAGAGTTTTAAAATATTGTTACTAGATTTTTTTTTTTCTTTTTTGAGATGGAGTCTCGCTCTGTCACCCAGACTGGAGTGTAGTGGTATGATCTTAGCTCACTGTAACCTCCGCCTCCTGGGTTCAAGCGGTTCTCTTGCCTCAGCCTCCCAAGTAGCTGGGATTACAGGTACCTGCCATCATGCCTGGCTGATTTTTGAATTTTTAGTGGAGATAGGGTTTCACCATGTTGGACAGGATGGTCTTAATCTCTTGACCTTGTGATCCACCCGCCTCGGCCTCCCAAAGTGCTGGGATTACAGGCGTGAGCCACAGCACCCAGCCATGATTTAGATTCAAACTGTATCTTCATTGGTTCCAGTCACAATGGTTTACAGTGCTAAGTAAAGCTATAGATTGCATACTGCTGTACTTGTGAAGGCTTTTTTTTTTTTTTTGAGACACGGTCTCACTGTGTTGCCCAGGCTGGAATGCAGAGGTGCAGTCACGGTTCACTGCTGCCTCAACTTCCTGAGTTCAAGCGGTCCTCCCAGTTTGGCCTCCCATGTAGCTGGGACTATAGGCATGCACCACTGCATCTGGCTAATTTTTAAATTTTTTGTAGAGATGGGAGTCTCACTGTATTGCCCAGGCTGGTCTTCTGAAGGCTTTTAGTTTGTTTGTTTGCTTGTTTGTTTTTAAATCTTGTTTGCTTGCTTTTCTTTTCTTTCTTTTCTTTTTTTTTGAGATGAGGTCTTGCTCTGTCGCCCAAGATGGATTGCAGTGGCCTTATCACAGCTCACTGCAGCCTCTACCTGCTGGTCTCTGGCGATCTTTGTGCCTCAGCCTCCCCGTTAACTGGGACAACAGGCACATACCACCACATCCAGCTAATTTATTTTTATTTTCTGTAGAGACAGGATTTTGCTCTCACATATCTGTCCAACCAATAAACAAAAAAGTTATGATACTCAGGGCAAAGTTTTCTCTAACTCCTCAAAAGGACTTGAATTTAGGACATCTTTCTTACTGAGACATACAAAGGCTTAAAAGTATGTATTACAATCCAAAACACTCACCACTGTCTAACATTTCTCCTCCAAATGAGAGCACTAATAGCCTATTCAAAAGAGTCTCTAATTATGAATGTGAAGTTACAAAGAATGTTTTTTTGTTCTTAGGTCTATGAAGATAACACAAAGGCAACAAGTGAAAACACAATGCATAAAGTTTCACTTTAGTCCCCTTATAACAGAAAACAAGAGATGAAGATAAGAGCACTTTTGCTGTCCTAGAACTTAAAATGAAAATCTAAGAGAGACCCATAATATAAATACAATCATCCCTTGGTATATGTGGGGATTGCTTCTAGGACCACCACATATAACCACGTCAGTGCATGCTCTGAAGTACGCCCTGTGGAACCTGCGTATGTGAAAAGTCCTTCCCATAGACTTGGGTTTCACATCCCATGAGTACTGTATTTTCAATTGGTGTTTTTTATTTTTATTTTTTATTATTTTTTAAAAAATTTTAATTAAATAGAAATGAAGTCTCACTATGTTGCCCACACTGCTTTCAACCTTCTGGGCTCAAGCAACCCTCCCTGCTCAGCCTTCCAAAGTACTGGGATTACGGACGTGAGCCACTGCTCCTGGCCTCAATCTGTGTGTGGTTGAAAAAAGGCTGCATATAAGTGGATCTGTGCAGTTCAAACCAGTTGTTGGACAAGAGCCAACTGTAATTAGAATTATAAAAATTGATGCCATGCTCTCTGTGTGAGTAACAATGCAGTAAGAATATGCAGATTTTAGTCACTAATTTTGACTTCCTGGGAAAGGAACTGCAGACTAGATGCTACAAAAGAGAAACACTTGAGGGTGAAAAAGATTAACTGTAAGAAAATGGGAAAGAGACTAAGAAATCCAGTTTCTTAGAAAAACATATTCAGTAGAAACTTAGGAACAGAAGTGATGTCTTGGTTGGCCATGAGATAGTAGATCCCTACAACCACTAGAAAGTGTCCATTAGGGACATTATCCCTTTAGGGTAATGTGCAGGTGGTCATGTTTCAGACTTTATTACTCAAAGTCATGACCACTGGGGAGGTTAGATAAGCATCTTTTTAAGGGGTTATCTATGTTACAGGCATTGTTTAAAGACTCTGCTGAAGAACACCTTGGTATGCAGGAATCAAACATTGGTCAGGGCCAGGCACTTTGGGAGGCCAAGGTGGGTGGATCATTTGAGGTCAGGAGTTTGAGACCAGCCTGGCCAGCATGATGAAACCCCATCTCTACTAAAAATACAAAAATTAGCTAGGTGTGGTTGTGGGTGCCTGTAGTCCCAGCTACTGGGGAGGCTAAGGCAGGAGAGTCGCTTGAACCTGGGAAGTGGAGGTTGCAGTGAGCTAAGACTGTGCCACTGCACTCAGCCAGGGCAACAGAGTGAGACTCTGTCTCAAAAAAAAAAAGAAAAAAATTGGTTAGCATGATGGTTTCACTTCAAGATGGCATCACTCTTGCATGCAACAGGCAGTTTTCCTACAACTGTCTTTAATTCTGCAGATACTCTGTCAGTCTTTAAAATGAAACTATAAATTATAGATTATCTACATTTATGGATGAAGAAAGTGTGGCTTAGAGAAATTCAGTAATTTGCTCAAGTTCACAGAGTAACAGTTCAGGAATGTTGATCTAGATCTGTCTGACTTCACAGTTGGCATACATAATTACCATGCTATAATGTCTTCTGTAATACATGGTATAGAATTGACAAGAATAATCTTTTTTTTTTTTTTTTTTTTTTTTTGAGATGAAGTCTAGCTCTATTGCCCAGGCTGGAGTGCAATGGCACGATGTTGGTTCACTGCAATCTCAGCCTTCCAGGTTCAACGATCCTCCCGCCTCAGCCTCCCAAGTAGCTGGGATTACAAGCGTGTACCACCATACCTGGCTAATGTTTGTATTTTTAGTAGAGACGAGGTTTCACTATGTTGGCCAGGCTGGTCTCGAACTCCTGACCTCAGGTGATCCACCTACCTTAGCCTCCCAAAGTGCTGGGATTACAGGCTTGAGCCACTGTGCCCAGCCTAGATTTAATCTTTTTTTTTTCTTTTTTGAGATGGAGTTTTGCTCCTGTTGCCCAGGCTGGAGTGCAATGGCGCAATCTTGGCTTACTGCCTCCCGGGTTCAAGCGATTCTCCTGCCTCAGACTTCCGAGTAGCTGGAATTACAAGCATCCACCACCACGCCCAGCTAATTTTTTGTATTTTTAATACAGACGGGGTTTCAACGTGTTGGCCAGGCTGGTGTTGAACTCCTGACCTCAGGTGATTCACCCGTCTTGGCCTCCCAGAGTGCTGGGATTACAGGAGTGAGTCACCACGCCCGGCCTAGATTTAATCATTTTAACCATGTATGCAGTTGTAAATAATAGAACTAAGAATCTGGCGCTCAGGGGAGAGGATGGGACTTGAAGTGTGGATTATCTATTTTTTTCTACTCTGTTTTATGCTGTTTTTAAAATTGTACAAGTCAACAGTGATACATGTCCTATTTTTAGAACTTCAAACAATACATACAAAACTACAGTTCCCTATGACCACGTACTTGAGTACACAGGTGCCCTCCTCCTGAATGGAATGTATACTTTTTCTGCGTTTATTTACAAGTATTTGTACCCATAGGAATATATAGTGTTTTAGTTTGCAAAAATAATATCATACTGTACATACTGATGGGGTGATCATTTTGTGATCTACCCCACCCCAACTCATGCATGTTGTTCTGCAGCTTTAAAGATGTTCTTGGGATCTCTCAATTTCAGTCATTAATAAGTTACTTATTTTGATACCTGCATAGTAATCTGTTCTGTGGTATGAATATGTGATTTAATATATGAATATGCCAATTGATAATATACATTATTTCTAATTTTTTTGATATTATACAAATAGTGATTTTTATTCTTTTCAAGAATTTAAAATGCTTGGTGAATTTTAGTTATGTAAAACTAGTATGTATATGTACATAAATTATTGAAATTACTAGGATGTTTTTGGCAGAGCACCTCACAATTCTACCATAATGATTCTCTGTAATTATCTGGAGAGTCATTGTTCTTAAAAATGTTTGCAGTCTGTGCTTTCATTAATCTTTTCTACATGAAGTTAATTTTAGTTTTTAAAATATACTTAATTTTTGTAGAGATTTAAAATTTTTTGCAACTTTGTAATTAATGTTAATTTATATTTAGAATAATTTATACTGTACTATTAGGGCATTTTCTTGCAATAAATTATTAGTGGAGATGAGCGACTGTTGATGGAGATGAGTACCTTTATCATGCAGAATATCAGCAGCCAGATATTGGACTTTTCTCACTGCCCCTTAATTTACTTTTTTAAATATTGTCGTTCTATGGCAATCAGGCTTTTGGATATTGAGGAGGAAGTAATAACTACATAATGTGATAATGATGTCTTTGAGGACCCTTGTCCATAACAAGCCATTTGAATCAGAATAATATCTTGTGCAATATGGTGTTAAGGCTTTTAGGTTACATCTCATTTCTGAATGTATTCTGGATGACTTCTATTGACTTTATGATGTTTACCTTTCATATTTAAAATAAGAGGGTTCTTTTAGCAGATTTTGGTTATAAAACATCTGAAATAGTGTAATTTAAATAAACAAGGTAAAGGAAAAAAATATATGTATTATGCCAAGAAAATGAGCTAGTCCTTATGGTTGAGACGAAATTTTAGCTTTGAGCATTTTTGTATGTAAGCACAGAATGAAGTAGGTTGGATTTTATAGGGTTCATCTCAGTAGGAATTATTGTTCTATTTCATTTTTGCAGAATTGAGAAGCCATCATAATTGTTTTATATTTAAACTTTTAAACAGAAACCTAAATTTGCATAAAAACTCAAGACAGCGTTTACAGTTTCAAGGCATTTTGTTTGCCTTATTGTATTTGTGTACTTCTTCCATAGTGCCTGGCAAACAGTAAGTGCCAAGTACATTTAGTTTGATTTTATTTTTTATTGTATCTTATTTCTTCTTTTTTGAGGTAGGGTCTTCCTCTGTTGCCCAGGCTGGAGTACAGTGGTGTGATCATAGCTCACTGCAGACTTGACCTCCTGGTTGGGGAGTGGTGGTGTGCACCAGTGGTCCCAGCTACTCAGGAGGCTGAAGCAGAAGGACCCCCCCAGCCCGGGAGGCGCTCCAGAACACCCCAGCTTGGGTGACAGAGTGAGAATCTTTCTCAAAAAATAAATAAGTAAATAAAGTTGCTTGGGACATGTTATATAGATGCTATTTAAAGCTATCTGGATAGGTAATATCCTCCAGTTTATAATCATCTGTACCCCATTGCGTGATGGGGTGATCATTTTGTGATCCACCCCACCCCAACTCATGCATGCTAACAGTTATGTATGCCTTTTCTCCAATTTATCTGCCTGCGTTTTGTCAGACGATTTTCAGCGAACCTTCACTGGGCAAAGGGGAAGTCTTCTTTTGGCCCCTGTATTACTAACAAGCATTGACTTCTAAATGGGTAATTTGGTCAGGTGTGGTGGCTCACGCTGTAATCCAGCACTTTGGGAAGTCAGGGTGGGAGGATCACTTGAGCCCAGGAGTTTGAAACCAGCCTGGGCAATATAGTGAGATCCTGTCTCTACCAAAAATTAAAAAAATTAGGCGAGCATGGTGGCACCCACTTATAGTCTTACCTACTGGGGACTGGGTAATATCCTCAAGGGAATGAGTGTAGATAGAATAGGGAACCAAGAACTAAGATCTAGGATATGTTAGCGTTAAGATAATGGAGAAAAGGAATCATCAGAGGATACTGAGAAGGAACAATCTGTGTGGTAGGACACAAACCTGGAGAATATATCTTGGGAACTGAAGGGAAGAAAGTAAAACATGGAGGAGGGGATGAACAGCCATGTCAGATTTTGCCAATAAGTTAGGTAGGATAAAGACTAGAATTGAAAATTGTGTTTAGTAATGTAAAGGCCTTTGTTACATGGTCTTCAGTAATAAATAGCCAGGTTAGCACTATTTATATATGTTTTTAATGGGAATTTTTGATGTTTACAGTGTCTCCTTTGCCATGTTCAGGTTTTCCAACCTATTGGTGGTATGTCTGACAGTGGATCACAACTTGGTTCAATGGGTAGCCTCACCATGAAATCACAGCTTCAGATCACTGGTAAGTTTTAGAAACATCGGCTGCTTTACTTTATTTTTCCCCGTATGATTAAAAAATAATCCTGAGAGGGCCAGGCATGGTGGCCCATGCCTGTAATCCCAGCACTTTGGGAGGCTGAGGTGGGCGGGTCACTTGAGGCCAGGAGTTTGAGACCAGCCAAGCCAACATGGAGAATACAAAATTAGTTGGGCATGGTGGTGCACACCTGCTGTCCCAGCTACTCCGGAGGCTGAGGCGTGAGAATCACTTGACTTTGGGAGGTAGAGGTTGCAGTGAGCTGAGTTTGCGCCACTGCACCCCAGCCTGGGTGATAGGGTGAGACTGTCTCAAAAAAAAAAAAAAAAAAAAAAACTTAAGAGAACAAAATATTTAATGGCTGTTACATGTCAGGTGCTCAATTAATATTTGCTGAATGAATGAATGAAGATATATAGATATGTAATTTTTATTGTAGAATATTCTTGGATATTTTACAGTTTTTTTTTCCTTCAACATGGGTACCTGGGTAGTTGCTAATTATGTTTGTTTGGTATTGTATTAACAGCTTTATTGAGATATAATTCATATCCCCTACAGGTTACCCATTTATTTATTTACTTATAACAATGACACAATCATGCAGCCTCCTGCTGTGGTGACTACAGTCGTGCACCACCATGCCCAGCAAATTCTGCAGTTTTTTGTAGAGATGGGGTCTCACTATAATGCCCAGGCTGGTTTCGAACACCTGGGCTTAAATGATCCTCCCACTAGGGCCTGACAAAAGGCAGATAAATAGGAGAAAAGGCGTACATCTTATTAGCATGCATGGGTAGGGGTGGGATGGATCACAGAATGATTACCCCATCATGCAATGGGGTACAAAATGGTTATATACTCTTCTTCATAGGGGAAAGGGAGATGGGGAAGTGTGGATGATTTTAGAGGGATGGTAAATGATTTTTAGGGGAATTCAGAGGGCTCGAAGAATGTACAATGGCCTGGGACAAAGTCTGTTTGGCCCACAGAATAGATAGTGGTTTATGACAAAAGTCTCTCCAGGTCCAGGTCTGTTAAAAGACTTCAGTCAGCCAGGCACGGTGGCTCACACCTGTAATCCTAGCACTTTGGGAGGTCGAGGTGGGCAGATCACCTGAGATTAGGAGTTTGAGACCAGCCTGGCCAACATGGTGAAACCCCGTCTCTATTAAAAATAAAAAAAATTAGCTGTGCGTGGCGGTGCACACCTGTAATCCCAGCTACTTGGGAGGCTGAGGCAGGAGAATCACTTGAACCTAGGAGGCGGAGGTTGCAGTGAGCCGAGATCATGCCATTGCACTCCAGCCTGGGCGACAGAGCGAGACTCCATCTCAAAAAAAAAAAAAAAAGACTTCAGTTTTTATATTCCTGCTATACAAGTTTAGTTATTGAAAACTCAGGGATGGGAACAAAGGTAATTGTAATTGTTTTCTTCTTTGGTGGATCTGGACTTAGGCAGATAAGAGAACTTCAGAAAACAACTTCATGCTGTACTTTGAGAGAAAGAAGATTGAGGGAGGGGAGCTGCAGGGGTCAGAGAGACCTTGAGAGACTTACTTAGTTCAGCAAGTCAAAGCACCATATTTTGGGATATCAGTTTCTGAACCCCAAAAGTACATTCACAGAGTTCAGCAACCATCACCACAATCAACTTTAAAATAATTTCGTCCTTCCAAAAAGAAGCCCTGTACTCATTAGCAGTCACTCTCCATTTAACCCATCCATCCACAAACCCAGGCAACTCCTGATCTTTCTGTCTCTAGATTTGCCTATTCTGGATCTCGCATATAAATGGAATTGTACAGTGTGTGGCCTTTTGTGTCTTCTTTGGGCAGACTGTTTTCAAAGTTCATCCATGTTGTAGCATGTATCATTACTTAATTCCTTTTTTTGCTAAATAATATTTTATTGTATGAGTATACGAAATTTTAAAAATCCATTCTTCAGTTGAGGGATGTTTGGGTTGTTTCCACTTTTTGGATTTTATGAAAAATGCTATAAACATTTGTGTACAAGTTTTTGTGAGAATGTATGTTTTCAGTTTTCTTGGGTATATACCTAAGAGTGAAATTCCTAGGTTATATGGAATCCATGTTTATTAGCATTTTGAGGAATTCCAAATTATTATTATTATTATTTTTTTTTTTTTTTGGAGACAGAGTTTTGCTTTGTTGCCTAGGTTGGAGTGCAGTGGTGTGATCTCGGCTCACTGCAACCTCCGCCTCCCGGGTTCAAGTGATTCTCATGCCTCAGTCTTCTGAGTAGCTGGGACTACCGGCACGCACAACCATGTGTAGCTAATTTTTGTATTTTTAGTAAAGACGGGGTTTCACCATGTTGGCCAGGCTGGTCTCGAACTCCTGACCTCAGGTGATCCACCTGCCTCGGCCTACCAATGTGCTGGGATTACAGGCGTGAGCCACTGCACGGGCCCAAATTATTTTTAAAAGCAGCTGCACCGTTTTGCATTCCCACTAGCAATATATGAGGATTCCGATTTCTCTACATTCTTGCCAGTGATTATCTTTTTTATGATAGCCATTCTAGTGGGTGTGAAGTAGTATTTTACTCTGTGTGTGTGCGCGCGTGCATATGTTTTATCCATTTAATTTTTTTTTTTTTGAGACCAGGTGACAGTCTGCTCTGTCACCCAGGCTGGAGTGTAGTGGTGCAGTCATGGCTGACTGCAATCTCTAACTTCTAGGCTGAAGTGATCGTGCCACCTCAGCCTTCTGAGTAGCTGGGACTACAGGCATGCACCACCCTACCCAGCTCCCTATTGTGGTTTTGGCTTGTACTCCTTTGATGGCTAATGATATTGTCTTTTCATGTGCTTATTGGTCATTTTTGTATCTTTTTTGGAGAAATGTCTGTTCACGTCCTTTGTTTGCTATTGTAAATTAATACCTCTGTCGCTATTGTTAATTAATATCTCTGTCTTTATTTCTTCCTCTAATCATTTCATGTATCACTTTCAGATTAATGTTTTTAATATGCCATCCAATATGTTTCATTCCTGCTCAAAAACCTTAGGTACTTCTCTTAGACTATGGTATAGAGTTTCTTTAGTATGAGCTAAGACCCTTCACCCTCTGTCTACATATGGTGTCTTTGTAGGTTTTTTGTTTTTTTTTGTTTGTTTTTTTGAGACAGAGTCTCTGTCGCCCAGGCTGGAGTGCAGTGGTGCAATCTTGGCTCACTGCAACCTCCGCCTCCCAGGTTCAAGCAGTTCTCTGCCTCAGCCTCCCAAGTAGCTGGGGTTATAGGCGCCCGCCACCAAGCCTGGCTAATTTTTGCATTTTTAATAGAGACGAGGTTTCACCATCTTGACCAGGCTGGCCTTGAACTCCTGACCTCAGGATCCACCCACCTCGGCCTCCCAAAGTACAGGGATTACAGGCGTGAGCCACCGCGTCCGGCCTGTAAGTCTTTATATGTGAACCATTTGTACTAGCTAGAATGAGTCACTGGATTTTCCTCAGATGTGTATGTATTTCTATCACACAATGAAAACCTCAGTCTCTCTCCCTTTAATTTGATAGCATTTATTGATTATAGAACAATTATCATCCCCTGTATTTTAGTTTCAACTATGCCTGGCTTATAGCTTCTTCTGGATTATGAATAGGTTAGGTCACAGATCATATCTTAGCATTATTATTTTCCTCAAAACCTAAAGGTGATTGAATATAAAAATAATACTGTCTTAAGGTAACCACATCATAGAATTTTTTCGGATTTCCTTCACTAACTCTGGTATCTTTCCTTAGCAGTATCTGTTTCTTAAAGAAAGATATTACTATTTCTTAGTTAAGGCCAGATTCCAGTTTTTTTTCCCCACCCCTCATCCTCAATCTAGCTTGAGTAGCTGACTTATATCAGACCAGAATTCTTATGACTTCTTTTTGGCAGCTTAAAGTTGAAAGCTTTTATTAGAACAGTCCTTTAAAACATTCTGTACTTTTTCAGATTACATAAGTAATATACATTTTATTTTTTACTGATTTAAAAAAATAGTAAATTATTCTCAGAGACAATGATTAATAGTTTTTTTCTTTGCATAAAGTGTCTTACTTGCTATCATCGTTATTGAATTTTTTTTTTTTTTTTACTGTGATGATAAACACTAATTGCACCTCAAAAAGTCGTAATCCATAGCCATCTCAGATTTTTTTCTTTTTGAGATGGGGTCTCACCCTGTCGTCCAGGCTGGTGTGCAGCAGCGTGATCATGGCTCACTGCAACCTTGATCTCCTGGGGTCAGGTGAGCCTCCCACCTCAGCCTCCTGAGTAGCTGGAACTACAAGTGTGCGCCACCACACCCGGCTAATTTTTGTATTTTTTATAGAGATGGCGTTTTGCTCTGTTGCCCAGGCTGGTCTCAAACTCCTGGGCTCAGGTGATCCACCCACCTCAGCCTCCTAAATTGCTTGTATTAGAGGTGTGAGCCACCTCACTCAGCCACATCTCAGATTTTTAAAATCTTGGGTCTAAAATATTCTTTTTCTTTTTTTTTTTGAGACAGTTTCCCTTTCGTTGCCCAGGCTGGAGTGCAATGGCGTGATCTCGGCTCACCGCAACCTCCGCTTCCCAGATTCAAGCAATTCTCCTGCCTCAGCCTCCCAGATAGCTGGGATTACAGGCACCCGCCACTATGCCTGGCTAATTTTTGTATTTTTAGTAAAAACGGGTTTTCACCATGTTGGTCAGGCTGGTCTTGAACTCCTGACCTCAGGTGATCCACCCGCCTCTGCCTCCCAAAGTGCTGGGATTACAGCGTGAGCCACCGCGCCTGGCCTTAAATATTCTCTTTTTTATAAATTTTTTTCTTTTTCTTTTTTTAATTCATTGCTTGCTAATTGGGTCTAAATATTCTGAGAATGCTCAAGTGTAGGGCAAAAAACAAACACACCATGAATAATGGATAATAGTTCAGCAAACATTATTAGATATGAAACAGAGAACATAAGATAAAAGACAGAAGTGCCAAGTTTAATAGAATCAAATGCCCTTCATAATTCATTGAGTTACTTCTTTAGTTTTGATGCTAGAATGCTTAGAACTAAGTATTTTGCACAAATCTCCTTAATGACATCGTGGGTTTTAATCTCTTAATGGGTCAGTTATAGTATTTGTTTTATTGTAAGCTGCCTCAATGCCTTTCTAGAATCAAGTAAGGAATAAATATGCAAGTGTAAAAAATGAATGTCAGGCTGGGCGTGGTGGCTCTCACCTGTAATCCCAGCACTTTGGGAGGCCGAGGTGGGCGGATCACTTGAGGTTGGGAGTTCGAGACCAGCCTGAGCAACATGGAGAAACTCTGTCTCTAGTAAAAATACAAAATTAGCCGGGCATGGTGGCACATGCCTGTAATTCCAGCTACTCGGGGGGCTGAGGCAGGAGAATTGCTTGAACCCGGGAGGCGGAGATGGCGGTGAGCTGAGATCGTGCCATTACACTCCAATCTGGGCAACAACAGTGAAACTGTCTCAAAAAAATAAATAAATAAAATAAAAATAAACAAATGTCACCATGTATTGTAATGGCAAGAAGGGATAACTGGTCAGGAAAAAGAGATCAGTATTTGACTAGAGTCACTGGGAAAGAAGGTGGTGTTTGGATTGCTGCTATTTATTTATTTATTTTAAGGGACAGGGTTGGCCGGGCATGGTGGCTCATGCCTGTAATCCCAGCACTTTGGGAGGCTGAGGCGGGCAGATCATCCGAGGTCAGGAGTTCAGGATAGCCTGGCCAACATGGTGAAACCCTGTTTCTACTAAAAAATACAAAAATTAGCCAGGTGTGGTCATACGTGCCTGTAATCCCAGCTACTCGGGAGGCTGAGGCAGGAGAATCACTTGAACCTGGGAGACAGAGGTTGCAGTAAGCCAAGATCGCACCCCTACACTCCAGTGGCACAGTCACGGTTCACTGCAGCCTTAACCTCCTGGGCTGAAGCAATCCTCTCTCCTCATCCTCTATAGTGGCTGGGACTACAGGCGTGTACCACCCACCACACTTGACTAATTAAAAAAAATTGTGTTTTTGTTTTTTTTTTAAGACGGAGTCTCGCTCTGTTGCCAGGCTGGAGTGTGGTGGCGTGATCTTGGCTCACTGCAACCTCTGACTCCCTGGTTCAAGCAATTTTTCTGCGTCAGCCTCCTGAGTAGCTGGGATTACAGACATGCGCCACCAAGCCCAGCTGATTTTTGTATTTTTAGTAGAGATGGAATTTTATCATGTTGGCCAAGATGGTCTTGATCTCCTGACCTTGTGATCTGCCCACCTCAGCCTCCCAAAGTGCTGGAATTATAGGCGTGAGCCACTGCGCCCGGCCAAAAATTTTTTTTTGTAGAAACAAGGTCTTGCTATGTTGCCCAGGATGGTCTTGAACTCCTGGCCTCAAGTGATGCTCCCAGCCTTTCCATAAGTGTTGGAATTATAGGCCTGAGCCACTTTCCCTGACCTAGGATTGCTGCTGTTTAAATGCAGAAAAGTAGAAAAGGACCCTTTGAGGAGACAGCATGAGCAAGACACATGAAAGAAGAGAGTACACAAAACTTGCCCTAATACCCATGAAAGCTCCTATAATAGGGGAGCCCTGAGAATGGGAATGGCTGTGTCTTTCAGGTGTGCCTTAAAAAAAATTTATTGCTAAGGGAGATGGAGATGGGAAGTAATCAGTGTTTGTATCAAAGGGTGGTTAGATTTGTGTTTTAGAAAGTTAGAAAGAGAAAAAAATTTTTCTTTTTTTTTTTTTTTTTTTGAGACAGTTTCGTTCTGTCGCCCAGGCTGGAGTGCAGTGGCGCGATCTCAGTTGACTGCAATCTCTGCCTACCATGCCCACCCCCTTACCTACTTATTTATTTATTTATTGAAACAGAGTCTCGCTCTGTCACCCAGGCTGGAGTGCAGTGACTTGATCTTGGCTCACTGCAACCTCCGCCTCCCAGGTTCAAGCAATTCTCATGCCTCAGCCTCCCCAGTAGCTGGTATTGCAGGCATGCACCACTGTGCCTGGCTCACTTTTTGTATTTTTAGTAGAGATGAGGCTTTACCATGTTGTCCAGGCTGGTCTCAAAATCCTGACCTCAAGTGATTCACCCACCTCGGCCTCCCAAAGTTCTCGAATTACAGGCGTGAGCCATTGTTCCCAGCCAATTTTTAAATTTTTTATAAAGACACATTCTCATTGTGTTGCCCAGGCTGGTCTTGGATGTTTTGAATCAGCTCTTCGTTTCTTCTTATCATTTAGCCAGGGTCTTTACCTTGGATGTAAGTCTGTTTTCTTATGTCCTTCCCTGTCTTTATTTACCTGTTTCCCATTTAATTATGCCTATATATAACCTCAGCTATTATACTGAACTCATCTGTGTCTTCTTTTTTTCTTTTTTTTGACCGGGAAATTTTTTTTTAAATTACAAGCTCAACCCATTTGTTCTGTTTCAAAGGTGCAGTACTTTTCTTCATTTATTAGTGAAAGAAGTTAAGAAATTAACTTTCCAAAAAAATCAGCAAATGGCAAGCAAATGTCCTTGAAAGTCACAGTCACATATAGTGTCTCCTAGAAAAGAGGAGGGGTAAGACAGCTTCCACCTACTTTCACAAGTTTCATCAAATACTGGATCTACTCAAGGGTGGAGTAAAAAGGCAACTAACTTTCTAAAAGGAGTATGTTATTAAATGAGGCATTTACTATACTCCTTCCTAAAAGCCCCAGATGGGGAACATGTTTTCTCAACTAGACCTAGGAAGTAGACTGTGGAATCAATCGGTCCTCCTCACCTTAAGGGCCATCCACTGGTTAATGAATTAAAAAAAAAAAAAAGACTGAAAAACAAACCTCCCCCCTAAAAAAGAGGAGGGGGAAAAAAAACCACTAAGATGTCCCAGAGTGGAATCAGGGAGCAGCTTCAACAATTCCAATTAGTCTGTTACAGAGTCATCCACAAGCATGCCTTGCTTTAAAAATACATATATATATCTTGAAATAACAAAACTGAAACTAGTACTAATCACTTTTCTGACAATATACAATTACTCAAAATTAACTAGTACTGGGCTAGGGATACGGGGGGGCGGCGCATAGCTATGGGCCTTGTCTCACATGAGTACATGTGGGTAGGTGCAGTGCGTTTGTCATTATGGCAAAAACGAATTTTAATTTTTAAGCTTTAGTTTGACTTAAACATTGCTTTTAGTATGATGCCAACACCAGCTATGCAGAAAGGGCTCTGGAGAGATGTTCCTAGCAGCACACATATGCAGCTCTTCTTCGGTTCTGGAGGTTCCAGGGCAGCCAATATTGCTTCGTCAAATACATTCTTTAGGCCTTTCTTTGTGAGTGCAGAACACTCCACGTACTTGACAGTCTTCAGGTCATGGGCCAGCTTATTCAGCAGTCTCTGGAGTGATAGGCTTCTGTTTGTTCTTGGCAAGTTTCTCAATAGTAGAGGGGTCATCTTTGAGATCAATTTGGGTCCCAACAAGCAACAAAGGAGTCTTTGGACAGTGGCACCCACTTTTCTTTCACATTTTCAAATGAAAATGGAGAGATGGAGAGACCACTGAAAAATAGACTAGAAATACATCTGTTTGTGGATAACTCAGCAGTCATAATCCCTCATAATCCTCTTGCTCTGCAGTATCAAAAAGTCCAAGAGTATATGGTTCTCTACCAGTCATAATTGTTATTGCATAGTTGTCAAAAACAGTTGGTACATATTCTGATGGAAATTTGTTGTGTTGTTTTACCAACAGCACCATCACCCACAACAACACACTTAATTGTCTGCATTGCTGAAATAGTTTTGTATCCACTTTAAATATTTCAAATCTCATGTTGACCTCAGCTTCTCCACCGGGTTGTTGGCTCATCTGTGTTTTTTATTTGATGTTTGTTGTATGCTAGCATTGGGCAAAATAAGGAAACTTTGGTATTTGCCAGAAATTTCTTATATTCTCGTCTTTACTCCAAATTAAGAAAGAGATGTCATCTTGATTTTAGTTATTATTAATCGTAATTAAATATTACTGCATTTCCCAAATTTATTACAGTGCAATATATTTAGCTCTGATTGTTCAGGGACCAAAAAGATCCCTTATACTTATGTTTTTTTTTTATTCCTTTAACAGTCCAGCAAACTAAGAATTTTATACTTGTGATTTAGAGTTTAGTTCTCCACAGGCAGGGCAGAGTTCTTCCAAAGAGGTAGCTGTTGCTCAACTGGATTGATCTCTTACCTGGTTCATTATTCTGCTTATTTATTTAGTTTTGGCACTGTTTTTTGTTGTACCTTGTTCTCTGTAGCTTATCCAAAGTAGGTTGGATAAGCTACGGATCCATTCTTTTTTTGTATGTGTATTGTAAAATGTTTATGTTGTATCAGAGAGATACACTGAAGAACTGAAATCAGTTCAAAGCACTGACCTTCAGAACAGAAGGATCAGAGGAACATTAGTTTAAGCCATGAAAACTATTTGCATTAGTATGTGGGTATGTGTGAGAGAGAGAGAGCACATGCATGGGAGAGTGAGATAGCCAGCAAGTGATTATAATAAAGCAGAGAGACAGAGACTAGAAAGCAGGGAAACTTTTGTTTTCTACCATGACTAATAACAATTTGGTTCAACATGTATATTAAATACCTCTCAGATTAAATCCCAGAGTGCTCCAGAAATTGTAAAGATTGGCTATATCTGTGCAATCAAGAGGCTCACGGGGTGAGTTAAATGAGTAAAAACTAGTAAGACAAAATGAAAAGCTGACGGAGCCATACGTAAATATGGAAATACTCTGGAAGCATGGAGGTGGAAATAATTTAACTTCTTAGGATTAAAGAAGCCTTTAATCAAAGAGAAGGGGGATGTTTATCTCTCAGGAAATATAATTTTAATGGGTATAAAAGAAAAAAGGATCATTCTCAGTAGAGGGAGCAGCATGTTTAGAGGAATGAAAGTACATGGCCCATGTGAGGAACAGCAAATAACTAAGGGTGGCTAGAATATAGAACTTTGGTAAGATTTGTTTTAGTAGGAGGCTGGAAGGGTAAGTTATAGCTGCATACTAAGCAAGGTAAAATGCCCCATAAGAGTTTAAACTTCATTTTTCAGGCAATAAAGAATCATTTAAGTAATGACATTAATGACATGATCACATCTATTCTAGGAAAATAATTCTGGTGGCTGTGAGGGGTTGGATTGGAGAAGTGAGAGTAAAAACAGTTGTTTAGAGGCCTCTCATAGTAGCCCAGGTGTCAGATGAGACTGACATTTTTCTGGTCCTTTTTCTTCCGGTTTATAATGTATAGTTTTTTATTTTTTTGTTTAATTTACTGTGGGACTTTAGTTTTCAGAAAGTAGTACATTGATTTATTTTATATTTGTAATATTATGACTATAACACAAGGTTTTGTTCAATCTAGACTTTGAGATTTGAATACTGAAATAATTTCTCCTGTCCAGGTTTTGCAGTGTGACCCTTGGGCAAATTTTTAAATTTCACAGAGCTTCTGTCTTTTTTTTTTTTTTTTTTTTTGAGATGGAGTTTCACCCTTGTCACCCAGGCTGGAGTGCAATGGCATGATCTCAGCTCACTACAACCTCTGCCTCCCGGGTTGCAGTGATTCTCCTGCCTCAGCCTCCTGAGTAGCTGGGATTACAGGCGCCTGCCACCATGTCTGGCTAATTTTTGTATTTTTAGTAGAGACAGGGTTTCACCATGTTTGTCAAGCTGGCTCCTGACCCCCGTTGATCCTTTTGACTGAGACTTCCAAAGTGCTGGGATTACAGGTGTGAGCCACCACGTTCGGCCGCTTCTCTTTTTATGTGTAAAAATTAGGACAGTAATACCTGTTTCGCAGAATAGGTATTGATATTGAAATGACATTTACGTGCAGGCACATGGTAAATACTAAAATTGGTGCTCCTCCACCCCCATGTAAAGTTTGTTAGGCCAGGCCTGGTGGCTCATGCCTGTAATTCCACCACTTTGGTAGGCCTAGGTAAGTGGATCTCTTGAGCCCAGGAGTACAAGACCAACTTGGGCAACATGTCAAAAGCTTGTCTCTACCAGAAAAAAAATACAAAAATTTCCTGGATGTGGTGGCACGCACCTGTAGTCCCAGCCACTTGGGAGGCTGAGATGGGAGGATGGCTTGAGCCCAGGAGGTAGAGGTGGTTGCAGTGACCTGAGATTGTGCCACTATTCTCCAGCCTGGGTGACAGAACCAGACCCTGTCTCAAAAAAAAAAAAAAAAAAAAAAAGGTTTCAGTGGGGTTTGGTAGGATTATGTAGCAAAATTGCTTTCACAAATTTGAATCCAGCTGGGCACAGTGGCTCACGCCTGTAATTCCAACACTTTGAGGGGCCGAGGCAAGTGGATCACCTGAGGTCAGGAGTTTGACACCAGCCTGACCAACATGGTGAAACCCCGTTTCTACTAAAAATACAAACATTAGCTGGGTGTGGCGGCGCGTGCCTATAACCCCAGCTGCTTGGGAGGCTGAGGCAGGAGAATCGCTTGAACCCGGCAGGCGGAGGTTGCAATGAGCTAAGATTGTGCCATTGCACTCTAGCCTGGGCAACAAGAGCGAAACTCCTATCTCAAAAAAAAAAAAAAGTTTGAATCCTAGAAAGCCCCAACAGGGGCAGATCATTTCCTTCCTGTCAGCCTTGCGTTGCTCTTTGTTCTAGGTTTAATCAGTTTCAGAGTGCCACAAGAGGCCCTGAAATATAATGAGTGTATGTATAATTGTTTGGGCTATTTCACCTTTTCTTAGACCAGAAATGTATTAAAAGTAGAAATTTTATGTTTTTCTGTGTAATCCTGTGATTAAATTTGGCTCTATATTAAGCACTAGAGCTTTGATTTAATAGTACTTTTTTTTTATTTTTTATTTTTTAATAGAGATGAGGTCTCACTGTGTTGTCCAGGCTGGTCTTAAACTCCTGGGCTCAAGTGATCCTCCCGCCTGGGTCTCCCAAAGTGCTGGTATTACGTGCCCGGCCTATTACATTTTAATCAGAGATAGCTCTGGTCCCCACTTGAATATTTTTTATTCTGAAAAAGACTTTCTATTTCATGTTTCCACTTAGATGTCTCAGCATCTGGCATCTGAAACAATTTTTTTTTTTTTTTAAAAGACAGTTTTGCTCTGTTGCCCAGGCTGGATTGCAGTGGTGCAATCACAGCTCACTGCAGCCTTGACCTCCCAGGCTTAAGCGATCCTCCTGCCTCAGCCTCCCCCCAGCAGCTGGGACTACAGGTGCACGCCATCATGCCTGGCTAATTTTTAAAATTATCTTTTGTAGAGACGGGGGTCTCACTATGTTGACCAGGCTTTGTTCAAACTCCTGGGCCTCAAGTGATCTTCCTGCCTCAGCCTCCCAAAGTGCTGGGATTACAAGTGTGAACCACCATGCTTGATCTTGTCTATTTGTCTAGCCTTCTCTTGCAACTCTTCTTTTTCTTCAGTCAGTCATTCTGTGGCTAGCTTGAATGCCAGCAAAAAGGCACATAAGCCTAAAAGGATGGAAGTATTTGATATATGTAAAGTCAGAGTTTCAGGGCCACCACCTGGGACTATGCCTGCTTAGATATCCAGACTTTGGACTATATATTAAGCTGCTGCTTCTTTTTTTTTTTTTTTTCGAGATGGAGTCTTGCTCTGTCACCCAGGCTGGAGTGCAGTGGCGCAATCGCGGCTCACTGCAATCTCCGCCTCCCAGGTTCACACCATTCTCCTGCCTCAGCCTCCCGAGTAGCTGGGACTACAGGCGCTCGCCACCACGCCCGGCTAATTTTTTGTATTTTTAGTAGAGACAGGGTTTCACCATGTTAGCCAGGATGGTCTCGATCTCCTGACCTCGTGATCCGCCCGTCTCAGTCTCCCAAAGTGCTGGGATTACAGGCGTGAGCCACCGCACCCGGCTATATTAAGCTTCTTAAGTAGTTACTATATAAACTCCTCTGACAACTCCAAGGGTTCCTTAACTTTGATGAGCATTAGCATTCTCTGAACTTTGCTGCTACAGTAGATAACCTGGGTGGTGGAGTAGATAACCTGGGTGGTGGGTACTTCCTTGGTTGTAGTTACCTCATCTATGAGGGAGCAATGACTTGCCACCTATGGAAATCATGGGGTGCTTTGCTAGATTTCTACTTGTTATACCCTGTAAGGGGCCTGGACAAAGCTATTTTATGGCAAAGGTAACTAAAAGGTGAAGGCTAAGGAGTTTGTATCTCAAGATGCACAACATAGGAAGCTCTTCCTTAGATAATATGAGATGTTAAAAAAAAAATCTTAGTTTGTAGTTCTTATTCTTCCATTGGCTTTCCAACACACAGAATAAAATCTAAATTATCATTATTATTATTATTTTTGATACGTAGGCTCACTCTGTCGCCCAGGCTGGAGTGCAGTGGCATAATCTCGGCTCACTGCAACCTCCACCTCCCGGGTTCAAGCAATTCTCCTGCCTCAGCCTCCTGAGTAGCTGGGATTACAGGCGCCTGCCACCACACCTGGCTAAGTTTTGAAATTTTTTAGTAGAGACGAGGTTTCGCCATGTTGGCCAGGCTGGTCTTAAACTCATGACCTCAGGTGATCCACCCGCCTCAGTCTCCCAAAGTGCTGGGATTACAGATGTGAGCCGCTGCGCCCAGCTGCAGATTCTTTATCTTGGTTTATAAAGCTCCCATACAAAGCTTATCTCCCTTCATTTACCATTCCTTCCTGTGCTTGCTATACTTTCCCTCAGATATGCCATACTCATTTGCCTCTCTCTGGAATGCTGTCTTATTCCCACCTCCAGTCTTCCCATGGCTGGCTCCTTGTCATTTGGATGGTTGCTTAAAAGTCTTCTCAAAGGCCTTCCTTACTACCAAGTCATTTTCTGTCACATCAGCCTGTTTTTCATCATAAATACTTTAATTAGAATATAATCTCCTTGAAAGCCAGATCCTTTTCTTTACTGTTAATTGCTTTAGGGACAGAGTTTAGAGCAGTATCTGACACATGGTAGGCATTCAGATGTTTGTTGACCATGTTTGTCAATGCATACATTTTGTTTTGAGATATGGTCTCGCTGTGCTGCCCAGGCAGGTCTTAAACACCTAGGCTCAAGCAGTCCTCCTGCCTCAGCCACCTGAGTAGCTGAGATTACGGGTGCAAGCCACCCTGCCCAGCCATATGTGTACTTTTTAAATTTTTCCTCCTGTTGCCCAAGCTGTTGCACAACCATAGCTCACTGAAGCCTTGACCTCCTGGACTCAAGCGATTCTCCTACCTCAGCCTCCCAGGTAGCTGGGACTGGCACACGCCACTGTGCCCAGCTAATTTTTTTGATTTTTAGGCGAGATGAGGTCTCGCTATGTTTTCCAGATTGGTCTTCGACTACTGAGCTTAGGCAATCCTCTTGCCTCAGCCTCCCAAAGTTCTGGGATTAGAGGTGTAACCCGCTGCACCTGGCCCATATGTGTACTTTTTAATTGATCTGAGTTCTGGACTTTTGATACCATGGAATTCTACTGATGGGAATTTGGGTTGATGGTACGGGGAACCTCTATATTTATTTACTAGGATGGGAGGAAGTACAAAGGTTATGAGTGAATAAAATTGGTAAGTATTTTAGAGCAAAACTGCTTCTCTGAGTAAATTTAGTAAATCTGCCTAATTATGAAGTTAAATTGATTTCATGAGTGAATTAACATCTCAACTATTGAAATGTTTTTCATTTCTTTTACATAGTCATCTCAGCAAAACTTAAGGAAAATAAGAAGAATTGGTTTGGACCAAGTCCTTACGTAGAGGTCACAGTAGATGGACAGTCAAAGAAGACAGAAAAATGCAACAACACAAACAGTCCCAAGTGGAAGCAACCCCTTACAGTGTAAGCTTGGAAGTATTTTTCTGTAGTATGTTTTGTTTAGTAGATGATTGGAAATACAATTTAAAAAAATGTTTCTCACTTTGGTTTTTTGTTGTTGTTGTTCCTCCTTTCTCTCTTCTTTTTTTTTTTTTCTTTTTCCTAGGACTCCTTCTGGTTTGCTTTTTTGTTTCTCTTTAGATAGCTGTTTTTATAGTCACTCCCTTTCTTTACCTTCTCTAGTTTAGTTGGTGATGATATTGCTCTTGTCACTGAACAATAGCTGAAGAGAGCCCATGGTCACGGACCTAAAAAGATTTCTGGCAGCACTTTTTATTAACTTTGGGTTGAATTAAGGGATTATGAGTACTCCCCCCCCCCCCGGTTTTTAACTTAATTTTTAAAAATAGTGTTTTAGTTAGTTTTTTCTTTGTTTTATTTTGAGATAGAGCCTCACCCTGTCACCCAAGCTGGAGTATAGTGGCACTATCATAGCTCACAGCAGCCTTGAACTCCTGGCCTCAAGAGATCCTCCTGCCTCAGCCTCCCAAGTAGCTGGGACCACAGGCATGCATCACTGTGCCTGGCCAGTTTTTTAGTATTTTAAATTACGGTGCCAGTTATACTATAGTTATTTATTTTTTGAATGAGATGGGGTCTTGCTATGTTGTCCAGAGTGCTCTCTCTCAACCTTCCCGGCTCAAGCAGTCTTCCCATCTCAGCCTTTTTCTCAAGTAGCTAGGACTACTACTATACATTTTATTCTACAACTTTCTTTTTGTACTTAACACTAATATCATGGTGATCTCTTTACCTGAGTACATATGGATCTTGCATCCCTTATATAGCTTTGTAATATTCCTTAATATGGGTGGACTATATTTTAATAGTTCTGTATTGATTCTAATGTTGCGCTATTAGGCAGTATTGCAGATACATCCATGTGCATATATCTTTGTATGTTGGTGTTTATATCTGTAGTGTAGATTCATAGAAGTAGGATATAGCTCAGTTTTAACACAAAGCCCTAAATGTTGGCATTATAATCTAAGATATTGACAGCCATTGAAGGTTAATTTTAATTTTTAAAATTAAAATAGAAGAAAACACATGGAGCCAGGTGTGGTGGCTCACACCTGTAATCTCAACTCTTTGGGAGACTGAGCCAGGAGGATTGTGTGAGGCCAGGAGTTCAAAGGTGCAGTTTGATATGATTGCTCCTGTGAATTGCTACTGAACTCTAGCCTGGGCAATGTAGCGAGACCCTGTCTCTACAAAAAGACAAACAAAAAAAAAAAAGAAGAAAAAGAATGATTTGGCCAGGCATGGTGGCTCACTCCTGTAATCCCAGCAGTTTGGGAGGCCAAGGTAGGAGGATCACCTGAGGTCAGGAGTTCGAGACCAGCCTGACCAACGTGGTGAAACCCCATCTCTACTAAAAATACAAAAATTAGCTGGGTGTGGTGGTGGGTGCCTGTAATCCCAGCTACTCGGGAGGCTGAGACAGGAGAATTGGTTGAACCTGGTAGGCGGAGGTTGCAGGTTGCAGTGAACTGAGATCGTGCCATTGCGTTCCAGCCAGGGTGACAAGTGAAACTCTGTCTCAAAAAAGAGAGAAAAAAAAAAAAGAATTTATGGAAGATCATCTTGAGGCCCGTATCATTCGGATGTTCCTCATCTGTGTTTATTTCAACATAAATGTTTCTTAGGCTTTCTGTTTTTAATTAATGGCTCATTGTAGATTGAGTCAAAATGAAACAATGTATTAAAAAAATTTCAAGAAAACACATGAGGCTGGGAATGACTGCACATGTTTGCAATCCCAGCTACTTGGGAGGATAAGGGGGGAGGATAAGGTGCTTTAGCCCAGGAGGAGTTCGAGATTAACCAGGGCAAAGTAGCGAGTTCCCATCTCATATATATTTTTTCCTTTACCAAGTGGTATCTATAAAAGGTCGCAGCCTCCATGATTACCAGAGATGTTCAGTTGAATTAGATGGTCACCTAATTTCCTCCAACTGCTTTGAGTGCGTACTTGATATGCACTTGGAGGCTCTTAAGCTGTTAATGTCATGAACTTCTTAGTGATTTAAAAGTTAAGAAAAAAACTCTCTTTGTAGTTCTATGTGGTAGTGCTGTTCTTGATTACAAACATTTGGGAAACTTACAATTCAAGTTATTTTCCTGAATTTTTAAGTTGCAGCAAATTGGCCTGGAATTTTATCACTTCCCATTGTCGTGTAGCAGGCTTTCCAGACTGCTTTTGAGAATTGAATTGAAACAAGACTGATCATCTTTGACAGTATACTTTATGTACCTTTCTTCCATATTAAAAATAGTAAAGTTAAATTTATTTGCCTTTTATTTCATCCCTATTATGATTTCTAAATTGACTAATAGAGAATTTCTTTTTTCCACTCTCACCCAGGCTGGAGTGCAGTGGCGCGATCTCTGCTCACTGCAACCTCCACCTCCCGGGTTCAAGCAAGTCTCATGCCTCAGCCTCCTGAGTAGCTGGGATTACAGGCATGCACCACCACTCTCAACTAATTTTTTTGTAATTTTAGTAGAGACGGGGTTTCACCATGTTGGCCAGGCTGGTCTCAAGCTCCTGACCTCAAATAATCCTCCCACCTCGGCCTCCCAAAGTGCTGGGATTACAGGCGTGAGCCATTGCGCCTGGCCGAGAAATATTTTCCTAATACAATATATAATATGAGCTCTCTTGAAAGTAGCATCTGAGAATTTTGAAAAGAATGAATACATTGTATCCCCTAAGAAGAGGAGCAGTGTGGAATTTTTAGTTTGTTTTATCTACCCATTGCCGTTGAAATGGTGCTGGTTAATAGGTACAGGTAGACTTCAAAGGAGGAAAGTGTTTCTTTGTCCCCTCAAACTTGATCACATTAGAGAGAATGAGATATAGAGAAATTCAAACATTTCTGGAATTTGTCTTTATATCATTGAACCATAGGACTGTGGTAGATTATATAGTGCTCCTAGCTTTCTGATCCTTGACTCTAACATTGATTCTACGTGTATTGCAAATTCAAATTTCCCAGTTTACTTTGGAAATACCATTATAGAGAGTATTCCTTATTGGCATTTAGCAAGGAATGAGTGAGTCTATATTTGATAGTTGGACTGGGCAACTTGCCTCTAGCAGTGTGAAACTTGATGTATGTAATGTAATCTTCAAATCATGTAGCTGACGTGAGGAACTTTTTAATATAAAGTTTAATGTCAGGATTTTATTCACATTACAGTTCTGCTACTTACTGGCTATTTGACCTTAGGCAATTTGCTTTATCTCTGAATGTCAGTTTCTGTATCTGAAGAAGGAAGTGATAATTCCCATCTCATAGGGTTACTATAAAGATAAAATAACTTCAAGCTCTGTAAACTACTGACATAAGGATTTAATTTGTAAAGTTACTCTTCTGTACTACTAAAGTAAAACTAGTTTTCCAATAGTTTGTTGCAGGATAAGCAGTTTTACTTTTGTTGACAATATGTGTATGAATTTACTTCTGTAGTTCAACTGCAAGTGAAAATGACCATGTAAGCATGTAGCATTCAGATAATTTTCATAAGATTACTGAACATAGGCCAATATTGATTGTATAGTAAACTGTAAGGGGTGCAGTGAGAAGACTTTAGACTTTAAAACTGAATTGTAATTTATTTAGGATCTCATTGTGATATTCAATAAAAATAATATTTTTTCCCTCTTTTTTCACTTTTAGTATCGTTACCCCTGTGAGTAAATTACATTTTCGTGTGTGGAGTCACCAGACACTGAAATCTGATGTTTTGTTGGGAACTGCTGCATTAGATATTTATGAAACATTAAAGTCAAACAATATGAAACGTATGTATGTAAGACTAATAGAAATTGCACTTAGCTGTTTGTTTTTCTGGAAGAAATTTATATGTCAAACATGCATAATGACTCATGTTCTCTCATACTTTTAAGTTTTACTTGGTTATAGGATGAACAGATAGAAGAATTTTACACTATTGAAAGTATTCTGAGTAACCTTGGTTTGACCATTCATTTTGGATTCAGTATTTTTAGTAAATATTTATTTACTTAGTAAATAGATATTAGTAAAGTAATACATATTTAATTGTGGAAAAACTAAAATATAGAGCAGAGATGAAAGAAAAAAATAAAAATCCCACTTCAGAGACAAATCAAATGAATATTTTTACAGATTTCCTTTTCAGATGCTTTTTTTTTTGGGAGGGACATGGGGAGACAAGGACTCACTCTGTTTTCCAGGCTGGAGTACAGTGGCTATTTACAGGTGCAGTTGCAGCACAGTGTAGTTTTGAACTCCTGGCCTCAAGTGATTATCCTGCCTCAGCCTCCTGATATATCTGGGACTATAGGCAGGTACCACCACATCCAGCTTTAAATGCTTATTTTTAAAAATGTCCTCATTTTATGAGGTTGTGGTTTTATTTGTATATGTATATTTATATAATGTAGAAATATGTGTAGCTTGTTTTAATTAATATATCATTTTAAAACACATTTTTTTCTACCCCTCGACTATCTAAAACATACTTCTAAAAATTTTCTCATTTAGGACTTATTAGATATAATTTATCCTTAAATTATGTTTTTACTCAATTTAATTCAGGTATATATTACTAAATAATCCTTATTCTTATGCTAGCCCATTTTATACTATAGTCTTACAAGGATGGAATGAACATAATAAACGATGGAGATACTATTTTACATCATGAATATGAAACATTAGCATATTTTGTCCTTTTTAAAAGATACAGTGTTTTGGTGTCAAAAGTGTTCAAACCTTGGGTGAAACATAGTTAAACAGTTTATATGCACATATAGTTATATTTTCTCGGACATCACATTTTTAACAGTTAATTTTTAACAGTTAAGATGCCTTAACTGGGAAAAAAGTGACCATTTTTTCTGTAACTTTATTTTCTTCCAGTTGAAGAAGTAGTTGTGACTTTGCAGCTTGGAGGTGACAAAGAGCCAACAGAGACAATAGGAGACTTGTCAATTTGTCTTGATGGGCTACAGTTAGAGTCTGAAGTTGTTACCAATGGTGAAACTACATGTTCAGAAAGTAAGTGACTACCTTTTTAAGGTCTTTAATGATTCTTCTTAAATAAAATAGCCATTGTAGTATGCTGTATGTAATTATTTTGATTTTTTTTTTCAGATTAATAAAATGTTTTTTTCTGGCCGGTGTGGTGGCTCACGCCTCTAATCCCAGCACTTTGGGAGGCTGAGGCAGAAAGATTGCTTGAGCTTGGAGGTTGAGGCTGCTCTGAGCCGTAATCACATCACTGCGGTCCAGCCTAGGTGACAGAGTGAGACCTTGTTTCTTTAAAAAAAAAAAAAAAGAAATGATTTTTTTCTTTTTAAAAAATAGACATTGATCACTTTAAACATTTTCTTTTTAGTGTATTATTTCTGTGAATAAAAGCATGTATATTTTTACATAAGTTGAAAAATTAGCCAAATAGAAGTTGAATCACATTTGCCTCCATGAGTAATGAGTTGATTTATATAGTATTTATTCTGTAGGCCAACTATGGCAGTTAATATGGGTTAGATGCCACACCGCCAACTGTGCCAATGGCAGACAGAGTTTATTGTCTGTAGCAGTGTGGGGCTGAGTTTAAATATGACTTTAAATCCTTTTTTTTTTTTTTTTTTTTTTTTTTAAGACGGAGTTTTGCTCTTGTTATCCAGGCTGGAGTGCAATGGCACGATTTCGGCTCACCGCAACCTCTGCCTCCTGGGTTCAAGCGATTTTCCTGTCTCAGTCTCCTAAGTAGCTGGGATTACAGGCATGCGCCACCACGCCCAGCTAATTTTGTGGGGTTTTTTTGTTTGTTTTAGTAGAGATGGGGTTTTTCCATGTTGGTCAGGCTAGTCTCGAACTCTTGACCTCAGGTGATCCGCCCACCTCAGCCTTCCAAAGTGCTGGGATTACAGGCGTGAGCCACTGCATCCGGCCTCTAAATCCTTCTTAACACTGTACCACCCAGCCATTACAAGCTGAGATCCATTTACCATTCCCCTTCTACTTCTGTAGGCTACACTTACAGAGATATCTTTTGACAATACTAATTCATTATATGTGTGTTAGTAAATCTTACAATCTCTGATTTACTAGTGTGTGTTAAAGGAAAATAAACTGTGGTGGCACCTGAGTTAGTGGCTACACAGCTAGCATATTTAATAGAACTTTTTCCTACTGTTTTCCCATCAGATATTTCCATCACTTCCTAATGTGTTAAGTGTATTTTCACTTGAAACATAGATTTTAGAGGCCTGAAGACAATGAAAGAGCAGATTAATGGATTTCTTGATGAGTTTGACGAAGATCTTTTGGTTTACTTAGGAACTGCATTATGAAACATTTTGCAGCTGTCAGGTGCTATTCTTTTTCTACTTTGTTGAAAGACTTCCTACTTCCTCTTTGACTCATGACTTTTAAAAATAGCAGGACAGGCTGGGCACAGTGGCTCACACCCCTTGATCCCAGCACTTTGGGAGGCTGAGGCAGGAGGGTTACTTGAGCCCAGGAGTTCGAGACCAGCCTAGGCAACATAACAAAACCCCATCTTTGCAAAAAATAAAAAAATTTGCCATGTGTGTGGCACGTGCCTGTAGTCCAGGTACTTGGGAGGCTGAGGTGGGAGGATCACTTGAGCCCAGGAGTCAGAGGTTGCAGTGAGCGAAGATCACACCACTGCACTTCCAGCCTGGGTGACAGAGTGAGACTCTCTCTCAAAAAAAATAAAGTAGCAGGACCTAATATGTCTTCCAGATTAGTTCTCTGGGGCTAGTGAGGATGGAAAGAAATTTCTGAAATGGTTATACTGATTTGGAGTTGACACTTTGATTATTGTTCACAAGAACTCTATAATAGTCACATTTTTCTATACATAAATTGGAAGTCTGGAAGATAAAATACAAGTTACATTGTTAAACTGCCCTAAACCTCAGTATTTATAGTGTCCTAAGCTTCGCCCATAGAAGATGAAACTATTACTAATGTAAAATATTTAATAATTGCTGGACGCGGTGGCTCACGCCTGTAATCCCAGCACTTTGGGAGGCCGAGGTGGGCTGATCACGAGGTCAGGAGTTTGAGACCAGCCTGGCCAACATGGTGAAACCCCGTCTCTACTAAAAATATAAAAATTAGCCTGGCCTGGTGGCGAGCACCCGTAAGCCCAGCTGCTCGAGAGGCTGAGGCAGGAGAATCTCTTGAAACCAGAAGGTGGAGGTTGCAGTGAGCCAAGATAGTGCCACTGCACTCTATCCTGGGTGACAGAGCGAGACTCTGGCCAGGCGTGGTGGCTCACGCCTGTAATCCCAGCACTCTGGGAGGCCGAGGCAGGCGGATCACCTAAGGTTGGGAGTTTGAGACCAGCCTGACCAACATGGAGAAACCTCGTCTCTACTAAAAATACAAAATTAGCTGGGCGTGGTGGCGCATGCCTGTAATCCCAGCTACTCGGGAGGCTGAGGCAGGAGAATCACTTGAACCCGGGAGTTAGAGGTTGTGGTAAGCTGAGATCATGCCATTGCACTCCAGCCTGGGCAACAAGAGCGAAACTGGGTCTCAAAAGAAAGAAAAGAAAACAGTTATAACAATATACTACAATAAAAGTTTTATGAATGTCATCTCTCAGTTTCACTTTCACTCCAAAAATACCTCATTTTTTTAGCTTTGTTTGGACCTTTGGGGGGAAAAATACCTTATTGTACTCACCTACTTTTGGACCACAGTTGACTGTGGGTAATTAAAACCATAGCTAAGGGGAGGCCTACTGTACTTACAGACACATTTTTGGTTCTTTCTTTTTGGTGGATAAATTTTCTAAAAATGGCAGTTATATAAATAAACTTTTTCCAAGTGAAACAAAGTGTACTTGTTTTTTCTTTTTCTTTAAGTTGTATTTTAAAACTAGCTGGCTTTATATTCCCCTACTTTCAACTAGTTTAATATCTCGCTACAAGTCTCGGTTATAATGTTTTCTTTACATAATTTGTTATGGTGTTTTCCTTCAATGAAGTACAGAGTTAATCTGCTTTCATGAGTCTCTAGGAAGAGGTCTTCCTAGACCTCTTCCTAGCTTTTTTTTTTTTTTTGAGACGGAGTCTTGCTCTTGTCACCCAGGCTGGAGTGCAGTGGCACTATCTCAGCTCACTGCAACCTCTGCCTCCTGGGTTCAAGCGATTCTCCTGCCTCAGCCTCCAGAGTAGCTAGGATTACAGGCATCTGCCACCACACCTGGCTAATTTTAATTTGCTATTTAGGTAGACTTTTTTTTTTTTTTAGATGGGGTTTCGCTCTGTTTGCCCAGGCTGGAGTGCAATAGTGCGATCTCGGCTCACTGCAACCTCTGCCTCCCGGGTTTAAGTGATTCTCCTATCTCAGCCTCCCGAGTAGCTGGGTTTACAGGTATGCACCACCACGCCTGGCTAATTTTGTATTTTTTAGTAGAGACAGGGTTTCTCCGTGTTGGCCAGGCTGGCTTTGAACTCCCGACCTCAGGTGATCCGCCTGCCTCGACCTCCCAAAGTTGCTGGGATTACAGGCGTGAGCCACTGCGCCCGGCTGACTTTTTTTTTTTTTTTTGAGACGGAGTATCGCTCTTGTTGCCCAGGCTGGAGTGCAATGGCACGATCTCGGCTCACTACAACCTCTGCCTCCCGGGTTCAAGCAGTTCTCCTTCCTCAGCCTCCCGAGTAGCTGGGATGACAGGCATGCGCCACCATGCTTGGCTAAGTTTTGTATTTTTAGTACAGATGGGGTTTTACCAAGTTGGCCAGGGTGGTGTCGAACTCCGGACCTCAGTTGATCCGCCTGCCTAGGCCTCCCAAAGTGCTGGGATTATAGGCATGAGCCACTGCGCCTGGCCCAGCTTTTTTTTTTTTTTTTTTTTTTTAAAGGTTGACTTATTCTTATAGCCCACAGATCTGAAGTAACAAATCAGGTGTGGGCAGTTCATATCTGCCAGAGGTTCTCATTCATCTTTTTTTTTCTTTTCGTGGGATGGTTTTTTTGGTGAGTTGTTTAGTACCAGTCTTCCCATTTATGACCTCTAACAAGAAACACAGAAAAGTATTATTGCCAAAGACTAATACTAGTTTTCCTAAAGAGAAAGAAAAATGCATTTTACTTTCAACTTTTTTTTTTTTTTTTTGAGACAGGGTATCGTTCATTTGCCAAGGGTGGAGTGCAATGGTGTCATCTTGGCTCACTGCAACCTCCGCCTCCTGGGCTCAAGTGATCCTTCCACCTCAGCCTCCCCAGTAGCTAGGACTACAGGCGCACTCAGCCACACCCAGCTAATTTTTGTATTTTTTGTAGACAGGTTCTCACTCTGTTGCCCAGGGTGGTCTCAAACTCCTGAGCTCAGGCAATCCTCCTGCTTCGGCCTGCCAAAGTGCTGGGTTTATAGGCACGAACCACCACTCCCGGCCACTTTTAACTTCCTGATTATAAAATAGGAACATAGTCTTGTAGAGATCTTTACTTTTTATCATGTATACTCTGGATGTGTTTAAAATTAATTTAGGGAGAGTTTTTGGAATATGTGACTTCTGGTTCTTATTCTATGCATTCCATTCCTTTTAAATTTTGATGCTTTGTTATGTTAGGCTCTAGTTTTTGTAGTTCCGCTTAACGTTAGGGTAAACCATTTTCATATGTGAATATATTGATAATGTTTCTTACTAGAATAATAAATTCTAAGAAAGTAGCCTAAATTTTTTGCTTTACCAAATATTATTTGAAGTTACTAGATCTCAACTGGTCTGGGTACCAACTAATTTTATAGAGATAAACTTTGCTGTAATGTTAGTTTTAAAAATTTGACTTACATTTGAACATACGTCTATGTATGCTCAGAATATTAAATAATTTACTTCCCCACAAAAGGTAGTAAAACTCCTTTCTTTCTTTTTCTTTTTTTCCTTTTTTTTTTTTTTTTTTTGTGAGACGGGGTTTCGCTCTTATTGCCCAGACTGGAGTGCAATGGCGCGATCTCGGCTTACCGCAACCTCCATCTCCTGGGTTCAAGCAATTCTCCTGCCTCAGCCTCCCAAGTAGCTGGGATTACAGGCAAGCGCCACCACGCCCGACTAATTTTGTATTTTTAGTACAGGTGAAGTTTCTCCATGTTGGTCAGGCTGGTCTCAAATTCCCAGCCTCAGGTGGTCCATGTGCCTTGGCCTCCCAAAAAGTGCTGGGATTACAGGCATGAGCCACCGCGCCCAGCTGTAAAACTCCTTTCAACATGTATGTTATGTTTTTGTCTTACTTTATGAGAGGTACTGTAAAAATTGAAGTATTGAGGCTATGATATGGTCATTGTGAATTTCAGTGAAGACTACTGTGTTCTTCATTTTTACAATTTACAAAGCCCGTTGTTATATATTCTCATATTTAATATGTGTAAGATATAAAATAAAATGAGCATCCCTGAAACTATCACACAGCTTAAGAATTAGAGTATTAACAATATCATTGCATCCACCTGTATTTTTCTTCCTATATTATTCCTTTCCTTTCCTTTCGAGATAATCACTATTCTGAACTTTGAATTTGTCATTTCTGTGGTCTTTAAAAGTTTTATCCTATGTGTGATATATAAGCATTACTTGTACGTTTCTCTTGAGCTCTATGAAAATATCAGTGTTGCCTTTTTTTTTTTTTTGAGACGGAGTCTTCCACTGTTGCCCCGGCTTGAGTGCAGTGGCACGATCTTGGCTCACTGCAACCTCCTTCCGGGTTCAGGCAATTCTCCTGCCTCAGCCTCCCGAGTAGTTGGGATTACAGGCGTCCACGACCACACTCAGCTAATTTTCAGTGTTGCCTTTTTCTTTTTTTGAGACGGAGTCTCACTCTGTCGCCCAGGCTGGAGGGCAGTGGTACTATCTCCGCTCGCTGCAAGCTCCGCCTTGCCGGTTCACGCCATTCTCCTGCCTTAGCCTCCCGAGTAGCTGGGACTACAGGCCTTTTAAGATTTAGTCATATAATTGTGTCCGTAGGCCATTCACTTTTACTGCTGCATAGTAATCTGTTGAGTGAATGTACCGGGTTTTAAGATTTTTATATCAAAGGACATTTGCTTAGCTTTTTTTTTTTAAACCATGTGAACAGTGATACATTGAACATTTTTGCATATGTTTATTAATAAACAGATTTAACGTTTATGTTGGGTGTATGCTTGAGAGTAGAATTGCTGGGGTATGTTTATTTTCAGCTTTACAATATTAATTGCTTCTTCAAATATGCTATTAGGATATTTAAAACTGAGATGAAATTTACATAACATACAATTAACGGTTATATAAAGTGTACACCTTAATGGTGTTTAGTGTATTCACAGTGATACACATCCACCATCTGTCTCTAGTTTCAGATCTTTCTTGTCACCTTAGAAAAAAAACCCCATTTCTTTCTTCTCCCAAGCCGTGATAACTGCTAATCTGCTCTCTGTCTCTATGGATTTGCCTATTCAGGATATATCACATAAAAGGAATCATGTGACTTTTTTTGTTTGGATTCTTTACTTAGCATAATGAATTTGAGGTTCATCCAAGTTGTAGAATGTGTCAGTACTTCCTTTCTTCTTATGGCTGTATGATAGTTCTACTGTGTATATTTGTGCCACAATTTGTTTATCCATTCATTCATTGATAGACATTTGGCTTATTTCCATTTGGCTGTTATGAATTATAAATAATGCTGCTTTAAGCATTTGTGTACAAGGTTCTGTGTAGAAATATGTTTTCATTTCTTTTGGATATATACCTAGGAGTAGAATTGCTGATGCTTGTTTTTGATAGTTTCTCATTTCTTCCTTGTAATTTTTTTTGATACATAGGAATTTTTTTTAAAACATTCTCCATTTGATAATTCCAGTGTCTGAAATCCTTGGGTATATAAATGGTTTTTTGTCTCTTCCTCATTGAGGTTTGTTTTCATTTGCGTTTGTTCTTCGATTGCAAGTTTATATTTGATCTTAATCTGTTGGAATCTTAAGGGCCTAAATTGGGGATTCTTTGCCCCAGAGAACATTTCTTTTGCTTCTGCTAGTTGCTAGGGTGTACCACTGAACTGGGAACGCTTCAACTCCTTTCCTACCTGTGTATTTGTAAAATGGATCAGACCCTTGCCAGCCTAATGTGGCAGGCTCTGGTTCAGCACCACAGGTTTGCTGCTGGCCCAAGGCTTTCTAATCCATCTGAGGATTGAAAATGGCCCTCTGGATAACCCAGTTTTTCACATTTGCTCACTGCATACTTGTGTCTGTTCACTTTGTTTTTTTATTTTTGAGACAGGATCTCGCTGTGTTGCCAGACTAGAGCTCAGTGGCTATTCACAGGAACGGTCATAGCACACTGCACCTTTGAACTCCTGGCCTCAAGCAGTCCTCCTGCCTCAGCTTTTTGAGTAGCTGGGACTTCAGGTGCTCACCACCATACCTGGCTTCAGTTCACTTTTTTGTTTTTGAGATTGCTAGACACCCAAGAAATAGGAACGATGTGTTAAAACGCTTTATCTAGGAGCTAGTTATTTTGTGGTGGGAGGGCAGGTCATTTTGACGAGCTTACTGAGTAGAAGAGATCTTTGTAGATCTTCCAAAGTTTCTTGTGGGTAAAACATGTGCATTTAGCAATCTGACAAATTTTCTTGAGGAAATTTGGATTGGGAATACCTTTAAAGGGCAATACGTTTGTAAAATGCAGTGGTTAAGAACAACCATTGTTCTCTTCTTGGACGTTCATTGTATAAGTGTTAGATTTTTGTTGTTGTTGTTGTTGTTGTTGTTAACTATTCTCTGGTTGTAAGCAGAGGATAAGATCTAAATAATTTATGCCATACATTTCATAGTTATGGCTTCACTTTATATTGGAGTGAAATAAAAGAGTGAATATTCCAGGCATGGTGGCTCACACCTGTAATCCCAGCACTCTGGGAAGCCAAGGCGGGAGGATCACTTGAGTCCGGGAGTTTGAGACCAGCATGGACAACATGGTGAGACTCCATGTATTCAAAAAAATCTTTAAAAAATGTAGCTGATTTTGTGGTGGCATGCATCCATGCATCCTCCCACTTTGGGAGGCTGAGGTGGGAGGATTGCTTGAGCCTGAGAAGTTGAGGCTGCAGTGAGCTATGACCATGCCACTGTACTCCAGCCTGGACAATGCATCAAGACCCTTTGTCAAGAAAAAATATGTATATTGAAAAATGGCCCTTGTTTAGACTTTCCTAATGAGATGTAAATTTTGAGAAATAATAGTTATTATTTATGGACTGCTTATATGTGCTAGCACTGTGCTAAATGTTTACATGTTTAATTCTTATAAATACTCTATGAAGTAGGTGTCATCCCCATTTTATATATGCAGGAAAAGTACAGGAAGTCAAGTGTACTTTTGTAAGGTCACAAAGTACATGATAAAGCTAGGATACAAACCTAGGCAGTCTGCCCTCAGAACTCATGTGATTAAAATACTGTTCTTTGTCACTGTAGTGAGAAGGTTTTAGAAGTAGCAAATAATGGTAGACTTAAATGGATTATTCCTAATGATTTTCTTAATTTTGAGAAAAGTGAAATACTAATAGACACATTTTAGTAACTTATGCTGGATATTTTGTTGTGGTTTTCTGATTTCATTTATGTCCCATTCATAAGCCATTTTAGGGGACTATATTCCATATTAAAACATTCTTAAACTGAAATTTACCCTTTATAGCCAAAATGTATTTCATTGTACCATTTTTTTTTTACCACATTAACATCTTTATTGAGTTGTATTTTATACAACATAAAATTTACCCATTTCAAGTGTACAGCTTAATGAATTTTAGTAACTTAAGTGAGGGATTCAACTATCACTGTAATTTAGGTTTAAAACATTTTTATCCCCTCAGTAAAATCCCTCTTGCCTGTTTACAGGAGCTTCCCTTCTCACTGTCAGCCACAGGCAACCACCACTAATCTGTATTTTTTTTTTTTTGAGACGGAGTTTCACTCTGTCGCCCAGGGTGGAGTGCAGTGGTGTGATCTCTGCTCACTGCAACCTCTGCCTCCCAGGTTCAAGTGATTCTCTTGCCTCAGACTCCTGAGTGGTTGGGACTACAGGCGCCCGCCACCACACTCAGCTAATTTTTGTATTTTTAGTAGAGATGAAGTTTCGCCATGTTGGCCAGGCTGGTCTCAAGTTCCTGACCTCAGGCAATCTGCCCACCTTGGCCTCCCAAAGTGCTGGGATTACAGGTGTGAGCCACCACGCCCGGCCTCTATTTTTTATCTCTAAAAATTCGTCTTTTTCTGGACATTTGTATAAATGGAATCATAAAATATCTGTTTTTTGTGTCTGGCTTCTTTCACTTAGCATAATGTTTTTGAGGTTCATCCATGATATAGCGTGTTTCATTAGTTTGTTCTCTTTTATTACCAAATAGTAATAATTCCATTGTATAGACAACATTTTATTCACATACTATTTAAAGATAATATATTTCTAGACTGGATGAGACATTTACCAACTTTGCTAAGTATGGTATAGTATAGTGGTGACTCAGTATTTTTTAAATTAATCCACCAATTATGCTTTTTTGTAATATGGTAATAATTTCCCTGTTTAAACTATGATTCTATCCAGGGCCTATTGTTCCTTTACTAAATGGACCTAGGTGGTCGAACTTGAGTTCTTGTTTCTACATGTGATCATTTTTCTTTCTCTTTCCCTGTTTACCATTTGTTTTGCTTCTTTAAATGTACCTACCTTTAGCACCCTCCCTCCAACACTTTTCTTTTTTTTGAGACGGGAGTTTTGCTCTTGTTGCCCAGACTGGAGTGCAATGGCGCGATCTTGGCTCACTGAAATTTCTGCCTCCCGGGTTCTAGCGATTCTCCTGCCTCAGCCTCCCAAGTAGCTGGGATTGCAGGTGCCTGCCACCACTCTTGGCTAATTTTTGTATTTTTAGTAGAGACAGGTTTTACCATGTAGGCCAGGCTGGTCTTGAACTCCTGACCTGAGGTGATTCGCCCACCTTGGCCTCCCAAAATGCTGGGATTACAGGTGTAAGCTGTTGCACCTGGCTCCTCCAACACTGTTACAGTAAAAAGATCTGGACTGAATCCTAAGGATATTTTCCATCAATAAAGCAAGAAGAAAATAAGAATATTGTGGCATTAATTTTTGGCAACTTGGATTCCCATTTGTGGCTTTCCTAATTTTTAAGCTGTTTTCCAGGCCCCTGCAATAAGAGAGACGTTATGGGTTTTTCTGTTTCTGGAATCGATTTTATTCTGCTGGCGATCAGCACTTTTTTATGAGGTATTTGGGATACAAAGATGGTTAAAACACTAGGTTTAAATTAGAGTTAGACATATTTCAAAAAAAAGGCAGGAATAGTAGTGCATGAGTAATATACCTTTAGTAATTAACATCCCGTATCCATTAATTATTAAGCATTTGCACAAAATTTTGGCAGACTTTTTTTGCAGTCATGAAAATCACATTTTTCCTTTTAAAGTCATGTTGGAATTTAAGTTATAGTATGTTCTTTATTACAAAGATTTAATAAAAGGCTTTGCTTACATGGCATGTTTAGAAAAGAAAAAACATGAAAACTACTCTCTTGAAACTCATTTTCTGTTTAAACTTTGATGTTAAAGGTGCTTCTCAGAATGATGATGGCTCCAGATCCAAGGATGAAACAAGGTAAGCATTCACTGATTGCTTACCACAGAATGCGGAGAGATAGATTTCCTAAATATTCATTTTAGTGTAAACTTCAGGTTCATGATATAAGAATAAATGAGTGTCAGAAAGAATTCAGAACTCAAGAAGGGAAATATTTGCAAAAGATTGAAGACTCTTAGCTTATCGGATTAGAGCTATCTGGAGTGGGCTAGGGATAACCAAATTGTTGATACTTCTTCAGCTTGTAGAAAATAAATATACTGGCACCTTTTCAGAGGCAGGGTGTTCTAAACTCCAGAGCCATCATTGGGCTGTTAAGTTTCTTTTCCAGAAAAACTGAGATAGGAGCTTTACACATATGTGAAGGTCACCACTAGCTATGGTATCATCTGGGCCTTCATTAGAAGGGGCAGAGCTTTGTACCAGCTGTTTGCTGTTAGCCCAGGTTTAGCACTTTCATGTGCCTATCTGCGTTCAAGTTTGGACCTAAATGTGGGGAAAAGAAAGAAAGATCAGTTTGTTACTGTGTCTATGTAGAAAAGGAAGACGTAAGAAACTCCATTTTGATCTGTACTAAGAAAAATTGTTCTGCTTTGAGATGCTGTTAATCTGTAACTTTAGCCCCAACCCTGTGCTCACAGAAACATGTGCTGTATTGATTCAAGGTTTAATGGATTTAGGTCTGTGCAGAATGTGCCTTGTTAACAATATGTTTGCAGGCAGTATGCCTGGTAAAAGTCATCGCCATTCTCCATTCTCGATTAACCACGGACACAATGCACTGCAGAAAGCCGCAGGGACCTCTGCCCAAGAAAGCCTGGGTATTGTCCAAGGTTTCCCCCCACTGAGACAGCCTGAGATATGGCCTCGTGGGAAAGGAAAAACCTTACATCCTCCAGCCCAACACCTGTGAAGGGTCTGTGCTGAGGAGGAGTAGTGAAAGAGGGAGGCCTCTTTGCAGTTGAGATAAGAGGAAGGTTTCTATCTCCTGCTCGTCCCTGGGAATGGAATGTCGGGGTGTAAAGCCAACCATTCGTTCTATTCTGAGATAGGAGAAAACCGCCCCGTGGCTGGAGGTGAGATATGCTGGCAGCAATACTGCTCTGTTACTCTTTGCTACAGTGAGATGTTTGTGTAAAGTGAAACATAAATCTAGCCTCTGTGCACATCCAGACATAGTACCTTTCCTTGAACGTATTCATGATACAGATTCCTTTGCTCACATTTTTCCCTGCTGACCTTCTCCCCACCATCACCCTGTTGCCCTGCCACACTCCCCTCGCCAAGATAGTAAAAATAGTGATCAATAAATACTAAGGGAAATCAGAGACCAGCGCTGGTGTGGGTCCTCACACGTTGAGCGCCGGTCTCCTGGGCCCACTGTTCTTTCTCTGTACTTTGTGTCTGTGTCTTATTTCTTTTCTCAGTCTCTCGTCTCCACCTGACGAGAAATACCCACAGGTATGGAGGGGCAGGCCCCCTTCATCTAAAAGGTGTTGAAAGCCTTGGACTATGTGAATTAACTTAGACTGCTTATTGGTTATCCTGGAAATCGGTAACAGCAGATAAAATTAGGAAAGGAGATGATTCTGCTTTTAAAGTAGTGAGTGGCATGTCTTAACCACAGAGTGCAGTGATTATAAAATTCCATTTGATTCTTTGTTTTTCTCAAATTGCATAAGCAGTGAGTAGGAAGAAGATGATGAACCACAGGAGGAGTAGTCAGAAGGGGAGAAGAACGAGAAAAGTAATGTCACAGACTGTGAGGGAAAATTATCCACAAAGATGGGATGTTACAGTGTCAGATGCTGCAGAGGAGGATAGGTGAAGAAAGTAGAACAAAATACTGATGGTTGTTGAAGCTGTGCTGTTAGGTACATGGGAGTTTATTGTATTAGTCTATCTGCATTTGTCATCTATGGGTTGTTTTTTTTTTGTTTTGTTTTTTTGTTTTTTTAGATGGAGATTCACTCTTTCACCCAGGCTGAAGTGCAGTGGCGCGATCTCAGCTCACTGCAACCTCCATCTCCCGGGTTCAAGCGATTCTCTTGCCTTAGCCTCTTGTGTAGCTGGGACTACTCAAGACAGGCATACACCACCATGCCCGGCTGTTTGTATTTTTAGTAAGAGATGGGGTTTTGCCATATTGGCCAGGCTGGTCTTGAACTCCTGATCTCAAGTGATCTGCCTGCCTTAGCCTCCCAAAGTGCTGGGATTATAGGCATAAGCTGCCATGCCTGGCCGATAGATATATGGAAGTTTTTTGGTTTTTTTTTTTGTTTTTTGAGGTGTTGTCTCACTCTGTCACCCAGGCTGGAGTGCAGTGACACAATTTTGGCTCTCTACAACCTCCACCTCACAGGTTCAAGCAATTCTCCTGGCTCAGCCTCCCGAGTAGCTGGGATTACAGGCACCCGCCACGATGCCCAGCTAATTTTTTGTATTTTTAGTAGAGACGGGGTTTCACCATGTTGGCCACTATGGTCTCATTCTTCTGACTTCGTGATCTGCCTGCCTCAGCCTTCCAAAGTGCTGGGATTACAGGCATGAGCCACTGCACCTGGCCAATATATGAAGGTTTTCATAATAAAAAGTTAAAGACAACTCATCAAGATCTTTAGGAAAATCAAAGTTTATAAAGCTGTTGTGTCTTACCTAATAGGTATCTGCTTTCACATTCTTATGATGAAGAATCATCTATACTAATCTCACGAGATGTAGAATATTAAGGAGCAGTAACTTCTTGCCTAGAAAATAGCAGATACTTTTATTCTTTACTGTGATTAAAATCAATGGGGCCGGTCATGGTAGCTCACACCTGTAATCCCAGCATTTTGGGAGGCCAAGACAGGAGGATCACTTGAGCCTAGGAGTTTGAGACCAGCCTGGGCAATTGAGTGAGACCTCATCTCTACAGAAAACAAAACAAAACAGAAAAATTAAAATTAAAAAACGGTAGTTAGGCCTGGTGGCACGTGCCTGTAGTCCCAGCTGTTGGAGTGGGGAGGGTGCCCAAAGTGGGAGGATCACTTGAGCTGGGGAGATCAGTGAGCTGAGATCGTGCCACTGTACTCAGAGTGATGACAGTTAGACCCTGTGTCAAAAAAAAAGAAAAGCAATAGGACAGGTTTAAAAAATTACATAAATATCTGTAGACTGAATACTATTATGTCTCTTTTGTCTTTTTTTAGTATTATTATATTTAGTAGAAGATTTCTTGAATTCCTGAAAGTTCCCGCATAAAATGTTTTAGTATTTCAGTTTGCTTTGGTCATTTACCTCTTCTTTTACACAATAAACCTGTATCTTTGTATAATAAGTGGGTATGTAAAAGGTTCTGTTATGCCAGTGTGTTGTTGCTTGTTTGTTTTCTGCAAGTCTCTTTCTTAACAGTATTTTCATCAAACCACTTGTACTCTGGACATCTTTAAATTTATTATAAAGGCATTGCTGGATCCCCTACTTAATGCTATTTAATCAATGCTTTTTATCTTCCTAAGTGAATCATTGTCATAAATAATTTGGGGAACAATGTCTTCTGGGTTTCTGAGACTGCCTGACAAATCTTTGAGTATGTCTTTTGTGTTAAGCATAAGTTCCTGTGCATCAGCTTTTATTCCAGAGCACACACACCTTTGAGATGACAGGTTTGAAAAGCATTTTGTAAACTGTCAAAAGCTGTTTAAATGTTACTACACAATAATGAGTAGTAGTCATAGCTGTGACTGCCTTTTCTCCTTTGCTTTTGTTTGCAGATTTCATGACTATAAAACTAAAAGGCAGGGAAGTATATATGTAGTGGACAGGTGCTTCGCATCCTTCCCTCCATCCTCATAGTTATCGTTTAGGAAGTTTACTAATAGCCTTAGGTTATTTTAGCTTTTGATCTTAATTCAAGCACTGTCTGTATCATAAATGTGTTTATTGATCTGTTTTCCCCACAGCATGTCTGGATGTTTTATGTTTCTCAGTGTTGTCTTCTGTTTATTTGTTTATTTTTATGAAGTACCAAGATTATTGGTGCCTGATTTTCAAGATTTTGTCGTTAGATGTGCGTTCTTTTTTTTTGTTTTTAAGTTTATTATTATATTTTAAAGACAGGCTCTCGCTCTGTTGCCCAGGCTGGTCTCAAACTTTTCACCTGAAGCATTTGCCCTATCTCGGCCTCCCGAAGTGTTGGGATTACAGACATGAGCCACCACGCCCAGCACATGTGCCTTCTTGATTGTTACTCTTTGATTTGAACATTTATGACCTGATTGTACTATAATAGCATTTTGGTTGTCTGAGGTTCTCTATCCTGTCCATAACTTATGAACTTATTTATAGGTCAGATGTATATGTATGTTGAAATTAGCAGATGTTTGTAAGATTGTGGAATAGGGGAACAAAGTTATAGTAGCACATAATTAGCAGCTAATTGCTTTTCTTTTTTTACTTTTTTGTTTGAGACCGTGTCTCGTTCTGTTGCCCAGGCTGGAGTGCAGTGGCGTGATCTCAGCTCACTGCAACCTCCACCTCCCGGATTCAAGTGATTCTCCTGCTTCAGCCTTTCAAGTAGCTGGGATTATAGGCATGCACCACCACGCCCAGCTAATTTTTTGTATTTTTAGTAGAGATGAGGTTTCACCATGTTGGCCAGGTTGGTCTCGAACTTCTGACCTCAAGTGATCTGCCCACCTCGGACCTCCCAAAGTGCTGGGATTATAGGTGTGAGCCACCATGCCCAGCCAGCTAATTGCTTTTCAAAGCCAATTGGTGGTGTTGGTTCCACTGACAATTCTGTATACTGTATAGATTTCCGGATTGATTTTCAAAATCTATTTTTAGTTTTAGCCTCACACTTTACTAAAATAACTTAAACTTATTAAAATAAATAAAATAAACCGCCAGTACTATTTTAGTATGGCCCTGCTTCTCAAACTTTAGAGCACATTAGAATCACCTGGTTCATTAGATTTGGGGTGGGACTCAAGATTTGCATTTCTAACACATTTCCATGTGATGCTGATGCTGCTAGACCAGGGTCTACATTTTGAGAACACAATGGTTAGACACACACGTTTTTGCAAATTATAACTATTCTGGGAAATAATAACAGATAGTAAAAACAGACTTCTTATATAATTTTTCATTATATAAGAAGTCTGTTTCCCCAAAGTCCGAGCGTGCAGAATTTGCTAGAACTGTCAATCTGTCTTAATTTCATACCCTTTTGAGAGCTGCTTTGAATCTTGTTTTTTTTGAACTGTTGTTTTTATGTTTATTATTAGAAAATAATACGATTGTTTTAAAAGATGTAAATTAAATAGTGTGTAAAGTAAAATGTATAAAGCCTTAATAGAAGAAATAATATTTGACCTAAGACCTTAAAACAGAGCTATAAACTGTATATGCATGTCTTAGAGGAATTGGAGGGAAGAAGGAATTCTAAATGGAAAGAAGAAAAACAAAGGTGGTGAGAAACACAGGTTGTTTTGTAGGAAATCTTTAATCATAATATTTGGCTAAAGGTGCAGTAATTTCAAGGGAGAAATGGCATTTGGTGATTAGAAAGTAGAATCAGTCAATATATATTTATTTGCCTTTATATGATAGACACTATGCTCAACATGTCTATTCTTCCTTCAGTTAGTCCTTAAACGTTTATGAGTTAGGTACTATTGTCTCATTTTTATAGGTGATGAGAAAACAAGCTTAGAAAGGGAAAGGAACTTGCTTGAGTTAATAGCGTTAAGTGGGACAGTTGAACCTGGAACAGCCTTACCTTCAGAGCCTGAGCTCGTAACTATCATGCTTTACTGCCACCTGAAGTTGGGATGATATACAAGTAAGTGCTTAGCCATTAATAAATGTTATTTTTATTGTTAGATAGGTTGGGACCAGATGGAGGTTTGCAAGTAAAGACTTACGGAATTTTTTTTTTTTAAAGGAAAGGAATGTCTTTTAAAATAATTTGATTTTGTTCTGTTTTGTTTTGTTTTAAGACTGAGTTTTGCTCTGTCGCCCAGATGGGAATGCAGTGACGCGATCTCGGCTCACTGCAACCTCTGCCTCCTGGGTTCAAGCAGTTTTCCTGCCTCAGCCTCCGAGTAGCTGGGATTACATGCGTGCACCACTAGACTTGGCTAATTTTTTGTATTTTTAGTAGAGATGGGGTTTCACCATGTTGGCCAGGCTTGTGTCGAACTCCTGACCTCAGGTGATCTTCTTGGCCTTCTTGGCCTCCCAAAGTGCTGGGATTACAGGCGTGAGTCACCACGCCCAGCCTAAAATATTTGAACAGGAGATTGTATGATCAGAACTCTGTAGGAAAAAATATTTTGACAGTGGTATATAGTTTGGATTATGTGGTGGTGAGTGAAGGTTGAAAGTCCTATATGGAAATTTGTTACAATAATCTATTGAGAGGTAACGAAGGCTAGAACTGAGGCAATGATGGTGGAAGAGTAGAGGGAGAATGTGAAAGTGGGATCAACAGGACTTAGATACTGAGTGTCAAGAGGCACAGGGAGGAAAAATGTAAAATTGCCTGGGAAAGACAGCAGTATCGTTCATAGAACCAAAACCTAAGAAGGAAGGAAGACCATAGGAAGAGAATGTTTAGAGGGACGGGAGGACCTGGCAGGGCATGGTGGCTAACACCTATAATCCCAGTGCTTTTTGGGAGGCCCAAGGGGAAGATTGCCTCAGCCCAGGAGTTTGAGACCAGCCTGAGGGACAAAGCGAGACCCCATCTCTACATAAAATAAAAAATTAGCCAGGTGAGGTAGCATGCTCCTGTAGTCCCAGCTACTCAGGAGGCTAAGGCGGGAGGATCCCTTGAGCCCAGGAGTTCAAAGTTGCAGTGAACTGTGATTGCGCCATTGCACTCCAGCTTGAGTGACAGAGCAAGACTCTTGTCTTTAAAAAAAGGAAGAAAGGGAGGGCCTTGGGATGGGAGAGTTATTCTAGATCTCCTGCATTTAGTTGATAATTTGATACTAGAGGATGGGAGTGAGATAAAGAGTAGAGATTGATTTGGGAATCATTCTCTGAGATAACCTTAGAAATCATGGAATTTGAGATCCTAGGGAAAAATCTGTGGAGAAAGAAAAGGAGAACAAGAACACAATCATAGAGACCTATATTTAGTGGATGGTAGGAAGAGGACAAACCAAAAAAGGGATGATGAGAAGTGGGAGTACAAGATTACAAAAGCACTGTCACAGAAATTAAGAGAAAAATGTTCTTTAAAAGATGGGACATTTGGCCGGTGGCGGTGGCTCACTCCTGTAATCCCAGCACTTTGGGAGGCCAAGGTGGGCGGATCACTTGAGGTTAGGAGTTCAAGACCAGCCTGGCCAACATGGTGAAACCCCATCTCTACTAAAAATACAGAAAAAAGTTAGCTGGGTGTGGTGGCATGCGCCTGTAATTCCAGCTACTCAGGAGGCTGAGGCAGGAGAATTGCTTGAACCCGGGAGGTGGAGATTGCAGTGAGCTGAGATCATGCCACTGCACTCCAGCCTGGGCGACAGAGCAAGATTAGATTCTATGTCAAAAAAAAAAAAAAAAAAAAGATGGGACATTTAACACTATCAAACGCTGCAAAAGAGAATTAAGTCTTAGATTAATAAGCTAGGGAAAACTGGCTGTTTGGAAAAAGAAAAGAAAAATCAGGTTAACGCCTTAGCTTATCCCAAGATGAGAGTAGATTCGATGTTGACTTTTAAATTGATTTTAAAAAATTAAACTAAAACCTCTAGAAGAAAATATGAATAGTTAATTCATTGCTGAATAAATTTAGCTATATAGAAATATAAAACTCTTATAATTTAAAAATGTATTATCAAAAGCAAAGGAAATATTTAACCAATATGAGATGCTCAGTATTCTCAGGTTGTAAAGATCTCTTAAAAATAGGCAAAATTATTCCCTTGTAATAGATAAATGTACAAAAAACATATATATAGTTCATGAAAGAAGAAACTGTAATGACCTGTAATTATATGAAATATTGTTCATCTTTAATTTTAAAAAGCATTAACATTTTTGCTTACCAAATTGGCAAAGATTTTAAAACTTTATGGTGAAATGGGTGTTTTTATTTTGCGGTACATAATTTGAAAATGTCCAGCAAATGGGAGAACAGGTCAATTATTACCTTTAAAACTATTTTTTAGGGCCAGGCACAGTGGCTCATGCCTGTAATCCCAGTACCTTTGGGAGGCCAAGGCAGGTGGATTGCTTGAATCCAGGAGTTCGAGACCAGCCTGGGTGACATGGCGAAACCCTGTCTCTACTAAAAATACAAAAAATAAGTCCAGAATGGTAGCCTGCACCTGTAGTCCCAACTACACAAAAGGCTGAGTCAGGAGAATCTGTGGAACCTGGGAGATGGAGGTTGCAGTGAGCTGAAATCATGCCACTGCGTTCCAGGCTGGGTGACAGAGCGAGAATCTGTCTCAGAAACCAAAAACAAACAAACAAAAAAACACTATTAAAAAGAAACAATTTAGGCCGGGCGCAGTGGCTCATGCCTGTAATCCCAGCACTTTAGGAGGCTGAGGCAGGTGGATCACCTGAAGTCAGGAGTTTGAGACCAGCCTGGCCAACATGGTGAAACCCCGTCTCTACTGAAAATACAAAAATTGGCCGGGCATGGTGGCAGGTGCCTGTATTCCCAGCTACTTGGGAGGCTGAGGCTGGAGAATCGCTTGAACCCGGGAGGCGGAGGTTGCAGTGAGCCGAGATCGTGCCATTGCACTCCACCCTGGGGGACAAGAGCGAGACTTCGTCTCAAAAAAACAAACAAACAAGCAACCAGTATTTTTCAGCTTTCAAAATATTTGCATGTTTTGACTTGGTTGTTCTATTCTGCAGTCTGTCTAAAAGAAATAAGAAATCCAGGCAGGGCATGGTGGCTCACGCCTGTAATCACACTTTGGGAGGCCGAGGTGGGTGGATCACTTGAGCCCAGGAATTTGAGACCACCCTGGTCACCATGGATAAACCCTGTGTCTACAAAAAATACAAAAATTAGCCAGGTGTGGTTGGGTGTGCCTGTGGAATAGGAGGATCACGTGAGCCTGGGGAGGTCAGGGCTGCAGCGAGCAGTGATTGTGCCTATGCACTCCAGCCTGGGCAACAGAGTGAAACAATGTCTCAAAAAAAAAAAAAAAACCCAAAAAGACCAATGAAAAGAAAGCGATTAAATTGTAGTATGTCTATATATAATTTTCTGCAGTCATTCAAAATGATTTTCAGTAATTTGGGGGAAATGCCCAATATGTATTGAGTAACTAACCAAATAAAAACCCACCCAGAATATGAAACCATTATACAGTGTGTGATTGCAGTCACATCCAATGAGAAGGACTGACAAGAGATAGTCCTATGTCTTGGTGGTAATTATCTCCAGGATGTAGGATGGCAGATAATTTTTATTTTATAATTAGAAGTTACTTTTGTTCTTTGAAAGTCTGTTTTAAAAATTAAAATGGGGGCTAGGCGCAGTGGCTCATGCCTATAATCACAGCACTTTGGGAGGCTGAAGTGGGCAGATAGCCTGAACCCTGGAGTTTGAAACTAGCATGGGCAACATGGCAGGACCTTGTCTCTACAAAAACATACAAAAATTAGCTGGGTATGGTGGTGCATGCCTGTATTCCCAGCTACTCAGGAGACTGAGGCGGGAGGATCATATGAGCCTGGGAGGTGAGGCGGGAGGATCATGTGAGTCTGGGAGGCTGAGGCTGTGGTAAACCATGGTTGTGCCACGGCACTCCAGCCTGGGTGACAGAGGAAAACCCTAAGGGAAAAATAAAATAAAATGCACTAACTATATTAACTGCATTTTAAAAAAGAGTATAGTGAAGGAAAGGGGAATGGGAAGACAGCTTGAGGAACAGATAGGATTGAGGAAACATTTTAGGTTTGGGTGCTTGATTATATTTGTAGAGTAAGACAAAAGGTCTATAAGAAAGGAATATAATGAAGATGCAAGAAAGCATTAAAAGATGTTGGGCAGTCCTAGAGGATATAGTCTGCCATCCAGGACATGATAGGCAAATCATCCTTGAAGAAGGGGAGAGAGACTTTTTCAGACATGGGAAACAGATGGAGATGGTTAGTGGCACAGAGAAATTTTAAGGTATGGGAGAAAGTTGAGGGATAGCAGATAATCATTATTTTTAGGGAAGAGGAAGAGTCAGGGATAGCTACAGATTGGTATTAGCAATTTGAGGAGATGGAAAAGGTTTGCAAGGGGCACTGGGGATGGGTCCAGGAGTGGATTAGAGATGTAGAAACTGATTGATTTCTAAACAATATAGATAACCCAATTAAAGTTGTTGAATAATGTCAGCTGTAGCCAATGTTGGCTTGGTCTCTTTGACATAATCCAGTTTTAGGTATTTGAATACTCTATAAATACAAATACATAGACTGAAGCACAATTTTAATTTTTTTCTATCTTTTGCCTAGGTCTGTATGATTGTATAGGACTTAGAGCTTTTTGTCCTACCAAATTATTAATTTCTTTATTCCCATTAATTTTAATACCAGCACACTAATCTCATTAAACCCATGGTTTTACTACTAGGTTGTCAAAGTCATCCGTCATTTATAATTCCCTAGCTCCCAGGAGTCTTGAGCTGTGATTTTTTGGTTTGTTTGTTTTTGGGTTTTTTTTTTTTGAGACAGAGTCTTGCTCTGTTGCCCAGGCTGGAGTGCAGTAGCACAATCTCCGCTTACCACAACCTCAGCCTCTTGGGTTCAAGCGATCCTCCCAGCTCAGCCTCCCGAGTAGCTGGGACTATAGGCGCATGCCACCATACCCAGCTAATTTTTGTATTTTTAGTAGAGATGGGGTTTCGCCATATAAGCCAGGCTAGTCTCAAACTCCTGACCTCAAGTGATCTGTCCACCTTGGCCTCCTTAAGTGCTGGGATTACAGGCGTGAGCCACTGCAGCCGGCCGATTTCTTCTTTTTAATAAGAGGGGAGAAAAGAGTTTTTGTCTTTAATAATTGGTAGTGAAAACCTCTGACCTTTTCTTTACTGGGCCCAGTGGAAAATTTATTAGAATTGTTTGTAGAGCAGCCTGCCCTTTAATATGCTACTTTACTTAGTTTATTTACTCCACTAAAATACACCTGACTTCTCAACTGGAACATTCTCCAGCATTACTTGTTGGTCTGAGAGAATAGTAGTGTAAAAAGTAGATGAGGGGTTAGTTGTGGTGGAAGAATTTCTGGGAGGGGAAGCAGTTGGGCAAGGGTGAAGGAATTGAAACTACTAGGGAAAGTAGCCTATGATGAAGCCCAAGTGAGGCGTGAAGTGAGCTGATGAACTGTAAAGATTCTGGAAGGAGTTGAAGGTTGTGATGAGACTGAATAAAAGATACTGTAGGAGGCAGGTAGAATAAATAGGAAGTTGTAGTTAGAGGGATTTTAGAGTTCAAGATCTAGGAAGAGGAACAATTCTAAGTATCAAGGAAATTTAAGGAGTTGTACGGGTTATCAGATGACTCCATTGAAAAATTGAGATCAAAATGTTATAAGGGTGTACAGCATTGATGTTAAAATTCCCCAAATTTTAATCCCCAGCAACAAATCATAGCATTTTTGGAATCCTGTTTCTGCTGTACCTTTATCATAGTAGGTTTATCTCATGCACTGAATGTTCCTTCTCCCTCACATATCCCTAAAACTTGTCTAGCACTGAATGTGCAATTTAGTATGAATTTTCTAGCTGAAAGATTTTTAGGCATCTTGTAGTCAAGATAATACATTTTAGGATGCATTCTTGGGTCACATAACTCATCAGTAGCAGAGTCAGAGCTAGAAACCTTAATTTCCCAATTTTTGGTCTATTCTACTCATTGTTATCTGTTATTTAAAAAGCAGCAGGAACTCTTCTTTCAAACTAGTTAGGAACGTCTTAAAATAGCATGGAGAGGCAATACGCAGTCTTAAAATGGTTTTGGAAACCTCACTTAGAAGAAGAGAAGCAGTGTCAAAGCTGACTCTTCCTGCATTCAGACCATGTTCTGCAGGTAGTCAACACTAATCAGGTGCTGACTGCCAATTACTGAGGTGTTCCCTCTATTATAAGCATTTGGGGAACCCCCAAAGTAGTGCTTGTCATACCTTACTGTCCACATATATAATCTGGGGATCTTGTTAAAATGCTAGCTCTGATATAGTAGGTCTAGAATAGTTTTGAAGATTGTGCATTTCTGACAAGCTCCTGTATAGTGCTCGTCCGTTTGGTTTAAAGACCACACTTTGAATAGAAAGGCCCTAAAGGATTTCTGTGGTACACAGTTTGAAAATGTCTTTTAAAATATGAGGACTGGTACGCAGTGGCTCGTGCCTGTAATTGTAGCACTTTGGGAGGCCAAGGAGGGAGGATTGCTTGAGGTCAGGAGTTCAAGACCAGCCTGGGCAACATGGCGAAACCCTGTCTCTACGAAATACACAAAAGAATTAGCTGCGCGTGGTGGCAGGTGCCTGTAGTCCTACCTACTCGGGAGGCTGAGGCATGAGAACTGCTAGAACCTGGTAGGTGAAGGTTGCAGTGAGCCGAGATCACACCACTGCACTCCAGCCTGGGCGATGGAATGAGACGCTGTCTCAAAAAAAAAAGGAAAAAGAAAAAAACTATGTGAGGAGAGAGAGATGTTAATTAGCTTGACTGTAGTACTTTTTTTCACTATGTATATCAAAACATCATGTTATACTGTTTTTATTAAAAATAAATCATTGCAATACATGTTTTACAGAAAAAAAATTTAATACATGGTACTGCCTCTCTGTTTCTTTGTTTGTTTGAGACAGGGTCTCACTCTGTCTCCCAGGTTGGAGTGCAGTGGCGCAAGCTCAGCTCACTGCAACCTCCACTTCCCAGACTCAAACAATCCTCCCACCTCAGCCTCCTGAGTAGCTTCGACTACAGGCGTGCCCTGCCATGCCCAGCTACTTTTTAAATTTTTTTGTACAGACAGGGCCTTGTCATGTTGCCCAGGCTGATCTGTCACTCCTGCGCTTAAGTGATCCTTTCACCTCAGCTTCCCAAAGTGCTGCAATTACAAGCGTGAGCCACAGCACCCGGCCTCTGTTAGTTGAATCTATTAGATTTTATTTTGTTCAGGCTTATTCTGAAATTCCTAGGAGTATGGGTTAGTACTGTGTAGTGGTTTGGAGGTAGTACATACCAGAGCCTTGGCTGAGACATCTGCAGACTGGCTACTTATGCCCTTGTTTCTAATCTATGACTAGAGCCCCTCTGGAAGGAAAAGGAATCAGCTATATTTAGCCAACAGTAGCAGTAGCTTTCAGTCTGACATTTCCTGTTAGTGTTCTTCCCTCCTTTCTATCCCTCCAGTTGATGTCATTGCTTTGAAGAAATGACAGCTCCTTTAAAAAAAGTCTGTGGTTACTTCTACTCTAAATCACTAGCTTTGAACATTTTGTGTACCATTGTACTGAGCTGGGGGATATCAGGGCCTAGTCCCTGGGAAATACGTGCACTTTGTTCTCCTAGCATGGGAAAACCAGACCTGCCTCAAACTTGAATTAATAGCCAGTGGAAATCAAGAAACAACAATGGTAAAGTTATCTGTGCTTGTGATAAAATAGTGCCCTAAGGATTTTGAGAACTTGACTTTGTTCCTGTTCATATAGGGCCTTCTGAAGGCTTATTTGAAATATGAACCAGCATACCTAATAGTTCTGAATGGCCACAAGTGTTCCTATGCCCTTGGACAACCCATCACTCTATCTCTAGATGAACTCTGGGGGTTATATAGGATTCTACCCAAAGGCTCTTTATGTATTTAATAAGGCTGACCAGAAATTAAAAAGCTTTTTTGAAGCTCTTAAAAACTTAGAAGTTTTCATCCTCCTGCTGTTTTTTTTCTTAAATTCAAGGAGTATTCATTATTTCCCTCTCCCCCTTCCTTTTCCCCTCTTCTTACCCAGAGTGAGCACAAATGGATCAGATGACCCTGAAGATGCAGGAGCTGGTGAAAATAGGAGAGTCAGTGGGAATAATTCTCCATCACTCTCAAATGGTGGTTTTAAACCTTCTAGACCTCCAAGACCTTCACGACCACCACCACCCACCCCACGTAGACCAGGTTTGTATTCCAGCTCTCAATACTCTTGGAAATAATGTCCTGGTTGGCAATTAATCCTCAGGTAAGTGTCAGGAAATTCTTTTAGGTGAATTTTCTGCGTGTATTTTTACATTTAAGATTTTGGAAAAGAATGATCTTTCTGTAGGTAACCAAAAGTGCCTTTTTCCTAAGTTTTTGTTCAAGGTGACGTTACTGAGGCAGTGCTCTACTGAGAATGAAAATGACATGTGCGTAATATAAAGTATAGGCGGTGCAGATAACATGGCAATAACATTGTACCTTTCTTAAATGGTTTGTAACTATAACATAAATGTATTAAATACTCAAGGATTTGGTTGCTTATTCCTAGTATATCCTTTAAAAAGTTAGTAAACGAAAACCCAACAATGCTAAATGACCCAGATTTTAAATAAAAAGTACACAACAAACAAGCATATTTTAGGTAGTAAAAATGTGAACACCTATAAGACTATCCACTTCTCTGATAGCCAGAACAAATCTTTAATCTTACCTTTTATTGTTTCTCTCTGCTAATATGTGGGCAGGGAATGCAGTGTAGTTAAACCAAATATTACTAGAAAAGTACATTAGTTCTCTGCAAATAATTTTAAGTGAATTTCTATTCAATTATACATCTTCTCCTTTTTATTTTTTTATTTTTTGAGACAGGGTCTCACTCTGTCACCCAGACTGGAATGTGGTGACATCTCAGCTCACTGCCACCTCTACTTCCCAGGCTCAAGTGATTGTCTAGCCTCAGCCTCCCGAGTAGCTGGTACCACAGTCATGAGCCACCAATGCCTGGCTAAATATTTATATTTTTTGTAGAGATGGAGTTTTGCCATGTTGCGCAGGCTGGTCTGGAGCTCCTGAGCTGAAAGTGATCCTTCTGCCTCGGCCTCCCAAAGTGTGGGAGTTACGGGCGTAAGCCACTGCAGCCACATCTTCCCCTTTTATAGATAATTTGATTAATTGTATATTCTGAGTCTTTAAGATGTCTTTATTATAATCTTGGTGACTTCCTCTAGACATTGTTTTGTCCACAAGTATTTCTTAAAGGTGTAATGTATGACTACTAACTATCTGTAAGAATGTTATTTCTTATCAGACCTTCCATATTATAACCAACATCAAAAATTGGTCTGTAATCTGCACGGTTTCACAGGAAAGCAGTTTTAAGGAGCTGGAAAATTAATAAATGAACTTAAAATACCAAGGAATATTAATAATTTCCTATTCTAAAAGTTTTTATTTCCAGTGACATCAGAAGATCAGAGAACCTGTACATGCTTCGTGATTAGTAATGGGACATAGGGGTAGACAGGACCGAAAAAGTAAACAAGCCTATTAACTGGCAGCGTTGGTTATTTCCCATTACTTATTTCTTTAAGTAATTTTCACCTGTGCATCTACATCTTAAGTTTTATATTTATCATCTGCCTTTTATTTTTTACAGTTAAAATTCTATCCTGAATTTTAGAAAATGAAAGATTCTTTTCCTATTTTCCCCAAATCTTTTATAGCATCTGTCAATGGTTCACCATCTGCCACTTCTGAAAGTGATGGGTCTAGTACAGGCTCTCTGCCGCCGACAAATACAAATACAAATACATCTGAAGGAGCAACATCTGGATTAATAATTCCTCTTACTATATCTGGAGGCTCAGGCCCTAGGCCATTAAATCCTGTAACTCAAGCTCCCTTGCCACCTGGGTGAGTAACTTTTTAAATTAACATATGTTGTCTTTAGGATTCTTCATAAGCCTACTTATTAATAAGGAAAATAACAGTAAACAACAGTAAACTCCATTGTTTTGATGACTGTTTTTTAATTTCTTTTTTTTTTGAGATGGAGTGCTCTGTCTCCCAGACTGGAGTGCAGTGGTGTGATCTTGGCTCACTGCGACCTCCGCCCCCTGGGTTCAAGTAATTCTCCTGCCTTAGCCTCCCTAGTAGCTAGGATTACAGGTGTGCACTACCAAGCCCGGCTAATTTTTGTATTTTTAGTAGGGGATTTCACCATGTTGGCCAGGCTGGTCTCGAACTCCTGACCTCAAGTGATCCGACCACCTCAACCTCTGAAAGTGCTGGGATTACAGGCATGAGCACCCAGCCAACTGTTTTTATGTTATTGTAACTGATTTTGGGGGATCTGGAGTCAAAATGAACAAGGAAAACACACCATATTTGAAATCTTCAGGGCAAAGTGGAAAAATATATTTTTTCATCAAAGGACCCTGAAAGTTAACCAAGGCCAATTAATAAAATAATCACCTAATTCCAATTGCCTTTTTCTTTAAGGGGGAAAAAATCCCTTTTTAATATCAAACTATTTTTTTCATCAGAAGATCATTATAGGCTGGGCATGGTGGCTCACGCCTGTAATACCAGCATTTTGGGAGGCCGAGGCGGGCTGATCACCTGAGGTCAGGAGTTCGAGACCAGCCTGGCCAACATGCTGAAACCCCATCTCTACTAAAAATACAAAAAATTAGCTGGGTGTGGTGGCAGGCGCCTGTAATCCCAGCTACTCGGGAGGCTGAGGCAGGAGAATTGCTTGAACCTGGGAGGCAGAGGTTGCATTGAGCCAAGATCTTGCCACTGCACTCCAGCCTGGGCAACAAGAGCAAAACTCCATCTTGGGGAAAAAAGAAAAATCATAGCAAAGTGATAGATAATTCAGAAAACTGAGAAAATTTGTGCTCATAATCCCATTTTAATCTCTCCTGATTATTTTAAGATTATTTTCATAGATTGTTTTTAAGATACTCAGGTGTAATTTTTTCTTGTTTATTTTTTGTTTGTTTGTTTGAGATGAAATCTTGCTCTGTTGCCCAAGCTGTAGTGCAGTGGTGGGATCTTAGCTCTCTGTAACCTCCGTCTTCCGGGTTCAAGTGATTCTCTTGCCTTAGCATCCTGAGTAGCTGGGATTACAGGTACCTGCCACCATGCCCAGCTAATTTTTTTTTTTTGAGATGGAGTCTCACTCTATTGTCCAGGCTGGAGTGCAATGATGCAATCTTGGCTTACTGCAACCACTGCCTCCCAGGTTAAAGTGATTCTCCTGCCTCAGCCTCCTGAGTAGTTGGGACTACAGGTGCCCACCATCATGCCCAGCTAATTTTTGAATTTTCAGTAGAAACGGGGTTTCACCATGTTGGCCAGGCTGGTCTTGAACTCCTGACCTCAAGTAATCCACCCGTCTCAGCCTCCCAAAGTGTTGGGATTACAGGTGAGAGCCACTGCGCCTGGCCATTTCTTTCCACTCAAATCCTGATTATACCCTGATTGAGAGTGACTTCGGTATCCTAGGTAGACGGACCTCAAGCCTCTTCAGGAATATGTTTTCTCCTAGAGCAGATACTTGCATAGAAGAAATTGAATTCACTGTGTGCCACTGCCTGAAGATTACATTTCTTCACTTTATTCCTAAATTGTATTTGTATCATCTTTCTAAACTGATGTCCTTATTTGCCTTAGTTCAATAATGGTCATTTAATGGAAATGCAAAGACAGGATTAAAAAGCCAGGTAACTCATGCAAGTATTTTACCAGCCTTTTAATTTTGTATTTAAGTTGGGAGCAGAGAGTGGACCAGCACGGGCGAGTTTACTATGTAGATCATGTTGAGAAAAGAACAACATGGGATAGACCAGAACCTCTACCTCCTGGGTAAGTATCTAAATTTAAAAAGAATAATTTTATTTAGTCAGAATTGTGGATTACAACTGTATAATCTTCCCTACATTTCTGTTTTACTTTTTCTTGTCAGCCCTTTCTCTGTCCACTTTGTTTTGTGGTAAGTACAAATTAAAAAGAAGAGAGCTAGACAACTGATTAATTCAGAGCCTGATAAACAATTTTTGTTTTCACGCATATTTCTTTCTTCTTTTCTTTATTTTATAGAAACAACATCTCGCTATGTCGCCCAGGCTGGTTTTTAACTCCTGAGCTCAAGCCATCCTCCCGCGTTGGCCTCCCAAAGTGCTGGGATTACAGGCGTGAGCTATCATGCCTGGCCCTATTTTCACTCATTTCTGACCTAAAGATTCCTTAGGTGGGCTGGGCGCAGTGGCTCACGCCTGTAATCCCAGCACTTTGGGAGGGCGAGGTGGGAGGATCACGAGCTCAGGAGATTGAGACCATCCTGGCTAACGTGGTGAAACCCCGTTTCTACTAAAAATACAAAAAAAAAAAAGCCAGGCATGGTGGCGGGCACCTATAGTCCCAGCTACTTGGGAGGCTGAGGCAGGAGAATGGCATGAACCCAGGAGGCGGAGCTTGCAGTGAGCCGAGATCTCGCCACTGCACTCCAGCCTGGGCGACAGAGCAAGACTCTGTCTCAAAAAAAAAAAAAAAATTTCCTTAACTTTTCTTGTCTAAGCTGTTTACCTGTTTACTAATACTGTAGTTTAAGTATTAGTTTCTTCAAGAGTAATTATTTAAATGAATAAGAATTAGAGCCCAGTCATATATTAAAATGAAGTTCTTATTATATTTAAAAAACTATAATAGCAAAATCATTTCAAATTAATTGGGGAAGTTAAGGATATATTAATACATGGTGTTAAGCCTTTAACATTAACATTAACATTACAGTCCAGGCACGGTGGCTCGCGCCTGTAATCCCAGCACCTTGGGAGGCTGAGGTGGGGGGATCATGAGGTCAAGAGATCGAGACCATCCTAGCCAACATGTTGAAACCCCGTCTCTACTAAAAATACAAAAATTAGCTGGGTGTTGTGGCGCGCCTGTAGTCCCAGCTACTCCGGAGGCTGAGGCAGGAGAATGACTTGAACCTGGGAGGTGGAGGTGCAGTGAGCTGAGATTGTGCCACTGTACTCCAGCCTGGCGACAGATCAAGACTCCGTCAAAAAAAAAAAATCATATAAAATAATTGAAGAAAAAATATTTTTTAATCCAGAGGAAAGTCAGTAACAAACATGGAAAAATACTTAACCTTGTTAGTAATCTGAAGGAAATATACCCTGAAAAGGTACTGTTTTAGTTATTAAATTAGCAGATAATATCAAGTGTTGGTGAGGAACTTTACGTTGTTAGTTGCTGCCGGGGCTGGGCACAGTGGCTGATGCCTGAAATCCTAGCACTTTGGGGGGACAAGGTAGGATGGGCGCTTGAGGCCAGGAGTTTGAGACCAGCCTGGGCAGCATAGTGAGACCCCATCACTATAGAAAGAAAAAGAAATTAGCTGGGCATGGTGGCATGTACCTGTAGTCCTAGTTAATCAGGAGTCTGAAGTGGGAGGATCTGTTGAGCCCAGGAGTTCAAGATTACAGTGAGCTGTGATCATGCCACTGTACTCCTGGGCAACAGAGCCAGCCCCTGTCATCCTCCCTGCATCTGCCCACCATAATTATGTATTAATACATACCCTTCATAATCCTCTCTGTGAAATTTATCCTAAAGAAACAATTCAAAGGAAGAAACAGTTTGCTACATTAAGAATATTCATTATTTTATTATTTATATAACATCAGAATATTGGAAACCACCCTAAATAACCAAGCAGGTAGAAATCGTGAAGTCATTCGATTCATTTATGAATTATGTTCATAATCAACACAATCAATTCTTTCAAATGTTTTATTTAGAACATTTGTATCAATGTTTACTTACATATTTTGTACCCATTTAAAATGATAGGAAGTGGGCTGGGCGTGGTGGTTCACGCCTGTAATCCCAGCACTTTGGGAGGCCGAGGTGGGCGGATCACCTGAGGTCGGGAGTTCGAGGGCCGCCTGACCAACATGGAGAAACCCTGTCTCTACTAAAAATACAAAATTAGCCAAGTGTGATGACGCATGCCTGTAATCACAGCTACTCAGGAGGCTGAGGCAGGAGAATCGCTTGAACCTGAGAGGCAGAGGTTGCGGTGAGCCAAGATCGCGCCATTGCACTCCATCCAGTCTGGGCAACAAGAGGGAAACTCTGTCTCCAAAAAAAAAAGATAGGAAGTTAGTTGTGTTCTTGCGAAAAATTGTGTGTGTGTGTTTTGTTTTGTTTTTTCGAGATGGAGACTCACTCTGTTGCCCAGGCTGGAGTGTATTGGCATGATCTCGGCTCACTGCAGCCCCCACCTCATAGGTTCAAGCAGTTCTCCTGCTCAGCGTCCCGCGTAGCTGGGACTACAGATCTGCGCCACCACACCTGGCTAATTTTTTGTATTTTTAGTAGAGATGGGGCTTCACCCTGGTGGCCAGGCTGGTCTTGAACTACTGACCTCAAGTGATCCGCCTGCTTTGGCCTCCCAAAGTGCTAGGATCACAGGTGTGTGAGCCACTGCACCTGGCCAAAAAGTGCTTTTTGATATCTGTCCAAAGCTATATATTTAATTTGTGTCCCTGTTATGATTGAAACAGTAAAAACAACATTGAAAAGAAACTCAAAACTTAATGACTGTTTGAGACTTACTCACTAAATATGTATTGCATTTTAAGAACCTGACTAATGCATCTTATGAACTTTCAAGAAATAAATTTTTAGAAACATTTCTCTTAAGTTCACTTACAAACTATTTAAAAATACATAAAAGACTCCAGATAAATCAAAAGTAGTTTCTCAAGGTAAAATATTCTATCTGTTTCACAAGTATTTGTTGAATTAGCTTGTTTTTTTTTTTTTTTTTCTGATTTAGCTGGGAACGGCGGGTTGACAACATGGGACGTATTTATTATGTTGACCATTTCACAAGAACAACAACGTGGCAGAGGCCAACACTGGAATCCGTCCGGAACTATGAACAATGGCAGCTACAGCGTAGTCAGCTTCAAGGAGCAATGCAGCAGTTTAACCAGAGATTCATTTATGGGGTGAGCAGCCTGTTGTTTAATAAACTAATAAGAGTATTTTGTTTCTAGCCCCTTCCAGCATATGTCATGGAAAGCACTAAAAAGAAGGTGCAAGTAGCATGGCAACCCAGTTGTTGCTGTTAGTAGGTATTATTTTTAGACCTTGTCTGGGGTATTCTGTGTGTGATCTAGTTTTTCCTTTTTGTAATTTGCTTAAGTCCAACTTCCTCTTCTTTTTAATGTCAAAAATAAGCAAAAAATAAGTTAGGACAACTTAAAATTCATGAACAAAAGAGTAGTAAAAATAAACCCAAGCAGCTTGAAAATAATTAAAACATTTCTAAATTTACTAGTGCCTTGGGTCTAAGAGCATCTGACTCTAAAGTGGTTGTGCAAAACTGATGATAAGAGTTTAACCACTTTTTACCATTTGGAGATAAGGCTTACCTAATAAATTATTTGGTACTCTGGGAGACTGAAGAAATTTGATCCTTTATAGGAGTATGCTTACTATATTATTCTGGCTTTAAATCTTTATTATCTTTGATATAAAATCATTTCCCTTCTAGAAACAAATGGTTTAAATTTTACATATTTTCCTGTAGAGCAATATTGCATTAATAGTGTAAGTACTCCAAAATCTTCCTTTGCTATGCAGTCTTTGGTGCTAGGAATTTTATAATCTCTCAAGTCATACAGTATCATTGATCTTTTGTCTGGAGGAAAAGGAAAATAATCCATTGAGAAATTTGATTCTCTATGCCAAACAAGATGGATTTGTTATATAGAACCTAAACGAAGAAAATCAAGCCTTAAGGAGCTCAGGAGAAAATGCCCCCTCCATCACCATCTCTTCCCCTCCACTGCCATTGGTATCATCCCTGTTAGAATTCATCAGAGTAAAACAGCACCTTTCGTATTCCTTTCCTAACTAGGCATAGTTTTATCCCTTTTCTTCATATTCTTGTCTATTCCTTATACCTCATCATCATAATAGCACTCACTGCTGTAGACAAATTCACCTTTATCAGCAGCCTTCCCTTTGTTCCTTGGTTATGACTCAGGTACTTTTCTTTCATATAACAATTTTTTCCTGCCACTTTCTCTAAACAGTTGCTAACTATATTTCCCCTCCCAGTGGTTTTAAAGCTGAAATGAATTTTGTCTCTTGTGTACTTTACCCTTCTTTTCATTTTTTTTTCTATGCTGTTTTACATCTTCCTTCCTTTCTAAATTATAATCACCTGTGGTATGCCTGGCCAAATTTCTTCTAGGTTTGAATACCTAGCTTGCCTGCCTTCTTTAAAACTAGTTTCCACATGGGTGTTCAGTGGAAAGAGCATGGGCTTTGGAGTTAGACACATCTGGGTTCGAATCCTGGTTCCACAGTTACTTTCTCCATATGACTTTGAGTAAGTTACTTAACCTCATCAAGACTTATTTCCTTTATCTGTAAAATAAATACAGATATAAAATTGCCTCAGAGTTTTTCTGAGGATTCTTTAAAATAAAGTTCCAATATATTTGGCATGTACTGAATGCTTAGAAATGTTAGTTCCCATCTCTTCTCTCCTTCATATTCACCTCTGTATATGTACCCTTTATCTCATTTTTGCATTACACAATCTTTCAAAGCATTCTTTTAAAAGAGAGATTTAGCAGATTTCTGGAGCACCAACGGTGTGTTTTGACTACTGTAATCCTGACCGATTTAGTACTCAGAGTCTTTGGAATTTTTTTTTTTTTTTTTAAGTACAGCTTCTCCTTCATCATCCTGTCCCCCCGCCCAATCCAATATAATCTGAACAATTTTCTGAAATTTTTACTCTTTGTACTTGATGTGGAGTGGTTTGAAATTACATAGAATCTAAACAGCCTATTTTAGTTAACATAGCCAAAGATATAAGCTGAAGTGAATTAATTTAACATCCTTAATAACATTTACTTTAAAAATGATGGGGTGTTGCTGAGAAATAGTCTGTTTATTGAGTATATGAAGTGGCCTTTGTCCACCATTGTTGTTGTGACTCTTACTAGCATACAGAAACTGTCATACACCCAGCATTTTAAGTCTCAGAGTGGATATGGTTGACAGTAAAACACTGTGAAATGGTTCTTCCTGGTCCATGGCTTAATTGTGCATGTCCCTAGTTTATCCGTCCAGGGAGAGCCAGTGGGGTTGGCTTCAGTCTTAAAATTGTCAGTACAGTATGTCACGTGCCAAACTTTTCAGACCTCATCTGTAACTTGGGCTCAGACCTTTTGTAGTGTTTCCCGCTGGCCTCCCTGTTCTCACATCTTCTCATAATCATGTCTGTCAGGAGGAGCAAGGCAGTTCTCGACAGCACTAAATCCAAGAGTTATTATATCAGTAGTGTAATGTAGCTCATATCCTTTAAAACCTCATCAATCAACCAGGTTTCTGTAGTAGGCCGGTGACATGGGGTTGTAGGGGTGGGTAAAGAAACAAGAAGAGATAGCAGGGGAGCTGCTCTATATTGAGATTTAAGAGAAACAACCAAATGTAACGTAAGGACTTTGTTTGGGTCCTGATTTTAACAAATAAGCAATCATGCATTTAATTACAGATTAGGTATTGGATGATAAAATTAACATTGATTCTTTACCACATGTCATAATGACATTGTGATTATGTAAGAAAATGTCAGCCTGGCGCGGTGGCTCACACCTGTACTCCCAGCACTTTGGGAGGCCGAGGCGGGTGGATCACGAACAAGGTCAGGAGTTTGAGGCCAGCCTGACCAACATGGTGAAACCCGGTCTCTACTAAAAATACAAAAAGTTAGCTGGGCGTGGTGGCGCGTGCCTGTGATCCCAGCTACTCAGGAGGCTGAGGCAGGAGAATCACTTGAACCTGGGAGCCGGAGGCTACAGTGAGCCGAGATCGTGCCACTGTACTCCAGCCTGGGCGACAGAGTGAGACTCCATCTCAAAAAAAAAAAGAAAAGAAAATGTCCACAAATTTTAGAGAGACATACTAAAATATGTAGTAGAGGTGAAATAATGTTTGATTTTCGCTTCAACAAAGAACAGGAGAAAAGAGATAAAGAAACTTGGCAAAGTCTTGATAAGTGTTGAATCCTGGTGCTGGGTATGTGGGAATGTGGGATTCATTGCCCTGTTTTACTTGTTTTTTTTTTCTTCCCCATAGTGAAATTATTTTTAATGCAGTTAGACTCTTGTTTATCTTACTGAAGAAGAAAGGGTTTAACCAAATCTTACTGGGTGACCATGTAATTATCTCTACTTAATTATACATTTAAATCAAAACAGACTTAATATCTCTACACAGAGTCGGTGTGACTTTTGTTTTCTTTTTCCAAAGGTTGACTCTTACTTTGCTTTCATCTTATCTAGCCAAATCTTTCTCTCCACCAATGTGATCATTGGAAACAGAACTTTTAAGAAGTCTTCCATACAGTTCTAGGCTCATTAACACTTTCCAGCTGGAAACCTTTCCTTCCACTCATCTGGCAGCCCACTCTTCCTGTTCCCCCAACTCTCTTCTCATAATTCTTTGTATGTCACATGTTCTGTATTTGATCTTCTGTTTTTGAGTTACACATATAATATTTTTCATAGTCATATGATGATTCTGGGTACTGGTATTGTAAATGACTTTTGGGGGGGTTATATATTTTTCTAATTTTTATATTATTGATGTAAAATTTGTAGCACAAAGGAAAAATGGTCATTTTGGGGATGAGGATTACATATATGTGTAGTATTTTAATTTTAAATAATTTTAAATGTTAGGTAATGTTTGCACCGGTTTTTTTTAAACCAAACCAAAGTATATTGGCATTTATCCATAACCATGTGACACTTCTTTAAGATACAAACTCTCTGTGTTATACATTGCCAGGGAAGGGAAATCAGAACTCATAAGCTTGCTGTCAGATAAGTTGTTAAGTTGTTAATAGTTTCATCACTTTTTGGTTCTTTTTAGAATCAAGATTTATTTGCTACATCACAAAGTAAAGAATTTGATCCTCTTGGTCCATTGCCACCTGGATGGGGTAAGTCACATGAGTTTCTTCATGGAGTTCTGTCATTTCATTTTTGTTCTCTTCCAATTGTGTCATTTTAAAACAGATATTTATGTCTGATACTGTGCTCTTGCTTGAGTGAATGTCTGGGAAGTTTTTTTTTAATATATATATCAGTTTAATTCACAAATAGGCATTAAATTCCCCAAACATTAAGTGGACTCTTTATAAACTTTTATTGACGCTCATAATTATTTTACTCTTCTACAGTTTAAAGATACTGATCACCCAGCAATAAAAAAGGAATGGGCTATTGATACACCAGTAGGTCTGGGTGGACTTCAAGAGTAATTTGCTTGATGAAGAAAGTCAGTCTCAAAAGATCACAACCTGTGTGATTCAATTCATATAACATTCTCAAAATGACAAAACTAGAGATGGAGAACATATTAGTACTTGTCAGGAAACAGGGTAGGTGGGAAGTGGATTCAAATATTAAAAGGTAACATAAGGGGGTTTTACGTGATGATGATGATTCCATCATCTTGATTCCATCAAGATCCACAAGATGATTCTGTATCTTGATTTTGGTAATAGGTGATTACATTAATAATGTATACATGAGATAATGCATAGAACTATATATTTACAGAAATGAATTCAGCTTTTAAACATGGTGAAAATTTAACAATGTTTGTGGTTAACAATAATGTACCAATGCCACTTCTGTGGTTTTGATGCTGTACGTAGTTATATAAGATGTCACCATCGGAGAAAAATGAAGTATATGTGAGACTTTTTGTGCAATTTTTTACATCCTGTGAGTAATAATTAATTCAAAATAAAAAGCTTTTTAAAAAATTGTAATCACATTGGTTCTCCTAAAACAAGGTTCAGAGTTTGGTTAAGTTGGCATTATCTGATAGAAGAGTGGAAGGAGCACATGTGAAGGTGTCAACTTCATGCCCTACACCATGGAGCTCAAGAGCATGTGCTGTTATTGAGTATATCTGATACCTTAGTTATTAAAATAGACCTTAATAGACTTTAAGCTGGACCTACCCTACTAGGTTCTATTTTATAGTGTTATGTAATACTCACAGCATTATATAGCAAGGTTTCAGAATAAAGATGGCAGTATAGAAAGTTTTGCATAGAAGCAAGATAATAATATATTATAATAGAAAGTGGAAAACAACATAAAGCCCATTGTGGAACCAGAGTTTTGTCTTCAAGAGCTGAAGATACTTCATAATATTGGGATAAATTCAGAAAGTGATATTTCTAGATTGGGAAAAGTTGGTCCCCAAGATACATTGTTCTAGCAGTACTGAGTTATGGAGAAAAAATGTTGGTGTGTCAAGATCACATGAGTCTGGTTAATAAATGCTACTGGGGGTATAAGCTTTTCTTTGAGAAATCTCATTGCTCTTATTTAAAGGTATCTATTCTCAAAACACTTCTGTGAGTCAAAAAGGTAAAAAATGTATTAGGCTATACATATAACTGTTACTGTTATTAGCTTATAACAACAGGAGGACATATGAAAGTTGTGGGCCCGATGCAGTGACTTACACTTATAATCCTAACACTTTAGGAGGCTGAGGCAGGTGAATCGCTTCAGTTCAGGAGTTCAAGACCAGCCTGACCAACATGGTGAAACCCTGTCTCTACTAAAAATACAAAAAAATTAGGTGGGCTTGGTGGCCCGTGCCTGTAATCCCAGCTGCTCAGGAGGCTGAGGCAGGAGAGTCACTTGAACCCGGGAGGCGGAGGTTGCAGTGAGCCAAGATCGCGCCATTGCACTCCAGCATAGGCGACAGAGCGAGACTCCGTCTCAAAAAAAAAAAAAAAAAGAAATTAGCCAGGCATGGTGGTGCTTGCCTATAGTCCCAGCTACTCTTGAGGCTGACGTGGGAGGATCGCTTGAGCTTGGGAGTTTGAGGCTTCAGAGAGTCGAGATCACACTATTGCACTCCAGCCCGGGTGAGAGAGCAAGACCCTGTCTCAAAAAAAAGAAGAAAGCAAGTTGTGAATTTCTGTCTTTACCAAAGCTTGGCAGCCTGGAGTTAAGGAGTCCTCTGTCTCTACTGAAGCCTAAGAGTGGTCAGTGAATGGTTAGTATGAAGTACTTTAGAAGAGGGGATGTTGCCCTTACAAGGCATATTAAACTTAACCTGTCAGATTGCATTCCCAGACATGGATGGTTTTATTTCTAGAGTTTCCCAGCTTTATTTCTAGAGTTGTATGTCTTATGTTAGAGAAGGAGAAAAAAACTCATGCACTAAAATGATATATCCAAAGGATATGTATTTATCCTCTTAATTTTATTGCAGGCCAGGCATGGTGGCTCACACCTGTCATCTCAGCGCTTTGGGAGGCTGAAGTGGGAACATTGCTTGAGCCCGGGAGTTGGAGATCAGCCTGGGCAACATAGCGAAAACCTGTCTCTATAAAAAAATACAAAAAATAATCTGGGTGTGGTGGAACACCTCCTAATCCCAGTTTCTTGGGAGGCTGAGGTGGGAGGATCACCTGAGCCTGGGAAGTCAAGGCTGCAAGTAGGCCAAGATTTTGCCACTGTGCTTCAGCCTGGGCAACAGAGTGAGACCCTGTCTCAAAAAAAAAAAAAAAAAAAAAAAGTTGCAGAAAAACTATGACCTGCTTCATGGTTATGGTCAGAAACAAAACTGTTTTACTCCTTCTCTAGGGCAGGTGTAGAAAAAAATGCCTCTTGCTTATAGAAAGCTGAATTGTGAGCTGCGTTTCCTTTATCAGAAAAGTCTTTCCTGCAAGTTGGTCCTTGCCTTCTGTATTCATCATTTTCTTTATCATCCAGATCTTTCTCATTTTTACTTTAGCCAACAACACTTTGCTAAAATACTGTGTTAAAGATCCAGCTTAGCCAGGTTATTAGAGTCTTGTTCTGCTATTTTACAGTCTGCTTATTTTTAGGTTTCACATTCCTCATGTTGAAGTAGTGCTACAGATGTTTATGATTATCCTACTCAGACTGAGCACTGCTTTATGACTTGCTGCCTTTGGGGCATATACCTTACTTGTAGAACCAGTGACAGCACTGGTAGTATATCAGATGAAGCAACCCACCCAACATACCTTCAGGATTGACCCAGGTTGATAGAATCCCATCTTACAGCTTGCACCCTTTCAGACTTTTATATGCTGGGACTAGACATTCCTACCTCATAGGCTCAGTGAATAATTGGTTTTTTAGAGATGGGGGTCTCCCTGTGTTGCCCAGGCTGGGGTGCAGTGGCTGTTCTCCAGCATAGTAATTGCACACTACAGCTTTGAACTCCTGGCCTCAAGCAATGCCTCAGCCTCCTGAGTAGCTGGAATTACAGTTTTGTGCCACGATGCCTAGCTAGGCAGTGAAGAATTTTTAACACATGAACATACTATAGAGGATAAAGAACAAAGAATACTTTTGGTTCACCAGTATTATTTAATAGGGCTTTGTATAGGTGCTTCGCCAATCAAGTATGAAGATATTCTCTCATTTTCCTAGTTACTGTGAAAGAATACATAGAATGACAAGAAGTGTCTGTTTTTTACTGTTTTATTCATCAAGTCAGGAAGTGTTCTAATCTGCATTTGGATTTGATGTTCAGTAATTTCAGTATTGTTTATTATGTGATTTTTCAACAAAGTCAGAAATCCGTTCTACAGCCACAGCACTTCCTCTCATTAAGTAGATGAGCCTTCAGTTCACAAATGTGTCAAGGCTGATCTCAGCAGCATATACTTAGAATATATATGAGAAAAATGTTTGCTATTAATTTTCTCTTGCCTCATGTTATCTTCTGAAAGGAAAATCTTGGCCTGAAATCTGAACTTTGCTGACAGATAAAAGATGAATGGCCATTACAGTGGCTCACGCCTGTAATCCCAGTACTTTGGGAGGCCAAGGCTTGTGTCCAGGAGTTCGATACCAGGCTGGGGCAACATGGTGAAACCCCATCTTTACAAAAAATACAAAAATTAGTTGGGTGTGGCATGCCTGTAGTTCCAGCTACTTGGGTGGCTGAAGTGGGAGGGTTGCTTGAGCCCCGGAGGTCAAGGCTATAGTGCGCTGTGATTGTATCACTGCACTCCAGCCTGGACAACAGAGTGATACTCTTTCAAAAAACCAAAAGAGAGAGAAAAAAGTTGAGTATGTGCTCAGCTATATACTTAGGGTATTATTTTTAGGTTATAAAAATTATTTGGATATATATTTTTAAACAAGAAAGAGAATTCTGGCTGGGTACGGTGGCTCATGCCTGTAATTCCAGCACTTTGGGAGGTCGAGGCGGGTGAATCACCTGAGGTCAGGAGTTCGTGATCAGCCTGGCCAACATGGTGAAATGCTGTCTCCACAAAAAATACAAAAATTAGCTGGGAGTGGTGGTGGACGTCTGTAGTACCAGCTATTTGGGAGGCTGAGGCAGGAGAATTGCTTAAACCTGAGAGGTCGAGGCTGCAGTGAGCTGAGATCGCGCCACTGCACTCCAGTCCAGCCTGGGTGACAGAGCAAGGCTCCGTCTCAAAAAAGAAGAAGAAGAACAAAGAGAGAATTCTGGATTCTGCAAATAAATTTTTAAAATTTAATGCGACTGCCAAGACATGAACTTATCTTGCTGTTATGTTAACAAGAGCAAGCTGTAACACTGTGGGTGATTATGTTTTTCTTTTTTTTTTTTTTGAGACGGAGTCTCGCTCTGTCGCCCAGGCTGGAGTGCAGTGGCGCGATCTCGGCTCACTGCAACCTCCGCCTCCCGGGTTCACGCCATTCTCCTGCCTCAGCCTCCCGAGTAGCTGGGACTACAGGCGCCCGCTACCACGCCCGGCTAATTTTTTGTATTTTTAGTAGAGACGGGGTTTCATTGTGTTAGCCAGGATGGTCTCGATCTCCTGACCTCGTGATCCGCCCGCCTCGGCCTCCCAAAGTGCTGGGATTACAGGTGTGAGCCACCGCGCCCGGCCTATGTTTTTCTTTAGAGACAGCCTTTGAGTTGGTGATAAGCTTATGCACTGAAGATGCCTTGACCAGCAAAACCTGTGTCATGAGAGGCAGAGTCCCACTTTTCTGTATATTATGCACATTGGAATTCTATTTTCATTTTAAGCTAAGCTGACATAGAAAGTAGCTTTAAATGTCAGAAGCAGGTTTGTGATACTCACTAGTTACATCCATTTTAACCTCTGTTATCACTACTACTTGAAATCATGGAATTATATTGGAAATAAAATTAAATATTACCAAATACGAACTTGACAAGACTATAATTTGGCCTAAAACTGATCCAGATGATCTCAAGTGTTAATTTGAAAAATAGTTACCAATTTTTCTTTTTTCTTTTCCTGTTTTTTTTTTTTTTTTTTTTTTTTTTTTTGAGATGGAGTTTTGCTCTTGTCGCCCAGGCTGGAGTGCAATGGCATGATCTTGGCTCACTGCAACCTCTGCCTCCCGGGTTCAAGCGATTCTCCTGCCTCAGTCTCCCTAGTAGCTGGGATTACAGATGCCCACCACCATGCCCAGCTAATTTTTGTATTTTTAGTAGAGACGGGGTTTCGACCTGTTGGCCACGCTGGTCTCAAACTCGTGACCTCAGGCCATCCGCCTGCCTTATAACTCCCAGAGTCCTGGGATTACAGGCGTGAGCCACAGCGCAGGACCAATAGTTAACCAATTTTTCAAACCACAGGAAATAAAAATTAGCCATGTCAACATGGATTAAACTTAAATTTTTGTTTAAAATGCTGATTTTTAGAAACTAAGCTTTTTAAAAAGTTTCAGTTCATTCTATGATCTTTAATACATCAGTTCATTCTATGATCTTTAATACATCAGTTATTCATTTTGAGACATGTTGAACAAATAAATTAGGATACAGCAGGAATCCCATCTTTTGAAGAATTCATTGGTAATGGGACAGAGAAGTCAGTAATTCAAAAACAGCAGAACTGTTAAAATTTCAAGTCTACTTAATTTGTTTACTAAAAGAGAAAATGATATCCACATTTTTTTTTTTTTTTTGAGACGGAGTCTTGCTCTGTCGCCAGGCTGTAATCCATCTCGGCACACTGTAACCTCTGCGTCCCGGGTTCAAGCAGTTCTCCTGCCTCAGCCTCTCGAGTTGCTGGGACTACAGGTGCACACCGCCATGCCTGGCTAATTTTTTTTTTTTTTCTTTTTTGTATTTTAGTAGAGACGGGGTTTCACCATGTTGCCCAGGTTGGTCTTGAACTCCTGAGCTCAGGCAGTCCGCCCGCCTCTGCCTCCCAACGTGCTAGAATTACAGGCATGAGCTACTGCGCCCGGCCAATATCCACATCTTCTAAACCTTAATGGGGAGATTTCAGGAAAGCAGGTAAAATTTTGTAGACTGGGAACACGAAAACAGGGAGAATCCTAAAGCAAGAGGCAGTTGGGGAACAAGCAGCAGCTTTAGATGCAGTAATTAGAGAACTGAGTTCTGCTTCCTATCCCTTGTATAGAAAGTTACTGTAGATATTTAGGATTTTGGAACTGGGTATATTAAGGAACGAGATATGTTAAGTGTATTAAGAAAGGAAGTATTTTTTAGTTGAATAATGCCTAGCATATACCTTATATTATATTCCTTATTTTGTATATATATGTATGTATATATACACACTCTCAAATTACATTATATTCCTTATTTTATATATATTTTTATATATTGTGTGTGTGTGTGTGTGTGTGTGTGTATATATATATATATATATATATATATATATTTTTTTTTTTTTTTTTTTTTTTTTTTTGAGACAGGGCCTCACTTTGTCACCCAGGCTAGAGTGCAGTGGCATGATCTCAGCTCACTGCAGTCTTGACCTCCCAGGTTCAGGTGACCCTCCTGCCTTAGCCCCGGAAGTTGCTTCTCTGTCCCATTACCAATTAATTCTTCAAAAGATGGGACTCTTCTGGTATCCTAATTTTTTTATTTGTTCAACATGTCTCAAAATGAATAACTGATGTATTAAAGATCACAGAATGGATTCAAACTTTTTAAAAAGCTTAGTTTCTAAAAATCAAGTTGTACAAGTTGTGGGGCTAAGGCAGGAGGATCACCTGAACCTGGGAGGTCAAGGCTGTAGTGAGCTGAGATCACGCCACTGCACTCCAGCCAGGGTGACAAAGTGAGACCTTGTCTCCAAAAAAAAAAATATATATATATATATGTGTGTGTGTGTGTATTTATATATACAAATGTATATTTAATATATATCAAATATATATATTAGTGGGCTGCCAGCACGGCCCACTAATTTTTTTGTATTTTTTGTAGAGATGAGGGTTCACCATATGGCCCAGGCTGGTCTCAAACTCCTGAGCTCAAGCAATCTACTTGCCTTGGCCTCCCAAAGTGCTGGGATTACAGGCCTGAGCCACCCCGCCTGGCACCTTACTATATTTTAATGAATGAAATGATGTAGTATGGAAAAAAAAAAAATCCCTAAATGGAGACCTGAGTTTCCATCTCATCTCTGCTACTTAATTCTGAGGTTTCAGGTAGATTATTTAACCTATCTGAGTTTTCTTATCTTAAGGATAAAGATGAATTCACCTACCCTATGGGACTATTAAGAATAAAATGAAGGTCCTGTGTAAAAAACTAAATAACTGTTCATTATTCTTGCTGCTGTTGGTTGGATTGAGTAGAAAGGTCCTATGGTTAGGACATTATAAAGTACGTCTACTTAGCTTCTAAGATGTAATATTTCTATAACTTCAGTAAGGATGTGCATTTAATAGTCAATAAATTAAACCTTTTAAAGCTGTGATTTAAAAACTATAAAATAAACAATGAAATGAGAAATGGGCAAATTCAAATAATTTTATTTTACCTTGAGCAAGAAGACTATGCCAATGCTAATGCTTTGCTTTCCCCTGCCCCTGCCCTTCCCAAAGAGAAGAGAACAGACAGCAATGGCAGAGTATATTTCGTCAACCACAACACACGAATTACACAATGGGAAGACCCCAGAAGTCAAGGGTAAGAATAGTTACTTGTGTATATTTAATCTCTTAAAGATTATACCTTATTTCTAACAACTGAAGAAGATCAAAGTTCATATTCTTTTGCCAAAGACCTAAAACGTTAATCACCTACATACTTTGGAAAGAGAAAATTATACTATTATTTTCATCTAATGGAAAGTTTGAAGATTTCTTCAAAGTGCAGGAAAAAACTTTAACTGGGCATGGTGGCTCATGCCCATTATCCCAGCACTTTGGGAGGCCAAGGAGGGAGGATTGTTTGAGGCCAGGAAGACCTGCGTAATGCAGTGAGACCCTGTCTCTACAAAAAAAATCCCCAAAATTGGGTGTGTTGGCATGTATACCTGTAGTCCCAGCTACTCGGGAGACTGAGGTGGGAGGATCACCTGAGCCCAGGAAGTCGAGACTGCAGTGAACTATGATTGTGCCAGTACACTCCAACCTGGAGGACAGGTTGAGGGCTGTTTCAAAAAAAAAGAAAACAATAGAAAAGCAAAAAAAATTATCTGGCACATGAGAATATACTTATTAACATATATATTATTTTTAATTACTAAGAACAGATTAGTGATTCTAAATCAGGGTTTCTTAACCTGAGATCACTGGTTAAGAATCTAGGGTATGTGGTTTCAAGGAGGAAGAAAATACATACTCAGTTTCATTACTCTTTACTGGAAATTTAGTATCTTCTTCCATTATGAATGTAGGCTACTACCATGTAGGATTAAGAATGCCTAGGAGTTTGCCATCAGTAGAAGTCAAAGGGTGTTAAAAAATATTCTGTTGTTGTTGCAGATATCTCTAAATACTTGTTTACACACATAATTACAAGGACTTGCTAATTTATTAATAAAGAGATATATGTACATTATCACAAAGGTCTCCCTTTGTTGCCCAGGCTGTTCTCAAACTCCTGTCTTTAAGCGATCCTCCTGCCTTAGCCTCCTGAGTAGCTGGGATTACAGAAATAATGTTTTGACAATTATGTATATATAATGGTTTATCTTTGTAACATGTTATAATAGTATGCATATTAGTTTGCTAGGGCGCCTTAACAAAGTACCACAGAGGAGGTTGCTTAAACCATAGAAATGTATGTCTCAGGGTTCTGGAGGCTAGAAGCTTGAGATCACGATGTCAGCAGGGCCATGCTCACTCAGAAGATACTAGGAAGAGATCTGTTCCAGGTCTTTCTCCTGGCTTCTTGTAGCTCCTTGGCTTGTGGCAGCATGAATCCAGTCTTCACATGGCACTCTTCCTGTCTGTATGTCTATCTGTACCCAAATTTCCTGTTTATAAGGACGTCAGTCCTATAGGATTAGTGGCCCACAGTACTTCAGTATGACCTCATCTTGATACATCTGCAGTAACTCTGTTTCCAAATAAGGTCACATTCTGAGTTATTGAGGGCCAGGATATAAACGTGCATTTGGAGGGAGGACACAGTTCAACCCATAACAGTCTGTAATACTATGCATTTATCAGACTGCCAGAGGGTTCCATTCTGCAAGGAATTTGGCAGACTGTACAGTCGGAGGGCACAGTCCTCCACAAAACTGCTGCCCTCACTTCAGACATCAGCGACAATATTGGGGGTCCACAGGATGACTCCAGACCAACTGTCTACAAATTTGGGGGCCCCCACCACCACTCTTAGGTATGATAAGTTACTAGAAGTACTGAGAACTCATTGAAACCTCTTATAGTCACATTTATTCTAGAGAAAGAATGCAAAATAAAATCAGCAGAAGGAATAGGTGCACAGGGCAGAGTCTGGGAGGCTCTGAACATCCAGCATTATTGTGGGACAGTACACATTGAGGTCGAGTATCACCAACCAGGGAAGTCTCTGGTATCTAGGGTTTTTATTGGGGCTTGATCACGTACTGCCCTCTTGGCTGACCTTTTGTCTCCAGTCCTTACTGGAGATTTGAGCTAATGCCCTTTAGTCTCTAGTTCCTCCAGAGGTCGGAACTGATGCTCCATGTCCCACAGCCTTGACTGTCCAGTGATCAAAGCCTCCAGGCAAACAAAGATATTCCCAATACGCAGTGCATTCCAAGGGCCTAAACATCACTACCAAGTTGCTGAGGGCAAAGGCCAGACCTCTCTTTTGGTATAATTATAATTTGAGAACAGATATTCCATGGCTCAAAAGTTTTAAAAACTTTTGTTCTGAAGGTATGGTTTAGGTTGCACTGAGCTGAGATCATACCACTGCATTCCAGCTTGGGCGACAGAGTGTGACTCTGCCTCAAAAAACTAAAACTAAAAATAAATAAAAAAAGATATGCTTTCAACTTAAAATAGTTTTTTCTGCCTACCAACAAATGACCATTTTCTTTTTAAATGGAGTTACTGCATTTACTTAAATTTATTCAGTTTCCATAAAGGAAGAATGAAGAATTTCATAGATAACATTTTCTTCCTCTTTAGAATTTTCTAAGAATAGAATTGAAGAAGTCACCTTTCTATAATTTGCTGCCATTTTTTTGTTTCCTCTTAGATGTTTAAAGTTTTATAGCTAAAGTTAGAATTCTGCTTTAACAACACAGATGACCTAGTTCTATCTAATTTATTTTCAAGACAACAACTTGTTACTGAGCCTATCTTGCAAGTATAACAATTGAGAATCCTCTTTTTTACATTTTTGGTAGTCTGTTTTATCTGACATTTGTATTCAGTTAAGTGAATACAGGTTTGTTGTTGTTGTTGTTGTTGTTGTTTGAGACAAGGTCTCAGTCTGTCACCCAGGCTGGAGTGAAGTGACATGATCATGGCTTGCTGCAGCCTTGACCTCCTGGGCTCAAGCAATCCTCCTGCCTCAGCCTCCCAAGTAGCTTGGACTATAGGCATGGGCCACCACACCCAGCTTTTTTTTTTTTTTTTTTTTTGGGTAGAGACGGTGTCTCTATGTTGCCCAGGCTGGTGGGAAGTTGTTGCCAAACACACAAACTGAAATACTTGATTAAAAGATGTCCTGGCAGTATGTAGGAAATACTTTTGGAAGACCTAAAGAGAACGATCAATCTATAGTTGTAGTAGGAGTAATAACAATTACAACTTGGGCTCACTGTCACTTTTTACCTGTCTCATTTGTTCCTCATCTAGTCTCATAGACATTGTTGTCTCTGTTTTATGGACAAAGAACCTAAAGTTTAGAGAGATTAAGCAGCTTGTCTAGGGTCACAAGAGTTTTCAAGGTATAAAGATAGGTATTAAGGAGGTGGCATGGAATACTTCATAAATAACATATTAGGCCTTGTGTAGTGTCTCAACATCTGTAATCCCAGTGCTTTGAGAGGCCAAAATAGGAGGATCACTTCCGGTCAGGAGTTCAAGACCAGCCTGGGGAACATAGTGAGACCAGTCTCTACATAAAATTTTATAATTTAACCGGGTGTGGTGGTATACAACTGTAGTCCTAGCTACTAGGGAGGCTGAGGTGGGAGGATTGCTTGAACCCAGGAGTTTGAGGCTGCAGTGAACTATGATCATGCCACTGCACTCCACCCTGGGCAGCAGAGTGAGATTCTTTCTCTTAAAAGAATCTTTTTTTGAGTTGCCTTAGTAGAAAAACAGTAGATAGATAATATGGGACAAAAGGAAAGGCTTCATTTGGAGGTGTGGCAGATCATATCTTATTTAAGGAAGTGCTGAGTGGCCTACACTGTGAAATCATGGGATTCATGAAAGGGAGTTAGAGGTTTGGGTGCAAAGGGAACATTGAGGCCAGCGTATAGAGGCTGAGTGAATGCCATATGAAGAACTTTAGATCTTAATCATTGGTAATGGTGGAACAGTGATAGTACTTTACAGAGATAACTAATTTAAATAAGATCTCTGTTTTAGGATGATACTCTGTTAGCAGTATCAGTATAAGAGCAGGCCTAGAGTGAGATCAGATAAGGAAAACGAGTTAGGTGGCTGTTCAAAAAATGCAGAAGATGGCTGGGCGCAGTGGCTCACGCCTGTAATTCCAGCACCTTGGAAGGCTGAGGTGGGAGGATCACAAGGTCAGGAGTTCAAACCCAGCCTGGCCAACATGGTGAAACCCTGTCTCTACTAAAAATACAAAAATTAGCTGGGCGTGGGCGTGGTGGCAGGCGCCTGTAGTCCCAGCTGAGGCTGAGGCAGGAGAATCGCTTGAACCTGGGAGGTGGAGGTTGCAGTGAGCCAAGATATCGTGCCCCTGCACTCCAGCCTGGGCGACAGTGAGACTCCATCTATAAAAAAAAAAAAAAAAAAAAAAAAGCAGGAGAGAAACAAAGCCAGAGAAAGGATGGTGTTGGGGATTGGAAATAGAGATGAACGTGAAGATTTCTAAGGCAGAATGGTTAGAACTTGGTTAACAAAATGTTTAGGATGAGTCATTAGCTAATGGGGAACATAAGCCAAGTAGACGGCAGAAGACTTGAGTTGTGTTTGATGGACTTTGAGTTTAACCTGTTTGTAGGATGTCCACATAGAGATGTCTAGTATACAACTGAATTACTGAACTGAATGGTTTTCTAAAAGATTTCTGCTATGTTTATTGACATTTGTAGCTTCTGTACTTGGCAAACAAGCAACTCTTTAATATTTTTGTTTATGTTTTTTCCTGTGTTTCGTAGTCAATTAAATGAAAAGCCCTTACCTGAAGGTTGGGAAATGAGATTCACAGTGGATGGAATTCCATATTTTGTGGACCACAATAGAAGAACTACCACCTATATAGATCCCCGCACAGGAAAATCTGCCCTGTAAGTTTTCTAAACATTGTAGATTAAGAGTAAAATACTAGTCCTTCAGATTTTGATATAAAGATTTGTATTAGCAAGGAGTGGAAGTCTTAGTATTTCTTGAGTTAGCTTGACAATAGGTTTCTGTTCATTAAGTATTTTGCATTTCCATCTCCCTCTTGGATATTTTATCCTAGAGATTTTCATATTTGTTACCATTTGTTCACACAGCACTAAATGAAACTATTTAGAATTTATAGGTATTGTACTGCTTACCAATTAGTCTCTGATTTCTGATTTTCAGCTTCTTTCATTCCCTTAACTTTTTGACGTTAAAAAAGCTCTCATTACTTATCCCCCACCCCATTTCTGAGAAAGTAACCTTTTGATTTGCTTATGTGCTTTATGACTTCTTTTGTGGGAAAATATATAACCTAAAGTTTCTTGTTTTATGTGTACAGTTCAGTGGCATTAAGCACATTCATATTGTGGCATAATCATTACCACCATCCATCTCCAGAATGTTTTCATCATTCCACACTGAAACACTGTACCCTTTAAACAATAACTTTAGCAGACCTGGTAACCAGCCTTCTACTGTCTTTCTCTATGAATTTGACTAGTCGAAGTACCTCATATTATTGGAGTCATACAATATTTATGCTTATGTTTCTGGATTATTTCACTAAGGTCATATCTTCAAGATTTATCCGTGTTGTAATATGTATCAACATTTTCATTCCTTATTGAAGCTGAATAATATTCCAGTGTATGTATATATCACATTTTGTTTATTCACAGATATTTGCATTGTTTCTGTTTTTTGGGGGGTATTGTAAATAATGCTGCTCTGAACATTGGTATATAATTTTCTGCTTGAGGCCGGGCGCAGTGGCTCATGCCTGTAATCCCAGCGCTTTGGGAGGCCAAGGCAGGCGGATCACCTGATATCAGGAGTTGGAGACCAGTCTGGTCAACATGGCAAAACCCCATCTCTACTAAAAATACAAAAATTAGCTGGGCATGGTGGCGCACACCTGTAATCCCGGCTACTCGGGAGTGTGAGGCAGGAGAATCGCTTGAACCCAGGAGGCAGAGGTTGCAGTGAGTCAAGATCATGCCACAGCACTCCAGCCTGGGTGACAGAGTGAGACTCCGTCTCAAAAAAACACCAAAAACCAAGTATCTGTTTGAGTTCCTACTTCGATGACTTTTGTATCTGTACCCAAAAGTTAGGGTTAGGGTTAGGGTTAGGATGACTTTTGTATCTATTGCTGGATTAAATATTAATTCTGTATTTAATTTTTTGAAGAACCACCATACTGTTTTTCAGTGTCTGTGCCAGTTTACATTTCCACCCTAGTGCAGAAGAATTCCAATTTCTGTACGTTCTCATCAACTCTTCTGTTTTTTTTTTCTTCATCATCATCATATTTTTTTTTAAATAGTCATCCTTAATGTCGTATTTCATTGTGGTTTTTCTTTGTATTTTTCTAATGGTTTGTGATGTTGAGTATCTTTTCATATGCTTCTTGGCTATTTGTGTATCTTCTTTGGAAAAATGTCTCTTCAAGTCCTTTGCCCATTTGTTGTTGTTTTTTTTTTCTTTTGCGATTGAGTTTTAGGTGTTCTCTATATATTCTGGGTGTTAATCCCTTATCAAATACATGATTTGCAATTATTTTCTCCCATTCTGTGGTTTCCTTTTTACTGTAGATAGTGCCCTTTGATGTATAAAACATTTTAGATTTTGATGTCTGATTTGTCAATTTTTTCTTTTCTTTTCTTTTTTGAGACAGTCTCTCTCTCTGTCACCCAGGCTGGAGTGCAGTGGCACAATCTCGGCTCACTGCAAGCTATGCCTCCCGGGTTCACGCCATTCTCCTGCCTCAGCCTCCGAAGTAGCTGGGCCTACAGGCGCCCGCCACCATGCCCAGCTAATTTTTTTTTTTTTTTTTGTATTTTGTTTAATAGAGACGGGGTTTCACCACATTAGCCAGGATGGTCTTGATCTCCTGACCTCGTGATCCACCCACCTCAGTCTCCCAAAGTGCTGGGATTACAGGCGTGAGCCACCGTGCCCGGCCTGTTTTTTCTTTTTTTTTTTTTCTTTCTTTCTTTCTTTTTTTTTTTTGAGACGGAGCTTCACTCTTTTTGCCCACTCTTTTTGCCCAGGAGTGCAATGGTGCGATCTCGGCTCACCACAACTTCTGCCTCCTGGGTTCAAGCTATTCTCCTGCTTCAGCCTCCCGAGTCGCTGGGATTATAGGCATGCACCACCACGCTGAGCTAATTTTGTATTTTTAGTAGAAGACAGGGTTTCTCCTTGTTGGTCAGGCTGATCTCGAACTCCCGACCTCAGGTGATCCGCCCGCCTCAGCCTCCTGAAGTGTTGGGATTACAGATGTGAAGCTCCGCGCCCAGCCTGTCAGTTTTTTCTTTGTCACCTGTACCTTTGGTGTCATATCCAAGAAATCATTTCCAAATCCAGTGTCATAAAGCTTTGCCCTAAGTTCTTTTTTTTTTTGTAGATAGAGTCTCACTCTGTCGCCCAGGCTGGAGTGCAGTGGCAAGATCTCAGCTCACTGCAACCTCTACCGCCTGGGTTGAAGCGATTCTTTTGCCTCAGCCTCCTGAGTAGCTGGGGTTTTAGCTACGCACCAACACGCCTGGCTAATTTTCGTATTTTTAGTAGAGACGGGGTTTCACCATGTTGGTCAGGCTGGTCTCAAACTCCTGACCTCGTGATCCACACCCCCTCAGCCTCCCAAAGAGTAGGGATTACAGGCATGAGCCACCGCGCCTGGCCTGAGAGTTCTTTAATTTTAGCTCTTACATTTAGATCTTTTATCCATTTTAAGTTAAATTTTGTATATGGTGTTGGGTAAGGGTCCAACTTCATCTTTTTGAATGTGAATGTCCAATTTTCCCAAGCACCATTTGTTGAAAAGACTGTCCTTTCCCCATTGCATGACTGTGGCACCATTGTCAATAGCATTTTACCATATATGCAAGGGATTATTTCTGGGCTGTTTATTCTGTTGGTCTGTATGTCTGATTTGCCAATACCACGCTATAGCTTTGTAGCAAGTTTTCAAATCAGGAAGGTATGTGTCCTCCAACTTTGTTCTTTTTTTCAAGCTGCTTTTGACTATTCAGGGTCCTTTGAGATTCCATATGAATTTTAGGATGGATTTTTTTATTTCTGAAAAAAAGAAGTCATTTGGATTTTGATAGGGGATTTTATTGAATGTACAGAATCAATAAAATCCATATTGATCAATACAGATTCAATATCTGTATCAATCTGGGGTAGTGTGGTCATCTTAACAATATTAAGTCTTCCAATCCATGAATGTGGATATCTTTGTGTTTTCTTTGATTTCTTTCAGCAGTGTTTTGTGGTTTTCAGTGTACGAGTCTTTTGCCTTCTTGATTAATTCCTAAGTATTTTTTATTCTTTGTGATGCTATTGTAAATGGAATTGTTATCTTAATTTTCTTTTTATATTGTTTATTCTTAGTATATAGAAATGGAACTATTTTGTGTTGACTTTGTATGCTGCTACTTTCCTGAATTCACTTACTCTGGCAGGGTTTTTCGTTGTGGAATATTTAGTGTTTTCTTCGTAAAAGATCTTAGCTTCTGAAAACAGATAAGTTTTCTTCTTCCCAATTTGGGTATCTTTTATTTATTTATTTATTTTTCTTGCTTAATTCCTCTGGCTAGAGCTTCTGGATACTATGTTGACTACAAGTGGTGAAAATAGGCATTCTTATATTGTTCCTCATCTTAAAGAAAAAACTTCTAACCATTGAATGTGATGTTTGCTGTTAGATTTTTATATGTGCCTTTTATTATATTGAGGTAGTTTCCCTCTATTCCTAGTGTTTCCTATCCCTGTTGTGGAGTGTTTTATCATGAAAGTGTATTAAATTTTGTAAAATCCTTTTTTGGTATCAATTGAGATGATCATGTGATTTTTTCCCCCCCTCATTCTGTTAATGTGGTATATTATGTTGATTTTTCATAGGTTGAACCTTTTTTGCATTCCAGGAATAAATCCTACTTAGTCAAAAGGATTAAAGTGTGCTTTTAATATGCTGCTGAGATTTTTTTGCTGATTTTTTTTTAGTATTTTTCCATCAGTGTTCATAAGGAATGTTGCTCTGTAGTTTTCTTATAGTGTGGCTTTCTTAGAGCAAAGATGGTTCCCTATTACTTTCTAATTTTATACTTCTACACATTAACAACTTTTATATTTAAAGCAGAAACTGGAAAATCAGGCCAATTTGGTATTAATGAAATTACAGAGGTAATTTAGATATGGGAATAAATTACCGATAATATTATTCTATCATTCATTTTAGTTACAATAAGTTTGGGTGCATATAATAGAAAACACTAAAATAATAGTGGTTTATGTAAGATAGAAGTGTATTTGTCCCCATTATTTAAAAATAGTCCAGCAGGACTTACACCACATCATTACCATTGCTCAAAAAAGAAGTTACAAGAAAAATCAGGAAATATTTTATTTTGAATAATAATTAAAACACCACATATCACAATTTGTGGGATTTAACTAAAGTAGTCTTCAGCGGGAAACTTTTGTTTTAAAGAAGTAGATGAGAATATAGGAAAGATAAAATCAGTGATCTCTGCTTTTACATTCAGATGCTAGAAAAAGGCAAGTTATTAAACCTAAAGTAAGTACAAGAAAGGAAATAAATAAAAGCAGAACTCAGTGAAGTGGAAAAGAAACAATGGAGCGCCCAAAGCTAGAAGATAAATTTTTGGTAAACATTAATAATATTAACAACCCTTAGTAATTAAACCTATAGAGAAAAAAAGAGGGACATCACTGTATATTTTATAGACATTAAAAGGATAATAAAGGGTATATTTATGCCAATAACTTTAACATTTTAGATCAAATGGACAAATTCTTTGAAAGATATGTCACCAAAATGGACACAAGAACAGATAGTAAGTCTAAATATCCCTATAGCTGATAAATCAAATGCATAATTAAATAATTTTTAAGGGCAGGCCCAGTGGCTCATGCCAGTAATCTCAGCACTTTGGGAGGCCAAGGTGGGCAGATCACTTGAGCTCAAGAGTTCAAGACCAGCCTAGGCAACATGGTGAAACCCATGTCTACAAAAAATACAAAATATTAGCTGGGTGTGGTGGTGCATGCCTGTAGTCCCAGTTACTTAGGAGGGTGAGATGGGAAGATTGCTTGAGCCCAGGAAGCTGTGGTGAACCGAGATCGCGCCACTGTACTTGAGCCTGGGTGGCAGAGTGTGACCCTGTCTCAAAAAAAAAAAAAAAGAAAAAAAAGATTTCTCATGAAGAAAATTCTGGCCTAGATGGTGTCACTGGTAAGGTTCATCAAACTTATAAGTTATAAATTAATCAGTCCTATTCAAATTCATTCATAAAATACAAGTGATGGAAATGTTTTCTTTTTCATTTTTTTTTTTTTTTTTTTTTTTTGAGACGGAGTTTCACTCTTGTTGCCCAGGCTGGAGTGCAATAGCCCAATCTCGGCTCACCGCAACCTCGGCCTCCCTGGTTCAAGCAATTCTCCTGCCTCAGCCTCCTGATTAGCTGGGATTATAGGCATGCGCCACCATGCCTGGCTAATTTTGTATTTTTAGTAGAGATGAGGTTTCAGGCCACTGCATTCCACCCTGGGTGACAGAGTGACATTCCATGTCAAAACAAACAAAATTGGTTAAAGGAGAAAAATCATACGATAATTTCAGGAAAAGCTTGTGACATAATACAATGCAAATTTATGAGAAACTCTCAGCTACCTTGGAAACTTTTTTTTTTTTTTTTTTGAGACGGAGTCTCACTTTGTCGCCCAGGCTGGAGTGCAGTGGCACAATCTCAGCTCACTGCAAGCTCTGCCTCCCGGGTTCACGCCATTCTCTTGCCTTAGCCTCCTGAGTAGCTGGGACTACAGACGCCCGCCACCACACCTGGCTAATTTTTTGTATTTTTAGTAGAGACGGGGTTTCACTGTGTTAGCCAGGATGTTCTCAATCTCCTGACCTCATGATCCACCTGCCTTGGCCTCCCAAAGTGCTGGGATTACAGGCGTGAGCTGCTGCGCCCTGCCGGAAACATTTTTATTGGAAAAAAAAAATGTAACAAAAGCTTACAGCCAACATCACAATTAATGATGAAATACCGTAGAACATCAAGAGTAAGACAAGGATATCTACTGTCATTACTTCATTCAACATTGTGTCAGTATTCCTACCCAGTGCAGTGAGATGAGAAAAAGAAATACAGGCCGGGCATGGTGGCTCACGCCTGTAATCCCAGCACTTTGGGAGGCCCAGGCAGGCAGATCACTTGAGGCCAGGAGTTTGAGACCAGCCTGGCCAACATGGCTAAACCCCGTCTCTACTAAAAATACAAAAATTAGTCAGTCATGGTGGTGGGCACCTGTAATCCCAGCTACTCAGGAGGCGGAGGCAGGAGAATCGCTTGAACCTCTGGGTCAGAGGTTACAGTGAGCAGAGATTGCGCCACTGCACTCCAGCCTGGGAGACAGAGCAAGACTCCATCTCAAAAAAAAAAAGAAAGAAAAGAAAAGAAATATAAGATGTATAAATTGGAAAGGAAGAAGTAAAACTGTCTCTTTTCCCCTCACACAAATAACGTTTGTATACAGAAAATCATGAAGAATCTAGAAAAAATTACTAGAACTAGTAAGTGAATTTAACAGCGTAACAGAATATAAAGTCAATGTACAAAATCAGTTGTATTTCTACACTGATATACATTGAATTTTTAAGAGGGAGATAATGCAGTGGTATTAAGTCCAAGGCTAGCTGAGAAACCCCATGGTGTCATAGTGATCTAAAATTCTTCTGTCTTTTCTACCATCCTAGAGTATGGTCTCATTCTTCAAAGTGACCTCATGGTCTGTGACAGCTGCTGAAACTTAAGCTATCAGGGTCACACTCCAGGCTGGAATTTGGAGGAAGGGCAAATTATAAACACACACACACACACACACACACACACTCACACACTTTTTAGCTATTTTAGCTGTCTTTTAGAAAATCCTTCCTTTTTTTTTTTAGACGGAGTCTAGCTTTGTCACCCTTGCTGGAGTGCAGTGGTGCAATCTCAGCTCACTGCAGCCTTGACCTCTGAGGTTCAAGTGATTCTCCTGCCTCAGCCTCCCAAGTAGATGGGATTAGAGGCACCTGCCACCACACCCGGCTAATTTTTATAATTTTTAGTAGAGACAGAGTTTCAACATGTTGGTCAGGCTGGTCTCAAACTCCTGACCTCAGATGATCCACCCGCCTCAGCCTCCCAAAGTGCTGGGATTTATAGGTGTGAACCACTGCACCTGGCCAAAAAGATCCTTCTTGAACGTTTCATATGCCACTTTCACTTAGAGACTTAAGTCACATGGCCATATAGAGAAATGTAGTCTTTATTATATGTAGCATTCTACTTAGTTAAATAGCAAGGGTTTTACTTAAAGATAAAGGAGGGAATTGATGTTGGGATAGACAGCATTCTCAGATAGAAACCCCTTTACTTAGCCCTCTTAGATTTGGCAGCATAGAAAAGAAAATCCCACAACAGTAGTTTCAACAAAATCAAAGTTTTTTGTTTGTTTTTTCTGTTACTTAAAAGTATTCTTGGGGAAATATCTCTCAAAAAGCAAAGAATGGTTTTGTTAGGAATATGCTATATTTTTGAATTTGGTTAGTAAGTGCTGAGAGAGGGTGGGATATTTTGCTTTCCTTCAGCATTATCTTTTACAAGCAGCTATATATGTCCTGTTAACCCTTGTTCTTCCTCAGAGACAATGGACCTCAGATAGCCTATGTTCGGGACTTCAAAGCAAAGGTTCAGTATTTCCGGTTCTGGTGTCAGGTTAGTATTGGAACTGTATCTCTGTACTGCCTTAACTTTGTTGTGTTGCTTTATATTACACAGTGATTGTGAAAATACTTAACTCACAGAAAAACAGGTAAAATGGGAAGCATTAGAATCTCTTTCATCTATTTTTAGAGCAAATAAATAGATTTATCAATTAGATCATTTGTGACTTTGGTTATTCAGAAAATTAAACCTCATGTAATCCCAGCACTTGGGGAGGCCGAGGTGGGCAGATCACTTGAGCTCAGGAGTTCAGGACCAGTCTGGGCAACATATTGAGGCCTTACCTCTGTAAATATATATATATATATATTTCTTTTTTTTAAAGAAGAAAATTAAACTTGAAACCATCTGAATAAGCAAACATTGTCACTTTTTCCTCAGTAGCCATTACTTTCAGATTGCAGGAATCTTCAAATGTAAGTAAAAGCATTTTCTGATATAATTTTAACCAGCTACTTTATTTTTATGTGTTATTTTTTCTGAGACAGGATCTCACTCTGTCACCCAGGCTGGAGTGCAGTGGTGCCATCATGGCTTACTGCAGCCTTGACCTCCTGGGCTCAAGTGATCCTCTTGCCTCAGCCTTCTCGCTAGCTGACACTACAGATGCACTTCACCACACCTGGCTAATTTTTAGTAGAGACAGGGTCCCCTTATGTTGCCCAGGCTGGTTTTGAACTCCTGGATTCAAATGATCCTCCTGCCTCATCTTCCCCAAGTGCTGGGATTACAGGCATAAACCAGCATGCCCGGACACCAGCCATTTTTATATCTATCGTTTGATATAACTGACTTTGATAGATAAATACATGTTCATACATACATGAACATGTCCATACATAGATGTTATATTCAGTGTTTTTTTCAGATGTGATCAACTATTTCTTATGTATAGATATTTACTGGAATTAATGATTTTTTATGGGTTCTAAATCAAATGAATGCCCTAGTCAAAGTTACTGTGATGAATATTTTTACACTTGAAACTCTTGTAATTAACTGGACCCATGGAAGCAAGAAGAATCTGGATTAACTGTTGGAAAATAAGATTAAGTAAAGATTTATTTGACACATTATTAAGTAAGCAGTGTGCATATGAGATCAATCTTGTGGTTCTTCTGTTTGCATATATTAATCTGTAATTAGCATGAATACTCACAGATGCATTGGTAAACATTATTGAATATAAATTTATATTCATAGTCTACTTGTTTCTGTAAGGAAAGATAAAAGTAAATAAAACTTTCCCCTTTTGATTTTTTTGATAGGCTATTTTAATGATGAGAGTTGACTTAAGTCATTCTTCTATTTCAGCAACTGGCCATGCCACAGCACATAAAGATTACAGTGACAAGAAAAACATTGTTTGAGGATTCCTTTCAACAGGTACTGTTTCATTCTCTCAATAATTTCCCCCCTGGCTGCTAGCTTAGGACCCGCTTTTGGTGCTGTCAGTTTAATCTGAATGGTTTGGAACTTCTTGAGTTGAAGTCCTTGAATTTTTCAAGTGCGATCTCATTGCCAGCCACCTTAGGGCTTAAGGGGTGTGTGTGTGTGTGTGTGTGTGTGTGTGTGTGTGTGTGTGTTTCAGGTTTCCATTTCTAAACTGGTATGATTTGAAATAAATGCATAGGTAAGATAATAGGTTTGTGTGTGTGTGTGTGTGTTTCAGGTTTCCATTTCTAAACTGGTATGATTTGAAATAAATGCATAGGTAAGATAATAGGTTTTTGGTAGCCAAAGGTCTGGAAATACCCATATGAACATTATCAGATTGTAGAAAGGAGAGGGGAAGACTTGTTTTAACACTTCAGTATTACTTGGATTTTTACAATAAGCGTATGTTACTCTTAACAGGAAAAAAAGTGGTCATTGGTGACAGTATCTAAAAAAAGATATATATGAGTTTTCAGAAGTAGTCAGCAGATTTTTTCACTTGTCTTCAGAACTTGAGTTAATTTACTCGCTGGGCACGGTGGCTCATGCCTGTAATCCCAGCACTTTGGGAGGCTGAGGCGGGTACATCACCTGAGGTCAGGAGTTTGAGACCAGCCTGGCCAAGATGGTGAAACCTTGTCTCTATTAAAAATATAAAAATTAGCTGGGCCTGGTGGCTGATGCCTGTAATCCTGTAAAGCTACTCAGGAGAGTCACCTGAACCTGGGAGGTGGAGGTTGCAGTGACCCGAGATCGTGCCATTGCATTCCAGCCTGGGCAATAAGAGCAAAACTCCATCTCAATTTAAAAAAAAAAAAAAAAAAAAAAAAACTTGAGTTAGTCTACTATTCGCCTTTATCTTGCAGATATTACTAATAACCTACTGCAACTAAATGTTAAAATGATTGTGTTATGTAGAAGATTAAAATAACTAGTGAAAAAATGTCTTAAAATGAAAACATCTGGTTAGTCCTTGTTTTATAGCCAGATGTGGAAGTGATTATTTTCAAGCACCAGTGGTATTGTAGCAACTACAGCTTCAAGAAGTACGGAATTGAATGCAAAGGGAAAAGAGGTTGAGACAGTTGGTGGTAGCTGGCTACTTGCTTTCAGAATCAGTTTTTTTCATTTCCTAATGGAACGTCAGTTATTGACATTAAAGGAAAAAGCCAGTTGGCATCCTGCTATGTAGGAGCAGAAAACTTTTTAGTGGGAAGTGGAGCTTTACTGAGGCCATTTAGAGAATTATGAGTCATCCCCTTGATCTGATGTAAGTGTCACAGGCCATTCCCCACCCTAGTCCTTGCCCATTTCTAATTTTATGTTCATAACCACCCTTTTATCACTCTGTTGGACGAGTTTCTTGAAGCAACTTGCTTACCTCTTACCAGTCCTGGAAAGATGCAAAACATGATTAAACTGTTCCTTTATCTTTTGACTTTGAAACCTAAAGTCTTTTGCAAAATAACTGACTAGATGGTTCTAAAACAGTTTTTAAAGCTGTCACCCTAGATTTGACATCCATCAAATAACTGGTTAATAAAAATATAAGAGAACAATTTGATTGCTTAAAGGTAACAAAACTAATTGCAAAATTAGCATCAGATTTTCTTTGGATAGTTGTTGGATAAAATTGCTCTGGGATAGTGTTTCTTCTGTTAACACAGCACAACTGGTTATGGGGGAAAGTACAGGAGAAAACAATTTTTTTTCCTTCATATTAGACATTTGTTAAAAGGAATTTTTTTTTAACTTTTATGGATTTATTTATAGTAAAGATAAGGATACAAATGTCTTCCACACATATGTGGTAATCTGTGGTGCTCGCCACTCCCTCCCTCCTGGGACTGACACACTGCAGCCCACGCTGCTCACCCTGGAGCCCCATCCTTGCATGAGAGAATGGCGCCACCTGGGGCTGTGCGACCTGTCAGCCTGCTCATTCCCTTCTCCAGCTCAGGACAGAGAAACACAATTCATTCATAAGGTTTCCATTCTGTTATAGGCAGAGATTTAGAAATCAGCATTGTTTTTCAAAGAGTACAAAGTTAAACCATTCTGCTTAGAAAAGAATAAACCCATCCAATCATTTTTCCTCTAGTTGAGTCAAAACAGAGATCAAACTTCTTTGATAGTGTTATGTCTGTGTTCAGACTTAGACTTCAGAATCAAAATTTTGAAATATTTATGAGGTTAATAACTATCTTTGAAGTTAAGCAGTTTACTGAGCAATTAAATATTTTTGTCCATACACATTCAGATTTAACTACTGCTATAAATTGTCGTAATTTCTCCAGTTTCAGTCTGAACATAATAGCTTATAGTAATAAGACACAGGTTCTAGTACAGATTTTCCAATTAGTGGTATGGCCCTAAACAAGCCAGGTTAGATCTCTGCCTTCACCTACATCAAACAGGAATAATAATATATTTCCTTAACCTATCTTCTAGGTAAACAGATGAGATTATATGAAAACATTTTGCTAAAGTCGCTAAACAAACATAAGAAAAAATATGTAAGGTTTTTCTATCACATTAACTATTTTTTAATATCTGACTGACATTTTTGTAATATAACCAAAATAAAAATTGCATACTTTCTTTTTTTTTTCTTTTATTGATCATTCTTGGGTGTTTCTCGCAGAGGGGGATTTGGCAGGGTCATAGGACAATAGTGGAGGGAAGGTCAGCAGATAAACAAGTGAACAAAGGTCCCTAGTTCTCCTAGGCAGAGGACCCTGCGGCCTTCCGCAGTGTTTGTGTCCCTGGGTACTTGAGATTAGGGAGTGGTGATGACTCTTAACGAGCATGCTGTCTTCAAGCATCTGTTTAACAAAGCACATCTTGCACCGCCCTTAATCCATTTAACCATGAGTGGACGCAGCACATGTTTCAGAGAGCACAGGGTTGGGGGTAAGGTCACAGATCAACAGGATCCCAAGGCAGAAGAATTATTCTTAGTACAGAACAAAATGAAAAGTCTCCCATGTATACTTCTTTCTGCACAGACACGGCAACCATCCGATTTCTCAATCCTTTACCCACCCTTCCCCGCTTTCTATTCCACAAAACCGCCATTGTCATCATGGCCCGTTCTCAATGAGCTGTTGGGTACACCTCCCAGACGGGGTGGTGGCCTGGCAGAGGGGCTCCTCACTTCCCAGTAGGGGCGGCCGGGCAGAGGCACCCCGCACCTCCAGGACAGGGCGGCTGGCCGGGCGGGGGGGCTGACCCCCCCACCTCCCTCCCGGACAGGGTGGCTGCCGGGTGGAGACGCTCCTCACTTCCCAGACGGGGCGGCTGCCGGGCGGAGGGGCTCCTCACTTCTCAGACGGGGCGGTTGCCAGGCAGAGGGTCTCCTCACTTCTCAGACGGGGTGGCTGGGCAGAGATGCTCCTCACCTCCCAGACGGGGTCGCGGCTGGGCAGAGGCGCTCCTCACATCCCAGACGGGGCGGCGGGGCAGAGGCGCTCCCCACATCCCAGACCATGGGCGGCCGGGCAGAGACGCTCCTCACTTCCTAGATGTGATGGCGGCCGGGAAGAGGCGCTCCTCACTCCTAGATGGGATGGCGGCCGGGCAGAGACGCTCCTCACTTTCCAGACTGGGCAGCCAGGCAGAGGGGCTCCTCACATCCCAGACGATGGGCGGCCAGGCAGAGATGCTCCTCACTTCCCAGACGTGGTGGCGGCCGGGCAGAGGCTGCAATCTCGGCACTTTGGGAGGCCAAGGCAGGCGGCTGGGAGGTGGAGGTTGTAGCTAGCCGAGATCACGCCACTGCACTCCAGCCTGGGCACCATTGAGCACTGAGTGAACGAGACTCCGTCTGCAATCCCGGCACCTCGGGAGGCCAAGGCTGGCGGATCACTCGCGGTTAGGAGCTGGAGACCGGCCCGGCCAACACATCGAAATCCCGTCTCCACCAAAAAAATACGAAAACCAGTCAGGCGTGGCGGCGCGTGCCTGCAATCGTAGGCACTGGGCAGGCTGAGGCAGGAGAATCAGGCAGGGAGGTTGCAGTGAGCCGAGATGGCAGCAGTACAGTCCAGCTTCGGCTCGGCATCAGAGGGAGACCGTGGAAAGAGAGGGAGAGCGAGACCGTGGGGAGAGGGAGACGGGAGAGGCAGAGGCAGGGGCAGGGGCAGGGGCAGGGGCAGGGGCAGGCAGAGGCAGGCAGAGGCAGAGGCAGAGCTGCATACTTTCAAGAATGACAAAATTTAGTAGTTATACAAGGTGAATTAAAATAGTAAAGCTAGTCATAATACAGAATCCACTCATCCATGTACTCATTTTATCACTTAAATAATAATTATAAAAATAGGTAAAATTCCATGAAAATATTCCTATTTGTTCTAGTTCAGGAGGTCTTGCCCACATCAATGGATTGTCTGGCATCAGCCACTGTTTCAGGCACTCGAACAGTCATATTGTCCATAGATTTTGTCAAACAGATTTGGCAGCCCAACTGTGATCTGTTAGTCCATATGCCAGATCGAGCATGTGATTCTCCTCATCAGTGATTGCATCTAACTTCTCATATATGTGATCTTCAAAGATGAGATGACAGGTTAAACAAGCCAGAGTTCCCTCACATGCACCAAAGCCATCAATATCTGGATTATTTTCAACCACAACGTCTAGCAGAGAATCACCAACTTTTCCTTTGGTTGTTAATGTTTCACCATCACAGTTTATAAAGTGGACTGTCACTTTATCTTCTGAGCTGCTCCGCGCCCCTGCCGACACGCTCAGCGGCCGGCTCGCCTCCGCGCTCCGGCCCGGTCCCCGGCTCCTCAGCAGGCCGCTGGCTCCAGCGCGGGACCCGGCGTGGTGCAGCCACCGGCCGGCCGGGTCGCCGAGGACCGCAGAAGCGGCGCGCAGCAGCCGGGCGCCCCCAGCGGCAGCCATCGCCCGCGGTCGGGAACTCAAAAGGAATTATTTAAAGATAGTTTTAACCTTGTGACATTTCTCATTTGCGTTGCTGTATACCTAGCCTATACTATTTGTAGAATACTTGGCATAAACGTACATATGTCATAAGCATTGAAGTTTTTTGTTACATCTGGGATTTTCTGGCTTGAGTGGGATGTGAATTCATAAATGTGATGGTTTTGTGGGGGAACTGAGAGAACTTGGCATAAACAGGTATACTTACTGATCCTCTCTGGATATTTAAGTGTGGTAATTCATTCTTATCACTCAATAAAGTATAGGCATTATATCAACTTCTCCCTTTCCATGTTCTTCTGTATTTTTTTGTAAGAGTAATTGATATATGCAGTGCTATACACACACAATTTTGGTCAAATAATTTGTTTTACGTGGCAGGAAACCAAATGACCTATTGATTGTAGCTCAGTAATGTACTGTCCTTCAAATATGAAGATGATCCTATTAACCACCTATAGTGGGACACAAAATTTGAGTAGTTTTTGTAGGTAGTTATCGGTTGCCGCTGAGAATGAGTTTCCAAAGTTAACTGGGTCTCTCTGCAGCTACTGGTTTTCATTTCTCGGTTAGCCAGTTAGCTGTTACGTGTACCTTTGGCTATGAGTCAAAACCAAACCTAATAACCAAACCACAAAAACCCCACCCAACCTCTGACCATGCCCATCTATGTTCTAAGTAATTGATACAGGCAACATTATAAGTCAATAGTAGCATCATTAAAAATAAAATCACGGCCGGGCATGATGGCTCACGTCTGTAATCCCAGCACTTTGGGAGGCCAAGGCCGGTGGATCACCTGAGGTCAGGAGTTTGAGACCAGCCTGGCCAACATGGCAAAACCCCGTCTCTACTAAAAATACAAAATTAGCCGGGCGTGGTGGCGCACACCTGTAGTTCCAGCTACTTGGGAGGCTAAGGCAAGAGAATCGCTTGAACCTGGGAGGTGGAGGTGTGGTAAGCCGAGATTGTGCCATTGCACTCCAGCCTGGGCAACGAGGGAGAGACTGTCTAAAAGTAAATAAATAAATAAAATCACGTGTATAAGGTATATAAAAATATAGATGTATATAATAAAATATTATTAAACGTTACTATAATGTATTTTCTGTATGTGTGGTTTTGACTAGACCATGAACACCTTTCTGTGTCATGGGAGATTTCAGTTACCTATAACGAAGGAGATGTCAAACCTAGAAGTGGTAGACAGTGTTTCAATAGCTTTTTTCACCAATTATTTTACTTTATTTTTTTTTAGATAATGAGCTTCAGTCCCCAAGATCTGCGAAGACGTTTGTGGGTGATTTTTCCAGGAGAAGAAGGTTTAGATTATGGAGGTGTAGCAAGGTAGTGATAATATGAATACTCAGAACTTAGTTCCTTTCCTCCAAAGGTACCATTGCACTTCGCTTGCAAGTATTATTTTCTCAATCTTATATTTTAGGAAAATGAAATATGTCAAATTATTATACCTTTATTATGCTGTAGCTACAGAATTTCAAAAAACATTTAATTCAGCACTTTCTATGTCATGTACAGCTGATTGATTTCACCCACATCACTCATTTAATCTTCAGGGTAACCTTGTGATACAGAATTTTATAGGATGATGAAGAGGCTTAGAGACTCACCTAAGGCACATAATAAATTGTAGAGCCTGGATGCAAGCTTTGTATCATTTAACCAGTAGCCAGTGTTAAGTCTACCACCTCTTATATCTGTTCCACAGAAAACACAAGGCCTTATAGTGATCAGGTCATTTTCCCCACCACAGATTACTGATACAGGTAATAGTTACTCAGTTTCCAACTGAGATTAGTATATTTGTCATGAAAATATAGAAGGTTGTACAAAATAGGAGTTGAAAGTCTTAATTCTGCTTTCTTCATATTGGAGCTTAATATTGGACCCTAGAAGATAGTCTCTAATGAGAATTGCTTTGCTTATTCCATGATAATATATCACACCAGGTTAAAAATTTGCGTAGAGCTGGCATTGTGCAAAGACAAGGACTTTGGGGTCAAGACGGGATTTGAATCTTTTTCTGCTCTCAATAGTGTGATGTTGGGCAAATATTTTCATCTGTAAAATAAGAATATTAATATCTACATTTCTAGGATTATTGTGAAGAGTAGAAATATTGTTTATTAATGACCTAGTTCAGAGCCTGTGTCTTTGTGTGCACGCTAATTGGTGGCTACATTTTAGTAGTTCTTATTTATATTATGTTTCTGAGTTTAAATAAAATTATTTCAAAATATATGATATAATCATAGATAAATAACAAATATGAGTAGAAACATGTAATTTTGTATAAGTTAAAGGCAATTGAAGAGGAGAGCAATCATTCATTCCTAATAAGAAAATAAACTAGCAATATTAAAGTGTGTCATGAGATACACTTATCACAAGAGGCCATGAACTAACAGGAAAAGAGATCCAGATTACAGGCTTATGCCACATGTATTACCCCAGATCACCCATGTTACGTAGTTTTAGTAACCATAATCTTATGTTAATATTGGTTCATATTTTCACAATATTTGACTTAGAGTCTCAGCATTTTTCTAATATGTGAGTGGCTGGAATTAAGAACTTTACTGCCTCTGTGAAATTGGAAGAATTTTCATATTGATTTAACGTGTAGGGAGTAGTGGCACTTGATGGGGATTATTATGGGACTTAGTAATAGATGGAATATTAGATTGATTTCAGCCACTTTACTCACATGGGTAAATAGTGAATTTTAAATTTGCCTATGAATAGTATTTCATTGATTCTAAGACTAATATTTTCATTTTATAATATCTCTGAAATTACGATGTATCTCAGGTAAAATTGGAAAATACAATTTAGTCGTTCATCAAATAAAGGTGCAATGTTGTCTTAGATTTTTTGAAATGTAATAATGTATATATTACCATCTACCAAAGATGGTGTATACTACCAACTCTGTGAAACAGATGTGAGTTTGAACAGAAGCAATAAAAATCAACATGAGATTAGAAAACTATCACTAGCTGAGGGGTATAGATCCCTGAGAACTTTATAGCACTGTTCTTTGATTTCTTGGTAACCTACAAGATTTTTCATCGTAAATTTTCTTTTGATTTCAGAGAATGGTTCTTTCTTTTGTCACATGAAGTGTTGAACCCAATGTATTGCCTGTTTGAATATGCAGGGAAGGATAACTACTGCTTGCAGATAAACCCCGCTTCTTACATCAATCCAGATCACCTGAAATATTTTCGTTTTATTGGCAGATTTATTGCCATGGTAAGTGCAGGTCAAGAATTATGTTTACTTTGCTTATTCAGCAATACTAAATTTTCTCTTAGGTGCCATAACAGATCATATGAGAGAAAGGGAAGTGGTTTTTTGTTTTGTTTTGTTTTTTATTTTTGAGACAGAGTCTTGCTCTGTCACCCAGGCTGGAGTACAGTGACACGATCTTGGCTCACTGCAACCTCTGCTTCCTGGACTCAGTCAGTTCTCCCGCCTCAGCCTCCCAAGTAGCTAGGATTACAGGTGTGCGCCACCATGCCTGGCTAATTTTTGTATTTTTAGTAGAGAAGGGGTTTTGCTATGTTGGCCAGGCTGGTCTTGAACTCCTGACCTCAGGTAATCCACCTGCCTCAGCCTTCCAAAGTGCTGGGATTACAGGTATAAGTCACCGTGCCCAGCCAGGGAAGTGTTTTTTTGAGACAAAGTTTCACTTTTGTTGCCCAGGCTAGAGTGCAATGGCGTGATCTCGGCCCACCACAACCTCTGCCTCCCAGGTTCGAGCAATTCTCCTGCCTCAGCCTCCCGAGTAGCTGGGATTACAAACAAGCATGTGCCACCATGTCCGGCTAATTTTTGTGTTTTTAGTAGAGATGGGGTTTCTCCATGTTGGTCAGTCTGGTCTCGAACTCCTGACCTCAGGTGATCCACCCACCTCGGCCTCCCAGATTGCTGGGATTACAGGCGTGAGCCACCATGCCTGACCCAGGGAAGTGTTTTTAAATGAAGAGTACATCTAATATATTGAAATAAAATGATTATTGTACAGTTATTTTAAGCGGTCTTGTTTCCTTTTTTCATAGGCTCTGTTCCATGGGAAATTCATAGACACGGGTTTTTCTTTACCATTCTATAAGCGTATCTTGAACAAACCAGTTGGACTCAAGGATTTAGAATCTATTGATCCAGAATTTTACAATTCTCTCATCTGGGTTAAGTAAGTTTCTTTTTCCATGTAATTTATTAAAATATAGTTATATGCATTCCGTGTAGTATTGATAACTTATCCAAACTGTAGGCACATAATTGGTTTATTGTATTTAAATGATCTATATATCAAACCTGTCTTTTTATTCAATATGATAAATTTTACAAAAATACACCCAAGATCTTCGGCAATAATATGACCTTAGAACAGAATCTTATTTCTTCTTATTTTGATGTTATAGCTTAATATTAATTATTTAAGAACATGGGCCTTTCGTTAAAAACTTATAAATTATGATTGAATTGGTGGATATAACAAATAGTGCTAATTTCATTTGTGCAGGGAAAACAATATTGAGGAATGTGATTTGGAAATGTACTTCTCCGTTGACAAAGAAATTCTAGGTGAAATTAAGAGTCATGATCTGAAACCTAATGGTGGCAATATTCTTGTAACAGAAGAAAATAAAGAGGAATACATCAGGTGAGAGTGCTCCTTTTCACATTTCACTTTTTGTTTGACTACAGCACATTGATAATTGCTTACTAATACTAATGGAGAGTATCTCCAAAAATAGTATTTGTCTCTGTACTAATCAATATCCTATGTAGGCAGTCATTTTTCATTTCTAAAAAGTTTTTTTTTAAGTGTTTTTAAAAGAGTTTTAAGGATAAAAGTCATGCAGGATCACTCTTTTAAACATCAACTCTGTAATCACTATGCTGTATAACATGTCATTAAAAAGAATCTCAAATATATATGCAGATATTTTCATGGGGAATATTGTAAGGTGTATTAATCCACTTTCCTGCTGCTGATAAAGACATATCCAAGACTGGGCAATTTATAAAAAAAAGAGGTTTAATGGACTTACAGTTCCACGAGGGTGGGGAGGCCTCACCCTCATGGTGGAAGGCAAGGAGGGGCAAGTCACATCTTACATGGATGGCAGCAGGCAAAGAGAGAGCTTGTACAGGGAAAACTCCTGTTTTTAAAACCTCATCATCGGCCAGGCATGGTGGCTCATGCCTGTAATCCTAGCACTTTGGAAGGCCAAGGCAGGCAGATCACAAGGTCAGGAGATTGAGACCATCCTGGCCAACATGGTGAAACCCCATCTCTACTAAAAATACAAAAATTAGCTGGGTGTGGTGGCATGTGCCTGTAATCCCAGCTACTAGGGAGGCTGAGGCAGGAGAATGGCTTGAACCTGGGAGGCGGGGATTGCAGTGAGCCAGGATAGCACCACTGCACTCCAGCCTGGTAACAGAGCAAGACTCTGTCTCAAAACAAACAAACGAATGAACAAAACACTTCATCATATCTTGTGAGACATATTCACTGTCATGCAAACAGCAGGGGAAAGACCCACCCCCGTGATCCCATGATTCAGTTATCTCACTGATTCTCTCTTACAACACATGGGAATTATGGGAGCTACAAGGTGAGATTTGGGTGAGGACACAGAGCCAAACCATATCATTCTGCCCCTAGCCCCTCCCAAATCTCATGTCTTCACATTTCAAAACCAATCATGCCTTCTCAACAGTCCCCAAAGTCTTAACTTATTTCAGCATTAACTCAAAAGTCCACAGTCCAAAGTCTCATCTGGGACAAGGGAAGTCCCTTCCGCCTATGAGCCTGTAAAATTAAAAGCAACTTAGTTACTTCCTACATACACTCAGGGATACAGGCATTGGGTAAATACAGCCATTCAAGATGGGAGAAATTGGCCAAAACAAAGGAGCTACAGGCCCCATGCAAGTTTGAAATCCAGCAGGGCAGTCAAATCTTCAAGTTCCAAAATGATCTCTTTTGACTCCATGTCTCATATGCAAGTCACCCTGATGTAAGAGGTGGCCTCCCATGGCCTTGGGCAACACTGCCCTTGGGGCTTTGCAGGGTATAGCCCCCCACCGGCTGCTTTCATGGGCTGGCGTTGAGTGTCTATGGCTTTTCCAGTCTCATGCTGCAAGCTGTTGGTGGATCTACCATTCTGGGGTCTAGAGGACGGTTGCCCTCTTCTCACAGCTCCACTAGGCAGTGCCCCAGTAGGGACTCTGTATGGGCCTCCAACTTCACATTTCCCCTCCACACTGACCTAGCAGAGGTTCTCTGTGAGTGCCCTGCCCCTGCAAGCAGACTTTTGCCTGGGCATCTAGGCATTTCCATACGTCTTCTGAAATCTAGAGGGAGGTTCCCAAGCCTCAATTTTTGCCTTCTGTGCACCCTCAGGCTCAACAGCACGTGGAAGCTGCCAACTCCTGGGGCTTCCACCTTCTGAAGCAACAACCCGGGCTGTACCTTGGCCACTTTTAGTCATGCTGGAGCAGCTAGGAAACAGGGCACCAAGTCCCTAGAGTGCACACAGCGTGGGGACCCTGGGCCCGGCCCATGAAACCATTTTTAGCTCCTAGGCCTGCCTACAGGCTTGTGATAGGAGGGGCTTCCATGAAGACCTCTGACGTGCCCTGTAGACATTTTCCACATTGTCTTGGGGATTAACATTCGGGTCCTCATTACTTATGCAAATTTCTGTAGCCAGCTTGAATTTCTCCTCAGAAAATGAGATTTTCTTGTCTATTGCATTGTTGGGCTGCAAATTTTCCAAACTTTTATGCTCTGCTTCCCTTACAAAACTGAATGCCTTTAACAGCACGCAAGTCTCCTCTTGAATGCTTTGCTACGTAGAAATTTATTCCACCAGATACCCTAAATCATCTCTCTCAAGTACAATCGTCTCTCTCAAGTACAAATCCACCAGTCTCTAGCACAGGGGCAAAATGCTGCCAGTCTCTTTGCTAAAACATACAAAGAGTCACCTTTGCTGCATTTCCCAAAAAGTTTCTCATTTCCATCTGAGAACACCTCAGCCTGGACTTTATTGTCCATATTGCTGTCAGCATTTTGGTCAAAGCCATTCAACAAGTCTATAGGAAGTTCCAAACTTTCCCACATTTTCCTGTCTTCTTCTGAGCCCTCCAAACTGTTCCAACGTCTGCCTGTTACCCAGTTCTAAAGTTGCATCCACATTTTCAGTTATCTTCAGCAGCACCCCACTCCTGGTAACAATTTACTGTTTTCACACTGCTGCTAAGACATACTTGAGAGTGGACAATTTACAAAAGAAAGAGGTTTAATGGACTTACAGTTCCACATGGCTGGGGAGGCCTCACAATCATGGTGGAAGGCAAGGAGGAGCAAGGCATGTCTTACATGAATGGCAGCCGGCAAAGAGAGAGCTTGTGCTGGGAAACTCCCATTTTAAAACCATCAGATCTTGTGAGACTTATTCACTATAATGAGAACAACATGAGAAAGGCCCGCCCCCATGATTCAGTTATCTCCCACTGGTTCTCTCCCATAACACATAGGAATTATGGGAGCTACAAGATGTGATTTGGGTGGGGACACAGAGCCAAACTATATCATAAGGTTGGGTAAAATTTATAACTAAAATGATGTTTTATAGTATATCCTTTCTGATTATTTCCATTGGTTCATGCTACTAGTCTCAAGAGCTAATAGTTCATTCATACCTTCTCAATAGCAATTCTTTCCAGCCAGGGTTAAATTTTGCATATTTACTTCTTAAGTTCCAGGTTCTGCATTTCTTGCCTGGTTTTTCCCTCCATAATTGAAAGTATACTATTTAACACAGTGAGCTGTCATTATTTCTTGGACAACAATCTATCCTTTTAAAAGTTTATTTTGAAATCTGCTTTTAAAATGTAGTCAATTCGTTTTTGTCAATTCTCCAGTTTTTTTGTTATGATATGTCTAGATTTTCTTATGACATATATAGCATTCCAGAGAGGTAATGTTTCGAGATTCCAAGAGATGTACTACGTTTCTCAATAGTTTTGTTGCTGGTAAGATAACATTTTAAGATAATGGGCAGCTAAAAAGGTTTTTAGTATCTACTTCAATAATGGCTTGCTTAAAATTTCAGAGTTTGGGGGGTTTTTAGTATTATTTTAAGAAGTATAATTTCCTTAGAATAAAATGCACTGATCTTAAGTGTAGAAGTTGAAATTTGACAAATATATATATCAGCCCAAATGTGAGCATTTTATGGAGAGAAGTTGTGCTAGATCACTCATTTAATTACCAATTCTGTAAACACTGTTCCATATAGCATCATGTCCATGTAAATATGACCCAAATTGTGGAACTTTTTTTTCTATTCTGGACCCCATAAGGGGCCAATGCACACCTCCCTTCTCCCAGCCCCAGAGGTAGGTAACCATTTCTGTTTAGTTCTATTTCTATAACTGTTTCTGATCTTAAACTTCCTAAAATGAAATCATAGAGTATGTACTCTTATATCTAGCTTTTAGTGTCTGATTTTTTCTTTTATTTGGTGTTTGTGAGATTCAGCCATATTGTTTATATCAGTATTTTATTCCTTTTTATTGCTGAGAAATATTCCATGCTGTGTATATCTCAAAATTTGTTTATCCATTCTCTTGGTGATAAATGTTTTGGTTGTTTCTCAGTCTGGGGCTTTTATGAGTAAAGCTGCTATAAACATTCTTGTGATATCTTTTTGTGGACATATTTTTCTTGAGTAAATACCTAGGAGTGAAATCGCTGGGAAGGTGTTTGACTTTATTAGAAACTGCCAGTTTCCCAAAGTGTTTTTGCCATTTTGCAGTCCTACTAGTAGTATTTGAGAGTTGCTTCACGTTCTTGCCAATTCAGCATTGTCAGTAATATCTCGTGGTTTTAATTTCCATTTCTTCCTTGACTAATGGTGTCAAGTACGTTTTTCTATGCATATTGATCATTTGTAGCTCTTCTTTTGTGATGTGTGTATCCAAATCTTTTATCCATTCTAAAATTGGGTTGTCTTTTTATTTGTGATTGTTGGAGTTCTTAAATATTTCAGATCATTGATTTTAGAAACTCTTCTCTTTCCCTTCTTCCCTCCCTCTTCTTACCTTTTCTTACGATACGTCTAGATTTCGTTCTTCTTTGACGGAGTCTTGCTCTGTTGCCGAGGCTGAAATACAGTGGCACGATCAGAGCTCACTGCAGTCTTAAACTCCTGGGATCAAAGGATCCCCCTGCCTCATCCTTCTGAGTAGCTGGGACTGTAGGCACAAGCCACTGTGCCCAGCAAATTTTTTGGTTGTTTTTATTTTTGTAGAGATGTGGTCTTGCTATTTTGCACAGGCTGGTCTCAGACTCCTTGCCTTAAGCTATCCTCCCACATTCTGTTTTCTAATATAAGGATTTAAAGCTGCATATTTCCAACTAAGTATTTCTTTAGCTATATCCCACAATTTTTTGTTGTTTTTTTTGAGATAGAGTCTCACTCTGAGGTTGCCCAGGTTGGAGCGTAGTGGTAGAGTCATGGTTCACTGTAGCCTCAACCTCCTGAGCTCCAGATAGCCTCCCACCTCAGCCTTCCAGGTAGCTGGAACCACAGGCATGTACTACCATGCCTGGCTTACTTATTTATTTATTTATTGTAGGAGATGGGTCTTACTATGTTACCCAGGCTGGTCTCCAAACTCCTGGATCCAAACGATACTCCCACTTTGGTCTCCCAAAGTGCTGGAATTATAGGCATGAGCCGCCGCATCCAGTCCACACCTTTTTTTTTTTTTCCCCCGAGACAGAGTCTTGCTCTGTCGCCCAGGCTGGAGTGCAGCGGTACAATCTTGGCTCACTGCAACTTCCATCTCCTGGGTTCAAGTGATTCTTCTGCCTCAGCCTCCCGAGCAGCTGGGATTATAGGCACCCGCCACCACGCCTGGCTAATTTTTGTATTTTTAGTAGAGACGGGGTTTTGCCATGTTGGCCGGGCTTGTCTTGAACTCTTGACCTCAGGTGATCCGCCTGCCTCAGCGTCCCAAAGTGCCTGGATTACAGGCATGAGCCACCACGCCCAGCCACAAATTTTGGAATGTTGTGTTTTTCACTATTTTATTTATTTTATTTATTTATTTATTTATTATGTTTTATTTTTATTATTAATATTTTTGAGACAGGGTCTCACTTTGTCACCCAGGCTGGAGTGCAGTGGTGAAATCTTGCCTCACGGCAGCGTCCAATTCCAGAAGTTCAAGCGATCCTCTAGCCTCAGCCACCAAGCAGCTGGGACTACAGGCATGTGCCACCACACCCACATGACGAGATGGGGTTTCACCGTGTTGCCCAGGCTGGTCTTGAACTCCTGTGCTCAAGGGATCCACCCACCTCAGCCTCCCAAAGTGCTGGGATTACAGATGTCAGCCACCACATCCAGCCACTCTCATTGTATTTAAAAGTATTTGTTAGGTTTTTTTTTTTTTTTTTTTGAGACGTAGTCTCTCTGTCACCCAGGCTGGAGTGCAGTGGTGCCATCTTGGCTCACTCTAAGCTCCGCTCCCTGGGTTCACGTCATTCTCCTGCCTCAGCCTCCGGAGTAGCTGGGACTACAGGCGCCTGCCACCACACCTGGCTAATTTTTTTGTATTTTTAGTAGAGACAGGGTTTCACCGTGTTAGCCAGGAAAGTCTCAATCTCCTGACCTCGTGATCCCCTCACCTCAGCCTCCCGAAGTGCTGGGATTACAGGCATGAGCCGCCGTGCCCAGCCAGGTCTTATTTTTATCCTGATAATCTCTACTTTATAATTGGAGTGTTCAGTACATTTATGTTTAATTTTATTACTGATTTGGTTGGACTTTTGTCTAACCATTGCTATTTGTTTTGCTATTTGTCTCGCCTTGCTATTTGTTTCTTATTTTTCCCAACTTTCTTTGTTCTTTCTTGCCTTCTTTGAATAAAGCAATTTTTACTTTCTTTTTTAGCTCTTCTGTTGGTTTTTTAGCTATACCTCTTTGTTTAACTTTAGTGGCAACTCTAATGATTATGATAATATGCATCTTTAACATCCCTGTTGACCCAAACACTACTTCTTGTACAATATAAGAAGCTCATAGGCCAGGTGCGGTGGCTCACACCTGTAATTCCAGCACTTTGGGAGGCTGAGGTGGGCAGATTGCCTGAGGTCAGGAGTTCGAGACCAGCCTGGCCAACATGATGAAACCCCGTCTCTACTAAAAATACAAAAATCAACTAGGCATGGTGGCAGGCACCTGTAATCCCAGCTACTTGGGAGGCTGAGGCATGAGAATCGCTTGAACCCAGGTGGCGGAGGTTGCAGTAAGTCGAGATCACGCCATTGCGCTTCAGCCTAGGGGACAAGAGCGAGACTTCGTCTCAAAAAAAAAGAAAAGAAGCTCATAATAATATAATTCCATTTACCTCACTCCAGCTCTTTGTGGTGTTGTTGTCATATATTATTTCTACGTGTCACAAATATAATACTTTGTTACTGTTATTCTTGCTTTAATTTTTAACTATTTTCAAAAATAATCTTATATTTACTCACATTACTATTTCTGGTTCTCCTTATTTCTTTCCTCAGATTCATTTTTTTTTTTAAATCTAAGATAATTTCCCTTTGGCTTTAAAAAAAAAAACCTTTCTTTACCATTTCACTTAGTGTGCATCTCTTGGTGATGCATTTTCTCAGCTTTTATATGAAAACATCTTTATTTCACCTTCATTTTTTGAAGGATATTGTCACTAGATTTAGAATTCTAGGTTTATAAAATAATGATGCGGTCATGTTTTTATGATTTATGTTTTAAAAAATAATCCTCATGTCGTAGAGACAAATACTGAAGTATTTGTTCAAAATGAAATTATCTGGGCTGGGCGTGGTGGTTCGTGCCTGTAATCCCAGCACTTTGGGAGAAGGCAGGCAGAACACTTAAGGTCAGGAGTTCAAGACCAGCCTGGCCAACATGATGAAACCCCCGTCTCTACTAAAAACACAAAAATCAGTTGGGTGTGGTGGCGCACGCCTGTAATGCCAGCTACTCGGGAGGCTGATGCACAAGAACTGACTGAACCTGGAAGGTGGAGGCTGCAGTGAGCCCAGATTGTATCATTGCACTCCAGCCTGAGTGACAGAGCGCGACCCTGTCTCAAAAAACAAAAACAAAATAAAAGAAAAAAAAAGAAATTATATGGCTTGGCAATGGTGGCACACGCTTGTAATCGTAGCACTTTGGATGGCGGAGGCAGGAAGATCACTTGAGGCCAGATATTTAAAACCAGCCTTGGCATCACAGAGAGACACCATCTCTACATACAAAACCAAAAATCAGCCAGGCGTGGTGTTGCACACCTATATTCCCAGCTACTCGGGAGGCCGAGGTAGGAGGATTGCTTGAGCCCAGGAGGTCGAGACTGCAGTGAGCCAAGATTGTGCCACTGTGCTTCAGCTCAGGTGACAGAGTGAGACCTCATCTCAAATAAATAAAGAAATGAAATTATATGATATCTAGGGTATGAGTAGGGGCATAGATGAAATAGATGGGCATTGTGATGAAGCTTGGACATGTGTACAGGGGGTTCATTATGTTCTATTTTTGAATATATTTTAAGTTTTTTATAATTTTTTAAAATTTATTTTTATACTCAGAATTTAAAGATAAGATCTAAACTTCCTGATAGGTTTTTTCATATTTGTTTGCCAGAATGGTAGCTGAGTGGAGGTTGTCTCGAGGTGTTGAAGAACAGACACAAGCTTTCTTTGAAGGCTTTAATGAAATTCTTCCCCAGCAATATTTGCAATACTTTGATGCAAAGGAATTAGAGGTAATGAATTTTCCTTCATTCCCCTGTACCATGCTAGTAAATAATGCCTTAAGTTGTCTGCTTTTAACTCACTTTCCCATCTTTCCTGTTACTGTAATATTTTTATACTGGGGCAAAATGTTTTGAAACATCCCCAATGGTTAAAGAAAATCATAATTTATCCAAAGATAAAACAATAGTATTACCCCCTCCAAAGTACAAATATTAGAGCTTCTCTACAATTGAGTGACTTACTTCCCTGAATATGTATATGTATGACACCGTGCATGGAACCTTGCCTTCATGAGCAATGTAGATATAATTCTTGATGTATAGTTGATAAGTCAAAGCCTACTGATTGTTATTCTAAAGCTTTGCTTAATCTTAGTCTTTCCTATGTCCAGCTGTTTTTGTACAGTTACCTTAGGAAACAATTTGTCTTTTTCATCCCTAAAGGTCCTTTTATGTGGAATGCAAGAGATTGATTTGAATGACTGGCAAAGACATGCCATCTACCGTCATTATGCAAGGACCAGCAAACAAATCATGTGGTTTTGGCAGGTTTGTTTTTAAATTTATTTCTATTAGTTGACACAGCATAATTTTTTAGAATTTGCTTACCACATATGGAAATGAGTCACAGGTCAAAATGTACCAGTGTATATAGACCCCTTAGTCCATGCATTATAATAAATGAATACAGATTATAACAGCATCCTTTTAAGACTATTGCCAAGTAAGCCACACATACCTTGCATCTTTGTCCAAAGTAGAGTGTAAGACAATTCGAGATGATAAAATTTACCTACATTTGATTTAAATGGTTTTGGGGTTTTATAGGACTGTCTGTAGTATGTTTTTTATCATTTATACTTCATTAATTATATAATGTTCAGAAGGCAAAATTTAAGAGACTTGGTTTAGAATCATAACGGTATCTCTCTAAAAATGTCTGCCTTAAGCATGGTATATGATGTTCAACATCATTAGTCATTAGAGAAATGCAAATCAAAACCACAGTGAGGCTGGGTGCGGTGGCTCACACCTGTAATCCCAGCACTTTGGGAGGCTGAGGCGGGTGGATCACGACATCAGGAGATCAAGACCGTCCTGGCTAACACGGTGAAATTAGCCGGGCATGGTGGCACATGCCTGTAATCCCAGCTACTTGGGAGGCTGAGGCAGGAGAATCACTTGAACCTGGAAGGCAGAGGTTGCAGTAAGCCAAGTTCGCACTACTGCACTCCAGCCTGGGTGACAGAGCAAGACTCTGTCTCAAAAACAAAAACAACACAATGAGATACCACATCACACTTAGTATTATTTTTGAAGTGGAGAAGAACAACCATTGCCAAGGGCGCATTGCTGGTGATAGTGTGAAATACCACACCACTGTGGAAATAGTTTGGTGGTTCCTCAAAATTTAAGCATAGAATTAACATAAGATCCAGGAATTCCAATCCTTGGTATACAGCCCAAAAAATTGAAAGCAGAGACTTAAACAGATACTTGTACACCAGTATTCATCATTCATTTACCGACACAAAATGTGGTATATGCATATACAGATGCTCCTGGACTTGGAGTTTTATCCTTTATATCCATCATAAGTCAAAAATATCTTGAGTTGAAAATGCATTTAATACCCTTATCATAACTTACCCATTGTAAAGTTACATTGTAAAGTCACAACTTACCCATTGTAAAGTTGAAAAATCATAAATCGAACCATCATAAGTCTAGGTGCTCCTCAACTTATGATGGAGTAATAAACCCAATAAACCCATCATAAAGTCAAAAATTTGTAAGCCAGGGACTGTCTGTGTTGGAATATTATTCAGTGCTAAAAAGTAATGAGATTTTTGGTATGTGCTACAACATGAACAAACCTTAAAAACATTATGAATTTTAAGATAAGCGAAGTAAGCCAGACACAAACGGACAAATACTGTATAATTCCACTTACATGAGGTTACTAGAATGGGCAGCTTCATAGAGGCAAAAGTAGAATATGGGTTACCAGAAGTTGCAGGGAGCAAAAATGGGAAGTTGTGTTTAATGTGTACATAGGTTTTACTTGGGATGATGAAAAAGTTGGAAATAGTGGCGATGGTTGCACAACAGTGTGAATGTACTTAATGTCATTGAATTACACTCAAAATGGTTAAAATCGAGAATTTATGTTGTGTATATTTTACAAAAATTTAAAAAATTAAAAAAATCTGGTATACATGTAAAAAAATTCATATGAGAAACTTAAACTGAGCTTCTATAACAAGTAGGATTACAATTGTAGGATAATTAATAATACTACAATAGGATAAAAATTATTCCTTATAAAAAAGTTTTTGGCTGAGGCAAAACAGTTATACTACAGGCTAGAAACATTCTCTAGAAACCTATTGTTTTGAGTCAGAATTGTATGAAATAAAAACCACATAATTCTAGCTATGTGTAGCTATACCAAAACCTAAAGAACATTGAGAAGAGGAGGTTATTGGGATATATCCTGCATCAGAATTCTGTGAGTTTGATTAAAGTTGTTTATTAAACCAAAAAGTCTGTACTGACTCAAGGTCTGTATCCTGTGTAGCCACATGAATATCCTATAGGACGGGCAAATCTGGGGCTGGGGGGTGGTGGTGGGATGGGGAGTCACAGGAAGGGCTGCCCTAGAAGAGCTAATCTTAAAACTGCGTGAGTACGGAGCTCTTGGTCTCAGTCCATCTTACTTTTTATATATCCCTTTAAGTATATTGTCCTAAGATTTATATAAGGAAAGGTTGATGGGGCTTTGATAAACATGGAAATGGCCCTCCATCCATAGTGTTAAGTAATTATCTAATGCAGTGGACACCAGAGTTTCCTTTAAGATTTGAAATGAGCTAGATACAGTGGCTTGCTCCTATAGTCCCAGCTACTCTGGAGGCCGAGGCAGGAGGACTGCCTGCTGCCCAGGAGTTAGAGGCTGCAATCAGCTATGATTGCATCACTGCACCCCAGCCTGGGCCACAGAGCCTGGGACACCTCACCTCTAAAAAAAATAAAAGATTTGAAATCATTATTTTTCTTTCTTGTTTAGTGTGCTGAATGTAACATATGACATATATATCTCTTTAAATATACTTTTAACAGTTTGTTAAAGAAATTGATAATGAGAAGAGAATGAGACTTCTGCAGTTTGTTACTGGAACCTGCCGATTGCCAGTAGGAGGATTTGCTGATCTCATGGGTATGTATACAGGATCACTTTTCCTATACAGAAAATTGTTTATCATGCTGCTTTACGTAAATGTGTATACAGCCTATTAGAAACAACAAAGACAGGGATAGCCATTTTCTTAACTATTCCCAGTTAGCATGGATTTGTATAACCTTTAAAATAGTTTTTAGTACTTACCTTTGTAGAAATTTTTAACCCTCAAGCTAGAACCCACAGCTAACTCATTAGGACAGCAGTCTTCTGTATGTAAATCTGTTCATTTAGTCATTTGCCAAACATGTGTGTCTTAAGAGTCAATCACTATTGGTTGTATTATTTAACGATGTGAGAAGATCATTATATAATACAATAGTGGATTGTAGTTTTAGTATTGTGTTTAAAACCACTCTTCCCTGGGAGACTGGGAGTTCTTTGAGAAATGGATTCATATCTTCATCTTTTTATTTCTTGCCCCTGGCAAAGTGCCTGTTACACAGCAATCTGCTGCTTAAAATGAATATTAAGATGAATGACTATGGCAATATTCACTTTGTTACTAAACAGTAAATTATTTAAGTAAATTCAAGTATTTCCTTAATACCAACATTATCCCAAGTATCATAGGAGGATACACAGAGAAGTTAAGATCCCAAAGCCTGCTTCAGACTGAAGCAGAGAGTCAAAATTAGAACTAAGCAGGTAATTTTGAATACAGAACATGGAACCAGTTTAGAAAGTACTTTAAAAGCCAGAAAAAGAATTTGGATATTACCGTGAGGGTATTGGAAGCTGTGGAACTTTTTGAAGAGAGGAAAACTTGCTCAAGCTGCATTTAGGAAGATTTGATAGGAAGATACAGTGTGGATTAAAAGATGGTGAGGACCTAGAGATAAGAAGAAATCATTGCAGCAATGATGAGAACCTGATCTCAGGAGATGAAAGTAGAAATAGAAAAGAGGGGGTAGATACTAGGTAAAGTTCCAAAGGAGAAACAGGTAGAGAGCTTAATAGAAAATGAAGTATAAGAGAGGGGTATCAGCAATAATTGTCATGTTATGGAACATGGAGCAATGGAGAAGTTAGGAAGTATAAAGAGTATGCATCGTTGTAGATGTTGGGGGAGGATGCTGAGCAGCTTAGAACCTGCTGAATTTAAGGTAACTGCTGGACAACCAAGTAGAAAACCCCAGGGAAGCAGCTGTAGAGGTAACAATATATGAGTTAGAGTTAAGAGGAAACAGAAGAAGTTGAATCATCAGAGCAGTGACATTTGATGCTGTGAGAATGTGTGGTCTTAGGCAGAAATAGAATACAGAGAGGAGTAGAAGGCTAATGCCTAGAACCATCTGCATGTAGGGATAAGACAGAAGGAGATAGCCTAGGCCAGGCACAGCCTCACGCCTATAATTCCAGCACTTTAGGAGGCTGAGCTGGGTGGATCGCTTGAGCTCAGGAGTTTGAGAACAGCTGGGACGACATGGTGAGACCCCGTCTCTACTAAAAATACAAAAATTAGCCGGGCGTGTTGACGCACACTTGTAGCCCTGGCTACTGGGAAGGCTGAGGCAGGGAGAATCGCTTGAACCCGGGAGGCAGAGGTTGCAGTGAGCTGAGATCGTGCCACTGCACTCCAGCCTGGGAAACAGAGTGAGACTCCATCTCAAAGGAAAAGAAAAGATGGAATTAGTCTGGAAGCCAATTTAAAGGAGAGACCAGAGAGTGAAAAGAAGAAAGAAATAGTATACTGTCTGAGAAGCAATTAGAAGGAATTTTTTTCTTCAGTGCTACAGAGAGGTCTCAGAAGGGTGATTTCTAGGAAAGTTTTTGTTAGGAGACAGAAACAGTGAGATTGTGGTTTGGAGAATTTTAGAGGCTATCTAGTTTATTTTGTTTGTTTTAGTTTCAAATCTTTATTCTTTTTTACTTTTTAAATTATTCTTAATTGACATAATTGTACACATTTAGGGGTACAGTTTTTATTTTGATACATGTATACAATATATAATGATCAAATTGGGGTAATTAGGATATCCATCACCTCAAACATTTATCAATTCTTTGTGTTGGGAACATTCAAAACTCACTTTTCTAACTATTTATAAACATACAGTCCAGGTGCAGTGGTTCACACCTGTAATCCCAGCACTTTGGGAGGCTGAGGCAGGAGGAACACACGAGCCCAGGGGTTTGAGACAAGCCTGGGCAATATAGGGAAACCCTGTCTCTACAGAAAATTTAGAAGTTAGCTGAGCGTGGTGGTACATGCCTGTAGTCCCTGCTATTCAGGAGGTTGAGGTGGGAGGATCACTTGAGCCTTGGAGGTGAAGGTTGCAGTGAGCCAAGGTCATGCCACTGCACTACAGTCTCAGTGACAGAGTGAGACCCTATCTTAAAAATACATACACTGGGCGCGGTGGCTCACGCCTGTAATCCCAGCACGTTGGGAGGCCGAGGCAGGCGGATCACCTGAGGTCAGGAGTTCGAGACCAGCCTGGCCATCGTGGTAAATCCCCTTCTCTACGAAAAATACAAAAAAAAAAAAAAAAAATTAGCCAGGTGAGGTGGTGGGAGCCTGTAATCCCAGCTACTTGGGAGGCTGAGGCAGGAGAATCACTTGAACCTGGGAGGCAGAGGTTGCAGTGAGTCGAGATTATGCCACTACATTCCAGCCTGGGCGACAAGAACAAAACTCCAACTCAAAAATAAATAAATAAATAAATAAATAAAATATATATATATATATATATATACACACGCACACACACACACGGTAAATTGTTGTTGATTATAGTCATTGTATAGTGCTATAGAACACTAGAACTTATTCTTCCTGCCGATCTGTACTTGTGCATCTATTAACCAACCTTTGGCTCTCCCCTCATTCCTGCCACCCTTCTGTAGTAACCACTGTTGCACTTTGTACTTCTATGAGATCGGCTTTCTTAGCTTTCACGAGTGACAGCATGTAGTATTTATCTTTTTGTGCTTGGCTTATGTCACTTAAAACGTCCTCCATGTTCATCTATGTTGTCATAAATGACAGAATTTTGCTTTTTTAAAAAATGTCTGAAGTATTCCAGTTTGTTTATACACCACATTTTCTTTATCCGTTTACCTGATTATGGACACATAAGTTGATTCCCTATCTTGGCCCTTGTGAATGGTGCTGCAGTAGACATGGGAGTGCAGATGTCTGTTCGACATACTGATTTCCTTTTCTTTAGATGAATGCCCCATAGTGGGATTGCTGGATCATATGGTTGTTGGGCGGCTGAGATGGGTGGATCTCTTAAGGCCAGGAGTTTGAGATCAGCCTGGTCAACATAGTGAAACCCTGTCTCTACTGAAAATACTAAAAAAAAAAAAAAAAAAAAAAAAAAATTAGCTGAGAGTGGTGGTACACGCCTGTAATCCCAGCTGCTTGGGAGGCTGAGGCACAACAATTGCTTGAAACTGGGAGGCAGAGGTTGCACTCTAGCCTGGGTGACAGAGCAATACTCTGTCTCAAGAAGTTAAGAAGAAGAATTTACATCCCTGCCAACAGTATATAAGAGTTCCTCTTTTTCCACATCCTTGCCAGCATTTGTTATTTTTTAATCTGTAACAGTTATTCTAACTGAGGTGAGATGATAGTTCATTGTGGTTTTGATTTGCATCTCCCTGATGATTAGTTATGTTTAACATTGTTATTTTGAGAGATATCTATTTAGCTCATATCCCATTTTTTAATGCATTGTTTTTCTTCTTTTTTGCTGTTGAGTTCTTGTATATTCTGGATATTCTTTGTTGGATGAATTGTTTGCATATACTTTCTCCCATTCTGCAGATTGTCTCTACACTGTGTTGATTGTTTCCTTTGCTATGCCAAAGCTTTTTAGTTTCATATAACCCAATTTGTCTATTTTTATTTTTGTTGCCTGTGCTTTTTATGTCCTCTTTATAAAATCTTGGCTCAGGGCCAGGTGTGGTGGCTCGTGCCTGTAGGCCCAGCACTTTGGGAGGCCGAGACGGGTGGATCACCTGAGGTCGGGAGTTCAAGACCAGCCTGACCATGGAGAAACCCTGTCTCTACTAAAAATACAAAAATTAGCTGGGCGTGGTGGCGCGTGCCTGTCATCCCAACTACTCAGGAGGCTGAGGCAGGAGAATCACTTGAACCCAGGAGGCGGAGGTTGAGGTGAGCCGAGATCGTGCCATTGCACTCCAGCCTGGGCAAGAAGAGCAACACTCCATCTCAAAAAAAAAAAAAAAAAAGAAAAGAGAAAAGAAAAATCTTTGCTCAGACCTGTGCCCTGAAGCATTTTTCCTGTTTAATCCATTTTGAGTTGATTTTTGTACGTTATGAGAGAAAGGGGTCTACTTTCATTTTTAGCATATAGATTTCTGTTATTCCAGTACCATTTATTGAAGAGAGTGTCCTTTCCCCCAATGATTGTTCTTTTTTTTTGAGACAGAGTCTCACTCCGTTGCCCAGGCTGGAGTACAGTGGCGAGATCTCGGCTCCCCACAACCTCCGCCTCCCAGGATCAAGCAATTCTCTTGCCTTAGCCTCCTGAGTAGCTGGGATTGCAGGCACGCACCACCACACCTGGCTAGTTTTTTTATTTTTAATAGAGATAGGGTTTCTCTATGTTGGTCAGGCTGGTCTTGAACTCCTAACCTTGTGATCTGCCTGCCTCAGCCTCCCAAAGTGCTGGGATTACAGGCATGAGCCACTGTGCCCAGCCAATGATTGTTCTTAGTGTCTTTATTGAAAATCAGTTGGATGTAAATATGTGGGTTTGTTTCTGGGTTCTCTCTTCTGTTCCACTGGTCTATGTGTCTGCTATTATGCCAGTACCATGCTGTATTGGTTACTATAGCTTTGTTGTATATCTTGAAGTCCAGTAGTGTGATGCCTCCAGCTTTTTGTTCAGAATGGCTTTGGCTATTCAGGATCCTTTGTAGTTCAGTATGAGTTTTAGGATTGTTTTTTCTATTTCTGTGAAGAATGTCATTGGTTGTTTTTGTTTTTGTTTTTGTTTTTTGAGATGGAATGTATCACTCTGTCACCCAGGCTGGAGTGCAGTGGCACATTCTCAGTTCACTGCAACCTCTGCCTCCCGGGTTCAAGTGATTCTTGTGCCTCAGCCTCCCAAGTAGCTGGGATTACAGGCATATGCCACCACACCCAGCCACTTTCTGTATTTTTAGTAGAGATGGCATTTCGCCATGTGACTGGTCTGGTCTTGCACTCCTGAACTCCGGTGATCCGCCCACCTTGGCCTCCCAAAGTGATGGGATTACAGGCATGAGCCACTACACCCAGCCGTCATTGGTATTTCTGTAGGGATTGCATTGAATCTGTAGAAATTTTTAATAGTACGGTTATTAGTGGAGTATTAATTTTTCAACCCATGAACATGGGATGTCTTTACATTTTTTGTGTGTTTTCTTCAGTTTCTTTTGTCAGTGTTTTATAGTTTTTGCTGTAGAGATCGTTCACCTCCTTGGTTAAATTTATTTCTAGGTTTTTGTTGTTTGTAGCTATTGTAAGTAGGATTGCTTTCTTGATTTCTTTTTCTTCTAGTTTGTTGTTTTATAGAAACGCTGCTGATTTTTGTATGTTGATTTTGTATCCTACAACTTTACTTAATGTGTTTATCAGTTCCAATAATTTTTTATTGGTGGAGTTTTTAAGGTTTTCTGTATATAAGGTCATGTTGTCTGCGAACAGGTATAGTTCAACTTCTTCCTAATTCTGATGCCCTTTATTTCTTTCTCTTATCTAATTGCTTTGGCTGGGACTTCCAGCAGTTTGTTGAATAAATGTGGTGAAAGTGGGCACCCTTGTCTTGTTCCATATCTTGGAGGAAAAGCTTTTAGTTTTCTCTGTTCAGTATGATGTTGGCTGTGGATTTGTAATATATAGCCTTTATTATGTTCAGGTACATTCCTTCTGTGCCTAACTTGTTGAGAGTTTTTCTTATGAAGTGATGTTGGATTTTATTAAATATTTTTTCTGCATCTATTGAGAAGATCATATGGTTTAGCCCATCATTCTGTTGATATACTTTGTTATGTTCATTGATTTGTATATGTTGAACCATCCTTGCAACCTTTGGATCTTTTTAATGTGTTGCTGAATTTGATTTGCTTGTATTTCATTGAGGATTTTTGCATCTGTGTTCATCAAGGATATTGGCCTATAGTTTTCTTTTCTTTTCTTTTCCTCCTTTTTTTTTGTTTTTGTTTCTTGTATCCTTGTCTAGTTTTGGTATCAGGGTAACGCTGGCCTTGTAGAATGAGTTTCAAAAAATTCTCTCTTCTATTTTCTGGAAGAGCTTGAAAAGAATTGGTATTAGTTCTTCTTTAAATGTTTGTTAGAATTCCATTGGTTCCTAGACTTTTGTTTTCTTTGATGGGAGACTTTTTTTTTTTTTCTTGAGACAGAGTCTTGCTCTTTCACCCAGGCTGGAACGCAGTGGCACGATCTCGGCTCACTGCAACCTCCGCCTCACAGGTTCACACCATTCTCCTGCCTCAGCCTCCCGAGTAACTGGGACTACAGGCGCCTGCCACCATGCTCGGCTAATTTTTTGTCTTTTTAGTAGAGACGGGGTTTCACCGCGTTAGCCAGGATGGTCTCGATGTCCTGACCTTGTGATCCGCCCGCCTTGGACTCCCAAAGTGCTGGGATTACAGGCGTGAGCCACTGTGCCCAGCTTTTTTTTTTTTTTTTTTTTTTTTTTTTTTTTTTGAGACAGTCTTGCTCTGACACCCAGGCTGGAGTGCAAATGGGAGACTTTTTATTACAGATTCAGTCATGTTACTTATAATTGATCTTTTCAGCTTTTCTGCTTTTTCTTGGTTCAGTCTTGGTAGGTTGTATGTGTCCAGGAATGTATCAATTTCCATAGGTTTTCTAAGTTGGTGTGTAGTTCATAATAATTTCTAAAGGTCCTTTGTATTTCTGTGGTGTCAGTTGTAATGTCTCCCTTTTCGTTTCTGATTTCATTTATTTGGGTCTTTTCTTGGTTAGTTTAGCTAATGGTTTGTCAATTTTGTTTATCCTTTCAGAAAAAAAAAACAACTTTTCATTTCATCTATCTTTTGTCTTCATTTTTAGCCTCATTTTTGTTTATTTCTGTTTTGATCTTTATTATTTCTTTCCTTCTAGTAATTTTGGGTTTGCTTTGTTCTTTTCTGGTTTCTCAAAGTGTATCATTAGGTCATTTGTTTAAAATCTTTCCACTTTTTTGATGTAGGCATTTATTGCTATAACATTACCTTTTAATATTGGTTTTGCTATATTTTATAATTTTCAATATATTGTGTTTCCATTTGCATTTGTTTCATGGAATTTTTAAATTTCCTTTTACATTTCCCCATTGGTCATTCTGGAGCACGTTTAATTACCATGTATTTATACAATTTTGAAAGTTCCTCTTTTTATTGATTTCTAGTCTTACTCCATTGTGTTCAGAAAATATATTTGACATTATGACTTCAGTTCTTTTAAATTTGTTGAGACTTGTTTTGGGTCTTAATATGTGGTTTCCCCAGGAGAATGTTCCATGTGCTGATGACAAGAATGTGTATTCTGAAGCTGTTGGATGAAATGTTCTATGAATGACTGTTAGGTTCATTTGGTCTGAAGTACAGTTTAAATCCAATGTTTCTTTGTTGATTTTCTGTCTAGATGATCTATCCAGTGCTAAGAGTGGATATTGAAGTCCCCAACTAGTATTGGAGTCTGTCTTTCCCTTTTAATATAATAATATTTCCTTTTTATATCTGGGTTCTTTGGTGTTGGGTGCATATATAACTCTCATATCCTCTTGTTGAATTGGTCCCTTTATCATTATAGAATGCCCTTTGTCTCTTTTTATAGTTTTTGATTTAAAGTCTGTTTGCCTGATATATGTATAGCTACTCCTGCTCACTTTGGATTTCCATTTCCATGAAATATCTTTTTCATCCCTTCCTTTTCAGTCTGTATGTGTCTTTACGGGTAAAGCAAGTTTCTTGGAGGCAGCATATGATAGTTGGGTCATTTTTCTTTTTAAATCTATTCAGCCAGTCTATATCTTTTTAGTAGGGAATTTATCCACTTATATTCAAGGTTATTACTGATAGATCAGGACTTACTCCTGTCATTTTTAAAATTACTTTCTGGTTGCTTTATATATCCGTCGTTCCTTTCTTTCTCTCATTGTTTATCATTATGGTTTTTGTGGTTTTCTATAGTGCTAAGGTTTGGTTCTTTTTTCCCTTAGTGTATCTGCTCTACCAGAGTGTTATATTAATACTTTTTGTGTATTTTCATGAGAGTGATTATCATCTTTTCACTTCCAGATGTGGGAGTCCGTTGAGCATTTTTCATAAGGTGATGAATTCCTTCTATTTCCCCATGTCTGGGAAATACTGTATTTCTCCTGTATGTCTGAAGGATGGTTTTGCTGGGTATAGTAATCTTGGCTGCCAATTTTTTTCTTGCAGTACTTTGAATATTATCTCATTCTCTCCTGGTCTGTAAGGTTTCTGCAGAGGCAGCCATCTAGTTTAAACTTCCACCCAGCACAGGAAGAGAAAGTTTTAGAGGTGGTGTATGTAATTCTTTAATGGGATGCTTCTTGACCTTGGGGATGGATCCAACATCCCACTTTTATTAATATATATTCATAATATCCCCTTTAATACACTGATTTATGGATGAAATAACCTATTGACAATCCCTAGAAAATACTTATACATAGCCTTAACTGTAATATAAGGGATTAAATTTTTTAGGTAATTTATAATGAAATAATATGTGTTTTAATACATGTCTATTTGGGGACAACTATGTTAGAAGATATACCTAAGAAGTCAAATATTTGTTCCTACTTATAAGAAAAGGTTTAAGACAAGATCAAAAGCCATTCTCTATAAGAAGTACTGGAAGGGCTGAGTGCGGTGGCTCACGCCTGTAATCCCAGCACTTTGGGAGGCTGAGGCGGGCGGATCACCTGAGGTTGGGAGTTCGAGACCAGCCTGACCAACATGGAGAAACCGTATCTCTACTGAAAATACAAAATTAGCCAGGCGTGGTGGCACATGCCTGTAATCCCAGCTACTCAGGAGGCTGAGGCAGGAGAATCGCTTGAACCTGGGAGGCAGAGGTTGCAGTGAGCCAAGATCGTACCATTGCACTCCAGCCTGGGCAACAAGAGCGAAACTCCATCTCTCAAAAAAAAAAAAAAAAAGACAAGTAGTACTGGAAAATAAAAGAACAGATGAGAAAGATAAATAATAGACTTAAGTATATGTGATAACAAAAGGAGGGAAGTAACCTAAATAAAGTATGAATAATACACCTGCAAAAATAAATTATAGATGGTCAAGGTGGAGAAAAATGAGGTAGATCTTAAAAGCATAGTATCAGAATATATCTCCTGTCATGAAATTCTACTATAGGCCAAGGCTCTAACATGTAAAAAAGCCTCGGAGACCATAACATTTGAAAGGTGGCTGAAAATAGGAACATAGGTACAAAAGTCTACACAGAAGTTGTATGGTTTAGGGACAGTGTCAGAGTTTTTAATATTTGATTTTAAATCTATTAAAAGCAATTCAGAATCCTTTCTGTTACATACTAATGTGCATTATTAAATGAAACTCCTTTCCATCTATGTAGTTAAATATGCTGCTAGGTATGGTGGGCACACATCTGTAGTCCCAGTTATTTGGAGGCTGAGGCAGGAGAATTGCTGGAGCCCAAGATTTCAAGCCTGTAGTGCACTATAACTGCTTCTGTGAACAGCCACTGCACTTAAGCATGGGCAACATAGTGATACCCTGTGTCTTAAAAAAAAAAAAAATTTATAAAAAATGAAATGTGACCAGGTACAGTGACTCACACCTGTAATCCCAGCACTTTGGGAGGCCGAGACGGTTGGGTCACTTGAGGTCAGGAGTTCAAGACCAGCCTGGCCAACATAGTGAAACCCCATCTCTACTAAAAATACAAAATTAGCCGGGTGTGGTAGTGGGCACCTGTAATCCCAGCTACTCGGGAGGCTGAGGCAGGAGAATCACTTGAACCTGGGAGGCGGAGGTTGTGGTGAGCCAAGATTGCTCCACTGCACTCCAGCCTGGGAGACTCCGCCTCAAAAAAAAAAAGAAAATGCTATAAAATATTGAGTAGAGGGTGGACATGATGGCTCATGCCTGTAATCCCAACACTTTGGGAGGCCAAGGTGGGTTGATCACTTGAGGCCAGGAGTTCAAGACCAGCCTGGCCAACATGGTAAAACCCCATCTTTACTAAAAATACAAAAATTAGTTGGGTGTGGTGGTGCACATCTGTAATCACAGCTACTCTAAGGCATGAGAATTGCTTGAACCCAGGAGGCGGAGGTTGCATTGAGCCAAGATTGTGCCACTGCCATCCAGCCAGGGTGACAGAGTGAGACTCTGTCTCAAAAAATATATATATTGAGTAGAGAGAACATGCAGAGTGAGTTAATTTTAATTTATGTGTTGAACACCACAGAATAATTTTAACTGTGTTTTTTTATAACGTTTCCTATATTACTGGACTTTTTACATAACTACTTGTGAAAACAATTCAGTGTTATTAAATACAAAAGCACTAACAATTTATATTGGGTATACTTAGTATACAGGGTTTAGTCAGGTGGGACATGAGAAAGTTCTTTGTGTCTGACAGTGTCACACATTACAGAACAGTTAGCGTTCCTGCCCCCTTCTAATTAAAATATCTAGTAGCATTACCAGTCATTGAGACCAACAATAAATGCTTCCTAGGGAAAAGTAATGATCTTTTAAAAAACTGGTGTTTTTATGATCACTTTTCACAGCTATCTCCAGCAGCAGGTAAATGAGGGGCAAGTATTTTATGTTTATACTTGTATCTGTTTTTGTAAGGGTATGCCCTACAGGACCTGTAAGTTCCAGCATTAATAATATGGAATTCACTAGGATATTTACATTTCACAAAGTTTTATTAATTCTGTATTTAAATCAAGTTTTATTGTAGTTTCGTTATTGTCTTTCAAACTACTAAAATTAAGCTTTTTGTGTGTTCTTGTGTAAGCTTTTATTAATCATAACAATGTGTTATTCCGGCTAAAGAATGCTAGATGAAACTGCATTTTCTCCTTTGGGACTTATATTAACAAACTATAGTCTTCAAACTTTTACACTTACCAGAATCACCCGGAAGCTTGTTAAAGCACATATTGCTGAGCCTGACCCCTAGAGTTTCTTTTTTGTTTGTTGGTTGCTTTTGGGTTTTTTGGGTTTTTTTTTTTTTTTGGTTTTTTTTTTTTTGGTTTTTTTTTTTTTTGAGATAGGGTCTCGTTCTGTCACCCGGGCGAGAGTGTAGTGGCGCAATCTTGAGTCACTGCAACTTTGCTGCACAGATTCAAGCAATTCTCCTGCCTCAGTCTCCTGAGTAGCTGGGATTACAGGCATACGCCACCACACTTGGCTAGTTTTTGTATTTTTAGTAGAGATCAAGATTCACCATATTGGCCAGGCTGATCTTGAACTCCTGACCTCAAGTGAGCTGCCCACCTTTGCCTCTCAAAGTACTGGGATAACAGACATGAGCCACCACACCTAACCCAGAGTTTCTGAATTAGTAAGATGATGTGTGGGGCCTGAGGATTTATGGTTCTAACAAGTTCCCTCATGATGCTGATGCTTGTTGGATTGGGGAACACAGTTTGAGATCCACTATACTAACAAACTGTTTATGATTTCATTATGTTTTAGGGAGCAATGGACCACAGAAATTCTGCATTGAAAAAGTTGGGAAAGAAAATTGGCTACCCAGAAGTCATACCTGGTAAGTACAATCAGAATGGATAGAGAAAACAGCTTTTGTCCAGTTATCTGTAGCTATTTAAAGCCAGCTAGAAATTAAAAATGATATTTAGTAGATTTACAGAATAGCACAGCCATCATAGCAATCCAGTTTAAGAGCATTTTGTTCACCCCTGTATGATTCCTTACAACTATTTGCAATCAATTCCTTTTTTCACATCTGAATTTTTTTTCTAATGTGGGATTTAGAGTTATTTTAACTTTTCTCTGAGGGCAGCAAAAGAAAGTTAGGAGACCTACTTTCTAACATCATGACCACAAATATTCTCATTTGAAATCTAATTACATTTCTAAAAATGTAGAAAACTAAATCTAATCCTAATCTGACAGCAAATATATTAATATTTTGGAATTCAACCTAATGTCAACAATATTTGAACCTTATTTTGTGGGATATATTTTAGTGGTCACATATGGTCCTTCCTGGATATCTGACCTCTTTACTGTTTTACTAATGTCTATTCCTTTTTGTTTTTATACATAATGTTTTGTACATGCATGTAGTGTTTAAGTAACAATTTTATTGATATATAATTTACAGATTATAAAACTCACCTTCTTAAATTATGCAGTTCGGTTCAGTGGGGTTTTTTTGTTTGTTTGTTTGTTTGTTTGTTTTTGAGACAGGGTCTCACTTTGTAGACCAGGCTGGAGTGCAGTGGTTTGATCTCAGCTCACTGCAACCTCCGCCTCCCAGGTTCAAGCAATTCTCTTGCCTCAGCCTCCCAAGCAGCTGGGATTACAGGCGCCCGTGACCACGCCCAGCTAATTTTTGTATTTTTAGTACAGATGGGGTTTCGCCATGTTGGTCAGGCCGGTCTCAAACTCCTGATCTCAGGTGATCCACCCACCTCGGCCTCCCAAAGTGTTGGGATTACAGGTGTGAGCTGCCGCATCTGGCCTGTTCAGTGATTTTAGCATATTTATGAGGTTATGTAAGCATCATTACTGTCTAATTCCAGAATTTTTTCACCCTCCCAAAAATCCATGTACCCATTAGCAGTCACTCCCTTTTTACCCCGTGTAGCCCTTGGTAACCACTAATCTACTTTCTGTCTCTATGAATTTTCCTGTTCTGGACATTTCATATAAAATGAATCATACGATAAATATATAACTTTTTTTTTTTTGGAGACAGTCTCTCTCTGTCACCCAGGCTGGAGTGCAGTGGCGTGATCTCAGCTCATTGCAACCTCTGCCTCCTGGGTTCAAGTGATTCTCCTGCCTCAGCCTCCCGAGTAGCTGGGACTATAGGCAGCATGCACCACCACGCATGGCTAATTTTTGTATTTTTAGTAGAGACGGGGTTTCACCATGTTCGCCAGGCTGTTCTTGAACTCCTGACCTCGTGATCCACCCACTTTGGCCTCCCAAAGTCCTGGGATTACAGGCGTGAGCCACTGCCCCCAGCCAAAATATACAACCTTTTGTGTGTAGCTTCTTTTACTTAGCATGTTTTCAAGGTTCATCCATGGTCTAGCATATACAGTATTTCATTCCTTTTTAAAATTAATTGTTGGGTTTAATATACATAACATAGAATTTACCATTTTTAAGTGTGTACAGTTCAGTGGCATTAAGTGCATTCATATCATTATGCAGTCATCACCATCACCTATCTCCAAAAATTGTTTCTTTTGTTGAGACATGTCTCAGTCTGTCACCCAGGCTGGAGTGCTGTAGCTCAATCTCCACTCATGCACCCTCCACCTCCCGGGCTCAAACTGTCCTCCTACCTTAGCCTCCCAAGTAGCTGGGACGACAGGCATGTGCTACCACACCTGGCCAATTTCTAAACTTTTTGTAGAGACAGAGTCTTACTTTGTTGCTCAGGCTGGTCTCGACCTCTTGAGCTCAAGCAATACTCCTGCTTTGACCTCCCAAAGTGCTGGAATTACAGGCCATCATGCCAGACCTAAAACATTTTTCATCTTGTAAAATTGAAATGGTACCCATTAAAGCAGGGGTCCCCAACTCCTGGTCCCCAGCCTGTTAGGAACTGGGCTGCACAGCAGGAGGTAAGTGGAGGGTGAATGAGCATTACCTGCTGAGCTCCACCACTTGTCAGATCAGCAGAGGCATTAGATTCTCATAGGAGCAATAACTATTGTGAACTGTGCATGTGAGGGATCTAGATTGTGCATTCCTTACGAGAATCTAACCTGAGGTGGAACAGTTTCATCCTGAAACCATCCCCCTCTCCACTCCTGTCCATGGAAAAATTGTCTTCCACAAAACCATTGCCTGGTGCCAAAAAGGCTGGAGACTGCTGCTTTAAACAATGACTCCCCATGACTCCCTTTCCCCAGGTCCTGGCAAACATCATTCTACTACTGTTTCTATGATTCTTTAGTACTTCGTAAGTGTAGAATCGTACCTTATTTGTCCTTTCCTGGCTGGCTTATTTCACTTAGAATAATATCTTTAATTTTCATCCATGTTGTAGCATGTGTCAGCATTTCCTCCTTTTTAATGCTGAATAATATTTGATAGTCTGGATATACTACATTTTGTTTATACATTCATCTGTCCATGGACACTTAGATTATTTCCACCTTTTGGCTGTTTATGCTGCTATAAACATAGGTATACTGTGGTAGAATATAGATATATCTGTCCATGGCCCTGCTTTCAGTTGTTTTGGGTATATACCCAGAGGTGGAATTCCTTGATCATGTAGTAATTCTATTTTTAATTTTTTGGGGGAATCTCGCCATACTGTTTTCCATAGTGACTACACTGCGTTATATTCCTACCTGTAGTGCAGAGGGGCTCCAATTTCTCCACATCCTCACATCCTTTTCAACTCTTGTTTTCTTCTGTTTTTTTTTTTTTTTTTTTTTTTTTTGGTTGTTGTTGTTGTTGTTTTGGTGTTTTAAATAATAGCCATCCCAACAGGTGTGAAGTGGTATCTCATTGTGGTTTTTATTTGCATGGTAAAGGATGTTGAGCATTTTTTTAATGTGCTTATTGGTCATTTGTATGTCTTTGGAGAAATCTCTATCCTTTGTTCATTTTTAAATATTGTTGAGTTTTAAGTTTTTTATATATTTTGGATACCAGTCCTTTATCAGATATATGATTTACAAATATTTTTTCCCATTTTTGGGTTATTTCACTTTCTTGATGGTATCCTTTGAAGCACAGTAGTATATTTTTGTGCTTCTATAGTAGTGTATAAAGTAGTATACTACACTACTCATTTGATTCTTTGCATATTTCCTTTTCTCAAACTAACAATTCTTGCTTTTAGTTTTAATCGCCTGGACCTGCCACCATACAAGAGCTATGAGCAACTGAAGGAAAAGCTGTTGTTTGCCATAGAAGAAACAGAAGGATTTGGACAAGAGTAACTTCTGAGAACTTGCACCATGAATGGGCAAGAACTTATTTGCAATGTTTGTCCTTCTCTGCCTGTTGCACATCTTGTAAAATTGGACAATGGCTCTTTAGAGAGTTATCTGAGTGTAAGTAAATTAATGTTCTCATTTAGATTTATCTCCCAGTGATTTCTACTCAGCGTTTCCAGAAATCAGGTCTGCAAATGACTAGTCAGAACCTTGCTTAACATGAGATTTTAACACAACAATGAAATTTGCCTTGTCTTATTCCACTAGTTTATTCCTTTAACAACAATATTTTATGTGTGTCAAAAGTCTCACTTGGGAGTAGTGTTTTTTTCTTTTAGACATTCTGCAGACATGCAGGGAAGTCCTTTGGTAACTGCAATATACAAGATTTTCCTATTAAGCCTCTTGGTAAGAGGCATTTGTTAAAAGTGCAAGCTTACTCCTGCTTCTGGGGATGTGAGCAAAATTCGGGCTTGTGTTCTCCCTCTCATTTTAGTCTGACTTGACTATTGTTTTTCCTTTCTGGCGCATGAATCCATACATCATTCCTGGAAGTGAGGCAAGACTCTTGCATCTCTACAAAGTAGTTTTGTCAATTTGAATTCAGGGAAAAGTTGGTCACAGCCTGCAAATGACTTCATTTGGAAGTCTGATTGTTTCAGTTGCCTGACAAATACTACACTTTACAAACAATGTTAACACTGTGATTCCTTCATTGTTTTAAGAAGTTAACCTAGGGCCGGGCATGGTGGCTCATACCTGTAATCCTAGCACTCTGGGAGGCCGAGGCAGGAGGATCCCTTTAGCCCAGGAGTTAAAGACCAGCCTGGGCAACATAGGGAGACCCTGTCTTTTTTTTGGGCAGCGTGGTGGGGGATAAATAAATAAAAGGAAAAAAAACTTAGCCTAGAATTAGAATTAATTTAATTGAATTCATCTAAAGATGTCTCTGGTGATTTTTATATGTTCCGCTATATAATTGATGCTTTATAGTTTTATCATAATCCAACAACTTCAGTTATATTTAATTATTGTTAAGGAGTTTAAGACTAGAAAGACTAGAGTGCTTTCTAGTCCAAATAGAGGTCAGTGAAACAGCTTTTGACATCAGATTTTCATTTGAGAGGGAGAGCTGTGGTACTGGCTAAAAAGAAAGGAAGATAACATCCAGTAACCACAGGAATATATTCTCTGTGAATTAAAAGTCTTCAAAGTTATCATTTCTCTGACATATGTTGGAGTAGTCATTTCCATTCTTTACATTGTCATGAACTGGATTGATAACCCTCATCTGCAATATTTTCACCCCTAAAATTTTTAACAGGGTTTCCTTTTTTTCTCACGACTATTTAAGTTTAGATTGCTCCATTATTAACTGATTAATGCACTTTGAAGTTCTCTGGAATTAATTATTTTAACTTGGCCTAGCTTCGACTGTCAAGGTGGCTGTTATAAATTTGACTTCATTGGCAGTGGATGAAGCCTAAGCCAGCTGAGTCTCTATCATAGCTGAACCCTGAGGACAGCCTCATAGCTCATGTATCAGGGACTTTTGCCACATTTCAGAGGCATAGCATGAACAAGTAATATTAAGCCAAGAATAAGCAGCAGAACCCTGTTCCATATGGAAAAAAGAAAAACAATTTTTTGTCCCTAATGTTCTTCCTTTTACATCCTGGAACAACAATAAAAACATTTTTTTAAACTTGTCTACTGTAAGATACTGCCATCATAAAGCAGAGACTTACATGAGTGAAAGGGTTGCCTCATCAAGCAGCTCAGTGTAAATGGGGAGGCTAGGCTCTCCCCAGCCCTATGGTTTTTTTATTTCATGTACCCCAGGAAATACTGTGTGGTTTCTAAAAGCCCTGGTTGTTAAAAGTAGGGACTCTGCCTTTTTGTTGGTAGGGAGAAAAAACGCTATTGCTTTGTCTTACAGAGCGAATGTCTGCCAACTACCCGTTCATTATATAAGTCTGAACTTGGTAATATATGGCTAATGAAGATTAAGCCCTCTATAAAGACTTCCTGTTGAGGTGAATTCTCATACTGAAATGTAGTTACCTACAATATTTACTAGAGATTTATGAAATTAAATTAAGAGATAATGTAAGAAAATACATTTTTTTGGTTCTATATAATGCTTCATGATTCATTTAGGGACCTAGAAATATTGTGTGAAAATATATAAATATCACCCAAAAGGCTTTCTGCCCTATATTTTTAAAATACAGAATAGTTATATTTGAAGTAGCCCTGGCCCTAGTTCTATAGGGCTTGGCTATTTAATATTTTTATGGAAGAAGTGTTTAGTTCTGGAAAAGGTAAATGCTTGTATATATTTTTGCAGCCTGGGATCTCCCTACTCCATTTTTTCCTTTAATTTAAGTGGCCACATGTATATGTCTTCCCTGCTGTGTTAGGAAAATGGGGGCTGGATATCCCAAGAATCAGAGGTTATATAAAAATACTGCAAATAGACCGCAGACATAAATATCTACCAAATGCTATCTTAAATTTTGGTCCAAACTGAACATATGGAAATAGATTTATTGTAAGTATTTACTTAGAGCTTTTTCTTAAATCTGAACTAACTTGCTTTTAGAAGTCTTTTTCTTTGTAAGCATTGTAAATGCTAATAAATCCTGTTAATTTTTTTTTTTTTTTTTTTTTTTTTTTACTGCATGTTACATTGAAATAAAAACAAAGTAAAATGAGCAATTGCCTTATTGTTCTGCTCTTTTGCAGGGGGTGGGGGTTGGGGAAGACAGCATTCCACAGCCTGGTCAGGAGGGAAGGACCTCACTTGTTTCATCAAATGGAGTGGTTTAAAACTGATCAAGCAGCTCATAATAATGAATTCCTGCTCTGTCTTTTATTATCTTATGTCAGAGTGCAGCAAAATCTCATTTCATAAGACTTACAATAACTCTATTTAAAATTCAGGTATTGTACTCGGGAGGCTGAGGTGGGAGGATCCCAGGAGTTCAAATCCTGCCTGGGCAACATAGCAAGACCCTGTCTCTTAAAAAAACAAAAAGACATATTCAGGTACTGATTTTTCATCAAGAGATTGACATACCAATGATCAGAAATTTTAGTGAAACTTGACTCAACTATACACAAAGTTCTCATCCTAAATGAACTATTTCAGTCAAGCCCACTCTACCACTTTTTACTTATCTGGTTAATAATCCGAAATGTTACCGGGGTTGACTCACGGAATTAAATTTTTCCTCTATTTTTATATCCTTTCCTGTTGTGGATGTAACTTACCTTTCTAAACTCCTTTAGAGTTAACGACTTCTATTTAGTATTGTTGGTATCTCCAGCCCCCCTCCTTTTTTTGTTTTTCTTTTAGTTATTTACTTTGTTTGTATAATTTGCTTTCATTAACTAAAAATGGAATTGGCAGCACTGGATTGTATATTACTGTATTAAGAGTACCTTTGTTTTCTTGATCTGTTACTTTTAATACTCAGGTAATGCTACAAATATTACAGGGAGTCAAATGCTTTTATAAAGTTCCTTCAGTGGTTGCCTCACTTGCGTTTTCCTACAAGATGTAAGACTGTTTATAATTAAACTTTTTTGGTCCTTCATTTGCATGCTTTTCTATCAGTCTTGGGTAAGGAGGGGTCTCTTTCCTCTCTCCCCGGCCCCACCTTCTGAGACTTATATGTGACCAGGTCACATAGATTTCTGCCTCTCTGCTTTTTTAAGTGGCAAGTTACAGCCCATCTGGATTGTGGTATTGTTCCCAGACCAAATCAAGGGTTGGACTGCTTATTCTCGCAGCCCAATAATGAGGTGCAGATGAACTGAGAAAGGAGGGAGTTTATTTCTGTAACCAGGTATGGGGAGAAAGCCTGGAAATGATCCCAAGACCAACTCAAAACTACAAAGTTTTCCAGAGCTTATTTACATTATAAGCTATATGTCTACATGTGAGTGTACATTCATCTAAAGACATAAGTGATTCACTTTTTTAAATCTATAAATAAGATCTGAGCCCTGAAGACCTTCCTCTGGAGCCTCAGTAAATTTACTTAATCTAAATGGGTCCAGGTGCTGGGGTGATTACCCTTATCTTGTTTCCTGCTAAATCATGGAGGTTTGGGGACTTCCTTCAGACCCCCAGTAAACTTGTTTGTGGAGGCCTTCAGACCCCCTCAATAAGTTCCTTCAGACCCCCAATAAAACTTGTTTAATCCTAAATGGGTTCCTTTGTTATCTTGTCATGCTTCAAGGCCCAGAAAAGGCCTGGGCAAAACCCTTGGTGGCCTTTTGTTACATTCTAGCCTTTGCATAAGGGCCCTCACTCTTTCAGCTTTTAATATTTAACTTAACCACTCAGTGCTGAAACAGTTGTTATGGAGGCCTGCGTTATTGAGATCTGGCCTGCCACGGTACGGGTAGAAAAAAACTAGAAAGAGCTGTTGCAGATGAGACTGGATTTGGTGCCCATGTTGAAGATGAAGATATCTGCAGGGGCCATCAACCAACATAAAGGCCTCCATATGAATTGCTTTTCTGAGACAACTAAAAGACCGGGACCACAGGCATGAGTGCTGAGTAGAGAACCACCAACTAGCTAGCTGTCAAGACTGTTACCAAGACTGTTCTCAACAAGCTGACCTGGTTACCAGCGTCAGTAGAACTTTGTCTTATTAGGAAGCTCAGGTGATTATGCTCTCATTTAAAACAGAACCAGTGGAGAGAGACTAAGGGAAGAGGAATTTTTTAATACGGCTGATCTAACATGGACTAGAGGACAAAAACTGCAGGCCCCTCCCAGGTCCTGAGTAGTTAGTAGACCCTATCCTGTTTATTCTGTCCAATGGAAGCTGCTAGAATGCTCTAGTTTCATTGTGGCTTAGAATAAGGGGAAAAATATGCCCCGCTAAGTGAGGGTCAATGGTCAGTAAGTAATTGTTCTTACTGGCCATTGGCTCTCATCCCAAACCCTACAAATCATCAAACTGGGACTCAGCTGTGACTGACTGGCTGTTCTCTGGACTTTTTAAGTGTCTGTCTCACATTATGTAACTCCAGTACAGGAGCTGCTCTCTCTCCCAGCCCATTTCAGTTGTCAATTCTTCCATGTTCATAGGACTCCTTTGTGATCAGGATATCTGGAGTGAGGAGCCAGGGGAATATTCCTGGTTGGCAAGGAAAAGAGGGCCTTAAACATAAATCCCAGAAGGACACTGTTGATCACTTATGCACAGGGGTCTGTTAATAAGCAAAGAGTGGCTATGGACAAGAGGATTTCCTCAAAGCACCCCACAGGGAAGGACCTTGACAATTTGTAGTCATACTTGAAAGATCACTAAAAACAGCCCTCCTGTTATTTTTCTTCTAATTCAGACCTGTTGTTCTATTTGTCTTCCATATCATAGCAACCAGTACCACACCCATATTCATTTAATACCAAAACAACTGTCAACATTTATCACTATGTGCAGGACACTGGTAGATATGCTATGTGCAGTGTCACTTAGTCTTCCTGTTATTGGTAATGATTATCTCTGTTTTACAAGAAAATAGAGGCTCAAAATGATTGAATCATGTCCACAACTATTAAGTAGAAAGAATACAGGCTGGAATCCAGGATGGTTTGACTCTAAAGCATGCATACTTTACCATTTTTGTTGTACTGCTACTTACCACAACACTGGGAGTCGAATGTGACCAATTTTGCCATTCCATTTAATTAGTCTCCAAATCCTATCTATCCCCAAAACTTTTTTTTTTTGAGATGGAGTCACGCTCTGTCGCCCAGGCTGGAGTGCAGTGGCGCAATCTCGGCTCGCTGCAACCTCCACCTCCCGGGTTCAAGTAATTCTGCCTCAGCCTCCCTAGTAGCTGGGATTACAGGTGCCCATCACCAATGCACGGCTAATTTTTGTATTTTTAGTAGAGACGGGGTTTCCCCACGTTGGCCAGGCTGGTCTCGAACTCCTGACCTCAGGTGATCCGCCCGCCTTGGCCTCCCAAGTGTTTGGATTACAGGCATGAGCCACCGCGCCTGGCCCCAAAACTTTTAAAAATCCGTTCTCTCAGAGCTGACAACATTGCCACAGCCCACGTGCTTCCTCCCTAATCTGGCTGACCATAACAGCATCCTGTCTTCATTTTTCCATCCTCCTCGCTCCAGTATATCTTCTGTACTACCTCAGGATTATCTGTGGAAGACCTGTCTCATGCCTCCTCTACCTAAAATTTTACAGTGGTTTCTCCATTACCGCAGAATAAAACTTTTTTTTCTTTTTTTTGAGACGGAGTCTTGTTCTGTCGCCCAGGCTGGAGTGCAGTGGGGCGATCTTGGCTCACTGCAACCGCCGCCTCCTGGGTTCACGCGATTCTCCTGCCTCAGCCTCCCGAATAGCTGGGGTTACAGGCGCACACCACCACCCCCGGCTAATTTTTTGTGTATTTTTAGTAGAGGGGCTTTCACTATGTTGGCCAGACTGGTCTCGAACTCCTGACCTCGTGATCCGCCCACCTTGGCCTCCCAAAGTGCTGAGATTACAGGTGTGAGCCACTGCGCCGGGCCAAAACTCTAAGCCTGCCACTCCGGGACATTCTTGGTCCTATTCCAGCTCCTCCTTCATTCTCATTTTGGCTCCTGTCACATGAACTATTGGCCATTCTCTTTTTTGCTTCTGGGATTGTAATCTGTTAAAATCCTTTCACTCCTCTCAGTCTGGTTCTCCATGGGCAAGACAGTGGTGATTCTTCCAGTGCTTATCTTCCAGGATGTTTTAGGGTCCAGTCTCTGCAGCACTTCTTCCCCTTGCTAAATGCTTTCCTAATGTTTCCAGCATTCAATAGAAATTCCTTTGGATCCAGTCCTTTTAAAAATTTATTTTGAAATAATTTTACATTTACAGAGCTGTTGCAAAAATGGTTAAGAGTTCCTGCACAGTCTTCACCCAGCTTTCTCCAATGTTATGATCCCATATAACCATGCTAGAATTACCAAAACTAATAAATTAACACTGGTAAAAATAACACTAAACTACAGCCCTTACTCAGATTTCACCAATTTTCCCACCCATGTTATTTTTCTTTCTCCTTACTCCTCTAATCTGTGACAGTTCCGCATTCATTCCTTGCTTTCATGACTTTGAGATTTTGGGGGGCGGGGGCGGGGTACAGGTATCTTGTAGAACATCCCTCACACTGGATTTAGTGAAATTTTCTCATGGTTTAAGGCTGGGAGTTTTTGTGGAAAATGACTCGGAGGTGATGTGCCCTTAACGCATTTTTATCGGGGCACACGGCATCAATATCTCCCCTTGCCAGTAATACTAACTTTGATCTGGTTACGGTGGTGTCTGCTAGGTTTCTTCGCAGTAAAGTCAATCCTCTTAACATGCAGACACTCCTGGAAGGAGAACCAAATCCTTCCTCACTGAAGAGCAGCTACTGTGGAATGAAACTTTGGAGTTAGATCATCGTTGAATCCAGCAAGCTACAGTGCCTGGGAGAAACAGCATTTATAAAGTATCGAGGTTACCGATACTTCCCTGAAGCTACCGGAGATAACGTTATGTGCGTGTTCAGCACAGTAATGTGGCACAGGGTTCACTAAACGGCAGCATGTTTTAACAGAAGTTATTTACTCCTAGAGGACCCAGAAACGTTTGCGGCCTGCCGGAACAGGACAACATAGGGCTCTGGGAAGAGTCCCCCTTTCAGAGGTGAGAACAAGACAGAACACACAGATGTGAAGTGCCTTCTGCTAGGTAACGCGAGGCGGGGCTGAGCTCGGATTCTAAAGACTCCCAGGCCAGCCCTAACCAATTCATCTCCGAGCTTGCACGGCATCTTACCCGGAGACTCGAGGTACCTGACTCCAGCCCCACCCCAGGCCTGCCCGATCCCGAAGCGCATTTTGGCCCTGGGCCTCTCTCTGGCTCAGTCTGGGCGCAAAGCGGGTCTCAGCAACCGTCCCACTTGCCTTCATACCCTCCCACCACGCTCCACTCAGGGACTCCAGAACCAGCTTAGACCTCCATTGAGAGCTGAAAGCCTCTTCCGATACCGAGAACCAGCACTGAAAGCCTCTTCCGATACCGAGAACCAGCATGGTTTTTGTTTTGTTTTGTTTTAGTCAGGGTCTCTTGCTCTGTCGCCCAGGCTGGGGTGCAGTGGCGCAATCTCGGCTCACTGCAGCCTCGAACTCCTGGTCAGGCGATCCTCCTACCTCAGCCTCTGGAGTAACTGGAACTACACGAGCGCGCCACCACGCCCGGCTAATTTTGTTTATTTTTTAGTAGAGAAGGGGTCTCTCCATGTTGCCCAGGCTGGTCTCGAACTCTTGGGCTCAAGCAATCCTTCCGACTCGGCCTCCCAAAGTGCTGGAATTACAGGCGTAAGCCACCGCGTCCAGCCAGAACCAGCATCTTTTCTGCACGGCTGGAGTTGGGAATTTTCCACAGCTTAGCGCACTGCTCCTTAGCTTTTCGCTTTGCCACAGTGGAAAGCAGATTTTCCAAGAATCCTGGCGGAGCCAAGATCGGCTCGCCCGCCCCCGCCTCACGCTGGCTCCTGATAGGCAGCTAGAGCTGTCCGTTTTGACAGAAACCTTTGCGCAGGCGCAGAAAGGCACAGGACTCGCTAAGTGTTCGCTACGCGGGGCTACCGGATCGGTCGGAAATGGTGAGCGTGCGCCGGGGTCTTGTGGCTGGCGGCCGCCCACCACCCCACGCCAGGCCTTCAGTCTTCCGAGGATGAGGGGATCTCAGAGCTCCGGACAGGGAATCGGTGGTGGCTGGGCGTGGCCGGGCCCGGGCCCCAGCCGACTTGAGGGTGGAACCCGGCGGCGGAGGCCTCTAAAGCCTGACCGAGGCGGGGCCGCCGGATCCCGCTGCCCCTTGACCGGAAGCGGGAGCCCAGCCTCGGCCAGGAAGAGATGATGGGCGAGGGGTGGGCGGCGGCCCTGCAGCCTAGAGTTTTGGGGCCTTGGTGCGCGATGGCAACCCTGGCAACGTTTCCCGGGAGCTCAGTTTGTGGCAGGCTCTGCCAAGCACTTTATGTATCTTGTATTTCCTCCGCCTCCTCCCAGCTCTGTGAGGTAGATACAATCTTTAGTCCCATTTTGTTATACATATCTGTTATTCAGCGCCCCGAGAAGCCAAGTGCTTTGCCCCAGGAAATAGTGGAGATGGATTTGAACCCTAGAAGCTTGACGGCCGCCACTCTGTCGGCGTGGTTCTTTCTAGCCGCTGGGACTGGGTGCCAGAGTCAGGAACGGGCGGGGTCTGCTCTTGGGGATCCCAAAGCTTGCTTTCTACCTTGCTTGCTGCAGCTGTGGGTTCTCAACGCCGTTACAGGTTTTGTGTTTGTAATCCTCACAGCTTGGGCAAAATTTGAAAAAGTTTCAAATTTTAAGCCATGTGAATATATTACTTTTTCAAAAATCTTATTTAGAAATCTAGAGCTTGTAATAAAAAAATTGAAAAAAGAAACCGTGTCATCACCTAGAGGCAACCACTTACAGTAGTCATATGACTTCTAGTCTTTTTTGCTTGTTTTTGGTTTATACAGTTTAGCCCCTATTGAATGTGCAATTGTGGGTTCTGTGTTTTTCATTATTACACCACAATATCTCCACATCATTACAAACATGTAATAATGCTTCAAATATGTATAACTTCATTTTTCACATCACTTCTTAAGCTGTAAAAAAAATTGATATATAATAGTTGTACACATTTATGTTGTAGATATACATGTAATATTTTGATACATGCATATGATGTGTAATGATCAAATCAGGCTATATTTATTATAGAATATCCATCACCTTAAACATTCATTATTTCTTTTTTTTTTTTTTTTTTTGAGATGGAGTGTGTCTCTGTCGCTCAGGCTGGAGTGCAGTGGCACCATCTTAGTTCACTGCCACCTCCGCCTCCCAGGTTCAAGTGATTCTCCCGCCTCAGCCTCCCGAGTAGCTGGGACTACAGGCGCCCACCACCACGCCCAGCTAATTTTTTGTATTTTTAGTAGAGACGGGGTTTCACCGTGTTAGTCCGCCTCAACACGGTGGTCTCGATCTCCTGACCTCGTGATCTGCTCGCCTCAGCCTCCCAAAGTGCTGGGATTACAGGCGTGAGCCACCACGCCTGGCCCACATTTTCTTTATCCATTTACCTATTGATGGACGCTAATTCCATAATTTAGCTATTATGAATAGTGCTGCAATATGAACATGAGGATGTAGGGATGCCTTTGATGTACTAATTTCCGTTCCTTTGAATAAATACCCAGTAGTGGTATTGCTGATTTATGGTAGGTTTTTTTTTTCGTTTTTGTTGTTGTTTTTGTTTTGTTTTGTTTTTTCGATGCCTTTGTCGAAAATCAGTTGGCCGTAAATAAGTGGATTTATTTCTGGGTCCTCTATTCTATTCCATTGGTCTGTGTTTTATACCAATACCATGCTCTTTTGGTTACTATACCTTTCTGGTATATTTTGAAATCAGGTAGTGTGATACCTCAAGCTTTGTTCTTTTCGTCCAGGCTTCTTTTGGCTTTTCTGAGTCTTTTGTGGTTCCATACGAATTTTAGGATTGTTTACAGGTAATACTTGCACACAGTAAAAAAATAAATGATGTAAAAGGATCTAAGTGAAAAATAAAATTCCCACTCTCCTAACCCCCAGTCTCAGTCTCTCCTCCTTTAGAAACAACCATTGTTAGTTTCTTTTTTTTTTTTTCTTGCAAACTTGACCCTCCTGGGCTCAAGTGATCCTCCTGCCTTAATTCCCCAAGTATCTGGGACTACTGGTGCACGCCACCACACCCTGCTAATTTTTTTGTATTTTTTTTTTGTAGAGTTGGGGTTTTGCCATGTTGCCCAGGCTGGTCTTGAACTCCTGGGCTCAAGTGATTCACCCACGTTGGCCTCCCAAAGTGTTAGGATTACAGGCGTGAGCCACCACACCCAGCTGTTAGTTTCTTATGCATCTATACAAGCACTTATATGGCCCCCCTTTTTCTTACTTAAACTGTAGCTTTCTAGAACCTGTATTATGCTACTCCGTGGTTATACTCATAAAAGCAATGCAAATTTAGATGCCTAGTTTAACTTTTTTTTTTTTTCTTTTGAAACAGAGTCTTGCCCTTTCGCCCAGGCTGGAGTGCAGTGGTGTGATCTGAGCTCACTGCAACCTCTGCCTCCCGGGTTCGAGTGATTCTCCTGCCTCAGCCTCCGGAGTAGCTGGGACTGCAGGAGCATGCCACCATGCCTGGCTAATTTTTCTATTTTTGGTAGAGACAGGGTTTTTTTTCTATTTTTAGTAGAGACAGGGTTTCACCATGTTGACCAGGCTGGTCTCAAACTCATGACCTCAGGTGATCCGCCCACCTCCGCCTCCAAAAATGCTGGGATTATGGGCGTAAACCACCATGTATGTTAACAATTTGAAGCAGTACCAGAGGATATAATATAGAAAGTTTATGTGGTCCCCATCTTACTACCCCGTGGCAACTTCTGTTGGCAGTTGGGTGTGTTTCCTTCCAGATGTGTTTGGTGCATAAGCACATTTATGTATAAGCTGTTTATTAGATGAAACTGGAATATATATATATTTGTATATGTTAACTTTACTTTAAGGCTGAAGTGGAGAGATCGCCTGAGCCCAGGAGGTCAAGGCTACAGTGAGCCGTGACTGCACCACTGCACTCCACCCTGGGTGAGAAAAAAATAAGAGAAAACAGAAGTTGACTTTAAGATATATATGTATATATCTTATTCTGCAACTTGTTCTGTTCACTTAAAAATATCACACATTTTTCTGTGTTATTATATGCAGGTCCACTTCATTCTTTTTAAGGTCTGTATCGTATCCTAGTCCCATATGTACATTTAGGTGGTGTATAGTTTTTTTATTCCAGACACTGCTGCAGTAACTGTTCTTGTCTTTTTTGCACTCATGCTAGTGGTTATGTAGGATAGATTTCTACAAGTGGCACTTTTGGCTTGCATATTTTACATTTTAGGTGGAAACTGACCTTTAGAATAATGATATAAAAATCATCTATAATTGGCCGGACACAATGGCTGACGCATATAATCCCAGCACTTTGGGAGGCCAAGGTGGGCAGATCACTTGAGGTCAGGAGTTGGAGACCAGCCTGGGCAACATGGTGAAACTCTGTCTCTACTAAAAATACGAAAAGTAGCCGGAAGCCGTGCATCTGTAATTCCAGCTGCTCAGGAGGCTGAGGCACTAGAATCGCTTGAACCCGGGAGGCGGGGGTTGCAGTGATCCGAGACCAGGCCAGTGCACTCCAGCCTGGGCAACAGAGCAAGACTCTGTCTCAAAATAAATAAATAAAATTAAAAAATAATCACATATAATTCTCCTCGTCCAGTTTCACTGTGCCACATAACTATTTTCATCTTTGTATGTTCTCCTTCCTCTTTTGTTCACATATGCATATTTTCCAAGATAATGCATGCTGAGTTTTGGGGGGATTTTTTTCTTTTTTTGTTGTTTTAATATCCAAAAACATTTAACCTTGTTGTCATATCATCTTTGTGATTAACTACTTAGTGACTACATAATACTCGGTGAAATAGTTGTACCATAATTGGCCAAATATCTTACCTGTGTACATTTGGGTTGCTCCCATTTCTTTTTGGTTTGTTTGTTTTAGAGATGGAGTCTCACTCTGTTGCCCAGACTGGAGTTCAGTGGCTCAATCTCAGCTCACTGCAACCTCTGCCTCCCAGGTTCAAGTGATTTTCCTGCCTCAGCCTCCTGAGTAGCTGGGATTAACAGGTGTGCATCATGACGCCCAGCTAATTTTTGTATTTTTTAGTAGAAACAGGGTTTCGCCATGTTGGCCAGGCTGGTCTCAAACTCCTGACCTCAGGTGATCCGCCTGCCTCAGCCTCCCAAAGTGCCAGGATTACAGGCATGAGCCACCATACCTGGCTGCTTCCATTTCTTAATTAGTAGAAATAGTGCTGTGATGATGCTTCTGTGAATATCTTGTTTTGTTTCATTTTAACTTACTTATTAGATTATTTCCTCAGGATAAAATTCTTAGGAAAATAATTTCTGAGGTGGAAGGACCAGTGCTTTTATGGTTCTTGCAATATATTGTCCTGTAGCTTTGTCAAGATTGTATTGCCCTTGCACCTGCCAGTTTTGTAATAACAATGCCAGCATTTAAAAATAAACCTCAGCATTGCTATAATTTTTCATTTCTGTCTTTTTTTTTTGAAATGGAATCTCACTCTGTTGCCCAGGCTGGAGGGCACGATCTCAGCTCACTACAAACTCTGCCTCCCAGGTTCAAGCAATTTTCCTGCCTCAGCCTCCTGAGTAGCTGGGATTACAGGCCCATGCCACCATGACGGCTAATTTTTGTATTTTTAGTAGAGACAGGGTTTCCCCATGTTGGCCAGGCTGGTCTCAAACTCCTGACCTCAAGTGATTCACCCACCTCAGTTTCCCAAAGTGCTGAGATTACAGGTGTGAGCACCACGCCCAGCTGAATTTTTCATTTGTTTGTGAGGGATGATGACCATGGTTTGATGTGATTGTAATTTCTCGTAGGCATATTTTCTACTAGTATTCTTTTGTGCACTACCTACTAGAGACTTGCTATTGTTCTTAGTCATTTTGTGTTTTTTTTTTATTTATTTTGTCTGTTATATTTGATGCAAATACTTTTCTATCCTGTTAGATTAGTTATTCTTATACAGAAGTTTTATGTTTAGTGGTCAAATTGGTCATAGTTCTTTGTCAGTCATTTGCTTCCAGTGGTCATCCCTCCTATGCTGAGCCAATGGATCCTCCTGGATCTTTATTGCTGCTTGTTTTTCCATGTGTCAGGAATGTGCATCTGGGAACTAGAGAATTGGGGAACCTTGTCTCCATCATCCCATTGCCCAGAGTGCATTTCTTTCTCATCATTTGATTCTTGGCTTAAAGATGACATACTTATGGCCGAGAATGGTGGCTCACGCCTGTAGTCCCAACAGTTTGGGAGGCCAAGGCAGTAGATCACTTGAGCCCAGGAGTTCAAGACCAGCCTGGGCAACATGTCGAAACCCCATCTCTACAAAAAATTAGCTGGGTTTGGCAGTACACATCAGTAGTCCCACGTGTTCGGGAGGCTGAAGTGGGAGGATCACTTGAGCCTGGGAGGTCAAGGCTGCAGTGAGCCATGATCGAACCATGGCACGCCTGGGTGACAGAGTGAGACCCTATCTCAAAAAAAAAAAAGATTACATCTCCTCAGGTGTTCCTGACCACATTAGCCAGAGTAGCATCCCTTGCCCCACAGCCTAGTCCCTGTATCCTGCAAGAATCTTGCTCACTTGTTTAAGTCTCTTTCACCAGAATGTGAGCTCCCTGAGGGCAGGGACCTCCTCAGTTGTGGTCACCAGTATATTCAGCTCTTCTGTTGACCTGCAGTGTGTTCTTGGGCAAAACCCTTCTCCTTTCCAAACCTGTTTCCCCATCACTAACATGGAGATCATACTAACCCATGAATGGGAGTTTCAGAAGAGAGCATGTGTCTGAAAGCAATATATGACCCATAGTAGGCGCTGAGTAGGGAAATTATACCTATGTGTCCTCCCATTCCTGATAGATGTGTGAGATGTGTGTTTACTTTTCTTTTTTCTTTCTTTCTTTTTTCTTTTTCTTTTTTTTTTTTTTTTTTTTTTGATGAGTCTTACACTCTGTTTTCCAGGCTGGAGTGCAATGGCGCGATCATGGCTCACTGCAGCCTCGGCCTCCTGGGCTCAGGCAATCCTTTCACCTCAGCCTCCCAACTAGCTGGGACTGCAGGCACACGACACCACGCATGGTTAATTTTTTTTATCTTTTGTAGAGACGAAGCTTCACCATGTTGCCCAGGCTGGTCTCAAACTCCTGGGCTCAAGCAGTCTACCTGCTTTGGTCCCCCAAAGTGCTGGGATTACAGGCATGAGCCACTGTGCCCAGCCCATGTTTACTTTTAAACAGCCAGATCTTAGTATCTGGTTCTCGTTGAGTTTCAGATCACCTAAACCTTAGCTCTTTTTCACACTGTGGACTGTGAGGCCATGTCCCCCTCCTGTACTTAAAAAGGTTGATTTCGTGAAACATAGTTGCAGAAATGCTTTTTATTTGTTCCTTCAGTATTTATTGAGCCTATCCTATGCGAGGTACTGGGGCTATAAAGTCTGGTCTGGTTTCCTGATTCCAGGGTGCCTTGCGTCTGGAGGAGGAGATGAACGTGACCTAAACAGTTGCACTGCATTGTGGTCAGTGCTGCGAAGGCTGGGGGCCTCGGTGCCCAGTAGAGGGGCTGATGTCAGAGAAGCCTCCTGCGGGCTCTGGAGCTGAGTCCAAAGGGTTGGGAGGTAGTTACATCAAGCAGTGAGTGAAGGAGGGAAGCTTGTTTCCTTCAGACCGAGAGCAGCACCTGGCAGGGCAGGGGTAGGAGGCTTCCGCAGGCTGTGTTCGCCCCCTGCTGTCCCTTCTCCCCACAGCAGCCAGAGCCGTCCTTTGGAAGCATCAGGTCTTGTCACTCTTTACCTCAAAACTTGACAGTGGCTCCATGAATCACGCCCAGTGAAAACCAAGGTCAACACTTGATCTGCCAGGCCGTCTGTGGTCTGGTCCCGGATCCCAGCTGCTGTCCCTCCCCTGCTCCCTGCCCTTCAGCCACAGTGGCCCCTTTGCTTTTCCCCCTGAACATACCGGATGCTTGCCCACCCCAGGGCTTTTGTGCTTGCTCTTGGTGCTGTCTGGAACACTCCCCAGAAACCGGCATGGCTAACTCCCTCATTTCCTTCAGATGTCTACTCACTATTGCCTTGGTGAGCCTTCTCTGATGATGTATTTCACATTCCCATCACCCCTGCATTCCAGGTCCCGTTTCCCTGCTGTAGCTGACATTTATGTTTTACTTCTTTTTGCTTATTTAATGTCCTTTCCCACAAATGTCAGTTTCGTGACATGGGATTTTTGTTATATTTTGTTCACTGCATCATCACAGGCCTAGAACAATGTCTGGCATATGGAAGGTTGCCATGTAGTTACTAAATGAATAGCAGTCTTAAGAAATTTCATCTTTTTCATTTCAGCCCCATTCTCCAATCTCTGGGGGCTGTTTTGGATTTAGATTCTGACATCTCGGTTTTCACTTTCTTTCCCCTTTCTTTCTGGGTTGATTGCAGATTGAGCTGTCTTAAATTGTCATCCAAGTTATTCTTACATCTTATTCTGACAACATTGAGTGTATCAGAGCCTTGTGGCCCCTGTATCATAGACTTCTTTTGGATGCATAGATGGGGGGTTAAAATGTTTTTAAATAGAAACAATACAGTAGAATGAAAAAGGGTGTTTTGAAAAAAAGAAAATAAAACCTTTCTATAATTCCTTGCCCTTAATGTGGCTCTTTTTTCATAATCTCCTGTAACCTTTTGTTTTCATGTGATTGCAGTCACCAAAGCACTTTATTTTTGCATTTTGCTGTTTTCACTTAACATTATAGCACACACCTTTTGTGATGGTATAACATGGTCTAATCACCATGGTTAATATGTGTATTCCTATTAGTGGATGTTCCATAATCTACTTGGCCTTTTCCCTAATTGTTAGGCATTTTTAGTTCTTTCTGCATTCTGCTATTGCAAATGTCACTGTACTTTGGTCCATGATGAATTTCCAGGAGGGCGAGCAGGGTAGAATGAGTACTGTCCAGTGAGTACTGTCCAGCAGTGACCACTATTGTGCCCCACTCCTCCCTTTCAGAATAGCCGTTGGCATACAGTAGGAGCTCAGTGAGTGTGTTGACTGACATTCGATCTCATACACGCATGACCCACTGCATTGTACTCTCACGTCCACAGAGCCCTGTCATTGTACCCAGGCTCCAGATCTTAGAGGCATAAGTCCATTTTCCACTTTTTTTTTTGTTTTTTTTTTTTGGAAATGGAGTCCCAGTCGCCCATGCTGGAGTGCAGTGGTGCGATCTCGGCTTACTGCAAGCTCCACCCCGCGGGTTCACGCCATTCTTCTGCCTCAGCCTCCCCAGTAGCTGGGACTACAGGCGCCCGCCACTACGCCCGGCTAATTTTTTTTGTATTTTCAGGAGAGACGGAGTTTCACCGTGTTAGCCAGGATGGTTTCTATCTCCTGACCTCATGATCCGCCCATCTCGGCCTCCCAAAGTGCTGGGATTACAGGCATGAGCCGCCGCACCGGCCCCATTTGCCACTTTATAGGAGGAGCTTGTTTACCCTTCCCTCCAGTGTTCGAGAGTATTCTGTCACAGGGGAGTGGGTGGCAGTGACTGGATTGTCAGCCTTGTGCCTTCCAGAAAAACAAGAATTCATTGTGCTGTCTCCACCCAGTGTTGAGGATCCCCCCCCCCATTTCTTTTGGTGAATGGAGCCTCTGTTTCTAACAACTCTCAGCCTTTGAGGGGCTTCTGACTGGATTCTAGACCAGTCTGGAAGGGGCCGCCTGAGAACAGGTATACCTCAGGGCTAGTTTCCATCCACAGGAAGAATTAAGTCTAGTTCAGTTAAGCGGTGTTTATCACACTTCTACTCCACAGACCTTTTTAGAGTCTCTAAGAAATGGACATAGTACCTAATGCATGTCCCAGAGAGGCACACCCAGGGATTTGGGGAGTCACACGTAGGCAGACTCCATCAACTGGGGGATCAGTAAAGGCTTCGCGGAGGAGATGATGTCTTAGATGGTCAAGAGGAGTTTGTTGGATTTCAGCAGAGAAGAGGCCTTGTGGGATAAAAAGATGTAGAGATAGGGAGGTGTGTCACGGAGCTGGAGAGTGGAGGGAAGGGTAGGACAGGAGTGACAGGAGGCCTGGCATGGCAGAATGAGGACCCGAACTGCGACTGCCCCTCCACTTACAGATGCCATATGCAAGAGTAGCCCACCAGAGCAGTTTCTGGGTAATCAAGATTAATGAGCCCCTTCCCAAGGCACACTTCTTACAGCTGAGTGCTGTGCATCACACTATCTCAGATGCCTGCCGCAGTCACTGAGTCTATCCTCATGTGCTGTTTGGGCCACAAATGACAAAGTGTTGTCTTCCTGTTAGATACTACTCTCTGAGTTTTCTTAAATCAACAGAGTCCCATCCCCCAGCTATGCCAAATATGTGAGTCATGGACATGTATATACATGGGAATGGTGTTTATATTCTGCTCCCCAACAGCTGAGGAGGGTGGGATAATAGTGCCTGGTGGGCAGAGCGCCAGGAGCAGCCCTGTCCTGCGTGGGGGTGTGAGCGGATGCTCTGGGCACTGGTGGTGGCCGGAGGAGCACGTCAGATCAGCCTGGGGAACTTTGAGGGTGTGCCAGGTGCCTGAGTATTACTTGTTTGTTGTTGGAAGACAAACGTATGATTCATCTGCCTGGGGTATGAGGAAGTTAATCCTGCCTATCGGCCTCTCCTAACCTTGGTCTTGTTTTCTGGCAGGCAGAGGTGGAGGAGACACTGAAGCGACTGCAGAGCCAGAAGGGAGTGCAGGGAATCATCGTCGTGAACACAGAAGGTACGCCCTCCCTCCCGCCATGACCCGCACCCAGGCAGGCCCAGAAGCAGCCATAACACAGCATAGCACTTGCTGTTCACTAAGCCCTTCATGAATCTGATCTAATTTTAGGCCTTTTTAATTTTTAACACCTCCAGTGTTCTTTTTTTTTTTTTTTTTTTTTTCATTAAGGCTAGTCAGGTGAAGCAGCGGGAGTGGAGAAGGGACAAAGAAATCGGTAACTGGTTGTGAGCAATTAGTTGTAAACTGCATTCAGACCAGCCACCTCCAGTGTCCTCACAAAGGGAAAATCCGCTCAATCCCACCACCCTGACAGATCACACTTCAGTCTTCCATGCTTACTCAGCCTCGTCCAGCACAGTTCCAGAGGACCATAATCATAGTTGTTACCCTTGGGCATATGTTTACACTTGAGCTTTTTAAAATATTGCTTCATGGTTTACATAAACAAATTAAGTGCCACGACAATGTTCATTAGCCCAATTTTGTTGTTTCTACTTTTTAGTAAATCCATTAAGTGGATATTACATCCCCATTTGTGTTGATTCTGCTTTATTGGCTGGATAGTTCTCTAGTTAACTCCTCTGTGCCTGCAGCTCCCCTCCACCCCAACAACCCTTTCTGAGTGGTATCTGTGTAGGTAGAAGTGTACAGATACTAACTTTCCCAGACTGCACTGGACAGGAAGGGAGCTAGCATTTATCACATACCCGCTCTGTGCCAAGATTCTGGCTGGTGCAGCCCTGTCGTCTGCATTTTGCAATGGAGAAAACTGAGTCTAGAAATGTAATTGATCGGCCTACCATCACACAGTCGAGATTTAAATCCAAGCCCGTCTGAGTGCGCTTGGGTGCTTTCTCCCGCGCCAGGCTGTAAAGAACCAGAATGGCCCCCAGACCCTCACGCTCCAGGCAGCAGTAAGGACAGGGACTCTGGAATCCAGCAGTTGTGAGTTTGAATTCTGCCTCATCTCCTGACTAGCTTTGTGACCTTGGCCAAGTCGCTTAAGCCTGTAAATGGGGATAATACTTATATCTACCTTATAAGTTGAAGAGTAACTAAGAATGAACAGCGTAAAGCATTTAGTACAGTATCGTCACCATCTGTTTTGAGCTGTGAGGCATTTGTTCATACAAACTCTGATTTACCTGATTGGGTTCCCCTGTTGGGTTGGGAGCATCCACATGCTTCATGCCTCTAGGCCACAGTGTTTCCCACACGTATTCATTCTTTGAAATCACCCGGGGGTCCTGTTAAACATAGCTTTCCAGGCCTCTGCACCAAAAAGTCTAATTTATTAGAGCCAAAGCAAGACCTGAGGAATCTGTGTGTTTACGAAGCACCCCAGGAGATTCTTATGATCAGACAGGTTTAGAAAATTCTGCTTTAGGGGATAGATTCTAATCAGAAGAGGCTGCAGTGAGAGCCACAGGCCTAAGATTCACAGCAGTTCTGTCTCCTTCCGAAGGCCTTCCCTTGGAGAGACTGCCTCAGATCATGTTTTCAGGGCTGTGGTCCTTAAACCCAGGGGTCCTGTGCTACCCTGGGAGTAGAGGTAGAGGCTGGGGTTCCTGTCCTCCACTTCAGTCAGAGCACACACACTAAGAACCATCAGTTCATGTTTCTACATTGGTTTTAATTTGGAAAGGGGTTTGGCCAATTTAAAAACTACCCTACTGGAGTAGCCGGCCGGGCGCGGTGGCTCACGCCTGTAATCCCAGCACTTTGGGAGGCCGAGGCGGGCGGATCACGAGGTCAGGAGATCGAGACCATCCCGGCTAAAACGGTGAAACCCCGTCTCTACTAAAAATACAAAAAATTAGCCGGGCGTAGTGGCGGGCGCCTGTAGTCCCAGCTACTTGGGAGGCTGAGGCGGGAGAATGGCGTGAACCCGGGAGGCGGAGCTTGCAGTGAGCCGAGATCCCGCCACTGCACTCCAGCCTGGGCGACAGAGCGAGACTCCGTCTCAAAAAAAAAAAAAAAAAAAAAAAAAAAAAAAAACTACCCTACTGGAGTTTACAAAAATAACATAAACCAGTTTATGTGAGACTTGGGAGGAGAGGAGTCCACTGAGACACTGCTGCTGATAGAGCAGCGTGACCAGTGAAGGAAGACCAGGACCATGCCTGACTCACCTCTGTTCCCGTGTCATTCACCACAGGCCGCAGAGTCAGGTCAGTGAACGTTAAATGAACCAACCACAGTGGGTGTTGCCATCAGCCCCTTTGATTTGGTAATTCTTGAGGACTGTGTTGAGAGGAAATAATCCCAAAGGAAAAAACCTGAAATTTTTGCAAGCATGTTAGATGCCATAATCAGTAGATTAATAATTGTTATAATGGCTGGGCGTGGTGCATGGTTGCTCACACCTGTTCTCAGCACTTTGGGAGGCCATGGCAGGACGATTGCTTGAGCCAAGGGGTTCAAGACCAGCCTGGGCAATGTAGTGAGACCCCGAACTCCACACAAAAAAAAGAAAAATTAGGCAGGTGTGGTGGCACACGCCTGTAGTCTTAGCTACTCAGGATGCTAAGACAGGAGGATTCCTTGAGCCCGGGAGTTCAAGACTGCAGTTTGCTTCAAGGCTTCTTGCTCAAAGCTTTGATTGCACTCCAGCACAGAGCAAGACCTTGTCTCTTTAAAAAAAAAAAAACAAAAAGTAACAATGAAGTGTGTAGGCCCTTCAGTGCCCAGCCCAGGGGCTGCTCCCACAGGCCAGGATTTACCAGCAGCCCTGTGGGTGGAAGTGGTACAGCAGTGCCTGTGTCTGTCACATGTCTGGTGTGCTGCCAGGCACGGTTTGTTTATGTGTTTCTTGGCTGCCTCGTAGGGTAGACATTATTGCGGCCACCTTTACAGACACACTTGGACATCCCAAGAGGTCAGGCCATGCCCGGTTGCGGGGCCCCCCAAATTCTCTAGCCCAGTGTATTCAGTGGGCTCTAATTTGTTCAGTGCTCTTAGAGAGCCTCTTATGTGTGTCTTCAGTCTAGGCCTTGTTTTGGAGAAGCAGAGTTCTCAGCAATTCCTACTTAAGCAGAATGAAAGCCATCAAGGGCAACAAAGTGGAGGTGCTGTGTCCTTGGATAGAATGTTGATTTCCAGCCAGGCGTGGTGGCTCACGCCTGTAATCTCAGCCCTTTGGGAGGCCGAGGCGGGCGTATCACCTGAGGTCAGGAGTTCGAGACCAGCCTGGCCAACATGGTGAAACCTTGTCTCTACTAAAAATACAAAAATTAGCCTGGTGTGGTGGCGGGCACCTGTAATCCCAGCTATTCGGGAGGCTGAGGCAGGAGAATCGCTTGAACCAAGGAGGCAGAGGTTGCAATGAGCCGAGATCACACCACTGCACTCCAGCCTGGACGACAAGAATGAAACTCGGTCTCAAAAAAAAAAAAAAAATGTTGATTTCCAAGTCAGCAGAGCCCTGGCAAGCACAGAGCTAGACAGAACGTGCTCCCCAGCCCTGTCTAGTTCTGATTAAACCATGTGGTCATTTCATTTACAGGAGGCTGGGAGCCCTTGGGACACTGTGGAGACAGGAGCAGGCCCCCTGCTCAGGGCTGCCCCTGATCAGTTGGGTGGCCTGAGGCAACTCCTTTCCCCGCTTCAGCCCTCAACTGCCTCGAGTCCTGTGATGGTCCAGGGAATCTCTTTTGGGCACTTCTTGCTCTAAGACCTGAAAGACTTTTGTCACTAAGAGAGAAACTGTCTTCTGGGACTGGACATTTTGACTCCAAGGAGACAACCCCAGGGGCCAACAGCCCCAGCTGTGACCCCCAGGCTTCCACATGAACTCACAAAGGAGAGGCCCTCATTCTTGCCTTAAAACTGCCCCTAAAGCCAAGCCTTTTCACTGGGAAGCCCTAGCTGCTTACCTTTTGGATACTAGTGAGTGCTGCTTTTTTGTATACTCATGGGGCTGATTGCACCATAGCTGAGAACGTGGAATGCAGAATGAGCCCACCTGGCTTTGAATCTGGGCCCTACTTAACTTATCAGCTATGTGGTTTTGGGCATAAGCCACTTTCTCTGTTAAGTTTTCTCATTTGTAAAATGTGGGTCATAATTCTGCCTTCCTCTAGGGGAAGCTTTTAGAATAGTGCCTGGCATGAAATGCCTATGAATGTCTCAGTTAGTGTGTGTGTGTCTTTAACTTGCGTCCCATTCTCAGGGCCCCCACATCAGTGTCTCGTTTACATCTCACACAGTGACCCTGCGAGGCAAGGGTTTGCCCAGTTTGCAGATGAGAAACCCAAAGCTGAGAGAGGTGTGGGGAACCGCCCAAGGTCACCCAGCTGTGAATGAACGTGGTCAGAACACAGAATCTGAGTTGGTCACACTTCCCACTGATCCATGGGGCCTTTAAGCCCTCTGGAAGCTTCCATTAAAGATGATTATTTGAGGATAATTGTATTGGGATGCCTATGATCTTATCTAGGGTTTTCCTACCCATCCCCAACATTCAGCTCAGCTGCCTCTTTCTTGAGGACACCCTCACTGATCACCCCAGCCCAGCCAGAGTGGTTGCTCCTGCTCCTGCCCCTGAACCTATGACATACCCAAGTCCCAATACTTTCGAGCCATCTGCCACTGCCTTTTGACATCTCTGCCTTGGCTAGATTCAAATGGTGTTTCATAATAAAAGTCTGAGTTTAAGCAGCTTTACCGAAAACGCAAGGGAAGTTTCATTCCATTTATACTTCTCCAGACCCCCTGCCATCCTCTGCTGCTACCCACACAGGCAGAATAAAAGGCTTAAATGTGTAAGTCCCATGAAGGCAAAGATTGGTCTCTTGTGTTCACTGCTGTCTGTAGTACTTAGGATGGTGTTGGCCCAGAGTTGGTGTTTGATTAAAGTATCTGTTGAATTTTTTAGATGTTTTTTATCACTTGAAGGGACTGGGTGTGGTGGAAGGGCCTGGGGGTGTATCCCAGTAGATCAGAGCCCCAAGTTAGAAATCGTGCCTCCCAGATAACCAGCTACTTCTGCAGGCTACACAGTGTTCATTTGTGAAGACAGAGGCAGGGAGCAGGTGGCCTAATAACTAGGCCGTCTCAGGTCTCCTCCAGCTCCAGCATCCAGTGAATCTGGAATTAACCTTTGTCCTTGTTTTAATTTCTTCCCGGTTTTGGTCCTTGGCCCTGTACTTCCACGTTTTCTTTTGTTTTTGGAGTGAGCCAGTAGATGTTTAGTTTCTTGTCTGTTTTACACAGCTCCCGCTTATATGGATGTGATCAGACTCCTCATGCCAATATCTTTCCAAACTAGTAAAAGTAGACCCTTTGACCACTCACTTACCAATAGCAATAAAAGCTTAATGCTGTCTCTCTAGGGACACTAGTGAGCAAATCAGACTTGGTCAAGCCCTTGGGGAGCTTACATTGTGGTGGGAGATGGAATAATGATCACTTTGTAATGGTGCAGTGTCAACCTGGAAAAACTGCGTGGTGCTGGGATGGTGCCAGTGGGGATGGGAAGTGTCACCCGAAGATGGAGACCTCAGGGACCAAAGTGGAAATCATGAGTGAATAGGGGAAGGAAAGAAAGTTCCAGGCAGAGGGATCTGTGAGAAGGTGGCTTCGTGGTGTGTAAAAAGAGAAGGTTAGGGGTTCTGATCACCCAAACCATGCCAAGTCTTGGGACTGTGGGCCTCTTACCATTGGGGCCCAAAGGTGAGCTAAGGGGCGGGTTCCCGGCCAGGTAGCAAGAACAGCCAACCCAGGGCTCTACCTGGGCTCTGGTCCTGGCCCTCGGTGGGTGGGCTGTGTTTTAGCAAGGCCCTTGCGGGTTTAAGCAATAGTCACATCCCTTCAGATGAATGGAAATGGCATTTACTGTGTGAGTGGTGTTTATTAACATTTATTAAGTGTACTCTTGCTAAACATTCTTAAATGAATTAAGCAGTATTCAGCCCGCCCAGCAGCACTTTGAAGCACAGATATTATTTAACAGATAAGGCAGTGGAAGCTCAGGAGGTTTCATCACTTGCCCAAGGCTGCATAGCTGTGAAGGGCAGAGCTGGGTGTAAGCCTAGGTCAATTTGGAGCCCAGGACCCTATTAATCTGGTCCATAGCTGCCCAGCCTAGGACACGACTAAAGGCATTCATCAGACTGACTTGCTGGGTGGCAAGAAACTGGCCCAGTCTTGTTTTCTTAGGCCCCCAGGAATGCGAGGGTGGGCAGAAAGAGTCGTGGTGGCTCCTACCCCATCGCCGCCCCATCGTGGTTAGATTATAATGGACGCATTCATTACTGCCATCCTCAGGAAGCTTCAACTGTAGAGCAAGGCTTTGCGGGGCCCTGCCATGCACATTGTGGCCATCCAGGAGCCAGCAGCAACCCTGGTGATCTGGTCATCTTGTCTCTTACAGACAAGTGATGACTGCAACCTGTTCTCCTGACTTGACTTGGCTCAAAAAGCCTCTGCGACTCACCTGCTTCTTTTGCCACCATGTCCTCTTCTGCCCACCCTCACATTCCTGGTGCCCTAGGATGACAAGATTGAGCCAGTTTCTTTACCACTCAGCCAGTCGGCCTGATAACTGCCTTTGGCCGATCCCTAGACTGAGCAGCTGTGGGCAGGATGAGCAGGGTCCTGGGCCCCAAAGCTGGCCACTTCTATGTGAGGAGCTACTTGTGCCACATTCCTCAAGTGCCTGTCAGCTGGCGGGCTCTTGGGGTCCCATGGATGGAGTCTTCTGCTCATATGTCACAGGCAATTCACAGGCACCTGCTGGCCCAATCATGACCTGCGGTGGCTCAGTGTGAGCCGCATGCCTCACCTCTGTGACAGTAGGCACCGTCCAGTGAATAAGTCCACTTAATGGTTCATCTCAAGGAAACAGTCCTCAAACAAAAGGCTTGGTATACGGTGATGTTCACTGCCCAGTTAATTATACTGGTAACAAACCCAGCCCCTAAGTAGCCAACAGTAGGGGCTGGGGAGGTCTGTGGACCGCTCACCTAGTGGGCTCTTTGAAAGAGATAGCAGTGCTGTTTACAAAGGGTCAACATGTTCCATGTTTCTGTGCCTGTTGTACAAACATAGAAACATGCTTTAACTTGGCACGGCCATGTGGACAGTGTGTTTATAGCTGCTACCCAAGCCTCCCTTGGGTGGAAATCATGATGGTTATGTCCCAGCACAAGCTGACTTTTTCTCTTCTACTTTTTAGTGTGTAGAAGTTTGTGGCCGGGCGCGGTGGCTCACGCCTGTAATCCCAGCACTTTGGAAGGCCGAGGCGGGTGGATCATGAGGTCAGGAGTTCAAGACTAGCCTGGCCAGTATGGTGAAACCCCGTCTCTTCTAAAAATACAAAAATCAGCCAGGTGTGGTGGTGCGCGTCTGTAGTTCCAGCTACACAGGAGGCTGAGGCAGGAGAATCACTTGAACCTGGGAGGCGGAGGTTGCAATGAGCCGAGGTTGCACCATTGCACTCCAGCCTGGGCGACACAGCAAGACTCCATCTCAAAAAATAAAATAAAATAAATAAAAGAAGTTTGTAAGGCAGGGTGCGATGGCTCACGTCTGTAATCCCAGCACTTTGGGAGGCCGAGGTGGGCGGATCACCTGAGGTCAGGAGTTCAAGACCAGCCTGGCAAACATGGTGAAACCTTGTCTCTACTAAAAATACAAAAATTAGCTAGCTGGGTGCTGTGGCACGCGCCTGTAATCCCAGATACTTGGGAAACTGAGGCAGGAGAATCACTTGAACCCGGGAGGCAGAGGTTGCAGTGAGCCACTGCACTCCAGCCTGGGCAACAGAGCAAGACTCCGTCTCAAAAAAAAGAAATTTGTAAAAGCGCTTCCTGGTTTCAATTCTAAGCACTATGAATGAGAGTCTCTCTTTTTTTGGACAAAAAAATAAAAACCTGATTTTGTTAGTTTTTTAAATCTGTGTCCCTGCATGAATCAGAGCTAGTCTCTCCTTTTACTGCTGGGAACCAATCAGCCCTGGGAAAGGAACCCAGGAGTGAGCCAGCAGGCCTGCATGTGAATCCTGGCCCCACTGTGTGACTACAGACAGGTCGCCTCATCACTCAGAGCTCCTGTTGCCTCATGGGCGAATGAGATGGTGTTGCCACCCACAGAGTAGTTCTAGGGCATGGCACTGGCATGCTTCGGGTGCTCAGCACCATGCCTGTCACATAGCAAGCCCTCTGCGGATGGTGGCATTGACTGAGAACTGCTATTCCAGTTCTCCCCAATTAGGGGTGTGGGTGGGAGCTCGGCAGAAGGGGCTCCACATCCTCTCAGTCTCCGTCTGCTCTCCCCTCAGGCATTCCCATCAAGAGCACCATGGACAACCCCACCACCACCCAGTATGCCAGCCTCATGCACAGCTTCATCCTGAAGGCACGGAGCACCGTGCGTGACATCGACCCCCAGAACGATCTCACCTTCCTTCGAATTCGCTCCAAGAAAAATGAAATTATGGTTGCACCAGGTAAGGGGTCTTCTACCTCCCCATGTAGGAACAGACCTCATGGCACATTCTCTGTGGCTCATCAGGAGTCCTGGCACAGTGGTGTCTCCAGAGGATCCAAGCAGGGCCCGAGGAGTTGAAGGAATTGGGTTGTTGCCTCACTGCCTAGCCAGCCTCCAGCTGGTGTCCCATAGCAGATCCTCCCAGGGACCGGCCCCAGAGGGTAACCCCAGTCTCCTGAGATAGACAGACACGTGAGCATCATGTGTGTCTCCCCTTCCTTGATAGGAGAAAACTCAAAGGCATTTGGGACATAGAGGAGGGTGTGGCCAGGCCTGTCTGGGGCTGTCTGCAAAAGCTTCCCAGAAGAGGGGACACTGGAGCTGAATCTTAAGGGCACCAGGAAGCAGTGTGAGCAAGGCGGAGGGGCGGAAAGCCACGTTTGGAAGAATATTCAGTGATTCTTCTCCAAAATGTAAAGCAAAAGTACTGTATCATTTTATCCTTGAAAACATGTTCTCTGCCCACTTGTAAAGGCCAGGCCTGTCTTTAGGCCCCTTACAGCCAGCTTTTCCTGCCGCACGGGAGCAGATTGCTTTGTTTCCTTTACGCGAGGTGCTTGCCTTGCATTTGGGGGCTCTGTGGTGCAACCAAGGCCTGTGTTTAGTCCTTAGGATCATTCTCAGGGTGAGGAGATGCTCATTCTGGGAGGAGCCCACAAGGATGGGAGCACAGGAGCGAGCAACAGAGCCACATCTCCTGCCCGGCTCCCTCGCTCTCACTCATGGACTGGGGTGGCAGGCAGAGCCTCCAGGGCCGTCTTTGCATTATTACTTTTTTCTCACTCTGCTTTTTCTTGGCTGAGCCACATAGTTGAGTGTGCGTGCGTCACGTATGCGCGTGATGGTGCACTCCCGCTGCAGTGCCGCTTATCTAGGGCATCAGGATGTGAGTGGGGAGGAGTGGGAGGTGAGGCTTTGGTCCAGTTTAGAAGGGGCCACAAACACCTAACTCAGTTGCATGGACTTGATCTTGCAAGCAGAGGTTTTTAGGGCAGGAGGTGATAGGATTATGATTAGGACCTGGATAAAGGAAGGCAGTGGGGGGTCTGGGGACACTGAATGCTCTGGACTGGCAACACAGAGGGCAAGGAGGCTGGCCACAGAGTTCTGAGGTAATTTGATGGGAGGTCAGCCACTCCCTGCAGCAGACCAGCATAGGTTCTGTCACCAGGCCTGGAAGGATGGGCAGGAAAGAACTATAGAGCCAGTCACAGCAGCCCACAGGCTCCCTGGGACACTCCCTAGAGGGGTGGGGACAGAGCAGTTCAGTCACAGAGAAGAACATAAGAATAACTCCAGAGTCTATTATTCCAAAATCACGCTTCTGTGTGTAATGCCTGATCCATCGGGGAGAAAAGACTGCAGGAGGCACAGAATCTGTTTTCCCAGCTTTGCTTCCCACAAGCATGACCCTGGGCAAGTCGCAGAACACCTGCAAATCCACATCTGTAAAGTGTCGAGTAGGGGACTGTGCTGTGCTGATGTCCTGAGCCACCCTGCCTGGTTGAGTGTGTTGACCTGGGTTGGGGGAAAAAGCCTTGGAATCAGATTTAAACTGCAGTTCCTCCCAGGTTGTCATGTTGTGTGACTGCAGAGGACAAAGCTTCACTCCCCAAAAGTCGGGCCGGGATGGAGCGCAGTGGCTCACGCCTGTAATCCCAGCACTTTGGGAGGCCAAGGCAGGCGGATCACAAGGTCAGGAGTTCAAGACCAGCCTGACCAACATGGTGAAACCCCGTCTCTACTAAAAATAAAAAAATTAGCTGGGCATGGTGGCGCACACCTGTAATCCCAGGTACTTGGGACGCTGAGGCAGGAGAATCACTTGAACCCAGGAGGCGGAGCTTGCAGTGAGCTGAGATCGCGCCACTGCACTCCAGCCTGGGAAACAGAGTGAGACTCTGTCTCAAAAAAAAAAAAAAAAAAAAAGTTGGGCCGGGAACAGTCCCCCTGCTCACCCTGTGCACAGCAGACCTTGTGCTCCCCAGTGGCCCACTGGGAGTTCAGGGTATGGGGGAAGGGAGCAAATTACTTGGTCTCCAAATCAGACAAATTCTCCACAGACAGTGTCCCTTGGCATAAAGCTCCTGAGAATGTCTCCTCTGGAAGGACAGTGTCATCTGAAAGCTCCTGGCCATTCAGGTCTCAACTTGGCAGCGGCAGCGTCTCCAATTTGGCCCTGAAGACCCACAGGCATTCAGAGCCCATGACTGTGGTTGGTGCTTGAGTCCAGAATGGGCAGCTCCCAAGTAGGGGGTTCTCCTTGGGGTTCACAGGCCTGGAGATCCCACAACCTTGTCAGTGGAGGAGGATGAGGTGGCCAGTCCCTCACCTTGGCAGCACTGCAGGGGGCGCCCGTGCTCTCAAGTCACACTGTCTCTCTCCCACACACATGCGGCGCTGTGCTGGAGGACGGTGGCGCGCTGAGCTTGTCTTACAGAGCATGCTTCTTTGGCTCAGCCTCACTGCTGCCACTCAAGTCCTTCCTCGTCACCAAATGCTTACCTGCATTTTTAAGGCCATCTACTCCACTTGAGAGTAAGTTCTATGAGGGCAGGGGCTTGTAAGCACATAGTAAGCATCTAGCAAATATCCATTGATTAAATAAATGAATGACTCTGTAAACCTCCCTCCACTGCTGACACCCCACTGATATGGGTCAGAAGTGGGGTCAGCAGTGGGGACGGGGTCAGGGATGTCTGTGGGGCATAGTTTTAGGATGAAAACCAGTGATTTGACACTTTGACATACCCACTTTTATGTGGCCAAGAAAAAATAATTGGGTTTTGGTGCCAGAACTCCTGTGGTCAGGAGCCACCACGCAGAGCCTAGGAGGCCCTGGCGCTGAATTGCCTCAGGATGGCTACAGAACACAGGACCCAGGGGTGGCCACAGGCGTAGAGCAGGCCTGGCTGCTGCTGGAAGTGCCCGTTTGAGACTGTAGTTAGCACCCTACACATCGTGGGCAGCCTGGAGCAGCCTGGCCCGGGAGGGAGATCCATGCCTTCCCACCTGCCTGACCTGACCCCATCCAGCTGAGGTACTGCTTCCCAGGCTGCAGACAGCAGCAGGTGTTCCAGACAGTGTGGCTCTCCACATGTGTGCCACATTCACCCCACCCTGGCCCAGAACCGCCCACGTGAACAGGCTTTTTTTTTTTTTTTTTTTTGAGACAGGGTCTAGCTCTGTTGCCCAGGCTGGAGTGCAGTGGTGCGATCATGGCTCTCTGCAGCCTCAGCCTCCCTAGTATACTGCTGGGACCACAGGCATGTGTCGCCACACCCAGCATTTTTTTTTTTTTTTTTTTTTTTGGTAGAGACAGGGTTTCACTATGTTGCCCAGGCTGGTGTCAAACTCCTAGGCTCAAGCGATTCTCCCACCTCAGCCTCCCAAAGTGCTGGGATTATATGCGTGAGCCACCATGCCCGGCCAAGACATTTTAACACAAACTTTTGTTAGCTGGACATGGTGGCACCAGTATTCCCAGCTACTCGGGAGGCTGAGGCAGGAGGATCGCTTGAGCCTGGGCAGTTGAGGCTGCAGTGAGCCATGATCACGCCACTGCACTCCAGCCTGGGCAACAGCGAGACCCAGTCTCAAAAAACAAAACAAAAAAAACAGACTTCTAGTTTTCACTTATTAACTTCACTAGTATTAAAGCTGAGGTAACTAACTCAGCCTACACAACCTTCAACACACACTACCTCTCACAAAGCACCTGAAGTGGTATTGTTGCATTTAGGGCTTGATGATTTGGAGTAAAAGACACTGATGTTACCGATTGTGCCTATTTTTATCAGTGGCTTGTTAATTATTTCTGTTTTCATTAGTGATTTTTATGTATGCAGATTGGTTAGCCATGAAACTGTTAGTCACTTCATTTCTGTTTCTTCCCTGTTGCAACAGCCCATCTTCGTGGGAAGAACCAAGCTTTAGGCTTGGCTCTGAACAGCCACAAAGTGACTTGGCTGAGGTCCTGCCATTTCGCTCATGCTCAGCAGGGGGCAGCAGACCAGGGCAGTTCAGAGTATGGGGTCAAACCCAGGTCCCTGTCCCCACTCCACCTGTGGATTTACCCTGGATTGGGCAAGCCCTTTAACTCTCTGAGGCTCCGTGTTCTCAGAGTGACTCGAGGATTCACTGAGGTGCCGTGTGAGAAGTGGGTGGCCCAGACCTGGACACAAAGAAGCCTTGATCAATGTTTGCAGTTTGATTAAGTGGGTAAATCTGCATATATAAAAATCACTAATGAAAACAAATAATTAACAAGCCACTGATAAAAATAGGCACAATCGGTAACATCAGTGTCTTTTACTCCAAATCATCAAGCCCTAAATGCAACAATACCACTTCTCCAGTTACCTCTTCAGTGAAACGGGAGGCACTCAGGCTCACCTCCAAGGACTTGGACTTGCTGTGATTTAATGGTGGACATTCCTCCTTACAGGGCCAGATCCCTGGAGCTGGAATCCAGGCTGCTTTGTCCCATTTTGAAATTTTCTTATTCAGAAGGTTCTGGAAAGCCAACAAATTGAGTTTGTGACAGAAATTGACATTAACTGGCTGGGTGTGGTTGCTCACACCTATAATCCCAACACTTTGGGAGGCTGAGACAGGAGGATCACTCGAGCCCAGGAGTTTGCAACCAGCTTGGGCAACATAGTGAGACCCCATCTGTACAAAACTTTTTTTTTTTCTTAATGGAGTCTCACTTTATCACCCAGGCTGGAGTGCAGTGAGGCGATCTGCAACTTCTGCCTCCCAAGTTCAGGCAGATCTCCTGCCTCAGCCTCCCAAGTAGCTGGGATTACAGGCACCTGCCACCAAGCCTGGCTAATTTTTGTATTTTTAGTAGAGATGGGGTTTCACCATGTTGGCCAGGCTGGTCTTGAATTCCTGACCTCAAGTGATCTGCCCACCTTGGCCTCCCAAAGTGCTACGTGAGCCACCACGCCTGACCTTCTACAAAAAACTTTTTAAAAATTTACCCAGGTTTGGTGGGGTGTGCCTGTAGTCCCAGCTACATGGGAGGCTGAGGCGGGAGGATCACCTGAGCCCAGGAGGTCAAGGCTGCAGCGAGTCATGATCGCACCACTGTACTCAGCCTGGGTGACAGAGCTCTTGCTCTGTCTCGCGGAGGGGAAAAAAAGAGAGAGAGAAAAAAGAAAATGACATTACCCAAGTCCAGTGAAGTATGTCGGAATTCCATCTTTGACACTAAGTAGCTGGGTAACCTTAAGCCAGTGGTCCTCCCACAGCCTACAACATCAGCATCACCTGGGAACTTGTTAGAGAAATGCAAACTCTTGGGCTTTGCCCCAGCCCCACTAAATGATGGTTCTGGGCGTAGAGCCCTCCAGGTGGTTGGGATGCCTGCTAGCTTGACAACCATGGCCTTAGGCAATTCATTGGAGCTCTTTGAACTGGAGTCCCCCCACCTGGAAAACAGGGGTGAGAATCCTGCCTACCTGCTGCCACTGTCGTGGGGAGGATTAGAAGAGACGACACACTGTAGAGTGCCCGCTGCCCGGTATGGGGAGGCCCCTCTTGCAGGAGCCCCTGCAGGAATCTTAAAGGTTTATCTTCCGTTTTCCCAGCATTTGGAGATGCTGAACGTTGATGCTTTTTGTTGCTTTCTCCCCTTCCTCATTTTATGGTTAGTGATTTAATGGTTTATTTGCTTTCTTGTGTGTTTTTCTCTCATTTTACATTTAGTGATTTTTTTTCATTTTTCTCTTTTGCAGATAAAGACTATTTCCTGATTGTGATTCAGAATCCAACCGAATAAGCCACTCTCTTGGCTCCCTGTGTCATTCCTTAATTTAATGCCCCCCAAGAATGTTAATGTCAATCATGTCAGTGGACTAGCACATGGCAGTCGCTTGGAACCCACTCACACCAATCCAGTGACCGTGTGTGGGCTGGCGGCTCTTCTCCCCCACCAACGGAACCCCTGTGTGCACCAACCTTCCCCAGAGCTCCGGAGCGCCCTCTCCTCACTTCCAGGTTTTGGAGCAAGAGCTTGCAGGAAGCCCGCACCCAGCTTCCTTCTGACCTTCAGTTCACTTTGTCGCCCTTGGAGAAAGCTGTTTTTCTTTAACTAAAAATAACCAAAATGCTTACCCGTCTGTTGTGTCTTTAAACACTAGGTTGAAAAGGCCTCACTCTTCCTGTGTAATCACACGTCGGAGGCCCGGTTGCCTCCTCCAGCCCTGGTGGGAGATGATGTTCATGGTGTCCGAGAGGCCTGCTGCTTCTTGTGCCTGTGGCCATACTTAGTGTAGCTTGGTGTATAATTGGTGCTCTGGTTTCTGGGCCTCTTGGCCCTAGTCCTTCTTTTACTGTTTCCCACTGCTGCCAGTGTTGAAAGATTTTTTCTACTATGCTGCACTGGGGAAGAGAGTGGTACTTACTGAGGACCCGGAATGCACCTGGCGTGTAACATACAGTAGCTCTCACCTCACGGTACCATCTGTAGACAGAGTGTTAGGGCCACCTCAGACATGGGGACTTGGGTTTAGAATGGCTTACCTACGCCCTCACAGCCAGGACACAGGTCTCAGACTCAAATAGCCTTGCTCTTCCCACACTATCTGCCCCAGAAATCCTGGAGGGCCCCCGTTCACCCAAGTGAGCCTGTCCTGGGCAAACATCTGCCCCGCAGACTTGGAGCGCAGGGGTCCTCTCGCCGAGTGCTTCCCAGAATTCACCTGCACTCAGACTCCCACCCACCCCTCATCCAGCCACACTCTTGTTTTTTTCCCTCTGAAACCACATGTATTTAATTTTATTAGGGTTTTTCTTTTTATCTTTTGTTTCCTGTTACACAGGAAAAAGACTCGGCACCGTGTAGTGTGAGCCTGGAAATCCCCGTCCTTGTCCTCCCTGCCCCAGAAGTCACCACTGTCTGTGAGTTCTTCCATCTAGCAATCATAATTGCCCAGATTTTCCAGTGAGGCTTCCTCAATGCTATCGGAGGAGTGAAATACATACTCTTTGGAGTTGAGGGGTGTAGTTTATAAGGGCGTGGCAAAATTTCTTCAAAAGCTACTTTAATGAAAGATAATAGGCATTTTCCACTCTATAATATATTCGTGATTATCTTAATATAAAAATAACCCTCTCAAATAGTTTTCCCTGAATCTTCAAGTAACGTTGGTTGTCTGAGAAACACTCTGGTTTCCCCTGTCCCTGCGGACCTAGGAAGCGCCCCCTGAGAGTGGGTGACTGCAGACCCCACGTGGTGATTCTCTGCTAAGTTCCGTGCTGCAGACGAACGTGGGGTGTGGCCAGCAGCGTCACCCTTGTGTTCTCGGAAGCTGGGATCCAAGTCTGAGGCTCCTCCGTCCTTCTGCTTGAATTTCTCCAAGAAGGATAATGGGGAAGGAGGTCGGAGGAGGAGAGGTCAGGTTTCTAGGACGGCGATCGGGGGTCTGTCCCTGGAGGGAGGAGGCGTTCTGGCTCCAAAGCAAGGGTTCAGAATAGGGCTGAGGGCCTGTCCCTTCCACCTTCCCTTAGTCCCCCTAGTACTGCCTCTTGTTTGCCTTAAAGTTCCCCATCCTAAAAGCATTCCATCAAAGTCTTGGGGAAAGTTTCTTATGAAAATAAAGATGCTCCACTTCCCAGTCCCTTGAGCACCAGGATTTTGTACATCAGGAGCCCACCATGTACATCAGGAGTTTGTAATGCAGCAAGGCAAGCATAATTCCTTGGACTCAAGATGTAAAAATCTGGCTGGGTGCGGTGGCTCCTGCCTGTAATCCCAGCACTTTGGGAGGTCAGGGCAGGATTGCTTGAGCCCAGGAGTTCAAGAACAGCCTGTTGCGACATGGCAAAACCTTGTCTCCACCAAAAATATGAAAATTAGCTGGGCGTGGTGGCACGCACCTGTAGTCCCAGCTGCTGGGGAAGCTGAGGTGGGAGGATTGCTTGAGGTTGATGCTGCAGCGAGCTATGCGTCCACCACTGCACTCCAGCCTGGGTGACAAAGTGAGACCTTGTCTCAAAAAAGATGTAAAAATTCATGGCCACAGAGAAGGTTTACAGCGGGGGAAAAAGAGGTTAAAATTAAGTTTTGTTTTTTGTTTTTTTTTTGAGACAGAGTCTCTCTCTGTCACTCAGGCTGGAGTGCAGTGGCGCGATTTTGGCTCACTGCAACCGCCACCTCCCAGGTTCAAGTGATTCTCCTGCGTCAGCCTCCCAAGTAGCTGGGACTATAAGCGCCCACCACCATGCCTGAGCTAGTTTTTGTATTTTTTTGTAGAGATGGGGTTTCACCATGTTGGCCAGGCTGGTCTCAAACTCCTGGCCTCAGGTGATCCGCCTGCCTTGGCCTCCCAAAGTGCTGGGATTACAGGCGTGAGCCACCATGCTTGGCCAAAATTCAGATTTTTAAGAATCTAAATAATGGTATTCCACATACAAAAACCCTAGTGTTTCTGTACTCAAAAGTAGCGTGTATACTGTCAAGGTTAGAAACTGACAGCTGTCCTAGGCCTAGAGGGAAAAGCATGGGTTCTGAGTTTCAGAAGGACATTTGCCAATATAGCAAAGGTGTGCCCACACCCAGTATTTTTTTATGAAAAATTTCAAACCTACAGAGAATTGAAATAATTGTATATCTTCCATCTCAATTCTACAGTTACCCATTTTGCTATATTTCTGTATCACATAACTTTCCATTCTTCCATCTAACTTATTTTTTATGGCTTTCTAAGTATATTGCAGGCAGTACCCACCCCAAGCACTGCCAAGTGTGTATCATTAACTAGTTTGTTTACTGCTTTTGGAGGATGGGTAAGATTTACATAGAGTAAAATGCACAGATCTTCAAAGTGACAAATGTGACCCCTGTGTAACCTCACAGCCGTTTCAGGAAAGCTGCTGCTGCTTCCCAGTCGGCCCAGCCCACTCCCCAGAGGCCACCCTGTTCTGATTTCCTCCAAGTATGATTTCTGCCCTCTAAGGTACAGCTCTCACCTGGGCTCCGTGAGCAGGGCCGGCGTTTCAGGGAAGTGGCAGCTTCTCGGGAGGTGCCGCAGCTGCCATCTCCCGTCAGCACTCATGCCTCCGCCTCAGCCCTGGCCACGGCTCCCTGGAATTCTGATCCTCCTCTGTGAGCTGGTATTGCTGTTTCTCCAAAAATTAAAAATGCTCAAAGGATTATAGGTTTTCTCCTCTTTCGTATGTTTGGCTCTGAGACACTGCATGTTGGCACGTTTTTCATTGAGAATCCTGAAAGCCACCTTTCCATACCAAATTCCCATCTGTCTCTACCAAATTACCAGAAAAAGAAAAAATGAGAAATGGAGGTCTCAGATTCCGTCATCACAGCAGGTAGAAATCAAAGTCACTGAATCCATCAAATTAGTAAGCATACCCCACTGTCAGTGAACTTCAGCTGATCAGTTATGTATTGAGAAGGCAAATAACACAATTGCAGAACATGTTCAAAATACTAGTCCTACTGCTATGGTGAACAAGCTCAATCCAATCAAAAGCACCTTTATTTTGGTCTCTCACTGTCTAAATTTACTCTCTAGGGCTTGTTCTCCCGCTGTCCCTAGGTGAGATGTAGAGCAAGCCCTGCCCTGGGCAGATGAAGTCCCCGCCCAACACAGGAACTACTCCTTCCAGCCGCGTTTGGAGAGAGGCCGCCCCTTCCACTGTGGGCCCGCGGGGAACCTCGCTCTCTGCAGGGGGAGAGCAGCTTATGTTTGGCCTCGGCCTTATTTTATTTGCCCACTTGGTGCTGTCAGCTCTCTTTCCCAAGTTGCTGAGAGGGGCATGAGGTGGGGAGCAGAAATTCATCGTTCGCCGATACTGCTGTGAACTGGCTTCGGCCGTGGTGCATTTTCATGCGCTTTGACACGCATGCCCCCTGCCCTCTTCTGTTGGTAGCTCCCTCACTTTGAAGGGTGCGCTCCTTCTGGCCGGCCCTATCTTTGGCTCCTGGCTGTCGGGGTCTCCCCTCTACACACTCTCTTCTGTTGAGTCGTGGTGAAGCAGAAACCCCACCGCCTTCCTCCATGGGTTACGATAAGATTCATAGCCTCTCGGTGGCCTCTAAAAATCTTCCTCGAACTTCCAGCTCCTTTATAGACCACATTCCCAGCAGAAGTGTGAGCTCGCTTGGGACCACCTGGTGTCACAGTCCAGGCTGCTGCTGGTCCTGCTCCTCTACGTGGCAATCGGCCCAGAGAATATGCCTTGGGGGGTCTCAGCAGAAACTAAGATGAAGGTAATTCAACTTCAACTCCCTAGTTCACAAGAAATACGTTAGCTGTTTTCCCTAAAAAAGGCTAGGTGAAATAGGGAATTTCATGATTTTTTGTGGGGGGCAGGGGGGGTACACAATCTCCCTCTTTTCACCCAGGCTGGAGTGCAGTGAGTGGCCTGATCTCAGCTCACTGCAACCTCTGCCTCCCAGGTTCAAGCAATTCTGCCTCAGCCTCCCAAGGAGCTGGGATTGCAGGTGTGCGCCACCACACCTGGGTAATTTTTCTGTATTTTTAGTAGAGACAGGGTTTCACCATGTTGCTAAAGCTGGGATCCAACTCCTGGGCTCAAGCAATTCTCCCACCTCAGCCTCCCAAACTGCTGGGATTACAGGTGCAAGCCACCACGCCTGGCATATTTGATTTTTAAATACTACAAGTATTTGGGTAAAAATTAAATTTAAAAAGTTTGCAATAACCTAACAACAGGCTATAATATGATAAGCCAGGGGCTTCCCAGCCCTTTTCTAATGAAGTAACTGAAGAATGAGGAGCGTTATCTAGAAGTCAGGGCGAATCTGCCAGAGTCAACCAAAGACAGCCCCCTGCAAACATGAACCTGCTCTCTAGAAATGTACACAGGTTTGCGTCCCGGTGGCTCCGGGGAGAATGTGGAGCCGAGTGGAGTCAGGAGCGCAGGCAGCCAGGGGAGAACTGATGGTGGCTTGGGCAAGGGCGGTTTCATGGGGTCGGAAGGGGGGATTCTGAAGGGAGAACGCCAGGACTTGCTGGGGAGGGTTGGAAAGTAAGGAAATGAGACATCAAAGGAGACTCCTCCATGCCTGCTTGGGCAACCAGGTGCTGCCATTTACTGAGAGGAGGCTGACTGGGGACCTTTGTGGGGAAAGAGCACCAGCAATTTGGAAATGGCTTAATCTGAGCCTGTGAGATACCCATGTGTTTAGAAAGAATGTCGGATGGACTGTTGAATACCCAACTCTGCCAGGCCTTGCTAGACATAAGGATATGGAGCTATCAGCCTGTTACTGGTATTTAAAGCCAAGAAGGTTAGGTGCAGTGGCTCATGCCTGTAATCCCAGCACTTTGAGAGGCCAAGGCGGGAGATTCTCTTGAGCCCAGGAGTTCGAGACCAGCCTGGGTAACGTGGTGAAACCCCATTTCTACTAAAAATACAAAAGACAGCCGGGTGCGATGGTGAGTACCTGTAGTCCCAGCTACTTGGGAGGCTGAGATGAGAGGATTGCTTGAGCCTGGCAGGTCAAGGCTGCATTGCGCCACTGCACTCCAGCCTGGCCAACAGAGTGAGACCGTGTCTCCAAAAAAAAAGGTTGTGGAGGCTGGGCATGGTGGCTCACGCCTGTAATCCCAGCATTTTGGGAGGCCGAGGCGGGCAGATCACCTGAGGTCAGGAGTTCGAGATCAGCCTGACCAACATGGAGAAACCCCATGTCTACTAAAAATACAAAAGTAGCCAGGCGTGGTGCACATGCCTGTAATCCCAACTACTCGGGAAGCTGAGGCAGGAGAATCGCTTGAACCTGGGAGATGGAGGTTGCTGTGAGTCAAGATCGTGCCATTGCACTCCAGCCTGGGCAACAAGAGCGAAACTCCGTCTCAAAACAAAACAAAAAAAGCTTCTGGAGCCCCAGTTATCACGTTCAAGTTCCAGATGGCAGCTGATGGAGGATGGGGATGGCAAAGGATGTACCTTTTCCCTTTAAGGCAATTTCCCAGGAGTCCCATAGGGCACTTCCTACTTAGGCCTAATTAACTGAAGTTCAGCCACCTGCCACTCCTGACTGCATGGAAGCCAGGTGCAAGGAGAAAGGATTTTGAGGAGGGGTGAGTCACCAGAACACATTTGTTTGCTGCGGAGAGATCGTAAGGGGCCTCGGAGCAAGTCCATGGGGCGTGAGGAGGGCTGGCGTCCTGCGCACAGTGGAAGGACTGGCCTTAGGAACAGGGACAGTGATTCCACTCAGCATAGCCAGGGAGCGGCCCAGATGGCAGGGCAAGGTCTCTGTGGAGTGAGGGCAGCAGGGAAGGTGCCTCGCAGGAGAGGAGAGAAAACATACACTTCCCTGGGGACGCGGGCGGGGAGTTTGACGGGTTCGGCAGGTGGCCCTTTTGCAGCATCTTTTTCAGCCGGGGGTGCAGCAGTCACCATACAGCTGAACTCGGCCAGGTTAAGGCGGCAGAAGAAAGAGGGAGTTGGGACTTTTGGAAGTAATTATGATGGCTGTGGAGTCTGTGCTGGGTGAGGAAGGGAAGTGACTGGATAGAGGGTGGCAGTGGAATTTTTTTTTTAATTAAAATTTTTTTCTTCCCCAACCGCTCCCCACCTTTTTTTTTTTTTTTTTTTTTTAAATAGAGACAGGGTCTGGTTATGTTGCTGATATGGTCTGGCTCTGCCCCACCCAAAATCTCATCTTGAATTATAATCCCCATAATCCCCAGGTGTCAAGGGAGAGCCCAGGTGGAGGTGATTGAATCATGGGGGCGGTTCCCCCATGCTCTTCCCGTGATAGTTCTCACAAGAGCTGATGGTTTGGTAGGTCCTCCTGCGTTCATTCTCTCTCCTGTCGCCTAGCGAAGAAGGTGCCTGCTTCCCCGTCACCTTCCTCCAGGATTGTGAGTTTCCTGAGGCCTCCCCAGCCATGCAGAACTGTGCCTCAGTTAAACCTCTTTTCTTTGTAAATTACTCAGGCTCGGGCAGTTCTTCACAGCAGTGTGAGAATGGACAAATAGTTTCCCAGGCTGGTCTTGAGCTCCTGCGGCCTCCCTAAACGCTGGGATTGCAGGTGTGAGCCACCGCACCTGGCCAGAATGAAACTTTGGAAGGGGCTGATTGTTCAGATAGGCGGGGGTCAGTGTGCTCGGCCTTGCTTCTGCAGGGGAGGCACACTGGTGAGGTGCCCTCTAGGGCAGACGAGGGAGGGGGGTTCCCGGAGCAGTGACGGTGGAGACAGGTGGGACGACACAGATGGGCTTGAGAGGACTCAGGACTGCAATGGCAGGTGAGGGGGAGTCCACCTGGGCCTGGACCAGGTGATGGGATGAGAAGGGAGGGGGCGATTAGCTAGAGGCACAGGCTTGGGGAAAGAGATGACTTCCTTTGGACGTGTTGAGTTCGGAGGCAGCCTTTGTTCCAGAGACAGAGCCTGGACCTGACAGCTGGAAGCCAAACTGGAGGTGGGGATTGTACGTCACTCATAGTGGAGGCACTGGTGGGTGTGGAGAGAACCCAGGACCCCATGAGTGGCTGGAGGCTGCGAAGGCCGCGGGGAGCCAACCTCCCCAGGTGACCAGACCGCTCCAAGGGCTTGAGGTCACGGAGGGAGAAGGGTGGCAGCCCCGGCCCTCTCACTCAGGGAGGTGGAGTTAGAGCTGGAGAGGCCTGAGCACGCCCCTGGCTCAAGAGGAGGACAGATATGCGGGTGAGGCCCGGAGGAAGGGAATGGCCAGGTCTGAGGCCCTGCATGGGCTGTGGGGTTGGTGTTCTCAGCCTCCACTTTTCCAGTGAAAGCAGAGGATCTGTGGGGAGCAAGGTGGGGCAGTGTGAGCTCGAGGCCGGAGGACCCCTGAGTGGGTCTCAGTCCCTACAATCTTTGGAGTGTTCCCCTTCGCTGCCTTTTTTTTTTTTTTTTAAAGATGGAGTCTTGCTCTTGTCTCCCAGGCTGGAGTGCAATGGCACAATCTCGACTCACTAAAACCTCCGCCTCCCGGGTTCAAGCAATTCTCCTGCCTCAGTCTCCCGAGTAGCTGAGACTACAGGCGCCCGCCACCATGCCCAGCTAATTTTTGTGTTTTTAGTAGATACAGGGTTTCACCATGTTGGCCAAGCTGGTCTTGAACTCCTGACCTCAGGTGATCCACCCACCTCGGCCTCCCGAAGTGCTGGGATTACAGGTGTGAGCCACCATGCCCGGCCCCACTTTGCTTTTTTGGTTGTGGTTTTTTGGTTTTGTTTTTGTTTTGATAGTCTCTATCACCCAGGCTAGAGGGCAGTGGTGCAATCTTGGCTCACTGCAACCTCCGCCTCCCGGGTTCAAGTGATTCTTCTGCCTCAGCTTCCCAAGTAGCTGGGATTGCAGGCATGCACCATCATGCCTGGCTAATTTTTGTATTTTTAGTAGAGAAGGGGTTTCGCCGTGTTGGCCAGGCTGGTCTAGAACTCTTGACCTCAGGTGATCAGACCACCTTGGCCTCCCAAAGTGCTGGGATTACAGGCACGAGCCACCATGGTCAGCCTTCACTTTGAGTCTGTAAACGGGAACTGCCAATCCTTCCTCGGAGATAATGACCCTGACTCAGACTTCAGCCCACGTGTCCTCCCGATATGAGGCCCATTTTTACGAGTTCATCACCTTAAACGAGGCGCCAAGTCACAGCGGTGTTGATGCAGGGCAGGTTCTTTGCCTGGCTCAGGAAGGAATTCAAGAACCAGCCGGTGGTAGAAGAAAACAGCTTGATTGATGGGGTGGCACGTTACGGCTGTGACTGGCCCCGCCATGGGCAGTGTGCTGAGAGTAGCAGCCCAGGGACAGATCTGAATCCGTGCTTATTCCCATTTTTAATGACATCCTAATTCAGGGGGCGGGTTATTCAGAAATAGCTAGAAAATGGGCGGTAACTTTTGAGTGTTGCCATGGCCAGAGGTGGTAACTTCCAGGTGTTGCCATGGCAATGGTAAACTGCCATGGCACTGGTGGGCGTGTCTTAGGGAGAGGTGATTTCAGCACTTCTGGTTCAGCCAGTCTTCAATCTCGTCCAGAGTCAGTCCCTCCTGCCTCCTGCCTCCGTGCTGATTGCAGGCCCTGTTTCCCCCAGGACTCCATGGCTTCCGAGTTGCTGACTGACCCTCCACCTCAGAGGTAGTTCTGACACTGTCTCAGTTTTGCAGATGAAGATGAGATTCTTCAGTTCTCCATGTGGAAAAGCAGCTGTGGACCCAGGTCTGTCTGGCCCGCCTGCCGTTGTGTGAAGGAGCTCAGGGCCTATGGTCTGTCCACACTCGCGGTCATCAGTGGCCAAGCAGGCCAGGGTTGCTCCGCCCGTGTGCCAGGCCGGCCAAGGCCAGTTCTCCACTTTTTCTCAGGCCCATGGGTCCAAGTCCGAAGCCACAGAACGGCAGGAATGAGGGGTGGGAGCAGAGCAGTCGAGGGTGCGCTTGACCGTGGCTGAGACCCCCTGAGCAGAAACGACTCCCCCAACCTCTGCTGATCCTCCTAGCACCCAGCAGCAGTGCTTGGCACAGACTCTGTCCCTGCGCATGGTCTAGAGGGGGAGATAGACCTTCTAGATGGCAAACGGCATGGAGAGATGACTGTGGGGGCCTGGGGGAGGGGTCACTTATCCAAATAATAATTACTGAGCACCCACCATGTGCCACACTCTAAGTCCTGGGGTGTAGCAGGAACCAAGCATATGCAGAACTGCCCTTCAAGGGCTTGCACTTTAGTGAGAAGGAAATAAAATTTTATAATATTAAATGTAAAACCACAGTGAGATACCACTACACACCCGCCAAAATGGCGAAACGAAAATGAACACCACCAAACGGTGGCAAGGAGGCAGCGCACCTGGAACTCCCGCACATCGCTGATGGGAGCACAAAATGGAACAGCACTGAAGAGAGGCCTGGCCACTCCTCAAACACACACCTGCCCCCAAAGCCAGCATATCTCCTATTCGTCCAAGTGAAACAAAAGAACATATCCCTTAAAGTATAATTAAAAATATATATATATCCACACAAACACTGTCACAGAAACGTTCAGAGCAGTTTTATTCACAATCACCAAAAGCTGGAAACAGCCCAGGCATCCATCAATGGAAAAACTGCTACATCCATCCATGGGAACCTACTTGATAGTTTAAAGAAATGGCCTACTTGGGCACGGTGGCTCATGCTTGTAATCTCAGCACTTTAGGAGGCTGAAACCGGTAGATCAGGAGGTCAGGAGTTTGAGACCAGCCTGGGCAATATAGTGAAACCCTGTCTCTACTAAAAATACAAAAAAAAAAATTAGCCAGGCCTGGTGGCATGCTCCCGTAATCCCAGCTACTCAGGAGACCAAGGCAGGAGAATCACTTGAACCCAGAAGGTGGAGGTTGCAGTGAGCCAAGATCTTGCCACTGCACTTCAGCCTGGGTGACAGACTCTGTCTCAAAAAAAAAAAAAGCCTACTGATACCTGCAACAACATGGGTAAGCCTCAAAACTTCATGTTGAATTAAACCAGAGGCACAAGAATACATGCCGTATGATTCCATCTAGAAGAATTTCTAGACCAGGCCAGAATATGGTGAGAAATGAGAATAATGATTGCCTCCATGGGGCGTGCAGGTAGACTGGTGAGGCCCAAGGAACCTTCCAAGGGGAACGCTGTCCTTTTTTTTTTTTTTTTTTTTTTGAGTCTTGCTGTGTTGCCCACAGTCAGGCTGGAGTGCAGTGGCACGATTTCGGCTCACTGCAACCTCTGCCTCCTGGGTTCAAGTGATTCTCCGATTCAGGAGGTAGCTGGGATTACAGGTGCCTGCCATCACGCCTGGCTAATTTTTTCTATCTTTAGTAGAGATGGGGTTTCACCATGTTGGCCAGGCTGGTCTTGAACTCTTGACTTCAGGTGATCTGCCCTTGGCCTCCCGAAGTGCTGGGATTACAGGCGTGAGCCACCGCGCCTGGCCATGTTCTCTATCTTGAAAGGGGTTTGGGTCACATTAGTGAGTGTACTTCTCAGACTCACCAAAGAGTACACTTGACACCTCTGCATTTCATTGTTTGTGAATTTTACCCTGAAAGAAAAAAAACCAAATACTGACATGAATGTGAAAGACTGAGGAGAAAGTGAACAGATGTCTGCAACTTACTCTGAAATTCAACAAAAAGGGAAAATGGACAGAGACGTAATAAAGCAGATGAAGCCAACTGCTTTTGAGATGGAATCTCAAAATCTCTGTCACCCAGGCTAGAGTGCAGTGTGCGATCTCGGCTCACTGCAATCTCCACCTTCCAGGTTGAAGCGATTCTCCTGCCTCAGCCTCCCCAGTGGCTGGGATTACAGGCGAGTACTGCCACACCCAGCTAATTTTTGTATTTTTAGTAGAGACGGGGTTTCGCCAGGTTGGCCACGCTGGTCTCAAATTCCTGACCTCAGGTGATCCACCTGCCTTGGCCTTTGAAAAGTGCTTGGGTTACAGGCGTGAGCCTCTGGACCTGGCAGAGCCAACTGTTAATGGCAGAATGTAACTGGGTGTAAGAGGGACCACTACCATTATTTCAAGTGTGTTTGAACGCTTTCATAATGAAATGCCCAGAAAAATTATACAGCATATTGGAAGGCCTCCCTGAGGAGACACTTGAACCAAAACTCGAGGTGAGGGTGTGAGGGACACAGAGATCCCGGGGAAGGATGTTCCAGGCAAAGGCCCTGGGGCATGAGCCTGACAGGGATTCCTAGAGTAGCCAGGAGGCCAGAGGAGTAGCGGGGAGGCAGATCCCACGGCCTCCTGGGCCACCATCCATCAGCCCTTGGCTCTTACTCTAAGAGGGGTATGTGGGGACAGGACAGCTGTGGTCACTGTCCTGAGAGCGGACTGAAGGAGGCAAGGCCAGGGCAGGAAAACCAGCAAGGAGACAATAGCAGCAGTTCTGCAAGATGTGGTCGGGGCTCTGGCCCTGGTGGCAGTGGCGGCCGTGGTGTGCCATGGTCAGATTCTGGAGAATCTTGAAGGTGGAACAGACAGGATTTGAGGATGGACTGGGTGTGGAGCAGGAGTGGTGGAAGGGGGTGGTAAAGGAAAGGAAGGAGTCAAGAATGACTCTGAGGAGGCCGGGCACAATGGCTCACACCTATAATCCCAGCACTTTGGAAGCCCAAGGCAGGTGGATCGCCTGAGGCCAGGAGTTCGAGACCAGCCTGGCCAACATGGTGAAACCCCGTCTCTACCAAAAATACAAAAATTAGCTGGGCATGGTGACGGGTGCCTGTAATCCCAGCCACTCGGGAGGCTGAGGCAGGAGAATCGCTTGAAGGTGGGTGGCGGAGGTTGCGGTACGCCAATATTGTGCCGTTGCACTCCCTACCTAGGTGACGAGCGAAATTGCATCTCAAAAATGAAAAATAAATAAATGAAAAAGGTTTTTGGCCTGAAAAGGGGAGACAAAAGATTCCAACTGGAGCACATTTTAGGGGAAGATCATGGGTTTGTTGTGCACAGGTCAAGTTTGAGATGTCTGTCAGACATTCAAGCAGACACATGAAGTAGAGGTCAGGCCACTGGATTCAGGGGTGATGGGGCAGGGGAGGGACTGAAGGGCGAGTCAGCCCTGCTGACTGTCAGGCAGGGGCAGAGCTCACAGCTTGGGACTTGGGGCCCTCCTCCTCCACGTTGGCCTCAGTTCAGGGCTGAGTCTGACAAAAGACAGGTGTAATCACTTTCCAAGGCTGACCCAGTTCTTTGGCTGCTCTCAGTGGGCCTGGTCACATTTAATCTTCTGTGGCACTGTGTGTGTGAGGTTTGTCCAGTTTGACACACAGCTCTGGATCAAAAGTCGGCAAACTAAGGCCCTCAGTTAAGTCTGTTTGTTTTGGCAAATAAAGTTTTATCCAGATCCAGCCAATCTCATTTAGGCTGTCTAAGGCCACTACAGCAGAACCAGGTGGCTGCCAGAGACCACATGGCCTGCAAAGCCTAAAATATTTACTGTCTGGCCCTTTAAGGGAAACATTTGCCGACTCCTCTCCATCTTTCATTAAACAGGGTGTGGTTCTGTTATAGGAACACACAGCAAGCTATTGAATAAGACATTTAGGTGGTTCCCAACTTTTTGCTATTATGAAAATGTTACAATAAACATTCTTACCCTTGTTTCCCTGGGCTCCTGGGCACACACAGTGGAATTCCTGGTGTGTAGGAAAGACATGGGCATCTTCAGTTTGGGTCAATTTTGCCAAATTGCTCTCCAGTGTAGCTGAGGTCAGTTACACTCCCAGCAGCAGTGGAAAGAGCCCATCTTTCCACGTTCCTCTAAACTTATTACCTATCAGGTGTCCTCAGCCTTCAGTAGTTACCAGTCTTTCACTGTGTGTAGATTCTCTTGGATTTCCTGGCTGTGAGTGACAGGTTTGCTCTTTTTTTGTCTTGGTGCTCTGGACCCCTGTACAATACTGAATTGTCTTTACTAGCCATTTGTTCCTGGCTTTTAAGAGAATATTTCATGTTTTACCACATAGTATAGTGTTTTACCTTTAAGTACATGTTTACTATACGTTGGGTTTTTTTTTTTTTTTTTTTTTTTTTTTTTTTTTTTTTTTAGACAAACTCTCGCTCTGTCACCAGGCTGGAGTGCGGTGGCGCGATCTCGGTTCACTGCAACCTCCGCCTCCCAGGTTCAAGTGATTCTCCTGCCTCAGCCTCCCAAGTAGCTGGGACTACAGGCATGCACCACCACGCCCAGCTAATTTTTGTATTTTTAGTAGAGACGGGGTTTCACCATGTTGGCCAGGATGGTCTCAATCTCTTAACCTCATGATCCGCCTGCCTTGGCCGCCCAAAGTGCTGGGATTACAGGCATGAGACACCGCGCCCGGCCTGTTTTTGTTTTTTGAGATGGGGTCTCTCGCTCTGTCGCCAGGCTGGAGTGTAGTGACACAATCTTGGCTCACTACAACCTCCACCTCCCTGGTTCAAGCAATTCTCATGCCTCAGCCTCCCACGTAGCTGGACTACAGACACGTGCCACCATACCCAGCTAATTTTTTTGTATTTTGTAATTTTTGTATTTTGTATTTTTTGTATTTTTTTTTTTTGTAGAGATGGGGTTTCACCATATTGCCCAGGCTGGTCTACAACTCCTGGACTCAAGTGATCTGCCTGCCTTGGCCTCCCCAAGTGCTGTGATTACAGGTGTGGGCCACCACACCTGGCCTATTTTTTGTTGTTGTTGTTTTTTGTTTGTTTTCAGCATTTTTTGTTGTTTTTCTGAGAAAGGGCCTCTGTCACTCAAACGATCCTTCCTGAGTAGTTGGGACTATAGGTGTGTGCCACCAAAGCCAGCGAATTTTCTTATTTTTTTTTTTTTTTGAGACAGAGTCTCACTCTTGTCACGCAGGCTGGAGTGCAGTGGCATGATCTTGGCTCACTGAAACCTCTGCCTCCCGGATTCAAGCAATTCTTGTGCCTCAGCCTCCCAAGTAGCTGAGATTACAGAATGCACCACCACACCCAGCTAACTTCTGTATTTTTAGTAGAGACAGGGTTTTGCCATGTTGGCCAGGCTGGTCTCGAACTCCTGGCCTCAAGTGATCTGCCCACCTCAGCCTCCCAAAGTGTTGGGATTACAGGCGTGAGCCACTGTGCCTGGCCTAATTTTCTCATTTTTGTAGAGACGGGGTCTCACTATGTGGCCCAGGCTGGTCTCAAACTTCTGGGCTCAAATGATTTTCCAACCTGGGCCTCCCAAAGTGCTAGGATTACACTATTACTCCTTCTTAAATTTCTTTGAAACTCTGCTCATGGATTTTCTGTATTTATTATCTAAGTAATACATCTATGTAATAAGGCTATAAATCTGATTTTTTTTTTTTTTAAAGAAATGGATCTTATTTTGTCACCGAGGCTGGAATGCAGAGCTGCAATCACAGCTCACTGCAGCCTTGAACTCTTGGGCTCAAGCAATTCTCCAGTCTGGGCCCCCCAAAGTGCTGGGATTACAGGTATGAACCACCACACCTGGCCTGCCATGGCCCCCCTCCCAAGTTTTCTTTCTTTTTTTTTTTTTTTTGATGGAGTCTCGCTCTGTCGCCCAGGCTGGAGTGCAGTGGCGCGATCTCCATTTACTGCAAGCTCCGCCTCCCAGGTTCGAGCCATTCTCCTGCCTCAGCCTCCCGAGTAGCTGGAACTACAGGCGCCCGCCACCACGCCCAGCTAATTTTTTGTATTTTTAGTAGAGACGGGGTTTCACCATGTTAGCCAGGATGGTCTCGATCTCCTGACCTCGTGATCCGCCTGCCTTGGCCTCCCAAAGTGCTGGGATTACAGGCGTGAGCCACTGCGCCCGGCCACCAAGTTTTCTTAGCATATGTATCCTCATTTTTTGTTTGAACTAAATAATTTTTATTTATATATGACTTCATATTTAGAATAGGTTTAAATTTCCACACAGCTGGAGCTTACGCGGCTTTTGTCTGTGGCCAAAGAATATGGTTGAAACTGATTTGATATCTGTTGAGATTTGTCGTGCACCCTAGTAGTTGGGTCATTTTTGTAAATGTTCCTTGTGTGATTGAAAATAATGTGTTGGTCTCACACAGGTCTGAAATTTAAATTTTAAAAGTTAAAAAACTAACTGTCAGGTTTTCTATTGGGGTTCATTGATCTTGATTAGTAACTGTATTAACATCCTCTATGTCCTTTTTTTTTTGGTTGTTTGGTTTATTAGTTACTCAAAGAGGTCTTATGTCTCCCTATGATGGAGGACCTGGCAATTTCTCCTTGTGTTCTTAATATATTTTCAGCCTCTTTTTTTTTTTTTTCGAGACAGAGTCTCACTCTGTTGCCCAGGCTGGAGGGCAGTGGCGCAATCTCAGCTCACTGCAACCTCCGCCTAGCAGGTTCAAGCAATTCTTGTGCCTCAGCCACCTGAGTAGTTGGGATGACAGGCGTGCACCACCACGCCCAGCTAGCTAATCTTTGTATTTTTAGTAGAGACAGAGTTTTGCCATGTTGGCCAGGCTGGTCTTGAATTCCCAGCCTCTAGTGATCCACCCACCTCGGCCTCCCAAAGTGCTGGGATTACTGGCATGAGCCACTGCGCCTGGCCTATTTTCAGCCTTAAAAACAAAAACCCTGGAACATAGAAGTTCAGAACTTTCCTCTCTTCACAGAGTTCCTCCTCGCATCATTTCATGTTGATCCTCTTATCCCCAGTGTCTTCTGCCTGAAGGCCTATTTTGTCTGAGTTTTCTATAGGTACATCTTTTGGTTAGTTTTTCTCTAGTACACCTTTTCCCATCGTTTTACTTTTTGGTGCCCTTAGGTTTTAAATTTCCTCTTGTAAATAGCATAGAGCTGCATCTTATTTTTTCTTGGCCAATCTGGTCATCTGTGTTTTAAGAGGTGAATGTAAACCACATTTTCTACCTCTGGTTTTGTACTATATATTTACCATCCCTTTTACTTTGCTTCCTTTTTCTCCCTTTCTGCCTTCCATTATAGTTTTAATACCCATCACTACCCTTTTCTCTGCATTGGCAGTTATAGTTCCGTTTGTATTCTTTTGGTGATCCTCTTAAATATCTGAAATACACACCTGACTTTACAAAGCCAGACAATGCTCAGTCTCTTTAACCCCCTCTCAAATTGCCCTCTCAGTCTTCCATGTTCTTGTGTCTCATGCATCTTGTTTCTGTGGCCCACAAATTAATCATTATTATTCATATTGCATATTAAATGCTTGTTTAGATTCACATGTTTACCAATTTGCTCACCATTTTTCCATCTAATTTCTTCCTTTTGGGTTCCATGTCCTTGTTACTAAACTACATTCTTTAAAAATTATTTCGGCGGCCAGGCGTGGTGGCTCACACCTGTAATCCCAGCACTTTGGGAGGCCGAGGCGAGTGGATCACGAGGTCAGGAGATCGAGACCATCCTGGCCAACATGGTGAAACTCCATCTCTACTAAAAATACAATAATTAGCTGGGGGTGGTGGCAGGCGCCTGTAATCCCAGCTACTGAGGAGGCTGACTGAGGCAGGAGAATCGCTTGAACCCGGGAGGCAGAGGTTGCAGTGAGCTGAGATCGCACCACTGCACCCCAGCCTGGCGACAGAACGAGACTTCGTCCCCCTCCCCCCTCCCCCAAAAAAATGTTGATCTTCAGTCTGCGCATTCTGCTCTGGATTTTAAGCATCATTTCTGGCAGCTCTTTTTCAGGAACTGTCTCTGCAGGTCTTTCAGTGTTCGCCTCTGGAGCTCTGCTCGGGCCCGCGAGTTCTCCTGGCGTTGCCATCTGTGCCCTTTTCCTTATTCCCCATCACCTGTCTCTCTGGTGAGCTGCTTCCGATCAGCCTCCAGGTCCACGATTTCTCTTCTGTTGTCCTTTTCTGCCTTCTCACCTCATCCTCTGAGACCTGAATTTCGATGGCTCTACTTTTCAATTATATTATTCTTTTTCAAACCTGGGCGTTCATTTCTAGCATCCTGTTCTATCCTGTGTCTGACTGTGCCTCCCGCACCTTCTCCCTTCTCTCGCCCTAAGCCCCGTGAAGGCGCCGGGCCTTTGGCTCCGGCTGTTTCCCACGGCGCCCAGAACCGCGTCAGTCCTGACACAGACTCGGTGAGGGCGGGAAGTGGTGCCGTGGGGCTGCAGCCTGGCCCGCCCGCTCCATCGGCCTAGGGCGGCCCCACCGCCCTCCGGGCCTTACCTTGAGTTCGGGCTGCGGGAGAAGCTCCCGCGCTGCCCATGACGTCACGGGACTGTGACGCGCCCAGAAGCCCCGCCCCTCGCGTCCCGGTCCGCGGACCCAGGCTCTCTGCGCCGTGACGTCACGGGTCCGGGCGGGCGGGTTGTGCGTCGGCCCAATGGGAGCGGCGCACTGGCCTCCCCTTTAAGGAATGTTGTGACCTGACGTCACCGGGCGAGTTACCTCCCGCAGCCGCAGCCGCCGTGCTCAGCGCGAGCCCCGGAGCCCTTGAGCGCGAGGCGCGGAGCCCCCGGAGCCCCCAAACCGCAGACACATCCCCGCGCCCCAGAGCCCCGGCCTGCGCGCCCAGCCGGGCCCGCGCGATGCCCTCAGACCGGCCTTTCAAGCAGCGGCGGAGCTTCGGTGAGGCCCGGCAGGCGAGCTGCGAGCTCTGGGGCAGGGGTGCCGGCCGACCCCGACTGCCGCAGGTGACGTCAGCCCCGTGACGTCAGGCTCTGGCTGGACCCTCGGGCTGGGACCAGCTCCGGCCTGGGCGGGGGCTGCCCGCTTCCCCACCGCGATAGGTGCCAGGGGCTGTGGGGCCTGATGGCCCCGGGGGTGGGGGCTGGAGCTGGGGCGTGGCCGGGGGCCGCCCCTCCGGGACAGGCGGGGCGGACCTGGGCCGGCCCGACCCGGCCTCACGGTCTGGCCGCTGTCCGCAGCCGACCGCTGTAAGGAGGTACAGCAGATCCGCGACCAGCACCCCAGCAAAATCCCGGTGAGTCCCGCACCCCCAGCCCTGCCCCGCCCCCGCCTCGCGCGTTCCCGACACGACCCCCTGCCCGCCCGCCCTGCTCCCAGGTGATCATCGAGCGCTACAAGGGTGAGAAGCAGCTGCCCGTCCTGGACAAGACCAAGTTTTTGGTCCCGGACCATGTCAACATGAGCGAGTTGGTCAAGATCATCCGGTGCGTGGGCAGCCGCCGCCAGGAGGTGGCTAGGGTCGGGAGGGGAGCCGGGTTCCCGCCGAGAAGGGGTGGGAGTGGGGTCAGGGGTGATGGGACCGGGCGGTGGGCCCCTGTTCTGGGGTGGCTGGAAAGGTCAAGGTCGGGGCTGCAGTCGGTGTTGGGTCAGAGGTGACAGCTGGGGTGAGAATGGGTGTGAAAGGCTGGGAATCATTCTGGGGGTCAGGGCTATGTCCGTCCCGCAGCCAAGCCCCTCACAGCTGCATACTCTCCCGCCGGCTGCAGGCGCCGCCTGCAGCTGAACCCCACGCAGGCCTTCTTCCTGCTGGTGAACCAGCACAGCATGGTGAGTGTGTCCACGCCCATCGCGGACATCTACGAGCAGGAGAAAGACGAGGACGGCTTCCTCTATATGGTCTACGCCTCCCAGGAAACCTTCGGCTTCTGAGCCAGCAGTAGGGGGGCTCGGCCTGGGAGTCGGGCGGCCCCGGTCAGGCCCTGCCCAGAGAGCTCCTGGTTCCTGAACTGAGCTGCCTCTACCGTGGTGGGCTGGGCAGGCATGTGCCCCCCTAGTCAGAGGGCACCAACCCACCTACTCTGCCCCTGGGTGGATCCTGGGCCGGTCGTGTTAGGGTTGTCCCTCTGGGTGCTGGCTGGTGGGATGGGGGAGGGTGGGGAGCAGCTCCCAGCACCCCTGCTGTGTGGTTCATCTTTTTTTTAGGCCCCTGCCTGTCTGCCCATCTGCCCCTCACCCACCCGAGGCTCTGCCCACCGCCTGGACCTGCCCACCCCTGAAAGACTGGCCCCTGGCTCCCCGCCCCTCGGTCTCCACGTGGTGTATGGATCTGTGGTCATTGTCCCTCTGCAGAATAAAGATTGCTCAGGCCTGCCTGGCCCTGTGCCTCCAGCCGCTTGCTTGGGAGTGGGGAGGGTGCTGGTGGGGCTGCCCGCACCATCCCCGGGCTCTGGCGCACAGACTTGTGTTCTGTGGCCGCGGTGCTCGCTCTGGAAACCCACACCTGTGTGTAGTGTTCCAGAACATTATTAGGGGCCACCCCCTCTAGGAGTGCAATGCAGATGTGGTCTCAGGGTAGACTTCATAACAAAAAACATTTATTAAGTAGCCACAATCTAACAAGCCCTGCTCACCTGCCTCTTCTCCTTCCTGTCTGGGAGGGGGCTCCTTGGTGTGCAGAGCCACAAGGTGGGGGTCCAAGTTGGGGAGCTCCCAGTTCTTCCCCATAGGCCTTGCTGTCAGTCAGCCATGGGTCCCTTTTGGTACCAGAGACTTGTGACCCTGGACTCGAACCTCTTCTGCCCAAGCACTCGCCTGCTGGCAACTCTGGCTGGAGGGCTTGGCCCAGCTTCTGGCCCCACAGCCCCCTGAGGTCCATGCAGCCCTGTGCCAGCCAGGCCTACTTGAGCACGAGCATGGCCTCTGTGCCATCCTTGGCGGTCAAGTAGAGGCCATGTGTGAGGTAGTACTCCCGCCGCAGGAAGGCATAGAAGTAATCAGAGATGAGCAGGATCTGGGGGGAGAGAGAGGGTGTGAGGCGCTGCTGGGTACCTCCCCCTAAACCCAGGATCCCTGAACTGCTGGCAGGTGTTGTTGGAAGACAGGAACGCCCCTGCCTGGCTCTGGATCACAATCACTGGAGAGGCCCTCCTCAGGGCCCCCACCTCAGGGCCCATAATTGACCCTGCAAGGTCTGGCCTCTCAGAAGCTGCCTGGACTCCCCCTGCCCCCACCCATGGTCTACACCTCCATCCCAGGCTCTGGCCTCGAATGCCAGCCTGGTGCCTGTGCAACCAGAGGCCTCTGCCCCATCCTCCCACAGCCACTTCCATCCCAGCCAGGTCCACATCAAACTCCTCACCTTCCCTCTGTCAAATACACTTCTCCCACTCAGCATCCATGCCCCCATCTTCCAGCCAGGTGCCCAGGCCACAAAATTGCCCTGACACTTCTCTCATACATCGAGCCACCATGACCTGTCAATTCCCCCTAAACTCAAATCCACCCTTTGGATCCATCCCCACAGTCACTACTCTGGACAGAGCCACTGTCATCTCATCTCCTAAACAACAGCAAAGCTTGGTCCTTGGGCTCCCTGCTCTCAAACCCGTGCCCACCCCATTCTCCCTGGCAGCCAGAGGGAGCTTTTCAAAACCCACATCTGATGGTGTTACTTCCAGCCTTCAAATCCTCCAAAGGCTTCCCAAGCCTTAGGGCAAAGCTCGAACTCCCTCGTGCTCTGAGACCTTGCTAGGGTCCCTGTCCGCCCTCTCCCGGCTCCACCTCACCCCACGGCAGGATCTTTACTGTTTCTTCTGCCTGGAATGTTCTCTCCCCGTTCATCTAGTTGACAGCTGCTTACTCTTCAGGGCTCAGGAAGGATCACTTGCCCCCCAGATTAGTTCTTGGCCCCACTAATCTCTACTCGATAACAGACTCATCGAAAGTGTAATTTTCCATTCAGCTGACAGCCTGACTGTGCCTCCTCCCCTGGCCCGGGGCCTCCATCAGGGCAGGGTCTTCGAATGGTTCTGTCACTATGGTATTTCTGTGCCCAGCTCAGTCTGTCTGTCCCATTCTGGGCCACACACAGAAGAATCAAAGGGAGCCTAGAAGCTCAGCCCACTGTCTCTTCAAGGAGGCCCAGAAAGGAATAGGGATTTGCCAAGGGCCCTATACACCAGACCCGGAGTCTGCAATCCCAGTCAGCCCAAGCTTCCCAAGACCACTGGTCCCTGGAGCAGGTTGGGCAGGGCCCAGCCTCAGAGAAGGATGAGGGGACAGGGGCTCACACTACAGACACCGCAGCTCTCAGGCACCTGGAGGCCTCAGAGGATTGGCACCAACCACCTGGCACAGATGGGGAGACTGAGGCACAGAGCACTTGGCTATGGTCTTGGGGCAAGACAGGTTGAGCTAAGCCTGGGATCTAGACCTCCAGACCCTGTCCTGGGCAGCTTCTCACTGACCTGAAGGTAACACAACAGCAGCTAAGGAGAGATCAGAGGCGCCTGGAGGAGTTCAGGAAGGTGTCCTGTCACCAGCAGCTCTGATGGCCTCAGGACAAGTACCTGCCATTCTATCACCACAGAAGCCCATCTGGAAGGTTGAACAATCCTCATCTTAAACAGATGGGGAAACTGAGACTCAAAGGGTTCAATGGTTGGCCTAAGGCTACACCTGGAGCACTGGACTAATGGCCATGGACCCAGAAAGGTGGTCTGCCTGGGGCCCAGATCACTGATGAGCACGAGATTGGTCACAGCGTCAGCAAAGCAGACAGAGCTCAGGCAGCCCCCGAGGCCCTGCCCCCAGCTGCCCAGCTGGCAGCTCCAGGCTGGCCCACTGGGGGGCAGTGATCACAGCAAAGGCTGACCTCATACCCTGCAGCCCTTTCTCACCCAGGCCCGAGATGCCATCTGGGCAGGAGGAGCCCAAAGCAGGGGCTGAGCTCAGAGGCTGATCCCTGAACCAGGTCAGCTGAGGGGCAGGTGCAGTCACAATCCACAACAATCAAAACGAAGCAACTCCATGTCACACAATAATCATCTGGACAAGAAGCAGGAAGAAAAAGATTAGGTTATTAGGTTGGACCATATGAAATTGCCAGTTTTGCAGATAAAAAAATGGTTGAATACTGGCAATTTCATATGATCCAACCTAATATAAAACGGAAAAACGTACACATGGAAAAGTAAGCATGTTATTTAGAAGTACCAACAGAAATAACAGTAAGACTTTAGGTAGCTATTCTTTTCCCCTATAAGCCTTAACTTTGCAAACTACATACATGTATTCCATTGATAAAAATAAAACTTCGGCGAGGTGCGGTGGCTCATGCCTGTAATCCCAGCACTTTGGGAGGCCGAAGCAGGCGGATCACCTGAGGTTGGGAGTTCGAGACCAGCCTGACCAACATGGAGAAACCCCGTCTCTACTAAAAATACAAAATTAGCCGGGCATGGTGGCGCATGCCTGTAATCCCAGCTACTTGGGAGGCTGAAGGCAGGAGAATGGTTTGAACCTGGGAGGCGGAGATGCGCCATTGCACTCCAGCCTAGGCAACAAGAGCGAAACTGCGTCTCAAAAAGTAATAATAAAAAATAAAGCTTCAATTAAAACAAATCAGCCAATAAATCAATGAATCAATACATCAATGGGGGGGGGGAGATAAATCTTCCTTCCAGAAGAATTCCAAACAATGTAGGTAGTTATATCCCCCTCCCATAGAAGGAGCTTAATTCTTGTCCACTCTGCATCTCCTAAGCCTAGGGGGGTCTAGACTTGGTTACTCACTTCCTCCTGAGGAGCAGGGAAAGGGAAAAGAGTAACTTTACAGTGGAGAGACCTGGCCAACACTATCTTAACCACGTGGTGGAGGTTAACATCAGCTTGAAATCACGTGGCTAGCATGTAACCCCAATAGATGTGATGAGAAGGGCACTTTGCCTGGGGTATTCTTTCTAAAAACCCACAACCCCAGGATAGTCCTAAGAAAAGCATCAGACAAACCTAAACTGGGGGACAAACCTAAATTGGGTGACATTCTACAAGATACCTGGCCAGCGCTCCTCAACTGTCAAGGTCATGAGAAGTCAGAAAAGACTAAGAAGAAAAGCAGAAGACACTGGGGAGATGTGACCTTACATGTAATGTGGACCTCTCGATGGGGTCCTGGTAGAGAAAGAGGCTGTGACTGGAACAACAGGAAATCCAAATCCATTCTAGTGTTTCAGACTAATAGTAACGTATCAGGGTGAGTGTCTTAGTTTTGACAAACACATCACGGTAAAATATAAGATGTTAACAACTTAGGCAACTAGGTGGGGGCTTACAGGAACTCTGTTCTATCTCTGCAACTTTTCTATAAATCTAAAGTGATTCTAAAATAAAAAGTTTATTTAAAAAATAAATGAACTAGCTGGGAATGGTGGCTTGTGCCTGTAATTCCAGCTACTCGGGAAGCCGAGGCAAGGGGATCCCTTAAGCCCAGGAGGTCGACCTGGGCAACAGAGCAAAACTCCAGCTCTTGAAACAGGAAAAAAATTAACAGCAATGACCTATTGTTGTATGTAACAAACTCAAAATATTTTGCTGAGTGAAAGAGAGCTTTGGCAAATGTACACAAAAGATTTGCACTTTTCCCTGTATAATAAATTTTACATAAGAAAATGATACACATGCTGAAATATTTAGCAGGAAATGTACTGATGTCTGCATTTCAATTTGAAATACACTAAAAAAGTAAGATGGACTGAGGGATGATGGAAGAAGTACCTGAAGATGTGAATGGTGGACTCCCGCTGGTGGGTATGTATATGGGTGTCCAATGCTAAAGCTGTCAACTCTGCTGTGTGTGTGGAAATCTGGAGGATAAAGGGGGTGGCGGGAAGAGCCCTGTGAGCGGCTTGGGCACACAGCCCTGGGTGTCATCAGTCCTGAGTGAGCACCCTGCCCCCAGGGAGAGGACACCAGGCTGGCCGAGAGGCCTGGCCCTTTCAGAGGGAAGCCTGTAGCCAGGACAACCTCTTCTGACCTTGGGGCTTTCCATTTGGGCCGTGAGGAGAGCAGGGATTTCCCAGAGGCCCTAGGGTGCAGCCAACACAGCAGCTGCAGACCCAGAGCCCCTTTGCCCAGTCTGGACAGGGGCGAGTTGGGCAAGGGGCTGTGGAATTTGCATGGGCGAGTCAGCGGCTGTGTGATATTAAGTCTCTTCCTGTCCCCTGGGCTGCATTTTCCTCATCTGGAAAATGACAGTAATAGGCTCTAGCTTGTTACCAACAATGCTGGGCTCCTCTAGTTTTTTTTTGAGACGAAGTCTCGCTCTGTCACCCAGGCTGGAGTGCAATGGTGTGATCTCAGCTCACTGCAACCTCCGCGGTTCAAGTGATTCTCCCGCCTCAGCCTCCCGAGAAAGCTGGGACTACAAGCGTGCGCCACCACCCCTGGCTAGTTTTTTCTTTTTTTGTATTTTTAGTAGAGACGGGGTTTCACCATGATAGCCAGGATGGTCTCGATCTCCAGACCTCATGATCCGCCCACCTCAGCCTCCCAGTGCTGGTATTACAGGCATGAGCCACCGCGCCCGGCCGGGCTCCTCTAGTCTTTGTGCCAGTTAGGACCCCAGAACATGTCACTCTGTGTCCTCAGGTCTCTGGATCCCACCCAATGTGGCTGAAATACTGCCTTGCCAATCCCCTTCTCAGACTTGCCCTCTTCTCTTCCTGCAGCCACCTCTCTGGACACACACACACACACACACACACACAGGTGCACACACACGCACACTCACACTGCTCACACATGCACACACAGGTGCACACACATACATGCACGCTTGCACTGCTCACACAGGCTCGCACTGCACTCACACACAGGTGCACACACACAGGTGCACACATACACGCATGCTTGCAATGCTTAGACACACATGCTTGCACACACACATGCTCGCACTGCTCAGACACGCTCACATTGCACTCACAGGTACACATACACGCACACAGGTGCACACATACATGCAAGCTTGCAATGCTTAGACACACATGCTCACACACACAGATGCACACACATACACGCACGCTCTCACTGCTCACATGCTCGCACTGCACTCACACACACACAGATACACACACATACACGCACGCTTGCCTGCTCAGAAGTTCCCTGGCTCCCCCTGCCCTGCCCAGCAGCGCTGCAGCTCCCACCTATCCCTCAGAGGCTCATCTCCTGCCAGGAGTCTTCTCTAACCCTGCATTGTTACATGGACCCTGAAGTGAAGTCACTGCCCACTGGCCTCCCAACCAAATGGGGCTGCATTTGCTCCAGTTCTATGGCCCCAGGCCCGGCACAGGGCCAGCTCTCTCTGAGTTGTTTGCTGGTCTGTACCCTCTCAGCGCTGCCCCCAGGGACGGCTCGGTCCACATTCCTCTCTATGGCAGCCATGAGGGCTCCAGGGCCGCCTCCCTCTGGGACCATGATGAAGAGCTCATGGGGCAGCTAGCTGATAAAGGGGTGACCAGGGACAGACAGGATGAATCAGAAGTAGAACGAAACCCTCAGAACATGCTCTAGTGCAGGGCAGGATGGAGAGACAGGGAAATGAATATCTTCTGAGTGTCTGCCCTGGTCCAGGCCCTTTAACAAAAAAACAATATTGTCCCTTTCCAACCCCCCAGGGTAGGGCTGACAATGCCTACTTAGAGAAGGGAAGCTCAGGGGTTATGGGCCCTGCAAAAGGTCACATGGTAGGAAGTGAAGAGTTAGGGGCCAGTCCTGCCTGTCAGAGGCCCAATCCTGAGTTCTTCCACAACCCCCTAGGGTCTGCACCCACATGAACTGAGTCCTGCTACATGCCAGGCCTGTGCTGACACCTCAGGTACCTTTACACCCTGCGGAGTCTGCTCTCCCCAGTTCACAGCTCTGTCACTCAGTGGAGAGAGAGAGAGATTGACTTTTTTTGTAAAAAGCCAGTAGAGGTTGTTAATACAGTGTGTCTTGAAACTACTGGGCTCAGGACAGCAGCCTTGTCCACCACCAGGGCTGCAGATTCCTAGAGAAGCAGGTGCTATCACCCAGGCATGTCCTGGTTCCCCAGGCCTCCTGCTGCTGTTGGGGACACAGACACTGACATTTGACAGTCAGCCCACGCTGGGGGGAATGCATGTGGCCGTCACAGTTGGCAAAGTGCAGCAGCCTCTGCCCACCTGCCTGGGATCCAGGAAGCTGGGAGGCAGAGGAGGCTGGCGGCCGACTGTGGAGCTGGACAGCACTTTGGCGTAACCTGGCAACCCACAGGCCGGAGCGGACATTATGTAGGAGGAAATGGTGGAGGAGAAAACTCCACCCTCCAGCTCTGAAGATGCAAAGTAACAAGTGAAATCTCTGGACCTCAGTGTCAGGGTCTGAGAGGTCACAAGGTGAGACTGAGGATGAGGCTACAAGTAACTGTCCCTTACATGGCACTTTTCACTTACATGGCACTTTTCCCACATTCAGTCCTCAAAACCACCTTCCCAGTTTGAGGAAACTGAGGCCACCACCACCTCCCCCAGATTTCAACCTCCCCTAGCCTCGTCCCTGGTGCCCTGGATGCCAGGCTCACACCTCTTACCTCTGCTCTTCCCAGCAGTGAGGTTTTCAGAGCATGGATCTGATCACATTTATCCTCAGCTCTTAAAGCCAAAGGTGCAGTCTGGACCTCTGCATAAGAGGCCCTTGAAGGCCTGTGGTCTGACCACTGCTGTCTGAATTGCCCTCATTCCCTCTCAAGTGGTACAGCCAGTCCCACTGAGCTCCCAGCAGCACGGTGTTCCTCCTTTGCTCCCTCCTTCCTCCTCTCTCTCTCTCTCTCTCTCTCTCTCCCTCCTTCACCCCCACCCAGGTCTTGCTACCTAAAATCATAGAACCCAGTTAGATCCTACCCATCCCTCAGGACCCCACTTAGAGGCCACCTTCCCCAGGAAGCCTCCTTAACAGCCCAGCTCTGGGCTCCCAGCTCGTCAGGCTGCCCTGTCCTGCCCATGTCTTTTCCTTTCTCTCCACAGACCGAGGGCTCCTTGGAAGTACACCTCTGTCTCATTCACCCCTCGCAGAGTGCCTGGTGAATAGTAGGAACCTAATTAACATTTGCAAATAAATAAATTAGCTTCCCAGGAGTTACGGGATGTGCCTGAGGCCAGCGAGCCAGGACAGACAGGGCTGGAGTCGCTATAGAGTTTGGGCTTCCAGAGCCCTGGCCTTCTGTGGCCTTTGTCCTGCTGTATGTAGCCTGGGCTCTTCCTGTCACTCTGGTTGTTGGGGAGGAGAATAGGCTGGGAAGGGCCTGTGAGGGACAAGCTTGGGATGCTCAGTGCTGGAAGGACAAAGGAATGAACTAAGACCTTGACAGAATTACACTAGTTGGGAAAAGCAAAGTAAACACGCACATCCAGCAGGATGAGGACAAGGGCTCCAGGTTGGCCACAGGCACCGCATATCGGGAGCAACGAGCCTTCCCACACACAGACCTGGGATCTTGCACAGCCCAGGCCACACACAACCGGCAGGAAGAAACCTGAAATGGGTCTCGAGCCAACCCCAAATGGGGGCTACACACCACTCAGCCACTAATGACCCACCCAACACGTCTCCAAGCATTTCCTCATAGGTCCCATTTCCCAGAATGACACACCAGGCCAACTGAGAGGCAACTCCGGGAGACAGGATTGTGGTTTCACCTGTGTTGCAGTGAACAGTGAGTCCCAGGCAGGGGACAGGCAGCATGCAGGAGGTTGGTGTCAGACCTCGGGCTTCAGGCCTCACTCAAAACAGAAAGGAGAATGGCCAATGCAAGGCCAGCCCAGTATCTGAGGGTCTGCAGTACAGGGAGGGGTCAGGGCTGGCCCCTCATGGCAAATAGGCAGTGGCTTGAGGAGTAGGGTTCCAGATGATCCAGATCCTGCTTGGAAGGGTGGGTGGTTGGCCAGGTGCGGCAGCTGACACCTGTAATCCCAGCACTTTGGGAGGCTGAGGCAGGAGTTTGGCTTGAGCTCAGGAGTTCGAGCTCGTAACAACATAGCAAGACCCTGTCTCTACCAAAAATTTAAAAAGTAGCCAGGTGTGGGGGTGTGCCTGTAGTTCTAGCTACTTGGGAGGCTGAGGTGGGAGGACCTCTTGAGCCTAAGAGGTTGAGGCTGCAGTGAGCTGTGACTGTGCCACTGCACCCCAGCCTGGGCAACAGAGCAAGACCCTGTCTCAAAAAGAAAAAAAAATGAAATAAAATTAAAAAAAATTTTTTTGAGATAGCATTTTCACTCCTGTCACCCAGGATGGAGTGTAGTGGCGTGATCTCGGCTCACTGCAACCTTCGCCTACCGGGCTTAAGCGATTCTCCTGCCTCAGCCTCCTGAGTAGCTGGGATTACAGGTAGCTTGCCACTGCACCCGGTTAGTTTTGTATTTTTTTGTAGAGATGGGGTTTTGCCATGTTGCCCAGGCTGTTCTCGAACTCCTAAGCTCAAGCGATCTGCCCGCCTCAGCCTCCCAAAGTGTTGGGATTACAGGCACGAGCTACTGCAACCGGCCTACTAAAATAAAATTTAAAAAAGGAAGGGCAGGCAGACGAGAAGTCTGCTTTAGATGTAGACACAGGGCAGGAGTGGGGCTCTCAGGCCAGCTACTGGGATACAAGGGTAAGGGGGCTCTGGCTCTGACCCCCTAGTAATCCAGTAGACTAGCCAGAGGCCCAAATCAGACCAAAACAGGGATTGGCACGGGGAGGTCAGGGTGTACAGAAATGTGTTAGAGCATTGGTCATAAAATGTGGTTTCTGATGCCAGCTCATTCAATTTGTCATCAATAAGTAGTCACTGAATATTCTTCTTGGTGCTGGGGATACAGCCATGAAGAAGACAGACCCAGGGCTCGCCCTAATGGAACCCACAGTCTACTAAGAGGATGTGACAAACAAGACTGTGGATAAATACACCCCTTCACAGCTTAGTGAGTTTGGGTAAGTCTCTAACCCTTCCAAGCCTCAGTTTCCTCATTTGTATCATGAGTTAATAATAGTACTTCCTTCAAAGGGCTGTTATGAGGAGTAAATTCCTTATAACTAAAGAAAAAAAGGAAAACAATGTAAAGGGCTGTCAGTAGAGTAGTTACATAAAGTGTGGTGAGTTCACATATGCAGGACTCAAATAAAAAGGAGGTTCCTCTCTCACATATGAGCAAGGAAAGTTCACCCAGACATTTTACTAAAAGGGAAAAAAGTCCTACTTTCATCATTATGTCAATAATAAAACACACATACCCACATACAAATAAGCCTCTCTCTCCATGAGCCTATGAGTTTATGTAAATGCACACAGAATGGTTCGGAAGGCCATCTGAGCACGTGATCAGAAGATTATAGGGATCACGTGGGGCCAGCCCCTAGTAAGCTCTCCTGAAACATGAGCCACTGTTATTTATTTTTATTTTTTTTTGAGACACAGTCTCGCTCTGTCGCCCAGGCTGGAGTGCAGTGGCACGATCTTGGCTCACTGCAGCCTCCACCTTCAGGGTTCGAGCAATTCTTCTACCTCAGCCTCCCGAATAGCTGGGACTACAGGCGCGTGCCACCACATCCAGATAATTTTTGTATTTTTAGTAGAGACGGGGTTTCACCGTGTTAGCCAGGATGGTCTTGATCTCCTGACCTCATGATCCCAAAGTGCTGGAATTACAGGTGTGAGCCACCGCGCCCGGCCGCATAAGCCACTATTAATTTTAATTTTAGGAGAAGATTTTCTTATGTTCTCTGTTTTTAAACAGAATGAAGGTGAGTGTGACACTTTGCCCTACTCTTTTAAAAAAGCTAAATTTAAACAAGTTCCTTTTTGTTTATATGTAATCCTTGATTAATATTTTCCACCTGCTGGTCACTGACTCACAAAATAAAAGGGTTAAAAAAAAACTGCTTCCTTTGGTTCATGGACTGTCTCTCCAGGAATCTGCTCTGGGTATTTGAAGAGCATGTTGCTCTTGCTGTTTCCCATGTCAACACACATGAGTAATGGCAACAGGACCCACAAGTTATGTCCAATCCTCTCAACACCCTGGAAGCTGTGGGTCATCATCCCGGTTTTTGAGATAAGGAAACTGCAACCTAGAGAAGTTAAATCACTTGAGGAAGTGGGGGAGGCCCTCAAGAAATCCACTGGTCTCAATCCCTCCTTCGTTCTCTCACACTCAGGCGCACCCCCCACCATGGATGGTTTACTGTTGTCATTTCCTGTTACTGACTCTGAGGAACAACCATAATTAGCAAATGAACCATGCCACAGGCAGAAAAATAATAGCTCCCAGGGTAAAGGATGGGGCCTTAGTCACTGGTTTACCTGCCGGTATAACTAATAATCCACACATAATTTGTTCTGTAATAGGGTATGGCACTGAACAACTCAAACAGAGCAGGATTTAAAAAAAAATCTATAAGCCAAGATGTTCTCTATATTCAGCTCTTGATTTCAGCAATGATATCAAGGTTCTAGATACTTCCTTGAAATCTGTACTCATCTGGTTCCTAAGAGAGCTCTGCTTTGTCTTGCCCAAGGAGGAGAAAATGAGGCAGGTGAATACCAGGCACCTTCCTAGCTCACAGCAGGATATGGAACTGAGAACATGTCCCCAAATCCCGTACGTCTCGATGGAAGACACAGAAGCAGGGGCTGGGTTTGGGCTGCGCAGGACATGCAAGGCTGAGAAAAAGACAGTGGGACAAGGGGACCTCATGAAAGGTCTCTATGAGGAGGTGACACTTCACTCTTAGTAAAACTTGAAATGTCTCATTTTGCACTCTGAGGCTCCCAACAGGTCCAAAGGCAAGGGTGGCATAACTTTCATGAAGAGGGGCTCTCTTACCTCAGTCAGCGCTCTGGGACAAGGACATGCCTCGAGTGACTGCCTCAGTGAGCAAGTGGCCCCATCTGATGCACCCTGTTAGTGACCTGGCAGCAGCAGCAACAAAGTCGAAAGCCAGCAGCCCCAGGAAGTACTTGGACCCCCTGCTGGGAGGCCTGTAGGTTGGTGTGGCCTGCCTGAAGGGCAGCTTGGAAATACCTGCCAAAGGCGTAAAATGCATATGCCCCCTGACCCAGCAAATCCCACCACGTGGAATCTACTCTATAAAACTCCAGCATGTGTGTACAAGAATATGTGGAGGGATATGCAAGGCTCTTCCATTTTATTTATTTACTATTTATTATTACTTTTTTATTTACTAATTATTATTTTTATTATTTATTGCTATTGACCAGCCTGGTCTCAAACTCCTGACCTCAAGTGATCCTCCCATCTCAGCCTCCCAAAGTGCTGGGATTACAGGCATGAGCCACCAGGCCCGGCTGCAAGGCTCTTACATTTAAAGTGACAAAATAGGCTGGGCGCAGTGGCTCACACCTGTAATCGCAGCACTTTGGGAGGTCGAGGCGGGCAAATCACTTGAGGTCAGGAGTTCAAGACCAGCCTAGCTAATGTGGTGAAACCCTGTCTCTACTCTCTACCAAAAATACAAAAATTAGGCGGGCATGGTAGTGCACGCCTATAATCCTGGCTACTCAGGAGGCTGAGGTGAGAGAATTGCTTGAACCCAGGAGGTGGAGGTTGCAGTGAGCCAAGATCACGCCATTGCGCTCTATCCTGGGTGACAGAGTGAGACTCTATCTCAAAAAATAAATATATAAATAAAGTGCCAAAATAACCAAGGGCAACCTCAATGCCCATCAGCAGGGCTGTACCTAGTCCAAACCACTGGATGTTACAGAGGTATTAAAAAATTATCTCAAGACAAAATCATTAAGTGAAAAACAGCAAGCCAAAGAATGCTACTTAAAGGAGAATGCCATTTACCTACATAAACAAACAAACAAAAAACCCTCTTTATGTACCTGTGTCTATAGCTGTCTATAAATGCACAGAAGAAAGTCTGCAAAGACACATACCAAACTGATCCCAAAGGCCACGTCTGCAGAGGAGTAGAAAATGATGGGGGCTCAGGCAGATCTTTTCTTTTCATTGCATAGTCTTTTTATTTTTTATTTTTTGGTAGAGATGGGCTTTTGCTATGTTGCCCAGGCTGTTCTTGAACTCCTAGCCTCAAGTAATCCTTCTACCTTGGTCTCTCAAAGAGCTGGGATCACATGCATGAGCCACCACACTCAGCCCATTCCATATTCTTCTATTTTGTTTGACTTCTTTCCCCCAGCAATAATGAATTCATGTATTACTTGATGATTTAAAATACATTTTAAAAAGAGATTAAGAAAAAAAAAGGTAAGAGATCATGCCAAGAGTCCAGCTGGTTTCTCTCAGCTATGAACACACTTGATCCACCTGCCTTTGGTTTCCATCCCTAACCCCAATCCCTCTTTCCAATAATTCAGTTTCTCCTGCCTTCAATGGCACCTGACCACTTGCAGACAACCCCCTGTGCTGCTTTAGAGTCCCTTCTCTCAGAAAGGCAGCCACAGAGAAGAAAGCTGTTATCTGGCAAGTTCCATGGATGCTTCATAATCACTGCAACTGTATTTCCAGACCCAAACTTAAGACTAAGACTCATGACAAGACAACAGGCTGTGGACTATTTCTGTGGAGCTTGCCAACCTCCCTAGAGGCCCAGGGCAGGCCCAATGCCCACCCATGCCAGCTACCACTGGAAGGTAAGGAAAAGGAAGGAGATCCCAGAAAGGCAGGAGAGCCAGGGCAACCTTCTGGATTCCTTCAGGATATGCAATTGAGCCCTGCAGAATTCTGCCTGCGTGGGTCAGAAGTAAGAGAGGCTGCGCATCCACCAACCCTAACTACAGTGTGAGAGACAGAACAGGCCCTCCGGCTGGGCCCCACCCAGGCTACAAGGCCCTCTATCTCTCTTTCTTCTGCTCACAAACCAAGACAACTGGCTGGGCTGAACATTAATCCTCCAGAAATGTCCATGCAGGAAACACCAGTCCCATCACTCACTGAAAAAGCCCTAACTCCTTTCTTTTCCCGCAGCTAACCTTGGAGGCAAGAATTACCCTGGGGATTATTCACTGGCATCATTAGTCTTTCCAGCCAGCCTGCTTCCCATCCAGGCTATTACACATAGGAAATGCCTGGCTGTGCCAATGGCAATTGAAATGGTAAATGGTACAAGTGATTCTCAAAAGACTTCCACTACGAGGCCAGAGCCTGACCTGAGAGAAGGCAGCACGTGGAGGAGGGAACTTCCAAGAAGCGTGGGTGAGTCCACCTAGAGTTTGCTAGACCCACTGCCACAGAACCTCTGGAAGAGCTTATTAAAAATATAAATTCCTGACCCTGTATTCCACATTGAATCAACATTTCTGGGAGTGGGATCAGAGAACCTGGCTTTTTAAAACAGAGCCATGTACTTGGGACGGCTGCAACATAATTGCAGAGTTTAAAGCCTGTTAACAGGGAATCTGCATTTTTAACAAGCTCCCTCTGAGGATTTTGATTGAGAATCCTGCTCTGTGGAACAGAGGGACAGGCTTCCCAGCTCAGGGGAAGGCTGAGCTCCTTGCTGGTACTCCTCAGCCTGTGACCACAGCCTCCTCTCCACCGCTCCCAGCCACACAATTTATGCTCAACTCCCCAACAGCCAGACCGGCCCCCTTCTCCTCTGCCTGCCTTTGTTCCTGCTGTCCCGAGAGTCCGCAGAGCCTCTCCTCCCCTTGCCTTGCCCTCTCCCCCTCACTCTATCTACTCCCTATGGGTGCTGGAACCACAGGCACCATTACAGAAAGGGGTGCCTCAGAAATCAAGCCTTATGTGAATTTTGTTCTTGGCTCCTCCAATGACCTTCGAGAAGAGAGGACCTCTGCAAGCCTCTGTCCCTCATTTGTAAAGTAGGGCTAACATGCCCTGTCTCCTAGGCTTGCTGAGAATACAGCATGGCTATGGTTCAGTGTGGTGCCCAATACATATCTGCCAGGTTCAGCCTTACACTGCTCTTACTTCCCCGTCCTCACTGACTGGGAGCTACTTGAGGGGAGTAACTGTGCCTCCTTCACGTCTGCACCCCCCGGTATGCAGAATCCAAGGCCATCGTTGAATGCTTGAGGCTGCAAAATGAATTCCTGTCCCCAAGCTGACCCCCATGCTGTCCCTCTTACCTGCCCAACGTTGAAGGTCAGTGTGATGGCATAAAAGAAATTAGAGTTGGCACTTCCTGCATAAATCCAGAGGTGCCACAGGACAGGGAAGAGCAGGGAACAGACGATGATGATGCAGGTGAGGACAAAGATGTTTCTCAGGACTGCAAAGACAGAGGGTTACAGTTAGCCTGACACGCTCTCTCTGGCATGCTTTCCCTGCTGCAATGGCCCCCCTGAATGGAGAGGCCCAAGGTGAGCATCATGTAGCTCAAAGGCAGAGCACCCCCAGAGGTACTGGGGTGCCAAGAAGCAAACCCCAGACTCCTCAGTCAATGGCTCCCCATGCCCACAGCTGGTGGTAGCTCCTGGATTTCGATTATTTCCTCCCACTGTGGGCTTGGCTGGCTGAAGACCAGCTATAGTTAGAAATGCCATGAGTGCCTCGGGGCACCAAACAGGGCATTTCAGGAAGATATTCCCCTCACCTCCTAATCTTGGAGGGTCCAAGAGTATCCCTCTCCCCAAGCAGGGTGCCATCTGGCCATGTGGGATTATGGGTGGGAACCCCAGCATGAACCGTGACGATTAGAGCCCCACTGTGGGTCTCCATGGTGCCACAGTCCTGGGTCTTAGGAACACGTTTTCCATTCTCCTTAACTGGTGTCTTAGGACCCCTGCCTCGCTCTTCAAACATTCCCAACTCTCCCTTAGATGATAAAGGACCTCTTTTTGACACCGTCTCTCACTCCTTGCCTCTAAGGGAATGCCGAATCCCACCAGGAAGAAAGCTCTCCCTGAGGTCTCAGGAAGGACCTGCTACTCAAGGGTGATCCAGAGGCAGACAGGCTGGCTGGCTTCAGCCAAACAGGAGTGTAGCATGGCAGCCGGGTACAGACCTTGGTTAAAATCCTGCTCTGCATTTATTAGCAAGTTTCTCTAGACCTCAGCTTCCTCATCTGTAAACTGAGGCTACACACCTAGTATGTACTTATAAAAATTAAAAATTAGGGTGGGCATGGTGGATCATGCCTGTAATCCCAGCACTTTGGGAGGCTGAGGTAGGAAGATTGCTTGAGCCCAGGAGTTCAAGACCAGCCTGGGCAACATAGTGAGAGCCCATCTCTAAAAAAATTTTAAAATTTAAAAATAAAAAATGTTTAAAAATAAAAATAAAATGGGGCTAAAATGCACACTTCATTTGGTAAACAAGATGACATGTGAAAAAATGACACAGATATATCACTGGCTACATTAGTTTTCCATTGCTACTATAGCAAATTCCCACAAACTTAGTGATTTAAATAATATTCTTTATTATTAAACAGTTCTGGAGGTCAGAAGTTCCAAAATGGGTCTCACAGGCTAAAATCTCTAGAGGAGAACCCCTTGCTTGCCTTTTCCAGCACCCAGAGGCCCCCTGCATTCCTTGGTTCATGACCCCCTTCCAGCTGCAAATCCAGCAATGGTGGATTGAGGCCTTCTCACATTGCATCACTCAGACCTTCTCTTCTGCCTCCCTCTTCCATCTTTTTTTTAAAATAGACTATTTATTTTGAGATGGAATCTCACTACATTGCCCAAGCTGGAGTGGAGTGGCTGGATCATATCTCACTGAAGCCTCGAATTCCTGGGCTCCAGGGATCCTCCTGTCTCAGCCTCCTGAGTAGCTGGAACTACAGGCATGCACAAAGAAGCCCAGTGGACTTTATTTTTTAGGGAAGTTTTAGTTTCACAGCAAAATTGGGCAGAAGATTTCCCATATTCCCCCCACCTCCACCTCTTCCACTTTGAGGGACACTTGTGATTACACTGGGGCCACCTGGATTGTCCAGGATAATCTCCCCTCCCAAGGTCTTAAAGTCCCTTTGCCATGTAAGGCGATGTCTTCACAGGTTCTGGGGATTACAACGTGGACATCTTTGTGAGGGGAGGGCTACTACCCTGCCTACCACACTGTACTTTTTCCCCCGTTTTAACTCTCTAGGGGTTATCACACAGGAGGATTGTCTGTTACTTTTCTTTATCTTTATCATATTTTTAAAAACTAATAAATATCATTTAAAATAATTAAAAGAATACCTTTTTAAAAAGAACTTAGCACTGTGCCTGGTTCCCAGCAGACACTTAATGAATGGAAGTTCCCTTCTCTTCTCTGATACTGACCTTCAGGAAATCCCTTCTCCCAAGTGACAGTTTTGAGAGACTTAAAGGGTGGAGAAACTCCCAAACATTTAGGCCATTTATATTAGTTGTACAACTTAGTAGAGATGCTATACTGGGGGCTCATGCATTGCAAGGGGCCTAGATGATACAGATGATTCTCAACTCCCGCTACAAAACAAAATCACGGCCGGGTATGGTGGCTCACGCCTGTAATCCCAGCACTTTGGGAGGCTGAGGCAGGTAGATCACCTGAGGTCAAGAGTTCGAAACCAGCCTGGCCAACGTGGCAAAAACCCGTCTCTACTAAAAATACAAAAATTAGCCAGGCATGGTGGCGGGTGCCTATAATCCCAGCTACTCAGGAGGCTGAGGCACGAGAATTGCTGGAAGTGGAGAGGCAGAGGTTGCAGTGAGCCGAGATTGCACCACTGCACTCCAGCCTGAGCAACAGAGCAAGACTCTGTCTCAAAACAAACAAACAAACAAACAAACAAAACAAAATGAAATCACACGGAGAGCCCTCAGACTAGTCAAAGTCTCTAGGGTGGGGTTCAGGCATCCATATGAGGTTTTAAAAGCTTCCCAGGTAATTCCAATATGCAGTCGAGGCTGCGAACCACTGGATTACAGCTGCAGCCCCTTACAGTCTGCAACAGAGATGCCACCCAACTGTGTCAAAAGGAGAATAATCAGGACACGGTAGTTCACAGTTCTTTGTAAAGCTGAATGTTTTCAAGTTACAGTTCATTCTTTATTGAGAAATGATAGGTATCATTTTGTTGTTGTCATTAAAAAGTCCTTCATTTTATAACATGGGGAAGAATGGCTGGTAGTTGATTGTTTTAATGTCTTCAGCAAAATAAAAAGCTGGCAATCTGTCACCCGAGTTTATTGAAACATTAGTGGTCTAAGAAATCCCACAATTTGGACACTGGCCTGGAGGGCTTGCAAGATCCTCTTTTCTAATCTGAAGTTTCTCAATTCTGGGTTTTCAAAGATGAGAGGCCAAAACCCTGACTCAAGCCTCCTGAGACCTCCCAGGAACAAGGAGTCTTGCAAAGGGACGTTTTCACTGAGAATTACTATTATTATTAAACCATGTTACTACCTCAAGAAGGAGAACAAATGCTTCCCACTCCTCTAACCCAACATCACTATGTACATTTCTCAGTGGTTCTTTCTGATCCCCTGGAAATTATTTTGCTGAAAAGAATACAGACTATTCCCAAAATAAAATGTTTGCAGCCTGCCAGACCAGGTGGTTCTTGTTCTGTGCCTCCAGCCAGGGACACAGATTTCAGACAGGGTGACAGGAAGGAAACCAAGTGCAAAGAGACGAGAGAAGCTCACTGGCAGCCTCTGGGTGCTATCTCGAAGGGCTGCAAAGATACATTCCCATGCGGCTAGAGAACCATCACCAGCATGCAGTTGGCTTCTGGCCTGTGGTGACCTCTGCAGGAATGGGGAGCTGCTATTCACTCTTGCTGGCTGACAGGCCAGAAGATTAAAGCTATATATGCCAGAGCAGATGGAGCTGGAGACCTGGGGTACGGGACAGCTTGTTCCAGGCATCAGAAAGCGTCAGAGGTGACCAGGGCCTAACAAGGTGAAAGGCTTCACCCTTCATCAGACTTGCGAGGCCAGATGGAATCAGGTTCCCCACCACATTCACTGGGTGGCTTATCCAATCTCTGGCACCATGATTGATGAACTGGAACTTCAGGCAAGCCACTTTCCCTTCAGAGCCTCAGGCATTCGGAAAGAAAATCTCACCTGAAAAATCCAGTCCAATCAGAAGGGGAACAGGGGGGATTTGGGGACTTCAAAGGCCATGGTGATATTCCCTTTCTTAAACGAGGTGCCAAAACACGTGGGAATATATTTTATCATGATTCTTTATATGTATATCTATCAACATTCTTTTATCGCTATACAATAGTAATAAAAACAAAACAAACACACACACAAATCCAGCCCTTTGGTAACTGGCTCCTTCTGCTGTACCATGCAGGCTGGCATGGGTTCTGCCAGCAGGCTGTTCCCTAACACCACAATTGTGCGTCTGTATGACTCATCCAAGCTCCAGAGAGTCCAGCGTCTGGGACCTACACTCAGGGAGGGGCCACGTTCCTTTTCTCCTCTCCACTGCACAGGAAAACAGAAAGGTGAATGTGGGAGCATGCATGTTAGCGCTGACAGCTAATGTTTAAATGGAATTCCTAGCCACATTAAATATATTCAACGTAGGCTTAAACACGTCTCAACACATACATCCCACTCATAGGTCCTAAGGACCAGGGCTGATGCTGCTCCCAGCTAATAATGATTCACAGTTGTCAAGCCCCAAGCAGGTTCTCCAAGCACGTGTACTCCCTGCTGCAGGAGCAGTGAAGCAAAGGTGGACAGCTACTGTTCTCTGCAGGATCTTCAGACAACCTGAACCTGCAGACTATGTGCCCTGCCAGCCAGCAAAAGCAACTATTAGATCATTCAGGTTTCTGGAAACCCCATCCTTCTTCTTTGTGCCTCCTCACCCCAGAGGGCATAAAATAGTTTATTCGTCTTGAAAAATATGTTTATTCTGATGACTCTGGCTACCAAGCCCGAAGCTCTGATCACGGAACTATGTGAGAGACTCCCCTGCATAATTATTACTCACGATACTAACTGCAGTGCTATTTACAGATATTCTTTCTCAAACTTAACACACTCATGAGTTATTTTCTTTATTTGATTAATGGAAAAATCAGATGCTCAGAAAGGTTAAATGATGTGCCTAAGAACACATGGGGCTCGTAATGGCAATGCCAGGAATCGGAGTCAAGTGACTCTCCAGACTGCTCAGCAAATGGGATGAAAGACAGTCACTGAGAGAGAAAGAGTGCCCAGTGTGGGATGGGCAACCACAAAAATCCATTCTACATTCTTGAAATCCACTATCACAAACTGAGGCATGTCCATGTTTTGGTGGTCTCATGGTTTGTCACTGGCCACTCTGCCGAGGGGCCCCAAGCTGACTCTCAACCTGCTGGACTGGGTGACTCTTGTCTGTGCAGAGAGGATGTCACCACAGAAGACACTGCTTCCTCCTCCCAGTCAGGCCAGATGGGTCACAGCCCCACTAGGCCATCACCTGCAGGCGTAGCCCTGGCTCAGCTGCCCACACCACTGTTTACCTTCACTCAGAGGCACACTCCTATAGGTAGGCTGCTTCCCACAGCTAGTCAGTTTCACTTCCTGGTTGACACCCAAAACAACAACAAAGATTCACTTCCTCTGAAGCCTGCACTCCCTAGTTCATTCTTGACACCTTGCTGGACACCCACAGCAGGCAAGGAAAGTTCAACAGCTCCCTTCCATGCCTCGTTTAGAGAATCAGGTGGTGCTGGGCCACTGACACTGCCTCTTTATTGGGGAGGTTTAAAAACCCGCTCCACAAATGTTTGCAAGGTCTTCTATGTGTCAGCTTCAGTCCTGAGTGCTGGGGACACAAAGGTGAATGAGTTGTGATATCTACCCTGACGGAGCCCCCAAACAATGAAAAGAACCCACCATAGAGGGCTAAGAGCACTGGGGGCCTAGGCAGCACAGATAGGTCACCACTAAGCCACCTCTGAAGAGGGGATGGTTAGAGCTTAGAGGGGTTGTCACAGTGGGCAGGGAAGTCTAACTTTGCCCCTCTGCCTTCTAGTAACCTTTGGGTGCAGCGCTGGGGAATGGTTCAAAGCCCAGGGCATAGAGTTCTGCTGTCTAGTATGGTAGCCTAGCTACATGTGGCTTCTGAAATTTAAATTAAAAATTCAGGTTCTCAGGCACACAAGTGGCTAGTTACCCTATTGAACTGTGCAGACAGAGGACTTTTTCATCATCATAAAGCCCTGCTGGACAGCACTGGGTAGGGGTTCACAGATCTGGATTCCAATCCCGGCTCTTCTAATTAGAAGTCACGTGACTTTGAATGAGTGGCTCTACCTTTCTGTACCTCAGTTTTCTCATCTGCAAAACGTGGATACTTACCTCAAAGGCTGGTGTGAAGATCAAATGAGCTAATTAATGCATGTAACACTGTGAGAGCCACAGTGGCCAGGTACACAGTAAGTGCTCAATAAATGGCAATTATTTTTATCATCACAAGTCCGCGGCACCTGGAAGCAGATATTGTGCTTCATGCCTCTGCTCCCCTCCTAGTGCTGCCAGCATAACAGGTGCCTGGTAAATGCCTATGAATTCCTTTTCCCTGCAGCAGTCTCATCCAGGCCCAGGCTGACACAAATCTGTGGCAGAGGCGGGAGTACTCACATCTGTAGAGATGGTTCCACACGGGGAAGAAGGCCATGTAGAGCGCCACGTCCCCCACTGTCGGGTAGGACTTAAAGATGGCGATGACAGCGATCTGGATAAACATGAAGAAGATGGGGTGCTCCCTGGGGCAGGGCAGGGGAAAGAGAGAGAGAGATGAGTCAGGGACCAGGCCTACCCTAGAGACTCCTGACTCCATCCTTTGAACCAAAAATAATCCTCAGGGGACTTCAGGAAGGGGCTGGCTCTGCTATCCACAAGGCATGGGCCAGGCCCCAGTAGCAGAGCAGAAAACTGCAGGGACCCAGAAATACCCAGAGGTGGTGAGGAGGGCCTGGCAAACACTAGGGAAACAGCCCACAGAGACATTTCCCATCAACAGTCCCCCTCTGCCTCTGCCAGCTCTGGGCCTTCCCCTAGGAGCCACAGAGGAAGAAAACAAATGAAGTCAGCATTCTTTATGACTGGGCTTAAATGACTGCTTGGCAGGATAATTAGGCAGCCTCCCTTGCCAGAGGCCCCTCTGACAATTGGACGCAAGGCAGGAAGTGCCTCCTTGCTGATGCCTTTTTTCTCTAACAACATGGTCAGCAGGGTCTACAGACCCATAGTGCGATGAACTTCTTTCCAGGAAGAGAACTGTGAACTGCACAGAGCTTTTCAGTTCTTAAGGGCTGGGACTATTCTTGTTAACTTAAACTAATAGCAGTTTCAATTATTATTTTAACCTAATAATAAGTGATAGCAATGGGTATCCTCTCCTGAACTCCCTCTGTGTAAAGTCCTTTTCCTGCATCCTCTCACGTGATCCTCACCACATCTCAACCACCCCTCAAGGCAGGCAATCCTGGGCCAGGCGCAGTGGCTCACATCTGTAATCCTAGCACTTCGGGAGGCTGAGGCAGGAGGATGGCTTGAGCCCAGGAGTTTGAGACCAGCCTAGGCAACATAGTGAAATCTCATCTCTACAAAAAATTTAAAAATTAGCCGGGTGTGGTGGCATATGGCTGTAATCTCAGCTATTCAGGAGGCTGAGGTGGGAGGGTTGCTGGTGCCAGGAGGTTGAGGCTGCAGTGAGCCATGATCAACCACTGCACTCCAGCCTGGATGACACAGTGTGAGACCTTGTCTCAAAAAGAAAAAAAAAAAGTAGGCAATCCTCTCACCTGTACTTCACAGATGAGGAAACAGATTCAGAGAAGTGCACTGACTGAGTAGGTTAGTAAGCGATGGAGTTGTCTCCAGAGCTCTTAATCACGCCCAATACCATTCTCCTGAGTGCTGATCACACTTCCAAGCTCTGGTCAGGAGAGAGTTGGGGGACAGAGCTCAATCTCGGTGCCCCTCCGAGAGCTGACCAAGTGCTAAAGGGAAGCCAACAGGGAGAGGCTGGATCTATACCCTCCTCAGCTACATTTCAACCACATGCACATGGCCTACTTCTGCACAGTACCTAGATGCCTAGCCCATGAAGGTTTTCTTCAGAGATTAATGACCTTTTTGTCTTGCAGGTCAAAGGTCAGGGTGACTCAATGGGTATGAATCTGAGATGTGCAGACAAACATGTCCACACCCAGAATGCTCCAGTGCTGCTGTGCAGCAAGTGCCTCAGAAACGCAGCTTGGCAAAGGCGTGCAGCCCTGTAGCCTCTAAGAAGCGTCCAGCTATAGCTCAGTGTGAACATCTTCCTAAACACAATCCACATCACTGGCTTCAGGCTTTTCAGGTAGCTGGTAACAACGGCAACATTTCTATGAAAAGGCTGGTGAAAATGCGGTGACAAAAAAACAGACTACAGCCTCCTGCAGCACTGCACAGGGACTGGGGTGGCCTGAAGGGCCCTGTTCCTACAAAGCTGGCACTGGAAACAAATCTTGCAGGGGGCAGGAGAGCTTAGGTAGAGCTTCATACCCAGGCAGAAGAGAAGACAGCAGGGAGAGCAGGTCTCTTCATATTTTCTGTCCCCACAACTGTGTGGGCCTGGCTTAGGTCATAAAATGGTGACATTATTGCCTAGCCAGGAGCAATGTGTGGCTTTGCATGCAGACAATAAAAGCTGCCGGAGAGCTGGCTGCACGGCCAGTGCGGAAAGGTGCCCTGGGATCCCTGCTCCTCTTCACCCCATGGCTGGGCCTAACCGGAACAAGGACAGGGAAGGTGGACCACAGACAGCTGGAGAGCTCAGCTGGGCAAGGCTGCCAGAGTTCCGGAGCCTGCCAGGCCATGGAAGGAGGGTGTTCTGTCAGAAGCCAGGCCAAGGCTGTGTCATGGGAAGGAAGCATCAGCTTTTGAGATTTTACAGAATGGGAACCACGTGCATTGGTGCACAGACCATGGAGAATGGCAGGAAGGTTAGGACAGAGAACTTGAGCTCTTGAAACCTAAATCAAACTCTTTCAGGTTCCCCAGACCATCTAGGCGTATCTGTACCTGTCTGTGTCTGTTTTCCCTTATCTGAAGCTAGGATAATAGAACCATTTCCGGAGGCTACTAAAAGCAATCTCTCCGGAGCTTGGCATGGTGCAGGGGGATAAGCATAGATTCTGGAGCCAGACAAACCTGAGTCTAAATCCCAGCTCCACTGCTTACTAGCTGTGTGACTGGGAAAATCATCCCACCTCTCTGAGCATCGATTTCCTCAACTATAAAATGGGAGTGATAAGAATCTAACGCCTACCTCCAGGAGTTGCTAGGTTAGGTATGATTATGTTTCAGAGGGTCTAGAAAGGCACCTGGAATGGAGCAGGCCTAACATCTATCAGCTCTCTTAGACTGCAGAAGAGGACTCCACACATCCTTTGGAGGGAAACAGATCAGGAGATTAAACAGTTGCAGGTGGCCAGCCTCCCAACTAAACCATCCAGAGTCCCTGTGGAGGACCTGTCACTGGGCTGTTGATGGAGACATTCCACCAGATACACTTTTTCCAAACACACTCCCCTCCACAACTCCTGTTCTTTTTTTTTTTTTTTTTTTTTTTTGAGACATGCACTTCCGCCTGTCATCCAGGCAGAAGTGCAGTGGCACAAGCAGCTCGCTGAAGCCTCAAACTCCCGGGCTCAAGTCATCCTCCTGCCTCAGCCTCCCAAGCAGCTGGGACTACAGGGGCACACCACCACACCTGGCTAATTTTTGTTGTTGTTGTTGTTGTTTTTGTTGAGATGGAGTCTTGCTCTGTCGCCCAGGCTGGAGTGCAGTGGCACAATGTTGGCTCACTGTGACCTCTGCCTCCTGGGTTCAAGCAATTCTCCTGTCTGAGCTTCCAGAGTAGCTGGGACTATAGGCACCCGCCACTATACCTGGCAAATTTTTGTATTTTTAGTAGAGACAGGGTTTCACCATATTGGTCAGGCTGATCTCCAACTCCTGACCTCAGGTGATCCACTCGCCTTGGCCTCCCAAAGTGCTGGGATTATATGCGTGAGCCACTGCACCCAGGCAGCCACCTGGCTAATTTTTAAATTTTTTGTAGATACAGGATCTTGCTATGTTGTCCAGGCTGGTCTCAAACTCCTGGCCTCAAGTGACCCTCCTGCCTCAGCCTCCTGAAGTACTGGGATTACAGGTGTGAGCCACCATGCCTGGCCACCGCCTGGCTCTAGTCCAAAACAGTGAATGGGCTCAGCAGCAATGTGGACTTGAGCACCTCAGAGTGAGGCCAGGGAAAATGCTGGGGCTCCAAAGCACCCTCACTGCAGCCTGCACCCATGCGACTCTATTGCCTGCTATGGCGCTGGCAACTGCGGCAACTGAAGGCAGGTTCCTTAGGTGAGATGCTCTAAACCTGACAGCAGGTGCTCCACATTTGAAGGCCACCCTCAAGGCTACTAGAGGCAGGGGCTTCTCGGACAGCTCTGTACACACAGCAGCAGCAGGTCCAGCCACTTACTTTAGCTTTATGGCTAAGGGGATGGTGTAGAAGAAGACGTTGATCTGAAACACACATACAAAGAAGAGGCTGAAGTGCTCAAACATCTCTGCAAAGAAGTACCAGAAAAGACCAATGTTTGGAGTGAGATCTGGAACAGAAAGTCTGGAATTAAGAAAACAAAGGGAGAGAAAAAAGACAAAAGTTATAAATTGTCTGCTTTGACCTTGATTTCTCCTGAAGACTTTGGTCACTGCTGGGCAGCCAAGGACGACTTTCTCCCTAGAGAGATCAGGATGGGAAGGGCTCTCTAGGTACCCTGGATACAGGTAATTAACAAAAATGAGCAGAGACATATAATGATAACCCATAACAAATATTAGCTAAGCCAAACAAATCTGAAATGAGGCAGGGATTCATCCTAGGAATAAAGAGACTCACCCCTGTTTTACTGCGCAAGACAGTTTAAAATCAGGAGATACCCAGTACTGTAACAAATGAGTTTTAAAACACAGGATCTATTTTGGGCATTCTAAAGACCTGCCTAGAGGACCACGCTCAAAGATCCTGCTCCTCCCCATTCTTACTCCACACCCCACAGCAGGAGTCAGAAAACCGAGTGCCTGAGACCGAAGTGAGACTTCTAGGGGCTTTAGGAACAATCGGTGGGTTCTGGCTAAGATCCCCAGGGTCCCAGTCTTAATTGAGAAATTAGGGTTTAACTGGAAAACTTTTTGTCCAATTAAATCAGACAAATATTTCGCTGCAATTCTGGCTCTCCTAAAGTTTACATTTTTGATTTAAAAAAATATGAAGTTGAAACTGATCTCAATACACAATTCAAAAAGGACAACAAATAGGGCACGCAGAGGGAGAGATGAGTGATGGCTCTTGGTCAGATTTCCCTGACTGAGGCCTCCGCCCAGGTTAACTTTTGCCTCTTGCTGTAACTATACCTCCTTTTCTGGGAAATGAGGTAAAGAACACAATCCGTGGCCCAGGAGAAAGAACTCTTCACCTGGCACCGCAACTCCTATCTAAGGCAGAGCATGAAGAGCTGAAGTTAGCAAGTCATTGTTATGCTCAGCCAGGATTTAACACAAATAAGCAGTCCAGAATTCCAAATGGGAGTTCTGCCACTCAGATCCCTTCCACACATGCACAGGTTTAAGAGTCTGTCACCTATTGGGCTGTGAGCTCCCCAAAGCTTAGGGAGCAACCGAGTCTTCGGCACCTATGCAGAGCCTGGCACGCAGAGGGCATTCGGAAATGTTTATAGAATTCATGAATATAAACTCAGACAAGCCTGCAATACTCAAGTCCATTTGAGTTTTCCCTCAAGGTTTGACGTGTGGCAGGTGGCATTATTTTCAAACTGTCAGAGGCCCTCTTGCACTAGAGGAACACATCCATTCCTGTTTAGAATTGAGCCCAAACCTCCCAGTTAGAGGCTGGTATTTGCTTTGGATGTTCCCAGGGAGTGCTCTTTAACCCACTTATGCTGGAGGTTGCAAATTTTTTTGTGTGAAAAATCAGACCTTGGCGATGACCTTGAGCAGTAGGACGTAAATAACTCCCACAAGCTTCGTGTTCCAATAATAGAACACTAGGCATAAATGGGTTAATCCCACCATATCAAAGGTGTGTTTCAGAGTACAGGTTCTCAAAGTGTGTTCCCTAAACCAGCAGGCCAACAGCACTGGCATCACCTGGAAACCGGAGAAATGCAAATTGTTGATCCCTCCCCAAGACCTACTTAATCAGAACCTCTGAGGGTGGGCCCAGCAATCTGGGTTTTAATAAGTCCTGCAGGTGATTCTGATGCACCTTAAGGTTTGAGAACCGCTGCTATTTAATATAAAGGCTTCCTGTGGTCCCTCACCCTCTGAGTCCAGCTAGAGCTATGAAAACCAAATTAGCTTCCAGAGTTTTGTCGGGGGGGTTTTAACTGACAACATATAGTTGTACGAATTTATGGGTGATTTTATGTGATGTTATGATTTCTGAATACTATGTAGAATAATTAAATCTAGCTAGTTAACATTTCCATCACTTCAAATATTAAACATTGTTTGTGGTGGGAACGATTGAAATTTACTCTCTTAGCAATTTTGGTATATACAATACTCTATTATTAACTATATTCACCACACTGTGCTAGTACTCAAGAAAAGAAAAGAAAAAAACATATTCCTCCTGAGATTTTGTACCCCTTTGACCATTATCTCCCCATTCTCCCACCCTGCCGGCATCGGTAACCACCCTTCTACTCTCTGCTTCTATGAGCGTAATTGTTTTAGAGTCCACATATAAGTGAGAACACATGCGGTATTTGTCTTTCTGTGCCTAGCTCATTCCACTTAGCATCAGATTCTCCAATTCCATCCCTACTACTGTCATAAATGACAGAATTTCCTTTTTTAAGACTGAATAGTATTCCCCTGTGTATATATACCAAATTTTCTTTATCCATTTGTTTGTTGATGGACATTTAGATTGATTCCATAACTTGGCTATTATGAATAATGCTGCAATGAACATGGGAGTGCAGACAAATCTTCAACAAACTGATTTCAAAAATTTTGAGTCACCTGCAATCCCAGCACTTTGGGAGGCCAAGGCAGATGGATCATTGAGACCAGCCTGGCTAACATGGTGAAACCCTGTCTCTACTAAAAATACAAAAATTAGCCGGGCGTGGTGGTGCATGCCTGTAGTCCCAGCTACTCGGGGGGCTGAGGCAGGGGAATCACTTGAAACCAGGAGGTGGAGGGTGCAGTGAGCGGAGATGGCCCCACTGCACTCCAGACTGGGCAACAGAGCGACACCCTGTCTCAAAAAAAAAAGAAAAAAATCCTTTAAGTAAGTAGCCGGAAGTGGGATTGCTGGATCAAATGGTAATTCTATTTTTAGTTGTTTGAGGAATGTTCATACAGTTTTCCATAATGGCTGTACTAATTTACATTCTTGACAACAGTATACAAGGGTTCCCTTTTCCCCACAGCTTCTAGAATTTTCTAACGTGGTCATTACTTACATAAAGCCATAGACTGCGGGGATGAAATCCCAAGAGCTGAGAAGGAAGAAGGAGAGGCAAATGATTACCACTAGGCTTCCCACATACATCATGGCATACTCCCAAGAAAAGATCCAGAAGGCTTTGCTCTTCATTTTCACAGGTATGTACTGCCGCTGGAGAGAAGGCAAAGTGATATAAACTTAGGGATGTAAACAACAGAGGGCAGCTATTAGCTTACACTTAAAGATCCCTCCCGCAAAACCATACTATGATACACAGGTTTATAATTTTGCTTTGGTCTTTAATTAACTAAGAAGGATGTAAGTGTTAAAAAGGTATTACGGGTGCATCCTCTGACCTCAGACCTAGTAACACCATTTCTAGGTATGTATCCTGGAGACAAGTTGCAGAAGATACAAATGGAGGAAGATTCATTGCACCATTGTTTGGAATATCAAGAAAAAATCCTTCAATAGAGGAACAAATAAATTGTGGTATATTGACATATGGTATACTATTTGCCAGGTTAAATGAATATATTGTATCTATAAATGTCAACATGGCTAGATCTAAAAAATATGAGGTTAGTTATAATAGAAAATTGCTAAACAAGCCTATTATATGAAAATACTTATGTGTTCTGAGATTATACCAAATAATACTATTATTTACACACACACACACACACACACACACACACACACACACACACACATCTGTAAGTTTCATAAAACATAGATTAGAAGGACATATACTAAAGTTATGATAGTATTAGCCTCCTGGGAACCAGAGAGGAAAATATAATTGGAACCTAAGAAACTTCATATAACCTGGCATTCATATGCAAAATGAAAAGAAATAAACAAGTAAAAAAAGACTTTAAAAAAACGCCAAATTTGGGTTAAAAAAACTTCAACTTTATCTGCTTTCCTTTGTTTGAGACAGAGTCTTGCTGTGTCGCCAAGGTAGAGTGCAGTGGCACGATCTCGGCTCACTGCAACCTCTGCCTCCAGGTTCAAGCAATTCTCCTGCCTCAGCCTCCCAAGTAGCTGGGACTGCAGGTGCGCACCACCACACCCAGTTAATTTTTGTATTTTTAGTAGAGACGGGGTTTCACCATGTTGGCCAGGATGGTCTCCATCTCTTGACCTCGTGAATCACCCACCTTGGCCTCCCAAAGTGCTGGGATTATAGGCGTGAGCCACTGCACCTGGCTTTTTTTTTTTTTTTTTTTTTTTTTGAAACAGAGTTTCGCTCGTTGCCCTGGCTGGAGTGCTACGGCGTGATCTCGGCTCACTGCAACCTCCACCTCCCGGGTTCAAGGGATTCTCCTGCCTCACCCTCCTGAGTAGCTGGGACTACAGGTGCCTGCCACCACGCCCAGCTAATTTTTATATTTTCAGTAGAGACAGGGTTTCACCATGTTGGCCAGGCTGGTCTCAAACTCCCGACCTCAGGTGATCTACCCGCCTTGGCCTCCCAAAGTATTGGGATTACAGGCATGAGCCACTGCGCCTGGCCTCACATATTTTATTAAGTATGACAACAGCAATTATGAAACAATATAGCAAAAATCTTAATATCTGTTTAGTTTGGGCAGTAGACATATGGCTATCATTATACATTTTCTAAATTTTTCCTCTCTTAAAAATGTTTTCCTCAAAAAAAAAAAAAGATGCTGGGGGAAGAGAAATAATTTATTGTTGTAAGAAAAAGGAAAATAAGAATTACCAGAAAACAAAAAAACCACCCCAGTATGTGAGAAAACAGAAATGAGTTTAAACAAATCACAATCAATTCAAATGAACAAAACTGTATAACTAAAAATCATGTTGTCAGGGACTGGGCATGGTGGCTCATACCTGTAATCCCAGCACTTTGGGAGGCCGAGGCGGGAACATCACCTGAGGCCAGGAGTTCAAAACCAGCCTGGCTAACATAGCAAAACCCCATCTCTAATGAAAATACAAAAATTAGCTGGGTGTGGTGGTGTCCGCCTGTAGTCCCAGCTACTCAGGAGACTAAGGCATGAGAATCACTTGAACCCAGGATGCAGAGGCTGTAGTGAGCCGAGATTGCACCACGGCTGCACTCCAGCCTGGGCAACAGAGCGAGACTCTGTCTCAAATAAAATAGCGTAACGTAACATAACATAACATAACATAACATAACATAACATAACATAACATAACATAACATAACACAACAACAAAATAAAATAACATAAATCATGTTGTTAGGAAAAAAATCAGTTATGCAGCTACATGCTATTTACAAGAGATATACCTTAAAATATAAGACACAGAGGCCGGGCGCGGTAGCTCATGCCTGTAATCCCAGCACTTTGGGAGGCTGAGGCAAGCGGATCATGAGGTCAGGAGATCGAGACCATCCTGGCTAACATGGTGAAACCCCGTCTCTACTAAAAATACAAAAATTAGCCAGGTGTGGTGGCAGGTGCCTGTAGTCCCAGCTACTCAGGAGGCTGAGGCAGGAGAATGGCGTGAACCCAGGAGGCAGAGCTTGCAGTGAGCCGAGATTGCACCACTGCACTCCAGCCTGGGCGACAGAGCGAGACTCCGTCTCGAAAAAAAGAGAAAAAAAAATATATATATATATGAGACACAGAAAAGCTGAAAATCAAAGGACTTTTTCAGATTGCCATGGAAACATTAAGCAAAAGAAAGCTAGTGTGGTTATACTATTATCAGATAAAATAGACTTTTATGTAAAAAAGTATTGCAGAGATAAAAATAGTCCAATAATGATAAAAGGCTCCATTCATTGGAAAAATATAACAGTTCTAAATTTGAATGTAACTAATAACAGTCTCAAAATATATAAAACAAAAGTGGATTAAGCTACAAAGGAAAAATAGACAAATCCATCATCAATGCATAATTGATAGATCAAGCAGACAAATTAGTAATCAAATAGAAAAAATGAAGCACATTTCACAAGTTTAATCTCATAAGATCTTACAAATCATACTTATATAGAGCAGGGCACCTAATAACTAAGTAATTCACATTCATTTCAAGCATTTTGGGGGTATTTACAAAAACATCACATACTTAAATCAGTCCATAAACCCACATTGACTTCAAGGAATCTTTATCATACAGACTTCAATCTCTGACGATAATGGAATTAATAGAAATTATTAATGAAAAGATAACGTAAAATAAATTAGAAAAAAACTTGCTGACCTCACATATGTATCACTTATTTGTTGTGAGAACACTTAACATCTATTTTCTTAGTAATTTTCAAGTATACAATATATTATTAACTATAGTCATGTTGCATAATAAATCTCTTGAATTGTATTATAAAAAATTAAAACACTTTTCCAAATAACCTAGGAGTCAAAGAGAAATGATGTCAGAAAATACCTCATATTACTATTTGTGTAATGTAGATAAAACAATACTCTGAGGGAAAAGTACAGCCTTAGAAATTTACTTTGGTAGGCCGGCGTGTTGGCTCACGCCTGTAATCCCAGCACTCTGGGAGGCCGAAGCGGGTGGATCGCGAGGTCAGGGGATCAAAACCATCCTGGCTAACGTGGTGAAACTCTGACTCAACTAAAAATACAAAAAAATTAGCCGGGCGTGGTGGTTGGGCGCCTGTAGTCCCAGCTACTCGGGAGGCTGAGGCAGGAGAATGGCGTGAACCTGGGAGGTGGAGCTTGCAGTGAGCCGAGATCACGCCACTGCACTCGAGCCTGGGTGACACAGCAAGACTCCGTCTCAAAAAAAAAAAAAAGAAATATTAAAGAAAGTTACTTTGGAATAGAAGAAAAATTGAAAATAAATAAGCTAAACACCCATTTTAAGATATTAGAAAAAACAGAATAAACCCCAAAAGAAGGAAGAAAATAATAAAGAACAGAATTTGTTAAAACAGAAAATAAAGGTACAATATAAGGAATCAACAAAACCAAATCTAGTTCTTAGAAATGACTCATGTTATTGATGGCTTTCTAATAAGAATAATTAAGAAAAAAAAAAAAAAGAGAGACGAACAAATAAACAACATTAGAAATGTAAAAGAGAGCATAACTATAGATGTATCAGGGAGGAGAAAATATTTTAAAACTTATGCCAATGTATTTTAAAAAAGGTGAAATGGAAACATTCTATGAAAAATATAAATAATTTAAATGATTAAAAATGCCTGTGTAACTAAAAAGAAGTGGAGATCAAAGGACATGACAATGAAATGTAATACATCCTGAACCCCATCCCTTCCCCCAAATCCTATAAAGGTCACATATAAATTGGGGAGTTTGAATTTGGAGAGAATATATTGGATAATGTTATTCTATCAAGGTTAAATTTCTAGGGGTGATAACAGTATCATGGTTATATAAAGAATGCCTAGTTCTTAAGAGTTACCTGCTGAATTAGGGTTGATGTGTCTTGTCTGTAACTTCCAAGCAAGTAATTCAAGGGAAAAAAGAAAAATCAACATATTTACATAGATATACATAATATGGCAAAATGATAACTGAAGAATCTTTAAAAAGGTATTTATAATATTATAGTACTAAATTTTTCTGAAATAATGAAATAAAAAATTAGAGAAAAAATTAATTCACAAGAAAATAGAAAATTGGCCCAGGTGTGATGGCTCATGTCTGTAATCCCAGCACTTTGGGAACCAGAGGAGGGTGGATCACTTGAGCTCAGGAGTTCAAGACCAGCCTGAGCAACATGGCGAAACCCCATCTCTACAACAAATACAAAAATTAGTAGGGCATGGTGGCACATGTCTGTAGTCCCAGCTACTCCAGAGGCTGAAGTGGGAGGATAGCTTGAACCCAGGAAGGGAAGTGAAGGTTGCAGCCAATATCGTGCCACTGCACTCTAGCCTGGGCAACAGAGCGAGACTCTGTCTTAAAGAAAAAAAAAAAAAAGCCACCAAGCCACTTTACGTAGATAAAAAGTTCATATGGAAAAACAAACATGCAAGAATAGCTAAGAAAACACTGATTAAAAAAATCATGAAGGGGGACTAGCCTTATCAGACACTGAAATATAAAACCTCTATAATTAAAGCAGCGCAATATTGGCTCGTTAATAGAGAAGTAGACTAGTAGAATAAAACAGAAAGTCCAGCACTAGACCAAAATACATATGGCAATTTAGTATATGACAGTGGTGGCATATCACTATGATAAAAATTGACTTTTTAATCAATGATGCTAGGACAACAAGGTAACCATTTGGAAAAGGTTGAATTAGACCTATCTCTCACACCATTCACAAGAATAAACTCCAAATAGCTTAGGGATCCAAATATATTTTTTAAATGAAATGATAAAGCACTGTACTAGAAAAAAACATGGTGAACTTGTCTTTAACTTTGATGTAGAAAAAAGCTCAACTGTGATTGTGCCACTGCACTCCAGCCTGGGGGACTGAGCAAGAGACCCTGCCTCAAACAAACAAAAAACACCAGGCATGGTGGCTCATGCCTGTTATCCCAGCACTTTGGGAGGCTGAGGCAGGTGGATCACTTGAGTCCAGGAGTTCAAGACCAGCCTGGGCAACATAGAGAAACCCTATCTCAACAAAAAATACAAAAATTAGCCCTATGTGGTGGTGCACACCTATAGTCCCAGCTATCAGGGAGGCTGAAGTGAGAGGATCACTTGAGCCCAGGAGGTTGAGGCTTCAGTGAGCTGTGATCGTGCCACTGCACTCCAGCCTGGGCTGCAGAGTGAGACCCTGTCTCAAAAAATCAATACAAAACAAAACTACATACATACTTCAATAATTCCACTTTCTAGAAATCTATCTTGAAGATATACCTCCAACAATATGAAAATAAGTATATACAAGGTTACTCGCTGAAACATTACTTGTAATTGCAAAATATTGTAAGCAATCTAAATTCCCACACACTGGAGAGCGGCTGAATAAACTATGGTATATTCACACAATGGCGTACTACACAGCCTTAAAAAAGAATGAGGACAATCTCTATTCTATCTATACTGATATGGAGGAATTTCCAGGAAATAATGTTAAGTGAAAAAAAGGAAAGCACAAAAGAGTATCTAAAGTATGCTACCCTTCATATAAGAAAGGCATATAAGAGGTGGGCAAATCACCTGAGGTCAGCAGTTCGAGACCAGCCTGACCAACATGGTGAAACCCCATCTCTACTAAAAATACAAAACTTAACTGGGCGTGGTGGCAGGCGCCTGTAATCCCAGCTACTCGGGAGGCTGGGGCAGGAGAATCACTTGAACCCGAGAGGTGGAGGTTGCAGTGAGCCAAGATCGTGCTATTGCACTCCAGCTTGGGTGACAAGAGCCAAACTCTGTCGCTAAATAAATAAAGGCATACAAGAAAATATACATATAGGCTGGGCGCAGTGGCTCACGCCTGTAATCCCAGCACTTTGGGAGGCTGAGGCAAGCGGATCACGAGGTCAGGAGATCAAGACCATCCTGGCTAACACGGTGAAACCCCGTCTCTACTAAAAATACAAAAAATTAGCCGGGCATGGTGGGGGGCGCCTGTAGTCCTAGCTACTCGGGAGGCCGAGGCAGGAGAATGGCATGAACCCAGGAGGCGGACGGAGCTTGCAGTGAGCCGAGATCGCGCCACTGCACTCCAGCCTGGGAAACAGAGCAAGACTCCGTCTCAAAAAAAAAAAAAAAAAAAAAAAGAAAAGAAAATATACATATATACATGTATCTATTCACTGGTGTGTGAAAGGAATACAGGAAAGATAAGCCAGAAACTAAAGAGAAGACAGCCCTCCATATCCATGGGTTCCACATCTATGGATTCAATCAACTAAGGATAGGAAATATTCCAAAAAAAATTGTGTCTGTACTGAACATGTAGAGATGTTTTTCTTTCATTATTCCCTGAACAATACAGTATAAGAACTATTTACATTGTATGAAGTATTACAAGTAATCTGGAGATGACTTAAAGCATAGGAGAGGATATGCCTAGGTTATATGCAAATACTATGCCATTTTGTATTAGGGACTTGTACATCCTGAGATTTTGGTACCTGCAGGAGGTCCTGGAACCAATCCACCACAAATACCGAGGGAAGACTGTAATTACCTAGGGTGAGAGGGGAGGGACTAGAAGAACAGGATAGCAGGAATGATGACAGAGTAATACTGCTCTTTTTGTACAGCTGACTCTTAGAACCACAGTAATATTTTACATTCCCTTCACTTACCCCCTCCTCAAATAAACAATTAAAATCAACCAATATGTGGGGAGAATCCAAAATGAATATAAACCCTAACAAATGAAACTAACTATATTACAAATTAAAAACACAACCACACTGAAGGGTTACATGGCGCAAGAAAAGAACTAATCTAAGTAATTATGAAAAACAGGCCAGGCACAGTGGCTCATGCCTTAATCCCAGCACTTTGGGAGGCCAAGGTGGGTGGATCACTTGAAGTCAGGAGTTCAATACCAGCCTGGCCAACTAAAAATACAAAAATTAGCTGGGCGTGGTAGTGCTCGCCTGTAATCCAAGCTACTTGGCAGGCTGAGGCAAGAGGACTGCTTGAGCCCAGTCGGGCGATGGAGCGAGACCCTGTCTCAAAAACAAAACAAAACAAAAAAAGTTACAGTGGAGAAACCTGGCAGACACTAACGTCACCAAGTGATCAAGGTAAACATTAGCATTGAGAAGATATGGCAATATCATGAACCCCTCGGTACAGTGCACTGAGGACACAATATGCATTTTTGCCAAAAACATGTAAATTCAGTCCAGTCATGAGAAAACTATGACAATCTAAACTGAGGTACATTTCACAAAAATAACTTCACAAGTCATGAATGACAAGAGAAGACTGAAGAACTGTCTCAGACTAGGACAGACTAAGGAGATAAAACCACCAAATGCAATGTGGGACCTAAATATGATCCTGAAACAAACAAAAATAGCCTCAGTAGAAAATGCAAAATTCTAATAAGGTCTGTCGTTTAGTTAATAATGCTGCATAAATATCAATTTATTTGTTCTTGATAACTGTATATGGTTATATAAAATGTTAACATTAGCGGAAGTGGAGTGAGGGATACAAGAAACTCTGTACTATTTTTGCAACTTTTCCGTAGGTCTAAAATTAATTCAAAATAAAAAACTTTTAAAAATGGAGATAAAACCATCTGTTACATGGTTGGTTAAAAAAATAAACAAGCAATTTAAAAAATTAGAGCGTTCTACAAGGCCAGTATAAAAAAAAATCAGCCCTTTGCCTTGCCTCTAATCTTCATTAAATCAAGCTTGTTATTGTGATGTTCAAATCGTTTACATAGTTATTAAATATTTTGGCTGTTTAATCTTACTTTGAGAGATTTGTTAAAACTAATTACGATGGCTGATTTATCAATTTCTTCTAGCTGTGTCAATTGTTATTTTCTAAATTTTAAAGATATCTTATTAGTCAAATACAAGTTTGAATTCTCAAAAACAAAGCAAAATAAACAAAAGACAAGCAGAACTTCACGAAGATATACCACTAGAATTGCCAACATTAAAAAGATCGATACCATCAAATGTTAGTGAAGATGTGTGGCAACTAGACTGTCATATTTGGTTGGGGGGGTTGTAAAATGGTGCAAAAACTTTGAAAAACTGTCTAGTGGATTCTAGCAAAGCTAAACGTACACTTGCCCAATGTCCCAAAAATTCTGCTAGGTACTGCTCAAGAGAAACAAAAATGTTAAGTCCACAAAAAAACTTGTACCAGAATGTTCATAGTAGTCTATTTGTAACAGACAAAAACTGGAAATGGGCCCAAGTTTCTACCAATAGGAGAATGGGTAAACAAAACGCTGCACACACAAAAAACACCCAGCAATAAAAAAGAATACATGCAATAACATGGATAAATCTCAAAAACAAGCTGGTTGAAGGAAGCCTTATACAAAATAATCCTATTATTTCATTCCATTTATATGATGTTTTAGAATAGGCCAAACTAATCTATGGTTAAAACAATATTCAGAACAGTTGTGTCTGAGGAAATAGGAGTGGGAATTGATGGGGAAAGGACCCGAAGATACTTTCTGTATTTTGAGAGGAGTTTGGGTTACACAGGTATTTGTATTAAGATTCATGCACTTCATGGTATGTAAATTCTACCTAAAATGAAAAAGAGTGTAAATAAATAATGAACTCCAGTTGATGCTTATGCTGAATTATTTACAAGGATATGTATGACATCTGCAATTTACTTCAAAATGTATGAAAAATAAGACTGACTGATGGATAGATGGATATGTGATAAAGCAAGTATGGTAAAATATTAATGGAGGAATGTAGGTTATAGGTATATGAGTGTTCGTATTTGTTTTTTCTTTGAAATTTTTCATTACAGAATGTTGGGAAAATGTAAGATTTAATACACTGTTTAGCAAGCCATACATATGTGGTAACACTTTCAAGAAAAGCCAAAGAATGATTAACAAAAAATTCACGGTAGGCCGGGCATGGTGGCTCATGCCTGTAATCCCAGCAATATGGGAGGCTGAGGTGGTGGATCACCTGAGCCCAGGAGCTCGAGACCAGCCTGGGCAACATGATGAAACCCCATCACTATATATTTTTAAAAATATATAAATAATAACAAATTCAGGGTAGTCATAACCTCTGAGGTAGAGGGAAGGAGTGCAGTGTAGAAGGAGGACGTACAGGGCTTCTAAAGGACTAGAAATGTTACATTACTTAAGCAGGGTAGTGGAACACAGTGTTGCTTTATTATGTTTTAAACTATGCAAATATTATAAAGCACAAGGGCATTCAAGACAGATGGGACATCATGGGTATGGGACCTGAGGTGGGATGGAACTTGCCACACTGGAGGAACAGAGAAGGTCTGTGTGGTTTGAGATTTAGGAGTGAGGGGTAAGTGGTATAAGATAAGCATAGAGAGGTAGAGAACAGCCAAGTCAAGGAGGAGCTAAGCCATTTTGGTAATATACATCTCATAGGCTCTTTAACAGTTGAGAAAAATGTTTCAGGTGGTGAGTGTTAGCACCTCTTTTACAATCTTGTGACAAAGAAAGCAAGTTCCAGACCAAATTCTAGCACACCTAAAGACATCTATTAAACAGATATTCCTTAGTGAGCCAGGCCCAAAGCAGTTCACACAAACTATTCTAGAAGCTCCATGCTGTCCCAGCTCTTTCTGCCTCTAGTTATTCCAACCACCACTTATGAAAAAGGTTCACTCATAATAGAACTGACAATATCCCAGAGGCAGGGTTCTGTTGCCCTTGGAGTCACATCAGGCAACCAGAAATCCTAACCAAAGGCCAAAGGATCATTAAGGAATTACGCCTCAGGCGCCATCTCCAAGGGAAGAAGTTACAGGCCCTGCTAGATTCATATTCCTTCTTCATGCAAGCATAGGAATATTTCAGGGTCTCGCTTTGTTGCCCAGGCTGGTGCAGTGACAGGATCATAGTTCACTGCATTATTTGGGCCCTAACTCCTGGGCCCAAATAATCCTCCTACCTCAGACTCCCGAGTAGCTGGAACTACAGGCACATGCTACCATGCCTGGCTAATTTTTTCATTTTTTGCAGAGATAGGGTCTTGCTCTGTAGCTCATAAGCCACCACATCTGGCCCAATTCTGCTTTTGAATACTTCAATTTCACTAATGAGCGCCTACTTCTAATACTCATTTTGTTAATCAGTAAGACACTAATCTCACCAGTAAAAATTGGCCAGGTGCAGTGGGCCATGCCTGTAATCCCAGCACTTTGGGAGGCCAAGGTGAGTAGATCACTTGAATCCAGGAGCTTGAGACCAGCCTGGGCAACATGGCAAAACCCTGTCTCTACAAAAAATACAAAAATTAGCAAGGCATGGTGGCACGCGCCTGTAGTCCCAGCTACTCGGGAGGCTGAGACAGGAGGATTGCTTAAGCCTAGGAAGCAGAGGTTGCAGTGAGCTAAGATCGTGCCATTACGCTCCAGCCTGGGCAACAGAGACCCCCGTCTCAAAAAAACAAAAAAATCCAAGCTGTTTCTGACAGTCACTATGCTAACTAGTAAAGGTGTTGATCAAACTATAGAGAGTGCTGCACTGATGGCAGCCCCTGGAGAGTGCACCCTTGAAGATGTAAAGCTAGGTGACATCATGGAATGTGGATGCTTCATTAATGTAATTCACATTCCCCTGAAGTTGAGGCTGAAACTAACTGGCAAATATATACTATCAGATGGTCTATGAAGAAGTATTTTTAAATAAATTACAGACATCATAACTCCATGATAAAGACTTTAAGGATGATGGAAGTCAGCGAAGAGTTTTAAGCTGGAGACAGCATTACTGTTAATAGATCTTAGGTGAGAGGAATCTGACCAACGTTATGGCCCCCCCTGTAAGCTTTACACACATAGCTCTACTCTGACTTCTCCTTGCAACTGTACTGTCCCCTAGCCATATGTGGCTATTCTAATATAAAGTATAACTTAACTAAAACTAAAACTTCAGTTCCTCAGTCCCACTAGCAAATTTCAAGTGCCTGATGGCCACATGTGGCTTGTGTCTTCTGCACTGACAATACAGACACAGAACATTTCCATGGTCACAAAAAGTTCTACTGATACCGCTGATCTAGAAGAATAAAGTTTCAAGAGAATGATAAATTTCTGGGGATGGAAAATAATTCAAGGCCAGGCATGGTGGCTCAGGCCTGTAATTCCAGCACTTTGGGAGGCCGAGGCGGGCGGGTCACTTGAGGTCAGAAGTTCGAGACCAACCTAGCCAACATGGCGAAACCCTGTCTCTACTAAAAATACAAAAATTAGCTGGACTTGGTGGTGGGCATCTGTAATCCCAGCTACTCGGGAGGCTGAGGCAGGAGAGATGCTTGAACCTGGGAGGCGGAGGTTGCAGTGAGCCGAGATCATGCCATTGCACTCCAGCCTGGGCGACAGAGAAAAAAGAGAAGAGAAGAGAAGAGAGAAAAGAAAAGAAAAAAGAGAAAAGAGAAGAAAAGAATTCAACAAAGAGAAGGCATCCATAGATAAATTCAATGAAGAAAGTATTTAGGTTCTGAGTTAATTCCTTGATCATCTTGATCTTCCTCCTGAAAAAGACTGCCATTTAGCAAAGAAGGGAGGAAGAAAAAAAAGAGGAAGAAAACAGCCCAGGAGAGAAAAAAAAAATACCCTCTAAAGTAAAAATATTGTTTTGTCTTCCCATTCCACCCTACTGATATTTAAAAAGAAGTATGCCAGGGAATAAAACAACAAGGCCATGAAAAACTGAATCAAGTAGGCTGTTAAAAGCAGTTATTGGCCGGGCACGGTGGCTCACACCTATAATCCCAGCACTTTGGGAGGCTGAGGCAGGTAGATCACCTGAGGTTGGGAGTTCGAGACCAGCCTGACAAACATGGAGAAACCCCGTCTCTACTAAAAATACAAAATTAGCCAGACGTGGTGGCACATGCCTGTAATCCCAGCTATTCGGGAGGCTAAGGCAGGAAAATTGCTTGAACCCAGGAGGTGGAGGTTGCAGTGAGCCGAGATGGTGCCATTGCACTCCAGCCTGGGCAAAAAGAACGAAACTCTGTCTCAAAAAAGAAAAAAAAAAAAAGCAGTTCTCTTAGGCAAGTCCTGAACACACACTCAGGAAATGAGGTTTCACTCTTTGCAAATCCCATTAGTGGCCCCCAAGTTTCTGTTTGCTACCATTTTTCTCAGTGTTTTATTCGACCTAAAGTGCTCTCAGTGTTAGACTGGAAAATGATTTTTTTTCTTGGCAAACTTGTGGTTACAAGATGTGCAATAAATTTTAAGTATAATTCTGTTTTGAAGACATGGTTTTGGAGTCAAGGTTTGCTTGGGGAACAGGGCCCTAAAACGATAAAGTAATTTGAAGTATGTACTGCATCTATTTATAAAAACTGAACTTGCACTTAATCTTGCAGGACTATTCCAGTTACACAGTGAGGCACATCTAAAATTCCTAAAAAAGAAACTCCAGCAATCCCCTGATGGCTTGTTGTTTATAAACACTAGAGCCAAACTTAATCTCGAGGTTGTAAAAGTTGATTATATAAATTGGGTCATTCTTGTCATGTCCAACGAAATCAGGGCCAGGGGAAAGAACACCCAGGGCATACAGCACCTGCTCCAAGAATTAGATTTTCCACAAGCCCAGCTGCTGAAACGACCTGCTGTGACTCTAAGACTACTTTAACCTACCACTGTCTCACCAATCAGAGATTCCCAGCTCCCAAAAACTTGACTTGTGTCAATGAGCTTTCTTTCAAAGCAATACATACTATTTCTTTTTCTAATAAAACTCCTAACCTTCTGTTTGTTCTTTGGACATACCAAAGACCACCCAGTCTGTGTGTATAACTCAAATTGCAATTCTTGCTTCCCAAATAAAACATTAGAGATTTGTCTCTATATTTTATTTGACTTCAACAAGGTTCACACTGCAAATTTCCCAGTGAACAGGTGAGATTTCATCTTACCTCTTTTGCTCCACAGCAAACGCTGACTTAAAACGTGTATGTAAAATGTATGTATGGGCTGGGTATGGTGGCTCACACCTGTAATCCCAAAACTTTGGAAGGCCAAGGCGGGCAGATCACCTGAGGTCAGGAGTTTAAGACCAGCCTGGACAACATGGTGAAAACCCGTCTCCATTAAAAATACAAAAATTAGCCAGGTGTGGTGGTAGGTGCCTGTAATCCCAGCTACTTGGGAGGCTCAGGTGGGAGAATTGCTTGAACCCGGGAGGCAGAGGTTGCAGTGAGCCGAGACTGCGCCAGTGCACTCCAGCCTGGGCAACAGAGCAAGACTCCATCATAAAATGAAATGAAATAAAATAAAATATATGTATGGCTGGGTGCGGTGGCTCACATCTGTAATCCTAGCACTTTGGGAGGCCGAGGTGGGCGGATGACTTGAGGTCAGGAGTTCAAGAACAGCCTGGCCAACATAGTGAATCCCTGTCTCTACTAAAAATACAAAAGTTAGCCAGGCGTGGTGGTGGGTGCCTGTAATCCCAGCTACTTGGGAGGCTGAGGCAGGAAAATCGCTTTAACCTGGGAGGTGGAGGTTGCAGTGAGCTGAGATTGTGCCACAGCACTCCAGCCTGGGCGACACAGCAAGACTCCATCTTAAAAAACAAACAAAAAAATAAAATGTATGTATGTATGTAAGTAGAAGGGTTACAAGAATGATGCCCTAAAAACTCTATCAATTTTTTAAACCATTTTATTACAAACACAAAATGCAGGAAATTACATAGAATATAAAGCTTAATGAATGATTGTAAGGTGAACATCCTTATAACCACTACCAAGGTCGAGAGAAAGAACTTTCCAGGCATTCCCCAAGTTCCTCCATGTTCCCTGATCCAACCACAATCCCCTCCTCCCTCCAAAGTAATCACTACCCTGGCTTTGGTAATAATCACTTCCTTGCATTTCTTTATGGTTTTCCACTTACATGTGCATCCCTTTCTATAGTTTAGGTCTTGCCTATTTTTAAAATTTTTGATACAATTTTTAAGTCTCTTAATTCATAATTCCTCCACTCCAGCCTACTCCTGCCCATATCTTTTTTTTTTTTCTTGTTACAATTCATATGTTACAGAATCTGGGACATTTAACCCATATAACATCCCATAATCTGGATTTTCTAATTATGTACCTTGTTTTCAGTATTTCTTGCAAATTGCAGCTATATCCAGAGGCTTGATCAATTTTGGATTTTATCCTTTTGGCAAACTTTGGTGGTGGGTAATGTTCTTTTGTCAGGAGGCTTGGTTTTTGTTTCTGATGTCAGCAGTTATTGATGCTCAGTACCTAGACCATAAGGGGTTGTAAAATGATGCTATCCTATCATTTTGTTTTCATTTGTAAGTTGAAATAATTTTATAAAGATATATTTCTGTCACCTACTATATGGTTATCTAGTGGTACAGGAAAGGCAGGACAAATACTTATTTTTTTCCTTTATCCAGTTTTCAATACAATGAACTGATTTCTTATCAATTCTCCTAATTTAGCCAAGTAGGTTTCCTTTTTAGTAACATTATGAGTGCCTGGATTTAAATATATTTATGAGTTTTAATCTATTGCAATTCTTACCTTACTGAAACTCAAATTATCCCTCTTTGGTCAGTGGGAGCCTCTTCAAGTTAGATCCTAAGTCCTTTCAAGATGACTCCAGTAGACTTTGATAAACTTTCATGTTATCTGTTATCACAACATTCTAGGATCATCCTATACATTTCCTGCCCTAAAACCTAGAATTAGCCATTTCCCTAAGAAACCCCAGTTTCTCTAAATGGGTAAATGGTATTTCAAGATCATAATTTGGGCACTAAGAATGTTCATTCATACTGGGTTGGTCATTGTTTCTAGACCTTTTAGTGGACAGACACACACACACACACACACACACACACCACACCCCTACAGGGGACCAGGCAGGTAACAAACAAGTGAAGGTGAGAGAAATGAAACAGGGACTGTGGCAATCTGAAGAGGGTACGCTCTGCCTAAAGGGGACAGATCTTACAATTCCTCAAAAGGAGCCAGAAATAAAAAATTTCCACATGAATTTTTAAAATGCTGACTACTAATTTCAAAAAAGTCAAACACCAGGGTCAAATGAACCACATCTGTGGGGCCAGATGTGATCCAAGGGTTATGTGCACCCTCAACCTGAAAATGTTAACTCGCAGTTACAATATTCCAGGAGTCACATTGTTGCTAATATATAAAAAATATTTAGGGAAATTAAGAATTCTCAGACTGCTTCAGAAAAACCCCAGCTACATTAAGATTATCTTCCTCTCCCCAAGTCTCTACAGCACTAGGGAGAAAAGCATTTTCTGTACAGAAACCATTTCCTTTCTCAGACACGATGTGAAAGGGAAAAAGCCAGTTATCCAAATAAACTCTTAAAGGGAGTTAACCTAACAATGTTTTTACATGTAAGTTCTTGGAATCACAAGAAGAGATCCAGGAGATATATTTTGCATGACAGATATATTAGAGGAAACAAAACTGGTAGAAAACTTTATTGAAAATGCTTGATCAAGCTCTTGCCTTCATTTTTACCCATTCCAAAAAGAAACAAAGCTAACAGCACTGCTACCTCTGCCCTAGCACACACCTGGACATAGCAGAAATAACAGAAAGTGACTGGGGAAGAAAAAATAAGGTGTGAAAACTCTAAATATGGCCCCAGAGAAGGCTTGGGGAAGGACCCGTTATCAAGAAATAACTGATTGAGTTTGGCTCCTCTGGTATAAGCTACCATCACATAACCTGACCCAAGCTCCAGAAAGGATAAAAAAAAATCACAGGATTAACGTTTTCAGTTCAAAGACAAGAAAAGGTCAGACTGGATTAAAGCAAAACCAAAAGAGTACTCACGGGGTAATTTCCCCTAGTGTCTGCTACTGTCTTTGAAAGAAAATAAAGGCCTCAAACCATCCAAGGGAATCCAAGGCTTTAGGAATCCCAAGCAAAAGGAAGATGGGAACTAGAAACTTCCCAGACTGCACCATGAGCATCTCGGTAAGCCTCGCCTGGTCTCCCTCGAAGCCTTACAGCTTCAGCTTCTCGGTCCTGTGCACTCGGCTTTCCTTCACTGGAGCCTCCTGCCCCTGAGCATGTTAGGGCTATTTTTTTCCGCATGCTATCAAATCATAACATTTTAAACCTCTCTCTAATTTGGAAACTAGGCTCTCAGCCAAGGTCAGAGAAAGAGTTGAGTTGCCGGATGGAACCAGATGGGCTCAAACTACCATTCTCATAAGTGATTCACCAGGGAGCCAGATGCAGCATCCCCTCCCTTTGATCTTGTGTCTCATGAAGGAAAGGAAGAATAGTTTCACCTCTGGCACTGATCAGACACCAGTACTCTCTAGAAATTCCACCAGCAGAATGGAGGCATGTTTATAGTGTCAAAGGAGGAAGTACAAACTAACTTTTACAGTTCCTTTGACTTCAAAAGATGAATTATTTTCTTTTCCCCTCATCGCCCCACATACTGGTGATCATGTCCTTTCATGAACATTTGAATACTAATAATCATAGCTAATATCTATCAAGCCCTCATCAGACTCTGTTCTAAACACTTGACATGTATTAACCCTTTGCAGTAGGTACTATTATATTATCCCTGTGGAAGCAGAGAAGTTAAATAGTCACTTGCTCAGGGTCACAGAGTTAATAAGTGTCCAAATGAAGACATCAGAGCCTGTACTCTATTTCCCTCTTTTTTATTATAAATTTTTTCAAACATGCAGAAAAGTTGGAAGAGTAATACAATAATTAACCATATATGTCTAGATTAAATATTAATACCTTGCCTTATTTTATCTTTCTGCATGCATATATTTATTTTTGCTGAACCATGTAAAAGTTGAACACATCATGACATTTCTCTCCAAAACACTTCTGCACACAGTTGTGCAAAATAAGGACATTCTCCTATATACCATAATACTATCATCACATCCAGGTAATCAACAATTCCCAGCCGGCGCAGTGGCTCACACCTGTAATCCCAGCACTTTGGGAGGCTGAGGCGGGCGGATCACAAGGTCAGGAGATCGAGACCATCCTGGCCAACACGGTGAAACCCCGTCTTTACTAAAAATACAAAAAATTAGCCAGGCGTGGTGGCAGGTGCCTGTAGTCCCAGCTACTTGGGAGGCTGAGGCAGGAGAATCGCTTGAACCTGAGAGGCGGAGGTTGCAGTGAGCCGAGATTGCACCACTGTACTCCAGCCTAGGCGACAGAGTGAGACTCCGTCTCAAAAAAAAAAAAAAAAAAAAAATTCCCTAACATCATCTAATATCTAATCTGTCTTCAAAATTTTCTAGTTGTCCCCCAAAACATCCTTTATAGCTGTTTTTTTCAACCCAAAATCCAATCAAGACTCTCCCATTGCATTCAGTTATTGTGTCTCTTTAGTCCAGAACGGTTTCTCCACTTTTTCTTTTTCATAACATTAACATTTTGAACAGACTCAGACCAGCTTTCTTAAAATACCATAGTACATTCTGGTTTGTCTTACTGCTTCCTTGTGGTGTCATTGAACTCGTTCCTCTGCTCTTTTATTCCCTAAAACCAAAACTCAGATCTTAAGGCTTCATTAAGGGTAACTTTTTGGGTAAGAATAGTTCAGAGTTGATAACGTGTATTTTGTACTGCCTCATGCCAAGCACTATATATATCATGTCAAGTTGTTCCACTATAAGTGATAAGAGTTGGATTACTTAGCTACAGAATATGCCTTTGTAAAGATTTTTGTTTGTTTGTTTTGTTTCGTTTGTTTTTGAGACAGTCTCTTACTCTGTCACCCAGGCTGGAGTGCACTGGTGTGATCTCAGCTCACTGCAACCTCCGTCTCCCGGGTTCAAGCAATTCTCTGCCTCAGCCTCCTGAGTAGCTGGGATTACAGGCACCCACCACCAAGCCTGGCTAATTTTTGTATTATTAGTAGAGACAGGGTTTCACCACCTTGGCCAGGCTAGTCTTGAACAACTGACCTCGTGATCCACCCGCCTCGGCCTCCCAAAGTGTTGGGATTACAGGCGTGAGCCACCATGCCCGGCCATAAATATGTATTTTTCCCTTTGCTATTAGCAAAGAATCTAGAGGGTGGGGACTAGGGAATAATGTTTTGACACAATGCAAATGCAAATACATTGTTCTCTAAAAACCATTCACCCAGTGATTTTAGCATCCATGTGATATGCACAAGAGGCAGGTAGAAAAGGGCCGTTCCTGGCGACGGCCCCACCCTCAAGCCTGGACCCCTGACCTAAAGTGAGAACTTCACATCCCTGTTGCCTTTTCCAAAACCACCCTGGCCTGGCCTGCCCCGCATCCTGTACTCATAAAAACCCCAGGCTCCACTGGCAGTGGAGTGGCAGAGAGGGAGAGAGAAGCAGCAGCCAGAAGTCAGAGGGAAGCAGCTTGATTTCAGACGGACACCTTGATGGCGGGACCTCGGAGAAGAGTTCAGCCAGGAATGACCGAACTGAGGGGAAGACCACCTTCCTGCTCCATCCCCTTTCCAGCTCTCCATCCCATTGACAGCCACTTTCATCAGCAATAAAATCCCCTGCATTTACCATCTCCAATTCATTTGTGCAACCTGATACCTCCTGGATGCCAAACAAGAGGTTGGGATACAGAGGGCTGTCATACTGAGATGTGAAATGCTTAAGCCATCAGAGGATGGCAAAGCTGAAAGAGCACAGTGTAACAAACAACTTCTGTGGCTCCAGGGATCATGAGTACCCCACTAGACATTGCTGTGGGACTGCACAGAGTTGTGCACAGAGTCTGTGCCATGGGACTGCACAGAGTTGTGCCCAGACTGGTCTTAAACTCCTGGGATCAAGTGATCCTCCTGCCTCAGCCTCCCTAAGTGCTGGGACTATAGGTGTGAGCCACTGCACCCAGCTATAATTCCTTTTTAAAAGGCAGAGTAATTGCTTAGTTCTTTCCTTTTAATTATTTACTTTCAGAGTGAGAAACTGGTAAAATAGCCACATCTGATGATGGTCTATGTATTTTTTCTCTTCTTGCCCTTTTAGTGAGCATCACTATGGAGACATGACTTTTTTTTTTTTTTTTTTTTGAGACAAGAATCTTGCACTGTGGCCCAGGCTGGAGTGCAGTGGTGCGATCTCGGCTCACTGCAACCTCTGCCTCCCAGGTTCAAGCGATTCTCGTGCCTCAGCCTCCCAAGTAGCTGGCATTACAGGCACCCACCACCATGCCTGGCTCATTTTGTATTTTCAGTAGAGAAGGAGTTTCACCATGTTGTCCAGGCTGGTCTGGAACTACTGACTTCAAGTGATCCACCTGCCTTGGCCTCCCAAAGTGCTGGGAATATAGGCGTGAGCCACCGTGCCCAGCCAAACACATGGATTTTTATCCAGTGTTTTATAATTACTTGTTGTCATTCTTTTGATGCTCAGAAATTCCCAAATTTGGGTGGTATGAGCCCCTTTCAGCTGGTACCAGTGTTTTTCTGACTTAGTCCTGTTAAGACTTTGAGGACTATTTTGCTTTTTTTTGTTGTTGTAACAAGATGTCCCAGTCAAGCTGTGCTCTTACATACTACATTAGACAACCTTTCCTAGAGGGCTATGCCTACAGAGGGCTTGAAAAAAACTCAGAGAAAAAGATAATGTCAAGAGCAGATGTGTCAGCTCCTAGAGGTTATCAAATCCATTTTGATTTGGAAGTAGAAAGCATTCTGAAGCCGATCAGGGTACAGCCACTCACTCTGGCACTTACAGCTTTGCTACAACTCCCCAGCAAGTGGCCATTCAGCCTCTGGCCTAAACACCATGATTCACAGGGAACTGACCTCACTTAGGACATCTCATTCTGTCACAGAACTACCTTATACTAAGCTTCTTGTACCACCTAACCATTAGTTCTAGCTTCTCTCCTTGGAGCCTATGGATCCCTGTGAAACTCAACTCTAAAGGGTCCACTTAGTAGTCTGGCAGAAACTCAGCCCTAAAGAATAATTTTAGGCTGGTTGTGGTGGCTCAGCCTAATCCCAGCACTTTGGGAGGCTGAGGCGGGAGGATTGCTGTAGCTCAAGAATTCAAGACCAGCCCGGGCAACAAAGTGAGACCCTGTCTCTAAAAAAAAACCAACCAACCAACCAAACAAACAAAAAACAAAAAACAAGCCAGCCATGGTGGCACATGACTGTAGTCCCAGCTACTCAGTAGGCTGAGGCAGGGGGACTGCTTGAACCCAGGAGGTCTAGGCTGCAGTGAGCCATGTTCACAGCACTGCACTCCAACCTAGTTGACAGAGTAAGACCCTGTTACAAAACAAAAAAGAATATTTCCTCTTCTGTTTCCACCTTCACTTTTTTTCACCTTTTTTGTTTTTTTTTTGTTTTTGAGATAGAGTCTCACTCTGTCACCCAGGCTTGAGTGCAGTGGCGCAATCTCGGCTCACTGCAACCTCCACCTTCCGCGTTCAAGCAATTCTCTTGCCTCAGCCTCCTGAGTAGCTAGGACTGCAGGCACATGTCACCATGCCTAGCTAATTTTTGTACTTTTAGTAGAGACGCGGTTTCACTATGTTGGCCAGGCTTGTCTCGAACTCCTAACCTCAGGTGATCCACCCACCTTGGCCTCCCAAAGTGCTGGGATTACAGACATGAGCCATTACACCTGGCTCCTCCTTCATATTTAAACAGATGGTTTTGTTTCCTGGATGTGACTACACTGATCTTCAAATACCCTACCATGACCCACAAGGCCCAGGTGATATAATTTGGCTGTGTCCCCATTCAAATCTCATCTTGAATTGTTGTTCCCATAATCCCCTCATGTCATGAGAGGGACCCGGTGGGAGGTAATTGAATCATGGGGATGGTTACCCCCAATGCTGCTGTTCTCCTGATAGTGAGTGAGTTCTCACAGGATCTGATGGTTTTATAAGGGTCTTTTCCCTCTTTGCTTGGCACCTCTCCTTCCTGCCATCATGTGAAGGTGGACGTGTTTGCTTCCCCTTCGGCTATATTTGTAAGTTTCCTGAGGCCTCCCCAGCCATGTGGAACTGTGAGTCAATTAAACCTCTTTCCTTTGTAAATTACCAAGTCTCAATATCATACTGAATGGACAAAAGCTGGAAGCATTCCCTTTGAAAACTGGCACAAGACAAGGATGCCCTCTCTTACCACTCCTATTCAACATAGTATTAGAAGTTCTGGCCAGAGCAATCAGGCAAGAGAAAGAAATAAAGCGTATTCAAATAGGAAAAGAGGAAGTCAAATTGTCTCTGTTTGCAGATGACATGAGTGTATATTTAGAAAACCCCACCGTCTCAGCCCAAAAACTCCTTAAGCTCATAAACAACTTCAACAAAGTCTCAGGATACAAAATCAATGTGCAAAAATCACAAGCATTCCTATATACCAATTATAGACAAGCAAAGCGCCAAATCATGAGTGAACGCCCATTCACAATTGCTACAATGAGAATAAAATATCTAAGAATACAACTTACAAGGGATGTGAAGGACCTCTTCAAGGAGGACTGCAAACCACTGCTCAAGGAAATAAGAGAGGACACAAACAAATGGAAAAAAATTCCTTGTTCATGGATAGGAAGAATCAATATCATGAAAATGGTCATACTGCCCAAAGTAATTTATAGATTCAATGCTATTCCCATCAAGCTACCATTGACTTTCTTCACAGAACTAGAAAAAACTACTTTAAATTTCATATGGAACCCCAAAAGAGCCTGTGTAGCCAAGACAATCCTAAGCAAAAAGAACAAAGTTGGAGGCAACAAGCTACCTGACTTCAAACGATACTGCAAGGCTACAGCACCCAAAACAGCATGCTACTGCTACCAAAACAGAGATATAGACCAATGGAACAGAACAGAGGCCTCAGAAATAATACCACACATCTACAACCACCTGATCTTTGATAAACCTGACAAAAACAAGCAATGGGGAAAGGATTCCCTATTTAATAAATGGTGCTGGGGAAACTGGCTAGCCATACGCAGAAAACAGAAACTGGACCCCTTTGTTACACCTTATACAAAAATTAACTCCAGATGGATTAAAGACTTATACGTAAAACCTAAAACCATAAACCCTAGAAGAAAACCTAGGCAGTACCATTCAGGACATAGGCATGGGCAAAGACTTCATGACTAAAACACCAAAAGCAATTGCAACGAAAGCCAAAATTGACAAATGGGATCTAATTAAACTAAAGAGCTTCTGCACAGCAAAAGAAACTATCATCAGAGTGAACAGGCAACCTACAGAATGGGAGAAAATTTTTGCAATCTATCCATCTGACAAAGGTCTAATATCCAGAATCTACAAGGAACTTAAATTTACAAGAAAAAAAACAGGCCAGGTGCGGTGGCTTATGCCTGTAATCTCAGCACTTTGGGAGGCTGAGGCAGGCAGATCATGAGGTCAGGAGATTGAGACCATCCTGGCTAACATGGTGAAACCCCGTCTCTACTAAAAATACAAAAAATGAGCCAGGCATGGTGGCACGTGCCTGCAGTCCCAGCTACTTGGGAGGCTGAGGCAGGAGAATCGCTTGAACCTGGGAGGCAGAGGTTGCAGTGAGCTGAGATTGTGTCACTGCACTCCAGCCTGGGCAACAGAGCAAGACTCAAGTCTCAGAAAAAAAAAAAAAAAAAGACAAAAAAAAAAAAACCAAACATCAAAAAGTGGGCAAAGGATATGAACAGACACTTCTCAAAAGAAGAGATTTATGTGGCCAAGAAACATGAAAAAAGCTCATCATCACTGGTCATTAGAGACATGCAAATCAAAACCACAATAAGATACCATCTCACGCCAGCTGGAATGGCGATCATTAAAGTCTGGAAAAACAGATGCTGGCAAGGATGCGGAAAAATAGGAATGCTTTTACATTTTTGGTGGGAATGTAAATTAGTTCAACCATTGTGGAAGACAGTGTGGCGATTCCTCAAGGATTAGAGCCAGAAATACCATTTGACCCAGCAATCCCATTACTGGATATATACCCAAAGGATTATAAAGCATTCTACTATAAAGATATATGCACACGTATGTTTACTGCAGCACTACTTACAATAGCAAAGACTTAGAACCAACCCAAATGCCCAGCAATGAGACTGGATAAAGAAAATGTGGCATATATACACCATGGAATACTATGCAGCCATAAAAAAGGAGTTCACGTCCTTTGCAGGGACATGGATGAAGCTGGAAACCATCATCCTTAGCAAACTAACACAGGAACCGAAAACCAAACATCGCATGTTCTTACTCATAAGTGGGAGTTGAACAATGGGAACACATGGACACAGGGAGGTGAACATCACACACTGGGGCCTGTCATGGGGTGGGGGACAAGGTGTGGGAGAGCGTTAGGACAAATACCTAATGCATGTGGGGCTTAAAACCTAGATGATGGGTTGATACGTGCAGCACACCATGGCACATTACATAGGTTTGTTATACCTATGTAACAAACCTGCGCATTCAGCACATGTATTCCAGAACTTAAAGTAAAATTTAAAAAAAAATTATTTCATGTACCATCAGCAAAAACAAATAAATAAATAAATAACCAAGTCTCGGGCAGTTCTTTTTCTTTCCTTTTCTTTTTTTTTTTTTTCTTTTTTTGAGACAGAGTGTCACTTCATCACCCAGGCTGGAATGCGGTGGTGCGATCTAGGCTCCTGCAACCTCTGCCTCTCGGGTTCAAGCAATGTTCCTGCCTCTGCCTCCCGAGTAGCTGGAATTACAGGAACACTCCCCCATGTCTGGCTAATTTTTGTAGTTTTAGTAGAGACAAGGTTTCGTCATGTTGGCCAGGCTGGTCTCAAACTCCTGACCTCAAGTGGTCCACTTGCCTCAGCCTCCCAAAGTACTGAGATTACAGGTGTAAGCTACCACGCCTGGCTCAGGCAGTTCATAGCAGCGTAAGAATGGACTAATACACCAGGCTACTTCATATATTTATAAAAAATATACAAATATAGTAGGAAATGGAGTTTTAATTTCTGCATAAATGGGATCCTGAAGTTCATCTCAAACTCCTTCCGCTCCTGTCCCCCACATACAGACGGTTACCAAGCACAGCCAATTCTACCTCCTAGAATTCCCCTGCATCTAGTCTCTCATCTCTCCATCTCCTCTGACACTGGTTTGGGCCCCCAGTTTACCCCTCTGACTTGATCTAGTACAATGTTCTAAGCTTTCCCAACTTCAGCTCTTCCTACTCCCATCTACCCGACAAGCTGCTGCCAAAGCAATCTTCCTGGAGCACTCACCTGCTCAGCATCCTTCAATTGCTTTATGTCTGCAGTCTGGCATAGTATCTAGCACACTATAGGTACTTAGTAAATATTGGTAGAGGAGCTGCTTGACTTAATGAGTCAGTTGTACTGTCCACTAGTGTCAGGAGGAAATTTCCTTTAGTTTTAAACAAAAGTTGTTTTATATAAAGTGGTGCATAGAGATTGGCTTAAGAAACCATTTTTATCTTCTTTTATTTACTTATTCATTTTTTGCAGGTTGGACAAGCTCAGAAACCATTTTTAAATTTCTGGTCCATCCATGTGTATGAATATACTATATTATTTATTTGATACATAGTTGTATAAAAAGTCTGGCTATATATATTCTTAGTGCTTAGACTTTCTAAAGAATAAGCCATAAATAGGAAATAAAAAAGAAAATACAAGCAGCACATTGTTATGTGGAAAAATGCTTCAACTCAGCAAGAATACAGAAAGAAAATCAAAGCAAAATAACTTCACTGTATGGTGACACATCTACTGAACTGGCAATCATAAATCAAACTTGAAAAGTCAGTGCTGGCAGATGAGGAGGTAAGTGGTCCACTTCTCTTTAGATACTGATGGTGGCACTGCAAACTGGCTCAGGCTTTCTGGTGAACAATCTGGTATAATTGCCTAATAAGAACAATACGACTTTTCACCTTGGGTCCAGTGATTTAGCTAAAGCAACATACTTGAAGAAAATAATTTCAAGCTGGGCACAGTGGCTCACACCTGTAATCCCAGCACTTTGGGAGGCCAAGGCAGAAGGATCGCTTGAACCTAGGAGTTTGAGAGCAGCCTGAGCAACATGGCAAAGCCCTGTCTCTACAAAAAAATACAAAAATTAGCTGGGTGTGGTGGTGCATGCCTGCAGTCCCAGTTACTTGGGAGGGTGAGGTGAAAGGATTGCTTGTGCCCGGGAGGTTGAGGGTGCAGTGAACCGTGACTGCGGCACTGCACATCCCATCCTGGGCAACAGAGTGAGACACTGTCTCAAAAATAAGAAAAAGAAAAAGAAAACAAATAAAAACAAATTTCTGGCTGGGTGAAGTGGCTCATTCCTATAAACCTAGCACTTTGGGAGACCAAAGTGGGTGGGTGGATGGATTGCGTGAACCCAAGAATTCGAGACCAGTCTGGGCAACATGGCGAAACCCCATCTCTACAAAAAATTAGCCGGGTGTGGTGGCACACACCTGTAGTCCCAGTTACTCAGGAGACTAAGGTGAGACGATCGATTGAGCCTGGGAGATGGAGGCTGCAGTGAGCTGAGATTGTGCCACTGCACTCCAGCCTGGGTGACAGAGCAAGGACCTGCTCTCAAAAAAAAAAAAAAAAAATTTCTACGTTATTTATATTAGTGACAATATAAATGACATATCTCAAACATAAATAAAGACATATCTCAAATTCCCCAAATAAGAAAAAGATCAAGCAAACCATGAATCATTGTCTGCATCAACACAATATTATAAAATCACTTAAAATAACATGCATATGGCCTATTTCAATAAATGGAATACACACTCAGCTTTAGCAGTGCTTGTGATTAAGAAAGGCTCTGAAATCAGACATTTCTGGCACTGCCACCTGTACACTTTCAAGAAACATTTATCTTGTAAGAATGGATTTGGACCATGTGGGGCCTGCATGCAGTTACTTCCTCTTGAAGAAACATGTATGTACTATTCTCATTTGAGTAGAACAAGATGATTAGAGAGCACGCTCTGGCATCAGATGGCCATGGTTCATATCTTAGCAATGTCATTCGCTGGTCCTGTGACCTTAAGTGACTTAACCTCCCAACATTCTAGTTTCAATTCATTTGTCTAATATGGCTAACACTAGACTAATATTTGGCTAATAATATGACCTACTCCATAAAGTTCTTATGAGGTTAAAATGAGACGATGCCTACAGAGTGCTTAGCATGGTGCCTGACATGTAATCCATTCTCAGTAAATGTCAGCAATTTGCATTCTTCAATTAATGTTTATTGATCAGCCACTATGTTCCAAGCATTGTTTCAGATGCACATACTCCATTTAAGTCCTATAAGAATCTTACAAGGTGAGTGTTATTATAAAGAAAAGTTAAAGAAATGAGCTCAGAGGGGATCACTAGTTGAGAAAAGAAAACTGCAAGATAGTTGCGTTTGCAAATATGTAAAATAAAATGCACTTATACATTCCCAAGGATATGCATATAGTAGTGCCCCCCTTATCTGAGGTTTCACTTTTCATGGTTTCAGTTACCTGTTGTCAACTGTGGTCCTTAAATGGAAAATTCCAGAAACAAACAATTCATAAGTTTTAAATTGTACACCATTCTGAGTAGTGTGATGAAATCTCACGCCGTCCTGCTCTGTCCCACTCGAGACATGAATCACCCCTTTGTCTAGTGTATCCCTGCCTGTTAGTCACTTAGTAGTTGTCTCAGTTATTCGACAGAAAAAACATAGTATACGTAGGGTTCAGTACCAAATGCAGTTTCAGGCCTCCATTAGGGGCTTTAGAACATATCCCCTGCAGACATGGGGAGGTCTACTGTAGTTGGGACTTAATGATAATTAAGTCCACTTTGTTTAAAGTTAGTCAAGTTTCTATGTGTTTATATTTTCAACTGGGAGCAAGCTTCCCACTGCCTTTACTAACCCGTGCCCTTCCTTTCCCCCAGCAGGGACCAGGCCATGTATTAAATGTCACTTGGGTGCTGGCTTCTGACCAGCAAGTGCTTACCTGGAGGAGATAGAGGAGTCCTGGGACAAACAAGGTGAGTGGGTACAGAGACTGGTATGTCGCTAAGGCAAGAAAAATAGCACTGAGGAAAGCACTGCCTGTAAAAAGAAAGAAATGTATGGAATAATCCAGCCTCATCAATCATGATTAGACTCAGCAAGTCCCTCTCAACACAAAACTTTCCATAACTGCTCAAATAATCACCTGCCAAGTGCCTCCTGGTACACAAGGTGCTATGCAAATTCACACAGTAAGAGCTTCTTGGCTTGATTTCCAATGAAAGGAAACCAAGAAAGTCAAAACCATCTACCTTTGGCAACCTGAGACACTACAGGCATAATTCTTATAAAATTTTGAGACCCAGAACGATTTTACAAAATTTCAACCCGAAGATGTATAAAGGGATCAAGTCTATTAACATCCATGTCCTATCTAATGTACCAATTTATTAAGCCTACAATTATTGCTTATGATATCCAGAGCTGGAAACCCATCCCTTTGACTGTTGCAACATTATCACTCTTTACAACAGCCCTTCCTTACCTGCTGCATCAATTTAGGTCACGTTTTTTCTTTTCAAATGAAAGTATATTAATTTTGTTAGTAATGTCCTCACTTCCTATATAAAATGGACTACTATGGAATCATTAAACATGAGGCTATTAAGAATTTGCAATGACTTAGAAAGGTGTTTATAATATCCTATTAAATGAAGTTTATAAAAGAGACATATATTATCATTTATTTTATAAAAAAAAAATGCACAAACATTTTTTAAAAGACGAAAAGCCAGCAGGCAAAGTAACTCACGCCTATAATCCCAGCACTTCGAGAGGCCGAGTCAGGCAGATCAAGATCAGGAGTTCGAGACCAGCCTAGCCAACATGGTGAAACCTCGTCTCTACTAAAAATACAAACATTAGCCAGGCGTAGTGGTGGTGACCTGTAATCCCAGCTACTCAGGAGGCTGAGGCAGAAGAATTGCTTGAAACTGGGAGGCAGAGGTTGCAGTGAGCTGAGATTGTACCACAGCACTCCAGCCTGGGTGTCCAGGCAAAAGTTTGCAGTAGGGGGCGGAGCCCTCATGGAGAACCTCTGCTAGGGCAATGCGGAAGCGAAATGTGGGGTCGGAGCCCCCACACAGAGTCCCTACTGGGGCACCACCCAGTGGAGCTGAGAAGAGGGTCACTGTCCTCCAGATTCCAGAATGGTAGATCCACCGACAGCTTGCACCGTGGGCCTGGAAAAGCCACAGACACTCAACACCAGCCTGTGAAAGCAGCTGAGAGGGAGGCTATACCCTGCAAAGCCACAAGGGTGGAGCTGCCCAAGACCATGGGAACCCCCCTCTTACATCAGCATGACCCAGATGTGAGACATGGAGTCAAAGAAGATCATTTTGGAACTTTAAGATTTGTCTGCCCTGCTGGATTTCCAACTTGCATGAGGCCTGTAGCCCCTTTGGTTTGGCCAATTTCTCCTATTTGTAACGGATGTATTTACCCAATGCCTATACCCCCATTGTATCTAGGAAGTAACTAATTTGCTTTTGATTTTACAGGCTCACAGGCGGAAGGCACTTGCCTTGTCTCAGATGAGACTTTGGGCTGTGCACTTTTGGGTTAATGCTGAAATGAGTTAAGACTTTGGGGGACTGTTGGAAGGGCATGATTGGTTTTGAAATGTGAGGACATGAGATTTGGAGGGGCTGAGGCAGAATGATATGGTTTGGCTGTGTCCTCACCCAAATCTCAACTTGAATTGTATCTCCCAGAATTCCCATGTAATGTGGGAGGGACCCAGGGGAAGGTAATTGAATCATGGGAGTTGCTGGTCTTTCCCATGCTATTCTCGTAATAGTGAATGAGTCTCACAAGATCTAATGGTTTATCAGGGGTTTCCGCTTTTGCTTTTTCCTCATTCTCTCTTGCCACCACCATGTAAGAAATGCCTTTTGCCCTCCACCATGATTGTGAGACCTTCCCCAGCCATGTGGAACTATAAGTTCAATTAAACCTCTTTCTTTCGTAAATTGCCCAGTCTCGGACTACCAAAAAAAATAAAATAAATAAATAGAAGACTAAAACCTAAGGCCACAAAGTTTATAGTGGTTATCTCTGGGTAGTGGAATTATGAACAATTTTTCATTTTTGCTTCACTGCATTTTTTAAACTTTCTAAAATGAACATGCTTTGTTTTTGTCATTAGAAAAAAGCTAATTTCTTTGAAAAAATAGCTATTCCCTTTCAGATGGCTTAAGACAACAGGATACTCTAAAACTAAGGATAGAGAGCCCTAGTTTACAACAGGAGTTTCCAAGTGGCCCAGAAATCAGTAGGATGCAACTGATGGTCCAAGATATAAAGCCCAACAGGTGTCTTGTAATGATGTTTTTTAAAATGACAATACCCATGCTCACTCTCATTAGTGTGGGGTCAACTATTTACTGAAAATAACAGGCGGGGCATGGTGGTTCACAAATGTAATCCCAGCACTTTGAAAGGCAAAGGTGGGAGGACTGTTTGAACCCAGGAGTTACAGACTAGCTTGGGCAACATAGTAAAACCCCATCTCTACAAAAATAAAAATAAAAAAATAAGCTGGGTGTGGTGTTACACACCTGTGGTCCCAGCTACTTAGGAGGCTGAGGTGGGAGGATCACTTAAGCCCTAGAGGTTGAGGCTGCAGTGAGCTAAGACTGAACCACTGCACTCCAGCCTGGGTGACAGAGTAAGACCCTGTTTCAAATAAAAAAATAAAAATAACACATCCTCTCAATGGTGTTTCATAAAAGGAGGAACTAGTCACTCCAGTCCAAGGAGTTTTACCCCTCTGCTAATCCAGCTCTAGAGACAAACAGGAAGAGATTATTGATGAGATCTTTCACCACCAAAGTGGTCTGTATACTTGAAACATCTAAAAACTACCTTGGAGGACAGACGGTTATAAATGTGACAATGTCACAGACGAGAGAGTGGAGAGAAAAGAACTTTGTGTGCTTTATTCTTCAAACCAAGGAAACTCACCAGCTAGAACAACCCTAGTTGACAGAAAGTAGAAGGGAGGCAGAGAAAGAGAGAAGCTAGAAGTAATAGGACAGAATTCTATGGGAAGGGGGGCTGTCTCGCCATATTGACAGTGCCAGTCATGATGTCCTGTATCCAGGGTACTCATAAATATGACTGTGTAGGAACAGGATCACGCCCAGCTAAGCTGTGACACCAGCAGTGGCAAGCACACATCTGCTGAGCCACAGACTCTAAACTCAGAACCAGGTCACTCTGGGATAGGGCAGTGGCAGTAGTAGGAAAGGTGCTGTTCTGGAGCCCAACAGCTAGGGTGGGCTAGGGATTGATTCTTTGATTGGGTCAAAAATCTGAATGATTTTTTGGTGGGAAACTGGCCAAGAGAGGGAAAACACTGAAAATAACTTTTTAACTTAACCTGGTTCTCTACGGATTGAAAGCAGGCGAGAGAAGAGGCCCATGTGTCTGTTACTAGAGGATGGAGGCTAATGCTCCAACTCCATCCATTCCTATAGCATGGTGAAAACAAACACATGACTTTCTCCTGTCTCTCCCAGAGGAGACACAAGGAGTGAAATCAACACAGCCATCTCTTGCCCTAATTGCCTGAGGTTAATAATTGCTTGTCTGAAACTGACTGTTTATGAGGCCCAAGAGAGAAAAAGAGGCTCACAGCCTAGCCAAATGGACTTGTGAGTTTTAGAATACTTGCTCCTAGGATCAGGAAGAAGCAGTCTTCCTTCCATAGACTGAAGTAGTCTTTGGGAAGGAAAAATCTGTTCCTCCTGCTATTCTTTGTCAGTAACTGGCATCAACATCTAGCCAGATACCCTGGCAACCCTTCACCCTTCAGCTCCCATGTTCTTCCTTCCACCAGTCACCAAGCCCTGTGGATCCACCCCTGGAGCATTTATCCTTTCAGTTCTTGCTCTTGTCATCTCTCTCCAGCAGCTTTTCCCCCTCCTCCTTAGCGGTCTCCCAACCACCTCCCATCCAAGTCCATCTACAGAAGCACCAAAGGAACCTTCTAAAACAGTTTAGATTGTGGCTAGCCAGTCTTTAAAGACTTCTGATGGTTCCATTTCATCTATCAGGTTAAGTCTAAACTCCAACAGCAAACAAGACCCTTCACCACTGGGTCTCATTTCTCCAGTTTCACCTCTCACCACTCTTCCACACACGCCCTGTCCTCCAGCTACACTGGACTATTCCCAATTTCTGAAAACATCATGCTGTTTCATTCTTCTGTGTCTGTTCTTAGGCTATTCCTTCTGCCCAAGCCATCCTTCTCTGCCCGCTTTCTAGTAGAAAGCATTCGTTTGATAGCCAGGTGAAAGGTCACTTTGTCTATGAGCCCAAGCAAAGGTGGTAACAACCGTTGATTATAGTTGACATTTATGGATCACTTGCTAGGTGCCAGGCACTGTACTGTATCCTCTGCATCAAGAACAGTTCCTGACTTGGACAGGCGCGGTGGCTCATGCCTGTAATCCCAGCACTTTGGGAGGCTGAGGCGGGCGGATCACGAGGTCGGGAGATCGAGACCATCCTGACTAACACGGTGAAACCCTGTTTCTACTAAAAATACAAAAAATTAGCCGGGCATGGTGGTGGGAGCCTATAGTCCCAGCTACTCGGGAGGCTGAGGCAGGAGAATGGCGTGAACCCGGGAGGCAGAGCTTGCAGTGAGCCGAGATCGCGCCACTGCACGCGACACAGCAAGACTCCACCTAAAAAAAAACAAAAAAAAAACAAAAAAAAAAAAACAAAAAAAACAGTTCCTGACTCAAAAAGGTCCTCAGGAAACATCACAACAGCCCTGTGAAAGCTCTATTTCTGCTTCTTAGAACAGCTTTACTGAGATAAAAACCACACATTCTACCCATTTTACAGGTCAAGAAATCAAGACAGAAACAGAAAGCTTCAGTAATGTGACCAAAACCACATAGCTGACTCCGGTACCCACTCTTAATCCCTGTGTTAATAAGCCTAATACTGATGCTATCTTATAATAATCTGCATATGTTTCTCTCTCTCCCCATTTCTCTGTGAGTTTCTCAAGGGCAACACATTTATCTTAACTTTGGCTCTCCAGCACCTAGTACAGTTCCTGGCACATGTGATAAATGAACAAATGAAGAAATGAATGAATGAATATCATTCAGCAATACATATGAAATCCTTTTTAAAAATATGAGAATATTAAAGGAAACCAATGTTCTTGAGGAAGAAAAACTTATGAAGTGTAATACACAGAGTCATGAACACAGGCAAAGCACAAAATAAATCTAACTCAAATAAAGCAGAGCCTGAAGAATAGTGGTTGAGGGTTTGTTGTGGCAGAGGGCTGGCACAGAGAATGCTCTCTGTGGAGTAAACTATTGCATGGCTGAGGCCTGCAGTCTGGGGGCAGAAACACAGTGCTGCAACAGTCAGTAGGTTGGTGTGTGGGAAGTCTGAGTGTGGGATGCTGGGACAGGTGTGGACAGGGCGGACGCACAGCCGGAGCAAAAGTGAGGGTGAGTATGGAGGCAGGCAGGAGACTCAGAAAGGGCTATGTGTTTTGAAAAAAGCTTGAAGGGGTAAAAAGGAGTTAGGAAGGCAGAGGAGGAATGATATGTGCTTGGGGCAGAGTCAGAGAAGATCAAGGAAAGTGAGAAGTGACTTCAAATATTTTAAACAAACTGTGCAATAAGCAAACATTTCTGGAGTTTGCTCTATACGAAGAGTGTGATGGGTGCCAGGAAACCTGGTGACTCAGATAGTCTCTGTCCTCAGGGAGCTCCCAGTAAACAATTACAAAATACAGGAGGAAAGTACAAAGGAAGCAGACCTAGCCCATCAGGGGAAGCTGACACCTGAGTTTTGAACAATGAGTAGGTGAGGCTGGGCAGTCCAAGGCTGTGCACAGGTTGGAGGGCAAGAGAGAATGGTGTGCTGGGGTGGGGCTGTGTGTACTGTAATTAGCTCAATATAGCCAAAACAGGGCAAGAGCTGGGAGGAGTGACAGGAAAGAGAACACAAAAGGGGCTCCCGTGGATGCTGGTACCACTCTTCCTTAATCTGGGTGCTGGTTACTCAACGTTTCGTGAAAATTCACGTATCTGTACACTAATGAGTTATACATTTTTCCGTATATATGTCATACTTCAATAAAAAGTTACAATCCGGCTGGGCGTGGTGGCTCACCCCTGTAATCTCAGCACTTTGGGAGGCCGAGGAGGGTGGATCACAAGGTCAGGAGTTCGAGACCAGCCTGGCCAATATGGTGAAGCCCCATCTCTACTAAAAATACAAAAATTAGCCGGATGTGGTGGCGGGCGCATGTAGTCCCAGCTATTCGGGAGGCTGAGGCAGGAGAATCTCTTGAACCTGAGAGGTGGAGGTTGCAGTGAGCCGAGATCACGCCACTGCACTCCAGCCTGGGAGACACAGCAAGAGTCCGTCTCAAAAAAAACAAAAACAAAAAAAAAGTTACAATCCAAAAAGTCTCAGCAAGCAGGTAGGAGTCAGATCACGGAGGGCTAAGCTTGCACAGTCATCCAAAAACATCTACCTACAGGCCCAGACAGGATACCTGAAATCATGTCTGAAATGGCAGCCTCATGTGGGCAAGAGCTAGGGCATCACGCTGGCCTAACCAGAAGGAACTGTGCCAAGAGGACTAAGAGTTTTACCCCAAAATGATATAACCTACCATTTGCTAGGGCAGCCCAGATGCACAGGCACTAGGCTTTCTATATAAGCCTTGATATTTAGCCTTATCCTAGGGATATTAGAGTAAATCAGTCAAATGTGTATGTACATTGGCTGTAGTATCAGGAAATTTCATTATCTACTCAATCTAGCTTTGAATATGTTATGTTTTCTAACTCTCTATTTGTGTCAGGGTGGGGGCCAAAAGCCTCAGCAAGACCGGGGGTAATACTTTGCCTCCAGGGACTGCACCTCACAGCGATCTGGGCCTGGGTGGGTGGCACAGCTACAGGAGTGAGCAGGAATGTAATGAGGTGGGGCCATGGGGACTGGTTCAGGACAGGGACTTCAAGTGGAGTAATCAGAGAATAAAGAGATTGGGTCACAGGTGATGATCTATACCAAGACAGGCAGAAACGCACTGGAATGTAGTCAAAAGGGCTCAGGTCCCACAGGACTATCAGAAAAGGAAGTTGCACCAGGGTGTGGGGCAACAAGTGAGACTGCCCAGGAGGAGGAGGAGATCCTGGGGGCAGGGCCAATGTATTACATTCCTTGCCAAGTGTGTTCTTTTAACGGGGCAGCCTCTCTCAGAGCAATCCGTACATATCAGTGATAACGATGATAATTTATTGAGCACTTACTCTGTTCCAGCCATGACTGTAAGCACTTTACTTGCCTTAAGCCATTTAGTCTTCTCAATAATTCCATGAAGTGGGTACAATTACTGTCCCCATTTTACAGATAATGAAACTGAAAGACAGAGAAGTTATTTGTCTGGGGTCACGAAACTAGTGAATGAGAGCAATAGGATTTAAACCAAATGGTTTTACTTCAGACCCCATGTTCTGACTGCATCACTGGGCCACCCTCTTGATCTCAATCAAGCACCATAAAAATAACAATAGGCAGAGCAACTAGTTATTGAGTGGATTCTGCTAAGGAAGCACGCTAAGCATTTTATATTTCTTATTTATTCCTCCACTATCTCTAGGAGGTAGATATTCTGGGATCAAACTGAGGCTCTTGAGGCTGCATGATTTGCTCAAGGCTACAGAGCTGGTAATTAGAATAAGCAGGCTTTGAAGTTGGGTTGACCTGACAAAAACTGAGTCCTTGAGTCCTCTATGACTCCTTCCATTGGCAGGGCTTTGGCCTACAGGAACCTCAACTCGAAGTGATGGGATCACCAGGCCTCAGGATCATCACTCTTCCATTGTTCCTCTAAGGCTAGGCTCCAGGAAGAGAACCTCATTGAAACCTCCCAGGTCTCCCTATAAGGCCTATAAGGATGCTAACAATCATGAGGTCTCTTTTATTTTTTAATTTTTTTTACATGGTCTCACTCTGTTGCCTAGATTGGAGCTCAGTGACGCGGTCATAGTTCACTACACTCAAACTCCTGGGCTCGAGTGATCTGAGGGATCTTTTAAAAGGGAGGATACTATTAAAAATAGCAACCAATACCATCTGAGCAGTTATTACACGCCTCCATACCATTCATTCTTTATATTCACTCTATAAGGCAGACACTCTTTCATCCCCATGCTGCAGATAAGGAAACTGAGGCTTAGAATTGTTAAGTGACTTGCCCAAGGTGATAGAGCCAGGAGACAGTGGAGCTGGGATTAGCCACCAGATCTGTCTAACATGAGAGCAGCCTGGGCTCTTAATCATGCTTGAATACCTTCTGATAGCACTGATCCTTCTTTCTCCTTGGCAAGCAAGTCCTGTCACATGGCCTTTTTTGGTGGCATAAGGAAAGCTGGAAGAACCCTTAGGTGGCAAACTTCAAGAATATCTCGCTGTTGACAAACACCAATGGTGAAAAAGCAGGACCATCTATTAGCATCTGTTTGTCTGTTTTCCTTTTTAAAGCCTAATGAAGACTACTTCCCAAGGAAGGAGTTTTTAATTAGCTCACTGAAAGGCAGAGTACACTTTGCCCAAGCAACAGCCTTCAAAGCGAAACTTAAGCTGCTCCACTAAACTAATATCAACCTGCCCAAAGACCTGTGTTCCCCAGCCAACACTACAATAAGGACATCACAATACAATGGCCCGAGGCTTGTCCTGGCCTGCATCTCTCAGAGTGTCCCAGGCAACCCTGGGCTGCCACAAAGGAAGCCAGGGGAAAGCAAGCAGCAAGAGTCAAGGGGACAAAGCAAACAAGGTCACTCCCTTCTGTGGTGTATCTGCTCCATGGAAGTCTGGGGAGCATTGCTAAGTTTACTTCCACTGCCCCTATCGTCTTATCAATCAAGTTAATTTAATTTCGTTTTTAATTATGTACTCACTGAAGAAACTTTGGAAAAAAAACATATGAGGCCGGGCGTGGTGGCTCACGCATGTAATCCCAGCACTTTGGGAGGCCAAGGCGGGTGGATCACCTGAGGTCAGGAGTACAAGACCAGCCTGACCAACATGGAGAAACCCCGTCTCTACTAAAAATGCAAAATTCGGATGTGGTGGCGCATGCCTGTAATCCCAGCTATTCGGGAAACTGAGGCAGGAGAATCACCTGAACCCGGGAGGCAGAGGTTGTGGTGAGCCGAGATTGTGCCATTGCACTCCAGCCTGGGGAACAAGAGCAAAACTCCATCTCAAAAAAAAAAAAAACAAAAAAAAAAAAACTACATATCTATACGAAAAGGAAATAAAACTCACCCATGAACTTAATCTACAGGAACAAGTATTATCCTTTTGGGATCTATTTTCTAACTATTTTTGTTGCTTTAACATAGTTGAGATTCATTAAAATGCTGGGCACAGTGGCTCACACCTGTAAGCCCAGCACTTTGGAAGGCTGAGGCAGGTGGATTGCTTGAGGCTTAGAGTTCAAGACTAGCCTGGACAACAGAGCAAGATATGGTCTTTACAAAAAACCTTTAAAATTCCGAGATTGCACCACTGCACTCCAGCCTGGACAACAGAACAAGACTCTGTCTCAAAAAAAAAAAAAAAGAAAGAAAGAAGGAAAAAAAGAAAGAAAAAAACCCAACTAGGCATGGTGGTGCATGCCTGTCGTCTCAGCTACATGGGAGGATGGGGTGGGAGGATCACTTGAGCCTAGGAGTGTGAAGTTACAGTGAGCTATGACTGTGCCACTGCACTTCAGCCTGAGTGGCCTGGGTGACAGAGTAAGACCCTGTCTCCAAAAAACAAAATTAGATTAAAAAAAATACATATATATAATATATATATATATATACACACATACACAATTTTACATTGTTTAAAAAAACATTTATTTTCATGTAGTTTAAAATTATATTTAAATATCATGTGCATAATATTCTACTACATGGGTAAACCATATTTTACTTAACCACTCCTCTCTAAAGTATTTTCTAATTTTTCCAGTGATTATAAATAATTCTGCGATTAATAACTTTGTACCATAAAGCTTTCTGTCTTTATTTCTGCATTACTTTAGGATAGGTTCTCAAAAGTAGAATAAAAATCAAAACTACAAACATTTTATCCCCAGGTGGATAGTGTTAGAAAAATAAATGAATAAAATTTTTTAAAACTCCAAACTTTTTTTTTTTTTTTTGAGACGGAGCTCCGCTTTTGTTGCCCAGGCTGGAGTGCAATGGCGTGATCTCGGCTCACTGCAACCTCCACCTCCCGGGTTCAAGCGATTCTCCTGCCTCAGCCTCCCGAGTAGTTGGGATTACAGGTGCCCACCACCACGCCCTGCTAATTTTTGTATTTTTAGTAGAGACAGGGTCTCACCATGTTGGCCAGGCTAGTCATGAACTCCTGACCTCGGGTGATCCACCTGCCTCGGCATCCCAAAGTGCTGGGAATTACAGGCGTGAGCCACCGCGCCTGGCCAAAAAAACTCCAAACATTTTAAGACTGCCCATGGTTGTACAAATTTATCAGCCAACTTCCATGTGGGAGAATATCTATTTGATAGAACATTTGCCAGAACTGAGAATTAGCTTCTAAAATCTTTACCAATTTCAGAGGCAAAAAACAAAAAAAGCTTTCAAAAGTTTTTAAATTTCAATTTGCCTTTTCTTTATTAATTATCCATGAGTTGAATATTTTTCCATAATTTTCAGTGATTTATATTCCTTTTCTTGTGAATTTTCTCAAATATTTTCTTTTTTAGGATAAAAAGTAAATTATTCCTTAATTTTATTAAATAATTTTATTAATATTATGTGGTAAAATGTGAACTGTAGAAATATAACTTGCAGAAGTTATAACTGAACTAACTATATTATATATACTGTTAGCAGAGATTACTAAAATACTCAAAGAGCTGGAGTGGTTCAGAGACCTAGCTAAAATAGAACTCTTCAAATATTTTAACAGATTAGAAATGTTGTTTGTGAGGGTCTCTATTTATAGTAGCAAATAATGGAAAACAAATGTCCAACAAAAGAGAAGCGCTGGGATCTCATAACAAATACGCAAGAGGAACTGAAGTGGACATGCAGCAGAGTGATGAAAGACTTCCTTTCCAATTTATAGGTTTGAATTTCTTTTATTCTTACCAAATGCTTAAACTACTTGCAAAATTAAATTTAAATTTAAAGGAAATGACAAATATGTGACCAATGTCAGACATGATTCATATGAAATAAGTGATAAAAGTAAAACAAAATTATGTATATAACATTACGAAAATGTCTATGAATTCATTAAACAAAAGTCTGGAGTGATATAAAATTTTTTTTGCTCTGTGGAACAAAAAAAAAACCATGGCTGTGAAAGAGATACATATAACTTACTTACATGTTTTTCTTCCCCAAACAAAAACCTTTTCGTTGACTTACAGGTCATAAAATATTTTTTTTTAATGGCATACTTTTACATTTTTACGAGCGACTCCTAGGAAAACAAATAAACATGCACCTTCTGAGGGCATGTCTTCAGTTTCTCTATCTTTGCACTCGGCTATTTTAAAGATGACATTTCCAAAGGCCAGTACTTGGTCCCTTCTGCCAGGCTGCTGCGTATATTGTTTATTTTAATGGACACCAGACACCTTGATAAATGACAACCTATCTGAACCTGACACTCTGGAAACAGGGATTAAGGCAGGGAGAGTTCACAGACAGCAGAGTATTTACTGTTAAGAGTTATTTCTGACAAAATGACCACCACGATCTTCAGAACAAGACAATTCAGGCTATGCAATATCTAGCCATTTTAAGTAATCCAATAATAAATTAAACTAATAGGCCTACAGAAAGACCACTCATAAGCATTCCAAGAGAAACAATCTCTTATAAAGACCTAAGGCATCCTCGGGTGCCACCCCAGAAAAGGTAGGCAAACTGTAAGTAAAAGGTTCTATGTACAACTTTTTACTCTTTACTTCCTGAGTACACAAACTATTTAACAATAGTGTACAAATATAAGGACTCTTACACGCTTCTTATGGGAGTATAAATGTGGCAATACATTCCAGAAATCTGACTGGGTGTGGTGGTTCATGCCTGTAATATCAGCACTCAAGGAGGTAGAGGTGGGAGGACAGCTTGAGCCCAGGAGTTCAAGACCAGCCTGGGCAACACAGTGAGACCCCATTATCCACAAAAAGGAAAAAAAATCAATAAATTAATTCCAGAAATTGTTAAAAAGTGGCAAATATTTCTATTTCTAGGACATTATAAGAAAATAACTAAATATGAGTGCAAAAATTGCTGTACATTAGAAAGTTAATTGTAATATTTAAACAGCTAAAAACTGGAAAATCACCTAAATATTTAATGATACATACATTGGTTAAAGAATTTCTATATTCATAAAATGAATATGCAGCCATTAAAAATGATAGACTAGAACTGGGCGCAGTGGCTCACACCTGTAACCCCAGCACTTTGGGAGGCCAAGGCAGGCAGATCACTTGAGGTCAGGAGTTCAAGACCAGCCTGACCAACATGGTGAAATCTTGTCTCTGCTAAAAATGCAAAAATTAGCCGGGCATGGTGGTGCGTGCCTGTAGTCCCAGCTACTTGAGAAGTTGAGGCACAAGAATCACTTGAACCCAGGAGGCAGAGGTTGCAATGAACTGAGATCATGTCACTGCACTCCAACCTGGGCGACAGAGCGAGACTGTCTCAAAAAACAAGATAGATCAGACATTTATTGATATATGTTATATGTAGTAGGTTGTATTATTGGCCCCAATTTCCCCCCACCATGTCCAGGCCCTTTGCTGTATAACTTTGCCGTGCCTTCCTGTTGTGAACAGGATGGAAATCTCCACCCCTGGGCTCAGCCATGTGTAACTTTTTTTTTTTTTTTTGAGATGGACTCTCGCTCTGTCGCCCAGGCTGGATTGCAGTGGCACAGTCTCAGCTCACTGAAACCTCTGCCTCCCAGGTTCAAGCAATTCTCTGCCTCAGCCTCCCAAGTAGCTAGGATTACGGGTGCCTGTCACCACGCCCAGCTAATTTTTGTATTTTTAGTAGAAATGAGGTTTCACCATCTTGGCTAGGCTAGTCTTGAACTTCTGACCTCATGACCTCATGATCCACCCACCTAAGCCTCCCAAAGTGCTGGGATTACAGGCGTGAGCCACCATGCCGGGCCATATGTTACATTTTGATCAATGGGATATTAGCACATGTGATGCAACCAGGAACTTAAAAAGTGCATGCCTGACTAGGCTTGCTCACTATTGTGCTTCTGCCATTGCTATGAAAAGAAAATACCTAAGTCTGTCCCCTGGCCCAAGAGGATGACAACCATGTGGAGCAGAGCCCAACCTAGATTAGCCAACTCCAGCCAGCCACTGACGTGAAAATGAAGCCCATGTAACCAGCCAACTGACAAGCCATGTCCAACCTAGATCAGCTGACTCCTTGCTGACTTACAGATGTATGATCTAAGTAAACACTTGTTGTTGTTTTAAGCTACTGAATTCTGGAATGGTTTATTAACATTTTTGTGGTACTAGCTAATTGATACAAGATTTAAAAGTCTGGAGGGAAAAATGTTGGAAAAATCTGGAAATATATAACCCAAATGCTTACAGAGGAACTTTTAGTTAAAAATAATAGATTGATCACATGTGTTTATCAACTCTCCCTCCAAAAATCTCATTAAAATGAAAACAAGAGATTAAAACCATATTAAATCACAAAGAAAATAAGGGGAGATTATAGCAAAACCAACTTTAACACAATAGTGAAAAAATACAAAGCAGGTGAGAGAAGAATAAATCACTTGGTGATGTGGAAGAAATTACAGCTCAGTGGCCTACAAAGAGGATTACTAATAAAAATCAGCCAACTCACCCCACAGAACTTCTGAGAAATTCAGCACTAGAGTGCATCAGGTGCTATGGGAGGTGGGGGTATGGCATAGAGAAAAAAATCAAGTTGAAAGTTTATATACAGACCACTGAGAACAACAGGTGTTACCCCAACTATGTGCAGCCAAATGACCATTCCCGCATAACCCATCCCTCTAACTTTCTACTCTACCTGCAGAAGACCTCAGTTCTGGAGAAAGCTAACTAAGGGCACAAGTCTAGGAACTACTTTGCACAGTAGTGGGCTGAGGAGAGGTGTGGGCTGAAAAGCAATGAGATTAAATAAAGTCTCCAGACTGAAACCAGCCACCTTCCCTGTTCCTGCTCTCACAACTCCAGCAGCTAGTCTTATGCACCCTCCACCCCACAAAAAAACCCTAACTCTGCTACCCCAGACAGGACTTCAGAGGATTCCTCTTTGGGAAAACTGAATAGTTGCAAAGGAAAATAAAACCTGCAGATGATGACATTTGTAAATGCCCCCGACCCAAAGAAAGAGGCCAGCCCACTGCCTGATTCCCTGTACAGTGAAAATGATCCACCAACAAGCCCTGCCCATGCACGGAGTCTCCAGTCAATATGTTAGTGCTTCATTTAAAATTTTTTTTTATTATTATTATTTTTTTTACAGATGGCTGTCACCCAAGCTGGAGTACAGTGGCACAATCATAGCTCACTGCAGCCTCAAACTCCTAGACTCAAGCAATCCTTCTGCCTCAGCCTCCTGAGTAGCTGGGACTATAGGCAAGTACCATCACACCGGGCTAAATTCCTTTTTTTGTAGAGACGAGGTCTCACTATGTTGTCCAGGCTGGTCTTGAACTCCTGGCCTCAAGCAATCCTCCCACCTCAGCCTCCCAAAATGCTGGGATTATGGGTGTGAGTCATTGTGCCAGGCCATGTCTCACTCTTAAATAGAAACAGCAAGGATTACCATACATATAAGAAAATCATATGGAAGAAATCCTCCCAAAACAAACAATTAAAAAAAAATACCAGGAAGACAAAGAGACTATGCTTGGAACAAATAGAAACTGAAAATATATATGTATAATCAGAGATGTAATAAAGGATACTGTGGTGATAAAATAAAAATAGGATGCCTCAAAGAAACAACCAGAGACCAGATAAAAATGTATAAAAATGTAATAAATAAAAGTTAAAACTCAATAGAGGAGCTGGAAGATAAAAACAAGGAAATGTCCCAGAAAAAGTAAGAGAAAGTAAGTAAAAATGATGGGAAAAACAATAGAAAATAAAATATGCATAACTTAATCAATCAAGAAAATCCAACATCCAATAAACATCCAAAACAAGAGGACAGAGAAAACAGAGGTAGAATTTGGAAAAGTTGTTCAGGAACACCCTCTAGAACTAAAGACACTAGTTTCCATATTGAAAGGGCCTACCAAGTGCTCAGCATAATGAATTTAAAAAGACGCATGTCCAGACATAGCATCATAAAATTTCAAAACGCTCAGGATAAAAAGAAGACACTTAATTTTTCTTCTCCTTTTTTTTTTTTTGAGACAGAGTCTTGCTCTGTTGCCCAGGTTGGAGTGCAGTGGCGCGATCTCGACTCACTGCAAGCTCCGCCTCCTGGGTTCATGCCATTCTCCTGCCTCAGCCTTCTGAGTAGCTGGGACTACAGGTGCCAGCCACCATGTCCGGCTAACCATATATATATATATATATATATATATATATATATATATATATATATATATATATATATATATATTTTTTTTTTTTTTTTTTTTTTTTTTTTTTTAGTAGAGACGGGGTTTCACCGTGTTTTCTTCTCCTTTTCTTGAGGCAGGGTCTTGCTCTGTTGCCCAGGCTACAGTGCAGTGTCACTATCTTGGCTCAATGTAGCCTTAACCTCCTGGGCTCAAGTGACCCTCCTGCCTCAGCCACCCAAGTAGCTAGGACTATAGGCACGTGCCACCACACCTGGCTAATTTTGCTTATTTTTTGTAAAGATGAGGTCTCACTACGTTGCCCAGGCTGGTCTCAAATTCCTAGGCTCAAGAGATCCTCCTGCTTCAGCCTCCCAAAGTGCTAGGATTACAGGCTTGAGCCACTGTGCCTGGCCAGAAGATATTAAATATTTCAGGAAAAAAAAACTGGGTTATATCCATGACCATAAAACTGCTCAATAGCTACCAAGATACTAGAAGACAATGAAGCAATGCCTTCAAAATTCTAAAGGAAAAGTTATTCGAGTCTAAAATTCTTAATCCTACCCAACTATTAATTTGGTGCTAAACCAGAACAAAGATATTTTTTAGACATGGAATAACTCAAAATATATATCTCATATACCCTTTTTTTTTTTTTTGAGACGGAGTCTCACTCTGTCGCCCATGCTGGAGTGCAGTGGCACAATCTTGGCTCACTGCAACCTCTGCCTCCCAGGTTCAAGCAATTCTCTGCCTCAGCCTCCCAAGTAGCTGGGATTACAGGTGCCCACCACCACGCCCAGCTAATTTTTTGTTTTTAGTAGAGATGGGGTTTCACCATCTTGACCAGGCTGGTCTTGAACTCCTGACCTCGTGATCTACCTGCCTTGGCCTCCCAAAGTGCTGGGATTACAGGTGTAAGCCACTGCGCCCAGCCTTCATACACCCTTTCTTAGACAACTACTGAGAAAGTACTTCAGAAAAACAGAAAAAAATCAATAAAAAAGAGAAGGAACTCCAGGAGAGGAGGGATACAGAACAGGAGATTTATGAAGTTAAGTTCCAGTATGACAGCTTTATACCAGGCCCAGAGAACAACCAGGACAGACTGGGGTAGGATAAAAGATGTGTGAGAAAAATCTCCAGAAAAACAATAAAACCTATAAACTATTTGATGTGTTTAAGTGTTGTTAAAAGAAAAAAAAAAAAAGAACATTGTTAGGTACTTGACAGATCTAGTGGAGCAACCAGGGAATAAAACAGTGATTGGCACCCACAAACTAAGCAAAAAACCAAACAAGCAATAAAAGACAATTATTAACCCCAGGAAAAATAAAAGGTAGTACATGGAAGAAAAAAGTAGTCATAGTTACTACTTTGCCCAGCAGTGGAATAACACACACAGTGTTGTAAAATATAGGTGCTGATACTGATTCAATAAAAACTATGATGTTGACCAGGTGTGGTGGTTCATGCTTATAGTCCTGGCACTTTGGGAGGCCAAGGAGGGTGGATCGCTTAAGTCCAGGAATTCGACAGCAGCCTGGGCAACATGGCAAAACCCTGTCTCTATAAAAAATACAAAAATTAGCCAGGCATGATGGAGGGTGCTTGTAGTCCTAGCTACTTAGGAGGCTGAAGTGGGAGGATCACCTGAGCTGGGGAGGTCAAGGCTTCCGTGAGCCATGACTGCCACTGCACTCTAGCCCTGAGTGACAGAGTGAGACCCCGTCTCAAAAACAAAACAAGAAAAAACAAAACAAATAAACAAGAAACCATGGTGTAACTACTACAGGAAAATCAGGCAAAGGGGAAAAGGGGATATTGGTACCAAAGAGCTAAATTTTTTTTTTTTTTTGAGATGGAGTCTTGCTCTGTCACCCAGGCTGGAATGCAGTGGCGAGATCTCGGCTCACTGCAACCTCCACCTACCTGGCTCAAACCATTCCCCTGCCTCAGCCTCCTGAGTAGCTGGGATTACAGGTGCACACCACCACACCCGGCTAATTTTTTTCCTATTTTTAGTAGCGATGGGGTTTCACCATGTTGGCAAGACTGGTCAAACTCCTGATCTCAGGCAATCCAACCGCCTTGGCCTCCAAGTGCTGGGATTATAGGAGTGAGCCACTGCACCTGGCCCCAAAGAGCTAAATCTTTATCACTGTCCATGATGGGAGTGCAACAAATAATGTCTAAAATTTATAATTCAGGAAATATAATATAAGGTCTTATTTAGAAATATGGAATACTAGCAAAAGCCAGAAAGTAGTTGCTTCAAAGAAGTTGAACTAGGGGTGGGAAGAAAGAGGAAGGCTGCTATTCTAATCATAAGCCTTTTAGAACCTTTTTTAATTTTTTTTAAGAGATAAGGTCTTACTCTGTCACCCAGGCTGGAGTGCAGTGGCATGATCACAGCTCACTGCAGCCTCAAACTTGCAAGCTCAAGCAATCCTCCTGCCTCAGCCTCCCAAGTAGTTGGGACTACAGGTACATGCCACTGTGCCAGGCTAATTTTTTTATGTTTTGCAGAGACAAGCTCTTGCTATGTTCCCCAGGCTGGTCTTAATCTTCTGGGCTCAAGTGATCTTCCTGCCTCAGCTTCCCAAAGTGCTGAGATTACAGGTATGAGCCACCACACCTGGCCTAGAACTTTTTTGTAAAGCTATGTTAACAGTCACTGTCTGAGAAGTTAAGTTTTCAAGATGTTTTAATTTTTTTCTCTTGCCATGACTACATTTTCTAAATAATCTTGTATTACTTGTGTAATTTTTAAAAATGTTTTTAAGTGTTGCATTAAAAAAAAAACAAAACAAAACCACAGCACAAGTGTTGCAAAATCTTGCATAAATCAGGGACTGACCTTTGTACTCTCCTTTCAGGGCCTTACCTTTTATCGTAGTCAAAATGAAGAAAGCAATGAGGGTGTTGTTGATGGCACAGGTAGACTTGGCAACACAAGACAAAATCGTGTAAGGATTTAAGAGATAGCTGGGGAAGAACAAACATATTTGGCATTAGTAATCCTGACCAAGGAGCCCTCGCCATTACAGCAAGGAAGTTCCAAGAGATTTATTAAAAGCTTACGCAAAGGAAGGCAGCTTCTCAGAAATGAGTTCCCCCAAATAAAAGAGAATAGAGTGGGGGTTGAGGCTGATAAGTAAAAGGTACTGAACATGGACTGCCTATTCTGTTCTATGGAGTATATGGAAAACTGTTGTATTTAATCATCACAGAGATCCTGTAACTCACAATAACATCATTCCAGTTTTGCAGATGAGGAAACATTTGCAGGTGACATTCAAGAAGCAGCTGAGTCTCAATGGTAAAGCGACTTGCCCAAAATCTCACAAACTAATAAATACATCCAAAATCAGGTCTTTCTAGCTCTATAAATGTTCATTTTACTATTTCAGATTTCAAAAAATGATAAAATTCTACCAATTCCCACAGAGCCACATATCTCAAGAATAGCTACATTTACCTCTGAGAACCAGGAAAGTACATTTTCCTCAGTCAGGCTCCTAAGCCCTGACACAGGTCATGCCAATCCAAGAGTTAAAGCAGCTTAGATGTAGCCTTCTTGGCAGTTAAACAGAATCCACTGAGCCAGACCCCAAGGACAGAATAAGTATCTACTGAGCTCAACAAGTCAAGTGTTACAGAACTTCAAAGGACATCTGGACCCTCACTAGGAAGGAGTTAATAAGCTGAAACACCTAGTGTTTTCCTGAGATGGGAAGGAATGAACTGAGAAAATGAATTCAAAATGTTTGTGAGTAGGGAAATCTTAGATAGTCATAACAAATTGTTTGTATTTATTTCTATCCTGCTTCCACAAAGGATTTGAGGCAGCTAAAATGAGAACAAGCCGGGAGCAGTGGCTCATGCCTGTAATCCCAGCACTTTGGGAGGCCGACACAGGCAGATCACCTGAGGTTGGGAGTTTGAGACCAGCCTGACCAACATGGAGAAACCCTGCCTCTACTAAAAATACAAAATTGGCCAGGCGTGGTGGCACATGCCTGTAATCCCAGCTACTCGGGAGCCTGAGGCAGGAGAATGGCTTGAACCCGGGAGGCTGAGGTTGCAGTGAACCGAGATGACGCCATTGCACTCCAGCCTGGGCAACAAGAGTGAAGCTCAGTCTCAAAAAAAAAAAAGAACAGATAATAAAAAATAGGCTGGGCATGGTGGCTCACTCACACCTGTAATCCCAGCACTTTGGGAGGCCAAGGTGGGTGGATCACTTGAGCTCGAGTTCGAGACCAGCCTAGCCAACATGGCGAGACTCTGTCTCTACTAAAAAAAAAACATAAAAAAACCCTTAGCCAGGCATGGTAGTACACACCTGTAGTCCCAGATACTTGGGAGGCTGAGGTGGGAGAATCACTTCAGTCCAGGAGGTAGAGGCTACAGTGAGCCGTGACTGTACCACTGTACTCCAGCCTGGGTGACAGAGTGAGACTCCATCTCAAAAAAACAAAGAACAGATAATAAAAAATAATAGCAAAGTACAAATAGAAATAAAGAATCGGCCAGGAGCAATAACTCATGCCTGTAATCCCAGCACTTTGGGAGGCCGAGGTGGGTGGATCATTTGAGGTCAGGAGTTCAAGACCAGCCTGGCCAACATGGTGAAACCCCGTCTCTGCTAAAAGTACAAAAAAATATCCAGGCGTGGTGGCGGGTACCTGTAGTCCCAGCTACTCGGGAGGCTGAGGCAGGAGAATTGCTTGAACCCAGGAGGTAGAGGTTGCAGTGAGCCGAGATTGCACCACTGCACTCCAGCCTGGGCAACAGAGCAAGACTCCGTCTCAAATAAATAAATAAATAATCAAGAGCAAGGAAAACATAAATAAAAGGAGACAGTAAAGGCAATGGAAGGACCACCAAATGGATATTCTACAGCACTATAGTAATCAGCTACAAATTCGGCTCTGAGTTTCCTGGCAGAGAAAGTGAAAAGGTAGACTAGTTACATAATTCTGGTTATCAGATAGGAAGAAACATGCCAGTGTCTCAGGAAGAGATGATGATTACTATTCACAAATAAAGACCTTAAATCCAATACCTCCCACGACTGTGAGATTAGCAGTTCTACAGCCAAAGGCCTAGAAATTGCTGGCGGTTTTTTTCAGCAATTACAGACAGGCTTGTTACATAATCTTTAAAGAAACAGCTGCTGCTATTACAAAGCTACCCCCAGGACACACATAAGTCCATAAGAGATTCATAAAGTTGCTAAATTTCTGGTTCTATTAAGGTAGATCCCACCAATATTTCTGAAATACATAGATTAGAACTGATAGTCCAAAACTATTTGGTGGGAAGAAAAAAAAGCCATTTCTAAATAGCAGGTGACGTTCAAGAAGCAGCTGCATAGACATCTAATAGGGAATAGGAAATCCACACACAAGGCAGAAGGTTGAGTAAACTAGTCTCACAAGGCCCCTTCTAATTCTGAAGTTCTAAGGGCGTGTTTTTCCACGAGGAAACTTGTTTGTCTTGTTTACTGTATATCCCTAGAAACTGGTATATTATTAATATTCAATGACTATTAGTGGATTGAATAATTATTCACATTTGCCTATCTCAGGAAGATAAATGGGAATAACCCAAAAGAGTACAACTTAATGGTAGCACTGGGTACACCCTAGAGAATTCTTTCATAGAGCCTCAGTAAGTTCCAGTCTTCCACATGGGTCACCCAGCTGGAATGCATCTGTTTGGCACTTCAGTTTTATAAGCTACAAATGGAGGACTATACTGTACACGAAACATAAGAGCTGCTTGAAATGGCAGCCACATAAAAACCAAACTTTTATTCAATCCATACATCACAATTGAAGAACTTTAGAAACACTGGTTATAAGTAGGCTGGAACCCAGATCAGCATGGAGTCAAAAAGCATTTGTGAAGGGTTTGATTGTACACAGCCCTGTGTGAGTCTTTGTCCCAAGAGAGACAGAATGGCTCTGTCTCTTTTGCTGGCCAGAACAACAGAGCCCAGTTGTGCAACAGAACTACAGCAAATACTTGATGACTAAGATTGCAAATCTCCAAAAATACAACAAACAACATGGGAAAGTCTCATCAGATTTTCCTCGCATTTGTTGGCACTAAGCCTGTTTTGTCAGGGAATACTTACAACAGGGCCACTTTCAAAGGGATGTAACGCATTTCCATAGGGGTCCGGATGAGTTCGGCCACATCTGGGGCATACTGGTCCAGTTCTAGGAGGAGTTTCTGCTTTTTAAACTAGAAAAAAAAAAAAAAGGAAAAGATAAAACACATGAAACAATTCACTTCCCATTGTTTTTATGCTGAAGACAAAAGTCCTTTCCATGGCCCACATGGCCCTGCCTGGTCTGGCCCTACCTCTCCAGGCTCATCTCACACTCGGCCCTCCCCATCCCCTTTCTGGGTTCCAGCACCATGAACATGCTGTGTCCCTCCTTTTCCCACACCTTTGCATTTGACCTGGAATAATTTCTTCTTCTCTTTCCCTAGTTAACTCCCACATGGTCCTTATATCTCAGTTAAATCATCATTTCCTTAGGAAGGCACACTTTCCCTCACCACCCCACACCCAGGTAAAATCCCCCTGTTATATATGTTCTTTCACATATGTTCACAGTTAGTAACTTTTTCACTTATTTATATGATTGACTAATGTCTGTCTCCCTCATTAGACTAAGAGTTCCATGAGGGCAGGGACCATGTTTATTTGCTTACCATGTATGCCTAACACCTGGCACAGTGGACAAACAATAAATATCTGTTGAATGGCTAAATGAATGACTTGCTGGCAAAGCAAAGTTCATAGCCATTTGAAGAGTTATCATCAGTGGCCTAAAGACTCCAAAGTTCCATCCATGAAGAAGTATTGTCAAGCAAGGTAGAATGATCCCAAATGTCACAGGATCTTGGGTTATGTTTTACTTCCACAGAGGAGGCGTAGAATGGCCATGATGATCAAGAGGAGGAAAGCTGGGTGTGGGTGGGCAGCTGGATAGTTAATAGGGAGTGGGATGGGGGTGGAAAGCTCTTGCCTTCCGCTGGTGTGTCCTAACAAGTTCATGGGTGTGTTCCAGAGTGAAAGAAAGGTAGGCAATCTTATAAGCAAACATGGGTCAGAATATAGATGAGAAAGCCTCTCAAACCAAAATCGGTGGCCCTGTTGATTTAATGATCAAAGAATCTCATTTAGACAATATAAAATCAATGCTGCTATCTATTAGAAAACAGTATTTCAGAGGAGCCAAGATAGCTGTGCTTAACTGTGAAGGATTAAAAATTTAATGATGTAAAAAGCAGATCACACTAGAAAATATACTGCATTGTGACATTTATATGAAGTTAAAAGCATGTAAAATAATACTATGTGTTGGGGGCCAGGCATGGTGGCTCATGCCTGTAATCCCAGCACTTTGGGAGGCCGAGGCAGGCAGATCACAAGGTCAGGAGATCGAGACCATCCTGGCTAACATGGTGAAACCCCGTCTCTACTAAAAATACAAAAAACTAGCTGGGCATGGTGGCGGGCACCTGTAGTCCCAGCTACTCGGGAGGCTGAGGCAGGAGAATGGCGTGAACCCGGGAGGCGGAGCTTGCAGTGAGCCGAGATTATACCACCGCACTCCAGCCTGGGCGACAGAGCAAGACTCCGTCTCAAAAAAAATAAAAAATAATACTATGTGTTATTTAGTAACATATATAATAAAAGTCAAGGCCATGTGTGTGGATGATAACCACTAGATTCAGAACAGTGGTACTGGGTAGGAGGAGAAATAGGGAGATGAAAGTATGAGAGAGAGAGAGAGAGCTGTAGGAGTAAATTTTTTTCAGCCCGAAAATAGGTTCAAAAGTATGTACTATGCTTTATCTATTTTTGCATGTCTTAGGTCTTTCAAAATTAAAAAAAAATTAACCAAAAAATATTTTTAGAAGACCATCTTTCAGTTTAAACTTGCACAGGTTTAGGTAGAGGCTTAATCTGAAAACCTGCAACAAACTTCAAAAACCTCCCTTTGATCATCTCTGTTCTTCTCACAGTTGGCAGAGTCCAAGTTAAGCGGTGGGAATTATCAGTAAGATTTATGGTGCCATTCACAGCTGGGGTTGTTTAATTAAAAGGACAAAATATAAACCAAGGTGCTTTTATCACAGAGAAGGGGGCTGGCTCAGCAATCAAGTGCTTAGTGAGGACAGCTGCAGCAGTGGTAGCAGGAAGGAGGCCTCACTAGCTAAGAGGTCTAGAGTTCTGCAGCAAAAACAAGGCCACCTGGAGTGGGTGAGATCCACAAAGAAGGCTGTGAGAAAGGAATAGAGTTCATCCAGGGGCAGCCAGACAGACAGGTGGGAATGCAGACCTCATTCCCCAGGCTGGAAGCCAGCCAGCAGGGCTGCACTGAGAGAAAGTGGCAACTACCCGGGATGTGTACATCCTGGGCAAAGGTGACACTGTGCCAGCAATGGAAGTACTTCCTTATAACCACAATCTTCTCAAATACTTTAAAACAGAAAGATCTTCTGAAAGGAGTCTCCAGGTGGGAAGGCACACAGATCAGCAATCCCCACATTCTCAGCTTTCTAGTCTCCCTCAATTTCAGCAGCACAGGCACTATTATGGCTCTCCTCATAGGCCCAATATCAGCTCTCCTAAGTGTAGACAAAATCCCTTTTAAAAATCCCTATTGCATCCAGCTAGAGACAGGAAAGTGGCTAAAATCAATGGAAATTTTTAAAATTATACACACATGTGCGCACGCGCACACACACACACACACACACACACACACACACACACCCCTTAAGAAAATATAAGTATAAAATGAAGTTAGGGTATATATTAAAATCTGATGATCAATATTTCTAGATACATTCATTAGTCTTGACAATGATAAGATTTAAAACAATGACAGGAGAGATTAAAAGTGATGTGAAGGGTAGTGACCTGGATATCTTACCTTTGTGATCACTAATCAGCTTGTAGACAGATGGTATGCTTTTCCATATGTAAGTTATATTAAAAAATCAAAATGTTTTAATTTTTAAAAATCTCCAGGGTAGAGTCTTCCTTTCCTTCCACCCACTCCTCTATACAGCCCTTTCCTTGTCCCTTGAAAGATAGGTTTTGCCAGGACATAATTCCCCTACTTCAAATAAAGGGCTTTATTTTCTTGGAGACAGAGTCTTGCTCTGTCACCAGGATGGAGTGCAGTGTTGCGATCTCAGCTCAATGCAACCTCCGCCTCCCGGGTTCAAGTGATTCTCTTGCCTCAGCCTCCCAAGTAGCTGGGATTACAGGCGCCCACCACCGCGCCCGGCTAATTTTTATATTTTTAGTAGAGACGGGCTTTCACCACGTTGAAACTCCTGACCAGGCTGGAGTTTCACCAGGCTGGTCTTGAACTCCTGACCTCGTGATCTGCCTGCCTCAGCCTCCCAAAGTGTTGGGATTACAGGCGTGAGCCACAGCGCCCGGCTATAAAGGGCTTTTTCTAATCATTGAAGCTGCATCTACGTTCATTTGCATCCCCAAAAACTATGGTGGGGTCGGGGAGAGGAAACACTCCACCCCTGTCCCTACTCCTCTCCAACTGTTAGCCTCAGCACATTCCAAATTCAGGAGCCTAGCCTCCAAATTTACAACCCTCTAATCATATTAAGGGGACACAGGTTTTTATCATCCATTATCAAACCACCTGCAGCTCTCTTAACATAAATTCTGAGTTCCAAACAAGAAGCACCATCTCAGCAAAGGACAGACTAGACTAACATTGTTTTTGTCAAGTGAGATAGATGTAAAATGTCATGATAACCAACTGGTCACCATCAGCATTCAGTCCGCAGGCTAACAGCTGGAGAGGGGGTGGGGGTGCAGTCCCCTCTCTGCCCTATAGTTCTCCCAGATGCATCTGTGTGTAGACATAGTTTCATTACCAAGGATAAAAAGACTCAAATCCCACCAAGATTTAAATACTTCCCAGACTATGCGATATGAACCCTTCTGACAAAGGGAAGAAGATTTAGAGGAAGACATGCTGCTATCCTACCTAAATCAACAGTAGTATGTTAGTATCATCAAAATCTGCCATTTAAAATGAGTTAATTTTTGACAGAGCATACATAAAACTTCTATTCTGATGAAGAAACCTAATGTTCTAATAGTCTGAACTCTAAAAGTGGAAAAACAAAAACATTCCAAATTTTACTTCAGTCTTGGTAATAACAGAATGTCTTGGTGCACTAAAAACCAGGGTATTGACAACACCGTTTGGCTTTCTCTCTCCCTCTTTAAATCATGCAAAGAAAAAAACCCAAAAATCTCTATATATTTCCAAATAAACTCAGCAATAACAAACAAATTATTGGTGCTCTAAATTAAAGGCATCTCTCCTGTTGACATTGAAGCCTGACTTTGTTAGGCAATTAACTGAAACCTAGTTTCATTGCTTCCTCATAAACTAACCCTACCATTAAAAACTGTTTTGTTTTGAGACAGTGTTTCACTCTGTCACTCAGGCGGGAGTGCAGTGGCATGACCACAGCTCACTGCAGCCTTGACCTCCCATGCTCAAGCCATCCACCTGTCTCAGTCTCCAGAGTAGCTGGGCCTACAGGCACATACCACCACTCCTGGCTAATTTTTTAAAGAATTTTTTGTAGAGACAGGGTCCCACTATATTGCCCAGGCTGGTCTTAAGCAAAAAATTGTTTTAACTAGGGAGTGTGAGAGGTTTTTTGATGAGAATTGAGCAGGAAAAAAAAAATACATATGGCATTAGCATCTAATCAACTTTCATTAAAACACAGTTCAGTTTTACATTTTGGTTATAAAGATCTGGGTAATTGTGGTCTTAGATGAAAGCTACCAATCCTGCCTCAGCTATTCATATCTATATCACACATATATATATCTCATATATATATATATATATATATATGCACACACACATATCTCATATATATATATATATATATGCACACACACAAGTTTATTTTTTCCCTAGTCTTTTTTTTTTTTTTTTTTTTGGAGATTCACTTTCAAAAAGTTTCACTCTGTTGCCCAGGCTGGAGTACAGTGGCGCGATCTTGGCTCACTCCAATCTCCACCACCTGGGTTCAATTGATTCTTATGCCTCAGCCTCCCAAGTAGGTGGGATTACAGGTGCACACCATCACACTTGGCTAATTTTTGTATTATTGGTAGAGACTGTCTACCTACCCAACCTATTTCGGAGAAGAGAACAGTCACTGCTAATTTATATCTGAATTCCTCAGCTTATGAAACCCATGCCCAATTATTTCATCTACGGCCCTCAAGAGAATCCTGTTAAAGCATTTCATCTCAGCCCCTAAAGTTTTCAAGATATGCTCCATTAGTTTAAGATATATACTCCCTGGTCTTGGTGATACTAAGTCCCTAAAATATAGTTCTTAATTTTAGAGGAAGAGTCAAAGACCACACACCAATAACAGCTATGAACTCTTGGAAACAATGATATACACACACACACATATAATTCTCCATACCATTTCCACAGTTTTATAGGCCCATTAAGGCCAAGTTAAGAACCCTCAGTCTAGATATTTTTTAAAATCTCTCTGGGGTCTAAAATTCTAGAATTCACCAGCTTCATCTGTCACTGATGACCAGTGACACAGAAAGCACACTGCTATTTCTGGTTTCATTAGTAACAAAAGCTAAAATGAACCACAAACAGACAATGCCAATGAGATGCAGCCTTATTTCACCCCAGCCTAAATCTTCTCTCTCAGTGGCTCCCAGCCAATCAAGGAGTGTTGTAGCCATTTAACTACATGGGTAGTACACATGGTTAATCTGTTAACTTTCTCAGACCCCAGGAAAAGAAGAATGGTCCCACTATGCAATTCTCCTTGGCTATTACATATGGATTAAGACTGAAGTTTATATCAGGCATTTAATACATGTCAAATTTTCCAATTAAGATTACTTTCTGCAGGGAGACAGAAATGACATTGAGAATCCAATTTTACCTCAGATAGGCATAACAGTGACTTAAAAGCTGTATTTATCTTCCTATGCAAAAAAAAAAAAAAAAAAAAAAGACTGGTGAAAGACTAGAAGATTTTTAAGGGTCCTCATTAACGACAGGTAATATAACTGTTATTCAGCACTACTCCAGAAGTCTGAACTTGCACAGGTATGTGGATATTAATAGTTATTAATAAGCTACATAGATGAAGCTGGCCCTTCTTTATCTGTTAGTAAAGCTGTCTTGTGGGTTTGGGGTTGATCATTCCAGAGCTGGCTGAACAGGCCAGAAGTTTCACCATCACTTCCTAGCACTTTAAAGCATCTGGATCCTTAAGTATAAGATCTTTGTAATAACAAAGACCAGAAGGTTACCAAATTCCACCAGCTTTGCTCCACCCACAAACTACTTACCACAACTTTATTGAAGTCCTGGATTGCAAAATACAGGGCAATAGCAGTGAGTGCATCAGTTATCTGTCAAAAGAAAGAGAAATAATAGGAAATGGAACACAGTAAGTGTAAGAGTACTAGAGTGCTACCAGGGCTTGGAGTTTTGAGATAGTGATGGACTACCAAGTACTGGACTCTTACAATCAGGTAGAACTTCAACCCTCACTTTGACTACCCAAAGATAAGGCCCATTCAGGCAGGGTGAACTGGAAATCCCTGAGGATCAGGACCCATCTAGGTTCACTTCAGTTTAGTGGCCCATATCTGCTCTAGAATTGCAAGATACTTATGTTTTTTGTAAAATGGAAATAATACCCACTGCTTTGCATGCCTGATGTATGTCAAGTGCCTAGCACACAGTAGGTCCTCAATAAATAGAGTTTGTTATAATTACTAAGGAAGACCTCAGTGGGCTTCCTGGGTATTTCTTGACTCAAATTTTCAATCCCAGACAAGTGTTTCAAATTGCTATGCTCTCAAAACATAGACCTGTCATCCCAATTCTGAAGCTTCTCGCCCCTGAAAGCCTCAAACCTGTGTCCTCTTCTTCCATAATGACTCACAGAATCTCTTGGCAAAATGCTTAGGACAAATTCAGAATGCCCTCCACGCCGGCTTCACAATTAAAGCCAATCATAGAATCTCAGAGCTAGAAAATTCAAGACTATATATAGTCCAGAAACCAAATTCTAAAAAGAGTAAGTATTTGGAACTGGTTACACATCAGAAACTATTCCTCACACTTCCATAATACTGCCACAGTTCCATGAATTCAAAGTAAAGACATAAGTTTTTGCTTTTATTTTCTGAGAAACTCCTGAGTTCCTATGTTTTTTGTTTTTTGTTTTTTTCTTAAACACAAGATGACAAGCCGGGCACTGTGTCATGTGTCCATAGTCCCAGCAGCTGAGGAGGCTGAAATGGGAGGACCACTTAAGTCCAGGAGTCCAAGACCAGCCTGGGCAACACAGTGAGACCCCATCTCAAAAAAAAAAAAAAAAGAGAGAGAGAGACAATAAACCATAAAATTTAAAAATATATACATATCAATTTTATATGGAAGGTTACTTACCATAAACACCAATTCAGCATAGTCAATTAGGAAATGAAAGAGGTATATTATTAATGGAGTCTGCAGAAAAAAAACAGACATGTAAAAAAAATTAAGTTAAACCTTACTATTATCAGTTTCCAGAGTAGAGAGTGGGGAGAAAACTATTATGTCAGCAAACTATTATGCTAGTATTCTCCTTCCTGGAATACTGTTCTACGCCAGCTGGCCGGTGTGCTTATAGGGGAGAATAATTTAGTACTGCCGGACCATTTTGTGCTGCTGGGACTATCTGTTGAATTGAGTAAAGGAAATAAAATCTGATGTGTTAAATAACCATTAAAGAATAGTCAACACACTGGCCAGGTGCGGTGGCTCACGCCTGTAATCCCAGCACTTTGGGAGGCTGAGGCAGGCAGATCACCAGGTCAGGAGATGGAGACCATCCTGGCTAACACGGTAAAACCCCCGTCTCTACTAAAAATACAAAAAAATTAGCCGGGCGTGGTGGCGGGCGCCTGTAGTCCCAACTACTAGGGAGGCTGAGGCAGAAGAATGGCGTGAACCCAGGAGGCAGAGCTTGTAGTGAGCCGAGATCACGCGACTGCACTCCAGCGTGGGCAACAGAGCGAGACTCTGTCTCAAAAAAAATAAATAAATAAATAAAAAATATATAGTCAAGACACTAAAGGTAAGAGGTGAATTGTAGTTCTAAGACATATATAATAGCCGAGGGGAATTCCACAACAGACCAAGATTGCTGATTCCATTTCACTCACAAAATGAGCTTCTTCTGTTCTCTGATAAGTTTGTATAATATTTTTTTCTTTATTTATTTTCTTGAGACTAGTTCAGAAAGATTAATGTTATTTCTTCCTCAAAGATTTGGGAAAATTCACTCACTGTGAAGCCATCTCTGCCTGGATTTTCTTTGAGAGATTTTAAATCACAGATTCTATTTATTTCATAGATAAAACATTCAGATTTGCTGTTTTTACTTTGTCAATTTAGGTAAGTTGTGTTTTTCCAGGAATTTGTCCATTTCATCTAAATTTTCAAGCTTACTGACAAAATTGTTCATAGTATTTCATTTTTTATTGTTTAAAGCAATAAAGTTTCCTATGAGTATGGCTTTAGCTGTATCACACGAGTTTTGATACGTTGGATTTTTTTGAGATGGAGTCTCGCTCTGTCACCCAGGCTGGAGTGCAGTGGTACGATCTTGGCTCAGAGCAACCTCCGCCTCCTGGGTTCAAGTGATTCTCCTGCCTCAGCCTCCCAAGTAGCTGGGATTACAGGCGCCTGCCACCACGCCCAGCTAATTTTTGTATTTTTAGTAGAGACTGGGTTTCACCATGTTGGCCAGGCTGGTCTGGAACTCCTAACCTCAAGTGATCCACCTGGCTCAGACTCCCGAACTGCTGGCATTACAGGCAGGAGCCACTGTGCCCAGCCATTTTCTTCAATATCATTTAGTTGAAAATATATTCTAACTTCCAGTAACATTTCTTCTTTGAGACTACTTTAAAATGTACCATGTTCAATTTCCAAATACTTAGGAGTTTTCTTTTCTTTTCTTTTTTTTTTGAGACAGACTCTCGCACTGTTGCCAGGGCTGGTGTGCAGTGGCTGGATCTCGCTTGCTGCAAGATCCTCCACCTCCAGGGTTCAGATGATTCTCCTGCCTCAGCCTCCCCAGTAGCTAGGATTACAGGTGCCTGCCACCACACCCAGCTAATTTTTTTTGTTATTTATATATTTATTTTGAGGCAGAGTTTCGCTCTTGTTGCTCATGCTGGAGTGCAATGGCACGATCTCAGCTCATCGCAACCTCCGCCTCCCGGGTTCAAGCGATTCTCCTGCCTCAGCCACCACGCTGGGCTAATTTTGTATTTTTAGTAGAGATGGGGTTTCTCCATGTTGGTCAGGCTAGTCTTGAACTCTCAACCTCAGGTGATCCACCCACCTCGGCCTCCCAAAGTGCTGAGATTACAAGTGTGAGCCACCGTGCCCGGCCGTTTTTTGTTTGTTTGAGACAGAGTCTTGCTCTGTTGCTAGAGTGCAGTGGCACAATCTCGGCTCACTGTAACCTCCACCTCCCGGGTTCAAGCGATTCTCCTGCCTCAGCCTCCCAAGTAGCTGGGATTACAGCCGCGCGCCACCACACCTGGCTAATTTTTGTATTTTTAGTACAGACGGGGTTTCACCATCTCGGCCAGGCTGGTCTCAAACTCCTGACTTTGTGATCCACCCGCCTCGGCCTCCCAAAGTGCTGGGATTACAAGCGTGAGCCACCATGCCCGGCCTAATTTTTTTTTGTATTTTTTGTATTTTTTGTATTTTTAGTTTCACTATGTTGGCCAGGCTGGTCTCGATCTCCTGACCTCATGATCTGCCTGCCTCGGCCTCCCATTCTTTTTATATTTTTATAATTTCTTTCTGGCTTAACTCTACTGTGGTAATAGAAAATACACTATATGACTGCAATCATTTAAAATGTGTTGTGACTTGCTTAACGGTCCATTATATGGTCAACTTTGGTAAGTGCTGCAGGTACATTCAAATATGCATATTAACACCTATGGTTGCATCATTCTATATATGACATGTAGGCTCAGTTTGCTAATGATTTGTTCAAATCTTCTACATCCTTATTGATTTTTTTGGTCTGTTTGTTCTTTCACTGACTGAAAGAGGTATGTTAAAAATCTCCCAGTCAGGCACAGTGGCTCATGCCTATAATCTCAGCACTTTGTGGGGCTGAGGTGGGAGGATCACTTAAGCCTAGGCATTTGAGAACAGCCTGGACAACATAGTGGAACCCTGCCTCTACAAAATATTTAAAAAATTAGCTGGGTGAGGTAGCATGCACCTGTAATCCAAGCTACTTGGGAGGCTGAGTTGGGAGAATTGCTTGAGCCCAGGGAGATTGAGGCTGCAGTGAGCCTTGTTTGTACCACCGCACTCCAGCCTGGGCAACAAAGTGAGACCCTGTCTCAAAAAAAAAAAAAAAAAAAAAATCCCCCACTGTGACTGCCATTTTTGCTTTATATATTTTGGAGCTATGTAATTAGATGCAGTTCTATGTAGAATTACTATATCTTCTGGGTGCAGTGATCTTTTTATCATTATAAAATAATCCTCTTCATCTCTAGTAAGGTTTCTTGTCTTAAAATATTCTTGATCTGATAGTATAGTTACATCAGCCTCTTTGGGCTGTCAGCATAATACAGTTTTTTCTGTCATTTTACTTTCCACCTTTCTGTGTCCTTATATGCAAAATTTTTTGTTTTTGTTTTTGGGGTTTTTTCCTGAAACAAAGTCTCACTCTGTCGGCCAGGCAGGAGTGCAGTGGCACGATCATGACTCACTGAAGCCTTGACCTCCCAGACTCAGGTGACCCCCCTACCTTACCCTCCTGAGTAGGTGAGACTACAGATGTGCGCCACCACACCCAGATAATTTTTGTATTTTTTGTAGAGACAGAGTTTTGCCATGTTGCCCAAGCTGGTCTTGAACTCCTGGGCTCAAGCAATCCGCCTGCCTCAGCCTCTCAAAGTGTTAGGATTACAGGCATGAGCCACTGCACCTGACCTAAGATGTGACTGATTGATTGACTGATTGACTGATTTAGAGATGGAGTCTCACTCTGTCCCCAGGCTGGAGTGCAGTGGCGCGATCTCAGCTCACTGCAACCTCCGCCTCCTGGGTTCAAGTAATTCTCCTGCCTCAGCCTCCCGAGTAGCTGGGACTACAGGCACGTGCCACCACACCCAGCTAATTTTTTATATTTTTAGTAGAGATGGGGTTTCACTGTCTTAGCCAGGATGGTCTCAAACTCCTGACCTCGTGATCCGCCCGCCTTGGCCTCCCGAAGTGCTGGGATTACAGGTGTGAGCCACCACGCCCGGTCTGTTTTATTTTGAACTTATGTTCAAAATTACATATGTTTTTCTTTGACCTTCTCCTACTTGGGTTTATAGAGCTTCCTGAATAAAAATCTTAGTAAATGTTGAAAAAAATTTCATCCATAATCTCCTCAAATACTGATTCTGCCTCGTTCTGTCTCTTCTCCCATTCTAGAACTCCACTGATGTATAATTTGGGCTGTTTTACTAAGTTTCAGATCTCTTACTTTTTTTTTTTTTTTCTGTGTTTTCTATCCTTTTCTCTCCAAGTTTGAATCTAGGTATTTTCAACAGACTTTATCTTCCATATTACTAATCTTCTCTTTAGCTTTGTGTAATCTGCTGCTAAATTCATCTATACATTTTTTTTTTTTTTTGAGACGGAGTCTCGCTCTGTCACCCAGGTTGAAGTGCAGTGGCGTGATCTCGGCTCACTGCAACTTCCGCCTCCCAGGTTCAAGTGCCCAGGTTCAAGCGATTCTCCCACCTCAGCCTCCCGAGTAGCTGGGATTACAGGCGTATGCCACCACGCCTGCCTAATTTTTATATTTTTAGTAGAAACAGGGTTTCACCATGTTGGCTAGGCTGGTCTTGAACTCCTGACCTTAAGTGATCTGCCCACCTTGGCCTCCCAAAGTGTTGGTATTACAGGCATGAGCCACTGTGCCCGGTCCATCTATTACATTCTTTTTTTTTTTTTTTTTTGAGACGGAGTCTCACTCTGTCACCCAGGCTGGAGTGCAGTGGCGCGATCTCGGCTCACTGCAAGCTCCGCCTCCCAGGTTCACGCCATTCTCCTGCCTCAGCCTCCCAAGTAGCAGGGACTACAGGCGCCCGCCACCATGCCTGGCTACTTTTTTGTATTTTTGGTAGAGACAGGGTTTCACCGTGTTGGCCAGGATGGTCTCAATCTCTTGACCTCGTGATCCGCCCGCCTCGGCCTCCCAAAGTGCTGGGATTACAGGCATGAGCCACCGTGCCTGGCCTTACATTTTTAATTTATTATGTTTTCTATTTCTAGAATTTCCGTTTGATTCATTTTTTACATACCCTGGTGAAATTATTCTGTTATTTATTTCTTGAACATATTAATCATTGATCATAGCTATTTTTCTTTTTTGGGAGGGGGGAAAGGGTCTCACTTTGTCACCCAGGCTGGAGGGCAACGGCACAATCTCAGCTCACTGCAACCTCCAACTCCTGGGCTCAAGCGATCCTTCCACCTCAGCCTCCCAAGTAGCTGGAACTACAGGCACACACCACCACACCCAGCTAGTTTTTGTATTTTTGGTAGATACAGGGTTTCACCATGTTGGCCAGGCTGGTTGAATTCCTGGCCTCAAGTGATCTGCCCATCTTGGCCTTCCAAAGTGCTGGGATTACAAGCGTGAGCCACTGCATCCGGCTGATCACAGCTATTTTAAAGTCCAAGTAGTTTGATAACTTCAATATCTAAATCACCTGTAAATCTGTTTTTATTGTCTATTTTTTTCTGTCTCTTATTATGCTTGGTAATTTTTTTCCTTTTCTTTTTTTCTCTTTTTTTTTTTTTTTTTTTTTTTTTTTTTTTGAGAAGGAGTCTCATTCTGTCATCCAGTCGGGAATGCGGTGGCGTGATCTTGGCTCACTGCAACCTCTGTCTCCCAGGATCAAGTGATTCTCCTGCCTCAGCCTCCCGAGTAGCTGGGACTACAGGCATGCACCACCATGCCTGGCTAATTTTTGTATTTTTAGTAGAGACAGCGTTTCACTATGTTGCTTAGGTTGGTTTTGAACTCCTGACCTCAGGTGATCCGCCAGCCTCGGCCTCCCAAAGTGCTGGGATTACAGATGTGAGCCACCATGCCCAGCCAATGGTTGGTAATTTTTTATTGAATGACAGACATTGTGTATGACAAACTACAGCAGCTTGGATGAAGGTATTTTCTTCTGGAAAAGATTTCTTTAAGCTGGTAATTACAATATAGTTGTTTCACTTTAGGGATTGAGCTAATTTGAAGCTGGATTTAGTCTTTGTAAAACTAGTCTATATTGGTCTACCCTTACTCCTAGAGTGTAGTCCTTCAGAAGTTCCAGCCTAAAGGCAAGTCCTTTACCAGAGCCTTGTCATTTTGGTTGGTCCTGCACTCCAATTTGTATTTCCCCAGCACCCTGAGACTGCCAATAGCTCTGCTTAGCTTCTTGGTCTCTAGCCAGCCAATTTCTGTTCTGCTTCTCCACCTGTGTCACTTACAAATTGGTAAATGCTTCAAGGACAAAGCAGCTCAGACTGTTCGTATTACTTTTTGTACTTTCCCCTCTGGGATCTTAATCCCTGGAGTCCTGCTTATCTTGGTACTTTCCAATGCCTTCCAGCAGATGTGGTTTTTTTTTTCCTTTTTTCATATTCATCCTGCTTTTCTAGTTGTTCGTGGCAGGTAGGTTGGTCTGCTACTGCAAGCCCGTTCACCAATCCACCAGAACCAGAAGGGAAGTGCATGACCTGGTTTTAGCGAGCCCATGCTGATGACTGAGGAGCACCTCTTCCCATCACTAAACCATATGCATGAATGTGTCCTATAACATTGAGAGGTTATTGACAGACTTTTTAGTGAGAACAAGTTAGCATGGTAGCAAGAACAAAGACTTTGGAGTCAGATTCGCATTTAAATCCAGGTTCCAGACAGCTCCGGTGGCTCACACCTGCAATCACAACACTTTAGGAGGCCGAGGTGGGAGGATCACTTGAGGCCAGGAGGTTGAGACCATCCCGGGCAACAAAGTGAGACCCCCCCCATCTCTACAAAAAAAAAATTAGCTGGGCATGGGTAGCATCTGTAGTCCCAGCTATTTGGTTTGTTTTTATTTTCGTTTTTTGAGTCATGATTTTACTCTGTTGCCTAGGCTGGGGTGCAGAGGTATAATCATGGCTCACTGCAGCTTAGACCTTCCAGGATCAAGCGATCCTCCTACCTCAGCCTCCTGAGTAACTACAACTACAGGCACATACCACCACAACCAGCTAATTTATTTTTCCCCCTGGGGGGAGAAACAGAGTCTCACTATGTTGCCCAGGCTGGTCTTAAACTCCTAGGCTCAAGCAATACTCCCACCTTGGCCTCCCAAAGTGCTAGGATTACAGACATGAGCCACCGTGCCTGGCCTCAGTTTGACAAATTTTGACCTATGTATACATCCATAAAACCATTACAGTCAAGAAAGTGAACATATCCATCATTCCCAAGTTTATCAATTTTAATGCTCATCCCAAGGAACCATCTTTGTTTCAGTGATTTTCACTATTAGTTTTGTTTTCTACCCTTTGTTTCTACTCAGATCTTTATTATTTCTTTTAATCTGCTTACTTTGAGTATAATTTTATCTTTTCCTAGTTTCTTAAGGTAGAAGCTGTGGTTATTGACTTGAGGTCTTCTTTTCTAATATAAGCATTTGGTGCTATAAGTCTCTCCCTAAGAACTACTTAGTGACATCCCACATATTTTGATGGGTTGTGTTTCATTTTCATTCATTTCAAAATACTTTCTAATTTCCTTTCTGATTTCTTCTTTGATCCATGGGTTAATTAAGAATATGTTACTCAGTTTCTAAATATTTGGGGATTCTCTAGATATCTTTCTGGTATTTTTTATTTAATTCAATTGTGGTCAGAGAATATATTTTGTATAACTTGAATCCTTCTAAACTTACTGAGCCTTGTTTTATAGACCAGAATGTGGTCTATCTTGCAAATGTTCCGTGTACATTTGAAAAAAATTATGTGTTTTGCTGTTGTTGGATGGAGTGTTCTATAAATGACAACTAGGTCAAGTTGGGTTTTTTTTTTTTTTTTGAGATGAAGTCTAGGTTTGTCGCCCAGGTTGGAGTGCAGTGGCACTATCTCCGCTCACTGCAAGCTCCGCCTCCCAGGTTCAAGCCATTCTCCTGCCTCAGCCTCCCAAGTAGCTGGGATTACAGGTGCACAACACCACACCCAGCTAATTTTTCTATTTTTAGCAGAGACGGGGTTTCACCATGTTGGTCAGGCTGGTCTCAAACTCCTGGCCTCAATCTACCCGCCTTGGCCTCCCAAAGTGCTGGGATTACAGGCGTGAGCCACCATGTCTGACCCAAGTTGGTTGTTATTCAAGTCTTTTATATCTTTGCTGATTTTATGTCTGCTTGTTCTACCAATCATTGAGAAAGGGATATTGAAATCTCTGTAATTGTGGATCTATTTCTCCTTGTAGTTCTATCAGTCTTCATATATTTTGAAGCTCTGTAATTTGATACATAAGCATTTAGTATCGCTATCTCTTTTATCATTATGAAATGTATTTTATCTCTGGTGATACCCTTGGCTCTGAAATTTGTTTCTTTTTTTTACTAACTTATTGTCTGTTTCTCTCAGAAGTATAAGCACCATGAAGCCAGGCACTGTGTCTTGTTTTGTATCCCTAACACCTAGCAGAGTAGCTGGCACTTAGTGAATATTTAACAAATCTTTACTAAAGGAAGGACAGAAGGGAGGGAAGGATTGTAATGCATATGCTGATAGAGGTAGGCACTAGGAATAAGTGATAAGAAGGGGACAGCACCTGTTTTGAAGACAATATATCATAATGAGTAAAATAAACACAGAGGCAATTTCAAGAGTGTGACATGAGCCAGGAAAAGGATAAGCATAAGATTCTTTGGAAGACTAAGGTGATGAGAGACACCTTTCTTTTTTTTTTTTGAGACGGAGTCTCGCTCTGTCACCCAGGCTGGAGTGCAGTGGCACCATCTCGGCTCACTGCAAGCTCCGCCTCCCGTGTTCACGCCATTCTCCTGCCTCAGCCTCCTGAGTAGCTGGGACTACAGCCACCTGCCACCATGCCTTGCTAATTTTTTGTATTTTTAGTAGAGACGGGGTTTCGCCATATTGGCCAGGCTGGTCTCGAACTCCCGACCTTGTGATCCGCCCGCCTAGGCTTCCCAAAGTGCTGGGATTACAGGCGTGAGCCACCGTGCCCGGCCCTGTGTGCTTATTAAGAGTCTCTTGGCCGGGCACGGTGGCTCACGCCTGTAATCCTAGCACTTTGGGAGGCCGAGGCAGGTGGATCACCTGAGGTCAGGAGTTCGAGAGCAGCCTGGCCAAGGTGGCAAAACCCTGTCTCTACTAAAAATTCAAAAATTAGCCAGGCGTGGTGGCACACGCCTATAACTCCAGCTACTTGGGATGCTGAGGCAGGACAATCACTTGAATCCAGGGTGGGGGAAGGGGGAGGGGGTTGCAGAGGTTGCAATGAGCCGAGTTGGCGCCACTTCACTCCACCTGGGCAAAAGAGCAAAACTCTGTCTCAAAAAAAAAAAAAAAAAAGTCTCTGAAGTTGTTCCTAACCTGTTTCTGCCAGTAGTTCTTGTTATTGCAGTTTGATTAGATATTAACCCAGAGATAATAAAATTGAAATGCAAAAGACAGCTGTTATTTCTATGAGGACCAAGTTGAATGCTTTTGAAAGATTAGACAGAAGAGCCAAAAAACAAACAAAAAAAAACTGTTCTCAAAGTACATATGAGAGAGATAACTATAAAAATTAAGGCCAGCCAGGAACGGTGACTCACAGCTGTAATCCCAGCACTTTGGGAGGCCGAGGCAGGCGGATCACAAGGTCAGGAGTTCGAGACCAGCCTGGCCAATATGGTGAAACCCCGTCTCCACTAAAAATACAAAAATTAGCCAGGCATGGTGGCGCGTGCCTGTGGTCCCAGCTTCTCGGGAGGCTGAGGCAGAGGAGTCGCTTGAACCCGGGAGGCAGAGGTTGCAGTGAGCTGAGATTGCACCATTGCACTCCATCCTGGGCGACAGAGCGAGACTCTGTCTCAAAAAAAAAAAAAAAATTAAGGCCAAGCACAGTGGCTCATGCCTGTAATCCCAACACTTTCGGAGGCCAAGGCAGGAGGATTACTTGAGTGCAGGAGTTCAAGACCAGCCTGGGCAACATAGCAAGACCCCATCTCTACAAAGAAATTTTTAAAAATTAGCCAGCTGTGGTGGTACATGTCTGTAGTCCTAGCTACTCAGGAGGCTGAGGTGGGAGGACTGCTTGAGCCCAGGAGGTTGAGGCTATAGTAAGCCATGATCATTCCACCACATTCCAGCCTCGGTGACAGAGCAAGACCCTGTCTTTAAAAAAAAAAAATTAGAAGGTACATTGTCAAATTAGAAAACTTCTTTAAAATGATATGGCCAATAAGAACGGAAAGGGCAGTGGGACGCGGTGGCTCACGCCTGTAATCCCAGCACTTTGGGAGGCCAAGGCAGGCGGATCACGAAGTCAGGAGTTTGAGAGCATCCTGGCTAATATGATGAAACCCCGTCTCTACTAAAAACACAAAAAAAAATTAGCCAGGCATAGTCACGGGCACCTGTGGTCCCAGCTACTCCGGAGGCTGAGGCAGGAGAATGGCGTGAACCCAGGAGGCAGAGCTTGCAGTGAGCCAAGATCGTGCCACTGCATTCCAGCCTGGGTGACAGAGCAAGACTCTGTCTCAAAAAAATAAAAAAGAATGGAAAGGGCAGTGGAAAGAAATGTGATGGATGTGGTGAGGAGGGTCTTCAGGGCTTTGTATGCCCCTCTAAGGTATCTGGATTTTATCCTGAGGTGAATGGTGAACATTCAAAGGTGCCGAGCAAGACGGTGACAGAAACAGATTCACATTTTAGAAAGATGGCTCTGACTACAGAATACAGTGAATGAGCAAGACTGAATGCAAAAAGACCTGTCAGGAAGCTGTTGCTGTAAACAAGAGATAATCTGGACCTAATTAAGAGTGTTTTCACTATTCTTTTTTTTTTTTTTTTTTTTTTTGAGATGGAGTCTCGCCCTGTGGCCCAGGCTGGAGTGCAATGGTGCAGTCTCGGCTCACTGCAAACTCTGCCTCCCGGGTTCAAACAATTGTCCTGCCTCAGCCTCCCAAGTAGCTGGGATTACAGGCACCTGCCACCATGCCCAGCTATTTTTTGTATGTTTAGTAGAGCTGGGGGTTTACCACGTTGGCCAGGCTGGTCTTGAACTCCTGACCTCGTGATCCACTTGCGTTGGCCTCCCAAAGTGCTGGGATTACAGGTGTAAGCCACCGCGCCTGGCCTGTTTATAATTTTTTTTTTTTTTTTTTTTGAGACGGAGTCTCGCTCTGTCACCCAGGCTGGAGTGCAGTGGTGCGATCTCGGCTCACTGCAAGCTCCACCTCCCGGGTTCGCGCCATTCTCCTGCCTCAGCCTCCCGAGTAGCTGGGACTACAGGCGCCCACTACCGCGCCCAGCTAATCTTTTGTATTTTCAGTAGAGACGGGGTTTCACCGTGTTAGCCAGGATGGTTTCGATTTCCTGACCTCGTGATCCGCCCACTTCGGCCTCCCAAAGTGCTGGGATTACAGGTATGAGCCACTGCACCCGGCCTGTTTTTACTATTCTTAAGAGCTAATTTTAAATAAAAATTAGCTGGGCATGGTGGTGCACACTTGTGGTCCCTACTAAGGAGGCTCAAGTAGGAGGATCGCTTGAGCCCAGGAGGTCAAGGCTGCAGTGAACCGTGATTGTGTCACTGCACTCTAGCCTGGGTGACAGAATAAGACCCTGCCAAAAAAAAAAAAAAAAGCTAATTTTATGGGTTAAGTAAGTTTTTCTGGGCTTTCTAAGGAAACAACATTACTGCCGTAGTTTTCATGGGAAATCATATTCCAAACAACAAATTACATGCTAATTAGCATACAACCTATTTGCGGACTAAGGACTGTTTGCAACTTATTTGCCTTTACAAATGGTAACTTCTACAGAAGCCTCATCTGCTTCCCCAGTTACAATCTTAATCTGGATCATTTCCATTGCAATTGCAAAACCTCTTTCTTATGCAGAGGACATCTAAAAACGGGCTGTTTCTAAATATGATCGTCAAGAATACATCTTTTTAAATGTTTGTACAAAACAGAGGTTAGGCTTTGGTATCTGTGACTGTAAACTACTCTTGGTACCCAGAAAAGAAAATAAGAACACTTACTTCATGAAATACTGCTCCAGAATACGGAGATACTCCCAAGTCCAACAGTGAAAGGCCTTCAACCACTGAAAAATTAGATATACAAGTTCACTCAGACTAAGCAGGCAGCTACAGACCAAATTGTTAGATACCCCCACAACCAAAAAGGGCCTTAGCGTTTATCTAACCCCCTTTACCTCATCCCCAGCAAGTGGCTTTAAGTCTTGAACATTTCTGATGACGGGAAACTCTCTTTCATGGACAGCATCCTTTTTCATTGTGGGCAGCACTCATTATAAGACAGTTTTATGTTAAACTATCTGCTTCCTTTTAGTTCCTTGTAACTCTTACCAACTCTCAAAAATGTCTCATTTATGCCTAATCTTCCCCATTCCAAAGCACAATAAGATAACAAATTAGAAGCTGGTGAGAAATGTTGCCATAGTGTGAGGAAATGGGCAGTCACTCTCATATGCTGCTCATTTGAGTGACATTTGTATTAACTTTTCGACAGGGCAATATGTGCTTTCTAAGTGTGTGCCTTCTGACCCAGATATGATACTTCTTAGGGCAGTTTATCCTATGGAAATAACCTGACAAGTACCCAAAGAGGTATGTTCCTTACACTGTTCAGAGTACTGAACAATTAGAAATAATCTGAATGTCCATTAATGAAAATTTATTTCAATGAATTATGACATAATATATATCTCTATATAATGGAATGCTTTATACTTAAAATTATACTGTGTTATAAATAATAAATAACCTCTCCCTCTCCCTCTCCCTCACCCTCTCCCTCTCTCTCTCTCCACGGTCTCCCTCTCCCTCTCTTTCCACGGTCTCCCTCTCCCTCTCTTTCCACGGTCTCCCTCTGATGCCGAGCCGAAGCTGGACTGTACTGCTGCCATCTCGGCTCACTGCAACCTCCCTGCCTGATTCTCCTGCCTCAGCCTGCCCAGTGCCTGCGATTGCAGGCGCGCGCCGCCACGCCTGACTGGTTTTCGTATTTTTTTGGTGGAGACGGGGTTTCGCTGTGTTGGCCGGGCCGGTCTCCAGCTCCTAACCGCGAGTGATCCGCCAACCTCGGCCTCCCGAGGTGCCGGGATTGCAGACGGAGTCTCGTTCACTCAGTGCTCAGTGGTGCCCAGGCTGGAGTGCAGTGGCGTGATCTCGGCTCGCTACAACCTCCACCTCCCAGCCACCTGCCTTGGCCTCCCAAAGTGCCGAGATTGCAGCCTCTGCCCGGCCGCCACCCCGTCTGGGAAGTGAGGAGCATCTCTGCCTGGCCGCCCATCATCTGGGATGTGAGGAGCCCCTCTGCCTGGCTGCCCAGTCTGGAAAGTGAGGAGCCTCTCTGCCCAGCCGCCATCCCATCTAGGAAGTGAGGAGCGTCTCTGCCCGGCCGCCCATCGTCTGAGATGTGGGCAGTGCCTCTGCCCCACCGCCCCGTCTGGGATGTGAGGAGCGCCTCTGCCCAGCCGCGACCCCATCTGGGAGGTGAGGAGCGTCTCTGCCCAGCCGCCCCGTCTGAGAAGTGAGGAGACCCTCTGCCTGACAACCGCCCCGTCTGAGAAGTGAGGAGCCCCTCCGCCCGGCAGCCGCCCCGTCTGAGAAGTGAGGAGCCCCTCCGCCTGGCAGCCGCCCCGTCTGAGAAGCGAGGAGCCCCTCCGCCCGGCAGCCACCCCGTCTGGGAAGTGAGGAGCATCTCCGCCCGGCAGCCACCCCGTCCAGGAGGGAGGTGGGGGTCAACCCCCGCCAGGCCAGCCGCCCCGTCCGGGAGGGAGGCGGAGGGGTCAGCCCCCCGCCCAGCCAGCCGCCCCGTCCGGGAGGTGAGGGGCGCCTCTGCCCGGCCACCCCCTACTGGGAAGTGAGGAGCCCCTCTGCCCGGCCAGCTGCCCCGTCCGGGAGGGAGGTGGGGGGGTCAGCCCCCCACCCGGCCAGCCGCCCCGTCCGGGAGGTGAGGGGCGCCTCTGCCCGGCTGCCCCTACTGGGAAGTGAGGAGCCCCTCTGCCCGGCCAGCCGCCCCGTCCAGGAGGGAGGTGGGGGGGTCAGCCCCCCGCCCGGCCAGCCGCCCCGTCCGGGAGGGAGGTGGGGGGGTCAGCCCCCCGCCCGGCCAGCCACCCCGTCCGGGAGGGAGGTGGGGGGGTCAGCCCCCCGCCCGGCCAGCCGCCCCGTCCGGGAGGTGAGGGGCGCCTCTGCCCGGCCGCCCCTACTGGGAAGTGAGGAGCCCCTCTGCCCGGCCAGCCGCCCGGTCCGGGAGGGAGGTGGGGGGGTCAGCCCCCGGCCCGGCCAGCCGCCCCGTCCGGGAGGTGAGGGGCGCCTCTGCCCGGCTGCCCCTACTGGGAAGTGAGGAGCCCCTCTGCCCAGCCACCACCCAGTCTTGGAGGTGTACCCAACAGCTCATTGAGAACGGGCCAGGATGACAATGGCGGTTTTGTGGAATAGAAAGGGGGGAAAGGTGGGGAAAAGATTGAGAAATCGGATGGTGGCCGTGTCTGTATAGAAAGAAGTAGACATGGGAGACTTTTCATTTTGTTCTGTACTAAGAAAAATTATTCTGCCTTGGGATCCTGTTGATCTGTGACCTTACCCCCAACCCCATGCTCTCTGAAACATGTGCTGTGTCCACTCAGGGTTAAATGGATTAAGGGCGGTGCAAGATGTGCTTTGTTAAACAGATGCTTGAAGGCAGCATGCTTGTTAAGAGTCATCACCACTCCCTAATCTCAAGTACCCAGGGACACAAACACTGCGGAAGGCTGCAGGGTCCTCTGCCTAGGAAAACCAGAGACCTTTGTTCACTTGTTTATCTGCTGACCTTCCCTCCACTATTGTCCTATGACCCTGCCAAATCCCCCTCTGCGAGAAACACCCAAGAATGATCAATAAAAAAAAAAAAAAAAAAAAGAACAGCTTTAAAAAATAAATAAATAATAAATAAATAAGTGGAAGAGAAAGGAGAGCTTTTCCCTACAGAGAATTCTAAGGATCAAATGTAGAAGGAACAAAGAAATAGAAAATCACCACTTGGCGTACTCCATCCATAGTAATAATCACAAAAGGCAAGAATCATCAATGGATGCTAAAATTAGTGGGCAAAAATATGAGAAACAGAATATTTGCAAGGGGAAAAATAAAATTTTACATGGGCGGTGGTTCATGCCTGTAATCCCAGCACTTTGGGAGGCCAAGGCAGGTGGATCACCTGAGGTCAGGCGTTCAAGACCAGCCTGGCCAACATGGCAAAACCCTGTCTCCATTAAAAATACAAAAATTAGCCAGGCATGGTGGCGCGCACCTGTAATCCCAGCTACTTGGGAGAGTGAGGCAGGAGAATCGCTTGAACCTGGGAGGCGGAGGTTGCAATGAGCCAAGATTGTGCCACTGCACTCCAGCCTGGGCAACAGAGTGAAACTCCTTCTCAAAAAGCAAACAAACAAAAAAGCATAACCTCAGTCTAACTGTGAGAAGACATCAGGCAGACCCAAATGGAGACATAAAATAACTGGCAAGTACTCTTAAAAATATTAAGCCTATGTACAACTACTAGGTATCCATAAAAATTAAATTTAAAAAATTGTAAATGTTAAGTCTGAGGAAGTATCCCAGATTATAAGAGACTAAGGCGACAAAACAACTAAGTGCAAAGTGGAATCACAGGTTGGATATTGGACTAGAAATGGACATTAGTGGGGCAAATTGATAAAATTCTAATAAGGCCTGTAATTAGTTAATAGCATTGTATCAATGTTAATTTTCTGGTTTAGGTCATTGCACTATGGTGATGTAGAATGTTAACATTAGAAAAAGGTGAATGAAAGGTAAACAGGAACTCTTGTAACTTTTTTGAAAATCTAAAATTATTTTAAAATTAAGAGTTAAAATTAAAAAGTACACTAGAGATCTATATTTAATGAAGAAAAGCAGCCCATAAAATATTCTTAAATGAAAAGTAGGTCAAAAGACAGCATATAAAATATAATAGGTTTTTTTGGTGATTTTTTTAAATGACTATTTTAGCAATTTCTCTTGGCTTTTACTTATTTTCCTTTGCAAATTTTCTGGGGGTTGAGGGGGTACATGTCCAGGTTTGTTACATGGGTAAATTGCATGTCATAGAGGTTTGGAGTGCAGATAATCTCATCACCCAGGTAATAAGCACAGTACCCGACAGGTAGCTTTTCCATCTTCACCCTCCTCCCACCCTCCACCCTCAAGTAGGCCCAGGTATCTACTGCTACTTTCTTTGTGTCCATGTGTACTCAGTGTTTAGCTTCCACTTATAAGTGAGAATATGCTGTATTTGGTTTTCTGTTCTTGCATTAATTTGCTTAGGATAATGTCTCCAGCTCCATCCATGTTGGTGCAAAGGACATGAGCTCATTCTTTTTTTTTTTTTAATGCTGCATAGTGTTCCATGGTGTATATGTACATTTTCTTTATCCAGTCCACCACTGATGGGCATTCAGGTTAATTCCATGTCTTTGCTATTGTGAATACTGCTGTGATGAACATACACATGCATGCATCTTTAGGGCAGAACAATTTCTATTCCTTTAGGTATATACCTAGTAATGGGATTGATGGGTCGAATGGCAGTTCTGTTTTAGGATCTTTGAGAAATCTTCAAACTGCTTTCCACGGTGGCTGAATTAATTTATATTCCCACCAGTCGTGTATAAGTGTTTCCTTTTCTCCACAACCTTGCCAGCATCTATTATTTTTTGACTTTTTAATAATGGTCATTCTGACTGGTATGAGATAGTATCTCATTGTGGTTTTGAGATAGTATCTCATTGTGGTTTTGATTTGCATTTCTCTAATGACTAATTATGTTGAGCATTTTTTCATATGCTTGTTGGCCACATGCATGTCTTCTTTTGAGATGTGTCTGTTCATGTCCTGTGCCCCCCCGCCAACTGTTTTTCCAAGACAGGTTCTCGCTCTATTGCCCAGGTTGAAGTACAGTGGCATGATCAGGGCTCACTGCAGCCTTGACCTCTCAGGCTCAATCGATCCTCCCACCTCAGCCTCTCGAGCAGTTGGGACTTCAGGTGTGCATCACCATGCCTGGCTAATTTTTGTATTTTTTGTAGAGATGGGGTTTCACCATGTTACTCAGGCTGGTCTCAAACTCCTGGGCTCAAGCAATCTTCCTGCCTCAGCCTCCCAAAGTGCTGGAATTACAGTGGTGCTGGAATTACAGGTATGAGCCACCATGCCCAGCCCTTTGCCTTTTTTTTTTTTTTTTTGAGACAGAGTCTCGGTCTGTCACCCAGGCTGGAATGCAGTGGCTTGATCTTGGCTCACTGCAACCTCTGCCTCCTGGGTTCAAGCAATTCTCCTGCCTCAGCCACCCAGTAGCTAGGATTACAGGTGCCTGCCACCAGACCACCTAATTTTTGTATTTTTAGTGGAGTCGGGGTTTTACTATGTTGGCCAGGCTAGTCTTGAACTCCTGACCTCAAGGGATCTGCCTGCCTCAGCTTTTCAAAATTGCACATTTTTAAATAGGTTTGTTTGTAGAGTTTTATCTTAAACTTTTATAAGCATTCATTTAATTATTTGAAAGAGAGAGAATGAACATGTACTCAATGAGAAATGCCTGGAAAAATAAATATTTAAATGTTCACAATGACCATTTCTAGGTGATAAGATTACAGAAGATGCTTGATTTTTTTCATCTTCATTTTATGAATCTTTAGCAATGAGGATGTATTATTTTACAATTATTCAAAAGAAGTAGTTTTTGTTTTTGTTTTGGAGACAGGGTCTCGCTCTGTCATCCAGACTGGAGTACAGGAATTACAAACGTGGCTCACTGCAGCCTCAACCTCCTGGGCACAAGCGATCATCCCACCTCAGCCTCCCAAGTAGCTGAGAACACAGGCCAATGCCACTACACCCAGCTAAATTTTTTTTTGGTAGAGACAGTGTCTTGCCATGTTGCGCAGGCTGGTCTTGAACTCCTGGGCTCAAGCCATCTTCCCACCTTGACCTCCCAAAGTGGTGGGATTACAGGCGTGAGCCACTGCACCTAGCTACTTTTTATTTTTGAATCATGTGACTGAGTTACCTATTAAAAAATAGGTAGGCAGGGATTCAAGGAGTTCAAGATCAGCCTGGGCAACATAAGGAGACCCTGTCTCTATAAAAAAACAAAAATTAGCTGGGGCATGGTGATGTGTGCCTGTGGTCCCAGCTACTTGGGAGGCTGAAGTGGGAAGATCAATTGAGCCCAGGAGGTCAAAGCTGCAGCGAGTCATGATCATGCTACTGCACTCCAGCCTGGGTGACAGAGGGAAACCCTGTATCAAATAAACAAAAACAGAAAGAAAAGAAAAGAAAAAAGACCACTACATATTTGTAAGGAGTGGGCTATAATTATGACTTTAAACTTTATAAGACTACCCTAAAGAAGGTAGGGTAGTCCTATAATCAATTTTATAATTCATGGTGGCCATAAAATAAAACAAAGCATATTGCTCAAGACCGTTGTAACTGGTCCTTATACTGCAACCAAAAGGAAATCTCAAGGAGCTGCATAAAGAGGTTGCTGCGTAATAGCTATTAAATCCTTCACTAACAGCTTTACTGGAGACCCAAGGAGATAATTCATCAGGTCAAATCACAAGGCATTTCTCAATCTTAGCCAATGGCATCCTACCACAGAGCAGTAAAAAAGCAACTCTACAGGGCACCAGTATGCGGCCGTCCAGGCACATCACTCTCCACTTGTCTGGTTTAATCCAGATGGAAATTTTTGAGACACAGCTTGAGGACAGACTGCACAACTTTTAGGCAATTGCCTAAAATGTAATTCATCTCAGATATGCTTTTGCTAGATACTGTATATCAGTGGATTTGTTAGTGTATTCTCTGGCAAATGCCTGGAGTGTGGCTCTGCTATATTGATGATTAAATATGGCATCATATTACTTAATTGATAACTGATCTGGGCAAAGGGTCAGACTATGTAAAACATGTAAAACATTTTTTTGTCTTTCTTTTTTGAGACTCACTCTGTTGCCCGGGCCGGAGTGTAATGGCTTGATCATAGCTCATCGCAGCCTCAACCTTCCAGGCTCAAGTGATCCTCCCACCCCAGCCTCCCAAGTAGCTGGGACTATAGGTGCATGCCACCACACCCAGCTAATTTTTAAATTTTTTTTGTAGAAACGGGCTCTTGCTATATTGCCCAGGCTGGTAAAAACATTTTTAAAAACCCTACCATTTACTACAATATTAAACAGTTGACCGGGCACAGTGGCTCACGCCTGTAATCCCAGCACTTTGGGAGGCCCAGGCGGGTGGATCACCTGAGGTCAAGCACTCAAGACCAGCCTGGCCAACATGGTGAAACCCTGTCTTTACTAAAAATACAAAAATTAGCCTATTTGGGAGGCTAAGGTAGAAGAATCGCTTGAACCTGGGAGGTGGAGGTTGCAGTGAGACAAGATTGTGCCATTGCATTCCAGCCTGGGCAACAAAAGTAAAACTCCGTCTCAAAGCATAAAAAATAAAAAACCAACAAAAAAAAGTATATGGCTGGGCATGGTGGCTCACGCCTGTAATCCCAGCACTTTGAGAGGCCAAGGAGGGTATATCGCTTGAGCTCAGGAATTCGAGACTGGCCTGGAAACATGGTGAAACCCTGTCTCTACCAAAAATACAAAAAATTAGCCAGGCATGGTGGAGAGTGCAGCTACTCAGCAGGCTGAGGTGGGAGGATTACCTGAGCCCAAGAGTTCAAGGCTGCAGTAAGCTGTGATTGTGCCACTGCACTCCAGCCTGGGCGACAGAGCCAGACCCCGTCTCAAAAAAAGAAAAAAAAAGTATAGGAAGAACATAAACTCAGAATATTTTTTGTTTGTTTGTTTTTGAGACAGTCTCACACTCTGTCGCCCACGCTAGAGTGCAGTGGCATGATCTTGGCTCACTGCAACCTTCACCTCCCGGGTTCAAGCAATTCTCCTGCCTCAGCCTCCTGAGTAGCTGGGATTACAGATGCACACCACCATGTATGGCCAATTTTTTTTTTTTTTTTTTTTTTTTTTTTTGAGACTGAGTCTCGCTCTGTCGCCCAGGCTGGAGTGCAGTGGCGCGATCTCGGCTCACTGCAAGCTCCGCCTCCCGGGTTCACGCCATTCTCCTGCCTCAGCCTCCCGAGTAGCTGGGACTACAGGCGCCCGCTACCACGCCCGGCTAATTTTTTGTATTTTTAGTAGAGACGGGGTTTCACCTTGTTAGCCAGGATGGTCTCGATCTCCTGACCTCGTGATCCGCCCGCCTCGGCCTCCCAAAGTGCTGGGATTACAGGCGTGAGCCACCGCGCCCGGCCCAATTTTTTTTGTATTTTTAGTAGAGGCGGGGTTTTACCATGTTGGCCAGGCTGATCTCACACTCCTGACTTCATGATCTGCCCGCCTCAGCCTCCCAAAGTGCTGGGATTACAGGCGGGAGCCACCACGCCTGGCCCAGAATATTTTTAATGGAATACATTTAGTTTTAATGATAAACTTATTACTATCCTTACTTTTCTAATTTTGGTGCACACGATTAAAAACTGTGACCTGGTCTGCAGTGCATTTGGAAACATCTAAGGTACATAGATGTTTCATCTATGTACATCTAAGGCACATAAAACATACTGGTACAAGAGTACCAACATCCTCTTTAAAATAGTGAATCTACTCTCCATAGAAAAGAATAATCAGGGCTGTCAAATTCTAATATATATAAAAATGTTCCAATAGGCTGAGCATTGTAATCTCAATACGTTGGGAGGCCGAAGTGGGTGGATCACCTGAGGTCAGGAGTTCAAGACCAGCCTGACCAATATGGTGAAACCCCGTCTCTACTAAGAATATAAAAATTAGCCAGGCATGGTGGCATGCACTTGTAGTCTCAGCTCCTCGGGAAGCTGAGACAGGAGAACTGCTTGAACCCAGAATGCGGAGGTTGTAGTGAGCCAAGATCGTGCCACTGTACTCCAGCCCGGGCGATAGAACAAGACTCCATCTCAAAAAAAAAAGTTCCAGTAATATCATGCTGAAAACACTTTAAAGTCAGTTTCACAAAGTGCCTATTAGGGGGAAAAAACAAAAAGACAATAAAGATACCCATAGAACTCAACTTTATGCCTTTCTTTTTCCTGGAGTATCCTCCAAAAATAAAACCTGTGAAAATACACCAGAGCATCCAAGTAACATTTCTCACTTCATGGGACTATTATCTAACAACTAATATAAGAGCTAAATAATTATGGCCAACTATTGTAAAATGTAAGTTTTTTTTTTTTTGATAAAGACTCTCAACTCTTAACTGATAACTAACCCATGAAGCAAGCTTATTTAATTAATTAATTTATTTATTTATTTATTTTTAGAGACAGGGGCCTTAATCTTTTGCCCAGGCTGGAATGCAGTGGCACAATCAGCTCACTGCAGCCTTAACCTCCCGGGCTCAAGCTCAGCCTCCCACGTAGCTGGGACTACTGGAGTGCACCACTGCACCTGACTAATTCTTTTTTTTTTTTTTTTTTTTTTTTTTTGAGACAGAGTCTCGCTCTGTCACCCAGGCTGGAGTGCAGTGGCGCGATCTCGGCTCACTGCAAACTCCACCTCCCGGGTTGACGCCATTCTCCTGCCTCAGCCTCCCGAGTAGCTGGGACTCCAGGCGCCTGCCACCACGCCAGGCTAATTTTTTTTGTATTTTTAGTAGAGACGAGGTTTCACCGTATTAGCCAGGATGGTCTCGATCTCCTGACCTCGTGATCCACCCGCCTCGGCCTCCCAAAGTGCTGGGATTACAGGCGTGAGCCACCGCGCCCAGCCAGCACCTGACTAATTCTTATTTTTTGTAGAGATGGGGTCCTGCTATGTTGCTCAGGCTGGTCTCAAACTCCCGGCCTCAAGCGATCTACCCACCCTGGCCTCCCAAAGTGCTAAGATTACAGGCATGAGCCACTATGCCTGGCCAATAATTCTTAGTTACCTTGGTATACTTTTCCTATGGGTGATAATAAAAGCATATCATCCTGTATAAGACAAATATTATTTTTCAGTTTCCCGTATCAATAAGGACAAAAGCTTGTTCAAAAGCAGTAGTGTCCCTATACTTCTAGCTGAGGGCCTAAGAAGCAGCATCACTCCAGCTGCAATGAACACACCTAGCATTCAGAACTTTGTTTCTAAATAACATTCTCTAATAAAAGGAGCCAGGGCCCTTGAAGAAGTGGTCAATTCCAGGGCTGAACTAAGCAAGATAAACCTGGATCATCTTATAGTTCTAGAATGTAATAAAGTGCTTTTAAAAAAAAAAAGTGAGATAGAGGTATGGCAAAAGGACAAAGGGGTCAAGATGAAAGCGGTCCCAATGGCCAAAACTAGAATAATCCAAACAACAGAATGAATATAGTATACAGAGTCCAGAGTATAAAATATCCAAATCTATACTGACATAAATAGTTAAATAAATGCAAAGAAATGACAACTCTTCCTTACAGAAGAATTTTAATTATTAAATAAAAATGAATGAGAGAAACAGAAAAGTCACCATTGAAACACCTGAGTAATGACTGTTACAGGCAAGATTAACCTATGAATGCAAAAATTAGTAGGCAAAAATTTAAAAACAGGATATTTGCAGAGCTCCAAAGAATAGCCCCTAAAATGCTGATTAATTACAAAGGGAAACAGTCACTTTATGGTGGAGAAATCTGGCAGACACTACATTAACCAAGGGATTATGGCTGACATCACCAGTATTAGGGCATTTCAATATGCACCCCTGATCCAATGCACTGAGAGGACCATATCATCTCAGGGGTATTCTTCCCCAAAATCCATTACCTCCGTCAAACCACAAGAAAACATTAGACAAAACCAAATTGAGGGACATTCTACAAAATACCTGACCAGAGCTCTTCAAAGTGTCAAGGTCATAAAAGATGAGGAAATGCTAAGGAACTATCACAGATAAACGACTAAGGAGATATAACAACTAAACGCAATATGTGGCCAGGCGCGGTGGCTCATGCCTGTAATCACAGCATTTTGGGAGGTCGAGGCAGGTGGATCACCTGAGGTCAGGAATTCGATACCAGCCTGGCCAGCATGGTGAAACCCCGTATCCACTAAAAATACAAAGATTAGCTGGCATGGTGGCAGGGACCTATAATCCCAGCTACTCGGGAGGCTAAGGCAGGAGAATCTCCTGAATCTGGGAGGTGGAGGTTGCAGTGAGCCGAGATCTCGCCACTGCACTCCAGCCTGGGTGACAGAGCGAGACTCCGTCTCAAAAAAAAAAAAAAAAAAAAAAGGGGGGGGCGGGCGTGCTGGCTCACACCCGTAATCCCAGCACTTTGGAGGCTGAAGTGGGCAAATCATGAGGTCAGGAGATCGAAACCATCCTGGCTAACATGGTGAAATCCCATCTCTACTAAAAATATAAGAAATTAGCCAGGCGAGGTGGCGGGCACCTGTAGTCCCAGCTACTCGGGAGGCTGAGGCAGGAGAATGGCATGAAACCGGAAGGCGGAGCTTGCAGTGAACCAAGATCGTGTCACTGCACTCCAGCCTGGGTGACAGAGCGAGACTCTGACTCAAAAAAATAAATAAATAAATAAATAAAATAAAAATAAAAATGCAATATGGAATATTAGATCATAGAACAGAAAAAAAATTAGTGAAAAAATGGTAAAACTTTTTTTTTTTTTTTTTTTTTTTTTTTTTTTTTACACAGGGTCTTGCTCTGGTGCCAGGCTACATACAGTGCAGTGGCATGATCATAGCTCAATGCAGCTTCCTCATCCCAGGCTCAAGCAATCCTCCCACTTCAGCTTCCCAAGTAGCTGGGACCACAGGTGTGCGCCACCAAACCAGCTAACTCTTTTTTAATTTTATGTAGAGAGGGAGTCTCCCTATGTTGCCCAGACTGGTCATAAATTCCAGAGCTCAAGGCATCCCCTCGCCTCAGCCTCCCAAAGTGCTGAGATTATAGGCATAGCCACTGTGCCCAGCAAAAATGGTAAAATCTTAACAACTATGGTTTAGTTAATAGTATTGTACCAATGCTATCATCTTAGTTTTGATCACTGTACTATGACTATGTAGGATATTAACATTGGGGGAAGCTGGGTGAAGGGTATACAGATCTCTCTGCAATATTTTTGCAAGTATTCTGTAAGTTTAAAATGATTTCAAGTAAAAAGCTAAAAAACAGGCTGGTGCAGTGACTCATGCCTGTAATCCCAGCACTTTGGGAGGCAGAGGCAGGTAGATCACTTGAGGTCAGGAATTCAAGACCAGCCTGACCAACATGGTGAAACCCTATCTCTACCAAAAATACAAAAATTAGCTGGGTGTGGTGGCACACACCTGTAATCCCAGCTACTCAGGAGGCTGAGGCAAGAGAATTGCTTGAACCCAGGAGGTGGAGGTTGCAGTAGGCCAAGATCACACCACTGCACTCCAGCCTGGGCAACAGAGTGAGACTCTGGCTGAAAAAAAAAAAAAAAAGTAAAAAACAAAAAACAGTGGTATCTAGTCTCTGGATCCAGCTGCCTATTTGCAGGAAATAGAGATGATAGAGGAACATGTTAAATTGTATCATGATATATAATCAGGAAAATTCAAACTATGGGAGATCTGTCTGGATTCTTCAATAGATAAACACTATGGAAGAGAAAGGGAACCTGGGACCCTAAAAATTAAGAGAGATTGAAAACACAAACAAAAACTTTTTTCTTAGGGGCAAGACTAAGCCTAACGGCAAATGAACTAGGGATGTTCATTTGAGTAATAAAACTTTTAAAAATACAAAGATGTCATTACATATAAAAGTCAGGATAATAGTTACTTATGAAAAGAGTGAGGGGATTGTGACGAAGGGGGGCTTCTGAAGTGAGTGGCAAAGTTCTGATTCTTGACTTGGATGACAGTTACAAAAATGTTCACCTTACAATAATTCACCATAGAATACATTGTTATGTGTGTCTTACAAATTCTGTTTAATTTTGTAATAACGGCTTTTTTTTTTTTTTTGAGACAAAGTCTTGCTCTATTGCCCAGGCTGGAGTGCAGTGGCATGATCTCAGCTCACTGCAACCTCCACCTCCTGAGTTCAAGTGATTCTCCTGCCTCAGCCTCCTGAGTAGCTGGGACTACAGGCTCCTGCCACCACACCCAGCTAATTTTTGTATTTTTAGTAGAGACAAGGTTTCACCATGTTGCCTAGGCCGGTCTCGAACTCAAGCTCAAGCAATCTACCCACCTCCCACCTTAGCCTCCCAAAGTGCTGGGATTACAGGTGTGAGCCACCTCGCCTGGCCATAAAGGCTTTTTTAAGTAGTGGTATCAGAAGTGCTCTTCCTGACCCTGATTCTTTTATTTTTGAGACAAGGTCTTGTTCTGTCGCCCAGGCTGGAGTGCAGTGGTGCAATCTTGGCTCACTGCAGCCTCCACCTCCTGGGCTCAAGCCACCCTCCCACCTCAGTCTCCCAGGTAGCTGGGACTACAGGCACACGCCACCATACCCACCTAATTTTTGTATTTCTTTTTTGTAGAGGTGGGGTTTCACCATGTTATCCAGGCTGGTCTCAAACTCCTAAGCTCAAGTGATCTGCCCACCTCAGCCTGCCAAAGTGCTGGGATTACAGGCTTGAGCCACCATGCCCAGCAACCCTGATTCTCATAGCTGTAGTAGGGGTGGGTTTCTAGATAAGTACTAATAGCTTGGGCTCTACCCTGAACTCAAAAAGCTAAGCCTATACGAACTGTCAATCTTTGGGTGAAAGCCTCAGGAAAGACTAAAACATGGCAGAAAGTTTCTAACATTATTCCTGACAGATATCTAAACAAGATGATACTGGTGGAACAGCCATACCTAAAGATTGCTAGCTCTTCATACAAAATATTATTAGCGAGGTCACCTTGGGCAAATGACTTAATCTCTCCATGCCTCAATTTTCTCATTTATAAAATGGGGTTGATAACAGTTTGCCATTTTAGAGATCAAATTAGTGCATTAACACACCTAAAGTGCTTAGAACAATACCAGGCATGTAAAAAGCATCATATCATTGTTAATTTCTTTCTTTTCTTCTTCCTTTTTTTTTGAGACGGAGTTTTGCTCGTTGCCCAGGCTGGAGTGCAATGGCGCGATCTCGGCTCACCGCAACCTCTGCCCCCCGGGTTCAAGTGATTCTCCTGCCTCAACCTCCCAAGTAGCTGGGATTACAGTCATGCACCACCACGTCCGGCTAATTTTGTATTTTTTTAGTAGAGACAGGGTTTCTCCATGTCGGTCAGGCTAGTCCCGAACTCCTGACCTCAGGTGATCCACCCACCTCGGCCTCCCAAGTGCTGGGATTACAGGCGTTAGCCACCGTGCCCAGCCTGTTAATTTCTTATTAATTTTTTAGAAGCTCCTGCTTTTGTCAAACAGGAAATTCATTCCTTAAAAATTTATTTCTTGGCCGGGCGCAGTGGCTCACACCTGTAATCCACCACTTTGGGAGGCCAAGGCAGGTGGATCACCTGAGATCAGGAGTTTGAGACCAGACTGACTAACATGGTGAAACCCCATCTCTACTAAAAACACAAAATTAGCCAGGTGTGGTGGCTCATGCCTGTAATCTCAGCTACTCAGGAGGCTAAGACAGGAGAATGAATCGTTTGAACCTGAGAGGCAGAGGTTTCAGTGAGCTGAGATTGTGCCATTGCACTCCAGCCAGGGCAACAAGAGTGAAACTCCTTCTCAAAAAAAAAAAAATTTTCTTTTTTTATAAGGCAGAGTCTCACTCTGTCACCTAGGATGGAATGCAGTGGCACGATCTCGGCTCACTGCACCCTCCACCTCTGCCTCCCGGGCCCATGCAATCCTCCTGCCTTAGCGTCCCGAGTAGCTGAGACTACAGGTATGGGCCAAACATGTCCAGCTAATTTTTGTATTTTTTTGTAGAGACAGAGTTTTGCCATGTTGCCCAGGCTGGTCTCAAACTCCTGGGCTCAAGTGATCCTCCCGCCTCGGCCTCCCAAAGTGCTGGGATTACAGGCATGAGCCACAAAACCCGGCCTGGAAATTTATATGTATTTTAGTTACACTATCAAATAAACCGATGGATTTGTAGAAATAGGTAACAGAAAAGATATTTTTCCTGTTGAAATGGATATGTTATTTGTGCCTGCCCAACATCAATCTTCCCTTCTTTTGGTAACAGCACCCTAATTTTTCCTATGGGATACCCCCCTTGTGTACATTTTGGGTGAGACTGCCTCCTTTCCAAAGAGGTAGATACATGACCCAGGCAGACTACAGTAATTGACCGAAGAATTGGTATATGACCCAAATCAGTTCAATGTGACTTAATTCCAGAGCTTTCGTTGCACTTATTCAAAAAAAAAGAGGTCAGGCATGGTGGCTCATGCCTATAATCCCAGCACTTTGGGAGGCCAAGGCAGAAGGATCGCTTGAGGCCAGGAGCTTAAGACCAGCCTAGGCAATATATTGAGACCCCATCTCTACAAAAAACAATAAAAAACAATTAGCAAAGTGTGGGAGCATGCACCAATCCCAGCTGTTTGGGAGGCTGAGTCAAGAGGATCTCTTGAGCCCAGAAGGATGAGGCTGCAGAGAATTATGATCATGCCGCTGCACTCCAGCCTGGGAGACAGAGTGGGACCCTGTCTCTCAAAAAAAAAAAAAAAAAAAAAAAATCAGTCCATACTATAGCCAATCAAAATCTATTTGGATTTGGATCCAGGGCCCCTTTACCCAAAGAACTGATCATTCAAAAATTTAAAATGTCAGCCCGGCGTGGTGGCTCACGCCTGTCATCCCAGCACTTTGGAAGGCCGAGGCGGGTGGATCACGAGGTCAGGAGATCGAGACCATCCTGGCTAACATGGTGAAACCCCGTCTCTACTAAAAATACAAAAAATTAACCGGGTGTGGTGGCGGGTGCCTGTAGTCCCAGCTACTCGGGAGGCTGAGGCAGGAGAATGGCGTAAACCCGGGAGGCGGAGCTTGCAGTGAGCTGAGATTGCACCACTGCACTCCAGCCTGGGTGACAGAGTGAGACTCCGTCTCAAAAAAAAAAAAAAAAAAAATGTAAAATGTCATGTGAAACCAGAAGGAGTCCTACTTTACTATTTTTAAATTCCTGCCTTTTAGGGTTTATATAATCAGCTGCTTTAAAAAATATCCCATTTAAGGTACCCTTTGAAGAAAAGTAATGCTTACAGATGTTGTACCTTCCCTCCCAAATGATACAAATAATCATGCTGATTTAGTCAGATCCAGATGATGGGTGGTTAACAAATCTCTCTCTCTTTCTAGTCCTGACACTGGCCTCAAGCTCCAGACCTAAACCTGTCAGTATTGTACTATCACATTATACACACATGAAACACTACTATGTCCTTTCTGATTCATCTATTTCAGCCCATGTCAGCACTATTTTTCCTAATATCTCAACTCAAAACCTTAGAATTCACCTTTTTGGCTTTCATTATTGTGTTGAGCTTCAACATGGATTATCTCGTTGAACAGGATACATAATTTCCTATTTTACAGATGGAAACACTGACGTTAGAATTCATACAGCTTGGCCGGGCGTGGTGGCTCACGCCTGTAATCCCAGCACTTTGGGAGGCCAAGGCGGGCGGATCACGAGGTCAGGAGATCAAGACCAGCCTGGCTAATATGGTGAAACCTCGTGTCTACTAAAAATACAAAAATTAGCCAGGCATGGTGGCATGTGCCTGTAGTCCCAGCTACTTGGGAGGCTGAGGCAGAAGAATCGCTTGAACCTGGGAGGCAGAGGTTGCAGTGAGCCAAGATCATGCCACTACACTCCAGCCTGGGCAACAGACTGAGACTCCATCTCAAAAACAACAACAACAAAAAAAGCTTGGCGCAGTGGCTCATGCCTGTAATCCCAGCACTTTCACAGGTCAAGGCGGGCGGCTCACCTGAGGTCAGGAGTTTAAGACCAGACTAGCCAACATGGTGAAACTTATCTCTACTAAAAATACAAAAATTAGCTGGGCATGGTGGCGGGCACCTGTAATCCCAGCTACCCAAGAGGCTGAGACGAGATAACAGCCTGAACCTGGGAGGCGGAGGTTGCAGTGAGCCGAGATCGCGCCATTGCACTCCAGCCTGGGCAACAAGAGCAAAATTCTGTCTCAAAAAAAAAAAGAATTCATACAGCTTATAAGTTGCAGAACTAGAGAAAGAGTCAAACCTTTTCTGAGATTCCAGACCCTGCACTCTTAATTACCAAACAACACTGTCTCATCTTTGGATCCTTCACCTGTCCATCCTGTAAGTAACCTCCTGTAAGTAACCAGATCCTATGCTTTCTTCTCTTCCACATTTATTCAACAGTAACTACACACCTACTGTATGCCAGACATAAAAGAATTCAGGAATGAATAAAACAGAATCCTTCAAGGAGCTCATAATATAGTGGAAAAGGCCAGGTGTGGTAGCTTATGCCTGTAATCCCAGCACTTTGAGAGACCCAGATGGGCGGATCACTTGAGCCCAGGAGTTTGAGACCAGCCTAAGCAACATGGTGAAACCCCATCTCTACAAAAAATACAAAAAAATAATAATAATAACAAGTAGGGTTGGTGGTACATGCCTGTAGTCCCAGCTACCAACTACTTGGGAGGCTGAGGAGGGAGGATGTCCTGAGCCCGAGAGGTCAAGGCTGCAGTGACCCATTATCACTGCACTCCAGCCTGAGTGTCAGAGTGAGACCCTGTCTCTTGAAGAAAAAAAAAAAAAAAAAGAGGCCAGGCATGGCGGCTCACACCTGTAATCCCAGCACTTTGGGAGGCCGAGGAAGGCAGATCACCTGAGGTCGGGAGTTCAAGACCAGCCTGACCAACATGGAGAACCCCTGTCTCTACTAAAAATACAAAATTAGCCAGGCATGGTGGTGCATGCCTGTAATCCCAGCTGCCCAGGAGGCTGAGGCAGAAGAATTGCTTGAACCCAGGGGGCGGAGGTTATGGTGAGCCGAGATCGCACCATTGCACTCCAGCTAGGGCAATGAGAGTGAAACTCCATCTCAAAAAAAAAAAAAAAAAAAAAGAGAGAGAGAGAAAATGTGGAAAAACCGGATATAAACAGGTAATTATGAGATAAGAAATGCTCTTAGTAGGGTGTAGAGGAAGAAGGGCCTAATACTGCCTCAGGTTTTCAGTTATCCAGAAGAAAACAGGAACCAAATGGCTTCGATTCATTTCAACAGAAAAATAATACGCAGAGGTAACAAATCCAAGCTCTTACAATCTCAGACATGAATTATTACTATCTTTATTACCATTCCCCAACTAGGAAACCTGGGCAAATTAACTTCTCTAAATTTCAGTTCCCTCATCTGTAAAAGGGGGAAAATAACACCATCTATCACATAGAAATAAATGTGAGGACTAAATGAGAAAAGGTATATGTTACCATTTTTAGAAACCTTAACTCTATTCATAAAACACCCATTCATTATGCCGTTCCCCATACCAACATTCTATGGGATAACATCAAAACGTTAGCCTTGGCCAGGTGCCATGGCTCACGCCTGAAATCCCAGCACTTTGGGAGGCCAAGTGAGACTGCTTGAGTCCAGGAGTTCCAGACCAGCCTGGGCAACATAGAAAGACCCTGTCTCTAAACAAAAAACAAAAACAAAAACAAAAAAACTTTAGCATTTAAAGGACACAAAGGGGACTTCTGGGGTGCTGATACTGTTTCTTGAACTAGGTGCTGGCTACATGAGTGAATACAGTTTTTAAAAATTCATTGAACTCTACACTTACTTAATATGCATTGTATGTATACTGTACTTCAGTAAAAAAAAAAAAAAAAAAGTTGTTTGTTTTTTTTTAATCATCAAACTCTGGCCTAAACCTAGCTTCCACCCCATTACTCCCCTGCTTTGGACATTTCACATCCTTGAACGTTTCTTCATCCTATTTACTTTCTGCTACCTGGAACTCTCCTTTTCTCTAATCTCCCTTTCAAAACCCTACATCCTTCAAGAGTCAGCTCAAATCCCACATTCTGGAAAACTGGAAAGGTAGGGGATAGTTTATTCAGGGTCAGAATACTAAGGAAGGAACTGGGTGGACACATAAAGTATACTTTTCATGAATTATTATAACGATTTGTCTCCCTCACTAGCCTGTGCAGCTACTTCAGGCCAACTTCGCTTTCTCGCTGTAGGCGTTAGTATAAAACAATGTTCGGTGAAGAACTTAGTAAGGAACAGTAACAAAAATTGCCCTGCAAGTCCCAGACTGAGAAGAGACGTCTAAAGCACACGCACACTCTCCTCGCTTAAGCAAAATTGGTCCCCTCATCCCGGACCCCCTCACACATAACCTTTTATCCCAGGGAGCACCCCTGGCGATCCCGCCCCAAATCCCAAACTCCTCTGCAAGCCGCGCTCCACAAGCACCTCCTCCTCTTATTCCAACCCTTCCCACAGACCACACTCCTCGGCTCAGGACACTGAATGGGACACGCCCCCTCAGATCCCCACCACTAGGTGGTCCGGCCCCCAGGGCCCAAACCTCACGACACTGTCCCCACGCCCCGGTCCCCACGCCCCCTCCCCTCACCAGCCCCGCCCTCAGGCCCCGCCCTCTCCAAGAACCCCACGAGACAGTCAGTTAGTTCTCTAGGAACCGCGCGCTGGCGGTCACTGCCCCCGCCTCCCATTCACAGAGGCCGCGGGAGGGCAGGTGGGGCCTGACAGTCTGCTCGAGCCAGTGGCCTCACCTCTCTTCCAAGAGCTCAGTGGGGACACCACCTCCACCCGCTCGGAAATGAACTCGGCCAGACTGGAGCGGAACAAGGCCGCCCGCACTGTCACAGCCACCACCAGCACCAGGACCAAGGGAGCCGCCATGATAACTGGGGCGGGCGCGCGGGCGGGGAGGGAAGGCGAGGCGGAGGAGCCTCGCGCGCTGTGCGCCACGCTCTGTAGTTCCGCGGGTGGGCGCGCGCTGCCGCTGGCGCCGGAGAGGCCAGACGTGGGGACTACGGCTCCCAGAAAGCCTTGCGGCGAGGCGGGCCGGAGCGACGGAAAGCGGGCGCCTCAAGCTGCGTATGCAGAAGGTGGGGCGAAACCTTCTACGATCGCAGGTGTTTTGTGAAGCCGCGCCGCTATAGCGGGGCTGAAACGCTGCTGAAAGTAGAAGCGGAAGTAGTCGCCTTCCTGGGATTGTGAGAGACTTTTAAACAGATGTTAAATTCACTCTTGCGTGTATGTTTTCAATGCCAAAATGTTTATTTTTATTTTTATTTTTATTTTTTTTGAGACGGAGTCTCGCTCTGTCGTCCGGCTGGAGTGCAGTGGCGCGATCTTGGCTCACTGCAACTTCCGCCTCCTGGGTAGCTGGGATGACAGGCGCCCACCACCACGCGCGGCTATTTTTTTTTTTTTTTTTTTTTTGTATTTTTAGTAGAGATGGGGTTTCACCATGTTGGCCAGGTTGGTCTCGAACTCCTGACCTCAGGTGATCCGCCCGCCTCGGCTTCCCAAAATGCTGGGATTACAGGCGTGAGCCACCGCACCCTGCCCAAAATGTTTATGTTTTTTGTTTTTGAGACAGGGTCTCAGTGCCGTCGCCCAGGCTGGAGTGCAGTGGCGCAATCTCAGCTCACTGCAGCCTGGACCTCCCGGGCTCCAGAGTAGCTGGGACCACAGGTGCGCGCCACCACACCCGGCTAAGTTTTTGTACTTTTAGTAGAGACGGGGTTTCGCCATGTTGCCCAGGCTGGTACCTTTTATGTTTTTAAAGAGTGTTAAATGTGTATTTTTTAAAAAATTTATTCTGGCAGTTGTTTGTTAAACGCCAACTATTTTCCAGGCACTATGTTAGGTTCTACAGATGCGTTTTGGAGTAGTAGACTGATTTATTAGCTAGTTCAACAAGTCGCTTAACCCTTGTGTGCTGAAAAATGTGCTGATTATAGGCTAACTAGGGACAGTTGAGGAAGGCTTAGAAATTTTTTTTTTGTTTTGGAAACGGAGTTTCGCTCTTATTGCCCGGGTTGGAGTGCAATGGCGCGATCTCAGCTCACTGCAACCTCCGACTCCCAGGTTCAAGCGATTCTCCTGCCTCAGCCTCCCGAGTAGCTGGGATTACATGCATGCGCCATCACGCCCGGCTAATTTTTTGTAATTTTAGTAGAGACAGGGTTTCTCTATGTTGGTCAGGCTGGTCTCGAACTCCAGACTTCAGGCGATCCACCTGCCTGCCTCGGCCTCCCAAAGTGCTGGGATTACAGGCTTGTGTCATCGTGCCTGGCCGGAAGGCTTAGAAATTTTGCCAGTCGCTTTTAAACACAGGCATTTTTGAAAATTAAGACATATAAACCTACAGTTAAATAACTTATATTGAAAACAACGGAATACATATTCAACACGTCACTTTCTAATTATTTTACTACACTTTTTTTTATATGTGCTTTTGAGATTATTTACCACCGCTGTATCAGTACAGCAAATACTATCTCTTTCTCTTCCCAAATGGTGGTGTTCAGTTTCCTCAGGTTGATAGATTGAAAATCCCTCCCAATGCGAGTGTTTACACCACAGGAATCAGCAAACACTACAAATCAGGGGTTTGGGGTTTGGAGAGCCCATTGATAAGCATTAAGCAGCACACTTCATTAATTAATGTATAGTAAGTGCTTAAATATTAGCAATAATAATATTAAATGTGCAAGGAAATTTCATATTTGTGAAGAAAAGGAAACAGGCTGGACGCAGTGGCTCACGCCTGTAATCCCAGCACTTTGGAAGGCCGAAGCAGCCGGATCACTTGAGGTCAGGAGTTTGAAACCAGCCTGCCCAACATGGTGAAACCTCGTCTCTATTAAAATTACAAAAATTAGCCAGGCATGGTGGCCTGTGCCTGCAGTCCCAGCTACTCAGGAGGCTGAGGCAAGAGAATCACTTGAACCTGGGAGGCGGAGGCTACAGCGAGCCAAGATAGCGCCATTGCACTCCAGCCTGGGCGACAGAGCCAGACTCTGTCTCAAAAAAAGAAAGAGAGAGAAGAAAGAAAACGAAACAGTGTATGACTGAGAATAACTGCTGGTGTAATAATAAGGGTGGTAACACTAGACAAGGTGATCAGGGAAGACTCTAGAAAGAGGTGATATTTGAGCTGAGACCTAAAGGATGAGAAATTAATCAGAGCCTCCAAGCAGAAGGAACGGACTGAGTGGGGAAAGAGCAAGGTATGTTTGAGGATCAGAAAGAAAACAAGTATGGCTCAAGTGGAGAGAATAGAAGAAGCTGTGGATGGAGAGACGGGGGGCAATCAGGTAGGGACCTATTGGCCATGCTTGAGAATTTGGGCTTTATTCAAAGTGCAATCCATATGCCATTGGAGAATTTTAAACCAGAAATGATGTGAACAGGTGTACATTTTTCAAACATCTCTATATTCCCACAAGCCCTCTATTGGGTGTTGGGGAATATTGCAGTGACAAAATGGCACCATCTGCCTTTGCCCTTATGTAACTTGGAAAGCAGTTGAAGAGATAAAATAGTTAAAGAATAACATAAGTAAAATCACAAACCATAACTCCAGCCTGGGCGACAGAGCAAGACTCCGTCTCAAAAAAAAAAAAAAAAAATCACAAACCTTAATGAGAGAAAGAAAAGGGGGAGTGGGCCAGGCGCAGTGGCTCACGCCTGTAATCTCAGCACTTTGAGAGGCCATGGCGGGAGGATTGCTTGAGCCCAGGAGTTTGAGACCAGCCTGGGCAACATGGTGAAACCTGTCTCTACAGAAAACATAAGAATTACCCAGGCATGGTGGCGCATGCCTGTAGTCTCAGCTACTGGGAAGGCTGAGGTGGGAGAATCACTTGAGCCTGGGAGGTTGAAGCTGCAGCGAGCCAAGATCACGCCGCTGCTCTCAGGCCTGTACGACAAAGCAAGACCTTGCCTCAAAAAAAAAAAAAAAGAAAAAAGAAAAAAAATGGCCGGGCGCAGTGGCTCACACCTGTAATCTCAGCACTTTGGGAGGCCGAGGCAGGCAGATCACTTGAGGTCAGGAGTTCGAGACCAGCCTGGCCAACATGGTGAAACCCCGTCTCTACTAAAAATACAAAAAATTTAGCTGGGCAAGGTGGCGGGCACCTGTAATCCCAGCTACTTGGGAGGCTGAGACAGGAGAGTCACTTCGACCCGAGGATCGGCGGTTGCAGTGAGCCGAGATTGCACCACTGCACTCCAGCCTGGGCGACAGAGCAAGACTGTCTCAAAAAAAAAGAAAAAAGAAAAAGAAAAAAATGGGAGTGGGATTCTAAAAGAATGCAAAAATAAACCCTGGGGCTGATAGCTTTCTGGACCAGTGAAAGGGGTAGGGTCTCCTTTGGGGGAGGGGATCATGAAGAAATTAGAGGGGCACTCATCCTTTGAGCCCCTGCTGTGTGCCAAGTAGTGTACCATATGCTTAACACACATGAGCTTATTTAGTCTGCACAGCCTTCCTTCTTAAAGATGTGGGTTTTTGTATCCCCTTTTACATAAAAGGAGATATATGTGTTGCATCATCTTACAGTGAAGTGTATTACATCATAAAAAGTGGAAGTAATTGTAACACTAACCTCATAGTGAATATTGAGCAAGGTTATACAATGTAAAATGCTTAGCACATACCCAGTGCTCAGTAAAGGTTACTTAGCTGTTATATTATTTACATCATTCTAACAGATGACTTAAAAATTTATCTTAGGGTGAGGATTGTCTTTGGGAAAAACAGTGATTAGCCATTGTAGACAGATGTGACCCAAACCAGTGGTTCTCAAAATGAGTGTGCATGAAGTATGAATACAACTAGTGGTTCTCAATAAAAAAACACAAGACCCAAATACAGAAGCTAGAATTATAAAACTCATAAAAGAAAACATAGGAGTAAACTTTTATGACCTTTAATTAGGCAATGGTTTCTTAGATAACAACACCAAAAGCACAGGCAACAAAAGGAGAAATAAGTAAATTGAGCTTTGTCAAAATTAAAAACTTCTGTGTTCCAAAGGACACCATCAAGAAATGAAAACTGCTGGGCACGGTGGCTCATGTCTGTAATCCCAGCACTTTGGGAGGCCGAGGTGGGCAGATCACTTGAGGTCAGGAGTTTGAGACCATCCTGGCCAACACGGTGAAACCCCGCCTCTACTAAAAATATAAAAGTTAGCCAGGAATGGTGGCGGGCACCTGCAATCCCAGCTATCGGGAGGCTGAGACGGGAGAATTGCTTGAACCCAGGAGCTAATGTTGCATTGAGCCGAGATGGTGCCACTGCACTCCAGTCTGGGCACCAGAGCAGGACTCTGTCTCAAAAAAAAAAAAAAAATTTAAAGACTGGGCGCGGTGGCTCACGCCTGTAATCCCAGCACTTTGGAAGGCCGAGGCCGGTGGATCACAAGGTCAGGAGTTCAAGACCAGCCTGGCCAAGATGGTGAAACCCCCATCTCTATTAAAAATACAAAAGTTAGCCAGTCGCAGTGGCAGGCACCCGTAATCCCAGCTACTTGGGAGGCTGAGGTGGGAGAATCGCTTCAACCTGGGGGGTGGAGGTTGCGGTGAGCTGAGATCATGCCACTGTACTCTAGCCTGGGCAACAGAGTGAGACTCCATCTCAAAGAAAAAAAAATTTAAAAAAGAGAAATGAAAACTGGCTCAGGCCTGTAGTCCCAGCACTTTGGGAGGCTGAGGTGGGAGGATTACTTGAGCCCAGGAGTTCAAGTCCAGCCTGAGCAACATGATAAGACCCCCATCTCTACAAAAAATTAAAAAAAAAAAAGCCAGGCACAGTGGTTCACACCTGTAATCCCAACACTTTGAGAGACCAAGGTGGGTGGATTGCTTGAGCTCAGGATTTGGAGACCAACCTGGGCAACATGGCGAAACTCCATCTCTATTTAAAAAAAAGAAAAAATAAATACAAAAATGAGCCAGGCATGATGGCATGCACCTGTAGTCCCAGCTACTCGGGAGGCTGAGGTGGGAGGACTGCTTGAGCCTAGGAGGCGGAGGTTGCAGTGAGCCAAGATTGTGCCACTGTACTCCAGCCTGAGCAACAGAGTGAGACCCCTTCAAAAAAGAAAAAAGAAAACCCACAGAATGGGAGAAAATTATCTGCAAATTATATATTTGAGTAGGGACTTATCCAGAATGTTTAAAGAACTGTTACAACTCAGTAATAAAAAGACAGTAATAAAAGACAAATACCCAAATGGAGAAAGGAATTGAATAGACATATCACCAAAGAAGATACACAAATGGCCAATAAGCATGTAAAAAGATGCTCGACATTATTAGTTATTAGGGAAATGCATATCAAAACCACAATGCGATACCATTTCAAACTCAATAGGATAGCTATAATAAAAGACTGACAGTAGACCAGGCGCGATGGCTCATGCCTGTAATCCTAGCACTTTTGGGAGGCCAAGGCGGGCAGTTCATTTGAGGTCAGGAGTTCAAGACCAGCCTGGCCAACATGTTGAAACCCCGTCTCTACAAAAAATACAAAAATTAGCTAGGCATGGTAGCACACGCCTGTAAGCCCAGCTACTAAGGAGGCTGAGGCAGGAGAATTGCTTGAACCCAGGGGGCAGAGGTTTCAGTGAGCCGAGATCACACCACTGCACTCCAGCCTGGGTGACAGAGCAAGACTCCATCTCAAAAAATAAAATAAAAATAAAACTGACAGTAACAAGTGTTGACAAGGAAGTGGAGAAATTAGAGCTTTTATACATGGCAGGTGGGAACATAAAATATTGTATCCACTTTGGAAAACAGGTTGGTATTTCATCAAGATGTTAAACAGAATTGCCTTATGACCCACCAACTCAACACCTAGCTATATATCTGAGAGAAATGTAAACGTATGTCCACAAAAAAAATTATGCACAAATGTTCATAGCTCATTCATAAAACCAAGAAGTGGAAATAACCCAAATGAATGGATAAGCAAGATGTGGTATACCTACAATGGAATATAACTGGACAATAAAAAAAAATGAAGTAGTTATCCATGCTGCAACATAGATGAACCTTGAAGACATTATGCTAAATGAAATAAGCCAGTCACAAAAGACCACATGCTATGTAATTCCATTTATATTAAATGTCCATGGGTGGGCGTGGTGGCGCATGCCTGTAATCCCAGCACTTTGAGAAACTGAGGCGGGAGGATTGCTTGAGCCCCAAAGTTTGATACCAGCCTGAGCAATATAGGGGAGACTCCGTCTCTATAAAAAAGTAAAACATGGCCAGGTGCGGTGGCTCACCCCTATAATCCCAGCACTTTGGGAGGCCAAGGTGGGTGCGTCACCTGAGGTCAGGAGTTCGAGACCAGCCTGACCAACATGGCAAAGCCTCATCTCTACTAAAAATACAAAAATTAGCCGGGTGTGGTGGCATGTGCCTGTAATCCCAGCTACTCAGGAGACTGAGGCGGGAGAATCACTTTGAACCCAGGAGACAGAGGTTGCAGTGAGCGAGACTACGCCACTGCACTCCAGCCTGGGCAACAGAGCAAGAATCCACCTCAAAAAAAAAAAAAAAAAAAAAAAAGTAAAACATTAGCCAGGAATGGTGGCAGGCACCTGTGGTCCTAGCTACTCAGGAGGCTGAGACAGGAGGATCACTTGAGCCTAGGAGGTAGAGGCTGCAGTGAGCCGTGTTTGTGGCCACTGCCCTCTAGCCTGGGTGACAGTGAGACTCTTCCTCAAAAAATATTAAAAAAGAGAGAAATGTCCAGAAGAGTCAAATTTATAGAGGCAGAAAGTAGATTAGTGCTTGCCTAGGGCTGGGGGTGGTGACTGGGGGAGTAGGGAATGGGAAATGACTGCCAATAGGTACGGAGTTTCAGCTGGGTGCGGTGGCTCATGCCTGTAATCCCAGCACTTTGGGAGGCTGAGGGCGGGGGTGGATCACCTGAGGTCAGGAGTTCAAGACCAGCCTGACCAACATGGAGAAACGCTATCTCTACTAAAAATACAAAATTATCTGGGTGTGGTGGCGCATGCCTGTAATCCCAGCTACTTGGGAAGCTGAGGCAGGAGAATTGCTTCAACCCGGGAGGCAGAAGTTGCGGTGAGCTGAGATCACGCCATTTGTACTGCAGCCTGGACAACAAGAGTGAAACCTCATCTTAAAAAAAAAAATTAGTAAGCATCAGAATCACGGGGGAGATGTATTTTTTATTTTATTTATTTTTATTTTTCATAAATAGAGATGGGATCTTGCTATGTTGCCCAGGCTGGTCTTGAACGCCTGGGCTCAAGCGATCCTCCTGCCTCAGTCTCCCAAAGTGCTGGGATTACTGGCATGACCAGCCTAGATTTTTGAAGTGTAAATTTTCTAGTTCTGACCTAGAGACTAGGCCTGGTGTGGAGCCCAGGAATCTACATTCTTAATCTCTCCAGGTAATTCTAATGTTTGTGATTCAGAAGCCATACCTTGGGAAACAAAAAAATAACCCTGAAGGCGTAGGTGTCCAGTAGCTTACACAAAAAAAGATGAATATAGTAATGATAACTAGCAAATATTGAGTGCTTACTAGGTGCTAAGTACTGTTTTAAGTGCTTTACACATATTATCTCATTTAGTACATGTACCGTTACAAGTGCTATCTATTATTTCTCCATCACCAATGAGGAAACAGAGGCACAAAGAGGTTTAGTAACTTGCCTAAGGTCACATGGCTAGTAAGTGGCAGAACCAGGATCTGTCTGTTAGCTCTAGATACTGTGGTCAAGCTGCTCTGCCTGAGAAAATGAGAAGAATTTGGGTTGTGTTGGATTGGGTTGTGTTGGGTTGGGTTGCGTTGGGTTGGGTTGGGTTGTGTTGGGTTGGATTGGGGTGCTTTCTTGTTGTAGCTGAGAAGGAAGGGTAGGGAATAGAAAGGAAGGAGATAATAAAGGAGCAATCATGGTGTTTTGTTTTGTTTTTTTCCTGTGACACCAGAGATTCCTGTGATATGTGGGTTACCTAGAGAGGAAGAAATTGAGGTGCTAAGATACTAAGTAACCACTGGAATGAGTGAATTGCAATCAGTTTTTAATGACCTTGCATCTTTCCATTCAAGAATCAGCATTCTTGGAAAAAGCGCAAGATTGATTAAGATTAGGTCTTGTGCCCAATCTTAATCAGCCAGAAAAGTGTATCTGTGAGAAGTCAGATGATGAATTTACCATATTCGCCTGAGGACAGCACACCCTAAAGGCAATTGGATGAAGTCAGTTCGAGGAAGGCGAAAGGGTACAGTCCTGTGCTGCATAAAGACATTTTGGTCAACGTTGGACTGCATATACCACAGTGGTCCCCTACGATTATAGTGGAGCTGAAAAATTCCTCTTGCCTACTGATGTTGTAGCCATCATAACATCGTGGCTTAATTTGTTATCTTTTCTATGTTTCCATATGTTTAGATACACAAATACTTACCACTGTGTTACAATTGCCTGTAGTATCCAGTATAGTAACATGCTGTACAGGTTTGTGGCCTGCAAGCAATAGGCTATACCATATAGCTTAGGTGCGTAGTAGGCTTTACCATCTAGGTTTGTGAACCTGCTAATAATAATAGTGATGACAAAGACAGACCCAGGCCTCCCTGTACTGTGGTTTATAGTCTAGCAGGGAGTCATACAAAATAGAAGTAAGCAAACAAAATAATTAGGGACTGTGACCACACCAAAATAAGTAGGGATTGTGAGGGCAAAAGACCAGGAAGAATGATAATGAATAATGGAGGACCTACTGTATATTGGATGGTCAAGAAAAGCCTTTCTGAAGAGGTGATATTTCAGCTGACACCCAAAGGATGGGAAGGAGCCATTGATGTAAAGAGTTGGCAGTGGTATGTATTGGAAGGAGGGGATGGAGGTTACAAACAGCTTGTAATGAGGGAGGCCAATGTAGTCGGAGTGATACGAGCAAGATGTGAGACTGGAGAAGCAGGCAAGGGCCAGATGGCCTTGGTGGACTATGGTGCTAAGTTGGATTTTTATTCTAAGAGAAATGGGAAGTGCACGGAAGGGTTTCAAGTTGAGTTGGAACATAATCATCATTTAAAGTTTAAAAATATGCCTCTGGCCAGGCACGGTGGCTCACGCCTGTAATCCCAGCACTTTGGGAGGCCCAGGTGGGTAGATCACGAGGTCAGGAGTTCAAGACCAGCCTGGCCAACATGGTGAAACACCATCTCTACTAAAAATACAAAAATTAGCCGGGCATGGTGGCAGGCGCCTGCAATCCCAGCTACTTGGGAGGCTGAGGCAGGAGAATCGCTTGAAACTGGAAGGTGGAGGTTGCAGTGAGCCAAAATCACGCCACTGCACTCTAGCCTGGGTAAACAGTGTGAAACTCTGTCTCAAAAAAAAAAAAAAAAAGAAAAGAAAAGAAAAGAAAATATGCCTCTAAGGCTGGGCATGGTGATTCATGCCTGTAGTCACAGCACTTTGGGAGGCTGAGGCAGGAGGATTGCTTCAGCCCAGGAGTTTGAGACCAGCCTGGCCAACATTTCAAAACCACATCTCTACCAAAAAAAAAAAAACAAAACAAAAAAAAAAAACTAGCCAGGTGTGGTGGTGCACACCTGTGGTCCCAGCTACTTGGGAGGCTTAAGTGGGAGGATCACTTGAGCCTGGAGGGTCGAGGCTGCAGTGAGCCATGATCGTGCCACACTGTACTCCAGCCTGGGCGACAGAGTGAGACCCTGTCTCAAAAAAAATTTTTAAAAAGACACAGCAAAGGCCTGATCTGTGTGACTGCGGATTTTTTACCAGAAGACAATAAACTACATAAAAATTTAAAAACAAACAGTAACAACCACGTGGGTGGGTGTGGAAGTCAGTAGCATGTACGAAAAGGTCATTAAAGGCTTCTTTGAGGTCGCAAAAGTAAAAAGGGCCTGATCCAGTTCATTGTACAGATTGGGAAAAATAAAGCCCAGAGGAGCAGTGCCAGGCCCAGGATCACACAGCAAGTCAATAGTGGCACTTGGCCCAGAAACCAGGGTTCTCACTATCGGCCTTTTATACTAACGGCCTCCTGGTCCTGGGCTGGAGTCTCCCGTGAGGCCCACTGGGAGACCCATATACCAGCTCCCTCCTCAATCTGAGACCCAAGTATTGTAAGGGCCCAAAAGAAGGATTTGGATTTACATAACGCCCTGAGGACAGATTTCTGAAACCCTTCCTTCCTGTCCCCTACTCACAAATACCCACTATTGTAAAAGCTATCCTGTAGCAACAAGACCAAAATGTAAACTTGGCCTAAAACTGGAAAGCTGTAGATAGGCTCTTGCACCTCCAACTTTCTTTCTCTGAATCCCTCTCACTCCCCAGGAGCCACACTCCCTACAACTGTGCATCCAGGCCTCTCATCCCCATCCCCCAAATATACACACATTTCTCTGCTCTGAGAAAGGAGATAGGTTTGCTTGTTGCTTCCTGGTATCCATTCCCCCTTTCCCTGACATCCATTAGAAACTCAAAGATGGCTGGGCACAGTGGCTCATGCCTGTAATCCCAGCACTTTGGGAGGCCGAGGTGGGCGGATCATGAGGTCAAGAGATGGAGACCATCCTGCCAACATGGTGAAACCCTGTCTCTACTAAAAATACAAAAATTAGCTGGGCGTGGTGGCATGCGCCTGTAGTCCCAGCTACTCGGGAGGCTGAGGCAGGAAAATTTCTTGAATCCGGGAGGTGGAGGTTGCAGTGGGCCGAGATTGTGCCACTGCACTCCAGCCTGGCGACAGAGCGAGACTCCGCCTCAAACAAAAAAAAAAAGGGGAACTCAAAGATTTGCTGAATGAATGAATGAATGTGCAAATGAATGAATGAATGAATATCTCTAATTCCTTTCTTAAAACTCTTCATTGGCTTTCCATTGCACTTAATTTAAGAACCATAATTCTGAGGCCGGGCACGGTGGCTCACGCCTGTAATCCCAGCACTTTGGGAGGCTGAGGCGGGTGGATCGCTTGAGGTCAGGAGTTCAAGATCAGGCTCAGGGCTTAGACATCCCAATGATAACTGAGACTTTGAGCTTTGACTCAGAGGGAAGCACAAGGGCGAGTTCCAGATGACACCCTAAGGCTCATCTTAGGGTGGAAGTCTAAAGTGGTACAGCACTTTGGGAGAGTAACTTGACAGCATCTGTTAAATTTGAAATGTACATACCTATCAATCTTGCAGTTGACTTCTCTGAAAACTATTCTGTATATCCAAGGATAGTCACTGTAGCATTCATTGTGGCAGCTAACATGGTGAAGCCCTGTCTCTACTGAAAATACAAAAATTAGCTGGGCCTGGTGGCATGCTTGCAATCCTAGCTACTCGGGAGGCTGAGGCATGAGAATCACTTGAACCCAGGAGGCACAGGTTGCAGTGAGCTGAGATCGTGCCACTGTACTCCAGCCTGGGTGACAGAGCGAGACTCTGTCTCAAAAGAAACAAAAAGAAAGCATATACTCCAAGCATTATCTATTACAGTTGCCTTAGTCATTTACTTCACACTCCTACGGGCCTCAGAATACTTTGCAACAATCTTTACTATCTCCGACGGAGTGTACAGCTCAACATTCTTTATAGCCACAGGGTTTTATAGACTTCACATCATCATTGGCTCAACTTTCCTGCTGCCTTCTACGCCAACTACCATTTCACTTTATTCACCGTTTTGGATTTGAAGCTGCTGCTTGATACTGACATTTTGTAGATGTAGTATGGCTATGCCGGTACGTTTCTGCCTATTGAAGAAGATCATGTTCTTTTAGTATTAAACAGTACAGTTGACTTCCAATCAATTAGTTTATATATAGGAATCTTGTGTAGCCTGCAGTGGGGTTGTGGGGAGCAAGGCAGAAGCAGCCACTCCAGAGAGGATTTACATTTATTTCTTCCAGGCATCTGAGAGATCATTTCAGAGTGGGTCGCTTTTTATATTAATTTCTCAGCTTCGAGATTCCCAGCCATGCAGGTGATGCAAATGTGAACGCCAGACTCATGGAGGGTAGGCATGTGGTTTCAAATTCTCAGGAGATTATTTTCCCTCTTACCCAAAGACCAGGTCAAGATGGACACATCCTTTTTGTCTCCCTTCGCTAGTAGGTGTTGGTTTTTCCCCTAGTTTGTTCTTTCACTGTGGGTGTAGCCCTTCAAGGGTCCTAGATTTATCAAGGGTCTCAGTTGCAACCTCTAATTTCATATAAGCCCAAAGCTTCAACTCCCCAAATGTTTCTTTAAAAACACAAGCTATTGCAGATTCAGTTGTGCCTTTTAAAGGATGTTTGTTGTTTTTATTTCCAGCATCTCCTTGGGTTGTGTAGCAGGAAGTTCCTGATATTGTCAGAAAAGGAAGTCCAACTCAGTATTTAGTACAACTGTCTGTTTACTTGTCTATTTTCTCCATGAGTGTCAAGCTCTGGGAGGTCAGGAACTAAGGCTGACTCATCTCTGGGACAAAACACCAGGCCCAAGATCTGGCACAAAGTAAATGCTCAGTGCGTTTGTTGATACTGAACCTCCACTTGGTCACTTCTAATGATGGGGAGCTCACTTTCTCCCAAGGTGGCCTCTTTCCTTTAGAGAGGGTGTGTGACCTGAGTGACCACCGGGCTAATGGGGGACAGCCTGCCCCTCATTTATGTACAACCTTCCCAATACTTAGCTTGTCCATCCAGATTCTGCAGAAGGGGGCTCAAGGCCTAGACATCCCAGTAATAACTGAGACTTTGAGCTTTGACTCAGAGGGAAGCACACGGGCCAGTTCCAGATGACACCCTAAGGCTCATCTTAGGGTGGAAGTCTAAAGTGGTACAGCATTTTGGGAGAGTAATTTGACAGCATCTGTTAAATTTGAAATGTACATACCTATCAATCTTGCAGTTCACTTCTCTGAAACTATTCTGTATATCCAAGGATAGTCACTGTAGCATTATTTGTGGCAGCAAACAATTGAAAACCACCCAAATGTCTGTCAATAAGAATAACTAAATAAATTCTCTAAAGTCAAGTCATACAGTGGAAAACTGTGAGCCTTTTATTTTTGTTTTTTTGAGACAGGGTCTCACTCTGTTGCCCAGACTAGACTGCAGTGGCGCCATCACGGCTTACTGCAGCTTCAACCTTCTGGGCTCAAAGGATCTTCCCACCTTAGCCTCCCAAGTAGCTGGGACTACAGGTGCACACTACCACACTTGGCTAATTACTTTTTATTTTTGTAGAGATGAGGTCTCACTATATTGCCCAGGCTGGTCTCAAACTCCTGGGCTCAAGAGATCCTCCAACCTAGGCCTCCCAAAGTGTTGGGATTACATGCGTGAGCCACCACACCTGGCCTATGTTTTTTTTTGGTTTTTTTTTTTGAGATGGAGTCTCGCTCTTGTCACCCAGGCTGGAGTGCTGTGGCGCGATTCCGGCTCATTGCAATCTCTGCCTCCCGGGTTCAAGTGATTCTCCTGCCTCAGCCTCCTGAGTAGCTGGGATTGCAGGCGCCTGCCACCACGCCCAGCTAATTTTTTTACTTTTAGTAGAGATGGGGTTTCGCTATGTTGGCCAGTCTTGTCTCAAACTCCTGACTTCAGGTGATCCAGCTGCCTCAGCCTCCCAAAGTGCTGGGATTACAGGTGTGAGCCACTATGCCCGGCATGTTTTTTTTTTTTAATAAGGTAGATCTATGTATATTGACATAAGTGGAATTCCAAGACATGTTGCTGTGAGTCTGTAAGACAGAGTGTATAATATCAAGAAAACAGACAAACCTATAAGCAGTGTAAATTGGTACATCATGGAGGCTATTTGGTAATATCAGTCACCTTTTTTTTTTTTTTTTTTGAGATGGAGTCTTGCTCTGTCACCCAGGCTGGAGTGCAGTGGCGTGATCTTGGCTCACTTTAACCTCCACTCCCGGGTTCAAGCAATTCTCCTGCCTCAGCCTCCCGAGTAGCTGGGAATATAGGTGTGTGCCACCACGGCCAGCTAATTTTTGTATTTTTAATAGAGAAGGGGTTTCGCCATGTTGGCCAGGCTGGTCATGAACTCCTGACCTCAGGTGATCCATCTGCCTTGGCCTCCCAAAGTGCTGGGATTATAGGTGTGAGTCACCGTGCCCAGCCTAAGTCAACTTTTAAAATGCTATTTAAACTTTTAAAATAACCTCAACTGACTAATCCCCACTAATAGATATTTATATTACAAATAAATATGCAAAATAATGGGTAAAAATATTAATTGCCACATTGTAATAACAAAATATTGGAAACAAACTTTTTCTCCTTATGAGACTGGATATATAGAGTGCATCTATTTGATGGGATACTATGCAGGTTTGAAATAGAATGAGGCTGCTCTCCATATCGATATGGAAAGGTCTGCAAGATAGAGTATGAAGTGATGAAAAAACAAGGTGCAGAATAGTGTCTCTATGTTTATGAAAAATACATGTATTATATGTTGGATTTTATTATTTTATTATTAATTTTTTGAGACAGCATCTCACATCTCACTCTGTCACCCAGGCTGGAGTGCAGTGGTGCAATCATGGCTCACTGCAGCCTCAACCTCCTGGGCTCAAGCAATCCTCCCACCTGAGCCTCCTGAGTAGCTGGGACCACAGGGCTACACCACCACGCCCAGCTAATTTTTGTATGTTTTGTAACAACAGGGTTTCACCATGTTGCCCAGGCTGGTCTTGAACTCCTGGGCTCAAGTGATGCTCTCGCTTCAGCCTCCCAAAGTGCTAGGATTACAGGCATGAGCCAACATGCTCACTCTGCATTGGATTTGAAATGCATAGAATTCCTCTGGAAGGAATCACAGGGAACTGGAATTGGTTACCTCCAGGAAGGAGACCAATAATTGGGAACTGGGAAGGGAAGGACACCTGCAAACGCTGTACTCCCTATTGAAGCTTTGTAATTTTGAACTATTTCCTTACAATTAAGTAAGGAAGTAAAAAATGTTAAACCATAATTGTAAAACTGGAAGCAAAACAAGCTGTACAAAACACTTTCTATATGTACATACACATGTTGTGTAGAAAAAGAAAAGAAGGATACACTTCAGACTGGTGGCAGTGGCAGAAGTTTTCTGGGACTGGATAACAAAGGGTGGTCAAGGGTGACCTTGACTTTATCTTTTTGTTGTTGTTGGGGTTTTTTGTTTGTTTGTCCGTTTTGAGACGGGGTCTTGCTCTGTCTCCAGGCTGGAGTGCAGTGGCAGAATCTCGGCTCACTGCAACCTCCGCTTCCCAGGTTCAAGCGATTCCCCTACCTCAGCCTCCCAAGTAGCTGGGACTACAGGCGTGTGCCACTAAGCCCGGCTAAATTTTTTCATTTTAGTAGAGATAGAGTTTCACCATGTTGGCCAGGATGGTCTTGATCTCCTGACCTCCTGATCCACCCGCCTCAGCCTCCCAAAGTGCTGGGATTACAGGCGTGAGCCACCGCGCCCGGCCTGTTGTTGTTGTTGTTGTTGTTGTTGTTTTTTAACATACAGGGTCTTGCTTTGCTTTTTTTGTTTGTTTGCTTTGGGGTTTTGTGTTTGTTTGTTTTGGAGTTTTTTGTTTATTTGTTTTGAGATGTCATCCAGGCTGCAGTACAGTGGTGCAATCATGGCTCACTGCAGCCTGAACCTTCCAGGCTCCAGCAATCCTCCTACCTCAGCCTCTGGAATAGCTGGGACTACAAATGCATGTCATCACATGTCGCTTTTATTTTTATTTTTATTTTTTGTAGAGACAGGGGTCTCATCATGTTGCTCAGGCTGGTCTTGAATTCCTGGGCTCAAGCAGTCTTCCTGCCTCAGCCTCCCATAGAGCTGGGATCACAGGTATGAACCACCATGCCTAGCCTTGCTTAGATTTTTATATAATCTTTCTGTTAATTGTTACTTTTTTTTTTTGAGATGGCGTCTAGCTCTGTTGCCCAGGCTGGAGTGCAGTGGCACGATCTCGGCTCGTTGCAACCTCTGCCTCCTGGGTTCAAGTGATTCTCCTGCCTCAGCCTCCCGAGTAGCTGAGATCACAGGCACCTGCCACTACACCCAGCTAATATTTGTATTTTTAGTAGAGATGGGGTTTTGCCATGTTGGCCAGGCAGCTGGCTGGTTTCAAACTCCTGACCTCAAGTGATTTGCCCACCTCGGCCTCCCAAACTGCTGGGATTACAGGCGTGAGCCACAGTGCCCAGCCTGTTACATCATTTAAAATCCATTTTAATCTTTAAAAGTAGGCTTCAGGTGGATGGAACACAACCACAGCCTGGCAAAGGAATGAGGCTGACTCTCCTCCTTCTGAGGGAAGTATTCATGTTGTGCTCTTTGTCCCACTGCCTTCCCCAAGGACAGCCTGGCTCAGTGGAGGCACCGGGGCTACTCCTGGCATCATTCCAGAGAGCCTCTCTTGTCACCTCTTACCCACTTGGCTCCCTGTCACCAGTGTTCTGGGCTGGGCTGAGAAGCAGCACAGATTAACTATTGGGTTGTATCTCCAGAAGCCCCATCGATGTCAGGTTGGGCAGAGCCAGCCCAGGAAACATGGAACATCTGCCTCTGGCCTCTCACCTCTTTGTTCTCCTACGAAGCCCGGCTTTTTTTTCTTTTTTTGAGACGGAGTCTGCTCTGTCACCCAGGCTGGAGTGCAGTGGCGCGGTCTCAGCTCACTGCAAGCTCCGCCTCCCAGGTTCACCCCATTCTCCTGCTTCAGCCTCCCGAGTAGCTGGGACTACAGGCGCCCGCCACCATGCCCAGCTAATTTTTTGTATTTTTAGTAGAGATGGGGTTTCACTGTGTTAGCCAGGCTGGTCTCGATCTCCTGACCTCGTGATCCACCCGCCTCAGCCTCCCAAAGTGCTGGGATTACAGGTGTGAGCCACCGTGCCCGGCTTGCCCTTTTTTTTTTTTTTTATAGATTTTGGCAGTTACTTGGAATATTCTTTCCCTTTGATACTCCACTACCTTTTTCCTCATACCCCAATTTATATTTCTGTCTCATCTCATTCAGTGGAGAGGAGGCATCTGAAAAACCCATCAACTAGATGTGCAGGGATTTAATGTTCCTACATTAATTGTATTTTAGGAGGCATCTAAAAAGGACGATGCTTAACTATGAGGAAACACACAATAATGATGGAATTCCTAGCACCGGTGGAGAAGAGATCCTGAGGCAGAAAGGCCTTGCTATCACTCTTCAGTCATGTTGATAGGCAATGCTACAAAGGGCTTAAGAACGTGGCACTGAGGCTGGGCACTGTGGCTCATGCCTGTAATCCTAACACTTTGGGAGGCCCAGGCAGGAGGATTGCTTGAGCCCAGGAGCTCAAGACCAACATAGGCAATATAGGGAGACCCCGTCTCTATACACAACAACAGCAACAAAAATTAGACAGGCATGGTGGTGCATGCATGTAGTCCCAGCTAATGGGGAGGCAGAGGTGGAAGGATTGCTTGAGCCCAGGAGGTTGAGGCTTCAGTGAGCTGTGATTGCACCACCGCACTCCAGCCTGGGCAACAGAGTGAGACCTCATCTTAAAAAAAAAAAAAAAAGGCCAGGCCCAGTGGCTCACGCCTGTAATCCCAGCACTTTGGGAGGCCAATGTGGGCAGATCACAAGGTCAGGAGATTGAGACCATCCTGGCTAACATGGTGAAACCCCGTCTCTACTAAAAATACAAAAAAATTAGCTGGGTGTGGCGGCGTGCACCTGTAGTCCCAGCTGCTGCAGAGGCTGAGACAGGAGAATGGCATGAACCCAGGGCCAAGACCGCACCACTGCACTCCAGCCTGGGTGACAGAGCAGGACTCCGTCTCAAAAAAAAAAAAAAAAAAAAGAATGTGGGCACTGGAGCCAGGCTGCAGGCTGACAGATTCGTATCTGTCACTTAGCAGCTGTTGAACCTTTGACAAATAACCTGTCTGTGCCTCAGTTTCCAAATCTGCAAGATGGAGATAAGAGTAGCTCCTTTATAGGACTGTTGTGAGGCTGTAATGAGATATTACATGAAAAGCCTGTAGTCCCAGCTACTCAAGAGGCTGAGGCTGGAGTACCACTTGAGCCCAGGAGTTCAAGTCCAGCCTGGGCAACATAGTGAGACCCTCATCTCTAATTAAAGAAAAAAAAAGAGATTTAATCTCTCTGTAATCCCCATCACTTTGGGAGTCTGAGACAATTGGATCTCTGGAGCCTGGGAGTTTGAGACCAGCCTGGGCAACATGGTGAAACCCCATCTCTACTAAAAATACAAAAATTAGCCGGGCATGGTGGCTTATGCCCATAGTCCCATATACTCAGCAGGCTGAGGAACAAAGAATTGCTCGGGCCCAGGAGGCAGAGGTTGCAGTGAGCCGAGATTGCACTTGGGTAACACAGCAAGACTCTTTCTCAAAAAAAAAAAAAAAAAAAAAAAAAAAAATCGGCCGGGCGCGGTGGCTCACACCTGTAATCCCAGCACTTTGGGAGGCCGAGGCAGGCGGATCACGAGGTCAGGAGATTGAGACCATCCTGGCTAACATGGTGAAACCCCGTTTCTACTAAAAATGCCAAAAAAAATTAGCAGGTCGTGGTGGCGGCCGGCGCCTGCAGTCCCAGCTACTCCGGAGGCTGAGGCAGAATGGCGTGAACCCGAGAGGCGGAGCTTGCAGTGAGCCGAGATCGCGCCACTGCACTCCAGCCTGGGCGACAGAGCGAGACTCCGTCTCAAAAAAAAAAAAAAAAAAAATCAAAGGGCCTCCGATCTATGCCAACCACTCCTTAAGATCCCTTTGGTTCTCACCAATCTCTCATATCCCACCACTGCCTTTCAGTGGCCTTCACTCACCAAACCTGTTACTCTTCATCAAAAACTGTACCCCTAGGCCCTTTCCCTCAGGCCTCGCTTTTTTTCTTTTTTTCCTCTCACCTCTCCATCCTGTCCCTGTTACCCTGTTATCTCAGTTCCATATCTCAAAAGCCTAGAAAGGCAGACAAGACAGAGCTCTCCTTAAAAAGTGATGGGCAGGCCAGCTGTGGTGGCTTACGCCTATAATCCTAGCACTTTGGGAGATCAAGGCAGGAAGATCACTTGAGACCAGGAATTGGGCAACATAGTGAGACGCGGTCTGTACACAAAATTTTAAAAATTAGCTGGGCATGGAGGTGTGTGCTGTAGTCCCAGCTACTCAGGAGGCTGAGGCAGGAAGATTGCTTGAGCCCAGGAGTTCGAGGCTGCAGTGAGCCACGATTACACCACTGCACTCTAGCCTGGGTGTCAGAGACCCCATCTCTAAAAAATAAAAAAAGTGAAGGCCAGGTGCAGTGGCTCACACCCGTAATCCCAGCACTTCAGGAGGCCAAAGTGGGAGGACTGCTTGAGCCCAGGAATTCAAGACCAGCCTGAGCAACAAAGAGAGAGAGAGAGAGAGAGAGAGAGAGAGAGAGAGAGAGAGAGAGAGAAAGGAAGGGAGGGAGGGGGAGAGAGAGAGAGAGAGAAAGAAAAATAAATTAGCCAGGCATGGTGGCACAGGCTTGGATAATTTTTTAAAAACTATTTGTATAGAAGGGGTCCCACTATGTTGTCCAGGCTGGTCTTGAATTCCTGGCCTCAAACAATCCTCCTACCTTGACTTCCCAAAGTTCTGGGATTACAGGCGTGAAGCCTGCGTGTATCGATTTTCTATTGCTGTGTAACAAACAAAACCTCCACAGACCTAGGGGCTCATGACAGCACCTGTTTATTAGCTCACAATTCTCTAAGTCAGAAGTCTAGGCACATCTGGGTTCTCTGCTTGGGATCCCACAAGTCTGAAATCAAGGTGTTGGCCAGGTGTGTCCTCATATGGAGGCTTGACTAGAGAAAGATCAACTTCCAAGCTCCCTCTGGATGTTGGAAGAATTCATTTTCTTGTGACCATATTAGCAAGGCCCTGTTTTCTCACTTTCTGTTGGCAGGGGACCACTCTCAACTCTCAGCTTGTAGAGGTCCCTCTTGGGTCCTCCTCTTGTGGCCCTCTCCACACATAGCATTTGGTCCTTCATGGGAGCACCAGCTGCTGGAAAAAATGATTCTGTTAGGTAAAAATACTATACATTTTTGAAACATGCACCAATTATTTAGCTCTGTGATTGTGGGCAATTTCTTCAAGCAGCCTGAGCCTCAATTTCCTTATTTGTAAAGCTGGGAAAACAACGATGCCCATCTTGGAGGGTTACAGGCACATAGAAAAACAATCAATAAATATAAGCTGCTGTTTACATTTGTTCTTTTTTTAAAAATTTTTAAATTTTATTTATTTATTTATTTTGAGACAGAGTCTTGCTCTGTCATCCAGGCTGGAGTGCAGTGGCGTGATCTCGGCTCACTACAACCTCTGCCTCCCAGGTTCAAGTGATTGTCCTGCCTCAGCCTCCCAAGTAGCTGGGATTACAGGTGCACACCACCACGCCCAGCTAATTTTTGTGTTTTTAGTAGAGACGGGTTTTCACCATGTTGGCCAGGCTAGTCTCGAACTCCTGACCCCAGGGCATCCACTGCCTCCCAAAGTGCTGGGATTCCAGGTTTGAGCCACCACACCAAGCCTACATTAGTTCTAACGAATAGACAGGGTCTAGACACAGTGAGATTAGATGAGTGAGGGACAGGGTTCCCTACATGGAGAAAACTGCAAGAGCCAAATCTTGGAAGCAGGAAAGCTGGTGGTTTATTTGTGAAGGGTGTGTGTGTGCGTGTGTACAGAGAACGCTGAAAGAGTAGGTGAACACAGTTTTGCTTATCCCTCCAGTCAGAATTTACTGGATGCTTACTGTGTACCCAGTACCATGAAAGGGTGCCCGGCCAGCAGTGTGAATTCAGCCTGGAAGTGGGAGGGAGCCAAGGAAGAGCTCTGAGTTGGAGAGGGAAGTGGTCTAAGCTTCGGGAAATTTATCTGCTCCTAGTAGAGTGGTTGACTCAGCAGGAGAGAACCCCCTTCTCTTCTGCACCCTCTCCTCCCTAGCCTCAAAGCCTGCTAAGGACCCAGTTCCCAAGCAGAGACCCAGGAGGGAGTTGCAGAATCTGGCCCTGTCTGGACAAGACAGACAGGGTGCGACTCCAGATGCCAGTTCCTTTCTTTCTGCTCCTGAATGGCCCCAAAGCTATCCCTTCTCACCACAATGGTCAAGGAGGGATACAGCAATTTCTCTTTTAAATGTTACACATAGGGCTGGGCACGGTGGCCTCTAATCCCAGCACTTCAGGAGGCCGAGGTAGGAGGATTGCTTGAGCCCAGGAGTTGGAGACCAGCCTGGGCAACATAGGAAGACCCCTGTCTCTAAAAAAAAAATTAGAAAAATAAAGTTCTAAATGTGGGAAATCATGCTGGGCACTCAACTACAGCAGCTCACTTGGGTACTTGTCCACACTCACAAATATAGCCCTGGGACCCCAAAGTCACTGTCCCACCCTCACACCATGGGCAGATGGACTCAAACTAAGCCAGGCTTTTGGCTTTCTGCCACTTGCCTCTTCTCTCTGAAGTGAATCCTGTCCTGATCATCACCTCCTTGCTGACAGGGCCATTAAGCGCAGTTCACACAAACAAACCACGATGCCTTGAGGTTGAGACTGGGAGGTATGTTAAGGGAGCATGGAGCCAGCCATTCTGCAGATGGGGAAACTGAGGCAAAGAAAAAGGAAGTGACTTGCCCAGGCTCAGGCAGTGAGCCCAGGACAGACCAAGACTGAAATCTGACAATCAGCCCAGGGTTTATACACACACACACACACACACACACACACACACACCCCACAATTTGAGTTACGCTCAAATTCAGACATCGTGGGTTGAACAACAAAGCTTTTTTTTTTTTTTTTTTTTTTTTTTTTTGCCAGAGTCTTGCTCTGTTGCCCAGGCTGGAGTGCAGTGGTGCGATCTCAGCTTACTGCAACCTCCACCTCTTGGGTTCAAGTGATTCGCCTGCCTCAGCCTCCCGAGTAGCTGGGATTAAAAGCACCTGCCATCACTCCTGGCTAATTTTTGTATTTTTAGTTTCACCATGTTGGCCAAGCTGGTCTTGAACTCCTGAGCTCAAGTTGTGTGCCGGCCTTAGCCTCCCAAAGTGCTGGCATTACAGGTGTAAGCCACCACACCTGGGCCACAACAAAGCTTTTTGAATAGAAGTTCTTGGAATATGGCCTCTTGTTAATGTGTAGGCCCATCTGTTGGGGGAATTTGGGGATTATGCCTGCTCTAGCTGGCTTTACCAATTAAATGTTTTCCCCTCTCTGTCTCAGTTTTTTCACCGGTAAGATAGGAAGAATTTATTATCTATGTCAGAGGGATTCCTCTCAGCCTCACTCTCTATCTCAGGTCGGGGGGCAGGGGAGGGTGGGGAAGGAAAGGAGTGGTGGGCCAGTCCTCCAGCTAAGCACACAGACTGGCCCATACCTGCAAGTACACACAAGGTCCCTTGAGCGACACACCCAGGCTGACACATCACTTTAAGGGGGCACGGAGGGGGGCAGGCAGTGGGAGTGGCAAGCCAGTGGGGAGCCCCCAGGTGAGGGCAAGCCCGAGGAATAGAAGGGTGGCCTCTTTTTTTTTATTTTTGTTTTTGAGATGGAGTCTTGCTCTGTTGCACAGGCTGGAGTTCAGTGGCGTGATCTCTGCTCACTGGCAACCTCTGCCGCCCGGATTCAAGCAATTCTCCTGCCTCAGCCTCCCAAGTAGCTGGGACCACAAGTGCATGCCACCACGCCTGGCTAGTTTTTTGGTATTTTTTAGTAGAGACAGGGTTTCACTATGTTGGCCAGGCTGGTCTCGAACTCCTGACCTCAGGTGATCTGCCTGGCTCGGCCTCCCAAAGTGCTGGGATTATAGGCGTGAGCCACTGCGCCCGGCCTGAAGGGTGGCCTCTTGACCTCCAGTCCTGCAGCCCATGAAATTGGGCAGGTACTCACACCTGGGCATGGGTTAGATGGGCGTGGGTCCCTAGTAACTCTGAGTATGAGCTCATGTGCATGTGTGTATATGTTTATATATGGATGCCTTCATTGTATGCACAGATACCCATGATTATCCATGTGTGTGCATAGGAATGGCACCCTCTGTCTGATTGGAAATGAGACTCCAGAGTTACCCCAGCATGATGTTCACTGCCTTTTTTTTTTTTTTTTTTTTTTTTTTTTGAGACAGTGTCTCCCTATGTTGCCTAGGCTGAAGTGCAACCACCCAGGCTCAATTGATCCTCCCACCTCAGCCTCCTGAGTAGCTGGGTCTTCAGGTGCAGGCCACCACACCTAGCTAATTTTTGTATTTTTAATAGAGACAGGATTTTGCCATGTTGGCCAGGCTGGTATCGAACTCCTGGGCTTAAGCAATCCTCCTGCCTTGGCCTCCCAAAGTGCTATGATTACTGGCCTGCACTGCCGCGCCCAGCTCTGCTGCCTCTTTTTACAGCCTGCCGGCCCAGACCAGAGTCTCAGAATACTAAGCCCACTTTCTGGGGCCAGGGTCAGTAGATAGCTTTGCTGCTGTATGATTCTAAGCAAGTATCTTGACCTGCATGTGTCTCAGTGCACCTCAGTTTCCTCACCTATAAAATGAGGGGTTTGGATGAGTTGAGGTCTGAAGCCTCCTCCAGCCCAGGTAATAAATCTTTGTAGTGGACAGGAGGAATAGGTCCTAGGGGTTTCAGGAGGGGACTTCCATGGGTACCTCTGACTCTACAGAGAAATGGAAGACTGAGATCTGACTTAGCAGCCTAGAAAGACTTAGCAGCCTAGAAATGGGGTTCAGCTAATTCTGGGAACAGAGTCCGGTCACTTAAGGTACCAGAGTGTAGCCAAGAGCCCCCTTTTCTGGGCTTGGGGAACCAGAACCATGTGTTCAACAGACCATTGCCTGTACACAGGGTAGAGAGTGCAGGTGTATACTCCTGAACCAGCCACCCTTCTTTTTTTTTTTTTTTTTTTTTTGAGATGGAGTCTCACTCTGTCGCCCAGGCTGGAGTGCAGTGGCACGATCTCTGCTCACTGCAAGCTCCGCCTCCCCGGTTCACGCCATTCTCCTGCCTCAGCCTCCCGAGTAGCTGGGACTACAGGCGCCCGCCACCACGCCTGGCTAATTTTTTGTATTTTTAGTAGAGGCGGGGTTTCACCGTGTTAGCCAGAATGGTTTCAATCTCCTGACCTCGTGATCCGCCCGCCTCAGCCTCCCAAAGTGCTGGGATTACAGGCGTGAGCCACCGTGCCCAGCCCCCAGCCACCCTTCTTAAGCTTCAAGCTATAACTACTGAGCCTGTGATGAAAGTCTACTCTATGCCAGACCCCCACAAGCTGGGTGCGGGCAGTATAGGGACAAAGACTCTGCCCTTGGGATGCCAACCATCCACTTGAGAAGACACATACACATACAATGAGTCATCATCACTTACTGTTTATGGACAAATAAACGTCCATCAAGGTAGCCATCAACTCGTGGGTAGGGACAAGGAAGGCTACCTAGAGGAAGAAAGGGTGAGTAGAATCTCTCCCTCTCTCTCTCTTTTTTAAGAGACAGGGTCTGGCTCTGTCATCCAAGCTGGAATGCAGTGGCTTGATCATAGCTCATTGTAACCTAAACCCAAGTGATCTTCTTATTTCAGCCTCCCTAAGCAGCTGGGACTACAGGTGCATGGCATCTGGCTAATTTTCTCATTTTTTGCAGATAAGTGGTCTCGCTATATTGGCCAGGCTGGTCTCAAACTCCTGGCCCCAAGCAATCCTCCTGCCTTGGCCTCCCAAAGTGCTGGGATTATGGCTGTGAGCCACCACACCTGGCCAAGTAGAATCTTGAAGACAGGAAAGATCTGGATTTCAGAAAGTTCTGAAGAAGGCATTCCAGGCAGGGGAAACAGCTTGAGCAAAAGGGTGGAGGTGGGAGAGTGCTGTAGAGTCAACAAGGAGTTTGACTTTAGCACAAGATGCGTGTAGGAGAAGGGGAGGTGAAGCTGGAGAGAACTGGGGCCGGAGCATGGGGGGCATGAGTTCTGTGTTAGGAGTGTGGGGCTTTAGGAGCCACATCAGGTTTTAGAACAAACAAGTGGCTTGACAGGAGAGACGTGTTAGGGATTATTTAATTAAAGTCAGCAAGTAGGTCTGAAAGGGTATGAGGTTAGCAGGAAGTGGCTGTGATGGGCAGAGGCTCAGAGTTGCATGGAATGAGGACACTTTGGGTATAACACTCCAAGGGCCACAATGCCACTCCCCTCTCCACCCCTCAGCCTTGGGTTATTTTTTTCTGGCTTCTTCCCCTGTCGCTAGGGTTAAGGAGTCCCTTGGGGGTTTCAGATGAGGCTGGGATAGAGTTTTATCACTAGAGTGCCGGGCACGGTGGCTCACGCCTGTAATCCCAGCACTTTGGGAGGCCGAGGCAGGCAGATCACAAGGTCAGGAGACCGAGACCATCCTGGCTAACACTAAACATACAAAAATACAAAAAATACAAAAAATTAGCCGGGCGTGGTAGCGGGCGCCTGTAGTCCCAGCTACTCGGGAGGCTGAGGCAGGAGAATGGCGTGAACCCGGAAGGCGGAGCTTGCAGTGAGCCGAGATCGTGCCACTGCACTGCAGCCTGGGCAACAAGAGCGAGACTCCGTCTCAAAAAAAAAAAAAAAGTTTTATCACTAGATCATTAACCTCTGGCCTAGGTCACCTCCGGCCTCCTTTTGGGCTAGGTGGGCAGTTCTCGGACCCTCCCCCACCAGCCCTGCTCTGCTGACCTAGAACCTCTGGCCCTGGAGATTCTGATATGTGTATTTGTGGTCTCTTCTCGGGCATCTCCCAGGCCACTGGGAGAGCTGGGGCCTAGAGCGTGGGGTGGGTGGAATCCTGAGGGCAGAGAGTGTGGAAGAATCTTACAATGGCAGCTCTAGAGGGAAGCCTGGATATGTTTGTTTGACAAACTGAGACCCAGAGAGGTAACATGACTTGAGGTCACACAGCAAGTCTAGGGCACAGTCAGGACTGAAAGCCAGGACTCTGGGGAGGCTAAAGCGCCCTGAGGTTTAGACCATCTGGTTCATGTAGAGAATGGAGAGGGTCAGGGCTGGGAGCTATGGGTTCAAATCCTGGCTCTGCCATTGACTGTACTTTTGTGACCTAAGAAAGTCACTTGAGCTCTCTGAGTCTGTTTCCTCAACTGTTAAACGGGACAATATCTACCTTTTGGGTTGTTGTGAAGATAAAAAAACACACCCATAGCACAGGTCGTGGCACACAGTAAGTGTGCCAATACATGTCAGCTAGTGGTATGGTGGTGCAATAGTAGGTGCCTAATAAATGTTGAATGCATTGTTGAACATGAGTTCACACGCTAACAGTGAGATTGTGAGACTCAGCTTTCCCACGTGTAAATCAGGACTCATAATCAGTCCCTGTCCTGCCACTTCTTTACAGCCCCGGTAGCAACATAGATTAAATAAGGTATGTAAACGTTCAAGCGCGGAGCCGTCTCAGGTCAATGTTTACTCAGCCCAGGGCAATTCCTCTCCAAGTCCTACTCTGCGAAATTTCACGTCAGCTTCACTAACTTCTCTACATTCCCAGATGCTCCCCGGGAACCGGGGGTTGGGGATGTCCCTCTTTTCTCAAGCCCGCCGAGCTGAGGAAAAACGGGGTGGGAAAGCAGAGTGTGTAAGGCTGAGGAGGTGAGCCAGAGGGGGGAGGGAGAGCAGGAATAAGGGCAGTGGGGAGAATGCAGGTGCACGGACGTGGTGTGGGTCGAGAACAGGGTCCGCATCGGGGGACTTGGATATAGGATGCAGTGAAAGGATTTGGGGAGCAGTGGGAGAGGTGAGGGCGCTGCGATCCGGGAAGAATCAGGAAAATAAGGAGCCGGTAGGAGGGAGTGGAGATCCTCCTCGCGGAGAGCTCGCCGCGGCGCAGGGCTCCCAGCTCCCCGCAGCTGCCTCCCCGAACACTCACCCTCCCGGTTCCGAGAACGTTTCCCGGCCCGAGCGCCCGGCCCGCAAACCGGGAGGGGAGGGGAGGGGAGGGGCAGGGGGGGATCCGCAGCCCGGGATTGGCCGCCGCCCCGCCAGCCGGTGACGCGAGGCGGGCGGGCCCCTTTGTGACGTCACAATCAGCTGTTTGAACGTTCCAATTTGTGCCGTGAGCCCCGCCGCAGCGGCCGCACAGACTCAAAGCCCCGCGGGCGAGCTCAGCAGCCCGGAGCGACCGCGGCCCCGCCGCCTCCCCCGCGAGTCCCGGCGATGCGGCCCGGCCTGTGAGCGGCCGGCGACCCTGGGACGCCCCGCCGCACAACTACCTCAACGCCGTGCCGCCCCCCTCCCGCCCCCAGGTGAGTCCCGACCCGGGTGGGCCTGGGGGCTCCCCTGCCACGGACACGCCCTGCGCCCCCCGCGCCCGGGCCTTTGTCTGTCTCCGCCGGCGGCCGCCGGGGCCGCGTTCCCGGCTCCCGATTGGTTGCCGCACGCCCGGTAGACCATGACGTCGTTCTATTTGCATATGACATTGAGACGTCACCAAGGCCGGTACCGCCCCCACAGGCTCGGGTCGCTTGTCCTCCCGTGACCCGGTAGCCGCTGTGTCGGGGCTGGGCCCTGGGTGAGACGCTGCAATCCAAAGGGGGCTGCAGGGGGATCGGCGATTTCCTAGGCTTATCCAGGGGCTGGGGTCAGGCCTCTGATCCCCTACTTTCTCTTTGCAACCTGAGAAGGAGTCAGACGGCGCTGCTGGGCCTAGGTTGAGGGGGTCGTCAGGAGTTCAGGGCTGCATGGGACTCCAGGTGGTTGGGACAGCACCAGATGGTGGTGGGATCCCCTCCCTCCGGCTCCAGACTCCGCCCCCAGGGACTAACAGAATAACATCCTCCTAATCCCTGATTTGTGTGCAGCGCCTTAGCTGATGTCACTCCTAGACCCAAAATGAAGGGTCTTAGACCCCAGTGCATGGAAGGGGCAACAGGCCCAGAGAGGAGGATTAGCTCTCTCGAGGTCACATAACCAATTAGAGTCATGCTCACTGAGTGACAGATGGATTATTAGCCAGGGGCAAAGACATAATAGGGGCTCAGTACAAGTGGTAAGATACACATCCTCCTTCCACTGGGGACCCGATCTTGGGCTCAGCCTTATCACGGTTTGATAGGCTCCTAGGTGTCCTTACTCCTGGACCCTTTTCCAGGGAATCTCTGGAGATTGGTTCACCTTTTGTGGTCCTGACCCCTTCTGTCCTCACTGTACCTTGAAGTCCTAGAGTCCAATAAAATCGCTGCCTCCCAGCTGTTTGGATCACAGAGAGGTGAGTCATTGGCTGCCTCGGGGTGTCTCCAGGGCTGATGTTGGGGTGGAGGGTGGGGTGAGGGTTCCCTCTATTGGCCCTTTACCTTCCCAACTTCCTAGGTCGTCAGCTAGGAAGGGCCTGACCTGGCCTAGTGCAGACAATTGCAGGTGTTTTGCTGCTCCCTCGTCACCTCTGCCCACAGAGAGTATAGGAGAAGGGATAGGATAAGGAGAGTTTCTGACTTAACAAGTGGATGGGCCTAGAGGCTGAACCAGGAACTCCATTCCTGCTGGGAGTTTGCTCAAGGATGGGCTGGGGGTAGGGGTGGCTTAGGGCACAAATGCTATTCTGGGCAGAGCTGCTGTAGTTATTAAAGGGAATGGTTCTCCCTGGAGCAGAACTGGGAATGTGAGAACCAGGAAGCTGGCAGGGCTGGGAAAGGAAATCTGGGAGGCTCCCCAAGTGGTCAGGAGAGGGGGCAGGCACTGGCTGGCTGGTGACTGCTTTCACTCCTGGCTGTCACTGACTTGCTGTGTGACCTCAGGCAGGGAGCTTTTCCCCTGAGCCTCCCTCCCCTAAACCTATCTGAAATTTGGGGAGGCACAGTGCAGGCTCTGGTACACAGTGGGTCTTCAGTAAATGCATGCTAAATCTTGGTGCCAGTAACCCCAGACCCTTTTGTAGCTAGGCGAGGGGTGGTGTGGCTAGGTCAAGGTCTTTTTCACCTCCCTGTACCCCTGCATCATTGTATTCTTGGGGATTGTTTGCTGAGTCTTTCCTGACTGTGTACACTCTGGACTGGATGCACAGTAACGTGGGACTAGGTCTGCCCTGCCACTATCTAGCCATGTATTTTTGGATAGATTTATGTCTTCTTTCTGATCATCAGATTTTAAAATGGGCTGGGTGAATATGATGGTCCCTGAAACAGCTCTTAACTTCTCTTTCATATTCCATGAATTAGTAGGTTCTTGGAAGGAGGATGTGCCTCATCAAGGCCTCGATATTCCCTTCCTTCAAGAGGGGCCAAACTTTCTGGGCTTTTGGTAATGGAGTCACTAGCTCCCTGTGGCTACATATGGGTTGGGATACATGAATTGTGCTGGGTGGACACTAGTTGGGGGTGGCCCCACCTTCTTAATCCCTGTAGATCTCCCACCCCCATCCCACCAGAGAAGCCAGCATCTTAAGCCTACTGTGAGTCTGCAGATGTGGAAATATTCTCAGGGTATGGAAGTGAGGTGATTCTGCAGCAAGTGTGAAAACATTTCTAGGGAATGGGGGAGGTAGCAATAAGCATGGCAATACTGCAGGTGGATTAGCAGAAAGAGGAGAAATGCCTTCAGGGAAGTCTGGACATGCCCCCAGGAAGTTCTACAGGAAGTGTGGAAACACCCTTAGAGAATGGTGACAAGTGTCTCAGCAGCAAAACCGTTGAGCATCTTTAGGGAACAGGTGTGGAGAGTCAGTCAGGCTTCAGGTACTGGGGGAGTATGGCCAGCAGCCCCCAGCCAAGCTCTAGTCCTGAGGTAGGCTGGCATGGGGAGGGGGTAGATCTAGAGCTACCACCTTGGTGTTTCCATTTCTGCAGTAGGGGGCCTCCCTCTTCATCTTCACCCAGGGAAGGATTGGTTAAGGGCTTACCTCGGTCTGGGTCCAACCCTCAGTGCTCATCCTTAAGGGCTCCTGGGAACTGACAGCTCCCTCCCTTCATCATCACCTCCCACTGACCTGCTGTCTCACTGAGCCCAAGCAACCTGATCTTCCTCCTACCCCTGGATGCTGCCCTTGAACAGGAGCCTGGGAAAAGGGGGTCAGAGGGGGGAGGGCCTGCCGGCATGCCATCTTTACACTTCATATGACAGACACAACCGAGGTGTGCCAAATCACATGGTAAGATGGTAGCAGTTCTATGGGATTTCTGCTGGCCAGTGCTTTTCAAACCACACAGGCTCCAGGAGTGGTTCTTAATCTCTGGGGTCAAAGATTGCTGTTTAGGAAATCATGATGAAAACCAAGGTCCTTTTTCCCAGAAAAATACACATGGACCATGACCCCTGGCCACCAAATTGAAAATATCAAATTCAGACAGACACCCAGAAAAGGCAATAGAATATAGTGATTCTGGGTGCTGCCTCTGGAATCTGATTGTGTGGATTCAATCCCACCTTTGTCTCCTACTAGCTCTGAGACTTTGGGACAGTTAACTTCTCTGAGCCTCAATTTCTTAACTGTAAAGTAAGGACAGTAATTATCCACTTCCTGTAGTTGTTGTGAGGATTACATGAGGTAATATAGGTAAAGCTGCTTAGCATAGTGCCTGGAACATAAATGTTAGCTATATCATTATTATTATTTTGAGACCAAGTTTCGCTCTGTCACCCAGGCTGGAGTGCAGTGGCACCTCGCAGGTTCCAGTGATTCTCCTGCCTCAGCCTGGGATTACAGGCACCTGCCACCACGCCCAGCTAATTTTTGTATTATTAGTAGAGATGGGGTTCACCACGTTGGCCAGGCTGGTCTTGAACTCCTGGCCTCAAGTGATTCACCCACTTCTGCCTCCCAAAGTGCTGGGATTACAGGCGTGAGCCACTGTGCCCGGCCTAGCTATATTATAATGATAACAAGCAGACAATATGGGCAATTTCCTCCCTGCCTGGAGAACTCCTATTTACTCCTCAGAGTGCAGCTTGGATGTCCAATTCTCTGGAGACCTTCCCTGGCAGAGCTGTGTCATGTGTCACTCTATGTTCCTAAAGCACCCTGTAATAATAACTAATTTATTAGTTTGTTGAGTGCTTACCATATGCCCAGACAGTTCTAAGCACTTTATAAGTGTTTAGCTCATTTAATTCTTCCTCCTCCATCTTTTTTTCTCATTCAATAACTTTGGTATAGCTCATTTAATTCTTATTAGAGCCTGGAGGAGGATACTATTATTAGCTTATTTAATTCTTATAAGAGCCCGGAGGAAGGTACTATTATCATTGTCTTTTGACAGATGAGAAAACTAAGGCACAGATAAGTTAAATAACTTTCTAAAATCATACAGAAGATAAAAAAAAAACCCTGGATTTGAATGCAGAAAGCACATCTTCCCAAAGCGTCCGCACACATCCCCGTTGTGTGTACCCTTCTCCCTGCTCTGGGGGTGATATCTTCTGGCCTCTTCCCCAGGCCAGGAGTGGGGTGAACCTCAATCAGTGGTGGCTCTCACGTCCTTCTGATTCCCAGGTTTTTGCACTGCCATAGGGCGCCCCCGTGAGGCGCTTCGCCCCCCACCATGTTCCAGCGCCTCTCCAGCCTCTTCTTCAGCACCCCCTCGCCCCCCGAAGACCCCGACTGCCCCCGCGCCTTCGTGTCGGAGGAGGATGAAGTGGACGGCTGGCTCATCATTGACCTGCCGGGTGAGGCCTGGGTCTGTCTCCTGGGCCTGTGAAGTCATTCTAAGGGCAGATGGCCTAGCAGCGGAGGGGAAGGGCGCTGCTGGGGGACGGGGGAGTCCCCCAAGCCTACTGGAGGTGGGGTCACGGGGCCCCTTCCCATGAAAGCCGGGGCTCTCTCCTGGCGGCCCAGGAGAGGCCCGCACGTCAGGTCCCCTAGGGCAGCAGGGCGAGACGCCTGGCCCGTGGGTGCCCCGGGGCGCTGCGGACGGGCTGCGGGTCTGACTAACGATGCCCTTTCTCTCCCCGCCCCCTTGTCCGGTGTGTGTGTGTGTGTGTGTGTGTGCCTCCTCGCTGCTCCCCTCCTCTGCACGGCTCCCATCCCGCGCCCCGTAGACAGCTACGCGGCTCCACCCAGCCCCGGGGCCGCCCCTGCCCCCGCGGGCCGCCCTCCGCCCGCGCCCTCCTTGATGGACGAGAGCTGGTTTGTTACCCCTCCCGCCTGTTTTACGGCAGAGGGGCCTGGACTCGGTCCCGCCCGCCTCCAGAGCAGTCCCCTGGAGGACCTCCTCATCGAGCACCCCAGCATGTCCGTTTACGTCACCGGCAGCACCATAGTGCTAGAGCCCGGGTCCCCTTCCCCGCTCCCGGACGCGGCCCTGCCTGACGGCGACCTCAGCGAAGGGTGAGCGGGCCGGGGGCGGAGCCTGGAGGCCCAGGGAGACGGATCTTGGAGGCCAGGGTCCAGGCTAGGAGGCTGGGGTAGTGGGGCCAGGAGCCCGCCCCGCGCTCGAGGGGGTAGCGGCCTTGGGAGGGTTGCCTTTGAGACAAAGTGGGGGGCCGGTGGGCCTCCGGGCGAGGCTAGAAGCGGGCCTGAGGACGGAGGGGCGGGGCTTGAGAGGGAGGGGCGTGGCCAAGAGGCTGGGGCCGGGGTTGGAGGCTTGAGGAGCGTGGCTGGAGCGCCTAGGGAGTGGGACTTAAACAGAAAGGCAAGGGTGGAATAGGGGGTGGGGGTCCAGTCTCCCCCGAGGTCCAGTTTACCTGTTAAGGGCTAGAACCGAGGAGGCACCTCCGGGTTGGTACCCACAAGAAGGGCGTCGGGCACCCCAATCTGAACAGACACAGAACTGAGCCGAAGCAAGGGTGGGAGATGGCAGCGCCCTCTAGACCCCCCGCCCAGCTTACCCGGCTTGACCGAGCCTGGCTCTGTCCTCACAGGGAATTGACGCCCGCCCGCCGCGAGCCGCGGGCCGCGCGCCACGCCGCTCCTCTCCCAGCGCGGGCGGCGCTGCTGGAGAAGGCGGGCCAGGTGCGGCGGCTGCAGCGGGCCCGGCAGCGGGCAGAGCGCCACGCGCTGAGCGCCAAGGCGGTGCAGCGGCAGAACCGAGCCCGCGAGAGCCGTCCGCGCCGGTCCAAGAACCAGAGCAGCTTCATCTACCAGCCGTGCCAGCGCCAGTTCAACTACTGAGCGTCCACCGGCCGCGCCACGAACCCCTTGCCGATCCCGATCCCTGTCGGGCTCCTCCGACTCCTCGGGCTGGACACCGAAACCTCCCTTCTTAAAGCGTGTGAGGTTGGGTGATAGCCGTTCCTTCCCCGACACCCTCAATTTCCCCATCTCTGATCCTCTAATCTGCCTCTGAACCCATTCACCCTTCACCCTCACTCCTGGTCCCCATACCCAGCATCTAATCATCCATGCCCCCTACTCCTGGCCCCTCCATCCTTTCTTCTCTGGTCCCCATCCCTGTCTCTCCCTTTCACCCTTGCCCTCCAGTCCTCTACCTCTGGCCTGCCCCTATTTCTGAAAGCTTCTTCCAGTCCCTGATCTGGCTCATTCCCCACCTTCAACTCCCACCTTACATGTCTCACACTATCCCATGGTTGGCATTACACTCACTCCTGTTCCCTTATTCTTCATTCCCAGTAATTCCCTACCAAATGGTGGGGACCCTGAGCCCAGCTCTGACCAGGTAGAGCCTGTGCAGCCTGGGCTGCTGTCATTGCCCTCCAGTAAGGGCTCAGGGTTTTGCTTTTAGTCTCCCCTTCCTTCTGCCTTGGGGGCGGTACTCTGTGGAGCTGCTTAGGCCTGGAAAGGTACAGTATGTAGAAGAGGACTGTGAGACGTGAGTTAGAGGGAGAAGATGGAGGGAATCTAGGGAACGAGGCAGCCTATTGGAGATGCGGACAGGACAGACACGTTGAGAAGCTGCAGGGAGCAGGGCACCAAGGGAGTGTGCACTGTGCTTGCTCAGAGAGGCCAAACCCTGCTCCCAGGCTGAAGCCTGGAGTCTGCCCCCACTTCCCTTTTCTATAATCCACCCTTCTGCAGGCCCTGAAATCTGAAGGGCTTAGTTAGTACCTTGCCACTCTACCCCCAACACGTCACCCGAGTAGAAGCTGGGCAAGGCCCTACCATCCTGGCCGTCTGTTCACAAGCCCAAGGTGCTAGAACTAGCTTAGGAGACATGCAGGCCACAGGGCTTCTAGGCAGGGAAAGGGCACACACCCTAGGTCAGCGTGCAGAGCAGTGATGCTGGAGGACACACCATGGGGTGAAGCCATCCCAAGGCTGACAGCTCAGTCTTCACCTTGCCTCTGGCCTTGTATTTCACACCCTGCTCAGTATGGCTAGCCAGCAGTCCTGAGTAGGAGTCCAGGACTCCCACTGTCTCAATCTGCAAATTGTTCCTATCCAGGTTCAGGGCCTTCAGGGGGCCTCTTTTCATTTTCTCCCACAGGCCTCTCTTTCTTTCTAGGTTGCTGGGGAGAAATGGGTACCCTATGATCCCCCTCCCCTTCTCCTCCAGTAAATACCTGGAAGAGGGAACCTGAATCCCTGGGGGAGACAGAAGGGGCAGGGGCCACCAGCCTCCCCTTCTTGTGGTGAGACTGAATTTTGGGCTCAGACACCAGCAACAGCCTCTTGGGATGCCCTGAGTTGCTTCCCATTTCCTCTTTCTAGCCGTCCTTTTCTAGTGTGTGCTCACTCTTCCTAGGAACTTTTAAGACTTCTTGGTACCTATGAACATAGGTCCTCCCCTCACCCCAACTCTAGGTTTCCAGGCCTCACAGCCAAGCTGAAGCTTGGAGAAAACTCTGCATTCCCATGAGGGCAAAGGCAGCTGCCCTCCCTGACCCTATAGCCCCAGGCCTCATGGGGGGTATGTGGGGAAGGGATGGGGTATCCCCATGGATGCTGGGATGAGGACAGAGGAAGACCTGATGGGGTCTCCTATTCCAGGGAATAAGCCAAATTAACACTAAAAACGGATCAAAGCTCCCACGCCAGTCCACTAGGGCCCCAGTAGTTGACAGCCTTGCTCCTCTCCCAAGTTCTCCTTCAGAACCTAGTTGCTTTTATTCTTCCAGCTACCACTTGGGCACTTCACAGCCAGCCTAGGGTCTTCGGCACCTCCAAGAGCTGAATCTCCCTCCAACCCTTCTTGCCTACTCCTCACTGCCAGCTGGGACCTAGGCTCAGTCCTGTGTGGTGCCCATGATCCTTCTGGTGGGGGAAGAGTTTAAGTTATAGGGCATTTGGCTCAAATTTTAAAAGGCCTTTTGTTTACCTATATTTCTGGAGGCTCCTGTATTCTAGAACCCAATCTCTCACCTGCTTGGTTGCAAGGCTCATATTTTTTTGTACCTTTCCTATAGATTCTGTAGCATTTGAGTGTGGCAATATTTTAATTGTGTATAGATTTCTAAGAACCAACACTACTCAGTCTCCTGCTAGTCTGACTCCTGAAGCATCAGCCCTTGTCATACTGTATTGACTGTGTACGTGCCTTTCACCTTGAGCATGCTTCAGGATTTTTTTTTAAACCACAGAACTTGAATACATGAGGGAACCAGAGTTCAAAGTCCTATGCAACCTTAGGAGGGGGTTAGAGAGTCTGTTTTGATTGATGTTTTCTGAGGCCCTAGAGGAGTTTGTATCAATTTGTGAGTATTAATGTCAGTACTACCAGCACTTTGCCAAAACTGTCAGAGGGACCCGTTTCTAGAGTGAGTCCCAGTTACATCAAACAGTGACTTCCAGTTATTCCCCAGTAAGTCTGAGTGGTTCCTTCAAGCTGGGTGTCTTTCCAGCCTTTGCCAGTCTAGCCCCAGCAGGGCACCGTGTATGAATGCAGTTTGGTGCTGTTTTAGAGTATGCCTGCTCCCCAGCCCCCTGCCTGGAACCCTCTGAGCAACTTGCTCTGACCTATAATGTCTTAGGTGCAACACGGACCCCACCAGAGCTCTTGGATACCCCCCTAGATCCATGTGGCTTTATGTGAGGGGACTGAATGCAGACACACCATAGCCCCCTTCTACTACTTTCCCTCTCGCCCTGCCACCTAGTTCCACATGGAACCAACAAGTTGAGTGCATCCCTGTTGGGTGTTTTGTGTTGAGACTGGCTGAAATGAGGAGACTTTGACCATGTGACGTGTCAACAGACTCAAGGAGACAACCACCTCAACTGGGTCATGTGGCATGCCTGTGTATGTGTGTAACAGAATTCTGATTGTTAGACTGTAATGCTATTCCTCTATGGGAGAAAAAAATTAATATAAAGAAAAACAAATAAAAATATATTTAAAGCACATGATCCTTTCTGCCTGAGTTGAGCTTAAGTATGAGAAGCATCTTGTAATCTTAAGCACAGTAGTGGCATAGGATATTATGATAAAGCTGGCCTTGGTTCTGGTGTGTGTGTCATATGGGAGAGGAAGAGGGGAGATAAGCTTACTGGGAACAGAGCCAGACAATGGGGTCTGACTCATAAATGACTACTGTTAGAGGATCCTTACAATGCAAGACACATACATGAAGACAGCTGAAATAGAGATGAGAATAACAGCATGACAGAATGACCAAACTCATCCTTGTGGTCTCAGGCACTGGGTTAGAGCAAGGGCAAGTAGCCACTGGAGGGGAAAGGATGAAGTCTAATCCTGGGGGAGATGCAGCAGAAGGCTGAAGCCCAGGCTGAGACAAGGCCAGGGCCCCAAGCATCAGAGTCTCCTCAAGTTGCAGGTAGGGTGGGGCAGAAGCAGCTGGCTTTGGAGACTACACACATTTTGAAGAAGGACAGCCAGAGTGAAATGTAGTGGACATCTCTGAAATATACAGCACAAAATGACCCCTTTAATTTGGGAGCTGCTCTGTCTAACCACAGAACTAAAGGTGGAAACCTGACCTAAACTGGACTAGATTTTTTTTTTTTTGAGACGGAGTTTCACTCATTGCCCAGGCTGGAGTGCAATAGCGCAATCTCGGCTCACCGCAACCTCCGCCTACTGGGTTCTAGCGATTCTCCTGCCTCAGCCTCCCCAGTAGCTGGGATTACACGTGCCACCATGCCCAGCTAATTTTGTATTTTTAGTAGAGACAGGGTTTCTCCATGTTGGTCAGGCTGGTCTCGGACTCCCAACCTCAGGTGATCCACCCGCCTAGGCCCTCCAAAGTGCTGGGATTACAGGTGTAAGCCACCATGCCCGGCCCTGGACTAGATTCTTGATGCTGGCACAATCTTACAGGCCAGTTTGGGCTTACCTCCTGCAAGGAGGAGATGTCAGCACAATTGTTTTGGAGCAATCCACCATGCAAATGGAGGAGCAGATATGTGACATGGTGAAAAAGTGCCATCTCAGCTGCTGACAGCTTCCTGTCCCTAGAAAATCCTGGGTGGCCATTGATCTCTAAGTTGGTTTTGTTATTTGCATCAAAAGAAATCTGAGCAATATATATCAAAATACCTGGCACAGTGCTGAACAGGGCTAGTTTCTTCAAAGCCAAGAATGAGGTGAGGGAGCAAGTATGTACATTTTCCTCAACTTGCCAGGCGGGCATCTCAGGTTCAATGAGGACTAGATAGGAATTCCATCCACAAGGCTGTGTCTGCTTAGTTAAGGTCCAAAGAAAGAGCTGATCACCCAAAAATCCCTTACCAATAACATAACTTTATGTTCTATGACAATGACATTTATTTAACACGTTATTTCACATTGTACAAATCCTTAGATTCTCTTTATTCACTGGTCCATTTCTACAACAAATACATCCAAAACACTATATAATAAAATTATTTACAACATTTCCAAATGAGAAGATTGCTTTTGCCCCCACTACTGCTATTCACACACAGTACTTCCACGGCACAATACATCATTAGGAGATCTAAAAATGCTCACCCTGTACTCTAGGCTGCTTAGGAAATGTGAAAACTAGTAACATTTATAATGGCATTAGCTCCTTTCAATACAAGACAACATTTTAGAAACCTTGAACTTCAACTCGCAACACCAAAAGGGCTCAACAGTCCTGCTTTCCCCATTGCACTTTATGAAACAGGTTGCAGGGACTAGGAAAAGGGCCACATTATTAAAATTACTAACTGTACAGAAATTGATTTAAAAAAGTCACAGCTCAAAATTGCTCTTTGTAAAAGTCACACACATTTCCAAGTATCAAGTCGCAGTCCTGCTTGTTTACTTGGATTTTCTTCGCTTGGATTGCACCGCACTGGTTATGTCTGTGGGGGAAAGAAAGGACATGTTCAGTGGAAGTAACTCTTTACAGCAGTGCCCTTTAGACAGTCCACAACAAGCAGGGCAGACCTAAGGGGAGCCCTACTCAACTCAGAATCTGTCTAAGGGGTGCTCTGAATGGAGAGAGTCACAGGCTTTGCTTGATGACTTACGTGGGAAGAGGGTGTGGTCCTGCATTGGGCAGAATTGGAATGTGACAGAGGTGGTGGCGATGAAGCACACTGACTAGAGAAAGTGCAGGGTGGAGAGAGCCTTTGTAGCTGGGCAATTCACCCACTGTTTCCCTCACCAGTTCTCATCATAAAACGAAGTGTAATAGACAGACTGACAATGCTTTTGGTGAGAAATCAACGAGTAATGCCATAAGCAAATGAGTAAATTCTGTTAGAATGCAAAAAAAAACCTGCCTTGGGATCCCTTTTGGAGCCAAGCTATTGTTTCACAGTAAGGAACCATTTTTGTCATGCTATAGTCAAGGTCTAAACAACATGACCATGGGCCTTGGTCAGTGAGGGTCTACTATGGCCCAGCCAGTTATATCAAGATTGTGGAAGGCTGGGCGTGGTGGCTCACGCCTGTAATCCCAGCATTTTGGGAGGCCGAGGTGGGCGGATTGCCTGAGGTGAGGAGTTTGAGACTAGTTTGGCCAACATGGCGAAACCCCATCTCTACTAAAAATACACGAAAAACTAGCCGGGCGTGGTGGCGTGTGCCTTAATCCCAGCTACTCAGGAGGCTGAGGCAGGGGAATTGCTTGAACTACGGAGGTGAAGGTTCCAGTAAGCCGATATCCCACCACTGTACTGTAGCCTGGAGACAGCGAGACTCCGTCTCAAAAAAAAAAAAAAAAAAAAAGACTGTGGATACATACAGTCATGAATGCAATTCAGAATAAGCAACGGCCTGCTCTGAGCCCAAGTGAGCCTGAAGGCTTCATGGAGGAGGTGGGAACTGAGTGATTTACACACAGAATGACAGTGACATACAGGGAAATGACTATGTTTTGATTCCTTTAGTTTCTCTTGTACTATCAGTGTTTTAACTTAATCTTATGCCAGACTTAAACTGTGTTTCTTAAAAACGTTTTGGCCAGGTGTGATGGCTCACCCCTGTAATCCCAACACTTTGGAAGACTGACGCAGGAAGCTCACTTGAGCCCAGAAGTTTTGAGGCCAGCCTGGGCAAGATGGTGAGAACCCATCTCTACAAAAAGAAAAGAATTAGCTGGGTGTGGTGGCACATGCCTGTAGTCCCAGCTACTCAGGAGACCAAGTGGGAGGATCACTTGAGCCCAGGAGTTCATGGCTGAAGGAGTTCAAGGCTGAAGTGAGCTATGTTCATGCCACTGTACTCCAGCCTGGGTGACAGAGACCCCATCTCTATTTAAAAAAAAAAAAAAAATTCTACACAAAGTTATGGCAGAGTACAGTGAATAGCCTGAAGCTCTCCAAAGGTAAACACTTCTTTAGAATCTCATATTGACTTCAAAAGGTCACCTTTATTTCATATTCTGGTTTTAATATGAAAATAATGTTCTAAAATTACTTCTCATCAAGGAGAAAAAAAATGCTTCTAATATATCAATACAAAAGATGAATCAGATTTACCCATTTCTGGTAACTAGGCTGAATTTTCTGATACTGCATGTTAGGTTGTATTCAAGGCAAATTTTCCTTTGTCTTTTGTATCATAATATTTTGTGAACCCAGACTCTAATAAATATGTAGATTGTAAGGAAAAATTTCACTACTCTGTTAGCTAAGGTGACTGCTAAGAAGTGAGGCCTAGGCCAGGCGTGGTGGCTCATGCTTGTAATCCCAGCACTTTGGGAGTCTGAGGCGGGTGGATCACCTGAGGTCAAGAGTTCAAGAGCAGCCTGACCAACGTGGAGAAACCCCATCTCTACTAAATAAAGAAAATTAGCCAGGTGTGGTGGTGCATGCCTGTAATCCCAGTTACTCGGGAGGCTAAGGCAGGAGAATTGCTTGAGCCTGGGAGGTGGAGGTTGTGGTGAGCCGAGATTGCGCCATTGCACTCCAGCTTGGGCAACAAGATTGAGACTCCGTCTCAAAAAAAATAAAAAAATAAAAAGAAGTGCGGTCTAGATGAATTTCCAAGAGGTGCCCAGTACAGTAATTTCATTCAAGCCTCTGTTGGTGGAAATTTCAGTATGTTTGTCTTCTCAAAGGTCATGTTTTTTTTTGTGCCATGTGGTAGAATCAGTCTTTCTGATTTACTCATTAGTCTTTTACTAATCAGAAGACAGTTAATCTGCCAGGATGTTAATAATGGTGTTCTTTATTTTAATTCATGTAAATTAAAGAGTCTCACACAGCCCACATAACTCCCTAAAATCAACTCTTCAGGTCCAAATCTCAAGCGTTATTTTCACTGCAGCAAATTTGTCATTTGCAGTAAAAATAGGCAGGGTTTTTGTCTTGACAGTGTTCATCCTCAGCAAAACATTCATTAACTAGGTCAACTTTGGAAGCTTTTCCCTTGTTGTGATATGAAGGATCAAGTGGTATGTCTGAGAAACATATGTGGCTGGGAAAAGAAGTGGGTAGTGGGGTGTGGGGGAGAAGCAACCTCAGGCTCCCCCTCCTTCCTTGCTTGTTCCCATTTGTCACTGCTCCGAAGCACCCAATGAACTGGTAGGTTGCCTCTGAGCGTGAATCAATGAGTGGGGTCAGGAATAAACAAATGACTTGTGCTAGAAACTGCAAAAAAACCCACAAACACACCATTAAAAACCCTCATCTTTTGGATACTGTGGTTGGTGGGGAGAAGGATGTAAACTTTCATACTTCCATGAGGAAAAAAATAAATTTTAAACTGAGTTTGAAGTCTCTATCACCTTCCCTGGATAAATCCAGTCAATCTGAGACATAGAGCAAACCTCAGACTCAACATGTCTAAAACCAAACTTGGGATTTTCACCTCCAACAGTGAGGTCCTTTGCCACTGTTCCCCATCATGTCTGAAAAAAATCTGTCTGAAAAAAACATCTTTTGATGAGTTTTTTTGTTTTGGTAGTTGATTTTCTACTCCCTCCAAAATGTTACCACTTTTACTACTCTAATGAATAGGCAAATCACCTTTTTTTTTTTTTGAGATGGAGTCTTGCAAATTACTTTTTTTTTTGAGACAGTCTCGGATTGTCGCCCAGGCTGGAGTGCAGTGGTGCGATCTGAACTCACTGCAACCTCCACCCCCTGGGTTCAAGCAATTCTCCTGCCTCAGCCTCCCTAGTAGCTGGGATTACAGGCATGCACCACCACGCCCAGCTAATGGTTGTATTTTTAGTAGAGATGGGGTTTGGCCATGTTGGCCAGGCTGATCTCAAATTCCTCACCTCAACTGATCTGCCCGCCTCAGCCTCCCAGAACGTTAGGATTACAGAAGTGAGCCACTGAGCCTGGCCACAAATTACTTTAAGGTAAGAAATTCTAGGTAAGTGATGTAGAGGCTAATGATCCAGTCAGGGTGTACCTCAGACTGTGATTGGCACGCTGTTCCTAAAGGCTGCCTGGCCTGACTGTGAACCTACCTTCAGTTTTTTAACTATCAGGGATTTTACAAAATTAGTGTCTCTTAACAGATAGACAAATAGTTCAAACTCTAGCAGTGTAGTCAAATCATTTATATCCATGTCTTAGAACCAACTGGGTGGTAAAGAACTGGGTCAATAATAGTCTTTTAAGTGACTGTCCAACTATGTCACTGGGGGAACATTTAAATTTATAACCTAATAAAGGGATTTGTTTTTCAGCCTGGTTGCCTCATTTTGACCTTAAGCAAATTTGACCAAATCTACAGTACAAGGCTCTACTTAATCCTCTAGTATGTGACCTCTACCATCCAAGGAGCTTTAGAAATGGACTTTGACCTTGCTCACATCATTGTGCCTTTCACTGTACTATTTCTATCCGAGACGTCTAAGTAATTGTAAAAAATTCTGGAAATCGGCGAGATGCGGTGGCTCACACCTGTAATCCCAGAACTTTGATTAGCAGAGGTCGGCAGATCACTTGAGGTCAGGAGTTCAAGACCAGCCTGGCCAACAAGGCGAAACCCCATCTCTTCTAAAAATACAAAAATTAGCCGGGAGTGGTGGTGCATGCCTGTAGTCCCAGCTATTCGGGAGGCTGAGCCAGGAGAATCACTTGAACCCAGGAGGCAGAGGTTGCAGTGAGTTCAGATCGCACCACTGCACTCCAGCCTGGGCGACAATCCGAGACTGTCTCAAAAAAAAAAGTAATTTGCAAGACTCCATCTCAAAAAAAAAAAAAGGTGATTTGCCTATTCATTAGAGTAGTAAAAGTGGTAACATTTTGGAGGGAGCTCTCCAGCCTGGGTGACAGAGCAAGACTCTGTCTCAAAACAAACAAAAACATTCTGGAAATTTTCCTTCACAATTTGCATGGTTGGTTTCAAAATGAAGCTACTACAGTTTCAGGTGGTTACTCTTCAGGGTTTTCTCCCACGACATTATAAATGTATGTTCACTTGCATATCTACAGTAATACTTCTGTTTTAATTCAGTATATCTTTATACCCTGTGTTTTTTTAGACAGTTTCTTCACTGGCTGTGGGTAGGGTGGGGCTATCACCTACTTTGTTGTCAGAGGGACACCCAGGGCTGCTGATAATTACAGATTGCTCTGAACTTTCCTTAAATTAACATATTTTCCTGGTTCCAAACTTAAAGCTTTGAACTTCATATTTTTAACTACCTTTTAAAAAAATAATTACCTTTTTCCCAGTTGAAAATATAACAACAACTATTCTAAATGGAGGAGTAAATAATGATAAAGCAAGCTAGAAAAATCATTTGTGTTTTTGTGGCAAATTCATCATGTCAGGAAGGAAAACTACTCATTTGCATGTTTGTAAACAACACATCTGATCAGGTGCAATTTTAAAAAGTGATTTGTGGTAGCTAATTTTTGTGTAATTATAAGTGACCCAACCAACAAAAACAATGGACCAAAGAATGACCAAAAACCATGTGGGCCTTCCTGGACTTGCCCAGAAATCATCCATCCCACCTGCTCTGATCTGGCAGTCTGGCAGGCCTTGGCCAGCATGATGTAAGCAAACTCGGCTCTCGCAGCAGGAGCATGATTAATGTCACTGGTTCTCCAACAATACAAACAGCAACACTTTTAATTACAAACTGCTCATAGTGTTTCTCAGCTTCAGAGATTTTCATGAAAAACACAGAATGTCTCTGATTTTGTTTGCATATGATATATATGACCAAACTCTTATTAAATGCAAAAAGAAGCCCTCTTTCCCCCTCAAAACTTTACACAGTGCTGATTCTGCAGGAAGATACTTCACTCATATTTCAGGTACCCAGCACTGCATATGTCCCCACATTTGAGGTGCATCCATTTTAGAAACCAGCTTGATATTTGGTGATCACATTCTGGGTATGGGTTTAAATACAATCACAGTAAATTATTTTATAACTTGGTTCACATTTTTGGATACAATATACAGGCCAAAAATATGCATAATTATTCTTTAATTTGGCTCCAAGAGCTTTAATACTGAAAAACCAAAAGAGCTACAGTACTCATTTCTGATTTAAAAGGTAACTGTGATACTACAATATATATTTTTTGGTTTTTGTCCCACGTTCCTGGCTCACAGCTCCTATAACTCTTGTAATTTCCTAAGTGAGCCATCTTTTGTTAAAATATTTGGCCTTTTGCCCATGGTTCCTGAAACAGCTCTGAGGTTGAGTTGATCACAAATGGCCAACTCTTTTATCAATCATGCCTATGTAATGAAGCCCCACTAAAAACCCAAAAGGGACCTATCTCCCCTTCCCCTTCTTCCTCTATACAAAAAAAAAAAAAAAAAAAAAAAAAAAAACAACCCGCAAAACCCACAAAAGGACTGAATTCAGGGGCTTCCCAGAAGGTGAACGAGAACACATCTACCTGCTAAGAGGGTGGTGCACCAACTCCACAGGGATGGAAGCTTCTACACTTGGGATCCATCCAGACCTTGCCCTATGTATCTCTTCATCTGGCTGTTCATTTCTATCCTTTAAAAGTGGTCCCCAACCTTTTTGGCATGGACTGGGGGTTGCGGGGGAGACAGTTTCAGGATGAAACTGTTCCACCTCAGATTATCAGGCATTAGTTAGATTCTTATAAGGACTACACAACCTAGATCTCTCGCATGCACAGTTTACAGTAGGGTTCACACTCCTATGAGAATCTAATGTCACCTCTGATTTGACAGGAGATGGAGCTCAGGCAGTAATGCTCGCTTGCCCACCACTCACCTCCTGCTGTGCGGCCCAGTTCCTAACAGGCCACAGACCACTACCAACCAGTCCATGGCCCGGGGATTGGGGACCACTGCTTTAAAATATCAGGGCATAGTGGCTCACGCCTGTAATCCCAGCACTTTGGGAGGCGAAGGTGGGAGGATCACTTGAGCCCAGGAGTTCTAGACCAGCCTGGGCAACATGGTGAGTCCTGTTTCTACAAAAAATAAAGAATTTAGCTAGCCATGGTCATATGTGCCTGCAGTCTCAATTACTCAGGAGGCTAAGGCAGGAGGCTTGCTTGAGCCCAAGAGTTTGAGGCTGCAGTGAGTGATGATAGTGCCATTGCACTCTAGCCTGGGTGACACAGTGAGACCCTGTCTCAAAAAAAAAAAAAAAAAAAAAAAAAAAAAGCAAAAGAAAAAGCCGGCTGGGCATGGTGGCTCATGCCTGTAATCCCAGCACTTTGGGAGGCCGAGGCAGGTGGATCATTTGAGGTTAGGAGTTCGAGACCAGCCTGGCCAACATGGTGAAACCCTATCTCTACTAAAAATATAAAAATTAGCTGGGTGTGGTGGTACGCGCCTGTAATCCCAGCTACTTGGGAGGCTGAGGCACAAGAATTGCTTGAACCTGGGAGGCGGAGGTTGCAACGAGCCAAGATCACACCATTGCACTCCAGCCTGGGCGATGGAGTGAGACTCCGTCTAAAAATAAATAAATAAATAAATAAAATAAAAGTAAAAATTAAAAAAAAACTTTCATATGGGAGGCCAATGTGGGAGGATCACTTGAGGCTAGGAGCTCAAGATCAGCCTGGGCACACAGGGAGACCCCATCTCTACAAAAAAATTAAAAAATTAGCCAGGCATGGTGATGCACACCTGTAGTTCCAGCTACTTGGGAAGCTGAGGCAGAAGGATCATTTAAACTCAGGAGTTCAAGGTTACAGTGAGCCATGATCATGCCACTGTACTCTAGCCTGGGTGACACAGTAAGAACCTGTCTCAAATGAAAAAAAAAAAAAAAAAAATGCCAAGCACAGTGGCTCACACCAGTAATTCCAGCACTTTGGGAGGCCGAGGCAAGTGAATCACTTGAGGTCAGGACTTCGAGACCAGCCTGGCCAACATGGTGAAACCCCATCTCTACTAAAAAAAATACACACACACCCACACACACAAATTAGCCAGGAATGGTGGTGCAAGCCTCTGTAATGCCAGCAACCTGGGATGTTGAGGCATAAGAATTGCTTGAACCTGGGAGGTGGAGGTTGCAGTGAGCCGAGATTGTGCCACTGCACTCTGGCCTGGGCGACAGAGTGAGACTTTGTCACAAAACAAAACAAAGCAAGAAAAAACGAAAGAAAAAGCTGTATAATAAACTGGTAAACATGTTTCCCTGAGTTCTATGAGCCACTCTAGCAAATTAACTGGACCTGGTTACGAGGGGTTCATGGAAACTCCAATTTTTAGCCAGCTAGTCAGAAGCACAGGTAAAACAACCTGGGGCTTGCACCTGGCATTGGAAGTGGGCAGCAGTCTTGTGGGACTGAGCCCTCAAACCTGTGGATCTGATACTATCTCCAGGCAGATAGTGTCAGAATTGAATTGGAGGACACCCAGCTGGTGTCTGAGGCAGAACTGATGACTTGCTTGATGTGTGGGGAAAAAAACACCTTACATCTTGTGTCAGAAGCGTGTTGTGAGAGTATAGCAGGAGAAACTGAGTCTGTTTTTCTACTCATACACAGTAACTTAACCAGAGACAGTTAGAGAATGATGGCCTGAGGTCTTGCGACTGATGCGGATATCTATACATGACTGTGATTCCAGGGACAGGCCAGAGCTATGCCATTCTTTAGGGAGACACTTAGCACCCCTCCATGCAAGATCACAAAGCCTGAGAGTCATTATGGCCTCTTCTAAGCCAACTGCTAAGCCTCAGAGCAAGGATGTGCCAGGCTTTCCAACATCACCACTGCCACGGTGGGACAATGTTCAGTTTAAGTGTACAGGCTTATTCCCCATCCCCAACACCCCTTAAAAACAGGTTCTAGCTTTCCATCTCTTCTTGGCTGGTAGTTCTCTACAGAGCGGTTCTAGTTTGAGCATCTCTTCTTAACTGTCCCAGTTGCTTCTTAGATTCTTTCTGGTGCCCTGTAAATAACCCTTTAGTACCTTGAGGCTCTGGGCTGAGGTCAAGGTTCCAAAAATCTGGTGTGTGACATCTCTAAAGGCCAATACCTTTTCCCCGCTTTAAAGGTAATTACATACCATATTCTATAGCCTAGAAGATCTTACTCTTTTGGGAAAGTGAAAGGCTACAAGAACATGCAGAACTGAGGGGAAGCAGATTTTCCCATAGAACTCTAGGCATGTTCCCTTTTATGCTTTAAGTGTAGTACTTCAATATACTGAAAAGTGTACTCCCTTCCAAACTAGTTTCTGCCTAGAGATGATTCCCAGAGAGGAGGAATGAAGTTATTGGCTTCATATCTCCACCTAAAATGAGGATACCTAAGAGACCCTGACTGTGGTGTATACACTATTCCTGGAAAAGAAAGAAGGCCTCTCTCACCTTTGCCCCTTAACTCTCCAGCAGGCTGAGTATGGTGATGGTACTTTGTACACCTCAATTTTAACTGTATATGACCTCTGGCCTATTCCCAGAGGCTCTTGTGAGGCATCGTGACATTCTTGCCTAGAGACATAACCTGCCAACAGCAGCTGAGTCCTCAGATCCGTGTCTAGTGTCTAGTGTGGGTGCACCAGAATCTGCCTGGTCTTTAGGCTGGCATCCCAATGATACTTGACCGTTTCTCAGCAGTCCTGCTGATAATCAGGAACTCAGCCAGGATCCCAGCTCTTACCTTACCCAAACTGAACTACTCAAGCTCAGCACATTTCCTAAGAGAATGATCTGGTCACTGCCTCCTCATTCTTCAGGTCTCAGCTTAAATGTCATGTCATTTTTTTCTAGAAAGCCTTCTCTGACCTGGCAGAAGAGCAAGGTATCTCAGCTATATGCTCTTATAGTGCCATGTAATTTTGCTATCATAGCATTTAACATTTAACACAGAGTATTAGAATTCGTCTTTCAATGTGGTAAAGACAGAGACTTTTTTTTTTTTTTTGAGATGGAGTCTCACTCTGTTGCCCAGGCTGGAACACAATGACGCGATCTTGGCTCACTGCAACCTCCGCCTCCTGGATTCAAGCAATTCTCCTGCCTCAGTCTCCTGAATAGCTGGGATTACAGGCGCCCACCACCACACCCAGCTAATTTTTGTATTTTAAGTAGAGAGGGGGTTTCACCATGTTGGTCAGGCTGGTCTCGAACTCCTGACCTCAGGTGATTTACCTGCCTCGGCCTCCCAAAGTGCTGGGATTACAGGCGTGAGCCACTGCACGTGGCTGAGGCTCTGTCTTTTCACTATTATAACCTCAGGGCCTGACATGTAGTAAATATTTAATACATATTTGATAGATGGTTATTCATTTGATAATTACTGATTGGTACATCTCTGTATTTGGCACCATACTAGGCACCAGAGATACAGTAGTTCGCAAAATCAGACATAATCTCCTGCCCTAACCAAGTATACATACTAATTACCTATGTCACAAACTGGCATAGTTATAGCTGTGGTATTATGAAGAAGAACCTGGTGCTGTGATTCCCCATAGCAGTGACAACTGAGCTAAGATAAGTAGGAAGGGTGGGACGTTAAGGAGAAGAGAGGTGGGCAGAGAGAAGAGCACTCCCTGCAGTAGCTGCAACATATGCACAGGCTTGTGATCAGAGGAATGAGGACGGCATGTCCGACTTGCTAAGGGAAGTGGGATGAGGCTGGGAGATGACAGGGCCGAGACCACACAGAAGCTTGTGGGGTAGGTTGAAGCTTTTGGACTTTAATCCTAATTACAATGGTAAATCATTGAAGGGTTTTAAGCTAGTGGGTAGTAGTGAAGATGGAAAAGGGCCACCTGAGATAAAATGGGCAGTTTTTTGTGACGAGTTTGATATAAGGGTGAGGGAGAGAGGTATCAAGGAGGACTTGTCTAATGGATAGATGGTGGTGCCATTTATTGAGATGGGGTACAATGGCAGAGGACCTCACTGTTGGAGGTGAAAAATCACAAGTTTGGTTTTAGATATGTTGAGTCTGAGGTTCCAGTAAGGATGTGCATGCAGTTGTCTAAGATCTCTAGGGGTCTGTACTAGAAATAGAAATACAAATTTACAAGTCATCTGTGAAAGGCTGTTACTAAAGAAGAGGGGCATGACTGAGATCCATTAGGGAGAAAATACGAATTTGAAGAGAAAAGGTGACTCAGGATCAAAGTCTGAGGAAGGTCACCATCTAATGGCTGGGAAGGGAGACTGAGGAGGAGCAGCTGGAGAGGTGGTAGCAGAAGACAACAGAGAGTTCTTGGTCACAGAACCCAAGGGAAAAGTTAATTTAAAAAGGAGATAGTAGTCAACAGAGAACACTCACAGGGTAAGGTTCTTAAGAAGGTCAGAGGAGATGGGATCAAAGGCATAGATGGAGAAACTGGCCTTAGACTTGAGGAAGGACAGCTGCTCTATTATAGAAAGCACAAAGGAGGATACTGGTAGATTTATTTCTTGGTAGTGGGAAGCTGAGGGAATTCTATTTTCTCTGTGAAGAGGTCAGGGTCTCTACCAAGAGAGAGGGGGAGAAAGTGTGGACCAGAGGTTTAAAAAGAATAGAGTGGGAAAGATAGTTGACCATGGAAACATGGAAAGATAGCTGGGCCATATTCAGGACCTATCTGAAGTGGGTGATCATGAATTTAAAGTGGAATCAGCTGGGCGTGGTGGCTCAGCCTGTAATCCCAGCACTTTAGGAAGCTGAGATGGGCAGATCACTTGAGGTTAGGAGTTCGAGACCAGCCTGGCCAACATGATGAATCCCTGTCTCTACTAAAAATAGAAACATTAGCCAGGTGAGGTGGCACGCACCTGTAATCCCAGCTACTCAGGACGCTGAGGCAGGAGAATCACTTGAACCTGGGAGGCGGAGGTTACAGTAAGCTGAGATCACGCCACTGCACTCCAGCCTGGGCAACAGAATGAGACTCCATCTCAAAAAAAAAAAAAAAGTGGACTCAAGGCCAGGTGTGGTGGCTCATGCCTGCAATTCCAGCTTTGGAAGGCTGAGGCAGGAGAATTACTTGAGCCCAGGAATTCAAGGCTGCAGTGAGCTGTGATTGTGCCACTGCACTCCAGCCCAGGCAATAAAGTGAGACCCTGTTTCAAAAAAACAAACAAACAAAAACCAACAACAACAACAAAAAAACCCAAAACCCAAAAACCAGTGGAATAAATCTGCCCTGTTATGTTCTTTTTTCCAGCAGTGCTTGTTGCTCTTGAGTACACACACAGAAAACATACAGTTAAATGAACAAATAAAGGAAGGACCAAACAGGTAGTAGAAGACAAAGACACTTGACAGACTTCAGGAACAGAAGCAATGATGAAGGACAAAGTCTTCTACTGCTGTGGTAAGAACTCTATTCCTCTATTTGACCCACAAATAGCACCCACATCCCACTGCTAACCTTTAGTAGAGCTGGAGGCTGAAGCAGGTCGAGAAGATCGTTTACGATGTCCATTTTCCACACTTTCAGAGGCCACAGTTGGCTCTTCAGTTCGGGAGTTTCTTCGGCCTGGGATTTTGGACTTTTCAACTATCTCTTTGGGCTCACTGCTGACAGAGGGAAGCAAAAAGTTTCCAAGCAGGTGAGGGAACCAGGCCACACAAAAAACGGGCTCTTCAGATAGTTTCATTCGTAAAGTAGGAGACTAAGAACTATATAGTTATTCTGGAGAGAAAGCAGTTCAACCTGGGGTAATAAGCACTATTGCCTTCTATGTTACTGGGGGTTTAAAAGTGAGTCTAGCTTATTACATTAGTAAAAATAAAATAGTAAAGCATAATGTTGGTGAAATTGTAGAAAAACTGGTAAAAGACATAAAAAAATTGGAACAAAACTCCCCTAATTCCTCACCCATTTTCTTTTCTTTTCTTTTTTTTTTTTTTCCAGACAGAGTGTCACTCTGTCGCCCAGGCTGGAGTGCAGTGGCGCTGTCTCAGCTCACTGCGACCCCTGCCTCCTGGGTTCAGGCAATTCACCTGCCTCAGCCTCCCGAGTAGCTGGGACTACAGCCATGTGACACCACGCCCTGCTAATTTTTGTCTTTTTAGTAGAGATGGGGGTTTCACCACACTGGCCAGGATGGTCTTAAACTCCTGACCTCAAGTGATCCACCCACCTCGGCCTCCCAAAGTGCTGGGATTACAGGCGTGAGCCATTGCACCAGGCCCCTCACCCATTTTCCTAAGGTAATAGTTCCCTTCAAAAATTAAAACATTTTGGATTTTGTAATTTTTTAGAATCATGAAAATGGTCTTTAAGATGTCTGAAAATTGCTATTAACTCAAAATAGTATATAAACCTAGGAAATTATTAACATATATTGGCATTTACTAATGATCCCGGTAGAGTCAGATAACAGCATATTAGAAGCCACAGTATGGGGATAATTCACAATACACTGCTAGGTATATTGATTGTCCACACCCCAACCCCCTTTTCTTAGTATATGAAGATTTAAAATTGGTAATATTCACTGTTATTGAGGATACAGGAACAAAAACATTTACATACACTCCTAACTGGAGTGTAAATTGTATAACCCAGTGGTTCTTAAAAGGAGGCAATTTTGCTTCTTAGGGGACATTTAGCAACATCTGGAGACATTTTTGATTGTCACAACTTGGGGAGAGGGGTGCTACCGGAATCTTTTGGGTACAGGCCAGGGATGCCACTAAACGTAAGCCCCACACAACAAACAGTTATCTGGCCCCAAAGGTCAATAATGTTGAGGCTGAGAAACTCTGGTGTAACCCTTGACTCAGCAATCCCACTTCTAGGTGCCTAAGGAAACAAATCTTTTTACAGAGCTCCACACATAAGGAAGTTAAAACATTTTATTTGTACTAGTGAAAACAGAAGACCTAAATACCTAACGATAGTAGATTAGTTAGCTAAATCATGGCACATCCATATGGAGTCATGAAAAATCATGTTGTAGATTATTTAATGACAAAACGATTTATGACACATTACCAAGTGGGAAAAACTTACCAACACAATGAACAGTATAATTCCATTTTCATTGTTGTATGTGTTGAGTATATATGTAACTACATATGAATAAATATGAGCTATATACACATAAATCTTTTGTTGTTGTTGTTTGTTTTTGAGATGGAGTCTTGCTCTGTGCCCCAGGCTGGAGTGCAGTGGCAGGATCTCAGCAAAGTGCAAACTCTGCCTCCTGTGTTCAAGCAATTCTCCTGTCTCAGCCTCCTGAGTAGCTGGGATTACAGGCATGCGCCACCACGCCTGGCTAATTTTTGTATTTTTAGTAAAGATGGGGTTTCACCATGTTGGCCAGGCTGGTCTCGAACTCCTGACCTCAAATGATCCACCTGCCTTGGCCTCCCAAAGTGCTGGGATTACAGGTGTGAGCCACAACGCCCAGCCCTATACACATAAATCTGACACAATATATTTGGGTGCACACTGTGTGAAAAAGACTAGAAGCAGATGAACTAAAATATATGTACAGTGAATATTGTTGAGTTGTAGGAATACTAGTTTACTGGTGAGTTATTTTCTTCTTTGTAATTCTCTGATCTGAATTTCTGGTTTTCTTTAATAATTTTTTACACTTTCATGGTTCAAAAACGCATGTTAAAATGATCAGAAAAAAAATTCTTTAGAAAATTAAATTTGCTTGCAAGACATGTAACAAATAAAAATAATGCAACAAAACAAAACAAAACAAAACAAAACAAAACAAAACAATACTGGTCAAAAGGCTGCCTCTTCTGGGAAGTCTTCCATGATCTCATTTCCCAAGTAGAGCTGTCTCTTTTGTCTCTTGGGTTCACAGTCTTTATCTGGCATTCTAGAGCACCCATCAGATTGTACATCGTGTTCTATTTTAATGTTTTGTGTCTTCAACTAGACTGTGAACCTCTTAAGGACACAGACCATAACCTGACTGTCAACTATCCCTACCCTTCCACTGTTCACTCCTGCCAGAGGACCCTTTGCTAGTAGCACCGTGGTTGGGAACTGGGACACACCATTCACTCCCATAGCTTTATGTATAACAGCCGCCCGACACCCAACCATAAGCCAAGGTAAGTCAAGGAGAGGTGAGGCTGGAGCTGGGGTGGAATTACAAGTCAGGGGGATTTATACCTCCTTTGAGAGGTGGTGAAGATGGCTTTCTGGCTAGGAGCTCAGAAAATGGTCAAAGCTTCTGAGGAAAGAAAGTTCTTTTTTTAAAAAAAATTTTTGTTTTTTTTTTGAGACAGGATGTCACTCTGTCCCCCAGGCTGGGGTGTGGGTAGTGCAATCATGGCTCATTGCAGCCCTGACCTCCCAGGCTCAAGTGATCCTCCCACCTTAGCCTCCTGAGTAGCTGGGACTACAGGCAAGTGCCACCATGACCAGCTAATTTTTTATTAATTTTTTATTTTTTATTTTTTTTTCATAGAGACAGGGTCTCCCTATGTTGCCCAGGCTGGGCAACTCCTAAGCTCAAGCAATCCTCCCTCCTTGGTCTCCCAAAATGCTGGGGTTACAGGCATGAGCCACTGTACCTGGCTAGATGATTCCTAATGAAAGTGCCTCTTTCTCCTGGCAAAACAAAAGCCACAGCAAGACTATCCTGTTTTTTATGGTCAATGCTCAGGTATCTCTGGAAACAAACACCCCAAATGTATTTTTGGTCTGATTAGCTTCTTTCTCTAGACAAATAGCTGGTGCATGCTTGAGAAATGCAGATGAATTCAAACATTAGCCCAATCCAAATAAAATCAGACAGGCAGAGTGGTATAGTAGGAGTAGCAATGAATTTGGAATGAGATGAACAGGGGTGAAGTCTTAGCTATGCATTTATTGACTATGCTATTTAATGCTCTATGTTCTAGACTTTTTTTTTTTTTTTTTTAAGATAGAGTCTTACTCTGTTGCTCATGTTGGAGTGCAGTGAGCACGACCATGGCTCACTGCAACCTCGACCTCCCTGGGCTCAGGTGATCCTCCCACCTCAGCCTCCTAAGTAGCTGGGACTACAGGCACATACCACTATGCCCAGCTAATTTTTTGTATAGACAGGGTTTCACTATGTTACCCAGGCTGGTCTCAAACACCTGGGCTCAAGCCATCTGCCTACCTCGGCCTCCCAGAGTGTTGGGAGTACAGGTGTGAGCCACTGAGCCCGGCCGTTCTAGACTCTTTTTTCTTTTCTTTTCTTTTAGACAGAATTTCACTCTGTCGCCCAGGCTGGGGTGCAGTGGCATGATCTCGGCTCACTGCAACCTCCGCCTCCCAGGTTTAAGTGACTCTCCTGCCTCAGCCTCCCAAGTAGCTGGGATTATAGGCATGCGCCACCATGCCTGGCTAATTTTTGTAGTTTTAGTAGAGACGGGGTCTTACCATTTTGGCCAGGGTGGTATCGAACTCCTGACCTCAAATGATCTGCCTGCCTCGGCCTCCCAAAGTGCTGGGATTACAGGCGTGAGCCACTGCACCCAGCCTCATTCTAGATTCTTGATCTATAAATCCCATCTTGTCTGTTGCAATACATAGGTTAAATATCAGGGCTCTGAAGTCAGAAGGCTTGGGTTTGAATCTAACCTTCACCATTTACTAATTCTGTGACCTTGGGCAATTTAGTTAACCTTTCTGAACTTTAGATTTCTCATCTATAAGACAGAATTTACTTTCCTAATAGATACTGTGAAAATTAGATGAGATAACACATCTAGGGCACTTGTAGCTCAATCTATTAAGGATGCATGGCATGGAACAACATTCAAATAAATGGTGGCTATTAACCTCCTCACAGGGATGATATGAAGATTAAATGAAAAAAATATTGTGAAAGTGTCTTATGAAGTTGCTGTACAATTATGAGAAGTTCTTTAAAATATTATCCAGTGCATTCCTACACTAAAAGAGACAAGACTGTGTGTGGTGGCTCACACCTGTAATCCCAGAGGCTGAGACGGGTGGATCACTTGAGGTCAGGAGTTCAAGACCAGCCTGGCCAATGTGGTGAAACCCCGTCTCTACTAAAAATACAAAAATTAGCTAGGTGTGGTGGTACATACCTGTAATCCCAGCTACTTGTGAGGCTGAGGCAGGAGAATTGCATCAACCCCAGAGGTGGAGGTTGCAGTGTGCCGAGATCGTGCAACTGCACACCAGCCTGGGTGATAGAGCAAGACTCTGTCTCCAAAAAAAGGCATGACTTTTGGAAAATGGTAATATTCCTCTCCACAGAGCTAATGAAGTTGAAGCCATAGATGTATGTCATTTTGTAGGGTTATGTGGAGCAGCACAGTGTAACAGAAAAAAGCATAGGTTTTGGGTCAGATCCTGCCTGGCTTTCTCCTTCTTTTGCTTTCAGGGTCAAACAACTGTTCTTTAGAAGACAGCTGCAAGGACTATTATTAATATTAATATCAATGGTAACAACAGCTCCCATATATTGAACATTTACTATTTCCTCATTATGCAGAACATGTTATCTCACTCAGCTTTGAAAACAACCATAAAAGGTAGAAACTTGGCCTCCAGCTTTTATTAAGAGAAATGTTACCTCTGAGGGATTAGGACTCATGACAGCTCTCTACGTTAGCAGTAAAAACAGACTGGTGCAAGAGTGAAGGAAAAGGACAAGGTGAAGAGAGGTTTAAAGACTGAGACAGCTGATACCTTTCAAAGAGGCTTATGCTGTGTTCATGCTACGTCTGCAGAAATGATCATCTTACCTTTGTCCAGAGACTATGGCAGCATTTACCTCCAGCTCTGCAAAAAAATATAAAGGATAGAAATGAAATGTGGGAGCTGCCACAGAGAGAAGCTAGGAGTCTACAAGAATTCTCTATGCCCTATTTAGGCTAAAGTGTCCCTGTGCCCAGCAGGATTCTCACCCTACATGGTATGGAGACAAAGCTGGCACAGATACAACTTGGTTTGTTTGGGACATAAGACACTTGGTCTATTTTTATTTCTACTCCACATGGTGAAATAATCTGTTTGGATTAATAGAACTAAGTTCACCCTTCCTTGTTCATATTTCATCCAGTTACAACCAGGTTAGCAAAATAAGTCTCTTCCTCTCATGTGGAAGAGACCGTTTTCATTTTAAAACATCTCCATCCACCTTGTTGCCACTTTTTTAAAAAAAGCAATCTTCAAATATGTCTTGAACATCTATTAAGGATGCATTCTTCTCCAAAGGACTTCCTCACTGAGTTTTAGAGGGCACAGTGCTTTGCTTTCAGATATTGCCTTTACACCCCATTCTATTCCTTTCTTTCTCAACCTCCCAGCAATGCCCTCCAAGCAAGGAAAATCTTAGTAATCTGTCTAGCAGGGTTTTCCATCAATGAGCACACTCTGGGTTTACCATGCACTTCTTCCTCAGCACCAGCAGAAAAACATTTGCTTTCTCTATTATGTGCCTTTAGGTAGTTCCATCTTTTCCAAAAGCCTTCCCTGATGTACCAGATAGCAGTGATCTATCCTGCCTCTGGCCTCCCACAGCCCTATTCCTGTTCCCCCATTGAGGGAAGTCAGCACCTCATTACTCAGTGTACATGTCTAACCTACTCTACTAATCACATGGTAACCTTAAAGGCAATGAAGTCAGAGTGCCTGGTTCAAAATTTTGACTTCAATGCTTATTAGCCATGTGACCTTGGGTAAATTATCTGACATCTCTGTGCTCAATCCCTTACCTAAAAAATGGGAATAATCACATTACCCACTTCAAAGTTAAGGAGATGAAATAATGCATGTAGAAATTTTAGTATGGCACCTGACACTTAGTCATAACTCAATGTTATTAGCTATTATTATTGCTATGAAGATCAGATTGATGCAGCCTTTCATGTAAGGAGGTTGGACTACTCTGCCTTTAATGCAAGGTGCTAGTAGAAGGGAATCTTTGATGGGAGGCTGAGGCAGAGGAATCCCTTGAACCCAGGAGGCAGAGACTTCAGTGAACCGAGATCATGCCACTGCACTCCAGCCTGGTGACAGAGCAAGACTCTGTCCCAAAAAAAAAAAAAAAAAAAAAAAAAAAAGGAAGGGAATCTTTGCTTCTCATTGCTGTTTAGCCTCCTGTATTTGTACCCACAAAGCCTGAAAACCCATCCACAAAAAATAGATACCAATTCACTGAGTCTCTGCTACTTTGCTGGCTTGGCTGGAACGTATAAACTCAGGTAATGTGTGCTCAAAAATGAAAATGACTCAAGTCAAAAGAAGTGCTCACCCTCATTGTTTTTTATTTTTTTGAGACAGGGTCTCACTCTGTCCCCCAGGCTGGGGTGCAGTGGCACTCACTGCAACCCCCACCTCCAGGGTTCAAGCGATTCTCCTGCCACAGCCTCCCGAGTAGCTGGGAGTATAGGCACGCGGTACCAGGCCAGCTAATTTTTGTATTTTTAGTAGAAACAGGGTTTCGCCATGTTGGCCAGGCTTGTCTTGAACTCCTGGCCTCAAGTGATCTGCCCGCCTTGGCCTCCCAAAGTCCTGAGATTACAGGCATGAGCCACCGCACCTGGCCTATTTTTATTTTTTGGGGGATGGTCTCACTCTGTCTCCCAGGCTGGAGTGCAATGGGATCACAGCTCACTGCAGCCTCAACCTCCTTGGGGTCAGGTGATCCTCCTACCTCAGCCTCCCAAGTAGTATGCATGCCAAGCCCAACTAATTTTTAAAAATTTTTTGTAGAGATGGGGTTTTACTATGTTGCCCAAGGTAGTCTTGAACCCCTCGGCTCAATCAATCCTCCCATCTCAGCCTCCTAAAGTGCTGGGGTTAGAGGCATGAACCATTACACCCGGCCTAGTTTGCTCTTCTTTTTTTTTTGAGACAGAGTTTTGCTCTTGTTGCCCAGGGTGGAGTTCAATGGCGCAATCTCCGGCTCACCGCAACCTCTGCGTCCCAGGTTCAAGCGATTCTCCTGCCTCAGCCTCCCAAGTAGCTGGGATTACAGGCATGTGCCACGACAGCCAGCTAATTTTGTATTTGTAGTTTGGGGTTTCTCCATGTTGGTCTGGGTGGTCTCAAACTCCCAACCTCAGGTGATCTGACCGCCTCGGCCTCCCAAAGTGCTGGGATTACAGGTGTGAGCCACCGCGCCTGGCCTAGTTTGCTCTTTTAAAACAAGAAAAAGTTTGATGCTTTTGAGAATCTTAACACTATCACTGCTGATTCACAAGTAGAGATCAAGAAGGTTTGATGAAGGTAATCAGTGGCTCTGAGGGATGTTAAGGATAAGGAGATTCATTTACGCCAGACTTCCAAATGGAAGAGGATTCTTCAGCCAATTACTGTGAGAAGGGGGAAAAATGATATGGTAAATCCTATTTTCTAGAGTAGGGTTGGGGCAGGAAATGGAATTCCCTTTCCCTTTAGAGTTACTCCTTTTCTTACCAAAAATGAGTTTTGCTGTATGACCCCTCCTTTAAATAACGTGCTCCATTCCTACCCTTCTCAAATATCCAACACAATGTCAGGTATCATGTGGGCAATTGGCAGCAAAGAAAGAATCTGGGTGGCTGGGCCGGAAGTAGTGGCTCATGCCTGTAATCCCAGCACTTTGGGAGGACGAGGCAGGTGGATCATGAGGTCAGGAGATCGAGACCATCCTGGCTAACATGGTGAAACCCTGTCTCTACAAAATATACAAAAAATTAGCCAGGCTGGTGGCGGGCACCTATAGTCCCAGCTACTTGGGAGGCTGAGGCAGGAGAATGGTGTGAACCCAGGAGGCAGAGCTTGCAGTGAGCCGAGATTGCGCCACTGCACTCCAGCCTGCGTGACAAAGCAAACTCCATCTCAAAAAAAAAAAAAGAAAAACAAAAAGAAAAAAAGACTCTAGGTGGCTGAAATGTTTTTTGCTCGCACACTATTTTCAGAGGCCTGATTTTATTCAGAGTGTGCAGTAGAAAGTCCTATCAGTCACACAGGATGTAGCATTCTGAAGTAGGTTTTAAAATAATCACAAACTATACCTTACTTTTACTGGCTCAGATTCACAAAATTAAGCATGGCTACTATTGCTTTTTCTTACTAACTTTGTCAAGTGTGTGAATTGTAGTTTCAATGAGATTCTTACCTCTGTGGGGACCAGTCATACTTTTTTTTTTTTAACTCCTCAATGATCTACAGTGACAAAGAATCAGGCGAAACTAAACTGTACCATATCTGCGATATTTATCTGCCTCCATAGTCTATAAAGGCAAAACAAGGGCTGTGGCTGCCATCATCCTCATGTATTCTGAGCTGACCCTGATCCCACAGCAGTTATTTGTCAGATTACCATGGGATCCTACTTCCAGAAATATCATCCCTTGTGCTATTTACAATATATTGGTCATGGGGAGAAACTTAATGCCACCCAGAGACGACTGAAATGACTCTGCCTCCCTGGAGGAATGGCTATCACATTGTGGCAGAGACTCAATGAACAAGACTCCACTACTGTCATAATAAAATTACAAAGTGCGTTAATGCTTGCCAGCCCAGTAAGTCACCATATGCCAGCTATTCAGCTGCCAACCATGGGTGCCAGGGTCACAGAACAGGGAAAACTCTGCAACAGAAACCCATGGCTGGGTGGCAGACAGACAATGGGCACGGAATTGCCCTTCTTGAGTTCCCTAGCTGACACTATGAATGCATGAGAGAGCAAGCTGGTCGGGGGGAAAATAATCTCAAGTAGAACTGCACAAGCTTTGTCACTCAACCAAAGTCTGCTCTGAAGCAAACAGATAAAATAGTTCCTGTCACTTCCTGGCATAAGAACACACGACATTGAGGACAGCAGTAGTTCCTTCACATGTAACCCATCCCACTCCAAGAAGTTTTTCCAAAGTACGCCTTACCTGGTCTGGCAACAGAGGCCTGCAGTGCTGTGGTTGAAGTTTCCTTTGAGACTAAATTCTGCGACGGGGCTAAGGCAAGGAAAAAAAAATTACAGACCTTTTACTTTCTTTTCTAAACAAAAAGAAAGCATTAACCTAATCAAGGGCTAAGTAACTGCTGAAACAATGTACTCTTAGAGGGCAGTACTCAAAATTGGCCTCGAAATTACAAGTACATTTTAAAACTTACTACAAAAATTAATTACCATAACACCCAGTACCAATGACTACCATTTAGGGGTATAGGCTCTTCCTTTTTGTATGTATAATAATAAGGGGAAGAGATGGCTATAAGAACATAGCACTCACATTTTCTGCTTCTTGGGGTCAGGTCCTGACCACTACTTGAAAAAGCCCCAAAGCATATCTTAGTAGGCAACCCAAACCATAGAGGTACAATTATACCATTCCCCTCAGCATTTAAAAAATCTAGCCTCACTCCCTAAAGACTATACTCTATGAGAGTGGAAATGGTCACATAATTTTGTACTTTTCTATAGCACTTAGCAAAAGTGATGGGCATAAAGCAGGCATTCAATTCATACATAATAAATAAATAAATTTGATATGTTATTTACTTATCTAACAAATAGTTGCAAAGAACTTACTAGGGGCAAGGCACTGTGCCAGGTACCCTGAGAGACCAAACTATATCCTCTTGCACATCAGGAACTCAGTCTAGTATTAAAGATAAGATATATACATGTAGTGCACTTGAGTGCACTCTGATGTCATATGAAGGAGTCACAAAGTATAAAATACTACAAAAGTCCAAAGCAAGAGTTAGCAATTCTAGGTTGAGAAATCTGAAGGTACATTAAAGGGAGAAACATCAGAATCAGGCTTCAAAGGACACAGAGAACTTAGGCCCTTAAGGAATGGAATAAAATATGTAATGCCCTCTAGAAGGGAACCATCCTGGAAGATAAAGATTATGGCATGGATATGCCACAGTCACATCTTGACATCTCAGTCTAAAATCCTAGATAAACTCTGCAACAACATGTTTTACTCTCTTGTGGAAACTGAATTTTGTATATTTCCCTCCCTGCTTAGCAAAGCAGTAAATTATGCATTTGTGTTTAAGAATTTATTTTGGATGCTTATCTGATAAAGCTTAAAACTATATCTTAACTTCTACTTTTAACTTTAGTGTTCATTTCTCAAATTTCCTTTTCTTTTTCTCCTGAGACAGAGCCTTGCTCTGTTGCCCAGGCTGTAGTGCAATGGCAGGATCTCGGTTCACCACAACCTCCGCCTCCTGGGCTCAAGCAATCCTCCCACCTCAGCCTTCTGAGTAGCTGGGACCACAGGTGCATGCCACCATGCCCAGCTAATTTTTACATATTTTTTTTGTAGAGACAGGGTTTCGCCTCATTGCCCGGCATGGTCTCAAACTCCTGGGCTCAAGTGATCCACCAGCCTCGGCCTCTCAACATGCTGAGATTACAGGCATGAGCCACCGTGCCTGGCCAATTTCTCATATTTTCAAAGTAAAAGCACAGAAGCCCCTTGAAAAAGAACAGAAACAATCACTTATAAGCAAAGTGAGTGTTCTTAACTAAAATTGAGAACTTTTCCCAAGTGCTGGTTCATCTCCTCAAGGCCCACATATTTCTCTAGTATAATATATGATCCAGATAAAAATAATTTCTAATTACTTCATCATTTTTCTCTTGATACCAGAGGGAAAAGTCTCCTGAAAGAAGGAGAAATGGAAATACTTAATAGTGAAGGATATACTTAATTTACACCAGGTTCCCTTTTAATTCTTAGGGTTCATCTACACCAACAGAACTAGAACAATATACAATAAGCACCCAGTCTTGTGAAGACTGTCTCTTGTAAGAGCAGCAGACTTCTTGAAGGCCTTTATCCTGCCCCCATCTCTCTAACACTGAGGTGAAGAGGCAGAGAGAAGGGGAATTAACCTTTCCAGAGCTCTGCGTGAGGCAGTGTGTTGGCCACTTGACAAATCTTCTCATTGAGTCCTCTCTCAGAATCCTAAATTCTGGGAGGTAGAATGTACGATCTCCATTTTACAAGTGAAATACATGGCTTAGGAGAGGTTAAGGAACGTATCAACTGTAACTGGTAACCAGTGGGCTAGAATTTGAACTCTGATCTTACCCTGAAGTTTGTGTTCTTTCTGCCTCTCCTCCTGGGTGCTTACCACTCAGTGGTAGGCACTCGAAGCATTTTAGCTGCATAAATAAGATAGGCACTTAATTAGCTGGCCTAGGATATCGTAAAGGTCTTTCCCAGCTCTAGCAGTGTGTGACTGACTCCACTCTGGGGAAATAGAGCTTCTTCACTTAAGCCTCACAGGAGGAGGAACATGTCAGGGAAGGGAAGAAGGGAAGGAGGGGCGGTTGTAAGGACACCTATGCTTCCATCATTAGCCCATCTTAACAGTACATAGGAAATAGCCTGAACTAGATACACAAATGGAATGTACCAATCAACAAAGAGATTACATCAAAAAGAAACTGGGAATAACAATTTTTACCATTTATTGAATAATAATTATATGCTAGGTTCTGTGCTAAGAATGTTATATGTACTACCTTATTGAATTCTTACAACTATTATTGTTCCATATTACAAAGGAGGAAACCAAAGTCTGGAGTGGTCAAGTAACTTGCCCAAGCCCATATAGCTGGTAAATGCTGGTGTTATAATACCAACCCAAGCCTACTGGCTCTTGACCACTTTGTTTCTACTGTGTCCATTATCATGAAACCCAGTTTTCTTCCAGCTCTCCTCTAGAGTAGCCCAGACAAAAAAAGAATGGTTCCTGAGATAGAGTACAGTGAGAATGGGGCTATGAGGACCCATTGTTCTGAAATAGTCATGAGCAAATCTTCACCCTGGTAAAGAGAATCTGCAGAAGCTGCTGTTCACACTTAAGGCACAGTGTTAAATGGGAGGTTCACAGTATAGACTCTGAACAAACACTGAACGTCTTTGAGCTTCAATCTTCTCACCCATACAATGGGGTTAAGAATATCTGACATAGTTGGTATAAAGATGATGCAAGACAACATATGTAAAAATGCTTCCTTATAAATTGAAAAACTTATATAAATGAAAGGTATCATTATTTCAGGAACTCTTTGTTTTGAGAGCCTTAGCTCTCTGTTTTGTTTTTTTCAGACAGAGTCTCGCTCTGTTGCCCAGGCTGGAGTGCAGTGGCATGATCTCAGCTCACTGCAACCTCTGCTCCCAGGTTCAAGCTATTCTCATGCCTCAGCCTCCTGAGTAGCTGGGATTACAGGTGTGTGCCATCATGCCTGGCTAATTTTTGAATTTTTAGTACAGATGCAGTTTCACCATGTTGGCCAGGCTGGTCTCGAATTCCTGACCTCAACTGATCCACTCACCTCGGCCTCCCAAAGTGCTGGGATTACAGGCGTGAGCCACCGCACCTGGCCCTTAGCTCTCTTTAATGAATGCAAACTTAACATGGGATTTAAAAGCATATTTTCCAACGTACTTTCAATAAATAAAACTACTGCTATTGCCATTTAGCCCATTCTCTTTCCTCCAAGTAAAAAAGGAGTCATGCTTTCTCTTGTGGGATTAGGTCATCAAAAAACTGACACAAAGAGATGATGAAGCCCCAAGTACATACCTATGCTGGGTAGAAGTTCTGGATGGGATCCCACCTTCTCCTCCACTAGGCCACCCGCAAGTGACTCAGATGCTATGCCACCATGATTGCTTTTTGTGGTCGGTACGGCGGAGATGAGCTCGGAGGGTACCAGAGTGGTTACTATCGAGCGTACACTGGTGGGGAGAGCACCGCCAGGTAAGCTGGGTCCTGCTGAGGCAGTGCCCGGGCCCACAGGGCTAGAGGTCATTTTTAGCAGAGTGGGTGCTGGGGGCGTTGGGGTTTTACTGTCCAGCTCTGTGGATAACTGCTCTGTTCCCATGAGCCCCGGAGCTGTGGTGTCTAGCCCTTGGCCTTCAGTCTCTCCATCTGCACCATATTGTTCTTCCCCTTTCTCAAGAGAGCCTGTAACTTTCTTACATGCCTTGGTCAACAAAATTTGGCCAATTTTGTCCACTTTTCCTTTGCCCTTACTAGACGAGACTGGGCTTCGCCGGTTGCCAGAGGACCCTGGACTATTGGTCAAAAGGGGAGAAACCATTGTGGTTGACTGTGAAGAGGGAAGAGTGTTCTGATCTGCTGAGGTGTTCACCTGAGGGCTAGCCTCATCTGGATTCAATTCTTTCACTTGCTGCACAGGGGGATGAGAAGGGACAACTGGAGAAGACGTACAAGGAGGGGAAGGAAGCTGAACAGGGGTGGCTCGTGAGCTAAGGACCAAAGGTCGACCTGTCTGGATGTTTGGAGCAGGACTACTGGAGAGGGCATTAGGCGGTACAGGAGCAGAAGAAAATTTTATGTTCTGAGGTATGTGTAAAGGGCCAACAACTGCAACAGAGGGAGGCATCAGGCCAGAGTTGGTTGTCAGTGGGGCTGCAGGAATTGTGCTTGGCTGTGATCCTTTCATAACCTGAATTATTGAGGATGAATTGATAAAGACAGGTGTAATGAACTGAGGCCGGGCATTAGACTGAGCAGCTGACTGTCCCTCAGAAACCATAACCTTGCTACCCGCATTGGGCATTGTGACAACTGTTGACATCAATGCAGACTGCAAGTGAGTTGGCAAAGCTGCTGATGTGTTAGCTGAAGTTGTGATGGGATTGGAAGTGACAAATACAGTTATTTGATTTGGGGGCAAGGGAGTGGAAATGGAGGAAGAGCTAACAGGTCTTGACATTACTGGAGGGATGCTTGGTGCAACGTTAGAACTGACCTCACTCAATTCGGGATGCACAAGGGATGAACACAGCTCATTACTGTGAGGTAAGTTTAGGGAATTAGAAGGTTCTTTAGAAGAAGACAGATCCTGCAGTGTGGGAATGACAGATGCTTTTTTGAGGTCCTCCCCAGAAACTACTGGAGGTGTTACTTCCAGATCTGTAAGCCCAGGGGGTTTAATTGTCACATTGGGAGCTCCAGAGTTGTCAAGAAGTTGACTTAACGATGTTGGTGCTTCCCTCATAGCAGGAGACACCAAATTTTTGTTCTCTTCGACACTGGGAAGTTTGTTAGGATCCGAAGGCTGCCCATCCTTTTTGGACTGATCTTCAGGGACAACCATTTTAACTTCTTGGGCAGGGACTGCTTTTAGTTCAATGTTTACCTGTTCCTTCCTACTCTGGGAATTCTGGCAATCACTGTCCTGAGGCACATTCAAGCTCTCCTTGTTATCCTCAACAACACCCCCAACTGCAGCCACAGACACAGTAGAATTCTGAGGATTCAGCCCACTGTTGTTAGGAAAGCTCCCAGGTACAGGGGGATTGGCCAGAGGAGTGGGACTGACCAATACATTTCTCGGCAACTCCACATTCTGCAATAGGGCTGCATTTGTCTGAGAGGCCAGAGTAAGTTTAGGGGCTTTTGAATTTTGCCTCCCAGGGCTTGGAGTGGTTTTCCTACTGGACCCAGGACTAGACCTGCGACTGTTGCTTGGACTTGCCCGTTTTGTTGCTCCAGAATTAGACTGCTTTCCAGAATTCACTACCACAGAATCTAATTTGTGAGTTTGTGGGGTAGCAAAATTGGAAGGATTCATGGTAAGATTTGAAGGTGCTTGCCCGATGGCCTTCAAAGTTGTTGGATTTAGGCCTTGTTGATCAAAGCCCCTGTTTAAATTTGGCCTAGGAGGTAAAGGAATATTAATCTGTGGAGGGAAGAGTCCTGCTATGGAGGCATTGAGTCTTTCTGGTGACAGACTGATTTCTGAAGGTTCTGTGCTGGGAGGGCGGTTGTTGGGTGTCTGAGGATAATAGGGTCTGGGGCTGGCTCTGTTTGGTGTTTTGGGCCTAGATGTCTGGGTTGGCGCAGCCACATTTGGGAAGTGGTGGCCGTGAGAGCTGGGCAGGGAATTTACAGGGGGTTGCTGGGGAGTTGCACCTTGAGTTGCTGAAAGGGGCGATGGTCCAGGTTTTGGCCCTGTCATCATTAACTGATTCTGGGGAAGTACTACATGTGAAGGCATGTTGTTTGGGCCTCCTGGGACAGATGGTGCTTCACTGCCACTTGCTTCAGGGAGTGAGGCCATCTCCGCCAGTGGCGAGCTGGAAGGATTCTGCGGGCTCTCCTGATAGACCATTTTCCTTGAATTGCTTCCCAAGGGAGTATTCACAGGCATTGGCATTCTTTGTTTATCAGGTGATGGTGGCACGGAGGCAGGTCCTTGCAGACTGACCATGACAGGCACACTGCCACTCTGTTGCATGGGCATTCTCTGGGAGTCGGGGTTCAGGGGGCCCCTTGGAGGATGGACATTTTGAGAGACTGGAAGCCTAACTGATTTGGGATCCTGCTGCATCATGAGCATCATCATCATTTGTTGCTGCTGCTGCTGCTGCTGCTGAGACTGTGGCTGACTGGGAGGTGGTGGCTGCTGCTGCTGAGGCAGTTGTGGCTGTGGCTGCTGCTGTGGTGGCTGTGGTGGGGGTGCCACATGCTGCATGAGTTGAGGAGGCATCTGCTGAAGTGGCCTCTGTTCAACTGGTTGAGAAGGATAACCTAAAACAAGCCCCCCAAATTAGGGAAGTTAGATTTTTCAGCAAGAAAATGTTGCTACCTTTAGAGTATAGCCAAGCAATACTCATCTAGGTGGCACAGACTATGCACAAACAGCTCAGGCATGCCCACTCCTGGGGCAGGGGGCAGCCCCTCATTACTTGACATAAGCAAAAGGGGCACAGTGCTTAAGGAAGCAAAAAGCAAAGCATCAAAAAACCTGGAGCTCCTCGGTGTGTAGGATCTGAATGAGCCATGACTGTACTAAGAGCCTGATTTTCTGTGCTATGCACTGAAAATGGCTGTGTCTATACCAGCCAAACATTCAGATGAAATGAGAAAAACTCCATCAACATCAAGTGCCTGGCCACCCAAGATTCAGGTCTCATGTAGTCATAATCAATATTTCAATGTACTTGTGAATGAAGTAAAGCATTTAGGATTCACTTCTTCTGTTAGCACAGGAATAATTTTTTTAAGATGTGGTTTTGTTGAAAATAACAGCACTGAAGACAGCCTTTTTATTCTTTCAACAGAAGTAAAATATAAAATTCTAGGATTCAGTTCCTTAAGAAAGAGGAATTTAAAATTATTCCAATTCATTGGCTCCATACACTACGCCGCATCCTTCAGGCTTAATCCTTTGGGGGAAACCGACTGAATTAAAATTGCCCTTCAGGTGTAAATCAGTTTAATAAACAGTAGGAGCTAATGGAAGCTGATATACACATTGAAAATAAAATTAGGGCATTGAAGTTTTTATGGATATTAATTTGCACTTACTTTCTTACATGCAAATCTCTATTTGGAGAAATATTTTCCATGAATCCACAGCTGGAGAATAAGTAAGGCAGAAGCATAGCCCTCAGGAATAAAAAATAATTTTGGGAAAAGAACTCTGAAGGACAATGTCTTCTAGATATGCAGAGGGCAACATCTCAAATTATTCTCTTTTTTTGTGAAGATTTTACTTGGCATTTTAGAACCAAAACCTTACAATCAGAAAAGATAAAAAGATACGCAAACCAAGAATAACGGTGGTTCTGTGGGAAAAAGTGGGCATACAGCTGGGCATATATGGGATACAATTCCAGTTCCACAAACTAGATTTATTCCATTGTTGCATGAAGAGTACATTAGGGAGGTTTTAAGAAGGTGTAGGAATAAGAACAACTGGCTCTGGCAGTCAAAAGAAATGCTGACTCAACATTTTCATAGAGCAGCTACCAAATTTTGTGGGTCAGACTCAGCACTCAATTAATGTCTTCTGGCCAAAGATTTCCATGGTATCAATGAATACAATGTGTAGAATCCAGTTTTGAAGATTTTTAAAAAAATCCTTTTTTATTTTAGGCCCGAGTAACTTCTTCACCTTTATAAAGCCAATAACATGGCATTTCTATGGTTCAACTGTCCTTTCGACTACATAGTCAAATACAGTGGGTTCCTATTTTTCACATTCAGTCTGGGGTTCCCACATTAAGAAATTTGTAATTGCTACAAAAGCCTGTTGATGTCAGGGTTATGACATGGATGCCTTTTATCTTTAAAATCAGCCCACCAGACAGTAAATACCAAAGAGGACAGCATAGACAATATAGCAGCCTCTCAAAAGTAACAGTTAAGGGCATGGCTGCTACAGAGTCCAGAAGCTGGAGGCAGCAGTCCAAAAGGCACTAATGATAAGACAGATTGGGGCTGACGTGACAGAATGGTGAAGAGGGAAAGCCAGGACACACATAGTGCCCATAACACAATCACAAACTGAATTTATTACTCAGGGAATGCAAACTCCTATGCCTTTAGGGGCCAGGCAGGTAGTAGAGAATAGAAGTGGACTGGTATAAGACAGCAGGAGTCCTGTCAACAGTGCCAAACTGCAGAGCAGATGCCCTATTTAAAGGCATTTAAACTCGGACTTTTGTTTAAGACACTGCATAGCAACTCAAAACCATTATAGGCCAAATTCAGCCTGCAGGCCCCCAGTTTGCAGAAAGAAGGCAATAAATGTATACAAAGACCCCTGGGATTCTTATAAGAAGAGTTCAGATGTGTCTGAGGCAAGCAGGCATGTTCCTGCTCTCAATGCCTTCTGGACATACTCCCCAAAGACTGATGACCTCCCAGTCTCAGCTATGCTGCTGCATCTCACTGACGGGAAGTGTGATATGCCCAAATAATTTGTAATAAATAACACAAAGTATTGATATCATGATGGATTTAGCTTTTTGTTTGGATTCAATTTTAAAATACATAAATTAGGGGTAGATTAAAGGTTACTCCTAAAATAATGTCGCTCTCATTTTCATGCCAAAAAGAAGTTGAAATAACTAGTGAGGAAGAAACAAAACATACCCTCTGTACACACAGGGGAGAGTGGCCTAAGTGTGAAGGGTTGTGTATCTTCAACCGTGTCATAGGGGAATAAAGTTACAAGTCATTGCTCAGGCCAAGATAACCAGGTATAGAGATATTGTGGCAGCTGGCCTTGGTTCTATAATATCTAGGTTTGAATGAATTAATTTTAGGAGCTTTTCCATCTTTGACATAATTTTTCAACATTTAAAGGATAGTATTATTTTATAATCAGAGAGGATACAACAAAGGGGGCTTCCAATATTGGTCCTATTTATTATAAATTATTAACCTATGTGGTAGATACATGGGTGTCTCTTTTATTCTTTATATCTTCTTTATATTTTAAAGACTCATTAATGAAACTTCTATAAAAAAGATCATCTTGTTTTAAACCCTGGTAGTTCCCTGCTTTGAGAAGCCCCAGGAAGAAACGCTGCAGGAAAGGCAGGCAAGCAGGATTAGAGTGAAATCATCTCTCCATTTAATCTTATCCTGTTCTGATGCCAACTAGAATCTTGACATTGACAAGAATAAAGAGGCACTTCACATTTCATGGTTTTTTTTTTTTTTTTTGAGACAGGGTCCCAGGCTGGAGTGCAGTGGCATGATCATGGCTCACTGCAACTTCGACTTCCTGGGCTCAGGTGATGCTCCCACCTCAGCCTCCTGAGTAGCTGGGACTATAGGTGCGTGTCACCACACCTGGCTAATTTTTAAAAAATTTTTAGTAGAGACAAGGTTTCACCATGTTGCCCAGGCTGGTCTTGAACACTTGCGCTCAAGCGATCTGCTCATCTTGGCCTCCCAAAGTGCTGTGATTACAGGTGGATGAGCCATCATGCCCAACCACATTTCAGTCCGATTTTATGAGGACTTAAAATAACAAAGACAAATTTGAATAGAATGTGTGTGTGTATGTGCCTTCAAAAGTTATATTTGAAATTTTTACTTAATATCAAGGCAAAGCTTCCAAATACCAGACACATTAAATCACTGAAGTAGACTAGTTAGCAGATAAAATAAAATACTATTGTTTCCTTGAAGACATGGAAGCCTTGTAATGCCACATGCACATGTAATAAGTATATAATCTAGCTAACATTTTATCACCTGGTGGCCGGTTTGAAAATTCTGGCAGTTTAGGGCCTGAGTTATCCAAGTTAATTCCTTGTTCTCCAGGCAACGGTGGCTGATCAGCCTCTTCCAGACCAGCTGGGCGAGTATCTGGGGTGCTAAAAAAAAAAAAAAAAAAAAAAGTGACATATTTTAGAATAAGTTGTATAGAAAATACACAAAACTAGCTTAACCCTTCCCCTATTTCTGAAGAACTAAAATGTTTGCATTACCATTATTCATCTCTCTCTAGTCTAGATAAAATATTAAATATTGGCATAAAAATAATCTGGCAATTTCATTAAATGTTAAAATCCATTTAATCTAACAGCACTGTATTTACTCAGAATGCTTTCCACAAATTCCTGGTGCAATAATTTTCATGTAATCACCCATTCCTTAGCTGTTTTAAGACCTGATCATAGGACTATCAATGTTACAAGGTACTGTTCCTGTGAAACCACACTATCTTCAATGTAGCGATCAAATTCAACTAGGGGGTCTGATTGTTTCTTTTTTGTGGATATAACAGTGGGGGCTCAATTCATAACACCTTGCAAAAGGTTGTATAGGTTGGCTGATGGTATTCAGAGAACAAAGAAAGATTGAGACCACCACCACAAAGATTTTGCTGCAGAATGAGAATTTGCAGACATCTCTATTTGCTTTGAGATGCCTTTGCTTTTACCTGGGTGTAGCTTAAAATTTTTAGTAAGGAAGAAAAAAATGAAGAAATTGTAGCTACTAACACCCACATTCTCAAAGAACAAGACTGGTCACGGGCCTCATTTTGTTTGTAATCTCAGTACTAATTGTACTTTTCTTTTCTATCTTTAGTTTCCCTTTGCCCTGATTTTGTTCACCCACTTTTAGGTAGTGTTTTGTCTCATTATACTCTGTACAGTTTCATAAGCCACAAAAATCCACTTTAAAAGCCTCCCAGCAAATGGAAATTTAGAACCTGAAGCAGATCGTCAGCACATCCAGACCTATAACAATTTGCTCCTTGTAAGACTTCTCTCTCACTTTAAATTACAGGCAAGAATTCAGTGGTAACCTTTACTTTCAGAAAATTGTAGAGATAAGAAATCTCAGATATCTGGTCCAGCCCCATCATGTTATGAATGAGAAAACTAAGGCCCAAAAAGGTGTATGAAACAGGCCCAAGATTCCACAGTGAAGTAGTGGTAGAGCTGGAAGCAGGTACTTTTCCTGTAAATCCACTGTCTCCCTTTCCTGGGAGTCCTGATGCTGTGTAAGGTCCCTTTCACAATTTGTAGACCTAAGTAACCAATTTCCCTAAGGGCTGGTGAAGATGGCAAAAAATACACACTAGAGGCAACTGAATAACCTTGCAATTTTACTCCCAGACTACCGAGAGAATAAAATATTTATTAAATAATTATTCCCATAGGTTGATGCTAGTAAAGAATTTAACTGAGAAAGAGCTATCAGAAAAATTAGATAATTAACTTTGAATTCAGGAAAATATAGGTTATCATTAATAATACACCATGATTAGCTTTTAAAGCATAAGATTCAAGAAGAGGCAAGTGAGCATGATATAATACAGTACAAAGAATGTTGTGGGAAGGCTGGGATAAAGGTAGTTGGTTTAATTTTGAATATTTAAGCTGGTTGAAATAAAGTTTCTTGATTCTTTTTCTATAATTCTAACAATTTATTTCAATTAACCTGTTTTACATTCATTAGCCATTATTTCCTCATTTATTATTTTTTTATGATTAAAGGCACAAAATATAGCTCAGTGAATATTCCTTCTGGAAACATTTTATCAAACCCAGAAACACAAATTAATACTTAGCTTCAGGAAATGAAATATAAATTGTTAATTGCCTTTCCTGCTATGATCTTGCAAAATAACTCACCTGGAGAACGTTTACTGAAAGGGTAACTGATTTAAAAGGTCCAATCATCTTAGCGTGGGGTTTTAAGCTTCTAGGGATGATAAAGAGCCTTTAAAGGAAAGGCACCTGTGCAAAAAAACCATTTCTATTTGAGAGACAGCAGTAGTTTTAATTTCCAAAACACATTTGGCCTCTCTGGTTCCCCAATAGCCATCATAAGCCTAAAGTCAGTGCTTTGTGGAGTTGCCATATGGTAGCACTGGTTACTTTTCAGGCTCTGATTGCCAAAACCCCCCGACACTGTAAAATTAAGAGATATACCAGCCAATTGCAACATATGAATCTTGTTTGGATCCTTATTTGAACAAATTGTAAGAAAAAAATTTGAGATAATCAGGGAAGTTTGAACACTGGATATGAGAGTACTAAGGAAGTATTAGTTTTCTAGGTGTGCTAACAATATTGTGCGGGCATATTAAAAAGTGTCCTTATCTTTTAGAGACACACACTGAAATATTTACCCAGCGAATTTGCTTTGAAATACTCAAAAGGGTAATGGAAGAGAGTACAGATGAAGGCAAGACAGACTATGAGTTGATAATTATTGAAGCAGGGGGATTTCATTATACTATTCTAGTTTTATATTCTGTAAAATTTTCCATCAAAAAAGTTATCCACACAGAAAACAAATGAATAAAATTTGAGGCAAAACCATCACAACCTACTTTAGATCTTGCTGACTATTTTTCTTCTTCCGAGGGGGTTTCTTCTTCTTCGGTTTATTTGCGTTGGTATTATTTTGCTTATTGTTTACCCCAAAATGGCCTGCAGATATGTCACTCTGCAATAAGTTGACCAACAATGGGCTCGTTAGCGTGACATCCTTATTGACTGGGAAGCCTGGATTTTGACCACAGGACATCTGATTTCCATTGGGAGCTCCACTGAAAGGTGCATTGAAAGACATCCCATGGCCTGAGAAGTGGTTTCCCGAGGCACTGTTTCCCTGCATGGCCTGCACATGAGGGGGGACCATGTTGGTTTGTTGAATGCTAACATCAGGCATCATCTGAGATAAACTGACATCGTTATTTGCTGTAGTAGCAGGATCACCATGCTGCTGGGCCATGTGTGGGCTGGGCCCTGGTGGCCGCAGGACCTGTCCCTGAATGCCCATAACCTGAGATGGACTGTTGTTCACAGGCCCTTGCTGGGGCAGCATCTGTCCTGACATCTGTCCCGTAAACTGCACCATATTTCCTTGCATGTTTGGAGTTGGTCCCCTCATTATCTGGGCTGGTCCCGGCATGACATTGGACTGGTTCTGAGTGTTAAACTGCTGCTTATTCCCCTGCATTTGATTGGTCATAATCTGCTCTATCATTGGGTTCTGTTGGAGCAAAACCTGCCCCTGAGGCCCCATCATCTGGTTATGTGGCGCCATCATTTGTGGGCCCTGCTGGGAAAGCATCTGCTTGGGTGGGGTCATCCTTTGGGGCGAGGGCCCAAGATTTTGGCTCGGGGGGTTCACCATCATCTGGCCCTGTGGCATAAGCTGGGCCCTTGAAAGGATCATAGGGTTCTGAGGGTTCAAGGTTCCTTGTTGCTGGACCATCTGGCCCTGGGAGGGCACGATTTGCTGGTGCATGCCCATCAGCTGAGATGGTGGGCCCTGCTGGGGCTGGCCTTGCATGTTGCTGAGGTTCACTTGAGGAACCCCAGAAGTACCAGCCTGCTGATTGTTCATGTTGCCATGAATTCCCATGAGGCTGGGCTGCATCATATTTGGCGGCCCGTGGGACACCTGCATCTGGTTTTGAGGAGGACCAGCTCCTTGACCACCTTAAAAAAAAAAAAAGTCACAGTTTCAGAAATAAATATTTTTATCTTATTGGTATTAAGATACTCAAGTTACATTACTCAGAAAGACATCCATCACCCTTATATCCACTGACCAACATAAATATGCTGTTGACATACTTCCTGTGAGTTTTCTAAACTACAAAGATGTGGCTGTGGGATAACTGCTTACATTCCCAATGACCATATAATAGAGAAGGAGAAACAGTTTCTACATTCCCATATGGTATCTTAAAGATTTAACGTTTCAAAGATCAAGAAAGTTTACTTTCTTTCAGATTAAATAATGAGAAAGGCAGCATCTCACTGTTTTAAAATGACTTGTAGTGGCCAGGCTCGGGTGGTTCATGCCTGTAATCCCAGCACTTTGGGAGGCTGAGGCAGGCGGATTGCTTGAGCCTGGGAGGTGGAGGTTGAAGTGAGCCAAGATCATGCCATTGCACTCCAGCCTGGTGACAGAGTGAAACCCCGTCTCAAAAAATTAAATTAAATTAAATTCAAAAAGCACTATGGGCTACTGAAATAACTCTGCTATAAGAATGTGAAGTGTCGGCCGGGCGCGGTGGCTCACGCCTGTAATCCCAGCACTTTGGGAGGCCGAGGCGGGTGGATCACGAGGTCAGGAGATCGAGACCATCCTGGCTAACAAGGTGAAACCCCGTCTCTACTAAAAATACAAAAAATTAGCCGGGCGCGGTGGCAGGCGCCTGTAGTCCCAGCTACTCGGGAGGCTGAGGCAGGAGAATGGCGTGAACCCGGGAAGCGGAGCTTGCAGTGAGCCGAGATTGCGCCACTGCAGTCCGCAGTCCAGCCTGGGCGACAGAGCAAGACTCCGTCTCAAAAAAAAAAAAAAAAAAAAGAATGTGAAGTGTCCTCTTAGGAAAACCTCAACAATCATGAGAAGACATTTAAAAATGCTTCTTGGAAAACTGTAATAATAATGACTCTCAAAAGCTATGTGTGTGATATGTGGATGCTGCACTTCAAAGAAAATAACACCAAGGACAGGTGTCCTCTGCCCTGATGTGGTAAAAAGCAGTTAATCTTGATCTGGAAGCTGAGCCTCTGGTGGGAGCCAACTGACTAGATGACCCATCTGGAAGCTGCAAATAGAGGAATAATAAAACCTCAGTGACCCTCTCCTGCGCAGTCCCTGGTGAATCATGTGGCACATGTTTTAGTCTTCTCAGCTATTTCTAACTTAGACAAAAGTTGCTACCCGCCTTGCTGTAGTGCTTATTTATTTACTGGGTCTTTGGGATTTTCCTATAGCTACTTGCATTATCTCCCCGTTTAACTGAATAACTTTGTAGTTAATTTTGTCCCTTTTATTTTTCACTTTTTTTGTTGTTTTGTTTTTGAGACAGAATCTGGCTCTGGTGCAACCTCGGCTCATTGCAACCTCCACCTCCTGGGTTCAAGTGATTTTCATGCCTCAGCCTCCCCAGTAGCTGAAACTAGAAGCGCACAACAACACACCCGGCTAATTTTTGTATTTTCAGTAGAGACAGGGTTTCAGCATGTTGGTCAGGCTGGTCTCGAACTGCTGACCTCAGGTGATCCACCCGCCTTGGCCTCCCAAAGTGCTGGGATTACAGGCTGAGCCACCGCACTTGGCCTTATTTTTCACTTTTAAATGGGGACTAGAAAATCCCCTACAATGAAGTTATGAAGCCAGTCCATGCTCCAACTATGAAGGCAGGGGGCAAACTACCTTGTTCACACTATCCAGACTTCTCCTGAACTCTAAGGAAGATTTTCTAAACCAGCCTTATAAACTCAAAGTGGAACTCCATGACCATTGTATATGCTTGTATACAATAAATATACTGTGTATATTCATTCAACTGACAATTATTCATTAAGTACCTGATACATAGAAGGCACTTTGGTGCTGAGGTAACATCAATAAACAAGACAGACCAAATCCCTGCATCCTTGGAGCCTACAGTCTAACTGGCAAGAGACACAACTAACAAACAGACAAGTATTTTTTCAGGAAGCAGTAAAAGCTAACAAGAGAAAGTAGGGTGAGAGAAGAGAAAGTAAGAGATAAGAGTAGAGCTACTTTAGATAGGATAAATGGGGAAACCAAAACATGTACACGTGGGCCGGGCACAGTGGCTCAGGCCTGTAATCCCACCACTTTAGAAGGCCAAGGTGGGTGGATCACCTGAGGTCAGGAGTTCGAGACCAGCCTGGCCAACATGGTGACACCCCATCTCTACTAAAAATTAAAAAAATAGCAGGGCATGTAATCCCAGCTACTTGGGAAGCTGAAACAGAAAAACGCTTGAACCTGGGAGGCAGAGGCCGCAGTGAGCCGAGACTGCGCCACTGCACTCCAGCTTGGGCACAAGAGCAAAAACTCCATCTCAAAAAAAAAAAAAAACACACACAAAGAAAACAAACAAAAAACATGTACATGTGGAAGGTACCATATAAAAACACAAAATAGCTGTGATAGGGTACAAGAATGAGAAATGACTTTGTCATTGTTTTAAAACATACTTTTTTTTTTTTGAGATGAAGTCTCTCTCTGTCGCCCAGGCTGGAGTGCAGTGGCGTGATCTCAGCTCACTGCAACAACCTCTGCCTCCCAGGTTCAAGTGATCCTCCCGCCTCAGCCTCTTAAGTAGCTGGGATTACAAGCGTCCGCCACCACACCCGGCTAGTTTTTTGTATTTTTAGTAGAGACAGGGTTTTACCACGTTGGTCAGGATGGTCTCAAACTCATGATCTCAAGTGATCCACCTGCCTCGGCCTCTCAAAGTGCTGGGATTACAGGCGTGAGCCACCGCACCTGGCCTGTTTTAAAACTTCCTATAAAAAAACATGAATTTGCTGGGTACAGTGGCTCATGCCTGTAATCCCAGCACTTTGGGAGGCCAAGGCAGGTGGATCATGAGGTCAGGAGTTCAAAGACCAGCCTGGCCAACATGGTCAAATCCCGTCTCTACTAAAAATACAAAAATTAGCCAGGCATGGTGGCGGGCACCTGTAATCCCAGCTACTCAGGAGGCTGAGGCAGAGAATTGCTTGAACCTGGGAGGTGGAGGCTGCAGTGAGCCGATATTGAGCCACTGCACTCCAGCTTGAGCGACGGAGCAAGACTCCGTCTCAAAAAACAAAACAAAATAAAAAAAAAACAAACATGAATTCATATAACTCAGGAATGCAGTTTTGCATTAGCAGATAGAGAAATTCAAGCAGTTTGCACTACCCTTCTGTTACCCTGCCAGAAATAGTGTGAACTTTTTTTGTAAAAGTCAGATTTTTGTCTCATTCCTTAGTGATTTACAATTAAAGTTGGAGTCACATTACTAAATTAACTCCAGGAGGGATGGGAATTCAGAAACTAGTTGCACTATCTCAGTCCAAACTGCTTCAATGAGAAAGGGTAAGAGGATTAGTCATGTGGTCCTTAAGCAACCAGAAACATGAAGTTTGAGCTTATACATTACTGCTTTGCAAATACTTTTTAGCCATTCCCCTGTATCTTATTTCCTCTCCAAAATTTCTTCTTTTTGCAGTACACTGTTGGTAGTAAACGTGAACTGATGAAGTTTGAAAAATATCACACTGTAAACCAGAATTCAGACACTCAGCATAAACAAAGCTTAACATGTACCACGTAGAGATTTAAAAAGTTGCAGTTGTCCAAACATGCCTCCATGCCTTTGTGTCTGTGGTTTTCATTTGCCAGAAATGCCTTTTTGCCTTTTACTACCTGAGCAAGCTCTAACTCAGGGGTCAGCAAACTATGGCCCTCTGCTGGTCTGTAAATAAACAAGTGTTTGGAATGCTACCATGCTTGTTTGTTTATGTATTGTCTATGGCTACTTTCTGTGCTATCATAACAAAGTTGAGTAGCTCCAACAAGAGACTATATAACCTGAAAAGCCAAGAATATTTACTATCTGCCCCTTCAGAGAAAAAAAATACTGCTGATTCCTGCTCTAACTCAAGTTCCATCTCCTCTTAGATGTTTCTGAGTTCCTGTGACATTTTACCTACTTTTGATATATTGACAAAAGTTACTGCCCTGAAAGAATAATTATTTATGGGCTTGAAATTAAGGGGAGAGACCAAGACTTATTACTTATCTGTATACTCCTGTTGTCTATCAAGTCTACGACACAATGCTCAATAAATGCTGGCTAAACAAATCACAGAAAACAAACCTGCATGCTGGACATTTTGATTTGCTTGCAGCTGAGGGGCTCCTGAATTCCCAGGGGTGGTTGCTGTGGTCGAAGGCACCTGACCTTGCATAAAGTTCGGATTGGCCTGTCCTGCTGAGAAGCCAGGTGGGAGGCGTTTAGGCATTCCTTAATAGAAAACAATGAGTAAGGCAGTTACCTAGCAAATTTATACTCTTGCTTAGATATGGAATGAATAAGGAAGGATGAGCTGCATGAAGTCTCCACTGGCTTAGCTCTCTCTGTCACACTGGTAGGATCTTTAATAATAAGGTTGGGAAAGATGGTTAAAAAAATCAACACAATCTCTTATATGAGGCATTGTCAAAATGAAAAATAAATACTAAAAAACTTACACTTAGAACATGCCAAGGAAAAGATGGCAATCTGCTCCCTAAATGTGATCTGAGGCCACGCCACAGCAAGGTTTGAGGGCTCACTTTTCTCTGTAATTAACAATGGACCCCAAAACTTTAGTTATTTTAACACAGGCACCAAAGGAATATGCTAAATTCTCTCATTTCAAACAAATTGATGTGAAATAGTATAAAACAAAGAGATGGGTCCTGATATTAAGGATAGATTGATTATTTTTCCTTTGAGGGAAACTGATGGCAATCTCCTTTGCAGAAAATTTCCCCCCATTATTGCGCTTGTCTCTTTGGAAGAGACAGGAGATTAGAAACAGTTCATGGGAGCTTCAAAGTGATGCTGTATTAAATCATTATGCTTTCCCCTCATAAGGTTTGCTGTGATTCTGACAGGTTTGGTACCAAAAACCATACTCTAATGGAATCTTTCTCAAGTATCAGTTCCTTTTTGGAAGGGCTAATTTTAGAAAACTTGTAATAAGGAGAATCTCAGAACCCACTTATCATTTACAACACAGGCCTTGATGTGGCCAGATCACCTAGGTGAGCATATCATCTGCTCTATGAAAGCATCAAGACCTAAACTCACTTAAAAATTTATTACATTCATTCATTTATTTATTTACTTTTATTTTTATTTTTTGAGATGGAGTCTCGCTCTGTTGCCCAGGCTGGAGTGTGGTGGAGCAATCTCAGCGCACTGCAACCTCCTCCTCCCAGGTTCAAGCAATCCTCCCTGCCTCAGCCTCCCAAGTAGCTGGGATTACAGGTGTGCACCACCACACCCAGCTAATTTTTGTATTTTTAGTAGAGACGGGGTTTCACCATGTTGGCCAGGCTGGTCTCGAACTCCTGACCTCAGGTTATCTGCCCGCCTTGGCCTCCCAAAGTGCTGGGATTACAGGCGTGAGCCACTGCGCCTGGCCATTTATTTTTTTAAGGGCCAAATTTTCAATGTCCTGAAAAACTCTTAGTAGACAAATATGCATTTGTCCTTTCTTTAACAGTGACAAGTCCCATTTGCATGCTCCCACTGTAATTAAATCAGTAATCACATTTGCAGGAGGGACTACCCAGCTTCCACTGATCTGGGGTAGATACCCAGAACAGTGAAATTTGGAGCTGAAACATCCTTGCATTTTCTAAGAACTTCTTACAATTCAAATATTAGAGCCTGCATGTCAGCAAAATTAATTACAAGAGAGTAAAAGGCTGATGAGCAACTTAACTTCATCAGAAACCATGGGAACATGCCTTTGCTATGTTGCACTAAAGATGCAAGGGGTTTTTTCTGGGTAGGCAATGGGTGTCTTTTGGTGGGGAGTATGTTTATCAGATGACAGTATTACTGATACTCTATACCTTACTGAAAAGCTCCAAGCACATTCATGTGCACTAGATCAATGATTAATAAGAATAAATAATAAACATGGAGATGGATAAGTTTTACTGTAATCGTTTTACCTCTCACACATTAAGCTCCATTGCTTTTTCTTCATACAAGAGGCACCTTACAAAATAAATAAATAAATCTCCTTTAGGTATAACTGGTGGAATTCCCTCTCTAAGGAGCAGGCATTGGCATTATAAAACTATAAAAGTCAATGATTTCTGAACTTATTCCCCTTTAATACTTTAACCAAACTTAACAAGTACCATGCTTACTATTTTATTAACTAGGATTATCAAAATTGATAACTAAAAGGGCCTTTTCTTCAATGAGACCCTGTTCTTTTTATTTTGCTCTATTGCATAATCTTAATTTTTCAGCAACTGAGAAGTTTAAATTGTTAACAAAATGCATTTTTCTTCTGGACATTTTAATTTACTAGTACAAGATCAAGCAAAAATAATTTGAAAAACAAAATGAACATCTCTACATTGAATTTTACCTGAATTTTAGTCCAGAGAGCTAGCTTAAATTTAACCAGTAAGATGCTGCATAACGTATCAAGTTAACTTTAAGTTATATCAAGTGTCACCACCATATCCACAAAACCAAATAATTATATCCTTACTCCACTCCCTCCATTAACTCTAAAAACTGAAGTTCTACTAAGATCTAGCTCCAGCAAATTTACCAACACAAATAGCTACAGTGTTCCTCACCTCCTAGGCCTGGATGTAAACTCTGTGGCCCCTGGTTTGGTGGTTGCTGCTGCATCACCATGAAGTTAGGTGGCACATTTCCCTGTTGAACCATAGGATTCCGACCCGGAGAGCTGACAGGCTGCTGAAATCCCTGGGGAAGTGGGTTATTTTGAGGTGGCCTTGGTCCCATCTGCTGCTGAGTTTGGTTAACCGTTGGGGAGGATGCAGGGGATCCCTGCTGGAAGGAGGAGGGTGAGGAGGCAGGAGACTTGTTGGTGAGGTGGGGCTGCTGCAAGGGAGTTGGGACCCTAGAGGGCCCTCCCTGCAAACTCTTCATCTGAGGAGCTGTGAACTGGCCTGGGTTGCTCATCTGAGGAAAGTTTGTGTGGGCTTGTGAGGCTTGCTGGCTGCCAAAGGGATATGGAGGGGGAGGGTGGGAAGGCGTCTGTACCGTGGCTAAGGATGGTCTTGCCTGGAGTTGCTGTTGCATTGGGCCGGGCAAGGGAGCCTTCTTCCACCCTTGGTTTGCAGTCATTGTGCCCAGAGAACCCTGGGCTGGAGGAGGTTGAAGGGCTCCAGAAGGCAGCTGGTTCCAGCCTGGAGGAACAGGCACCTGAGTTGGGGCAGTAAACTGGGGTCGAATTCCCTGTGGCTGTTGCTGCTGATGTTGCTGTGGGGGTCTTGCCTGCAACTGTTGTTGCTGCTGTTGCTGTTGTTGCTGCTGCTGCTGCTGCTGCTGCTGTTGTTGTTGTTGCTGCTGCTGCTGCAGCTGGGGAAAATTAGCTGGGTTCATTTGTCTGTTCACAGAGACAGGCTGCATTGGGTGATGTGGGGGAGCTAAAGATCCTGAGGGATGACTTTGCTGCTGTATATGGAGCCCAGAGAGGAGTGGATCCATTGCATCTGTTTAAAGATAGTCAACAAAGCAATAATTAACCTACTGCAATCTAGATCTTAGAGAAGTGGCCTTTGTAATTCTGGATATACAGAGCAAAATCTGCTGGTACTATTCGATAAAATAAATGCTTGTGAATACCTTCTATGTATGAAGCAACATACCAAGATGATGAATTCTGTCTTAAAAAGAGCTTGGTCAGTAGTGGACATTAAGAGCGAAGTGTAAAACATGGAGACCAGTATTTACCAAATCATATTCTGGAGAACTATGTTAATTAGCATTATAAGAAAACAAAACAATTAGGTTTGGGAAACACTGAACCTAACAAACTTAGATGCGTTTCTTCACTGTAGGACTTTCAGTGCCTCCAATATGTTACTTTTGAATCTCCAGGAGGGAGGGTAAAGAATGATGCATTTACCAAATTTACTTGACTACAGAATTCTATGTAATGAGCATCTTGCAGGACTACGCAGGCCAAGGCACACTTTTAGAAATGTTGGGGTATAATTGATAAGAAAACAATGAGAAATTCTGAAAAGAAAATAATGACATTTAGTTTGAAGAAATCAGGTCAGATTTTGTAAAGAAGGTTGACATTGTGAGTTTGGAAATTAGAAATTCAGCATCAGAGATAACTGAATTTTATAATGATCTGTGCAGAAAGTTTCAGACTCTTCATCCTCAAAGATTGGAAGTCATTACCTGACTGAGAAGCAGGGCGAGGAGTCCTGGGCTGCAGCTCTGGATTGGGGCCTGGTGCCATCATGGAAGATGACACATTTCCACCCGGGGGTATCATAACAGTGGCAGGGTTGTTCATCCTTATTATTCCTAGAAAAAAGATCCCTAAAATAGAGTACTGGAATTGGCACAATTTTTGTTTTTTAATGAGTTATTTCAAGAATATGAAAAGATATGGAAAATTTGTTTTTTTTTTTTTGACAGGGTCTCGCTCTGTTGCCCAGTCTGCCAAGTGGCACAATCACAGCTCACTGCCATCTCGACTTCCCGGGCCCAAGTGATCCTTCTGAGTCAGCCTCCCAAATAGCTGGGACCATGGGCACATGCCACTGGGACCACAGGCACACACCACTGTGCCCAGCTAATCGTTCTATATTTTATAGAGATGGGGTCGCTATGTTGCCTAGGCTGGTCTCAAATTCCTGGGCTCAAGCGATCCTCCAGCCCAGCCCTCCCAAAGTGCTGGGACTACAGGCGTGAGCTACTGCACCCGGCCTGGAAGTTTCTACACCCACCATCTACCTTTTTAAAATTTAAAAAATTTGCTCTTATGTCCTTCAGATATATATGTAGATACAGCAGAAGCCCCCTACTCCTTCCATTCCACTTCCTCCCTCTTATTGCAATTGTGGTTAACAGTTCTGTTCTTGTTTATTGACCTTTTCTGTATCTGTAGGTAAACTGCACTTTTTCTGTAGATAAACATTTTTTGTATGCTTTTAATCTTTGTATAAATGGCACCTTACTATATGCATTCTTTGTCAGCTTCCTTTTTCACTTAATGTATTTTTTGAGATTCATCTCTCTTGACTGTTATAAGGGTTCCATTGTATAGAAGCATATATCCACCCTTCTGCTGATGAATACTAAGGTTTTATTTTTCCTTTATTCTTATAATTTTGCAATGTTGTGTATTTGTCATGAATTCTTGTGGATACATGAGAGTGTCTTTAGACTATATATTTAGAATTGCTAGGTTTTAAAGTCTAAGCATCTTTAATTTTACTAGATATTGGTAAACTGCTCTCAAAAGTGGTTATACCAATTTATACTCAAACTAGCAGTTTGAGAACTCCTCTTTCTCCATATCTGAAAATTTCTGATACTGCTAAACTTTTCAGAATTTATCATCTATGCTCCTAAGTGAGAATAGGTCAGGCATGGTAGCTCATGCCTGTAATCCCAGAGCTTTTGGAGGCCAAGGTGGGAGGACTGCTTGAGGCCAGGAGTTTGAGACCAGCCTGGGCAACATAGAAAGACCCCATCTCTACAAAAAATAAAAAAATCAGCCAGTGTGGTGGCAAGCGCCTGGATTCCTAGCTATTTAGGAAGCTAAGGCAGGAGGATCACTTGAGCCCAAGAGTTTGAGGCTGCAGTGAGCTATGATCATGCCACTGCTCTCCAGCCTAGGCAACAGGGCAAGAGCCTGTCTTCAAGAAAAAAAAGTGACAACGCCTATACTTATTCTCTTTTCCTTTCCTTGGCTACAGAATTCTCTGTCATGGAGCATCTTGCAGGACTAAGTTGGCCAAAGCACACTTTTAGGAATGTTGAGGTATGAATAAGAGAACAATGAAAAATTCTAAAAAGAAAATGATGACATTTAGCTTGAAGGGCAGATTTTGTGACATTTTGATTTTTGGCATCGAGGTGAAAATAACCTCAAAATGAGTTGGAAAGCATCTTTCTTCTTTTTCTATGCTCTGGAAGAATGTGTGTATCTGTTCTTTAAATGTCTGAGAAAACTTTCCTGTAAAACCATCTGGGCCTATAGGTCATACTAATTGATTTACAGGGAAACAGATTTTTATTTCAATTTCTTAAATGGCTATAGACTTTTCAAGTTTTCAATGTCTTACTGTCAATTTTTATTAAATTATAATTTTGCCAACACTAAAATTTATTAGCATAGTTAATTGTGGAATATATTTTTTCTATTCTTTTTAAAAAATGATATATAATTCATATACTATAATATTCACCTTTTAAAATTTGTACTTTTTTCATTCTTTACATTGTTTGTGCCCTCTTTTTTTCCTTGGTGGTCTTAGCACATTCATCAGTTTTAGCTGTCCTTTCAAAGAAACATCTTTTGGGCCAGGCACGGTGGCTGACACCTGTAATCCCAGCACTTTGGGAGGCTGAGGCAGGTAGATCACTTGAGATCAGGGGTTCGAGATCAGCCTGGCCAACATGGTAAAACCCCTGTCTCTAGTAAAAATACAAAAATTAGCTGGGCGTGGTGGTGGGCGCCTGTAATCCCAGCTACTCAGGAGGCTGAGGCAGGAGAATCTTTTGGTTTTGCTGTTCTGTTGTTTTTTTGATTCATATTTTACTTATCTCTATTCTTATCTGTATTATTTCCCTCATAACTTACAGCTCTGCTCAATTCTTAAGTCAGACACTTAGCTTGTTAATTTTCAGTTGGTGTTCTTTCTTAATATAAATTTCTGAAGGCTTAACATTTCTTTGAAGTGTTGTATTGGCTACATCTCACACATTTCAGTATATATTATTCTCATAATTCCATTCTAAATATTGTCTAATTTCCATCAGGATTGCTTTTTTAAATCACTAAGTATTTATAATGCATTTTTACGTTTCCAAAAATATGAGATATTTTGGTTATGCTTTTTTTTTTTTGCCACTGACTTAACCTAACAGCACTATGGTCAGAGAACAGAATCTATGTGATATTAATATTTGGTATTTACTGAAACGTGCTCTTGGAATAATCCTTGGTCAGTTTGTATAAATTTTCCATTTATGCTTGGAAATATTAAGAATTCTTGAATTATGACTGCATGGTTTTGTTTTGTTTTTTTTCTCCGAGATGGAGTCTCACTCTGTTGCCGAGGCTGGAGTGCAGTGGCGCAATCTTGACTCACCACAACCTCTGCCTCCTGGGTTCAAGTGATTCTCCTGCCTCAGCCTCCCGAGTAGATAGGACTACAGGCACACGCCACCATGCCTGGCTAATTTTTGTATTTTTAGTAGAGACGGGGTTTCACTATGTTGGCCAGGCTGGTCTTGAACTCCTGACCTTGTGATCTGCCTGTCTCGGCCTCCCAAAGTGCTGGGATTACAGGCGTGAGCTATCGTGCCCGGCTGACTGCATGGTTTCTATATATGTCCATTATATAAAAAGTATTTTGTTATTCAAGCTCTCCTTTATCCTTACTAATTTTTTACAAACTTGGCCATCAATTACTCACAGAGGTGTATTAAATCTCCCCTAAGGTTTGCTGTTTACATGCAATTCTTAAATGTCTTGAGGCTAGGTTGTTAAATACGTAAGAGTTTAGCAACTTCCTGGTGAATTTTTCCTTTTACATTATATAGTGGCCCTATATACCTTCAGTGATGCTGTTTATTTTAATGTCTGCTTTATCTGGTAAAAATATTATTATGCTTTTCTTGGTTAATAATCACCTTGTTAATCTTTCTATCTTTCTAACTTTGAACCTTCTGAGTCCTTATATTTTATGTGTTTCCTGTAACAGCACATAGGTAAACCTGAGAATACTATTCTGATTAATCATTTCCTTTTTATCAGTGTTCATAATCCATTTACCTTTATTGTTTACTAGTATATTTTGATTTTTTTGTCATTTTATGATTTCTATTTACCCTTTTTTTCTATTCTGTTTTCCTATTTTCCTGAATTTTACTGGATTAATTTTTTTTCATCATGGTCATCCTCTTTAATCCTCCACTACTAGTTTAGAAGTTATATATTCCATTCATATTATTTTACTGGTATCTTTAAAATGTCAGCAGACATACCTGACTTAAAGTTTAAAGACATATATGATCATCATTATTACTAAATAAGTCAATGCTTATTTAGATTTACCCCATGCTTATCAATTATTTAGCTCACCATTCCTTCTTAGATCTTATTTCTTCCATCTTAGGTTCAATTTTCTTCTTCCTGAAGTACATCCTTGAGCAGTTCAATTAGCAAGGGTCTGTTAATGGTAAATTCTCTTAGTCTCTTTGAAAAGCTCTTTATTTCATACTACTCTTGATAGTATAGCTATGTTTAAAATTCTAGGCTGTCAATTATATCCTCAGCACTTTGAAAAAATTATTCCAATGCTTCCTGGCCTCCAATGCTGCTGTTGAGAAATCAAGAAAAGCTGATAGTCTTTCCTTTGTAAATAATACGTCTTTTCTTTTGGGTTGCTTTTAACATTCTGTTTTTCAATGTTCTGTAGCTTTACAATATTGTGTCTAGATGTAGTTTTATTTTTATTTTGTAGTGCTCAGGAATACTGGGCTTCTGAATCTGAGGACTTACGTCTTTCATCCATTCTGGAAAAAATTTTAGCCATTCTTTCTTTGACTGTCATCCCTCCTCAATTTCTTTATCTTCTTCAGGAACTCTTTTCAAACATATGTTAAACCTTCTCATTTTATTCTTCTTGTCTCTTGACCTCTTTCATATTTCCATCTCTTTTTCTCTGCGCATCCTGAGTGATTTATTCAAATTCACCTTCCAATCCACCTATTTCTAATTTGCTGAATAAGTTATCCACTTTGATGATTTTTAAATTTCTGTAAGTTCTGTTCCCCCCATCTCTCCTTATGTTTGATAGTGTCTTGTTTTCTTATGATTCTCATAATTGTTAATACTCTGACATTCCTATTACCTAAAATTTTAGAGGGAGGGAATCTAATCCTAAATTGTATAAATTCAGAATATAAGCTCATTTATATCAGGCTTTAACTAGGAGAAGTATGCAATGACTTGGGTTGAGAAAATACGCCCCTCCACAGCTTCAACAGTTATCACCAGTCTAGACCTACCTAATGTTAATGACTTAGCCTGGCTATTAATGGGTATTCACTAACATATCAAATGTCCAAAATGCAAGAGGGTAGAGAAGACAATTCCACAACACCCATTCTCCCACCTAACGTCTAGAGCCCCAGCGAACACAGACAAATTTCCCATTAATTTCCCTATGCCAGAGAGTGACATTTTCCTAATCTATCTTTCACTGAAAATTCTGGCTTCATGAAGAATTCTGAATTCTAACTTGCTTCTTCCTGTTGACCCAAGGCTTTATCTTCTATCCCTTCCCGGCCATTAAAACCCAAATGCTTTGGACCCTGCAGAATCTCATTTGTTTACTGCCGTTTAAATATTCACCTTTGACATTTTTTTTTTTTTTTTTTTGCCCTAGGGAGTTCCTCTACTTTCTTTCCCCATCCCTCTGCTTCCAAGCCCAGCTACATTTTTTTTTTTTGTTTTTTGAGAGGGAGTCTTGCTATGTCACCCAGGCTGGAGTGCAGTGGCGCGATCTCGGCTCACTGCAAGCTCCGCCTCCCAGGTTCATGCCATTCTCCTGCCTCAGCCTCCTGAGCAGCTGGGACTACAGGCGTCCGCCACCACACCCGGCTAATTTTTTGTATTTTTAGTAGAGACAGGGTTTCACCATGTTAGCCAGGATGGTCTCCATCTCCTGACCTTGTGATCTGCTCACCTTGGCCTCCCAAAGTGCTGGGATTACGGGTGTCAGCCACAGCGCCCGGCTGCCCAGCTACGTATTAAATGTTATAGGCCGGACGCGGTGGCTCACGCCTGTAATTCCAGCACTTTGGGAGGCTGAGACGCGTGGATCACTTGAGGTCAGGAGTTCGAGACCAGCCTGGCCAAGATGGTGAAACTACTAAAAATACAAAAATTAGCCAGACATGGTGGTGGGCACCTGTAATCCCAGCTACTAGGGAGGGTGAGGCAGAGAACTGCTTGAACTTGGGAGGCAGAGCTCGCAGTGAGCCAAGATCGCGCAACTGCACTCCAGCTTGGGTGACAGAGCGAGACTCTGTCTCAAAAAAAAAAAAAAGTTATATTTTAAGTTTTGTAGTTGGAGAGGACAGTTAGGCTAATGTTTATCTGTTGAAACTGGATCTGTTTCTGAGGAATCGCACCTGGTTTTTTAAAGATGGTAGTTAGACAGTTAAGAAAGCTCTCATGAGGGCTTGGTGCGGTGGCTCACACCTGTAATCTCAGCACTTTGTGAGGCCCAGGTGGGTGGATCACCTCAGAGCAGGAGTTCAAGACCAGCCTGGCCAACATGGTGAAACCCCATCTCTACTAAAAATACAAAAATTAGCCAATTAGCTGGGCATAGTGGCACCTGCCTGTAATCCTAGTCACTCGTGAGGCTGAGGTGAGACATCGCTTGAATCCAGGAGGTACAGGTTGCAGTGAGCTGAGATCATGCCACAGTACTCCAGCCTGGGTGATGGAGTGAGACTGCTTCACAAGAAAAAAAAAAAAAGAGAAAGCTCTCATGAGATAAGAAACAGGTTTTTGGCTGGGCGCGATGGCTCACACCTGTAATCCCAGCACTTTGGGAGGCCGAGACAGGTGGATCACAAGGTCAGGAGATCGAGACCATCCTGGCTAACACAGTGAACCCTCGTCTCTACTAAAAATACAAAAAAAAAAATTAGCCAGGCATGGTGGCATGGGAGGCTGAGGCAGGAGAATGGCGTGAACCTGGGAGGCAGAGCTTGCAGTGAGCCGAGCCGAGATCGTGCCACTGCATTCCAGCCTAGGCGACAGAGCGAGAGTCCGTCTCAAAAAAAAAAAAAAAAAAGAAACAGGTCTTCTTGGTCCATAATGAGCTTCCTAATCCCAGAAAATTTCAAGTATATGCTGACTACATGTTCAATAGTGACACTATAACATGCATTCCAGTACTAGATGGGAATCTGCACAAGATCCAAGGTTCTCACCTAGGGGAAATTTTGTCCCCTGGGGGACATTTGGTAATGTCTGGAGACATTTTAAGTGGCACAAATGCAGGGAAGTAGTGGTGCTACTGGCATCTGGTGGGTAGAAGCCAGGGATGCTACTAAACATCCCACAACACACAGGACAGCCTCCCACAGCAAAAAATTATTGGCCCCAAACATCAATAGTGTTGAAGTTGAGAAACTTGAATTAAATGACTACTATAGTATCCCCACAAATCTTGGAATTCTATAAGGCTATGAAAAAAAACAGGCTATGGATTTAGTTTTAGTTGCAAAAGACTCTTGCTTATTAGCTAACTTTCTGTTGCCCATGCTAAGAGAAGAAAGCAGTACTAAGAATAATTGAAAAACCAACTGTTGTAGATACACAGTTCTAAAGTTACTTATTATTGTTTTAGAGGGGATTTAAGGTCTCTTTCCCTAGAAAAATTTAGCTGTTCAGTTTAACCTAATATTAAACTTTGTTTGCATCCTTCAAGTCTCAATAGACAACAGAGAAAAGCAATCCTAAAATATGCTTGGCAGTAAAGAGAGATATCTTGGGGGTTAAGATGTTACTGTTACTACAGGTCATTACTAATTGATTATTCCTGAAACTTTATACTATATACATTATCACAATCTGAGTCCTTCATTAAATACCAATCTAATCTGATTTCAACCTAAAGCTTCTCAGTTTCCTAGGTTGATAATCAACTATAGCACTATAATTGGCTGGGTACGGTGGCTCAGTTCATGCCTGTAATCCCAGCACTTTGGGAGGCTGAGGTGGGCAGATCACTTGAGCCCAGGAGTTCAACCAGCCTGGTCAACATGGCAAAACCCTGTCTCTACAAAAAACAATACAAAACAAAACAAAAATAAGCCGGGTGTGGTAGTGCACGCCTGTAGTCCCAGCTACTGCAGGGCTGAGACAGGAGGAACACTTGACCCTGTCTCAAAAAAAAAGCACTATAATTTACATGCACTTCTTAGAGATACTTAGTAAACATGCTTGCTATTTGCCAGATACTAGCCCAAGAGAGCTTTTAATTAGGGTACTAATAACAGTTAAGTGGCGTCTTAACATTTTAAGCCTAGAAGGGATCTCTAGCATTGTTTCCAGAACATAAAGATGTTTATAGGCAACTAGAGTCAGTACATATTAAGTCCTTTGGCCAGGAGTTGAGATTAGAACCCAGATTTCCTGATGCTCATCCCAGGTTTATTCATTCTTTCATTAACTATATCTAACTTGGCTAGGCTTTTCCCACTCTGCTTCTGGCCCATGTCCTTCCAGTAGTGGCAACAGTGTCATCTATCATTTCTCATAAAGCTACCTTAACACCAAATGCTCAGACTTCTGTGGGGAACTACATCTATGTACACAATACCAGGCTGGATATTTTACATCTATTTTATGGTATTCCACAACAGCCCAACAGCACAGGTCCTGACATATATATTTTCCTAAGTCCTAACAAGAACTTAGGAAATGTTTGCTACACTGCTCAGGGCTCTTCTACCTTCAAGCATGAGCTCAAAAGATGGTAGGTATTATTATTTCATTTTATATGTGAAGAAAGTATTGCTTGGGGAAGTACAGTAACTAGCTTGAGGTAACCTGTAAATGGTAGTACCAGAATGAAAACCTAGTTCCAATTCTATGATCAGTTCATTAGCTACAGTTCAGAATAGCATTTTTTTTGTTTTGTTTTGAGATAGAGTCTCACTCTGTTGCCCAGGCTGGAGTGCAGGGTGCGATCTCGGCTCACTGCAACCTCCACCTCCCAGGTTCAACTGGTTCTCCTGCCTCAGCTTCTCAAGTAGCTGGGATTACAGGCGCCTGCCACCACACCTAGCTAATTTTTGTATTTTTAGTAGAGATGGGGTTTCACCATCTTGGCCAGGCTGGTCTCGAACCCCTGACCTCAGGTGATCCACCTGCCTCGGCCTCCCAAAGTGCTGAGACTACAGGCATGACCAATCGTGCCCGGCCAAGACTAGCATCTTATAAATTGAGCTCCTCTATACTGCTGCATTTCTCCAACAGCTACTCTGGTAGAGTGGGAGGGGAATGACTGGGTAAGCAGGTTCTTACTCTGCTTCAACCACAGCAGCTGTGCTTTTCTGTTTTATTTGAATAAAGGGTCCTGAAGCTGAAAAAATTGGAAAGCCACTAGTGCAGTGAAAAAAGCACTGAACTGGGAGTTAGAAGATCTGTGATACTAGTTTATCGCTCCTTGACCCTGGGCAAATCACTTCCTTTATGTGAGTTCCACAGCTTCCTCTGCTTTAAATGACAGCCAACTCAATTCTAATATTCTGAGATTCAATCTCAGAATATTGAGTTCAATCTCTGAAGAAGAAATTTCAGGATTACTAGAAAAGGAAGCAATTTATAACTCTCAAATTCTAAATACATAAAAACACATATTCTCTCAGATACATCTTCAGATTCCACATAAGCACACAAGAACTCAATTCACAGATATTCTCTGCCTCAGAGAAAGTGGGAGTTGGAAAGCTACATTCTCCATTGTACTATTAAAATAATGAGGGTAGAAAATGTCTCACTTATTTCTATTTCCAACAGCACAGGTCATGTCACACAACAGGAAGTCAATAAATGTTTGCTGCATGGCTCAGTGTTCATCAACCTTTAAGCACGAGACCAAAAGATTGCAAAGATGCTTCATGCTGTGACCTCTAGCCTCCGGGAAGGACTCATGTCTAGCTTTCCTGATTCAGCAAATAGAGATGTTAAGTATGCCATGAACCCCCACCTATCTTGCAGGGCTCAAATGATCAAATAAGCCAAAAAAGGAAACTAGTAAAATGTCATACAATTGAGTGGGAGGTCTTACCTGGACCACTTGCCATAGGAAATCCCGCCTCCATCCTAACTGAATTTCCAGCTCCCATGGGTCCATTCATTCTCACATCTTGGCTTCGGTTCTGAGCCAAAGCCAGGTTAATAGCACCTTCCCCTGAAAATGAGTCAAGTGATAAAAAGGAAATCATTAGAATAAAATGCAAATTTTGTTTATAGACAGCTATATAAGTGCTTTAGTTTTCTGTGCTTTTGAAGAATTATGGTTAGTTTACCACCAGAAAAATGGTGGGTTCAATGTAGATGGGTCTTTCTTCAACCCATCTAAGCAGGTTTCATGAAGCACAAGGAGATATAACCAATTCTTACTTGTAATAGGGAAGCAGGGTGACCATGAATGATGCTTAGTATCAACAGAGATCCTGGAACTCTGAATATTTATTTTCAACCATCTTACCAATTGTGTGTGTGTGTGGGGTGTGTGTGTGTGTAATGGAAGAAAATGTTCTCAAAAACTCTCAAAATCCTAGACTTCCTTTTGGTAATTTATGATCAGAAGGTAGACACTAAATATAAGTAGGTTTAAAGAAGAAAGAACCTATACTGGTGTGGGGACACTAACACTTGTGAACAAAATACCAATTCCATTCAATAACTGCAATATAAACATATTTCCAGCAGGAAAAAAATCATGCAATGAAGAGGAGATAGGTTGCTACAAATCTACTTTCTGAGACACCTAATGACAGGACCAATACTTTTATAGGTTTTTGTTTTCTGAGATGGGGTCTCACTTTGTCACCCAGGCTGCAGTGCAGTGGCACAGTCATATAGCTCACCACTACCTTAAATTCCTGGGCCCAAGGGGTCCTGCTGCCTCAGCCTCCTGAGTTGCTGGGACCACAGGCGCACATCACTATGTCCGGCTACGTATAGGATTTTTTTTTTTTTTGAGATGGAGTCTTGCTCTGTCACTCAGGCTAGAGTGCAGTGGTGTGATCTTGGCTCACTGCAACCTTCATCTCCTGGGTTCAAGGGATTCTCCTACCTCAGCCTTCCGAGTAGCTGGGATTACAGGCGCCCACCACCACGCCCAGCTAATTTTTGCATTTTTAGTAGAGACGGGGTTTCACCACGTTGGCCAGGCTGGTCTCGAACTCCTGACCTCACGTGATCCACCCACCTCGGCCTCCCAAAGTGCTAGGATTACAGGCGTGAGCCACGGTGCCCAGCCTGCATAGGATTTTTAATTTTACCTTATTTGAGCTTCACAGTACCCTCATAGGTAATGTTACTAGAAGTGTTCCAATTAAGTAGACTCTAAACTTAGAGGCAACTTAAATCTTACTTGGTCCAATGATAAAAACGTCTCTGAAACAAGCAACAGAATGTTTCTTGCACTTAATCCAAAATTTTGACTATTGTTATTGTAAGAGAGCACCACCTTGTGGAGAGTTAAAATATAGCTAGTCTGTGGCTGCTGAGCTGAAAGGCTGCACTCACCCAAGTCCTTCTAAACTGTAGGGTTCTGATTCACAGGGTCTGATGGTAAAACAGAAAGTTAATGAGGTATGGCAGTTTCCTCTGTTCTGTCACTGATCTAGGTCAGCCTTCCTTTTTTTTTTTTTTGAGATGGAGTCTCGCTCTGTCGCCAGGCTGAAGCGCAGTGGTGCAATCTCGGCTCACTGCCATCTCCACCTCCCAGGTTCAAGCGATTCTCCTGCCTCAGCCTCCCGAGTAGCTGGGATTACAGGCACGTGCCAATACAAGCAGCTAATTTTTGTATTTTTAGTAGAGACGGGGTTTCACCATGTTTACCAGGATGGTCTCGATCTTTTGACCTTGTGATCCGCCCAAAGTGCTGGGATTACAGGCGTGAGCCACCATGCCTGGCTAGGTCAGCTTTCTATGTCTATTTTAACCAGGGAGGTTCACTGGTCACAGGGAACAAACAGCCTACCAAAAAGGAAGCAATCACTGGGAGCTACCAGATGCTATAGCTTGCCTCTAGAAGTCAGGCGTAAAAAGAGAAACAGAATACAGGTCATGAGGGTTTCCATTAAAGGAAGGGAACTATTAATATACAAAATTTGTTAAGACATTCTAAGTAGAAAGAATATTGTTCTGGAAAAGGACATCAGTTCGTATCATTCCTTAAAAACAGTTCCATTGCTTCCCACTAGTTTAGAAATAAAGGCCAAACTTCTTTTTTTTTTTTTGAATCGGAGTGTCTCACTGTTGCCTGGGCTGCAGTGCAATGGCGCGATCTCGGATCACTGTAACGTCTGCCTCCGGGTTCAAGCGATTCTCCTACCTCAGCCTCCCGAGTAGCTGGGATTACAGGTGCTTGCCACCACGCCCGGCTAATTTTTGTATTTTTAGTAGAAACGGGGTTTCACCATGTTGGCCAGACTGGTCTCGAATTCCTGACCTCAGACAATCCGCCTGTCTTGGCCTCCCAAAGTGCTGGGATTACAGGCATGAGCCACCGTGCCAGGCCAGGCCAAACTTCTTAGCCTATACAAGGCCTTAAATTATCTACCTAGCCAAGTGTTGTTCAACAGAAATATAATATGAGCCACATATGCAATTTAAAATTTTCTAGAAGCCACAGTAAGAAACAGATGAAATTATCATTTATTTTACTTAATACATTCAATGTATTATTTCAACATGTAATTAATGTAAAAATTATTATTATTTTTTGAAACAGGGTCTCACTCTGTTGCTCAGGCTGGAGTGCAGTGGTGAGATCACAGTTCACTGCAGCATTGACCTAACTGGGCTTAAGTGATCCTTCCCACATCAGCTTCCCAAGTAGGTGGGACTACAGGAGTATGCCAACATGCCTGGCTAATTTTTTTATTTTAAATTTTAAATTTTTTGTAGAGACAGGGTATCACTATATTGCTCAGGCTGGTCTCAAACTCCTGTGCTCAAGCAATCCTCCTGGCCTCAGCCTTCCAAAGTGCTGGGATTACAGGTGTGAGCCACTCAGCCCAGCCAATGTAAGAATTATTGAGATATTTTACATTCCTTTGGGGAATACCAAATCTTCAAAATGTAATATGTATTTTATACTTACAGCGCACGTCAGTTTTAACTAGCCACATTTTCAGTGCCTAAAAGCAACATACAGTCTGTGGCTACCAATATTGGACTGCCCATATTTAGCCCTGTCTACCTCTTTAAACTCATCTCATGCTATTTTTCTCCTTCAATAGCAAGGATTCAGCCCCAGTGTTTCCTTTTAGTTTCTTAGGCACACAAGGCTGCTTCTCACCCCAAGGCCTTTGCTCATGCGGTTTCCTCTGCCTAGAACAGTTCTCTGCACTCTTCGCATAGCTAGCTTCTCAATTTTCATGTAATCTTAAGTGTCACATGCCCAAAAAGGCCTCTACCAACCATCTTATCCAAGGTTAGGTAACTTTTATCAGAACATCTTGTTATTTCTGCAGAGCACATTCCATGTAATCATTCACTCACTCGTTTTCTTGCTTGCCTCCCCCATCACTATACAGGGTTAATTACAAGTCTGTCCTTGTTCCTTCACATCTGTTGTTCCAGCATAATTAATAGCATTCTCTTTCACTTTCAGAAATGTCCTAATTTAGGCTAGGCATGGTGACTCACATTTGTTAATCCCAGCACTTTGGGAGGCCAAGGTGGGAGGATTGCTTCAGACCAGGAGTTCAAGACTAGCGACATGGTGAGACCCCGTCTCTATAAAAAATTAGTCAGGTCCGTGGTGGCACGCACCTGTGGTCCTAGCTACTCAGGAGGCTGAGATGGGAGGATTGCTTAAGCCCAGGAGGCCGGGGCTACAGTGAGTTGTGTTTGTACCACTGCCCTCCAACCTAGGCAACACAGTGAGACTTTGTCTCAAAAAAAAAAAAAAAGTGTCCTAATTTAGATGATAAATTATATGACTATCTATAATACATCATTTATACATAAAATAGTGCCTGGTACGTGGCAGATGCTCATTAGCTATTTATTAAATATAATGGTCATCTTATAACCTTATAAAGAATTATAAGCATTTTTCTATATGACAAATTACTTCCTGGAAAACCTCACATTTATCAAATCTCATACTGACAATAACAGGGTTAGGGCAAACTGAAAACCTGTGAGACTTTGTAACCAGAGCTCTAATAAAAACAATAACTGGTGGAGGCAAAATGCCAGAAAAAAATGCAGCAGAAATGCCTGGTTAAAGGTGCTGAGATAATGCACATGTAGTGGAGTTCTGAGCCAGCGGGGCTGCCATTATGGTGGGCACAGGAAGAAATGCAACCTGTCATGAACTGAGAGCCACACAAGGCTGGGGGATGCACGTCAGGAAGGCATACGAATATACACTCTCATTCTTAATTTTAATAGAGCTGAAAAGACTCCCACACATGCAACAGCTGAGTGAAAAGCTTTTTCTTGTTGATAATTATAATTCTATTTCTACTATTCCAGCTCCTCTTACCTAAGAAAAAAAATCACATATTAATAAACAGAATTTCCACACTATACTGCTATCATTCCCCTATTTACCAACTGCATATATGCTAATTTGTGTCAAAGAGAACACTACCGGCTCCCAAACTTGCCAATTAGGGGTCCACAAACTACGTCCTGTGGGCCAAATGCAGCCCACTGCATGTTTATTTAAATAAAGTGTTACTGAAATCCTGCCATGTTTACTTGTTTACATATCGCCTATGGCTGTTTTTGCCCTACAAGATGGAACTGAGTACTTGTTGAGTTGAGATCTTATGGCCTGCAAAGCCAAAAATATTTATTCTTGGCCCTTTACAGAAAAAGTTAGCAGACTACTCTTTAGATCACCATGAATTTACAGAGGGGGCACAAAATGTCCTCAAAAAAGATGTTTCCCCAATTCCCTGGCCAAAACTTAAAAAAGGAAGGGTACAGGAAGTATTTGTCAATGGAGAACGGACTGTTGGGAGAACCTGTCCCTCAAGCCTTGCAGCAGACACGATAGTGGCAACATTGCTTCATTCCTTCTTTTTTGTTGTTGTTGTTTTGAGACAAAATTTTGCTCTTGTCGCCCAGGCTGGAGTGCAGTGGCGTGATCTCGGCTCACCGCAACCTCCACCCAGGAAAATTTTGCTCGACACCCAGGCTGGAGTGCAGTGGCATGATCTCGGCTCACCGCAACCTCCACCTCCTGGGTTCAAGCAATTCTCCTGCCTTAGCCTCCCGAGTAGCTGGGACTATAGGCACGCCCCACCATGCTCGGCTAATTTTTATATTTTTAGTAGAGACGGGGTTTCACCATGTTGGCCAGGCTGGTCTCAAACTCCTCCCCTCAAGTGATCCACCCACCTTGGCCTCCCAAAGTGTTGGGATTACAGGTGTGACCCACCGTGGCTGGCCAACATTCTTCTTACAACTTACAAAATCAACAGCCCAGTTCCACAAAAGCAATAGCTGCTGCCATCACTTTCACTCCTGCTGAATTCCCAGGAGCATGGGAACAGAGATCATCTGGGACACACATGTAGCCTAAAAGTTAAAGAACTCTTTCTGTATTGTGATAATCATTGTCATATGTGAATTTCATAATTTCTTAAAATATGTTATCTATTTGCTTCCTTGCTAGTACTCATGTTTAAATTTATGGCTATAATGTTAAGGGAGAACCAGCATTATATTGTTTTAGGAAGTAGGTCTGCTTAAGAAATAAAACTGGTACTTCTTTCTCCAGTGAAAAACACTATCAATTAAGGTTTTGAAGCCTTTAAATAGGTAACAGAGACCAAAAAACATGTGGGGTTTTAAAGAAACCACTTATGTATTCCTTAAAGTATAAACAGCCCACATATTGTTATTTTATCCAATAGTTGTTCGACTTCCACTTTTCCTAATAGTTCATCCTACAGATTGCTGTGAATTAATTGTACTTTTCTGGATCCTTTTAGATAGTTCCACATTTTTCAAATTAAAGTGGTATTGCTTAAGCCACTATTCTCTCATTTATCAAATGGTGAAAATTATCCCATTTCTCAATCTACATATAACCCTTTCTAAATAATTTGTTTGTTGGTATTGCCCCTTTGAGGGCACAGCAACCTACAATGCTAGACTGCATAAAATGTGTCTCACTCCTATAAACAAAATGACCTCGACTGCTCAGGTTTCATGGAGCAATTAGGTTCTACGTAAGCACAGGGCCAGGAGGACCTGGACTAAAGTGGAAGGGAAAGCTGGAATTGCTGGTTGTCACCTGGCTGTATCAACACAGGAGGGGAAGAGAGGGTTCTAGTTCACTGAGCTTCCAAAGAGCTCCCCCACACATGGTAGGTACTTACATCTCTCACAGGTTTGTCTTCCTTACTAAAGTCATAAGCTCTTCCGAGTTTATAACAATAAGGACAATATTTATCATTGTATTCCAAATGCTAAAGCTTATAGTCTATGGGGATAAAACAATAATCAAATAATTGCTCTATGAAAGTGTGAGATAAATGATCTGAGGGAGAGAAACAAACTTTTGTGAGAGCACATAGCAAAGGACTCTGACTTGCCAAAGGAGTTCAGAAAATACATCCTCAAGATTTAAGCTGATACTTGAAGGCTGAGCAGGCATGAACTAGGGGAAGGGGGTTGGTAGGGAATAGTATTTCATTTAGAGAAGACATCAATGCAAAGGACCTGTGGCAGGAGGAAGAGAAAGCTGAGAAGCTGGAACACAGGGGGCAAGGGAGGAAAGTTACACAAGATAAGGCTGGATGAGGAAGGTAGAGGTGAGACCATGCAAAGCCTGAGGTCATGGTAAGGAGTTTGGTCTTCATTCTTTGAATAATACCAAGAGATAGCAGGATTTTAATCTAGGGGTGTAGGGTTATAGGGGTGTAGGTGTGTGTGTGTGTGTGTGTGTGTCTGTGCGTGCGTGCACGTGCTCATCAAATTCTCATTTTGAAAAAGATCATTCTGGTAAAAATACTGAAAATGAACACTGCGGGCCGGCGTGATGGCCTGTAATCCCAGCACTTTGGGAGGCCGAGAGGGTGGATCACCTGAGGTCAGAAGTTTGAGACCAGCCTGGCCAAGACGGTGAAACCCCATCTCTACTAAAAATACAAAAATTAGCTGGGCATGGTAGTACATGCCTGTAATACCAGCTACTCAGGAGGCTGAGGCAGGAGAATCACTTGAACCTGGGAGGTGGAGGTTGCAGTGAGCTGAGATCATGCCACTACACTCCATCCTGGGACTCTGTCTCAAAAAAAAAAAAAAAAAAAAGAAAAAAAAAAGAAAAGAAAATGAATGCTGCTACAAAAGGAAAGGACTGTTGAAGGCTTCATAATCTGTTAGACGAATAAAGAAAATACTAAAGTTTATTTGGTGGAAGGAAGGAAGCAAATTAAATTATATGTTAAGCTGGGTACAGTGGTATAGGTGTAGTCCCAGCTACTCAGGAGGCTGAGATGGGAGGATCATCTGAGGCCAAGAGTTTGAGTCCAGCCTGGGCAACACAGAAAGACACTGTCTCTAAAAATAACAACAATAACAAAGAAAACCACACAACTAAATAAATAAATAAGACAAATCAATTCCTGGTCAGGATGCCAATAAAATCAAAGTCTGAAAGACTGATGGTCAAAATTAGCCAAAGGAATGGAGTCCAAGGCTACAGATGCTAAAGACCATCAGGACCCAGCAATAACCTCAGTCAGTCCCTCTTCATCCTAAGGTGCTGCAAAGCAAAGTACAAGTTACATGAGTTGCTTGGCATTCTGAAACACAAGAGCAGAGGAACAGACAAAGCAGCACAGAAAATCATGCTATATTCTACTGTTGTAATGATTCTGGTCTAGATGGGCACATGGCAAAGTAAAAGACCTTCAATCTGAACGGAGAGAATCCCTAAATCCCGAAGCTGCTGGTTGTTGCTCTGAGCAAGGATCCGTAGCCGCTCCGCTGCTTCCCGGGGGATGTTGAATGTCACACGCACGCTGTTCCAGGGCTCCACCTTCTGTACTTTTAGCTTGCTGGACTCTTGATTGTGAAAGAAAAAGAATTATATTAATAATCTTTTAGCCACCAGAGGAGATGGAATTAAAAAACAAACCAAAAGAGCAAAAGAATAAGGTGGAGCACCAGCTTGGAATAGCTAACAGAGCATATGCTTTGGAGCTACAGACTCAAATCTAATCCTAGCTTTGCCACTTAGCACCTGGGTGACCATGAACGAGCTATTTAACCTTTCTGAAACTTATCTTTTTCTTTTCTAAAACTATGAAAAAACTACTTCATATGATTTTTGGGTACAAATTAGATAATATATGCAAAAAATCTAGCATAGTACCTGGCACACCACAGGCAATGAACGGAAAGCCGTAAGATGGAGAAAGGACCATAAGAAAGAAGAGAGAGGTTAAGTTTAAATTAATAGAATAGGCTCATGCCTATAATCCCAGCACTTCGGGAGGCCGAGGCAGGTGGATCACGAGGTCAGGAGTTCAAGAATAGCCCAGCCAACATAATGAAACCCCGTCTCTACTAAAAATATAAAAATTTGCTGGGCATGGTGGCATGCACCTGTAGTCCCAGCTACTCGGGAGGCTGAGGCAGGAGAATTGCTTGAACCCGGGAGGCAGAGGTTGTGGTGAGCCAAGACTGCGCCACTGCACTCCAGCCTGGGCAACAAAGTGAGACTCCGTCTCAAAAAAAAAAAAAAAAAAAAAAGGTAAAGGACAGTTCTCCAGAAAAGATACACAAATGGCCAATAAGCACATGAAAAAATGCTTGACATAACTAATCATTAGAGAAATGCAAATCATAATGATAAGATACCACCTCACCACCATTACCATGGCTACTATCAAAACCACAGAAAATAAACAATGGTGAAGATACGGAGAAATAGAACCTGCGGGGCACGGTGGCTCACACCTATAATCCCAATAATCCCAGCACTTTGGGAGGCTGAGGCTGGTGGATCACTTGAGGACAGGAGTTCGAGATCAGCCTGGCCAACATGGCAAAACCCCGTCTCTACTAAAAATACAAAAATTAGCCAGGCATGGTGGTGCACACCTGTAGTCCCAGCTACTCAGGAGGCTGAGGCCAGAGAATCGCTTGAACCCAGGAGGCGGAGGTTGCTGTGAGCCCAGAATGCACTACTGCACTCCAGCCTGGGTGACAGAACAAGACTCCGTCTCAAAAAAAAAAAAGAAACTGGAACCCTTGCGCACTGTCAGTGGGAATGTAAAAGGATACAAGCTGCTGCGGAAAACGACAGTTTCTCAAAAAAAATTAAAAATAGAATTACCACATGATGCAGCAATTCTACCTCGGAGTACACACTCAAATGAACTGAAAGCAGAGTCTCAAAGAGATATTTGTACACCATATTCATAGCAGCATTACCCACAATAGCTAAGATATGGAAGCAACCCAATGTCTACTGACAGATGAATGAATCAGTAAAATATGGTATATACATACAATGGAATATTATTATATTATTATTTGAGACGGAATCTTGCTCTGTCACCAGGCTGGAGTGCAATGGCATGATCTTGGCTCACTGCAACCTCCGCCTCCCAGGTTCGAGCAATTCTCCTGCCTCAGCATCCTGAGCTGGGACTACAGGTGCATGCCACCACGCCCAGCTAATTTTTGTATTTTTAGTAGACACAGGGTTTCACCATGTTGGCCAGGATGGTCTTGATCTCCTGACCTCATGATCGCCCGCCTCGGCCTCCCGAAGTGCTGGGATTACAGGCGTGAGCCACTGCGCCCAGCCACAATGGAATATTATTAAGCCTTAAAAAGGAAGGATATCCTGCCACATGAATGGGCTTTGAGCATCTTACGCTAAGCGAAATAAGCCAGTCACAAAAAGGCAAAATTCCACTTATATCAAGGAAGTAGAGTAGTCCAAAATCATAGAAACAGATAGTAGAATGGTGGTTTCCAGGGACTAGCAGCAAGGAGGAAATGGTGAGTTGTTATTCAATGGTTAGAGACGTTCAATTTTTTTTTTTTTTTGAGACGGAGTCTCAATCTGTCGCCAGGCTGGAGTGCAGTGGCGCAATCTTGGCTCGCTGCAACCTCTGCCTCCCGGCTTCAAGCAATTCTCCTGCCTCAGCCTCCCGAGTAGCTGGGACTATAGACACCTGCCACCATGCCCGGCTAATTTTTGTATTTTTAGTAGAGACGGGGTTTCACCATGTTGGCCAGGATGGTCTTGATCTCTTGACCTTGTGATCCACCTGCCTCGGCCTCCCAAAGTGCTGGGATTGCAGGCATGAGCCACCACACCCAGCCAGAGATGTTTAATTTTACAAGATGAAAAGAGTTACATCCTGGCTAACACGGTGAAACCCCATCTCTACTAAAAAATACAAAAAATTAGCCTGGTGTGGTGGCGGGCGCCTGTAGTCCCAGCTACTTGGGAGGCTGAAGCAGGAGAATGGCGTGAACCCGGGAGACGGAGCTTGCAGAGAGCCGAGATCGCACCACTGCACTCCAGCCTGGGTGACAGAGCAAGACTCCGTTTCAAAAAAAAAAAAAAAAAAAAAAAAAAGACAAGACAAGACTTAGGGCGACACATGGTGGTGATTGTTGCACAACATTATGAGTACATTTAATTTCCACTAAACTGTATACTTAATAATGGTTAACATGGTAAATTTTATGTTACATGTATTATACAATAAAAAATACTTTTTAAAAAAGTTAAGTAATTGAGGAGGTATTATTAATTGTAGTTACATTTTACAGATTGGAAAGCAAATCCCAGGCACAGTTAGCTGATAAAAAAGTTATTTGGCTGCGTGCAGTGGCGCATGTCCGTAATCCCAGCACTTTGGGAGGCCGAGGCGGGCAGATCACTTGAGCTCAGGAGTTTGAGATCACCCTGGGCAACATAGTGAGACCTCATCTCTACAAAAAATAAACAGAAAATTAGCTGGGTGCAGTGGCGTGCGCCTGTAGTCCCAGCTACTTGGGAAGCTGAGGTGGGAGAATTGCTTGAGCCTGGGAGATCAAGGCTGCAGTGAGCTGAGATCATGCCACTGCATTCCAGCCTGGGTGATGGGGTGAGACACTGCCTCAAAAAATAAATAAAAAATAAAAAAAGTTATTCAACAACCTCAGGCAAAACAATTTTCTCTTTTGTTATTAACTCAGCTAAACTTAAACTTCTGTATCCTTCATTCAGTTATACATTCTAATATTAAGATAATGGTCATTCAACACCTGTGAAAAGAAGGAAAAAAGAGATAATGGTCATAGAGGAATATGCTTTCTCAAAATGAGAAATATCTAAGGATAGAGGAAAGTGCCTACATGTTGCCTAAAGCCCCTTCCAGCTCTTAAACCATTGTACATTGAATGTTAACTTTTCCAGACATGGAGTTCACTTGTTCTAATGTGGAAAAAAAAACAGGGAAAACTTGCTAAAAGGAATGAGATAACACAATCATAGGAATTTAGAAAAGATTAGACAATATTTAGTCCAAGACCATTTTACAGGAGAGGAAACCAAGGCCCAGAAAGGCTAAGTGATTTGCTCAGAAGCCTGTGGCTAACCAGTAGCATCAGAGATGACATTAAAACCCAGCTCTGATTCTCAGGGCAATTTCCTTTCCATTACATGTAGGCCTCCAAACAGCAAAAGGCAGGAAGTTTGGGGATCCTGGTTCCACCAATCATAGACACTGCAGGACTTCTTCCCACTCTGAAGTATGTTGGAATCTTGTACATATTCTACACAAACATCAAATTTGCTTATGGTATTAACACTTGTAATATGCTTGCAGAAAAATCCATATTCATAACAGTTATATCTTATCAAAATCTTTTTAAACTTCCATATTTGAGAGATTTGACTTAAAATATTTTTTGGACCAAGAATATAATCTGATAGCACCATAAATCTAGAGTTGGTTATTTTTTATTTATTTTTATTTTTTTGAGACAGAGTCTCGCTCTGTCACTCAGGCTGGAGTGCAGTGGCATGATCTCGGCTCACTGCAACCTCTACCTCCCAGGTTCAAGCAATGCCTCAGCCACCCGAGTAGCTGGGATTACAGGCACCTGCCAGCACGCCTGACTAATTTTTGTATTTTTAGTAGACAAGGTTTCACCATGTTGGCCGGGCTTGTCTCAAACTCCTGGCCTCAAGTGATCCGCCCACCTCGACCTCCCAAAGTGCTGGGATTACAGGCATGAGCCACTGCGCCCACCTTTATTTATTATTTATTTTTTTTAGACAGGGTCTCACTCTGTCACACAGGCTGGAGTGCAGGGGCACTATTAGAGCTCACTGCAGCTTTGACCTCCCTGGGCTCAAGTGATCCTCCCACCTCAGCCTCTCGAGTAGCTGGGACTACAGGTGCATGCCAACATACCCAACTAATTTTTGTATTTTCTGTAGAGATGAGGTCTCTCTATATTGTCCAGGTTGGTCTTGAACTCCTGGGTTCAAGTGATCCACCCAACTCAATCTCCCAAAGTGCTGGGATTACAGGCATGAACTACTGTGCCTGGCCTAGGTTTGGTAATTTATTTGAAAGCCATAAATAAATTGAATTAGCAATATGTAAACAACAGAAAAATGTGGTAATTAATGAAGAGCAATGAACAATTTCAGGCCCAGCAAGACCTTTATAATATATAACTATGATTATGGTTACAATGATGTTGATAACTACATGAAAAATTCTTAATTGTATGCTAAATAACGCATAACTATGGAGAACCTTGTACAACACAGTGAAAAGCAGTTGAAAAAACAACAGCTTCCGTCCAGATAACAAATCTCAAAAGATAAAACCCCCAAGCCTTAAAAGAAAGCTAATTAGCTCTTGATCAATTTAGGATTTGTGATAAAAGGAATAAATCTAGGCTTTTCACTATGTCCGAAGGGATTAGATAATTGTGCTAACTAGAATAGAGAACATCTAAATCAAGGTTCAAAACCACAAATGCCCGTAAGATATGGACAGGTAATCTAAATGTGTGAAGAAGCCAGATGGGAACTGTGGTGAAGTGGGGCTGCTCTCAGAAGCAGCTGCTACTTCGTACCATCTGGGAGAGAGGGAGAACTCAATGTTATCAGATCTTCCTATTTTTAAAGACAAATGTAAAAATCCGGATTTTCATGCAATATAACTCAATTTTTAAAGCACTGGCAATGAAACTCAAACACTGAAAACAAACTAAATCTCAAACACTAACGTGGGCCAAATAACAAATGCCTGCAGACTGGATCCAGCAAGCTGTTAGCTAGTGACTTCTGACATAAAAGTTAAAGGAATAAATTTAAAGTATATTATAAGCAGATTCATGGAATAATAAGTTTTCTAAGCTTTAAGGGTCCTTAAAGATTCAGTTTAACCTTTTCAATTTACAGGTAAGGAAAATGAAAACCAGAGAGTTAAAAACAAATAAATTTGGGTCTTGAGAATTACTTTTATCCACTAGAGAAGATTATTCAACAATTACCATAATAAGCAACACTTTATGTTCAGTTCTTCTATGTACTTAAAAAGAAAGAAAACATGTATATTTTTAAAATCCTAAAATTCCACCTCTGTGCTTAAATTCAGCCTTTTGACCCAATTTAACAAGCTTGTTTTGTAAAACTCAAGATAACCATGGAAGGGCAAACATTTCAAAAACAGTAACAGGAAGAAAAAATAATTAAAGCAAATTACCCATGTGTAACAAATTGGGCACGTTTTTCAATATTGCATCTAATTTCCATTTGAAGTCTTTATCATCTATATTTCCTTTGAAGGCCACAAAAATTGTGGAATCCTCCAAAATACTATCACTTTTTGTGTCATCATCTTCTAGTCCAGAGTCAAAATCCATCTCTGAGTCTTCCATTGTTGATGAACACAAGGAAGTATAGATGTCTTCTAAGTTTGGAAGGTCATCCAAAACCATGGTGAATATTATTCCAGAAGCATATGCCAAGAGGACAATAAGAAAACTTCTGAAAAGAGAAGATGCAAAAGAGCATTACAATGCATAGTTATGCATTCAACAATGTATAATTCATAGTTCTATGAAAATTATAATTTATTTAATAAGAAAATACTATAAAAATTAAGAAATTACAGAGAAGATAAGCTATTTTAATTATGACATTCTAAAACAATTAGTTCTTACAGTTACCAAAAATAAAAATACACTAGTCTTAAATTTAACATTCTTTTTATTATGTTATATGCTACTTTTTTATAAGCTAGAATGTCAGGAGAAGGGAAGAAAGGATCACAAGAAAATAAAACAAGTACATACTTTTTGAGAATTATAGGCCTTTGGTTGACCCCACAGAGCAAGGGGCTCCCCAAGACTCCCCCTACTTCTGTCTTGACAAAAGCTTAAAAGGAGCCAAGGTTTCTAAAGCCTTCTTCTTTCTCCAAACTACAAAGCACAACCAGACCTGACTAATAGCAACTGGATGATTACCTAAAATTCTGAAGTCTTTCATGAACCATTTTAAACAACTATTAAAGGGTTATTAACAGTGGAATGGCTGAAAATAATGATTCTGAAATAAACACTTAAAAATTCTTATATGAAAGGGCTGGGCGCAGTGGCTCACACCTGTAATCCCAGCACTTTGGGAGGTCAAGGTGGGCAGATCACTTGAGGTCAGGAGTTTGAGACCAGCCTGGCCAACATAATGAAACCCTGCCACTACTAAAACACAAAAATAAGCTGGACATGGTGGTGTATGCCTGTAATCCCAGCTACTAGGGAGGCTGAGGCAGGAGAATTGCTTGAATCCAGGAGGGTGGAGGTTGAAGGGAGCCGAGGTTGCGTCACTGCACTCCAGCCTGGGCAACAGAGCAAGACTCCGTCTCAAAAAAAAAAGGGGGTTGATATGGACAGGTAATCTTTATGGAGGTAAAGAACTGTGTTCCGGACAGAATTAAATTGCTTCCTAAATTTTAGATATAAAGAAGTTACATTTTCTGCTATCTTCAGGTATGCTGCTTACCAAAGAGTACATGTATTAAAGATCACACAGTGTGGCCATTTCCTCTGTTAGTTTGGGGATTGAAGATCACATACTTAACCCAAAAGTAAATGAATGAACATTAATTTTCAGCATTTGCGGTAAGCAAAAATGGCATGGAAACCTAAGAACCTCCCACAAATGTTCTAATAAAATAATTCCTTATAATTTTAACTATAATACAACATTGATTGATTGATTGATTGAGACAGAGTCTCACTTTTTTGCCCAGGCTGCACTGCGGTGGCACAATTCGGCTCACTGCAACCTCCACCTCCCAGGTTCAAGCAATTCTCCTGCCTCAGCCTCCCGAGTAGCTGGGACTACAGGCAAGCACCATCATGCCTGGCTAATCTTTTGTAGTTTTAGTAGAGATGGGGTTTTGCCATGTTGCCCAGGCTGGTCTTGAACTTCTGAGCTCAAGCAAGCCATTCACCTTGGCCTCCCAAAGTGCTAGAATTACAGGCGTGAGCCACCTTTTATTTATTTATGGCACTTATTTATTTATGGCACATGTCCAGCCTTTATTTATGGCACTTATTTATATTATTAAAGTATTACGAATTATTACTTTATACTTATAACTATAATTACAAGTTTCTTAAAAAAAAGATGGATAAGAAAATTAATCCCCTAAAAAGCAACTATATTAGGTTGGTAGGATCATTGATAAATTTTATTTTCCTATTTTCCAAATATGCTGCAAATCATTAGGAAATACAAAACTGCTGTAATATGGTTATATTCCTTGCATAAATGAAAAAAAGTAACTCAAACACCGTTTAACTTTTTTTTTTTTAATTTATTTTTTTGAGACACGGTCTTTCTCTGTTGCTGGAATGTAGTGGCAAAAACATGGCTCACTGCAGCCTCAACCTCCTGGGCTCAAGTGATCCTCTCGCCTCAGCTTCCCAAGCAGCTGGGGTTACAGGCGTGTACCACCGTGCCCAGCTAATTTTTAAAATTTTTTGCAGAGATTGGATCTTGCCATATTGCCCAGGCTGGTCTCAAACTCTTAGGCTCAGGTGATCCTCCCACCTTGGCCTCCCAAAGTGCTGGGATTACAGGCATGAGCTACCATGTCCAACCAATTTTTCTTTTTTAAATAGTGAGGCTGGTGGATGGCTTGAGGGCAGCGATTTAAGACCAGCCTGGGCAACACTGTGAGACCTTGTCTCTACAAAAAATAAAAAAATTAACTGGGTGTGGTGGTGCATGCCTATAGCCCCAGCTACTCAGGAGGCTGAGGCGGGAGGATCCCTCAAACCCAGGAGTTCGAGGCAGCAGTGAGCTACGATAGTGCCACTGCATTCCAGTATGGGTGATAGCAACATTTTTGTCTCTAAAAATAAAAATAAAATAGGCTGGGCGCGGTGGCTCATGTCTGTAATCCCAGCACTTTAGGCGGCTGAGGTGGGCAGATCACCTGAGGTCAGGATTTCGAGACCAGCCTGGTCAACATGGTGAAACCCCGTCTTTACTGAAAATAGAAAAATTAGCTGGGCATGGTAGCAGGCGCCTATAATCCCAGCTACTTGGGAGGCTGAGGCAGGAGAATCACTTGAACCCTGGAGGCGGAGGCTGCAGTGAGCTGAGATCGCACCACTGCACTCCAGCCTAGGGGACAAGAGCAAGACTTCATCTCAAAAATAAATAAATAAAATAAAATAAAAAAATTACTACTGACTAAACTTCAACAGCAAAGGCTTTCCAAAAACCAACCTAAGCAATCCTTGGGGGAAAAATTCTTCTGTTATAAGTAAATATGGCAAAAATACTTCCAAATTTGAGCAGAGCACCTTGTGTTCTGGCAATTATATCCTTTTCTAGTGCTATGACTGTTACAATGAAACTGATTTGGGTGGTTAAGAAACAACAGCAGGGTCAGTGGCTCATACCTGTATTCCTAGCACTTTGGGAGGCAGAGGCAGGAGTGCTGTTTGAGCCCAGGAGTTCCAGACCAGGCTAGGTAACAGCGAGACCATGTCTCAATTTTTTTAAAAATTAAAAAAAAAAAAAAAAAGATACAACAGCAGTCAGAAAATCTCAAATTAATACCACTGCCCTTATTTGATTGCCATCTGCATTTTACAGATTTTTAATAAACTTTAGAGGTAATTAAACAAAACTAATGAAGATTTTTAGGGCTTAAAAGTTGCTGCTTAGCAGGAAAAATGATGACTGCCTAAAAAACTATGACTATTTAGCAGCTATTCCAAAGTTGGAACAACTGCAAGAAAACATCTTAAAATCTAAGAAACATTTTCCAAAAGAATCTTTAACCAGAAAGGAGACTAACTAAAAAGCCTGGACTTTGATAGTCTCCCTAAACAGGTCGTTGGTCATGACATGAGGACTATGTATCTAGATCTGGAAAATCTTCTACTGGCAGATACAGGAATTGTCAGTTTAACAATACTATGGGCATTACACAGTACTTAAAAAAAAAAAAAAAAACAGAGAGAAATTGAAAGTCAGTCTATGAAAAATTGCTGGCTTTCCCTCCAGAAAAAATAATTTTTAAAGAAACTTCTTTGGTTGGTAGGCTATTTATTACTGCCTCAATTTCAGAACTTGTTAATTGGTATACTCAGAGATTTAATTTTTTCCTGGTTCAGTCTTCCTGGTTCAGCTGAGAGTGTATGTGTCCAGGAATTTATCCATTTCTTCTAGATTTTCTAGTTTATGTACATAGAGGTGTTTATAGTATTCTCTGATGGTTGTTTGTATTTCTGTGGGGTCAGTGGTGATAGCCCCCTTATCATTTCTGATTGTGCTTATTTAATTCTTTTTTCTTCTTTATTAGACCTGCTAGCGATCTATTATAGCTAGTGATCTATCAATTTTTTTCAAAAAACCAGCTTCTGGATTCACTGATTTTTTGAAGGGTTTTTCACATCTCTATCTCCTTCAGTTCAGCTCTATTCTTGGTTATTTCTTGATCTTTTGCTAGCTTTGGGGTTTATTTGCTCTTCATTTTCCAGTTCTTTTAGTTGAGATGTTAGGTTGTTAACTTGAGATCTCTCTAGCTTTTTGATGTGGGCATTTAGTGCTATAAATTTCCCACTTAACACTGTTTAACACTGTCCCAGAGATTCTGGTATGTTGTCTCTGTTCTCATTAGTTTCAAAGAACTTCTTCATTTCTGCCTTAATTTCATTATTTACCCAAAAGTCATTCACGAGCAGGTTGTTCAATTTCCATATAGTTGTGTGGTTATGAGTGAACTTCTTAATCTTGAGTTCTAATTTGATTGTGCTATGATCTGAGAGACTGTTATGACTAAATAGGATTCCCTATTTAATAAATGGTGCTGAAAGAACTGGCTAGCCATATGCAGAAAATTGAAACTGGACCCCTTCCTTACGCCATCCTTACAAAAATTAACTCAAAATGGATTAAAGACTTAAATGTAAAACCCAAAACTAAAAAACTTCAGAAGAAAATCTAGGCAATACCATTCAGGACATGGGCATGGGCAAAGATTTCATGATAAAAACGCCAAAAGCAACTGCAACAAAAAAATTGAAAGTGGGATCTAATTAAAATAAAGAGCTTCTGCACAGCAAAAGAAACTATCATCGGAGTGAACAGACAACCTACAGAATGGGACAAAATTTTTGCAATCTACCCATCTGACAAAGGTCTAATATCCAGGGCCCACAAGAAACTTAAACAAATTTATGAAAAAAAAAAAACAACCCCATTAAAAAGTGCGCTTTCAGGTCTCCCCTGCCTCCAATCTTATTGTCCTCCAATCTGTCTCCAGACAGCAGCCACAGGGATCTTTCTAAAACACAAAATAGGCCAGGTGTGGTGGTTCAGGCCTGTAATCCCAGCACTTTGGGAGGCTGAGGTTGGAGGATCATTTGAGCCCAGGATTTTGAGACCACTCCTGCCAACACAGTAAGACCCCGACTCTACAAAAAAAATTTAAAAATTAACCAGGTGTGGTGATGCACACCTGTAGTCCCAGCTACATGGGAGGCTAGGGTGGCAGAACTGCTTGAGCCTGGGAAGTCAAGGCTACAGTGAGCTATGATTGTGCCACTACACTCCAGCCTGGGTAAGAGAGCAAGTTCCCGCTCTTAAAAAAAAAAAAAAAATTAAAAGAGATCAATTTTGGAGATGGCTTAATAGGCCTAGGAAACAAGTTATTGAGGAAAAACCTCAAAACAAACTTTGCCATTTACAAATTAACCTGTATTTGATGCAGGACCGGCAAGCCTCCAAAGTGGGGCTTAGCCTTCAAGCGTTCTTGGCTTCGCCCAGGAGAACTTAAGGGTGAGCCAGGGTAGGGTAGAAGAAAACAGCTCTATTGAAGCTGCAGTGTTACAACTCTGTGACTGCTCCTGCAGAGCAGGACTACCCCATAGGCAGTGTGCTGAGACTGGCAGCTCAGAGCAGTTTTGCAATTATATTTATACCTAATTTTTTTTTTTTTTTTGGAGATGAAGTCTTGCTCTGTCACCTAGGCTGGAGTGCAGTGGTGTGATCTCAGCTCACAGCAACCGCCGCCTTCCAGGTTCAAGCAATTTTCCTGCCTCAGCTTCCCAGTTAGCTGAGACTACAGGCAGATGCCACCACGCTTGACTAATTTTTTGTATTTTAGTAGAGATGGAGTTTCACCGTGTTGCCCAGGCTGGTCTCGAACTCCTGAGCTCAAGCAATCCGCCCACCTTGGCCTCCTACTGTACCTGGCCAGCAGTTATATTTATATCTACTTTTATGTATTTCATTTATTTTAATTTTTTTGAGATGGAGTCTAGCTCTGTCTCGCCCAGGCTGGAGTGCAGTGACACATTTTAGTAGAGATGGGGTTTCACCGTGTTGCCCAGGCTGGTCTTGAACTCCTGACCTCAGGTGATCCACCCGCCTCGGCCTCCCAAAGTGTTGGGATTACAGGCGTGAGCCATCGTGCCTGGCCTATACCTACTTTTAAGCATGTAGATTAACAGGTGGTTTATGCAGAAATTGCTAGCAGAAGTATGGTAACTTTTGGGTAGTCAGGTCATTGCCACGGAGAGGGGTGGTAAGTCTTGGGTGTTGTCATGGTAATGGTAAACTGACATGGCACACTGGTGGATGTGTCTTATGGAAAGCTGCTCCTGCCCCATCCCTGTTTTAGCAGTCCTCAATTTGGTCTGGTGTTCAAGCCCTGCCTCTGGAGTCAATTTCCACCTCCTACCTCATATTTAGGCTTAACTGAAGGACATATAGGTTTTAAAGTTGAAGATTAAGTAAACAGCCTGTAATTCCAGCACTTTGAGAGGCCGAAGCAGGCGGATCACCTGAGGTCAGGAGTTCAAGACCAGCCTGACCAACATGGAGAAACCCCGTCTCTACTAAAAATACAAAATTAGCCGGGCATGGTGGCACATGCCTGTAATCCCAGCTACTGGGAGGCTAAGGCAGGAGAATCACTTGAACCTGGGAGGCCGAGGTTGCGGTGAACATAGCGCCATTGCATTCCAGCCTGGGTAACAAGAGTGAAACTCCGTCTCAAAAATAAATAAATAAATAAATAAATCTCTTTAGCAGGTTGATGTTTTGCCTTGGTGTGCCAATGAATTGCTAGATTATGTGTCAAGTTCAAAGCATCTGAAAATTTCAAGTTACAACTTACAAAAAAGTATATACTATAGGTTACGTGGAAGCCTGATATTAGGAAATCAACAATTCATCTAAGTGCTGTATGAAGCAGCATCTAGAAAGCTTTATTCAACAAACTTTGAGGGAACTATGGTAGTAGTAATGAGAAAAGTTAAGTAAATAGCAGTGATCAAATGCAATTTCTTCAAGTTTCAATCTATGGAAGTCAACCAATGACAACAATGGTATCTTTCTTACTCATCTAACAAATAATTTACCTTTAGAAAAATATAAGGATAAAAAGGTTATTGTAAAGCCCTACAAGGAGGAAATCCAACAGTTTTTCTGATTACTGAGGCATCAAATGCCTGACATTGTATTTACAGGTATCTTGATATTGTGTCACAGGTTTATCAGCAGTTCCCCAAGTTCCTACTCCAACTTTGCATAAAGGCTTACTATGGCTAGGTGTGCTGGTTCACACCTGTAATCCCAGCACTTTGGGAAGCCGAGGTGGGCAGACGGCTTGAGCTCAGGCTTTTGAGACCAGCCTGGGGAACATGGTGAAACCCCATTTCTACAGAAAATACAAATATTAGCTGGGCCTGGTGGTGTGTGCCTGTAGTCCCAGCAACTCATGAGGCTGAGGTGAAACAATCCCTTGAGCCTGAGGGGAGTGAGGGGAAGGGTGGAGGTTGTGGTGAGCTGAAATTGTGCTACTGCACTATTGCTGCTCTGAGCAACAGAGTGAGACTCTGTCTCAAAAAAATTAAAAATGACTATAAATACTCGGTAAATGTCAAAGTGTTATAGTCACACACAGCATAACAATAAAATAATATTCTTCACGGCAATTATTCCTGCCTTAAATGGAAGAATATTCACTGAAAAACATTAATGTAAAAACAAAATTTAAGAAAGGCCGGGCGGGCACAGTGGCTCACACCTGTAATCCCAGTACTTTCGGAGGCCAAGGCGGGTGGATCACTTGAGGTCAGGAGTTCGAGACCAGCCTGGCCAACGTGGCAAATCCCATTTCTACTATTAAAAAAAAAAAAAAAAATTAAGAATAACTCTAAATTACACATATATTCACAGCAACATTATTCACAATAGCCAAAAACTCAAATGTCCATTAACAGGTGAATGGATAAACAAACTGTGGTAGATACATATAGATAGAATATTATTTAGATATAATAAGGAATGAAGTGCTGATACATGCTACAACGGAGATAAACCTCAAAAACTATATGCTAAGTAACAGAAGCCAGACATAAAAGGTCATATATTGCATAACTCCATTTATTTATTTTATTATTTATTTATTTATTTAATTATTTTGAGATGGAGTCTCGCTGTGTTGCCCAGGCTGGAATGCAGTGGTGTGACCTCGGCTCACTGTAAGCTCCGCCTCCCAGGTTCATGCCATTCTCCTGCCTCAACCTCCCGAGCAGCTGAGACCACAGGCACCCACCACTACGCCCAGCTAATTTTTTTGCATTTTTAGTAAAGACAGGGTTTCACCGTGTTAGCCAGGATGGTCTCGATCTCCTGACCTCGTGATGTACCCGCCTCGGCCTCCCAAAGTGCTGGGACCACAGGCGTGAGCCACCACGCCTGGCCTATTATTATTTTTGAGACGGAGTCTGGCTCTGTCACCCAGGCAGGAGTGCAGTGGCGTGATCTTGGCTCACTGCAACCTCTGCCTCCCAGGTTCAAGTGATTCTCCTGCCTCAGCCTTCCAAGTAGCTGGGATTACAGGCACGCACCACCATGCCTGGCTAATTTTGTTTGTTTTTAGGAGAGATGAGGTTTCACCATATTGGCCAGGCTAGTCTCAAACTCCTGACCTCAAGTGATACACCCGCCTCAGCCTCCCAAAGTGTTGGGATATCAGCCGTGAGCCACCGCACCCGGTCTAATTTGTATGAAATATCTAGAATAAGTAAATTCACAGAGACAGACAGACGGATTAGTGGTTGTGAGCGGGAGGTATAGGGGATGGGGAATGGGACATCTTAATGGTTATGAAGTTTCATTTTGGAGTGACAGACATGTTTTGGAACTAGATAGAAGTGGTGGTTGTAGTACAATGTGAATCTACTAAATGCCACTGAACTGTTCACTTTAAAATGGCTAATTTATGTTACGTGCATTTCAACCTGATGCATTTTTAACAACTCAGAACTCAGCCCACTCCATACAGAAAGTAGCACATTTAATTTCTTCTCGAAACATGCTTTTAGAAAAGTATTTTCCCTAGGTAATTTTTCTTGTATCTTTTTACTGCTTTAAAATGTCAATTGTGCACCCATCATGAGTATTCTCTAAGTAGGGAGCAGCAGTCTTTGTCAGTCAGATAAAGATTTACATAGAAGAGTAGCTGCTTGTGGCAACAGCTCTACAGTGCTTGCTTCCTTCTTTGTTCCTAATAGCACTCCTTCTTTCCTCCTAGGATCTGGGAGTGAAGGACTGGTCGTACCTCAATGCACTGCTCACCCTGGCAGAAATGACGGCCTTCTGCTCCTGGCACAAAGCTCTTAAGTCTCAGAATGAAAGAAAAAAAAACTTTCTAGATACAAAAACTACTTCTCAGTAACTTGCAAATGTCAGTGTCTTTAAGGAAAACCAGCAATAAACTCTTAAATTACATTTAATGTAAACAATGACTGCTTGCCAGAGTAGTCACTTCAACAAACTGAGATAAAAATCTAAGGATGTTAGGGCACCAAGGCACATACCCAAACCCCTGTCATAATACTGTACATGAAGGAAATTCTCAAAAGAAGAAGGAGAGAGGGCAGGGAGATGATGCAAAAATGTTCTAATATTAGCAACTTCTCATGGGCTTATGAAGCACTTCTGAAGAGTCCCCTGTGCCAATTTAAACCCATTATGACATACCTCCCAGTGGGGGACTGCCAGGATCTGTTATTGGAGTGCTATACAAAAGCTAGGAGGGAGGGAAATAGAAATTTCAAGATAAAAACAGTCTAATTTTTTCTGGGCTTTAGCTCACCTCAGATCTAAATACAGCATCAAACTAGAGTTATGTTGAGTTTGCAACTTTCAACATATATTTCTATTTTTAATCAAAGGTATTTATTTGAAGTACAATATCCTATTATCATTTTAATCAACATAAATTCTAAAAATAAGTATTGTTTACTGGTCTTTCATTGTCTTCTACAGTGAAACCTAAGATTATCATTTATAAAAAAGATGAGAAACTACATAGTTTGTAGTAAAAACCCCATTTAAAAACAGAAGAATAGCATCTGTATTTTATTAAATGTCTCCAAGAATAATAAATGCATTCTACACAGTTTTTCCAAAAGAGAGACAGTATCAGAAAAAAAAAAAAAAGAATAAGCATTAAGTTGGCTTTATTAACTCTCTCGCATAAGGTTTCACTCACCAAAATCTCTTTCTTAATTTTTATCATTTATCCAGGTCATCTTCTAAGTCCAAAGAAGCTGGCATTTTTAGGGCTTGGATTTCAAGGTAGCAGCCCAGCAGCCAAATCAAAATTCTAAAAACAAACAACAACAACAACAACAAAAAGAGAGAGAGAGATAAAATAAAACCACAGTATTATATAGAAATTAAAGATTTCTTTAATTTCATAACCTATCTTTTCAACAAAAGTCAATGTAAATATCACAAGTTATCAAGTCAGCATTGGCATCTTTAGAGAATGTTAAAACAGGGTTTTCATTAAGTCTACAAAGATTATCTTTTCTGATTTTTTTTTTTTTTTTTTTTTGAGACAGGGTCTCACTCTGTCACCCAGGCTGGAGTGCAGTAACAGATCATAGCTCACTGCAGCTCAACCTCCTAGGCTCAAGCAATCCTCCCACCTCAGGCTCCCAAGTAGCTGGGACCACAGGCGCATGCCACCACATCTGGATAATTTTTTTGTATTTTTTTTGGTAGAGATGGGGTTTCACCATGTTGCCCAGGCTAGTCTTGAACTTCTGGGCTCAAGCGATCCACCCGCCTGAGCCTCCCAAAGTGCTGAGATTACAAGCATGAGCCACTGCCCCCAGCCTTTTTTGAGATTTTAGGCCACTCATCAGCAAGCATTCAAAGATTGTAGAAGCAAAACTCACAGACTTATACAAGCATCACTTAAGAATCATAAAACTGTCACTTTAAGCCTTAGAGCCCTCTCTATACCTTCATTCTTAATTCTGTCCAGATTAATTAACATCAGGTCACACTATCTGCATATGCTTAGAGCCCAAAACAAAATATTTTGTACACATACAAAATACAAGACCCGCTTTTCTAACAGGATTTCAAATTTAGCTTTTTAAACTTGACAAAGTTTTAGGTGTAAGTTTTTTTCCTATTTTATCCATAATATCTATACATTATATTTTTCATTAAATTTTCAGTTTAAGTCTTGAAATATTTACTGTAGATATAAAACTTATGCATGGAACTTGCATGGTGGTGCATGCCGGTGGTCCCAGCTATTCAGGTGACTAAAGCAGGAGGATCACTTGAGGTCAAGAGTTTGAGGTTACAGTGAGCTATGATCATGCCACTGCAATCCAGTCTGGGCAAGAAAGCTAGATCCTGTCTCTAAAAAAAATAATAATAAAGCCATAAGAGAAAAGATTGATAAGTTCAAATGCAAAAAAAAATCAATTCTGCAAAGCAAAAAACATTGTAAGTCAAAAAAACAACAAACTAAGAAAAAAATACTTGCAATCATATCAGTGATAAAAGAACAAATCTCCCTATATAGAATGATATAGAAAAAAATATGCATAGGTATGTGTATGTATATGTGCTTATACAGGCACATAAAATAAAAAGATCAATTTGGACAAATGTATAAAAATGGACACAGAATATGATCAGAAAATTCACAGAAAAAGAAATACAAACGAACATTCAACATATGAAAAGATGTTTACCCTCACACAAAAGAAGCAAAAAACAATTTTTCACTCATCAGATTAGCAAAACTCCAAAAATTTGATAATTTACTGTTCCCAGCAAGGTTATGGTGAAACAGGCACTCTTATTCATTGCTGGCGGTAGTGCAAATTGGTACACCAGCAATTAAGTAATGTCTTTCAAAATCACAATTACAAGCTGGGTGTGCTGGCACACACCTGTAATCCTGGGTACTTGAGAGGCTAAGACAGGAGGACTACTTGAGGCCAGGAGTTCAAGGCTGTGGTGAGCTATAATAGCATCTGTAAATAGCCACTGCACTCAAGTCTGGGCAACACAGTGAAACTTCATCTCTTAAAAAAAATTACAATTGCATAAACTATTAACCTAGCAATTCCACTTCTGGATAGCAATCCTACAGATACACTTATCATCATATAAGATGACGTATGTATAGTGTTATGCACTACAGCACTGCTTGTAATAGAAAAGTTAGGAAATTACCCAGATGTCCATCAATGGGACTGATTTAAATTATAGAACATCCTTAAAAATGAAATGCAAAAAAAAAGAAACACAGCAAGAAGGAAAATGCTGTCTGTGTACTGACACAAAAAGATCTCCAAGATATATTTTTGAGAGAAAAAAAACAGAGTAAACCATTGAGTACCTTGTGCTACTTTTTTTGGGGAAAGGGGAGAAAAAATATTTTATACATGCTAGTGCTAAAATACTCTAGAAAGAAATATAAGACCAATAAAAATGGTTATCTTACAAGGTGAATTTAAAAAATGATGTTATACCAGAGGGAAGGAAGCACTCACACTAATGAGGAGTGTGTTACAAGAACACAGGAGCCAGTTTTAAGGGTTTTCCACTGGGCAAATTTGAGACAATTTGAGTACCAAAAGAGAATAATTACTAAAATTGATATCATGAATAAGAATCCATGAATCTCCAGCAATAACTCAGAGAGTGAAAAACTTTAAAAAAAAACACTTCTTCCCATCATTGGAGGTAACTATGACATTAATGACTTATTCTGAAGATTGATAATTAAAGAGAAAGAAATAAGCAATTTACAGCCTTTTTAGAAGGGTTCATCCTCGGTAGAGCGGCAAAGCTCTCTTACAGAAGACTACCAGTTAATAAATGTAGAAGCAAAGAAAGAATTTCAAAATCACCATTTTGCAACCCCAAATGAAATAAATGATTCAGGCAAGGACGATCACAGGTTGCTAAAAATCATTTTTGCATGATCGAAAATTGTTGGAAAACAGGTTACCACAGTGCCAAAGGATCATTCCAGAGATTACTTCCGAATTGCAAAGGGGAAAAACTGAGTACCATTATAATGGGAAGATGTGACAGTCACCAGCTTAACCTAGTGATCAAACTCAGCAACAATCAGAGTGAGACTCTTCATTTATGCCTCTTGATGTGATGTAACTTTAAATACACAGACTAAGTTATGATGTATTATTACCAAAAGTGCCTAACCTAGGTCTAAACAAGTCTTCAACGTAATTTCTCCTTCACAGGAATTCAAGAGATAGAGCAACAAGAAAAATCACAAGAAAACGTAATCTGACAGAACTAGAATATGGAACTTGCTACAATAAAACTGGTCTGGTCTCTTCAAAAAGCCAAAATCTTGGGGGAAAAAATAGGGGAAGGATAGAGTTCTAGATTAAAAGAGACTGAAAGTCACAACAACCAACTGCAATGCAGAAATGTTACTCAGATCTGGTTTGAAGAAAACAGTTTGAAATAATTTTTTAGGCAGCTGGGGGAAACTGAATGTGAACTGAGTAGAAGGTATTAGGGCATTATTTTTAATTTTCTTGGGTGTGGTAATGTTATTTGTAATTAGGTAGAGAATGTTCTTTATTCTTAGAAGATGCATGCTAAAGCACAGGGTTATAAAGTGTCATTATGTCTGCAGCTTGTTTTCAAATTATTCAACAAAGGTAGATATTACAAATATGGCAAAATGTTAACACTTGTTTAAACTACATGGTCTTCATGGTATTATTGTTTCAACTTTTCTATATGTTTGAATTTTTTTTTTTTTTTTTTTTTTTTTGAGACAGAGTCTTGCTCTGTCACCTAGGCTAGAGTGCGGTGGCATGATCACAGCTCACAGCAGCTTCAAACTCCTGGGCTCAAGTAACCTCCCACCTCAGCCCCAGAGTAGCTGGGACTACAGGTGCACAACCACCATGCCCAGCTAATTTTTTGATTATTTGTAGAGATAGGGTCTCCCTATGTTGCCCAGGCTTATCTCAAACTCCTAGGCTCAAGCAATCCTCCTGCCTCGGCCTCCCAAAGTGCTGGGATTATAGGTGTGAGCCACCGCACCCGACCTGAAATATTTCATATTAAAAAAGTTAGAACCAGGTATAGCGGCTCATGCTTGTAATCCCATCACTCTGGGGGTGCTGAGGAGGGCAGATTGCTTGAGCCCAGGAGTTTGAGATCAGCCTGGGCAACATGGTGAAATCCTGCCTCTACAAAAAAATACAAAAAATTAGCTAGGTGTGGTAGTGTGTGCCTGTAGTCCCAGCTACTCAGAAGGCTGAGGTGAGAGAATCACTTGAGCCCGGGAGGCAGAGATTACAGCGAGCTGTGATTGTGCCACTGAGCTCCAGCCTGAGCCTATAAGTTCGAGACCAGCCCAGGCAACACAGTGAGATATTGTTTCAACTAAAAAAAATAAATAAAAAATTGACTGGGTTTTGTAGCTACTCAGGAGACTGAATTGGGAGGATCACTTGAGCTGAGGAGACTGAGGCTGCAGTGTGCCATGATCAGCATTCCAGCATGCCGGAATTCCACTGCTTTCCAGCCTGGGCAAAAAAGCTAGCATCCCGTCTCAAATTAAAAAAAAAAAAGGTTGGAAGAAAAAGACCATAAAGGTCCATGGGAGCTGAGGGTGAGATCGAGACTTCTCACTATGTATCTTTTTGAATAATGTTTTTCTTTTGAACCATGTGAATATATTACCTATTGAAAACAAAAGTTAGCTATAAATAAAACCTCTTAAACGCTTAGTATCAATATTTCTACTCTTACCCCATCTCAGATATGCAACAACAAAAATGTCTCCTGCTTTTTATCTCCTTTTTTGAAGGGGGCTCCTCTGGCTACATTTCCCCACGAGTCATTTGACTCATGATAAGAACCTGGACCATCAGCCAGCATGGCCAAGGAGTAATTGTGCCACCTCTTCCCAAAGCCCAGGCAGCACAGCTCACAGCTCCGGGAAAGACTCCTTCCCTCTGCTTGAGGAGAGGAGAGGGAAGAGTAAAAGAGGATTTTGTCTTGCAACTTGGATACCAGCTCAGCCACAGTAGGAGAGGGCAGAGTCCTGAAGTCCCCATTCTAGACCCTAGCTCCTGGATGACATTTCTAGACATACCCTGGGCCAGAAGGGAACCCACTGCCTTGAAAGGAAGGACTCAGCCCTGGCAGCATTCATCACCTGCTGATTAAAGACCCATGAGGCCCCAAATAATCAGCACTGATAGCCAGGTGGTATTTGCTGTGGGGCCATGAGTGAGACTGAGACATGCTGTCTTCAAGCATGACCCAGCACATTCCCAGCTGTGGTGGCTACAGGGAGAGACTCCTTCTGCTTGAGAAAAGAAAGAGGAGTAAAGGGGCCGGGTATGGTGGTTCATGCCTATAATCCCAGCACTTTGGGAGGCCGAGGTGGGTAGATCACCTAAGGTCAGGAGTCCCAGACCAGCCTGGCCAACATGGTAAAACCCCATCTCTACTAAAAATGCAAAAATTAGCTGGGCGTGGTGGTGCATGCCTGTAGTCCCAGCCACTCGGGAGGCTGAGACAGAAGAACTGCTTGAACCTGAACCTGGGAGGCGGCAGCTGCAGTGAGCCAAGATCACACCATTGTACTCCAGCCTGGGAGACAGAGCTTCCAGCTTAGGTACCAGAGACACTAAGCTACAAGACAAAGTTCCCTTTACTATTTGGGCTATGTAGAGCACTAAGCAGGCTCTCGGGGTCCCCAATTCCAGGCCTTGGTTCTTGGATGGCATTTTCATTCTTTTTTCTTTTGTTTCCTCTGACTGCATATTTTCAAAGAGGCTCTGGGCCTGCCCTGGGCCAGACAAGAGCCCACTGTCCTGAAGGGAGAGTCCTAGGCCTGGCAGCATTCATCACAACCTAACTCAAGAGCCTTCGGGCCTTGAGTGAACACTGGCAGTAGCCAGGTGGTGCTTGCCACAGGTCTGGGGTGGTGGCGGCCGTAGGGAAAGATGCCTCTGTTTGCAGAAAGAGGACGAAAAAACGGGAAGGACTTTGTCTTGTTACTTGGGTGCCAGCTCAGCTGCAGCAGAACAAAGCACTAGATAGATTCCTAAGGTTTCTGACTTCAGGCCCTGGCTTCCGAACATCTCTGGACCCACCCAGGGCTGGAGAGAACTTGCTGCCCTGAAGGGAAGGACACAGCATGGCTGGCTTTGCCACTTGCTGACTGTAAAGCCCTAGGGCCTTGAGTGAAGAACACAGGTGATAGCCAGGTGGTAGTTACTACAGGCCTTGGGCGAGAGACCCAGTGCTGTGCTGGCTTTAGGTCTGACCCAGTGTAGTTTCAGTGGTGGGGTGGCCACAGGGGTGCTTGTGTAACCTCTCCCCTAGCTCCAGGTAGCTCAGCATAGACGGACAAATTCCAGTTGTTTGGGAGAGAGTAAGAGGAGAGAACAAGAGTCTCTCCCTGGTAATCCAGAGAATTATTCTGGATTTTACCTAAAACCACCAAGGTGGTACCTCTATGAGTCTGCAAGAGCCACAGTTTTACTACACTTGGGGTGCCACCTAATGTAGATACAAATGCAGTGACAAGAGACCTGGATCACAACACTCAAGTCCCTTTGAATACTCGGAAAGCCTTCGCAAGAAAGATGGGTAAAAACAAGCCCAGACTGTAAAGACTATAATAAATACCTAACTCTCCAATGCCTAGACACCAACAAACATCCACAAACATCAAGGTAATCCAAGAAAACATGACCTCACCAAATGAACTAAATATGGTACCAGAGACTAATTCCAGAGAGACAGAGATATGTGACCTTTCAGACAGAGAATTCAAAACAGCTGTTTTGAGGAAACTCAATGAAATTCAAGATAGCTCACAGAAGGAATTCAGAATCCTATCAGATAAATTTAACAAAGGGACTGAAATAATTAAAAAAATCAAGCAGAAATTCTGGATTGAAAATGCAACTGACATACTAAAGAATGCATCAGTCTCTTACCAGCAGAATTGATCAAGAAGAAGAAAAAAATGGTGAGCTTGAAGACAGCCTCTTTGAAAATACAAAGTCAGAGGAGACAAAAGAATGAAGCACATCTACAAGATCTATTAACAGAAAATAGCCTCAAAAGGGCAAATCTAAGAGTTACTGGCCTTAAAGAGGAGGTAGAGTGAAAGAGAGGGGCAGAAAGTTTATTCAAATGAATAATAACAGAGAATTTCCCAAACCTAGAGAAAGATATCAATATTCAAGTATAAGAAAGTTATAGAACACAAGCCAGTTTAACCCAAAGAGTACTACTTCAAGACATTTAATAACCAAACTCCCAAAGGTCAACGATAAAGAAAGGATCCTAAAAGCAGCAAGACAATAGAAACAAATAACAATTTTAAAAAATACAATGGAACTCCAATACATCTGGCAGCAGACGTTTTAGTGGAAACCCTATAGGCCAGGAGAGAGTGGTATGACATATTCCAAGTGCGAAAGGAAAAAAAATTTACCCTAGAATAGTATATCCAGTGAAAATATCCTACAAACATGAAGGAGAAATAAAGACTTTCCCAAACAAAAGCTGAGGGATTTCATCAACATCAGACCTGTCCTACAAGAAACGCTAAAGGGAATTCTTCAATCTGAAAGCAAAGGACGTTAATGAGCAATAAAAATCATCTGAAGATACAAAACTCACTGGTAATAGTAAGTACACAGACAAACACAGAATATTATAACACTGTAATTGTAGTGTATAAACTACTCATATCTCAAGTAGAAAGACTAAGAGACCAATTAAAAATAATAACTACATCAACTTTTCCAGACAGTACAATAAGATAAAAATACAAACAAAAAGTTTAAAAGTGGGGGGAACAAAGTTAGTATGTAGAGTTTTTATTAGTTTTCTCTTTGTTTATGCAATCAGTGTTGTTATCAGTTTAAAATAATGGTTATGAGATATTATTTGCAACCCTCATGATAAACTCAAATAAAAAAATACAACAGATAAGAAATAAAAAGTAAATTAAAACATACCACTAGAGAAAATCACCTTCACTAAAAGAAAGACAGGAAGGAAGGGAAGAAGGAAAAGAAGACCACAAAACAACCAGAAAACCAATAACAAAACGGCAGGAATAAGTCCTTACTTATTAATACTAACATTGAATGTTAATGGACTAAATTCTCCAATGAAAAGACACAGAAAGTGGCTGAATGAACAACAACAACAGAAAACAAGACCCAATGATCTGTTGACTACAAGAAACACACTTCACCTACAAAGACGCATACAGACTGAAAACAAAGGGATGGAAACCAAAAAAGAGCAGGAGTAGCTATACTTAGATCAGACAAAATGGATTTCAAGACAAAACTATAAAAAAGAGACAAAGAAGGTTATTATATAATGATAAAGGGGTCAATTCAGCAAGAAGATGTAACAATTATAAATATAAATGAACACAATCCTGGAGCACCCAGATATATAAAGTAAATATTATTAGAGCCAAAGAGAAAGACAGACCCCAATACAGTAAGAGCTGGAGATTTTAACATCCCATTTTCAGCACTGGACAGATGATCTAGACAGAAAATCAACCAAGAAAAATCAGATGTAATCTGCACTACAGACTACATGAACTTAATAAGATATTTACAGAACATTTAATCCAATGGCTGCAGAATCCACATTCTTCTCCTCAGCACATGGATCATTCTCAAGGACAGACCATATGTTAGGCTACAAAACAAGTATTAAAATTTTTTTTAATTGAAATAACATCAAGTATCTTCTATGACCACAATAAAACTAAAAATCAATAACAAGTGAAATTTTGGAAACTATACAAACACATGGAAATTAAACACTATGCTCCTCAATGACCAGTGGGTCCATGAGGAAATTAAGGAGGAAATTGGAAAATTTCTTGAAATAAATTATAATGAAAACACAACATACCAAAACCTGTGAGATACAGTGAAAGCAGGACTAAGAGGGAAGTTTATGGCTATAGGCATTTACATTAAAAAAGTAGAAAAATTTCAAATAAACAACCTAACAATGTATCTTAAAGAATTAGAAAAGCAAGAGCAAACCAAACTCAAAATTAGTAGAAGAAAAGAAATAAAGATGAGAGCAGAAATAAATGAAATTGAAAGAATACACAAGATCAGTGAAATGAAAAGCTGCCTTTTTGAAAAGATAAACAAAATTGACAACCTTTAACCAGACTAACAAAAAAAGAGAGAAGACCCAAATAAATAAAATCAGAGATGAAAAAGGAGACATTACAACTGATACTTCAGAAATTCAAAGGATCGTTAGAGGCTACTATAAGCAACTATATGCCAATAAATTGGAAAACCTAGAAGAAACAAATTCTTAGACACATACAATCTACCAAGATTAACCATGAAAAAATCCAAAACCTGAACAGACCAGTAACAAGTAACAAGATCAGGTGAAACCCTGTCTCTACTAAAAATACAAAAATTAGCCAGGCATGGTGGCACGTGCCTACAGTCCTATCTACTCGGGAGGCTGAGGCAGGAGAATCACTTGAACCCAGGAGGTGGAGGTTGCAATGAGCCGAGATTGCATCAATGCACTCCAGCCTCGGCGACAGAGACTCCATCTCAAAAACAAAACAAAACAAAACAAAAAACAAGATCAAAGCCATAAGTAAAAGCCACAATAAAAAAGAAGCCTGGGATCCAATGGCTTCACTGCTGAATTCTACCAAACATTTAAGGAAGAACTAATTCCAATCCTACTCGACCTATTCCAAAAAATAGTGAAGAGAATAGTTCCAAACTCATTCTACAAGGCCAATATTACCCTGATACCAAAAGCAAAGAAACATCAAAAAAAGATGATAGACACAGTGATAAACACTAATGCAAAAATCCTCAACAAAATACTGACAAATCAAATTAAACAACACATTAAAAAATCATTCATAGGCTGGGTGCGGTGGCTCACGCCTATAATCCCAGTACTTTGGGAGGCCAAGGCAGGCAGATCACCTGAGTTCAGGAGTTCAAGACCAGCCTGGCCAACATGGAGAAACCTCATCTCCACTAAAAATACAAAATTAGCCCAGGCACAGTAGCTCACACCTGTAATCCCAGCACTTTGGGAGGCCGAGGCAGTCGGATCACGAGGTTAGGAGATCGAGACCATCCTGGTCAACATGGGTGAAAGCCCGTCTCTACTAAAAATACAAAAATTAGCTGGGCGTGGTGGCGCATGCCTGTAATCCCAGCTACCTGGCAGGCTGAGGCAGAAGAATCACTTCAACCAGGGAGTCGGAAGTTGCAGTGAGCCGAGATTGCACCACTGCACTCCAGCCTGGCAACAGAGCAAGACTCCGTCTCAAAAAAAAGAAAAAAAAAATTGGTGAAAATATAAAAACGAAATAATACTATGATCATATATTGGTTACATATTAAAATATATCAGTTCATGAACTGTTCGAAACAACTAAGCAAAATATAGGTTTAATTATATAATTACATTATTTTAAAATTTTTGCAAGTCAAAATGCACATGAACTGAAAGGCAAAATGCAAGTTGAGAGTTACACATTTTTGTTTGTTTTAGTTTTTTGAGTCAGGGTCTCACCCTGCTGCCCAGGCTAAAGGACAGTGGCACAATTCCCAGCTCAATGCAGCCAAGTGATCCTCCCACTTCAGCCTCCCGAGTAGATGGACCCAAGTGATCCTCCCACCTCAGCCTCCACCATGCCCGGCTAATTTTCGTATTTTTTGTAGAGACAGGGTTTTATCATGTTGCCCAGGCTGGTTTCCAACTCCTGGGCTCAAGTGATCCACCCACCTCAGCCTCCAAAAGTGCTGGGATTACAAGCATGAGCCACCATGCCCAGCGATTTATAAAATTAGAAATGAAAATAATCAATGATCAAAAAGCTTGCTACACTTCGTAAGTAATCAAAGAAAAACAGGTCAGGCATGATGGCTCACACCTGTAATCTCAGAACTTTGGAATGCCAAGGCGACTGCATCACTTGAGGTCAGGAGTTCAAGACCAGCCTGGACAACATGGTAAAACCTCGTCTTTACTAAAAATACAAAAATTAGCAGGGTGTGGTGGCCTGCACCTGTAATCCCAGCTGCTCGGGAGACTGAGGCAGGAGAATCACATGAACTCAGAGGCAGAGGTTGCAGTGAGCCAATACGGCACCACTGTACTCCAGCCTGGGTGACAGAGCAAGACTTGGTCTAAAAAAAAAAAGAAAAAAAAAACAAAAAAACAAAGTGAAATGTGTCTTTTTTCATCAAACTGGAAGATTTAAAAATAAAATAATTGTGGCAATGTACAATGAAATAGATTAACATTTACATTTTGCTTAAATATAAGCAAATAGAATTATCCTTAACATCTTAACCATAAGCTTAACAATCTAGGAATCTAACCTAATGAAATAACTGATTTTGTGGTCAAAGATTTATATTCAAAGAAGTTCATCACTGACGGGTGCAGAGGCTCACACTTGTAACCCCAGCACTTTAGGAGGCTGAGGCAGGCGGATCACTTGAGGTCAGGAGTTCGAGAGACCAACCTGGCCAACATCATGAAACCCCGTCTCTACCCAAAATACAAAAAATTAGCTGGGTGTGGTGGCACACACCTGTAATCCCACCTACTAGGAGGCTGAGGCAGGAGAAATGCCTGAACCCGGGAGGTGGAGGTTGCGCCACTGCACTCCAGCCTGGGTGACAGGGAGAAACACCGTTTAAAAAAAAAAACAAAAAACCGTCATCACAGCTTAGACAACACAGTGAGATTCCATCTCTACAAAAATAAAATTTAGGCCAAGCGTGGTGGCTCATGCCTTAATCCCAGCACTTTGGGAGGCTGAGGCAGGCAGATCACCTGAGGTCGGGAGTTGGAGACCAGTCTGACCAATATGGTGAAACGCCATCACTACTAAAAATACAAAAATTAGCCGGGCGTGGTGACAGGTGCCTGTAGTCCCAGCTATTCAGGAGGCTAAGGCAGGAGAATCATTTGAATCCAGGAGGTGGAGGTTGCAGTAAGCCGAGATCACGCCACTGCACTCCAGCCTGGGTGACAGAGGGAGACCTTGTCATAAATAAATAAATAAATAAATAAGCAAGCTGGGTGTGGTGGCACACCTGTGGTCTCAGCTACTCAATAGGCTGAGGTGGGAGGATTGCTTGGACCTGGGAGGTTGAGGCTGCAGTGAGCCATGACTGCATCACTGTACTCCAGCATGGGTAACAGAGTGAGACCCTGTCTCAAAAAAAAAAAAAAAAAGTTCATCAAAATATTCTGTTGATGGTTCAACAACAGAAGTGGTTAAACAATTTAAATATACTCAAATATTGCTTCCCATTGAGACTAATGTTTTTGAGAATATTTAACATCATGAGCAATATTTATATTTTAAATATAAAATATATAAAACATGTTACTTCCGCTTTCTTTTTCAAAAAAATTATTTTAATCACACATAACTGTATATATACATGGGGTACAGTATAATATTTTGATACATGTATACAATGTGTAATAATCAAATCAGAGTAATTAATTAGCACATCCATCACCTCATTTATTATTTGTGTTGGGAACATTCAAAATCCTCTCTTCTAGCTATTTGAAAATATACAATAAATTATTTTTATCTATAGTCATCCTACAGTGCTAGAGAACACTAGAACGTATTCGTCCTATCCAGCTATAATTTTGTATCCATTAACCAGTCTCTTTTTATCCTTCCCCTGCTCTTCCCAGACTCTAGTAACCTCTGTTCTACTCTCTATTTCTTATACCCTTTTTTTTTTTTTTTAAGACAGTCTCATTCTGTCACCCAGGCTAGAATGCAGTGGTACAATCTCACCTTACTGCAACCTCTGCCTCCTGGTTTCAAGCAATTCTTGTGCCTCAGTCTCCCTAGCAGCTGGATTTTCAGGCGCGCACTACCACGCCCAGCTAATTTTCTTGTATATTTTTAGTAGAGATGAGGTTTTGCCATATTGCCCAGGCTGATCTCAAACTCCTGGGCTCAAGCAATCCACCCACCTGGGCCTCTCAAAGTGCTAGGATTACAGGTGTGATCCACCACACCTGGCCTATTCTACGATCTACTTCTATTGTGATCAACTTTTTTACCTTCCACATATAAGAACATATGGCATTTATCTTTCTGTGCCTGGCTTATTTCACTTAACATAATGTCCTCCAGGCTGATGCATGTTGCTACAAATGACAAGATTTCATTCTTTTATGGTATATATACCACATTTTCTTTATCTAGTCATGTACTGATGGACACAAGTTGATTATCTTGGCTATTGTGAATAGTGCTGCAATAAACATGAGAATGTAGATGTCTCTTTGACATACTGATTTCCTTTCCTTTGAATATATACCTATTAGTGGGATTGCTGGATCATATGGTAGTTCTCTTCTTAGCTTTTTTTTTTTTTTGAGACGGAGTCTTACTCTGGTGCCCAGGCCCCAGACTAGTATGCAGTGGTATGATCTCGGCTCACTGCAACCTCCAACTCCCAGGTTCAAGAGATTCTCCTGCCTCAGCCTCCCTAGTACTGGGATTACAGGCGCACACCATTGTACCCAGCTAATTTTTGTATTTTTAGTAGAGACAGGGTTTCACCATAGTAGCCTGGCTAGTCTCGAACTCCTGACCTTGTGATCCACCCGCCTCAGCCTCCCAAAGTGCTGGGATTACAGGCGTGAGCCACTGCGCCCAGCCCTCTTTTTGGCTTTTCAAGGAACCTCCATAACTATTTTCCATAATGGCTGTACTAATTTACATTCCAATCAACAGTATATAATAGTTGCCTTTTCTCCATCTTTTTGGTAATAGCCACTATTTTAACTGGGGTGAAATAATATCTCATTGTGGTTTTGATTTGCATTTCTTGATGACTAGTAATGTTAAGCAGATTTTCATATACTTGCTGACAATTTTACATTTTCTTTGGAGAAATGTCTATTCAGATCAAGTACCCAATTTTTAAAGTCAGACTGTTTTTCTACTGTTGAAACATTTCAGTTCCTTCTTTATTCCAGATATTAATCCCTTGTCACATGAATAGTCTGCAAATATTTTCTCCCATTCTGCAGGTTATCTCCTCACTGTTTCCTTTGCTGTGCAGAAGCTTTCTTAACTGGATATAATCCTATTTGCCAGCTTTTGTTTTTGTTGCCTGTGCTTTTAAGGTCTTATCTATAAAACCTTTGCACAGACCAATGTCCTGAAGTGTTTCCTCTATGTTTTCTTTTAGTGGTTTCATAGTTTCAGGTCTTACATTTAAGTCTTTAGCTCATTTTGAGTTGATTTTTGTATATGGTGAGAGATAGGGGTCTAGTTTCATTCTTCTCCATGTGGATATCCAGTTTTCTCAGCATATGCATTGAAGAGACTGTCTTTTTATCAATGTATGTTTTGGGCGTCTCTGTTGAAAATCAGTTGGCTGTAAACGTGTGGATTTATTTCTGGGTTCTCTATGGTGTTTCATTGGTCTATGTGTCTGTTTTTATGCCAGTGCCATGCTGTTTTGGTTACAATAGTTTTGTATACTTTCAAGTCAAGAAGTGTACTGCCTCCAGCTTTGCTCTTTTTGCTCAGGATTGCTTTGGCTACTCAAGGTCTTTTGTGGTGCCTGCCATACAAATTTTAGGATTGTTTTTTCTAAAGAAGTCTGTGGTAGACAGACTTGTAAAATGGCCACCAATTACTCCAGCCTCCTGGTGTTCATGCCTTTGTGTAATCTCTTCCTCCTGAGTATGGACTGGCCTGGTGATTTGCTTCTAACTAACGGACTATGGAAAATGTGATAGGATGCCACTCCATGATTATAAAAAATTGTGATTTCCATCTTCCTAGGAGACTTGCTATTCCTTTCTCAGCTTTGTGATGTTGAAGAAGCTACATGGAAAGGAATTCAGAGCAACCTCCAGCCATCAGCCAGTGAGAAACCAAGCCCTTCAATTCAACATCCCTTCAAGAAGAGAATTCTGTCACCAACCAAGTTAGTTTGGAAACAGATTATTCCCCAGCCAAGCGCTAAGATGAGACACCAGCCCTGGCTGACACCTTGACTACCTCCTGTGAGAGACCCTGAAACAGAAGACCCATCTAGGCTATGCCGATTCCTGACCCATGGAAACCCATGCCATAATAAAAATGTATGTTGTTTTAAACTACTAAATTTGTGGTAATCTGTTATGCAACAATAAATAACTATTGTACCCTACATGGAAATCCTGCTGAATAAACTGCCTGGCAATTTCCTTTTTTATTTTTTGAGATGGAGTCTCGCTCTGTCGCTCAGGCTGGAGCACAGTGGTGCAATCTCAGCTCACTGCAAGCTCCGCCTCCTGGGTTCACACCATTCTCCTGCCTCAGCCTCCCAAGTGGCTGGGACTACAGGTGCCTGCCACTAGTCCTGGCTAATTTTTTGTATTTTTAATAGAGACGGGGTTTCACCGTGTTAGCCAGGATGGTCTCGATCTCCTGACCTCATGATCCGCCCTCCTCGGCCTCCCAAAGTGCTGGGATTACAGGCATGAGCCACCGTGCCCGGCCTTTTTTTTTAGTTTTTGTTTTTTTGTAGAAACAGTATCTTGCTGGCGGGGCCTGGTGGCTCATGCCTGTAATCCCAGCACTTTGGGAGGCCGAGGAGGGTGGATCACATGAAGTCGGGAGTTTGAGATCACCTTGGCCAACATGGTGAAACCCTGTCTCTACTAAAAACACAAAAATTAGCTGGGTGTGGTGGCAGGCGCCTGTAGTTCCAGCTACTCAGGAGGCTGAGGCACGAGAATCGCTTGAACCCAGGAGGCGGAGGTTGCAGTGAGCCAAGATGGTGCCACTGCACTGCAGCCTGGTAACAGAGCGAGATTCCGTCTCAAAAAGAAAAAAAAAAAAGAAACAGTGTCTTGCTATGTTGCCCAGGCTGATCTCCAACTCCTGGCCTCAAACGGTCCTCCTGCCCTACCTTCCCTGGAACTCTGCCCAGCCAGGATTCTTAAATCAAATCACAGTGCTGGAACTGTGCCCAGCCAGGATTCTTAAATCAAAATATTTTTCCCTCTATTTATAAATATTTATCCAAATATTTATGGGGGGAAAAAAGTCACAGGTCACACAGTGGCCAGTTCTGCTTTAGCTAGCAGTGGTTCCCAAACTTGTCTGTGCTTTTTTTTTTTTTTTTTTTGAGTCGGAGTTTCGCTCTTGTTGCTCAGGCTGGAGTGCAATGGTGCGATCTTGGCTCACTGCAACCTCTGCCTCCCGGATTCAAGCGATTCTCCTGCCTCAGCCTCCCGAGTATCTGGGAGTAAAGGCATGAACCACCACGCCTGGCTAATTTTGTATTTTTAGTAGAGACAGGGCTTCTCTATGTTGGTCAGCCTGGTCTTGAACCCCTGACCTCAGGTGATCCGCCTGCCTCGACCTCCCGAAGTGCTGGGATTACAGGCGTGAGCCACAGTGCCCAGCCTTGTCTGCACTTTAGATCTTCTTGAGATCTTTTAAAAATTCCAAAGTCCAGGCCATACTCCCAGGGCAATCAAATCACAATCTGCTGGGGAAGGGAAAGGGACAATGGCATCAGTTGTCCAAGCTCCACAGGTGATTTCAATGTGAAGACAGGTTTGGGAAATCACTGAGCTAAAGTTTTATCTGTGTGATCAAGAAAAAGCTAATTCAAGATGACAGAGAGAGAGGCAGCTGAATGAAACTAACTATATACACCTGCCCTTCTCTGAGATCGTAAGGTAGCCTTGATTTCCCCCTGCAAAGTTATGAATTCTGAAAATATCAGAGAGAAGGCCAAATAAATGCTTATTTTGCTTTTTGGATTTATCCATGCCTCCATTCGCCTCCAGAATTATGAACAAGTGAGAAATTCACCTTTTTGTCTTTTCTTGGTACTTTTCATGGAACCAATAAAGAATTCTGCCATATTACATGTATTCAACATAACTAATAAGACATGACTTGAATGCTTTTTTATTAAGCAGATCTTATTTAATTTAGTCAGTTTTGATCCAACCCACATGCCAAATGCAGCTTGCCAAAGTAAAATACCCTATGGACATTAGGATCAAAATGCCTCCTTTTTAAAAAGTAAAGTCTATTTATAATCCAATCCTTTAAGTTGAAATTAGGCCTTTTATAAATTGAATTTCATGTATTCTACAGAATCAACAGACCTGCTTAAGAACTCTCTGACCACTCTCAGAAAAGTTAGTCAGTGGGACCCCTCTCCATTCCTCCCAGGACCTAAACAAAAAAGAAAAAGGGCAAGAGGAAGAAGAGAAACATCAGAAGAAAAGACTACATATAAACCCTTATAAACCTATTCAAAATAAATTTTTGTGATTGGCCAAATTCCTTCTCTCTACCACTGTTTCTGCTAATTTTACTCTAGAAAGAGTTGTAAAAGGCCAGGTGCTGTGGCTCACGCCTGTAATCCCAGCACTTTGAGAAGCCAAGGTGGGTGGATCACCTGAGGTAAGGAGTTCGAAACCAACCTGACCAACATGGCAAAACCCCATCTCTACTAAAAATAAAAAAAATTAGCCAGGCATGGTGGCGCACTCCTGTAGTCACAGCCACTCGGGAGGCTGAGGCAGGAGAATCACTTGAACCTGGGAGGCAGAGGTTGCAGTGAGTGGAGATTGCACCACTGCACTCCAGCCTGGGTGACAGAGCTAGACTGTCTCAAAAAAAAAGAGTTGTAAAAGACAGATGACCTATCTACAATTTCTAGTCCAGTGGCTTTTATTAAGGAAAGCTTATAATCATCAAAGAGGCTCAATATACTTTTGAAATACCACAGTAGTGGTTACACAAGTGTGTTAATTTTATAATTCATTAACCTTATAATTTGTGTGCTTTTCTTTGTATGTTACACATCAATTAACACATTTTTACAATAGATACATTTGTCCTGGGCAGAATCTCTGAAAGATTCTAAGTAAGCAGGTATCAGAAATAGTCAAGGTTACATGATTTGTCCTAGGTCACAGATATAGTTAGCTACAAATGAAGTCCTTCATATCACTTTCCTACTCTTTCTGTTATAAATTGTAAATATGTTGATATTATTATACTTTTTAATTTAACATTACTTTCCTACTTAAGACTATGAAAAAAATAAGTATTACAAGTGAGAACTGCAAAAAACAAGCAAACAAGTAAATAGAAAACACATGTCCTGGGTTCATAACTGTGCACTATTGAAGCTATTGTACCATCCATATGAGGAAATTAAATAAAGCCTAACGCCCATGCAACCATTTTTTTTCTTTTTTTTTTTTTGTTTGTTTTTGAGACGGAGTCTCGCTCTGTCACCCAGGCTGGAGTGCAGTGGTGCAATCTCGGCTCACTGCAAGCTCCGCCTCCCGGGTTCACGCCATTCTCCTGCCTCAGCCTCCCGAGTAGCTGGGACTACAGGCGCCCGCCACCATGCCCAGCTAATTTTTTTGTATTTTTAGAAGAGTCGCGGTTTCACCGTGGTCTCGATCTCCTGACCTTGTGATCTGCCCACCTTGGCCTCCCAAAGTGCTGGGATTACAGGTGTGAGCCACCGTGCCCGGACTCTGTGCAACCATTTCTTAACCTCAATATCCTTTTTCAAATGCTTTCAATGTAGACATATGTCAAACTATTAGTAGTAAAATCAACTGTGTACCTATTCAGATAGACTAGCATTATTTTTGATATGAAAATATAGGGTGATAGAACGGAAAAAGGGCTAGGCTGAGCATTGCAGAGTGGGTTTTAGTCATGGCTGTCCCATAAAGTTGTTTTATGATTTAGGGCAAGACATAAATCTCTCTGGTCTAAGAGTATTAAAATGAGAGGATGAACACCAGAGCTAGGACTAAACAGAATCTCAGGTTCCTTCCAGGTTTAAGAAAACTCAAGGACTATTTAACAACAACAACAACAACGTGTATATATATATATATATATATATATATATATATATGCTTTCAAAATGCATTTTACAAATGATTATCTCTATTCAAATATGTTTAAAGTAGCTTTGTAAAATAAAAATACTAGAATTCCTCTGGCACCTGCTTCATAAATACAAGCATATTCTTCAGCTTGTATCAAATGCAAACCTCTGATCTGTTGTCTAGGTGCAACAACCTCTCCCTCTCAGTTGGCTAATAATAACATTGTTGATTCTTTATCATCATGAGACTCTTTTGCCTGCATTTAAAAAACTTCATTTTATGAATCAATTTCAGATTTACAGAACATGAGTTATTTTTATGAGAAATATGTATCTCTCAATATGTAACAGAAGTCTTTCTTAATTTCTAATAATCTACTGTAATTTGAAAACTTTCCATGGATGCATTTATTTGACTACCCTTTACCAACTGCCTACTAGCACTCTGCTAGGCACTTTCCTGCTCCTGAAGTTACTATACAAGAACAAAAAGACTGTGGAATGGTTAATTGAAACAACATTATTTCATGAATGCCTCCATCTGAATATTACACTTATAGTATTTAAAAAATTAAGTTGGCCTTGTAACCACACAACCTTAAATGTTTCAGGATAACTTATAAGACATTGTTAAAGTGTCTAAATAAACAGTTAAATGCTCACTGTTAAAGACAATTTGCCTAGGCATAACTATTATAAGATCCAATTTCATCCTCCCTATACCCTTTCATGAGGTCCTTATAAAACTATTTCATGGTGGCCGGGCACGGTGGCTCATGCCTGTAATCCCAGCACTTTGGGAGGCCGAGGTGGGAGGATCACAAGGTCAAGAGATCAAGACCAGCCTGGCCAACATGGTGAAACCCTGTACCTACTAAAAATACAAAAAAAAAATTAGCTGGGCGTGGTGGCATGTGCCTGTAGTCCCAGCTACTTGGGAGGCTGAGGCATGAGAATCTCTTGAACCAGGGAGGAAGAGGTTGCAGTGAGCTGAGATTGCGCCACTGCACTCCAGTGTGGCGACAGATGGAGACTCTGTCTTAAAAAAAAAAAAAACAACAACAAAAAAACTATTTCATGCTTATTCTCAGATCTGGGGCTCCCAAGGGAAAATTTGTGCAGCTCTCCAGCCAAATCAGAGAAACTTAATGCTCTGAAAGGATCAACAAAATGCCTGTCAAGGTGATTGGCATTTCAATACAACAACCCTGGTTTGCTCTTGGTAGGGATAATAGACAATTTAAGGGATTAGGAAATATTAACATTAATTTTTAAACTTCAATCCTAACTTCTTAGTATAAGAAACAAAAGATAAATTAGTAAAACATGAAACTTGAGATTTCCAAAACCACTCATCCCAACACATATTATAAACATATTATAAACCGTAAGTCAGAGGCTCAGTGAGATTTTTCCCACGTTGTTACATAAAAAAAACAAAGAAATAAATCTGTGCCCAAATTGCAACAAAGAGAAAAAAAATTACAAATGAATAATACAAAAACAGAAATAAAATCTAGAAGAGGTCAGGCGTGGTAGCTCACGCCTGTAATCCCAGCACCTTGGGAGGCCAAGGCAGGAGGACTGCTTGAGCCTACGAGTTTGAGACCACCCTGGGCAACATAGGGAGACCCCACTTCTACAAAAAAAATTTAAAAATTACGGCCGGTCACAGTGACTCATGCCTATAATCCCAGCACACTGGGAGGCTGAGGTGGGTAGACCACCTATAATGAGGTCAGGAGTTGGAGGCCAGCCTGGCCAACATGGTGAAACCCTGTCTCTATTAAAAATATAAAATTAGCTGGGAATGGTGGAACACCCCTATAATCCCAGCTACTAGGGAGGCTGAGGCAGGAGAATTGCTTGAACCCGGGAGGAGGAGGTTGCAGTGAGTCGAGATCACGCCATTGCACTCCAGCCTGGGAGACAAGAGTGAAACACTGTCTCAGAAAAAAAAAAAACAAAAAAATAGGCTGGGTGCAGTGGTTCACGCCTGTATTCCCAGCACTTTGGGAGGCCGAGGAGGGTGGATCACTTTAGGTCAGGAGTTCGAGACCATCTTGGCCAACATGGTGAAACCCTGTCTCTACTGAAAATATAAAAATTAGCCAGGCATGGTGGCGGGCACCTGTAATCCCAGCTACCTGGGAGGCTGAGGCAGGAGAAACGCTTGAACCCACGGGGCAGAGGCTGCAGTAAGCTGAGACTGCACCACTGTATTCCAGTCTGGGCAACAGAGTGAAACTCTGTCTTAAAAAAAAAAAAAAAAGGTCATTTTGGAGACAACTGGAGAAACTTACAGACTTAATGTTAGATAATATTAAGAAATTACTGTTTTGTTAGGTGTTAATAATGGTATTGTGTTTATGTAGAAGAATATCCTTACTTGCAGGTGATGTGTGCTAAAATATTAAAGGCATAGTATCATGATATCTTTATTTTTAAAAAGTTTAACATAATAAACATATTATTAAACATATGACAACATGTTGAATATAGATGGTGAGTATAAGGGTGGTTCACTGTACTATTATTCCTGGGGCTTTTTCTATGTTTTAAAGTTTTAATAAAACATTTAAAATATCAAAAAAAGCCCACAAAACTGAAGAACTGCTATTATACTAGAAGAAAAAATTTATGAAATTCAATTTTAACTAGTAGCTAGTGGCACTATAAACTGGTAGTTGTTCTGAAGAATAATCTGACAATGTGGCTAAAAAGTGATAGCCTCAGACCTAATGAAATCATTTTAGGGAATATATTCTAAGAAAAAAACTGGAAGAAAAAAGATTTATAAAAAGATGTAACAGCGCTACAATTTAGAATTGTAAAATAGGGCTGGGCATGGTGGCTCACTCCTGTAATCCCAGCACTTTGGGAGGCTGAGGCGGGCAGATCACGAGGTCAGGAGTTCGAGACCAGCCTGGTCAACACGGTGAAATCCCATGAAATACAAAATCCCGTGAAAATACAAAAATTAGCCAGGCATGGTGGCGCATGCCTGTAATCCTAGCTACTCAGGAGGCTGAGGTAGGAGAACTGCTTGAACCTGGGAGGTGGAGGTTGCAGTGAGCTGAGATCACGCCACTACACTCCAGCCTGGGTGACAGAGTAAGACTCCATCTTGGGGAAAAAAAAAATTGTAAAATATAAATAAAAACGAACTGAAAATCACCCAAATGCCAAATAACCAGAGTATTTTAGACTTTGGTTGTCATATATCCATTAAAAATGATAAATATACAGATGTGTAGAAAAGTACGTCAATATATTGCCAAATGAAAAAAGACTAAAAAAACCTTTATATGAATTAAATTTGTAAAGACTGTATGAATATGAAAATGACTCAGAAGTTATGTACTTGCGGTATTTAAACATAATTTTTTTTTGTTTTTTGAGACGGAGTCTCACTCTTGTCACCCAGGCTGGAGTGCTACGGCATGATCTTGGCTCACCGCAACCTCTGCCTCCCAGGTTCAAGCAATTTTCCTGCCTGAGCCTCCCAAGTAGCTGGGATTACAGGCGCACGCCACCACGCCAGGCTAATTTTTGTATTTTTAGGAGAGACGGGGTTTCACCATGTTGGCCAGGCTGGTCACGAACTCCTAACCTCAGGTGATCCACCCGCCTTGGCCTTGCAAAGTGCTGGAATTACAGGTGTGAGCCACAGTGTACAGCCTTAAACATAATTTTTAAAATTTCATGGGGACACGTGCTATTAGAAAAAGTATAAACAATGCAAATATAAAATCAGGAAGAACTGCCTGGGCACAAATAAAGAAAGCACCTGAGGGCTATTACTGACCACAATTCAAATGAGTATTCACAATTTAAATACAGTACTATCCTGGGCAAGGCCAACATTGCTACCATTAAAAAGACACAGGCTGAGCACAGTGGCACACGCCTGTAATCCCAGCATTTTGGGAGGCAAGAGTATCGCTTAAACCCAGGAGGTTGAGACTGGCCTGGGCAACATAGGAAGACCCATTCTCTACCCCAAAAAAAAAAAAAGCCAGGTGAGGTGGTGAACACCTGTAGTCCCACGTGTTCACTCAGGAGACTGAGGTAAGAGGATCGCTTGAGCCTGGGAGGTTGAGGCAGCAGTGAGCCATGATCACACCACTGCACTCCAGCCTGGGTGACAAAGCGAGACTCTATTTTTTTTTTAAATAATAATTTAAAAATAAAAAGACACAGAAAAAGAGCATATCATTAGCCTGGACAGTACCCAGTCTTCCTCAATTCTATTTGTTATTTTAAAACAATACTCAGTTTTCCTCAATTCTTTCCAATATTTTTTTAAATTATGGAAAAACTGAAGAAGTTTCAAAGAAAAACCAAGAGGTAAAGAATAGGATGGAAAAGAGGTAATTTTGAAGAATGGTTTGAAATCAAATGAAGTGTGACATGACTATTAACACTGAAATATCCATGGGGAGGCTTTTGAATGGAGACCCTGAAAAGCTGATGTATCTCTCAATGCCCACAGATGACTCACCAAGAAGAGAGGGCTAACAAAACCCTCAAAGTTTGTTGTTTTACAGAAGAGAGATTTCTTTATTGTGCTGGCAAAAGTTACTGGCATAGGAAAATGAGGGAGGCTGGGTGTGTTGTCATTGACCATCTGTTTTTCTACAGGGTGTTTACTTATCCATGATCACCTGATCATATTAGAATGTCTCTAAAACTTGACTCAGTTACTCAAAGCTTGAATCAATTATCTACCATTTCAAAATTCCGCAGTGCCATCCTGCTCCCACACACTGGTCACTCAGCAACATTCAAATGTCTTAGACCTGGCATCCAGGGCCCCAAGAAAGTACGTCGGCTTCACTTCTCCACAACTCCTCAACAAACCAGCAAATCAGACTTCTCACTATTTCATTACCTAAATATTCCTTACATTTTCCTATGTCCATCATTCCTTTGGTTACTCTCTCCTTAATCCCATTTGTTGCAATCTTACCCTTCCATTTTAATAAATTTTAATTTAATGCCTCTATGTTATCTCAAACACTACCTGTTATGTGTTGACTTGTGCCCCCCAATCCCATCCCTGCCAAATATGTTAGTCTTAACTCTCAGTACCTCAGAATGTGACCTGATTTGGAAACAGAGTCGCTGCAGAGGTAATCAATTAAGATGAAGTTACTCCTACTGGAGTAGGGTGGGACCTACTAGTGACCTTATAAGGGAAATTTGGACACAGAGACATACAGGGAAAACGCCATGTGACAACAGAGGCAAAGATGGAGTGATGCAGCTACAAGCCAAGGAGCACCAAGAATTGATGGAAGGCTCAGCCTCTCAAGTAGGTGCGATTAGATGCACATGCCAGCACGCCTGGCTAATTTTTGTACTTTTAGTAGAGATGGGGTTTTACCATGTTGGCCAGGCTGGTCTCAAACTCCTGAACTCAAGTGATCCACCCACCTTGGCCTCCTAAAGTGTTGGGATTACAGGTATGAGCCAGCTATTTGGGAGGCTGAGGCAGGAGAATCACTTGAACCTGGGAGGCAGAGGTTGCAGTGAGCCAAGTTTGCACCACTGCACTCCAGCCTGGGCAAGGGAGTGAGATGCTGTCTCCAAAAACAAACAAACAAACAAACAAACAAAAAAGAGCAGCTGGGTGCAGTGGCTCACACCTGTAATCCCAGCACTTTGGGAGGCCGAGGCAGGTGGATCACCTAAGGTCAGGAGTTCGAGACCAGCCTGACCAATATGGTCAAACCCCATCTCTACTAAAACTACAAAAAAATTAGCTGGGCGTGGTGGCAGTTGCCTGTAGTCCCAGCTACTCAGGAGGTTGAGACAGGAGAATCACTTGAACCCAGGAGGCGGAGGTTGCAATGAGCCAAGATCTCACCACTGCACTCCAGCCTGGGCAACAGAGTGAGACTCCATCACACACACACACAAAAAAGCAAAAGCAAAAGCAAAAGAAAATGTATATAAATGGGTACTACGGAACTGATATTCAACAGATTCAATATCAGTAAAGGAGCTGATTAATGGGAACTTTTGTTGCCTTTGTGTGTGTGACGGAGGGGGAGGGGTTGCAGCTGGTTAATGCTAAATACAAACTGAAATATCTGTTTAAAGTATGAATGCCCTCTGAATTTGGTGCTCATTAATATTAACTGATATAGTTAATTTATTAACTGATAATGAATATTATAACTGACATAGAATACACAATTCATCACAAAGTAAAGGTATGGTCCTGGCCTTCTGCTTTATAGAGATTGTATATCAAATAAAGCATATGACCAACTCTAGGGCTGCATTCCTCCTTCCATCAAAGCCATAGTATTTCATTTGTGTATACATCTAAATGTAACTCTAGTTATTTACTAATTAACTCAGAATGTTTATTGAGCTCCTAGGCAGCTACTTTATGTCCTTTTTAGAATAAGGTGAGGTAGAAAAAGATCACATTTAAAAAAATAAATGAATATACCAGACATCAAAATAGGCAGACACTGGAGCTGAAGGGAGGGAAGGGGGAAGGCAGAGACAGACACCAGCCCAGTCCTAAAGGAGCACTCACCCAATCTAGTGAGAAGTAAGAGAGTAAACTAGCTCCATATCTCTCCTTTCTCCCCATGCTGATCCTACACTTCACAATCAGGCTTCCTTTCCTAACGTACAGCTTTCATCACATCACTGGCGAAAAACATTTGATGACTTCCCACTACCTAGTCAATCAAGTTCAAACTTCCCAGCTTGGAATAGAAATGGGTATTCAAAGCCTTCCATGATTTGATTATATGGTATGCAGAGATTAGGAAGGCAGGCTTTGAAATTAGACTACCTGGACTCAAATACTTTCTGTATCAATTGTTAGCTCTCTTCTTCATTTTATATGTAAAAAGGGATTAAAAACCAGTGCCTACCTCATCAGGTTGTTGTAAGGATTAAATAAAATGCTACTTATGAAATACTTAGCACATTATCTTGCAAATAGTAAGCATGCAAAAAATGTGAGCCATTGGCCAGGCATATGGCTTGTGCCTATAATCCTAGCAATTTGGGAGACCAAGGCAGGAGATCACTTGAGCCCAGGAATTAAAGACTGCAATGAGTTATAATCACGCCACTGCACTCCAGCCTGGGCAACAGAGTAAGACCCTGGTTCTATTTAAAAACAAAACAAAACAAAACAAAAAAACCCTACCCAAAGAACACTGGGGGGAAAGAAAAGCCACTACTACTATTAATTTTTTTAAGTTTTATTTATTTTAGGTTTTATCTATTATTGTTACTATTGTTCATCTCCATTTCCACCCTTAATTCCAACAACACCCTTATAACAATCCTCTTCTCCAAGCAAAGTGGACTCTTTACCATCTCCTAAATACCCACCTCTGTGTTTATGCTTTCACTCAGCCTGGAAAATACAGCACTGTCTCATCTCCAAGTATTAAGATACTAACTATTCTTGGCAGCTTCGTTCACAGACCACCTCTTTCAGGTACCATTCTCTAGTATCCCAGCTCCATAACACATTACAGACATTCCTCAGCATAGAAACCTTGGCTAGATTCATCTTGGTATCTTGCAGAGTTCTAGCCAGTTTCCAGAATACATGGTAGGGCTCAACAAATGTTTGAGAAAATAATACCTATATTTCCTTTCTCGTCCAACCACTCTCTTAGACAACAGCTCCACAATACAAGTAAAAAGAGTTCTTCTACAGTATTTCATAAAGCTGGCCAGCTAATTTTCTATCACCAATGTGGTAATTTCTAATACAGTACTTAATACATAGTAGATGCCTAAATATTCAAGGAGCTAAGCTGAATTTCACCTCATCTTTTAATTTCATTTATCATTCTATTCATTATGATCAAGTATGGCTCATCCTTAGAAATAGGTTTTAGTATTTACTTGCCCACAAACTCATCTGTCAATTTCTGGCCATCCCCCCCACCATCCCAATATGTCATTTACTGGTTTGGGGGAGACAATATTCAATACCTCAATAAAGTAAGAATCAGAAAATTAAATGTCTGCAGGGCCATAAAAATAAAGAGCAAAGCAAGACAGCAAGGCAGACTATGGAGAACTAGGAAACACATCTCACCTAAAAGTTTCAGCTGGTTACCGCTATAAATGAATATGGGCTTGCTGTTGACAGATCTTCCAATTTTTCAAGGTTAAGTCAGAAACTCAGAGGTCTGTGTACATTTTTAAGACATTAAAAATATTGTGTAAACCAAACAAAATACTTATACAGGTCAAATCCAACCACAGGTTGCCAGTTTGCAACCTCTGCTACAGAAGTTCTCTGCAAAAGTGATGGCGTGAGAAGAGTTCTATCCTAGCAGATAATCTAAGGCAGCCCCTAAAACTAAGTAGCTCCTTGGAAGCATCTCCTGCAACACTCAGCCCAACTCTCACCATTCTGATTGACCTGAAAACCAAATTAATTTGGCAATTTAATTGAGCAAAATGAGCCCCTGCTCTGTACCAGGTGCTGAGGAATCAGAAATGAACAGTAGTGCTAAAGTACAGCTAATATTTATTGAGCATGTTCTAGGTGCCAAGCACTGTTTTACACGTTATGTATATTGACTCATTTAATCCTCACAAAACCCTATGAGATTACTATTATCCTTAAAGACTGAGGCGCAATGAGGTTTTATTTGTCCAAGGTCACACAATCAGCAAGCAGCAGTGCTTAATAAGGACCTGAGACAGACTCCACCAAAAAGAGCTCACAATTTGAAAGCAAGCCCCATTCAATAAATGATGCTGGGATCACTGGTTATACATAGGGAAAAAAAATGAAACTGGACCCGACCTTACACTACACATAAGAATCCATTCCAGATACATTAAAGATCTAACCATTGAAAACAACAGTAGGTATTCCAGAATATAAAGAATAATTGCAGGCTGGGCACAGTAGCTCACACCTGTAATCCCAGCACTTTGTGGACTGCTTGAGCTCAGGAGTTCCAGACTAGCCTGGGCAACATGGCGAAACCCCGCCTCTACAAAAAATGCAAAAAGTAGCAGGGCATGGTGGCGCATGCCTGTGGTCTCAACTGGCATGGGAGGTGGGAGGGTTGCTTGAGCCCAGGAGGTTGAGGCTGCAGTGAGCCGAGATCGCACCACTGCACTCCAGCCTCGGTGACAGAGCGAGACCCTGCCTCAAAACAAAGAATAACTGCAAATCTTAAAGGAAAAGATTGATAAAGTTGATACTAAAATTCAGAACTTTTTAACAAATGACACCTTAAAACAGATGTTTTAAAATAAGCAACAGGCCAGGCGCAGTGGCTCACACCTGTAATCCCAGCACTTTAGGAGGCCAAGACGGGTGGATCACTTGAGGTCAGGAGTTTGAGACCAGCCTGGCCAACATGATGAAACCCCATCCCTACTAAAAACACAAAAATCAGCCAGGTGTGGTGGCACATGCCTGTAGTCCCAGCTACTTGGGAGGCTGAGGCAAGAGAATCACTTGAACCTGGGAGACGGAGGTTACAATGAGCTGAGATGGCACGACTGCACTCCAGCCTGGGCGACAGAGCAAGACTTCATCTCAAAAAAAAAAAAAAAAAAATTAAAATAAGCAAGAAACTGGGAAATGACATCTGTAATATCTACCAACAACAAAGGATTAATAATCAGAATATATAAATAAATCTTTTGTAAAAGACAACCCAATAAAAAAAATGGCAAAACAAGCCCGAGCATTATCTAATCCGTGTAAAGCTGGCACTACCACAGTTACCACACAGTACACTCCAGAACAATAGACCTTGCCATCACTGACTGATATAAATATTCAGGGGTCTGTGTTATGCTGCAGGTACACAGAGCATGGGTAATCCAGCCCAAAGGGCAGAGCCAAGACGTTTATTCATTCTCTATCATCATATAGACATTGGATGGCAAATTAGAGGTTGAACATCCAACACTCAAACACATAGATCAGGGGTTGGCAAATGTTTTTGTAAAGAGTATTTCCAGCTTTGTGAGCTGACACAACACATCTCTGTCACGACTACTCAACTCTGCTATTGGTACCACAAAAGAAGATATGGACAATATATAAATAAATGAGTGTGGCTATGTTCCAATAAAACGTTATTTACAAAAACAGATCGTGGGCCAGATTTGACCTATGGACCACAGTCTGTCGACCTCTGACATAGATAGTTGTGCTTTTTCTACACTATAGGTAGGACACTTCCCATGTTTTCCCCTGTCTTTTATGTCTGCTGACACCTCTGATTTCCTTAACCAAAAACTACACCACACTTGACAGCTTTGCAATGGTTTCCAAAACTCTATTACTCTGCCAAAAAAACCTTTTCGCCCTTATTATCAATGAGAATTCTCCCCTCATTTTCCTTTCACTTTTTTTTTTTTTTTTGAGACGGAGTCACGCTCTGTTGCCTGGGCTGGAGTGCAGTGGTGCGATCTCGGCTCACTGCAAGCTCCGCCTCCCGGGTTCACACCATTCTCCTGCCTCAGCCTCCCGAGTAGCTGCGACTACAGGCGCCCGCCACCACGCCCGGCTAATTTTTTGTATTTTTAGTAGAGATGGGGTTTCACCATGTTAGCCAGGATGGTCTCGATCTCCTGACCTCGTGATCCGCCCGCCTCGGCCTCCCAAAGTGCTGGGATTACAGGCGTGAGCCAACACGCCCAGACTTCCTTTCACTTTTTTAAACCTCTTTGACAGACACCACCCCAAACCAGAAATTTAAAAAACTCCCCCTAAGCCACTCACAATGTCAATAATCAACACCTGCAAATTCTAACTCCACTCAATGCCCACAGCCTCTGCCTTAGTTCAGATCCTCATTACTTCTAACTCTGCTCAGTGCCCACAGTCTCTGCCTTAGTTCAGATCCTCATTACTTCTAACTCTGCTCAGTGCCCACAGTCTCTGCCTTAGTTCAGATCCTCATTACCTCTCTGGTCTTCAGTCTACCCTCCTTCCAAAGAACATCCATTTATCTCCTAGAAATTAAACCTCCACCACATACTCCCCTTCTCGAAGATCTTGAATGCCTCTCTCAGCTAAGGATTCAGTCCAAACTCCTTAGCAAGGTCCTTCACAACCAGGTTCCTAACATGGTCTTCCTAGTCTCATCTCTGGCCATGCTTTCACACACATTCTATGCTCCAGCCACATTCAGTTATTAATACATTCCCTGAAAACGTGTCTTTACCTGAAAGGCCCTTCTCTCCATTTCACTGGCAAATTCCTGTATCTTTTAGGACACATCTCAAATGTCACCCCTTCGCAACACCTTCCCTGATTCTTTGAGCAGACACACCCATCTCCGTGTCCTTATAGCGTTTAATAACTCTTCTTTGGCATCGACCATCCTGAACTATGATTGTTCACATGTCTACTTCACTCATGGGGCTGCATACCCAAAGTGAAGTGACTCTGCCTTAAAAACTTCTGAAGCTACAGAGCCCAGTATAATGCTTGATATGCAGTAGATGCCTTGAGGCACAGTAAACGTTTGCTGAATGGAAGACATGCCTGGCAGTAGGAGTAGGGTTTCTTAACCTGGGGTTCATAGACAGGAGTCTATAGATAGGACTTCAGTGGGGCTTGTGAACTTGGACAGGGAGAAAAAAATCTCTTTTACTAACTTTTAACTGAAAATTACCATTCTATTCAAATATGAGTGTAGGTAACATACCATTCTAGTATTAGCAGTTCTGTGACTCTGTAACAACAGAAATCTCAAATATCTTTATATCATACTACAATTGTTGCATATAATCTTGAAGTAGCCTTTATGCGCATCATGTCTTTGAAATTATAATTATCGGATCCATCACTAAATCTGATTTCTTAACGTGCTGATAAACAAGTATATGCATATTAGATTTGTATATTTTGGAAACTGTATTTTAATATAATTGGTGTTCCTTATAATTCAATGTACTTTATTTTATACAATTAAAAAATATTATTCTGAAAGGGGTCCATGGCACAGATAAGGTCAGGTCTTCCTGCATTAGAAAAACCCAGAATAGGCTGGGCGCGGTGGCTCACGCCTGTAATCCCAGCACTTTGGGAGGCTCAGGTGGGCAGATCACTTGAGCTCAGGATTTCAAGACCAGCCTGGGCAACATGTTGAAACCCCAACTCTACAAACAGAAAAAAAAGAAAAGAAAAGAAAAGAAAAACCCAGAACAAATGAATTGTGTTGCTGTATATACATATGGTATTGACAGTTTTATTTTATATATGCCCGCATAATATTTTTGTTCGCTAATTCTCTTTGATTATATGGGGCCCTGGACCTATTTTCCATGACTAATTTGCATATTTCCTTCAGAACTCTCCCATAGCCCATGCGAACTTTGAATTCTTCTCTAACATGATCCAACTTCAATTAATAAAATAGAGACTCTGGGTGTCTACAATTTTTCACTTTTCTTTTTTAGGATTTTGTGTTCCTTTGTGGTAAACACCTAGAAGAGAAGGAGCATCTCTCTTTTTTTTTTTTCTTTAGACAGTGTCTTGCTCTGTCGCCCAGGCAGGAATGTCATGGAATGACCATAGCATGGCTCATTGCAGCCTTGACCTCCCAGGCTCAAGCGATCCTCCCACCTCAGCCTCCTGAGTAGCTGGGACTACAAGTACAAGCCACATCAGGTGGCTAATTTTTTTTATTTCTTTTGTAGAGATGGGGTCTGCCAGCTCCTGGGCTCAAGAAATCCTCCCACCTTGGCCTCCCAAAGTGTTGGGATTACAGGCGTGAGCCACTGTGGCTGGCCGGAGCACCTCTTAAAACTCTAGAAAGTTAGAAGGTCTCAAAGATAACTTCTTTGCACAATTAGAGATGAACCAGGAAATACCAAATAACTGGCTGCCTATACTTTTTTGTATTCCCTTCAGCCTTTGTATTGCCACACTCATTACAGGAAGAAAACAAATTTAATAGTTATCTGGTATATACTGTTATGCTTCATTTCTTGTTGTTTTTGTTTGTTTGCTTTTAGTTTCATCACAAGAATGTTATGCTTCATTTCTTAACACCTTTCTCCCAGCTAGCAAATTCCTTTAAGGCAATGTGTTTAGTGAGGAAGCAGCCGACAATTTCTAGTACCCCTCTGCCACTAACTTGTAAGATCTTGAAAAGTCAACTTTACCTTTCTATGTTTCAGCTAAAATCACTACCTGATTTGAAATCTTTACTTGATCTCTCAGGCCTTTGTAGTTTTTATACATTCACTCTTCTTCACCATTTTACTGGCTTCAATAACGCCTTTCTGATGACCTCTCCAGGTGACTCTGCTCTTAAGCTGTGGGCTGTCCCCTTCCAGGGAAGACACCTTGGGTCACCGCCCCCAAACAGCCAGGTCCCTCCTTTTAAAGACACACACAACTCCCTAAGTTGATAAAGGTTCTCTCCTTCCTTGCCAACCAGTTCCACTCTCTGTGCCTCTTTTGCTGGCCAGCTCCTGCACCCAAACCTCAGTCTCCCTTTGTCCCCCTTTTCTCTCATCAAACACCTCCTTTTTCCTGTTGCTTCCCCCAAGAGGGGGTGGAGGATGCTTGGGACATAAGTCTTCAGAGCCTTGGGAGTTATACAGCTTTGCAATTCAGCCCCAGTACCCCAAGGACTGCCCCAATCTGAACCAGCGTCTGTACCCAAAGGGCCCTCATTCCTCATCAATCACCTCCTTCCCTCCCAGCAAAGAACTGCTCCAGCCCTGACAGCCTGAGCTTGGCCCCCATGCCTCCACCCCAATCCCCAGGTCCTACCTGCATTAGGGCTCTAACACCGCCTAAGGCCTAACCCAGTTCCACGTCCTGCCATCCTCTCAGCCCATAGACCCCAATCCCGGTTCCCTTCGGACCCAGTGTTCCTTCTCCGCGACCCTGACCACGACCCCACGACCGGCTCCCGCCTGTTCCCCAGGCCTGGAGCGCCACCCCGTGCAGACCCCGGCCAGCCCTGCACTCCCTCAGTGCACCGGCCCCCGCGCCCAGCACCCTCCCCACCCAGCCCGGCCGCCGCTCCCTCCAGCGCCCCCGCCCGCAGGCCTGGGGCCCGCTCCCCAACATGGCGACGGGGACACAAGCGCGGCGGGCGGGGCGGCTCCGGGCCGGGCCCGCTCTCAGACCGTGCCACTCGGTCGCCCGGCGCCATTTTTCCGCGCGGGCCCGGGCGGCGCCTCCTCCCCGCGAAGCCAGCCCGACAAGGACCGCGGACGCCCGGCGGGCCCACCCCTTACGGGCCCGCGCCGCCGTCCCCTCACCTGAGCGCGGCCCCGGCCCTCCCGGGCGGGCCTTGGAGCGCCGGCCCGGGCCGTGCGTGCCCGCCGCCCTCGGTGCGTCCGTCCGTCAGTCCTCGCGTGCGCCCGTCTGTCCCGCCGCCCGCGCCCGGCCGCCCGCAGCCCGACCCGGCAGGGCCTCACGGAGCCGGCGGGGAGGGGGATGGGCCGGACCGGGCCGGGGAGGGAGGGGGAGGGAGGGAGAGAGGGAGGGAGCGCGAGAGGGGGCGGGGCGGACTCGAGGGGCGGGGCATTGCCCACGTGACCAGACGTCCCCGGGAGCGCGAGGTGGAGCGCGCGCCAGCTCCCTTCGGTGCTGAGTGCTTAGTGCTGGGATCTCGTGGGTCTCTGTCGGCTTTCCAGGGCTATTCTCTCGCCAGTGAGTCCCACTTCGGAAGCACACATTGCACAGTCTTTTGCGAGCGCTCTGAGTATCCTTGGACATGGCAACTCCAAGCCTCAGTTTACCCATCTGAAATATGGGGAAAATCATAGTGCTTGTGAAGAGCAAATGGAGGTGGGCTTGGAAAGCACTTGTCACCGTGCCTGACACATACTGTCTAATAATAAGCTTAATGGGATATAGATAAAAGCTTTCATTATTATTTGCCTCTAAATCCCTCTCTTCTTTTTCCCATCATTACCTCCCTAGCAAGCTAAAATGCTCAGTAAATAGAATTATTGATCGAACGAGTGTGGCCCCTCCCCTCTTCCCAAACGTAGAAAGGCCTCCTCAGCACTGGACTTCATGTCTGTCATACAGGCCTGGATTCATATCTGGCTTTCACTCTTTTTTAAAAATTTTCTGTTTTTTCCCACACTACACTGATGTATTTTTTAAATTTTCGTAAGTACGTAGTAGGTGAATATATTTATGGGGTACATGAGATTTTGATACAGGCATGCGATGTGTAATCACATCATGGTAAATGGGGTATCTAGCAACTCAAGCATTTATCCTTTGTGTTACAAATAACCCAATTATACTCTAGTTATTTTAAAATGTACAAGTAAATTTTGTGTGTGTGTGGTTTTTTTTTTGTTTTTTGTTTTATTTTTGTTTTTTTGAGACGGAGTCTCACTCCGTCGCCCAGGCTGGAGTGCAGTGGCGCGATCTCAGCTCACTGCAACTTCCGCCTCCCTGGTTCAAGGGATTCGCCTGCCTCAGCCTCCTGAGTAGCTGGTACTACAGGCGCATGCCACCACGCCCAGCTAATTTTTGTATATTTTTTAAGTAGAGATGGGGTTTCACCATATTGGCCGGGCTGGTCAGGAACTCCTGACCTCATGATCCGCCCGCCTCTGCCCCTCAAAGTGCTGGGATTATAGGCGTGAGCCACCGCGCCCGGCCAATTGTTTTTTACTGTAGTCACCTTCTTGTGCTAGCAAATACTAGGTCTTATTCTTTCTAACTATTCTTTTGTACCCGTTAATCATTCCCACTTCCCACCTACCTCCCCATTAATCTTACCAGCCTCTGGTAACCCTCCTTCTATTCTCTATCTCCATGAGTTCAATTGTTTTAATTTTTCGCTCCTGGCCCGGCATGGTGGCTCACGCCTGTAATCCTAGCACTTTGGGAGGCCAAGATGGGCGGATCACCTGAGGTCAGGAGTTCAAGACCAGCCTGGCCAACATGGTGAAACCCTGTCTCTACTAAAATACAAAAGCTAGGTGGGCATGATGGCGGGTGCCTGTAATCCCAGCTACTCAGGAGGCTGAGACGGGAGAATCTCTTGAACCTGGGAGATGGTGGTTGCGGTGAGCCTAGCTCGCGCCACTGCACTCCAGCCTAGGTGGCTGAGTGAGACTCCGTCTCAAAAAAAAATAAAAAATAGTTAATTTTTTGCTCCCACAAATAAGTGAGAACATGTGAAGTTTGTCTTTCTGTGCCCGGCTTCTTTCACATAACATAATGACCTCCAGTTCCATCCATATTGTTGCAAATGACACGATCTCACTCTTTTTTAATGGCGGAATAGTATTCCATTGTGTATATGTACATTTTATTTATCCATTCATCTGTTGATGGACACTTAGGTTGCTTCCAAATCTTGGCTGTTGTGAACAGGGATGCAGTAAACATGAGAGTGCAGATCTCTTCCATACACTGATTTCCTTTCTTTCCGGTGTATACCTAAGAATGGGATTGCTGGATTGTATGGCAGCTCTCTTTGGCTTTCGCTCTTGATAGCTGTCCTTGCCTCTCTGAACTTGAGCATCTTCATCTGTAAAATGGGAGTTGGGGTCTGTTCTGAGCATCCCAGGAGATAGAGGATGAGCAGGTGGATTGTAAACTAATTAAACAAATCAGTCCTACTGATCCCATAGAAGAAAGGGAGTCAGGAACCCTTTCATTCCATCAATATTTATTGAGTACACACAGTGTGCTTGGACTGGTGTAGTAGATACCCACCATCTTTTCACATTACCCTGACCGCCCTCTAATCTATTCTCCACCCTGCTGTCAGAGTAATGTTTCTAATGATCAGAAATATGATCATGTCACTACTCTACTTAAAAGTATCTGTTGATGGCCAGGTGCAGTGGCTCACACCTGTAATCCCAACACTTTGGGAGGCTGAGGCAGGTGGATTGTTTGAGCCCAGGAGTTCAAGACCGGGCTGAGCAACATGGCAAACGCTGTCTCAACAAAAAATACAAAAATGGCTGGGCTCAGTGGCTCATGCCTATAATTCCAGCACTTTGGGAGGTCGAGGTGGGTGGATCACGTCAGCTCAGAAGTTCGAGACTAGTCTGGGCAACATGGCAAAACCCCATCTCTACTGAAAATACAAAAATTAGCTGGGCATGGTGGTGCACACCTGTAGTCCCAGCTAATCGGGAGGCTGAGGCATGAGGCAAGAATCACTTGAGCTGGAAGGTGGAGGCTTCAGTGAGCCGAGATAACACCACTGCCCTCCTGCCTGGGTGGCAAAGGGAAACCGTGTCTCAAAAAGACAACAAAAGACAAAAACATAGCAGGCATGGTGCTGCACACCTGTGGCCCCAGCCACTTTGGAGGTTGAGGTGGGAGGATTGCCTGAGCCTGGGAGGTTGAGGCTGCAGTAAGCTAAGATCATATCATTGCACTCCAGCCTGGGCAATAGAGTGAGACCCTGTCTCAAAAAAAAAAAAAAATCTGATGGCTCTACATTGCTCTTAAGATAAAGGCCAAGCCGGGCGCGGTGGCTCACGCCTGTAATCCCAGCACTTTGGGAGGCCGAGGCGGGCAGATCACAAGATCAGGAGATCGGACCATCCTGGCTAACACGGTGAAACCCCGTCTCTACTGAAAATACAAAAAATTAGCCGGGCGTGGTGGCAGGCGCCTGTAGTCCCAGCTACTCGGGAGGCTGAGGCAGGAGAATGGTGTGAACCCAGGAGGCGGAGCTTGCAGTGAGCCGAGATCGCGCCACTGCACTCCAGGCTGGGCGACAGAGCGCGACTCCGTCTCTAAAAAAAAGATAAAGACCAAATAAATGTTGGCCTCCCCACATCTCTAGATTTATCTTAGGGCCCTCTTCCCCTTTCTCTGGGTTGCAACTACAGTGATATTTCTTACACATTGTTCTCCCTCCTTTCTGAGAACCCTTGCACATGCTGATCCCCCTGCCTGCAATGCTCTCCCCACTTAGATAACTCTCAGTCTTCAGATCCCAGTTCAAACGGGGCTACTCCAAGGATACCTTCCCTGACCCATTCCCACACAGGTTTTCTTAGCACGATATGCTTGTCCTTAGTAGAATACACTGAGTCATTATTACCTGTCTTTGCCACTAGACTATGGACACCATAAGGAAGAAAACCTTATCCATCTTGTTTAACATTGTTTTCTCAGCATATAGCACAGCACCTGGCACAGAGTAGGTGCTCAGTAAGTATTTGTTGCGTTTGTGAATCCTAAGCACAATACTAGGTATTGGGCCCAAGAGGGCAGACAGGAGCAAAGAGAACCACAGGCAACCGCAACAGGGGGGCACCTTAGACCTTTGAGCCTATGAAATTAACACCAAATAAATTTAAAATATCCTGGAAAAAAAAACTTTTCTGAAGCTTTTTATTTTAACTTTTAAAAACTGAAATATAATTTATATACAATAAAATGAAAAACTATTAAGTGTATATCTAATAATTTTTTTGCCTACATTCCTGTGTTACCACCACCTAGATCAAGTTATAGATCTATCAACCCAGAAAGTTCCCTTTTGTTCTCTTTTGTATGTTCTCTTCTAATAAATACCTGCTCCCCCAGATGTAACCATTATTCTGACTTCTAGCACCATAGATTAACTTTTTTTTTTTTTTTGAGATGGAGTCGCGCTCTGTCGCCCAGGCTGGAGTGCAGTGGCACAATCTCGGCTCACTGCAAGCTCTGCCTCCCGGGTTCACGCCATTCTCCTGCCTCAACCTCCTGAGTAGCTGGGACTACAGGCACCCACCACCACGCCAGGCTAATTTTTTGTATTTTTAGTAGAGACGGGGTTTCACCGTGGTCTCGATCTCCTGACCTTGTGATCTGCCCGCCTTGGCTTCCCAAAGTGCTGGGATTACAGGCATGAGCCACCACGCCCAGCCGTAGATTAACTTTGACAGTTTTTGATCTCCATAGAAACAGAACCATACAGTTTGTACTCTTGTGTTAGCCTGGAAATCTGACATAGCCAAAGGGTGATTTTTTGGATAAAGATACAATTAATGAATGACTTGATTAATTAACCTGAAAGACTGAATGAAAAGCTCTGGCTACTTCATCCTACAGACACAGAGGTCCTGACAACAGCCAGCCCAGAGGCTGAGAAGACCTCACTGACATATTTCCAAACCCACAAAGACTTCTAGAGATAAGAAAGCTCTCAAAGATTCCAGAAACTCAGCAATAAGACTGGGTGCTATGGCTCATGCCTGTAATTCCAGCACTTTGGGAGGCCAAGGCAGGAGGATTGCTTGAGTCCAGGAGTTTGAGACCAGCCTGGGCAACACAGTAAGACTTCATCTCTACAAAAAATTTAAAAATTAGCTGGTCATGGTCGTGTGTGCCCGTAATCCCAACTACTCATGAGACTGAGGTGGAAGGATCACTTCAGCCTGGGAATTGGAGGCTACAGTAAGCCAAGATCACATCACTGCTCTCCAGACTGGGTGACAGAGTGAGACCCTGTCTCAAAAAAAAAAGGCAAAGGACTTGAATAGACATTTCTTCAAAGAAGATATACAAATGGCTAATAAGCACATGAAAAGATGTTCAATCTCTGTAGTCATTAAGGAAATGCAAATCAAAACCACAATGAGATACCAATTCATACCCTATTTATGTATGTATGTATTTATTTATTGAGACAGAATCTCACTCTGTCGCCCAGACTGGAGTGCAGTGGTGCGATCTCAGCTCACTGCAACCTCTGCCTCCCAGGTTCAAGCAATTCTTGTACCTCAGCCTCTGAAGTAGCCGGAATTACAGGCGCGCACCACCATGGCCAGCTAATTTTTTGTATTTTTAGTAGAGGTGGGGTTTTGCCATGTTGTCCAGGCTGGTCTCAAACTCCTGAGCTCAGTCATTCCCCCTGCCTTGGCCTCCCAATGTGTTAGGATTACAGGCGTGAGCCACGGCGCCCAGCTGCTGTTATTTTTTTAAAAGGCAGAAAATAACAAGTTTTGGCAAAGATGCGGAGAAATTAGCACTTTTATGCATTGCTGGTGGGAATGTATTTTGTTTTTGTTTTTTGTTTTTCTTTGAGACGATCTCGCTCTGTCACCCAGGCTGGAGTGCAGTGGTGCAATCTCGGCTCACTGCAACCTCCGCCTCCCGGGTTCAAGCAATTCTCATGCCCCAGCCTCCAGAGTAGCTGGGATTACAGGCATGCGCCACCATGCCCGGCCAATCTTTGCATTTTCTGTAGAGACAGGGTTTCACCCTGTTGCCCAGGCTAGTCTCAAACTCCTGGGCTCAAGTGTTCCACCTGCCTTGGCCTCCCAAAATGCTGGGATTACAGGCGTGAGCCACTGCGCCCAGCCAGGAATATAAATTGATGCAGCCATGGTGGAAAACAGTTTGGCATTTCCTCAAAAAGTTAAACATAGGCGCCCCTGTAATCCCAGCTACTTGGGAGGCTAGGGCAGGAGGATCACTTGAACCCAGGAGTTTGAGTCCACCCTGGGCAACATAGCAAGACCCAGTCTCAAGGAAAAAAATGTTAAACATAGGATTACCCTATGAGCCAGTAATTCCACTTCTGGGTATTCATCCAAAATAAGTGAAATCACATTAGTACCACTGTACTCCAGCCTGGGTGACAGATGAGACCCTGTCTCAAAGTTTAAAAATAAATAAATGAACAAGCCAGGTGTGGCAGCACATACCTGTGGTCCCAGCTACCCAGGAGGCTAAGGCGAGAGGATCAGTTGAGCCCAGGAGGTTGAGGCTGCAGTGAGCCATGTTTCCATTCCTGCATTCCAGCCTGGGTGATGGAGCAAAACCCTGTTTCGAAATAAAATTTAAAAAATAAAGAAGTGAAAGCAGAGTTTCAAAGAGATATTTGTGCACCCCTGTTCACAGCAGCATTGTTCACAATAGCCAACATGTGGAAGCAACCTACATATCTATAGACAGTTGAATAGATAAGCAAAATGTGGTCTATACATGCAATGAAGCATCGCTCAGCCTTCATGAAGGAAGGAAATTCTGACCCGACGTACACCACAGATGAACCTTGAAGATATTATGCTAAGTGAAATAAGTCGGTCACAAAAAGACAAATATTGTATGATTCCTCCTATATGAGGTTCCTAAAGTAGTCAAATTCATAAAGACAGAAAGTAGAGTGGTTGCCAAGGGCTAGAGGGAGAGGGAATGGGAAGTTTGTGTTTAATGAATACAAAGTTTCAGTTGGGGAAAACAAAGTTCTGGAGGTAGATGGTGGTGATGGTTGCATGTGAATATACTTAATGCCACCGAATTATATGCTTAAAAATGGTTAAAATGGCAAATTTTATGTTATATATGTATTTTACCATACACACGCACAAAAGATTCCAGAGCCACTATCCTAATTTTTTCACCTTGTTGTCCATGTCCTTAAGCCAAGGGTCATGGGTGTTCCTGGGATCTGCAAGAATGCAAAGAGCTGAGAAGACAGGGGCGCATTGGGCACCTGCAGATCCTGTAGGTAAAAATAGCAGGAGCCTAGGCAACACAAATACTTGTTGCCTGCAGGCAGGCAGCAAAAGAACAAAAACAGGCCATAAACTAGCAGATAGTATAGCATAATGATTACAATATTGGGCTCTGAAGCCAAAGTGAATCTGAACACCCAAGTTCAGATTCTAGCTCTGCCATTTATTAGCTATGTGAAGAAACTGCAACCAAAAGGAGATAAATGACTTGTCCAACAGGGTCCAAAGTATTTTCTCATTTATATTGTTTAAAAATCTTTACATGGGTTTTGTTTCATTCTATATCCCCAGTAGACTGTAAGCTCCCCAAGGAAGCTATGTTTGTAATATCCTCACTTGAAATGTAACTTAACTTCTTTGTGCTTCAGTTGCCTCACCTGTGGGATGCAGAGAATAAGGGCTCCTACTTCATAAGGTTGTCAAGCATATTAATGAATTTATACCTATAAATGTTTAGGAGAAAGCTTAGTGCTTATGATAGTCTCAACAAGCAATAGATTGAGAGAGGCTTCTGAAGAGGTGGTCAGGCTATTTCATAAAATGTTTTGAGCAAGAAAAACAGTCCTAAAACATCCAGGATTGTTCTAGATTTGGACTAGAGTGAAGAAAAAGCAAATCAATTGTTCTTTGATAATTTGATTTGTATTTATTGGACTTCTACTTTCATGTGTGTCCAAACAGGCTCAAGCTCTGCAGTGATAAGACTGACAGTGAATACTTCAATGATGTCTTTAAGAAAAACAATAATAAAACAGGGGAAAAAAGAAAGAACAAAACCATCTAGAAAGTGTCAACATTTTACTGTCTGCAGGGTTCGTCACAACAGTGCCAAATGACAAACTTACCACATTTAGTTGGATGAATTTTGCCCTGCAGAAGGATATCACCTTTTTTTTTTATAGGCAAACAGTTTATTTATTCATCCTCCTTCTCTTCCTCCCCATCTTCTTCATCTTCTTCTTCCATCTTTTCCCAGGCAACTTTAGCAGGACCTTTTGTGCCGTCCAACTTTCCTTTCGACTTATAGTCAGCAACATCCTTCTCATACTTCTTCAGCTTTGCCACCTTAGTGACATAAGGCTGCTTTTCACTGTCATTTAAGTTATTCCACATCTCACCCAGCTTTTTTGCCACGTCTCCAATAGAGATGCCAGGGTTTGTGGATTTGATCTTGGGGCAGAATTCTGAACAGAACAGGAAGAATCCAGACAGTGGCCTTTTGGGGGCATTAGGATCGTTCTTGCCTCCCTTAGCTGGTCCATAATCCTTCATTTCTCTATCACAGTGCACTTTATCCGCCTTTGCCATTTAATCGAATTTAGACTCTCTCTCTCTTTTTTTTTTTCTGAGATGGAGTTTTGCTCTTATTGCCCAGGCTGGAGTGCAGTGGCACGATCTCAGCTCACCGCAACCTCTGCCTCCTGGGTTCAAGCCATTCTCCTGCCTCAGCCTCCCCAGTAGCTGGGATTACAGGCGCCCACCAACACGCCCGGCTAGTTTTTTGTATTTTTAGTAGAGACGAGGTTTCACCATGTTGGCCAGGCTGGTCTCAAACTCCTTACCTCAGGTGATCCACCCAACTCACCCTCCCAAAGTGCTGAGATTACAGGCGTAAGCCGCCGTGCCCAGCCTAGACTTCTCTTTCCCAGACATTGTCTTCCACCTCTCAGAGCACTTTTTGGAAAATTCTGCAAAATTGACAGGGACCTCTGGATTTTTCTTATGCTCTTCTCTGCACGTCTGCACAAAGAAGGCAAAAGCAGACATCTTGCCCCTTAGTTTCCTGGGGTCACTTCTAGCCATCCTGACTGTATTGTTCACTAGTCTTGAAGGATATCACTTTTAAGTGGACACCATTCACATGACATTATAATTTGCAAATTTATTATGATAATTTACCAGTAGATGGCAGTAAAATGCCTTGTTATTTCAGAATCTGTTCGTTGTAACAATTTTCAGATATATGGAAATAAAATGCCTTGAGGAGGGGGTCACTTGTGCTTTGCATAAAGACATGCTATGGCGAGGCGCAGTGGCTCATGCCTGTAATCCCAGCACTTTCGGAGGTGGAGGTAGGTGGATTGTGTCAGCCCAGGAATTAGGGACCAGCCAGGGCAACATGGCAAAACCCCGTCTCTACAAAAAAATACAGAAATTAGCCAATCGTGGTGGTGCATCATGCCTGTAGTCCCAGCTCCATGGGAAGCTGAGATGGGAGGATCACTTGAGCCTGGGAAGCAGAGGTTGCAGTGAGCTGAGACTGCACCACTGCACTCCAGCCTGGATGACAGAGTGAGACTCTATCTCAAAAAAAAAAAAAAAAAAGCGGTGGTGGGGTGGGGGCTTACTATGGGCAAGCCATGGCTTGCTCTTCAGGAAAAAAATCATTGAAAAAATAGAAGAAATAGACTAATAATTACACAATTTTAAAAAGTGGAAGAATATCAAGTGACCATACATACACAAAAAGGTGGGGGTGGGGGAGAAAAAAAAAACTGTTTTCAAAAATATTCTGAAATTTTAAAGCTTTTTATTAGAGTATAATATAAAGACATAAAAGTACAGAAATCGTAAGTGTAAAGCCTGTTGAATTTCCACAAAGCCAACACACATGTCTAACAAACACCCAAATCAAGAAATAGAACATTCAGCCCCACAGAAGCCCCTTCCAGTCATTACCCACAGCCCCCAAGGTTAAACAGTATTTTAACTTCTAACTCCATAGATTAGTCTCACCAGGAGTTAAACTTACAGATTCATCTACATTGTTGCATGTAGTTGTAGCATGTTCATTTTCATTGCTGGGTAGCATTTCATTATTTATTTTTTATTTTTTTGAGACAGAGTCTTGCTCTGTCACCCAGGTTGGAGTGCAGTGGTGGGATCACAGGTCACTGCAGCCTTGACCTCCCAGGCTCAAGTAATCCTTCTGCCTCAGCCTCCCTAGTAGCTAGGACCACAGGTGCATGCCACTACACCATGCTAATTTTTGTATTTTTTGTAGAGACGGGGTTTCACCATGTTGCCCAGGTTGGTCTCAAACTCCTGGGCTCAAGTGATCCTCCCACCTCTGCCACCCAGAGTGCTGGGATTACAGATGTGAGCCACCACACCTGGCCAGCATTTTATTGTTTGAATACACCATAATTTATCCATTCTACTGTTAATGAGCATGTGGGTTTCCACTTAGGAGCTATTTTATTTTATTTTATTTATTTTTTTTAGAGATGGACTCTTGCTCTGTCACCCAGGCTGGGGTGCAGTAGTGCGATCTCGGCTCACTGCAACCTTCGCATCCCTGGTTCAAGCAATTCTCTGGCCTCAGCCTCCCGAGTAGCTAGGACTACAGGTGCACGCCACCATGCCCGGTTAATTTCTTTTGTATTTTTTAGTAGAGACAGGGTTTCACTGTGTTGCCCAGGCTGGTCTCGAACTCCTGAGCTCAGGCAATCTGCCTGCCTCGGCCTCCCAAAGTGCTAGGATTACAGGCGTGAGCCATCACGCCTGGCCAGAGCTTTTTTTGTTTTGTTTTGAGACAGAGTTTCGCTCTTGTTGCCCAGGCTGGAATGCAATGGCGTGATCTCGGCTCACTGCAACCTCTACCTCCTGGGTTCAAACGATTCTCCTACCTCAGCCTCCTGAGTAGCTGGGATCACAGGTGCCCACCACCATGCCCGGCTAATTTTTTATATTTTTAGTAGAGACAGGGTTTCTCCATGGTGGTCAGGCTGGTCTCAAACTCCCGACCTCAAGTGATCCGCCCACCTCGGCCTCCCAAAGTGCTGGGATTACAGGCGTGAGCCACCGCACCCGGGCCGGAGTTATTTTAAATTTTACTACTATGAACATTCTTGTGCATGTCTTTGGATGAACATGTGTACAATTTTTTGCTGGATAAAAACCTAGGACTAGGATTGCTGGGTCATAGAGTTTGCATTCAGCTCTTAGCTCATATTACCAAATCCTATGTCTTTTTAAAACAGTTTTATTGACAGGCTGGGCACGGTGGCTCATGCTTGTAATTCAAGCACCTTTGGAGGCTGAGGCGGGTGGATCACCTGAGGTCAGGAGTTTGAGACCAGCCTGGCCAACATGGTGAAACCCCATCTCTACTAAAAATACAAAAATTAGCTGGGCGTGGTGGCGGGTGCCTATAATCCCAGCTACTCGGGAGATTGAGGGAGGAGAATTGCTTGAACCTGGGAGGTGGAGGTAACAGTTAGCAGAGATCCCGCCATTCCATTCCAGCCTGGGTGACAAGAGTGAAACTCTGTCTCAAAACAAAAATCAAAAACAAACAAAAAACAATTTTCCAAAACAAAACAAAAAAACAGCTTTTGAGATATAATTGACATACTATACAATTTACTCATTTAAAGTGTATTATTCAGCCGGGTGTGTGGCTCAAGCCTATGATCCCAGCACTTTGGGAGGTTGAATCGGTTCGCTCACATATGTCCAGGAGTTCGAGACCAGGCTGGGTGACATGGTGAAACCCCATTTCTACCCAAAATACAAAAATTAGCCGGACGTGGTGCTTTATACCTGCAGTCCCAGCTATTGTGGAGACTGAGGTGGGAGGATCACTTGAGCCCAGGAGGCGGAGTTTGCAGTGAGCCAAGACTGCACTATTGTGCTCCAGCCTGGGCTACAAAGCCAGACCCTGTCTCAAAAAAAAAAAAAAAAAAAGTATAATTCTATGGTATTTAGTGTAGTCACAGATATGTGCAACCATCACCACAGTCAATTTTAGAACATTTTCATTGCCTCAGAAGAAACTCTATAATCTTTAGGTATCTCCCTCTCCCCAACCCCCCCATTCCCTCAGCCCTAAGGAATCACTAATTGACTTTGTCTCTGTCAGTTTGCCTATTATGGATACTTCATATAAATGGAATCATACAATATGTGACCTTTTGGCTTCTCTCACTTGGCACAATGTTTTCAAGGTTCATCCATATTGTAGCATGTATCAGTATCAGTACTTTATTCTTTTTCATAGCTGAATAACATAATATGTATTATTATGTGAATATACCACATTTTGTTATCTTTTTGTCTGTTGATGGACATTTGGGTTGTTTTTTACCTTTTGGTATTGTGAATAGTGATGCTATGAACATTCATGTACAAGTTTTTCTTTGAACACCTGTTTTCAGTGATTTGGGGTTTATGCCTGGGAATGGTATTGCTGGGTCGTATGGTAATTTGGTTTGTCTTATTAAAGAAATGCCAAACTGTTTTCCATAGCTGCTGTACCATTTTACATTTCCACCAACAACGTATGAAGATTCCACTTTTTCACATCCTGAGCAACATTTGTTATTTCCTTTTTAAAAAATTATTGTTGTGGGCGCACAGTGGCTCACACCTGTAATCCCAACACTTTGGGAGGCTGAGGCAGGAGGATTGCTTGAGGCCAGGAGTTTGAGACCAACCTGAGCCACATAGTAAGACTCCATCTCTATTTAAATAAAAGATAAAAAATAACATTTAAGTAAATAAACAAATAAAAATAATATTTATGGCCAGTCTAATTGTTGTGAAGTGGTATCTCATGGTGATTTTGACCTGTTTTAATCTACATTTCCCTAGTGATTATGATATTCAGCATCTTATCATAGACTTATCTTTGAAGAAATGTCTGTTGAAGCCCAGGCACAGTGACTTACACCTGTAATCCCAGCACTTTGGGAGGCCAAGATGGGAGGATTGCTTGAGTCCAAGAGTTCCAGACCAGCCTAGGCTGCATGGCAAAACCCCATCTCTACAAAAAATACAAAAATTAGCTGGGTGTGGTGACATGCACCTGTAGTCCCAGCTACTCAGGGGGCTGAGGTGGGAGAATCTCTTGAGCCTGGGAGGTGGAGGTTGCAGTGAGCCGAGATGGTGCCACTGCACTCCATCCTGGGTGACAGAGTGAGACTCTGTCTCAGAAAAAAAAAAAAAGTGTCCTTTTTGTTTTGTTTTGTTTTGAGGCAGGGTTTCACTCCTGTCACCCAGGCTGGAGTACAATGGCACGATCTCAACTCAGTGCAGCCTCGATCTCCTGGGTTCAAGGGATCTTCCTGCCTCAGCCTCCCCAGTAGCTGGGACTACAGGCACGTGCCACAGCACCCAGCTAATTTTTTATATTTTTGGTATATACAGGGTTTCACCATTTTGCCCAGGCTTGTCTTGAACTCCTGGACTCAAGCGATCTGCCCACCTTGGCCTCCTAAAGTATTGGGATTACAGGCATGAGCCACTGAACCCTGCCAAGAAATGTCTATTGAAGTCCTTTGCCCATATTTTAATTGAGTTGTTTGTCTTTATGTTGTTGAAGTGTTTTTAATATATTCTGGGTACTATATAAAGTACTCAGATCAGATATAAGATTGCAAATACTTTTCACATTTTTTGGACTGTCTTTTCACTCAAGATTGTCCTTTTATGTACAAAACTTTTTAATTTCAATGACATCCAATTATCTATGTTTGCTTTTGTTGCTGTGCTTTCGGTGCCACATCTAAGAAACCATTTGCCAAATCCAAGGTATGAGGATTTACCCCTATGTTTCCTTCTAAGAGTTTTATAGTTTTAGCTCTTATATTTGTGTCTTTGATCCATTTTGAGTTACTTTTTGTATGTGGTGTGAGGCAAGGTTCAAACTTCATTTTGTGTATGTGAATATGTTAAAGAGAATATTCCTTCTTCATTGAATGATCTTGGCACCCTAGTTGAGATCAATTGGCCATAGATATATTGATTTATTTCTGGACTATCAATTATGTTCCATTGATATGTTTATCCTTATACCTACCACACTGTTTTGATTACTTTGTAGTAAGTTTTAAAATCGGGAAATGTGTGTCCTCCAACATTGTTCTTTTTCAAGATTGTTTTGGCTATTCTGAGTCCCTTGCAATTAATTCCATATGAATTTTAGGATCATCCATATTCATTTCTGCAATAAAGTGCTGCTGGAATTTCCATACAGATTGCATTGAATCTGTAGATCAATTGGGAAGTATTGTCATCTTAACAAAATTAAATCTTTCGATTCATAAACACAGAATGTCTTTACATTTATTTAGGTCTTCTTTCATTTCTTTCGACAATGTTTTATAGTTTTAATTTTTATACTTCTTTTATAAAATTTATTCCTAAGTATTTTATTCTTTCTGATGCTTCAGTAAATGGAATTGTTTTCTTTCTTTTTTCTTTTTCTTTTCTTTTTTTTTTTTTAAGGGTCTCACTCTATCACCTAGGCTGGAGTGCAGCGGCGCCATCAATCCACCTTCTGGCCTCAAGCTATTCTCCCACCTCAGCCTCCCGAGGAGCTGGGACTATAGGCACACACCACCACTGTCAGTTAATTTTTGTAGAGACAAAGTTTCACCATGTTGCCCAGGCTGGTCTCCAACTCCTAGGCTCCAGCAATCCTCCAGCCTCAGTCTCCCAAAGTGTTGCAATTCCAGGTGGGAGCCACTGTGCCTGGCCAGAATTGTTTTCTTAATTTCATTTACAGGTTGTTTATTGCAAGTGTACAGAAACTTTATACTGATCTTGTATTAGCAATCTTGCTGAACTCCTTTGTTAGCTGTCATTGTTTTCATTGATTTCTTAGGATTTTTTGTATACAAGATCATGCCATCTGCAAATAAAAATAGTTTTACTTTTTACTTTCCAATCTGGAGGCCTTTTACTTCTGTATCTTGCCTAATTGCCCTGACTAGAACATCCAATACAATATTGAATAGAAGTAGCAAGAATGGGTATGCTCTAATCTTAGTGGGAAAGCATCCAATCTTTAACTATTAAGTATGATGTTAACTGAGGGTTTTTTATATTTGCCTTTTATCATGTTGAAGAAGTTCCCTTCTATTCCTGGTTTGCTGAGTGTTTTTTGTTTGTTTGTTATCATGAAGGGGTGGTAGGATTTTGTCAGATGCCTTTTCTGCATCTATTGAGATGATCATGTGTTGTTTTTTATTCTACCAAAAAAATATAATGCAATACTTGATTTTTGAAAGTAAACCAAGCTTGAATTCCTGGAATGTATCCCACTGAGGCAGTGTATACTTCTTTTTATATGTTGTTGGCTAGTATTTTGTTGAGTATGTTACATCCATGTTCATAAAAGAATATTGGTCTGTAGTTTTCTTATTAGGTCTTATTTTGTTGGATTTTAATTTCAAGGTAAAACTAGCCTCACAGAATAAACTAGAAAGCGTTTCTTCCTCTTCTATTTATTGAAAGCTTTTTTTATAGAATTGGTATTAATTTTTTTCAATGTTTTGTAGAAATCACTAGTGAGGCCGTCTGAGACCTGGGCTTTTCTTTGTAAGTAGTTTGCTTTTTAGTATATATTACTAATCTCTTTATTTGTTATGTATCTCCTCAGATTGTCTATTTCTTCTTGAGTCAGTTTTGGTATGTGTCTTTCTAGGAAATTTTATGTTTCATCTAAGTTATCTGATTTATTAACATACAGTTGTTCATAGTATTTCTTTGTGATCCTTTTTTATTTCTGTAAGATTGTAAGTACTGTCCCATCTTTAATTTCTGATTCTAGTAATTTCGAGTCTTCTTTTTTTCTTGATCAATCTGGGACAGGTTTGTCAATTTTGTTGATTTTTTCAAAGAGCCAGGATTTGGTTTTATTGATTTTCTCTATTGTTTTTCTATTCTCTATTTCACTAATCTCTGCTCCAATCTACCCAGTTTATGATATTTTGGTATGGCAGCCCAAATGAACTAAGACACTCTGTCACTTGAAAGACAGCCTGGGAGAGTAGGTATGACTACAGGCATGGCTCAGGCACCTAAAGATATCAGGGCAAGGATCACCCAAACATCCATCAAAAGGAAACTGGTTAAACCCTTCAGTGAACTACGATGCATTATTATAAATAATGAAGTGGATCCATATATATTAACAGGGGAAAATGCCCACGCTCTATTGGTAAGTTAAAAAAAAAAGGAAGTTGTAGACAGTGTGAAAATATAGTCCCATTTTTACTTTTTAAACAGAATATATGTTAGTGTACAGAAAAAAGTTGGAGGAATGTGTATTAAATTATTGACAATGAGATTTTTGGAGGGTTTGGATTTTGAAGGGGTGGATTACAGATATACATTATATATCTATAAAGTATTTGATATTTGAAAAACTGTTATATCTGCAATCCAATAAAATAATTTAAAAATTTTTAAAGAAGTGGCCAGGCACAGTGGCTGAAGCCTGTAATCCCAGCACTTTGGGAGGCCAAGGCAGGAGAATCACTTGAGGCCAGGAGTTCAAGATCAGCCTGGGCAACATAGTGAGACTCTTGTTTCTACAAAAAAATGAAAAATTAGCCAGGTGTGGTGGTATGCGCCTGTAGTCCCAGCTACTTGGGAGTCCGAGGCAGGAGGATTGCTTGACCAGGAAAGTTGAGGCTACAGTGAACAGGGATTGCAACACTGCACTCCAGCCTGGATGGCAGAGTAAGACCCTATCTCTAAAAAAAAAGATAAAGAAACGAAGGGGAGGGAAGGGAAGGGAAAGAAGGGGAAAGAAAGGGAGGGAAGGAAGGAAGAAAGAGAAAGAAGGAAAGCAAAAGAGAGACAGTGAGACAGAGGGGAAGGGAAGGGGAGGGGAAGGAGAGGGGAAGGAGAGAGCAAGGAGAGGGGAGAGGAGGGGAGGAGAGGGAAGGGAAGGGAAACATAGTCTATGGAGTCGAACAGATGGCTTTTGAATCATGGATCTGTGAAAGGAGGGGAAGGAAGGGAGAAAAGAAGAAAAGAGAAAGGTAGGAAGGAAGGAAAGGAAAAGAAAAAGAAAGAAAGAAAGAGACATAGTCTATGGAGTCAAACAGATTGCTTTTGAATTATGCATCTGCCAACTACCAGCTGGGTGATCTCTGGTAAGTTGCTTCGGGTCTCTCAATTTTCTCATCAATAAAATGGGGGAATTAATACCAGCCTCATAAGAATGAGCTACCTATCTCACCAGTTTCATCTCATCTCATCATCCCCTCGGGGTGCTCTAGTGTAGGGGTCAGCACACTACTGCCCTTATAGCAGTAAGGGTCTGGTTTTTGTTTGTTTGTTTGTTTGTTCTTGAGACGGAGTCTCGCTCTGTCACCCAGGCTGGAGTGCAGTGGCGCAATCTCGGCTCACTGCAAGCTCCGCCTCCCGGGTTCACGCCATTCTCCTGCCTCAGCCTCCCGAATAGCTGGGACTACAGGCGCCCGCCGCCACGCCCGGCTAAATTTTTGTACTTTTAGTAGAGACAGGGTTTCACTGTGTTAGCCAGGATGGTCTCGATCTCCTGACCTCGTGATCCGCCCGCCTCGTGCCTCCCAAAGTGCTGGGATTACAGGCGTGAAGGGGTCTGTTTTCAGAAAATAAAGTTCTGGCGGGGCGCGGTGGCTCACGCCTGTAGTCCCAGCATTTTGGGAGGCCGAGGTGGGCGGATCACGAGGTCAGAATATGAAGACCATCCTGGCTACACGGTGAAACCCTGTCTCTATTAAAAAAAAATACAAAAAAAAAAATTAGCTGGGCGTGGTGGGCTCCTGTAGTCCCAGCTACTCGGGAGGCTGAGGCAGGAGAATGGCGTGAACCTGGGAGGCGGAGCTTGCAGTGAGCTCCACTTGCAGGCAGAGCTTGCAGATCGCGCCACTGCACTCCAGCCTGGGCAACAGAGCGAGACTCTGTCTCAAAAAAAAAAAAAAAAAAAAAAAGAAAAGAAAGTTCTATTGGAACACATCCACAGCCATCAGGATGTTGTCTTACACATTGTCTATGGCTGCTTTTGCACTTCAGCAACAAAGTTGAGTAATTACTACAGGAACCATATGACCTACAAAATCTGAAATATTTACTCTCTGGTCCTTTGTAGGAAAACTCTGCCAACCCCTGCTCTAGGAAGAATATATAGGCCTTCTTTCACCTCCTAAAACATGACACATTCCTTCTCACCACAATACCTTTGAACATACTGTTCCCTTTGCCTAGAATGACATTCCCACATCCCATATCTAATCCTTTCCTGTCAATCCTATTCATTCTCATGACCTTCTCAGGGAAGCTTTTGCGGATCCTCAAACTAGATTAACTTTCTTGATATACATTCTCTTAGTATCCCTCATAGAGTTTATTGTGATGGCAATTACCCGAATTATCTGTGCTCTTATTTCTTTAACATTTGACTGCCCCGATAGACTGCAAACCCATTAAAAAGTCTGTCTTGGCTAGGCGCGGTGGCTCATGCCTGTAATCCCAGCACTTTGGGAGGCTGAGGTGGGCGGATCACCTGAGGTCGGGAGTTCAAGACCAGCCTGACCAATATGGAGAAACCCTGTCTCTACTAAAAATACAAAATTAGCCAGGTGTGGTGGTGCACGCCTGTAATCCCAGCTACTCAGGAAGCTGAGGCAGGAGAATCGCTTGAACTGGGGAGGTGGAGGTTGCGGTGAGCTGAGATCACGTCATTGCACTCCAGCCTGGGTGACAAGAGCAAAACTGTCTCAAAAAAAAAAAAAAAAGAAAAGAAAAGCCTGTCTTGTTCAGTGCTGAATCTCTAGTGCCTAACAAAGTACCTGGAATGTAATGGATAGAAGAATGTATGCATGAATGATATTATCTATAAAAGGTATTTATTGTCTGATATATACTATATGACGTATACTTTATAACAAAGAGTTCAACTAATAGGTGTGGAATTGGTTAAGAGCACAAATTCCAGAGTTGGACATGCTGAGATGAACCCCAGTTCTTCCATTTAATAGATGAAGAACCTTAGACAAGTCCCTTAACCTCTTTTGGCCTGTTTCCCATCTGTAAAATGGCAATAATATTAGTACCTACTTCATGAGGCTTGTAATAAAGATTAGATGCTATATATTATAGTTATTGGTGTTATGAATTATTATTATTGGTGCATGTCTTAGCTGGACAGATATTATTATGAGTCCTTCAACGTTGACTCCAGGTTACTCTTGAATCGGTTACTGGGACAGGGTGAGCCGAGGTCTCCTCTCCCACTCCCACTCTCAACCCAGTTAAATATAAATTAAACCAGAGCCATGGTTAAGCAACATTCTTTCTTTAATTTCCCTTTGCAAATGGAAGCCCCTGAGCTGGTGCCCACCCCCACCCCTACCCCATACCCTGGGGACCCCCGATGCAAGGCCCCCACCTCAACCTGGTGGGAAAAGAGGAGCACCCCCTCCCTATGATGGTCCATTAAAAAATTCCTAGTCATTTAAGAAATGAGGCTGGGAATGGGAGAAAGGAACTGGAAGACAAGGCCCAGGTCAGGCCAGTCTGAAGATGTTGGGGTTGTGAGACCCTTGAGAAGGGTTTGCAAGCACATCCCTAAGCTCGGGGCCAGCATGGCTGAAGGAGGAGAGGTGACACACAGACAGATAGTCTGATTCCTCAAGGTCCTGCCTGCCTGGCTGTACTGTAGATGCTGACACTCACCACCACCACCACCACCACCACCACCACCACCACCACCACAGGCCTCCTGATGGAGAATTTTCCAGTTACTCTGGGATTGGGTTTGCTAAGCATCCCCTCTGGCCCCTGATCTGGGGCATCCCTGGGGTCCCCCTGAGACCAAACCTGGGAGAAGGAGGGACTCTGGGAACATGCAAAGTGGGGGAGCAGAGACCCCGCCCCACCCCGCTGCTCTACAGGATGGTGGCTCCAGCTGCATCTGGGCTCCGAGGGTCCTTAACAGCGATGATGAAGTTGTTGGTCCTTCGGCTGCCATGGACCCAGGATAAGACATCTACTTTCTCCACGTGGTGACCCCTGGCTTCCAGGAACTCAATCTCTTCCTCTGTGAACTCACCTGAAAACCATCCCCGACATATACACATTCAGAATGTACAGAGCACTAGTTCAAGAGTCCTACAGTCAGACCTGAGTCCTCATCCTGGCTGCTCCACCACAGAGCTGTATGACCTTGGACAAATCACTTTACCTTGCTGAGCCTCAGTTTCCTCATGCATAAATAGGGATTATATGAGAACATGAAGTTGCAGGGACTAAAGGAGATAATGCACACACAGCACTGAACCTTGCATACAGTAAGTGATCAATAATATGCAGTCATTCTTAATATTGAAAACAGGACAGGCCGGGTGCAGTGGCTCATGCCTGTAATCCCAGCACTTTGGGAGGCTAAGGTGGGAGGATCACTTGAGCCCAGGAGTTTGAGACTAGCTTGGGCAATATAGGGAGACCCCATCTCTACAGAAAATTTAAAAATTAGCTGAGCGTGGTGGTACATGCCTGTAGTCCCAGATACTCAGGAGGCTAAGGTAGGAGGATCGCTTGACCCTGGGAGGCACAAGTTGCAGTAAAGTAAGCTGAGATTGCACCACTGCACTCCAGTCTGGGCAAAAGAGCAAAACCCTGTCTCCAAAAAAAGAAAAGAAAGAAAATGGAAGGAAGGAAGGGAGGGAGGGAGGGAGGCAGAAAAAAGAAAAAGGGGCTTTGTGGGTCTTCATCTCCACCTGCCAAAGTCAAGCTGCCATCATTACTTGCCAGGATTTCTGCATAATCCACTAACTGGTCTCCCTGCTTCCAGCCCTCCCTTCCTTCCTTCCTTACTGGTCTCCCTGCTTCCAGCCCTCCCTCCCTCCCTCCCTTCCTTTCTTTCTTTCTTTCTTTTTTTTGAGGCGGAGTCTCACTCTTGTTGCCCAGGCTGGAGTGCAATGGCACGATTTTGGCTCACCTCAACCTCTGCCTCCCAGGTTCAAGCGATTCTCCTGCCTCAGCCTCCCCAGTAGCTGGGATAACAGGCTTGCGCCACCACACCCGGCTAATTTTCTATTTTTTTTTTTTGTAGAGGTGGGGGTTTATCCATGTTGGTCAGGCTGGTCTCGAACTCCTGACCTCAGGTGATCTGCCCACCTCAGCCTCCCAAAGTGCTAGGATTACAGGCGTGAGCCACCGCGCCTGGCCCCCTGCCTTTCTTATAGCCTGTTCAAACAGCAGCCAAGGGGATCCTTTTAAACCATTAGTCAGACCTTGTCACCTCCCCTGCTCAAAGCCCTCCAACAGCTTCAACGGAATTTAGAATAAAATCCAAAGTCCTTACCAAGGTGCCTCTAAGCCCAACATTGCTTGGGACCTTGCTACTTCTCTAAATTCCTCCCCTCATTTCCTTCTATTTCTCACCTTGCTTAACTGTATTCCAGCCACATTGACCTCCTTGCTGTCCCTTTAGAAGGCCAAACATGTTTCTACTTCAGTGCCTTTGCACTTACTGTTCTTTCTGCCTGGAATGCTCTCCTAGAAAGTCACACTGCTGGCCCCCTTACTGCTATCCAGTCTTTGGCACCTCTTCAAGAATTTCCTCCACCATTACCTAAAACAGCAGTCCCTACCATCTTTACCTTGTTTGGTTTTCTTCCAAAGTACTTACTGCTACCTGTATTTGTTTATTTATTTACTGTGTCTCCCTCCACTAGATTATAAGCTTTTTGAAGTTAGGAACGTTGTCTTGTTTGCTATTGATCTCCAGTGACAGGGTCAGTACATAGTAAATATTGAGCAGATACTTACTACATAGATGAACAAATCCCCATCCCATTGGATAAGTTCAGACCCTCATCATCTCTTGCCTGGGCCATATCCCAGCTGCTTCTCATATTTCCCTGACTTAAATTCTCCTCCCCTCAATCTACCTCCCCTAAATAAGACAAATCAGGTCATGTGTCTCCCCTTCCCAACTGGATAATCTTAAGGCTGACCTCTGTGAGAAGCCCTGTAACTCCACATCCTACCGCTTCTCAATAAAGATCTAGTCTTCTTCTTTCCCTAATAGGAAGACTTTTGGTAGCTCTTGAGATGAAGACCCAATCTTGAATAGCATTAAATCACTTAATCGAAAATCTATTTCCTTTGTGGTTCACTTTCAATCCTTTTGATTATGGCAAGGAACAAGTTTCAGTCTGCTCTCTAACGCTTCCTAATCTCCTTCTTTAATGGAGAAAGCAGTCTCAGAGCCTTCCATGGGCAACAATATTTAACTAAAAACTACACATATCTATTTGTATAGCTAACAAATAGATGATAGCTATTTGTCATCTATTTGTGGCAAATGATGTCATTTTTCCATTTGTGATTATGATATAAGGTCTATTTTTAAAATACATTTAGGGCCGGGCATGGTGGCTCACGCCTGTAAATCCAGCACTTCGGGAGGCCGAGGCAGGCGGATTACTTGAGGTCAGGAGTTTGAGACTAGCCTGGCCAGCATGGTGAAACCCTGTCTCTACAAAAATGCAAAAATTAGCTGGGTGTGGTGGCATGTGCACCTGTATTCTCAGCTACTCGGGAGGCTGAGGCACGAGAATCACTTGAACCCAGGAGGTGGAGGTTGAAGTGAGCTGAGATCGCACCACTGCACTCCAGCCTGGGTGACAGAGTGAGACTCTATCTCAAAAAAATAATAAAATACATTTAGGCTAAAAAGGAAGTTCATTTAGAGAGACATGTTATGTACATATTGGTTTAGATGGTGTGCAAATGTGGCAAAAGTCACAAAGGTGCTGGGTAAATTGAGAACTCTAGGAAACAACAGCTAGCCTCCTGGCTGCTCTCTGAGCCATTCATTCTGGTTTTTGCCTAGGCTGTTCCTCCTGTCCAGAATGTCCTTTACCTCCACATACCAAATTCCTACTCATACTTCAAAGCCAAGCTACTTGTCACCTCCTCCATAAAGCCTCCCCAGGGCCTCAGGTAGATGAACTTTCCCTTCACCAAGCCCCCACTCCTTGTACCTCCATCTTACACTAAGGCCCTGAAGGCAGGACTGGGCTGAGCCCAAATAACTTAGCACAGAGCCTCACATTCAACAGAGACCAGCAGATATTTGTTGAACAAAATTCAATTTCAAGGATGTGGCCTTGTCATCTATCAGCTGGGATCCAAGTGTCGCTGGCCAACCACAGGATGTGATTGTTGAAGATCGCGGTCTCTGCTTCTAATGTGATTCAGTCCAGGAGATATCAAGAGCTGTGCAGTAAAGAATAGAGTCTTTGGTATCAGCCAGGTGTGTGTCCTAATTGAAGTTCTGCCACTTAGTGGTTGATCTTTGACTAGTTTATAACTTCTGTGAGCCTCAGTTTCTTCCTCTATAGAATGGGGATAATAATATTGAACAGGCAAGGACTGTGTCTCAATCAATTCTGTATTCTTTTGGACTCGTGTCATATTAATACATTGTCTGTTATAATAAAAACTCCTCAAAGGTGCAGATACTTTCCTGTTTATAAAATTCAGCTGTGCCAAAATTAAGCCCTTTTCTTAGAGGAAAGTCCGTCTCCTCACCCTAAGGTCCACGATCCGGCGCCTGCCTGCCTCTCTGATCTAATTTCATCCTTGCTTACCTTGGTCTCCTTTTTAGTCCTCAAACTCACCAAACCCACTCCTGCCCTGAGTTCTTTGTACTTGCTCCCCTGACCTACAAAGCTCTGCACCAATTCTTTGTATAGTGGGCTCTCTCTTACTTTTTTTTTTTTTTTTTAGGAGATAGGATCTCACTCTGTTACCCAGGCTGTAGGGCAGTGGCGTGATCTTGGCTCACTGTAACCTCTGCCTCCCTGGTTCAAGCAATTCTCCTGCCTCAGCCTCCCGAGTAGCTAGAACCACAGGCACGTGCCATGCCTGGCTAATTTAAAAAAATTTTTTTATAGAGACGGGGGGGTGGAGGGGGGTCTCACTATGTTACTGAGGCTGCTCTTGAACTCTTGGCCTCAAGCGATCCTCTCACCTCAGCCTGGGATTATAGGTCTGAGCCATTGCACCCAGTTTCTTTCTCACTCTTTAGATCTCAGCTTAAATGCCACCAAAGAGAAGTCTTCCTTGATCATTGAGTCCGTCCTATTATATCACCCTGCTTTGACAGTTGGCAGAGCATTTATTTGTCTCATATTTCTTTGATGACTTATTTTCTTGTTTGCCTGTAAATGCAGAATCCCCAGCACCTAGGATGATGCCTGGAACACGTACGTGTTCAATACAAACTGTTGAGTAAATGAAAGTTTGAAGAATGAACAACTGTGTCTTATTTTACAAATGAGAAAACTGAGGCTCAGAGTTGAGACATGGATTTCCCAAGGCCACACAACCAGGAAATGGCAAGACTGGTTCCAATCCCCAGATCGTTCACTGCTCCAATAGAAATTTGCCAAATAAAACCAAACTTCACTGGCAGTTGGTGCTGGTTGAGGCATGGGCACCCTTGGGAGGAGTCCTTTCTCTACCTGTCCCTGTGCCCGCCCCACGAGGTCTCTGCTCTGCACTCACTGTCCACCTGCAGGAGGTTGGACTGCAGGTCCGGGTGTAGGCGGCCGCGGGCCAGGCTGTCACTCAGGTTCCGGTTCAAGGTCAGGACATTCAGCAGAACCTGTGGTAGCCAAGGTACAGAAAAATCAGGGCTGTCCCAGGGGTGATGGTCCAGGATTCCTCAGCTCTCACCCTTGGTCCAGGCTCCTTAGTCTTGAGAATTCTTACACCGGGTGTCATCTGAGCCTCCTAACAGCCCTGGAAGACAGGCAGGCCTGTGATGACTGTTTCCATTTCACAGAGAGGGAAAGTGAAGTCCAGCAAGGAAAATGACTTACTCCAGAGTTTAGAGGAAGCCAGGGAAGATACACCACTAGAACCAAGTCTCTTTAATCTAGCCCGGGGCTCCCTTCTTTTCTCTCTGGATAGGGCAAGGTTAATAGCTAGGAGTGGTCTAGGGCACAATGTGGGTGCTTTTAACTTAGTGGTTAGGAGTGTGCGTAGGCTCTGGAACCAAACTGCCTCCCTGCTCTTTCTAGCTGAAGGTACTTGACCTAAAGTCTTAACCTCTCTGGGCTTCGGTTTCCTTATCTATAAAATAGAAATAAGGATTCTCTCCAGAACTGGGAAGGTTAAAATGGTTAACACACATAACACAGTGCCCAGCACTTAGTACGAACTCTTTAAATGTTAGCTATTGTTATTATTTCCATTTTAAAGATGAAGAGACTGAGGTTCAGAGCTGTTAAGTGAATGCTCCAGCATCACACAGTTACAAATTGGTAGCACTTGGGCCGGAACCCAGGAGTGTCTGATTCCAGAACTTAAGATCGTTAACTCACCACCTGCCAAAATAGGTGCCTGGCATATATATCAGGTTCTCAAGACATTCATGGAGCCATTCTGAGGTGTTCTGGAGAAAAGCAGGCCCTTCCTTTCAAATCCCACCCTAAAGAGGGCTGGTTGTCTATTCAGATGCTGGGTAGAGGTATAATGGGACTTGAGGTTAACAGAACCCAGGCCACCCAGATGCTAACCCCACTTTTCAATCTACTGACCCTGCCATTTCCCCTGCAACCGGGAAAGACAGGGAGCATCAGGGCTCCATTTTCACTAAGAAACTCAGCGCAGCCCATGTCCACATTGCCCAGGATGCGCCTGGCACAAAACAGCCTCAGCCCATGTTTGCCGCATGAGGAATGGAAACAAGCCACAGATATGACAGGCATCTGCAGTCTAGGCCACAGCTTGGCTCCCGGCTGAAAAAGGCCAACCATGGCGTAAACCTCACCTGTGTCAGGCCGCTGAGGCCCCGCGCAGCTCCATTGGCCCCCAGAGCGAGGTAGGTTCCACAGAGCCCCTCCGCGGGTCGGACCACTGTGGGCAGCAGGAAAGAGAGTGGCCGCTTCCCTGGCTGCACTGAATTCTCCTGTTGTTAGAGGACAGAGACCACAAGGGGCAGGTGGGGTGGGACAAGACCGGGAAAGGGCCCCTCCACAACCCTTCCAACTGCTCTCCCTCTTCTACATCTTCCACAGGCCCAGTTTTCCTGGGAGACTGGTCCCTTCCCAGACAACAGTTTGCTATCTGTGAAATGGGTAGGGTGCCTGGATGGGTGGGGTGGATGGGGGAGTGATAAGTACATCCACTGAGCTATGAGGCTGCTACGGGTCACAGGAGAAAGGACCAAGCCAAGAAAGATGGCAATGGGGAAGAACAGGATAACCCCACCCTGATCATCTCTATGTGTCTTTGCCCTGCTGGGGCCCCAGATGGCGGGGTGTAAGAGTGCTGATTTTTAACTAGATAAAAATTATTAAATCCTTCCTCCTTGGGTCCCTCTTTGGTGCCCAACCATAGGGCTGAGCCCCATCAGCTCAAGCTCACATAGTCACAGACCGCTAGTGCTGGAAAATGCCCAAAACATCAAATAGGAGCCAAAACCCTCATTGTACAGGTGAAGAAATTGCCCAGAGAGGGCAAGATCTTCACAAGGTCACACAGTAAGACAGTGACAGAATGGGACAAGGGTTCTTCAGACCCACCAGGCTCCATGTCCCAGACTTAGCAGGGCTAGGGATGAGGTGAACCTCTTCTTTAGGCTTCCTTATACTAGAAGATTCTGGAGAAAGTAGGGAGAAAGGGGCAGCCATGCCATTGCACCTCCTACCTATAGGCCTCAGGGTCCCCAGGAAAGCAGGGAAGCAAATCCTACCAGGCTGGGTGCAGAGTGGTTAGCTGTCCGGTTGGGCCAGGAGAAGTCCAGCATCTGGCTGTTGAGCAGGATCCCCGAGGGGGTGATAAGGCCGCTGCCAAAGGGCTGGTTCAGGGAGCTGGGGGCCGAGGTGGGGTTGGGTGAGCCCTGGCCCATCCTCACCTCTACCCAGCCCCCACCCCCTCTTGGTTCAGAGGATCCCTTGTTCCAGGTTCTGAGTCTGAGCTGGCATACCTAACCATGGCCACAATGAAGTCATCAGGTCCCATGATCAGCACCTGGGCAGCCGTGGGAGCTCCGTCTAGTTCATAGACAGGCAGGAGTGGGGCAGGGGCTGCCTGGGAGTCATTGATATGGCCCCGGAGGTAGGCGGCCTCCACCTTGCTGAAAAGACAAGGGGTGGGAGATGAGCAAACAACAGGCTCTCAATACACCCCACCTACCTCACTTTTGTGGTGTTTGTGTAATTATTTGATGAAATCTACCTCCCTCACTGGACTACTAGGTCTATGAGTGCAGAAGCTCATTAATTGCACATAAGAAATACCCAGAAAATAGCTGTTGAATGTATTTAGGTATTATTTAGATTCTTTTCTGGAACCAACTTTTATTTAATGTTTAAATCAAGAGCCTTTTAGTTATCTGACTTCTTAATCCTTTCTATGAAAGTGCCTGGTGCATAATGGATCAGAAAATATTTGCTTTGAATTAACAAACTGGATTCATTTAAACTAATGTTTGTAGTCTAAAGTTTTATTAAGAGTTTAGTTGGGGGAGGATTTTGTATATGAGGATTTTTTTTTTCTTCCTAATGAGATAGAGTTTTTCTCTGTCACACAGGCTGGAGTGCAGTGACGCTGTCTCAGCTCACTGCAACCTCTGCCTCCCAGGTTCAAGTGATTCTCCTGCCTCAGCCTCCCGATTATCTGGGATTACAGGCACCTGCCACCACACCTAGCTAATTTTTTTTAGTAGAGACGGGGTTTCACCATGTTGGCCAGGCCGGTCTTGAACTCCTGACCTCAAATGATCCACTCACCTCGGCCTCCCAAAGTGCTGGGATTACAGGCATGAGCCACCACATCCAGTCAGGATCTTTACTTTCTTTTAGAGTTTTTTCCCAAGGCACAGAGTAAGTGCTCAATAACTATTTACTGGATGAACTGGTTGAATAGATTTCATATAGGTGTGTGTGTGTGTGTGTGTGTGTGTGTGTGTGTGTGTGTGTTTTAGAGCAAAGTTTGCATTGACCTTAGAAACAATATGTAATGCTCCAGACTTTTAAAAATTCAACTGAGGCGGGAGGCTGAAGCAGGAGAATTGCTTGAACCTGGGAGGCAGAGGTTACAGTGAGCCAAGATCATGACACTGCACTCCAGCCTGGGCGACAGAGCGAGACTCCATCTCAAAAAAAAAAAAAAAAAATTCAACTGAGGGTTTCTTACCTAATAACTATGTGTTGGATTATCCATAGCTGATTAGAGAATAAGTTACCAAAGATTACTTGAAGACATTTATTCAATTTTCAACCAAACAAAGCTTTACATGTATGATTTTGTTTAGTCCTTACCACAACCTTACAAGGTTGATACCATTATTGTCAAGCCCCCTTGTAGAAACAGATTTAGAGAGTTTAAACCACTTGCCCAAGGCTGCACAGCTAGCGAAGGGTCAAGCTGGAATTTGAATGAAGGCAGTCTCACCAGAGCCCACAAGCTACTACTATGTTATGTTGCTAATGAAGCTGTATTACCACCACCTTCAGTATTTGCTTGGAGACTGTTTGTTTGTTTGTTTTTGGAGACAAAGTCTCACTCTGTCACCCAGGCTGGAGTGCAGTGGCATGATCTCGGCTCACTGCAACCTCTGCTTCCCGGGTTCAAGTGATTCTCCTGCCTCAGCCTCCTGACTAGCTGGGACTACAGGCACGCGCCACCACGCCCGGCTAATTTTTGTATTTTTAGTAGAGGCAGGGTTTCACTATGTTGGTCAGGCTGGTCTCAAACTCTTGACCTCAGGTGATCCACCCGCCTTGGCCTCCCAAAGTACTGGGATTACAGGCGTGAGCCACCGTGCCTGGCTTTTGTTTGGTATTGAGCTTTCTTTTCCTACTCAAAAGGAGGAGCAGATGGGCTTATATAGGTGCTATGCTAGCCTCAAAAAAATTTAAGAGCCACATGAAGTAAGCCAACTCATTGTGCTGATAGGAAAGGTGAGGTGCAGGGAGAGGCACCCAGTGTCACGTTGTGAGTTGGGGTTGAGCTGAAATTGACTTAGGATTTCAGGCCTTTATTGCTATACCAGCTGCTTTTCTCCTGACCCTTTCCCCACACCCACCGCTGCCTCTGTAGCCCCCAGGTCCTGCCCAAGACCCACCTGAGCATGTCATCCATGCTCTCAGTGATGGTAGAATCATAGACGGGATCTCCCAGTCTGCTGGCCAGGGCTAATGCAATCTTCAGGGTCTGAAAATACAGCAGGGATATGGAAGAGGCTGCCAGGCCCCTCCCAGAACCCACACCCAGTGGACTTTCGTGTGTGAGAAAACTTGGAGGGGATTTAGTCCTGCCCTATGGCAGTACCCAATCTCCCCACTCCTAATATCCTTAAATCCAGGGAAAGGCAGACGGGTCAGCCTTACCTCTGCCACCCAGTGAAGAGCCTGTTCTCGGGATACCAGGCTGGTGAGATTGAAGCCCTCCAGGATGTTGAGAGCACTGATGAGGGCAGGGCCCGTGTGCGGAGGTGGGGGACTAAGAACCAGGTGGCCTGAAAGGACAGGAAGTGACTGATGGCAGGGTAGGGGTCAAGGCACCTTCACATCCCACATCCCATCTCCACATTCCACCATCACACACTGAGACCACTGCGCTGAACTCCCTCACCAGATGGGGAAACTGAAACATTGAGAGGCAAAGAGACTCATTCAAGTTCACATGGCAAGTCAAGGGCAGGGCCAGGACTTGAACTCAGAACACTGGTCTTCAGTTTCCTCTGCCATTTGAGAAAACTAAGGCTCAAGAGGGCTGTGGCTTGCCCAGAGTCACACTGCAGGCTATCAGCAGAGCACAGCAGAAACAGGTGACCAGATGTTCATATTCCTGGCCTGTCATGTGTCTCCTTTTAGCTCTCCCATAGGCCAGGATATTATCCATGACTCCTGATGGTCTCATCCAGCCCCAAACTTCTTGGCAGCAGCAACCTTCTCTTCCTATTCTGTTACTAGATGTTTGGACATCAAAGGAATAATAGCTGATGCATAACACTAACATTAACTCATTTAGTCCTCACTGTGGCTACTGTTATCACACATATTTGATAGGTCCAGAAACTGTGGTACAGAGAGACAAGGGGAATCCAGAGCACTCAAGGTACTAGCATTGTTGAGACAACCCAGGCTGGGAAGGGGAAATGGAAAATCTATATTCAGTGCATGCTCTGATCAGGGCAACTTCCTACATCATCTCATCAAATCCTTATGGGCATCCTAAGATGTAGGCACTATTATTATTTCCATTTTAAGGAGGGAACCAAGGCTCAGAGTGGGAAGTAGCTTGTTCAAGGTAAATGGCACAGTTGGTACTCAAACCCAGGTCTTCCTAGCTCCAACGCTACGCTTGTTCTTTTTTCTTTTCTGTGTGTGTGTGTGTGTGTGTGTGTGATAATGGTCTCACTCTGTCACCCAGGCTGTAGTGCAGTGGCACAATCATGCTTACTGCAGCCTTGACCTCCCAGGCTCAAGCAATCCTCCCATCTCAACCTCCTGAGTAGCTAGGACTATAGGTACACCACCACGCCTGGGTAATTTTTAAATTTTTTATAGAGACGGTGTCTCACTATGTTGCCCAGGCTGGTCATGAACTCCTGGGCTCAAGTGATCCTCCTGCCTCAGCCTCCCAATGTGCTGGGGTTATAGGCCTGAGCCACTGCACCCAGCTGATAGGCTCTTTCCATTGCTTCATATTCCACTGCCTCTGGCAGAGGAATCAGGTTGGAGATTGAGGCCTGGAAAGTTGAACTCAGAGAAACCCTTTCCTGGGGCTTGATGTGATCTGGCTCTCCTAGAAGGGAAAGAACCTGAGAATCTTCTGAGAAATCCAGCACCTACCACCTTGGGTTCAGTAAACATGGACCCCACCCATGTCATAAGCTTGGTTTTCTGGGTTCCCTGTTGGTTTTCTTGAGTTTGGCCAGTTGTTATATTCCCTCCTCGGGCCTCAATTTCTTTTTGGCACTATGAGGAGCTGGGTCTATGACTGTCTTGAAAGGTTCATTCTACTGTGAAGCTTGGATGGACTTTGTCTTAAAAATTCTTAGGAAGTACAGGGCAGTGACAGCGCTGCTGGGGAAAGGGCAGAGGCAACACAGAGCCCAAATCAAGAAAACCTATGGCCAGAACCCCAACTTCCAGGTTGGACCCTTTGACCAGGTCCACCCCCCAATATCCTAAATACTTGGGGTAACTGACCCCACAGCTACTTTTCAGAAGGTGGGCTGACTCTGGTTTGCTTCAACAGTTGACTGCCCAGGTAGCTCACTGCCTTAGTTTCTCTCCTGTGAAATGGAGAGGAGTCTCTAGGCCAAAACGATGTGGCCATGGACTGGGAGGCTTCTCCTGAGGGGGGACCCTGGGAGCCGGGGGAGAGGTCACCTCTGTACACGCCACACACAGGCTTCTCCACAAGGGCGCTGTAATTGCTGAAGTCCTCTTCGGTTATGACACCCCCTGCGTGCTGAGCCTGGAGGGAAGAGAATGAGGGAATGACCTCCCACCACTGTGACATGGTGGTTTTGGCCTATAACACGTTTGGATCACAGACAGATCAGCTGTTTATAACTTCTGTGCCTTCTGCAACCCCCATCGTGGCCTTTAGAGACCCCATTATCCCTAGACACCTCAGGAAAAAGGAAGGGGGAAAAGCACTAACATTGAGCACCTATCATGTGCCAGGCATCACACTGGGTACATTCCATGAATGACCTCCTTAGCTTGCCATTCAAGACTTTTTGTGATCTGGCCCCAGCCTACCCCTCCCACCTCATGTCCTGCTGTTCCCCAGTGAGCTCTATGCAGCTGCAGAGTGACCTGCAGTTCCTGAACTCATGCCTTCGTGTCTTTGTACCTGCTGCTCTCTCTGCCTATGTAAAAGGAAGGTTTTCTACTTATGGCACACTTGCCTAGGAGATACCAAAACTGAATGCTGCATCTCACCACAACCAACTAAAGCCACTAGAAAACCATGACTTTGAGTGATCCTAGAAGGACTGACCCTTATTGGACATAACCAAGCCCTCATTATTGACCAATGAACCAATCTTGTACAAACCAATGGGCTCATTCCATCCTATCCAGTGTGCTGTCAACCCTAAATTAGCATAACCACTCTGAATCCTTTCCTTTTTTGTACCTTATAGTACTTGAAACCCTTGAGTTATCTATCTTCAGAGAATTACACATTGATTTTTTTTTTTTTTTTTTTTGAGGCAGGGTCTCATTCTGTCGCCCAGGCTGGAATGCAGTGGCACGATCATGGCTCACTGTAGCCTCAACCTTCCCAGGCTCAGATGATCCTCCTGCCTCAGCCTCCTGAGTAGCTGGGACTACAGGCACATGCCACCACACCTGGCTAATGTTTGTATGTTTTGTAGAGATGGGGTCTCACTATGTTGCCCAGGCTGGTCTCAAACTCCTGAGCTCAAGTGATCCACCCATCTTGGCCTCCCAAAGTGGGGATTACAGGCATGAGCCACCATGGCCTGGCCCATTTGAATTCTTGAGTTCCTTTTTCTGGCAAGTTAATAAACTCAACTTTGGGTTTCTTTTTATCAAAGATCTGATGGTCTTTGTTACAATCTCCTGCATTCCCTTTGCCACCTCCAGGAAAGGGCACACAACCCAGGCCTGGCCAATTGGGGCATTCCCTTCTGTGCCACAGTGATTGATTTGGGAATAGTCATGAAACCTATGATGAGCTAATAAGACACAACCTGGAGGCTTTTGCTGGAACTACTGGGAAGGAAAAATGCTCTTTCTCTGGGATAGCTTGCTGGAAGGATGGCCTGATATGGGCTGGTGGGGAGCAGGTGGAAAGGATCTGAGAGTGAATCCAAACAAAGGAAAGTAGAGTTGAGAGAGAGAGAAAGAGAAAGAGGGAGAGCAAATCCTAACACAGTGGATTGATAATCTGGACACAGAAGAATCTAAAGCCAGTAATCTCCTGGACTTTCCAGTTAAGTCTGTTTGAGTCTATCGCCACATCCAGTGCCCAGCATAGGGCTTGGCACAGAGCAGGCACTCTGTGAATGTTGAATGAATAACAGACCTATTTAATTCCCACAACTGTATGGCAGAGACAGATATAATCATCCCCATTGCTCAGATGAGAGAACCACTGAGTTGGTCTATGCATCCTTACCATGAACTTAATTTTCCATTAGGACTTTTGCACTATTAATGACAGTTCTCACATCTGTTACTGCCTGAGACTGGGACTCTTTGGGATTGGATGGTAAACTTCTGTGTCAATCTCCCCAGTCTTGATACTCAACAATGAAAGAGGTGCTTCCCTCAGTCCCTAGAAAACCCAAAAGCAGGGAAGGATTGTGAGCTTAGGGAAGCTGAGGCCGATACTGGGTCTCCACCAGGCCTGGGAGGGACATGACAAGCCCCTGCACAGGCTGGCATCACCCCTGAGAAGCCCAAAGGTACCTCTGAATCAAGACAGAACACTTCTGGCTAGGCATGGGGGCTCACACCTGTAATCCCAGCACTTTGGGAGGCCAGGACAGGTGGATCTCTTGAGGTCAGGAGTTCGAGACCAGCCTGGCCAACATGGTGAAACCTCATCTCTACTAAAAATACAAAATTAGCTGGGTGTGGTGGTGCACACCTGTAATCCCAGTTACTCGGGAGGCTGAGGCAGGAGACTCACTTGAACCTGGGAGGCGGAGGTTGCAGTGAGCCAAGATCGCACCACTGCACTCCAGCCAGGGTGACACAGCAGGACTCCGTCTCATAAAAAAAAAAAAAAGACAACACTTCCATCATCCCAGGAGGTTTTTCATGTCATATCCCAGTCAGCTCCTCCCAGCCCCACCAACCACTGATCTGATTTCTGTCACTAGAGGTTAGTTTTGACTATTCTAGAATTTCAAATGAACATAATCCACAGTAAATAATATAGAAAGAAAGGGAGGGAGGGAGGGAAGGAAGGAAAAAATGCGGACGCGGATGTCCTGCAATAGGGACCTTGGGGCATGCCCCCACCCGCACAACACGAGCACTTACCTCGGCCACCATCTCCAGTGTGAGGTTGCCACCTGCGTAGAAGGCAGCCGGGCCGGAGGTGCCAAGTACATCCAGCACCTCAGCCAGGTCGGGCCGATGCAGCAACGAGCCAGGTAGTGGCGGGCGGCCCGATGGCAGGAACGTCTCCCGGAAGCGCTCGGACATGTTGGGTGGCAGCTGTTCAGCCAGGGCACGGGCTAGGGGCAGGGACGGGAGGCTGGGCAGGGCGGGACGCCAGGACTGGACCGGATGAGACGCGCAATAGATGGGGTAGATGGGGGCTGAGTGGCCCACCCTAAGTGCCCTGACCCCCAGGAGCCTGTTAAGTGCGAGGCAGGGATGTCTAAGGGCCCTTCCCAGACCCCCTCGTTTGAGGCCGCCTCCAGGTGAGGGTGGGATAAGGTGGGGAGGGGGTCTGAGGAGCAAACTGGAAGAGAGGGCCTCTCTGGCTTGGGCTCCAAATCTCAAAGATTCTACCCTTCTCCATCAACCTCATGTCTCTCCCAAATCCCCAGGCCCCACTGACCTAGATCATGAGTCACGTTGAAGCCATCTTGGGCCACAGCTGCTGCAAAGGCCAGGACTTGGGACCATGGCAGCCTGGGGGGGCCGGAGAGCAGGGGGTGGAGGAGGTCCTGGGGGAATGAGGAGGGGTCCGGGGGGAGGGGGGTTCCTGGGAAGGAGAGTCCTGGCAAGGGAAGGGGATATTAGGAGGGGGAGTTGGGAAAGGAAGAATCCAGGGAAGTAGGAGAAGGCCACCCAAGGAGAGATGCAAACGGGGGTCCCTGGTCCCCAGGGGGAGGGTTGTTACCTGCCATAGAGCTGGTGAGCTTCATGTAGCCCCTTCACCATTCCGGGAACCCCCACCAAGAGCCCAGGCTGGGCAAGGCGGGTAGGCGAGGGAGAGAGGAGACCAGGTCACTGGAAGGGGGGTGCTGGGCTGAACTCCGCAGAGCCCCAAGCCAGGGATGGCTGGCACAGGGGAGAGACACAGGCCAAGTATCCCAGGGGAGGGACAAGCTTTCCCAAGCAGGCACCCCTCCCATCTCCCTGACTTCCTATCAGCAAATGCAGAAAGGCCTCTTTTAGCTGCCGTAGTTGGGGGATTTATAAATTAAGCAAAACTCTTTTAAGAGCCAGGACATAACCAGTGTAGAAAGACACCTGTCTACATTGGATTTCACCAACCCCTGCCTTTTTTTTTTTTTTTTTTTTTTTTTCCTGTTACCCAGGCTGGAGTACAGTGGCATAGTCATAGCTCACTGTGGCCTCCAACTCCTGGGCTCAAGTCAAGCGATCCTTGGTGCATGCTACTGTGCCTGGCTAATTTCAAAGCATTTTTTGTAGAGACAAAGTCTCACTATGTCACTCAGGCTGGTCTCAAACTCCTGGCCTCAAGCAATCCTCCTGCCTTGGCTTCCCAGAGTGTTGGGATTACAGGTGTGAGCCACTGTGCCCAGGCAACCCTACCTTTTAAAACGGTGGACAAAGGACCTTCATTTAACCTATTCAGTTTCACCCCACCATTACTCTGAGCTCTGAAGACTCAGGGGTGTGTTTGGCTTTTGCCACCGCACTAAGTACCCATTTTTCCAAGTTATTCGATATCTTCTTTTTCTTTCAGCAGACAGTTGGTTTACTTCTGGCAATTCCCCTCTAATCTTCCAATATATCAAGGGCTGGGAAAGTTATAGTCAACTGGCTCAGAGTGAGATGTGTGAGTTTCATTGCATCAACTTCGTGACATTTCAGGGTACTCAGTAGCCTTTTTTCTTCCTTCCCACGTGCCAGATAGGTAAGATTCCCAGAGAAGTAAGGTTCCAGATTTTCTAGTTCATTATTTTATCTTGGGGGCTGCCTGACTCTCTCATAGCCTAAGAGAATCCTGCTCAACTCTTTTTCCCACTCCCCTGGTAAATACTTAGCAAATTAATGCTTGGGTTAGCAGAAGGGCAATGAAGAGAGACTCCCCTGAACTCTCTCTTCTCACCAGGGTCCCCACCTTGGTCTCCCAGGATCTTTGCAGGGTCTCTTCCCTGAGGGCCCCTGGTGCGGACTCCCGGAAATCAATTAGGTGGCTCTCATTTCGTCGGATGTCATGTACCAGCATCACGCCCCCACTGGGAGAGACACAGAAGGGGAAGTGTGATGATAACATGCTACCCCTCTGTACAATGAATCTGCTGCCCCTCCACCCCCAGTGGTGAGAGCTGTAGGCTCAGTTTTTCATTTGGGGTCAGGTGTCTGAGCTCCCTCCCCAGCATGGATTCACAGACTCAGCCACCCTAAGAGGATGGGAGCAAAACCAAGAGGGTTGGAGACCCAGGGTCCATGGACCTCTTCTATCCTGTCACTGGAGACTTTAATCCCTGATTAGGAAAAGCCCAGAGACTGGCAGAACAGGATGTTCTGCCCCATGCCCCCACCCTGGACCAGAGCTGGACCCCTGCCAGCTTCCTGCACCTGTCTACTTGGTATGTCCCTTGCCCCTCCCCCAGGACTGGATTATGTAAGGATAGAACATGCAAAACCAAAAGAGGAATTTCTTTGGTACGGCTTGGAGAGCTGGTCTTACAGGAGCCAAGATAGGAACTTTGTCAGCTTGTTCCTTTTCTGTAGCTTATTTACGTCTAAGATGGGGGCTGCAAACTTAAATGCCCACAGCCAAATGACAAACTAAGGCAAGCAGGACAGAGAAGAGGAAGTGGTAGAAACTACGGCAAACTGGACAGTGCATGCCCATCATGGGAAGCAGCTTCTATTCCACGCCAGGTAACTTCAGCCATGTGAGAATGCGGGCCCAAGTTGTTATCGGATTTCCCGATTGTTCAAGAGATGTTGGAAATCTGGATTTTTATGAAAATTCTCAACTTTTTAACAAAAGCAAACAAAATTTTAAGACAGTTCAGTGTCTAAACCAAACCAGTCTGTGTGCTGGGTGTTGCCCATGGGTGGCCAGCTTGTAACTTCTAAGAGTTCTTAGTGCAGGGTGTATTTTTGGAGGACAGAGGGTGCAAGGCTTTTCATCAGACCCATAGGGATTTATGATCCTAGAAGTTGAAATATCTCTGCCTTAATTGATGACAGTATACCTCCACCTGTGCATCTTAATTTATGGTTTACAAATTTCTTTTTCTAGTTAAAAAAAAAAAAAAAAAGCTTCTGAAAACACTTTCAGGTTTTCCATAAGGTAGCTTTGCTCTTCTGACTCCATCCAGGGAGAAGGGGGTGAAATTTGGTGTAGAAAGAGAAAATGCAAGGAGTTGGGGCCCAAAAGCCCCTCTCCCTAAGTTAGGAGTGCTGCACATGAGGCCTACAGACCTGGAGGCAAGAAGTAGGCCTGGGGGACCCCGACCTCCACTGCTCCTTACCCGCCCAGGCCAGAACTGTGTGGAGCCACGATACCCAAACACAAGGCTGCTGCCACCGCTGCGTCCACAGAAGATCCCTGTTTACTGAGCACCTCGATGCCCAGTGAAGTGCAGCGGGCAGCATCGGTCACCACGGCACCCTGCTGGAAGATCTGGGAGGGGAAAGAGGACTTGGTGGGGGCAGGAGGAGCTGTCCACCTCCCTAGGGCACCTCCACTAGCCCTAGAACTCTACGCGGCATGAAGGTCGAAGCCCTGCCCCCTTGTTGCCTTGACTCTGCCCTCATTACCCCAAGTGCCTCCTAATGGATCTGTCCTTATTCTTCCTTGTTCTGTCTCCCTCATGCCCTGGAGCTCCTCTCTTTGGGACCTTCCTCTCCCAAGTCACCACCCTCTCTCCCCTTCTACCACTCAGCCATTCCCCAGTTTCCACAGTTCCTCAAACATTACCCCACTCCCCACTCCCCAGTTTCCTCCCCCTCCCCATTTGTCCCCCTCACCTGGGGGTCCCCGAAGTAGATCTGCATGACCAGCGCCACGGTGACACCGGTAGCGAAGGTGAGACAGGCCGTGACGATGACCGTGAGCCCATCCTGGCGGCAGGAGCACTCGGCCGCTGCGGCGGAGAACGGGTCTTTGCGCGTCTCGCGTAGCGGCGACCCGTCTTGGCTGCCCATCTCCGACGACGACGATGGCAGCCGCTGCAGCCGTGCAGACTTCAGGAAGGAGTCCGGGTCTGCGGGCAGGCAGCCGGGGTCGGTCTGGGCATCTCCTATCTGGCCCTGCCCACCCTCCAGGTGGGACTATTCAGCGCTTTCCCTGCCCCGCCCCTGCCACACAATCCCCGCACTGGCTAGCACTACTCACCTTTCCTCATTTTCGCGTGCACCCCAGGACAGGCGGGGCAACGGTGCCCGGCTAGGAAGAGACAGGGACCTCCCCAGCTGGGCAGCAGGGAGGCTGGATTCCCGCCCCTCCCTGATACCTAGGCCAAATTTCCTGGCACCCAGGGCCCAGGGCTGAGAACACTTCCTGGGGGGTGGGGTGGGGGTTCCAGCCCTCAGTGGAAATCGGATCCTGCCCCAGTTGGGGCCCAGCCTTCCATGCAAGGAGGCAGCTACATAAACAGAGTGGAGGGACCCTGCCTTCCAACCTCACTTCAGTTATCAGCTCACTCATTCCTTAAATATGGAGAGCCCTATGCTAGGTGCCAGGGGACGGGAACAGATAGTTCCTGCCCTCATGTGGTTCATAGAGCCCTGGAAGAAAAAGCCAATAAGCAAAGGAGTCTATAATTACAAGTTGTGGCAGGTGCTATGAAGAAAAAGGAGGAAATGACAGAATAATGGTGGTAGGGGAGGGAGGATTCCTTAGCTGCAGAAATCAGGGAAGGCCTCTCAGGAAGTGACTTTTAAGCTGAAAACTAAGGGATGAGAAGGAGCCAGCTATAATGTAGAGCAAAGAGTATGTGTGTGGAATGTTCTGGAAAGAGGGAACAGTGGATGCAAAGGCCCTAAAGTGGGAATGAGCTTGGCACATTAGAAAAAAAAATAACCAAGGCCTGGGCGGCTCTGGTGTAGCAGGCATGGGGAAAGAGTAGTAAGGGTGGAAGCTAGGCCAGATACATACTGAGCGCAGTGGCTCAATCTTGTAATCCCAGCACTCTGGGGGGCCGAGGCGGGTGGATCACTTGAGGTCAGGAGTTTGAGACCAGCCTGGCCAACATGGTGAAACCCCGGCTCCACTAAAAATACAAAAATTAGCTGGGCATGGTGATGTGTGCCTCTAATTCCAGCTACTTGGGAGGCTGAGGCATGACAGTCACTTGAACCCACAAGGTGGAGGTTGCAGTGAGCCGAGATCGCGCCACAGCACTCCAGCCTGGGTGACAGAGTGAGACTCTGTCTCAAAAGAAAAAAAAAAAAAAAGGAAGATATGTGGGGCTCTACTAGCCTGGGGAGAAGCTTGGGTTTTACCCTAAGGACTATGGGAGGTCACTACTCGAGAGGCTATTTTTGTTTGTTTTTGAGATGGAGTTTCGCTCTTGTTGCCCAGGCTGGAGTGCAATGGCACAATCCTGGCTCACTGCACCCTCCGCTTCCTGGGTTCAAGCGACTCTCTTGCCTCAGCCTCTCCAGTAGCTGTGATTACAGGCACATGCCACCATGCCTGAGTAATTTTGTATTTTTAGTAGAAACAGGGTTTCAGCATATTGGCCAGGCTGGTCTCGAACTCCTGACCCCAGGTGATCTACCTGCCTCAGCCTCCCAAAGTGCTGGGATTACAGGTGTGAGCCACCGCACCCAGCCCACTACTAGAGAGTTTTAAGCAAGAATGTGAAACCATCTGTTCTGTGTGTTATTGTTGTTGTTTGAGACAGGGTCTGGCTCTGTCACCCCAGCTGGAGTGCAGTGGCACCATCTCAGCTCACTGAAACCTCTGCCTCCCTGCAACCTCTGCCTCCCAGGCTCAAGCCATCCTCCCACCTCAGCTCAGCTTCCTGAGTAGTTGAGACTACAGGCATGCCCCACTACACCTGGCTAATTTTTGTATTTTTTGTAGAGATGGGATTTCGCCATGTTGCCCAGGCTGGTCTCAAACTCCTGACCTCAAGTGATCCACTCACCTCAGCCTCCCAAAGCGCTGGGATTACAGGCATGAGCCACTGCGCCCGGCCTGTTTTGTGTTTTAAAATGATCCCTCTGGCTACTGTCTGGAGACAAACTGGAGGACGATAAGAGTGGAGGTAGGAGAGAACTGAAAGCTCACTATTTGCTGGTGGCTATGGACAAGTCAGTCAAGTCATGCACCTCACCTTCCTCATTCTAGTAATGGAACTAATCCCTAACTGGTGGGATAGGGGTACAAGGATTCCATGAGGTGATGTGCACCCAGTGCACTGTAGGTACTCACTCCAAGTTATTTCTATTCCTTTTCCACCTTGACCAGGGCTGAGACCCTCTTCCATCCCATAGCTCCCTCCTCTGAGTGTTATTAGCTGTGAACCCAGGTCCCTAAATGGCCTAAAGGTCCTAGGTGTTTGTGAACAGTAAAGAAATAGTCTTTACTTTACCTTGACCTCATGCTGTACTCACAATATGTTTTTTAAAGTTTATTCATTCAATTTTTTTAGTACCTGCTACTATGCACTAGGACTATAACCCCTTTAAAAGTCTATGTGATAATATTAAAAACTGACCATTTTATTGTTCTGTTTAAAATACGTGGTTCACTGATGCCAACATAATAAACATCTAAGCTCCTTGTGGTGTTTAAAGACCTTCATGATCCACAGTCCCATCTTTTGTGTAAATAAGAAACCAAATATATAGATAAAATGATGATATATGCAAGAAATGTTTATAAATTATTACAGAAGTTACTCTTGGGAAAGGATACTGAAGATGGGAATGAGATGGGGTGGGAGTTTTTTTGGTTTGAAATTTTTACCACTTATATCTATTTCCTTTTTAGAAATCAATACATAAACCGGGAGTGCTCGTGCATGCCTGTAAGCCCAGCTATTCAGAAGGCTGAGGCAGGAGATCACTTGAGTCTAGAAGTTCAAAGCTGCAGTATGATTGCAATATGAATAGCCACTGCACTCCAGGCTGGGCAACATAGATAGACCCTGTCTCTAAAAAAAATTAACACATATATTTTGAAATGAAAAGGAAAAATTACAGGGAGATAGGAATGGGAAAGGGGACTTTTTTATTCTTCCTCACTATTGCTTTTTTTTTTTTTATCATGAACATGTAATTTTTGTTTTTGTTTTTGTTTTTGAGACAGAGTCTCACTCTGTCGCCCAGGCTGGAGTGCAGTGGCGCAATCTCGGCTCACTGCAACCTCCATCTCCCAGGTTCAAGTGATTCTCCTGCCTCAGTCTCCTGAGTAGCTGGGATTACAGGCACATGCCACCACGCCTAGCTAATTTTTTATATTTTTAGTAGAGGCAGGGTCTCACCATGTTGGCCAGTCTGGTCTTGAACTCCTGACCTCAGGTGATCTGCCTGCCTCAGCCTCCCAAAGTGTTGGGATTACAGGCATAAGCCACCGCACCCTGCTGTTTTTAAACTTTATTTTCAAAAAAAGGTTATCTTCTGAGACTCTCCCTCACTTCATAATGCTTGCCTCTAACCCTCAACATCAGCATCACAGAGTCTGTAAATAAAACTGGAATTCATCCAAACAAACAGACGTTAAACACCCACTGTAGGCACAGAACTCTCCTTGGCCCCTAGAAATGTCTTGTTGTTGTTGTTGTTGTTGTTGCTGTTGCTGTTGTTGTTAATAGAGACAAGGTCTTGCTATGTTCCCCAGGCTGTTCTCAAACTCCTGAGCTCAAACAATCATCCCGCCTCAGCCTCCCAAAGTGTTGGGATTACAGGCGTGAGCCACAGCACCCGGCATTAGAAGTTTCAAAAGAAGTGTGGGAAAGGGTTTTGAACTTATATTTATTGATGCTGACTACATATTAAGCATTTTACATATATTCCTTTATTGAAGTGTTCCCAAGACTTTATGAAATAAGTCCCACTCTCGCCACTTTACAGATGAGAAAACTAAGACCAAGAAAGGTGATATTGCCCATCTCAGGTCATAAAATGAGTAAGTGGGCCAGGTTTGGTGGCTCACGTCTGTAATCTCAGCACTTTGGGAGGCCGAGGTGGGAGGATTGTTTGAGCCCAGGTATTCAAGACCAGCCTGGGCAACATAGCAAGACTCCTGTCTCTACAAAAAAATTTTTTTAATTAGCCAGGAATGGTGGTGTGCACCTGTTGTCCCAACTACTCGAAAGGCTGAGGTAAGAGCATCACTTCAGCCTGGTAGTTCGAGGCTGCAGTGAGCCACTGCCCACCAGCCTGGGCGACAGGGTGAAACCCTATCTCAAAAAATTTAAAGTAAAATATAAAATAAAATAAAATGAATAAGTGGCAGGACCAAGAGTCTGTGTAACTAGAAAGCCTCCTTCCCATTGCTCCACATGGCATCAAGAGCCATTTCTACCCTCAGAAACCAACCTTACAAGCTAATTTTTGTTGCTATTTCTTGGTACTTATTGCTTTGTTTTTGAGAGATAATCTTCCTGCCAGGCTGGAATGCAGTGGCGCAATCTCGGCTCACTGCAACCTCCGCCTTTGGGTTCAAGCATTTCTCATGCCTCAGCCTCCCAAGAAGCTGGAATTATAGGCATGCACCACCATGCCCAGCTAATTTTTGTATTTTTAGTAGAGATGGGGCTTCACCATGTTGGCCATGAGGCTGGTCTCAAACTCCTGGCCTCAAGCAATCCGCCCGCCTTGGCCTCCCAAAGTGTTGGCATTACAGGCGTGAGCCACTGTGCCCGGCCCTAGGTATGGTTTAATTTGTTTTCTCCAGTCAGATATAAGGATCCAGGAGGTAAAGGTGACATGTCCCTATCATAGCTATTCAAGACTCTCTACTCCACCAGTCCATCATAAAGTTATTGATTTATACAATAAAAATATTTACTGAGTACCTACTATGTGCACTGTGGAACAGCTAGGGCAATAACAGTGTTGATTTTACTGATAGGGAAGAGCAACAGCAGGATACTGGAAAAAGATTAATTTGCAACCAGAAGGAATAAGTCTTTTGGGAGAAAGATGACAAGTTCAATTTTGGTTATTATAAATTTGTGGGACACCATAAGAAGCTGTCTGGAGGCAGTTGGCCTAGTAGATATCTAATTTTTACCTTCAGGGCTCATCCCTGGTATCTGCTTGGATACCACTTCTCATTCAATTTTCTTTTAAGGAACATTCTCTCTCCTCTCTCAGCCAACTCCCTCATCCCTGACCAAAGTATATAACTCAGACTTGGCCAGTCAGAACAGGTACCTCTGTGCAGTAACAGGCAATGTGAACAAAGCCAGGCCAATAAGACCCAAACTTTGTTATTTTGCTGGAACTACTGGGAAAGAGAAAGGCTCCTCTTTCTATTACACTTAAGTTGCTAAGTTGGTAGGATGTAAGCCTGTAGCTGCTGGGGGCATCTTGCCCCTAATAAAATGGGAGGCCTTCTGCCAATGAAGCCCACCAAAAGAAGGCAGAGCAAAAGATGGAGAAAAGTCCATTCCTTTTTAGGTACCTTAATCCAGCTATGCCTGAAACCCCATATCCCTGGACTTTTCAGTTATGCTACCCAGTAAAATTCTCTTTTTGGATGTAGCTCAGTTAAACTGGGTTTATAACAAAATAATCCTGAACAAAATTGATTATACAAGTCCAGAGTTTAGGAGAGTGATCTTGGCTAGAGGCTAGGGTCATCCCTGGCTTGTTGTTTATTCCCTTAAGGGGAGAATCACTAAAATAAATAAATAAATAAATATATATATATATAAAATTTTGAAACAGTGTCTCACTCTGTTGCCCAGGCTGGAGTACAGTGGTATAATCTCAGCTCACTGCAGCCTCAACCTTCAGGGCTCAAGCCATCTGCCCACCTCAGCCTCCCGAGTAGCTGGGACTACAGACAGGCATGCACCACCACACCTGGCTAATTTTTGTATTTTTTCTAGAGACAGGGTTTCACCATGTTGCCCCGGCTGGTTCTGAATTCCTGAGCTCAAGCAATCTGCCCACCTTAGCCTCCCAAAATGCTGGGATTACAGGTGTATGCCACTATGCCCGGCAGAATCACCAAAGATGTCTGAACCAGGGAGTGACATGACCAGAAGCGATGGATGGATTGGGGTGGGGACTGGGCAAGAGGGAGGAGGCAGGAGGAGTAGCTAGAAGCCTATAAATAATATTGATAAGAGAGGTTGGTGGCTTAGTCTACAGTGGTGATGACAGGGATGATGAGTAGGAATTTGGAAGATACTTAGGAGGGGTGCAGAGAGCACTTGATCACCATTTGGAAATGAGAAGAAAAGGAGGAGTCCAGCATGCCATTCATTATTGGGAGACTGGGTGACTGGCAGTGTCATTAATGGAGAATGGCAGTGGAGGAAGAGCAGGTGCATGGGGAAGGGATATGATGAGTTCAAAATAGAACATGCTATAGATGAGGCACTTGCAGGACATCTGGAGACACAGGCCTGGGAGAGAAAGGAACACAAGGGCTTGGAGCTCAGAAGAAAGAAAGTATTTCCCAACCTTGGAATGATCACTGTCTAGCTCTCTTTCCCACAGAGCCTGATGTGGGGTGCCTGGCACTTGGGTTTAGGGAATGGCAGGCTAGAGGCTAGCTGGGCACAACCAAGGTCCTGGCTAAGAGGATGGTGCTGTGCCACTAGATGGTACCACCAGGTTGAGAACACAGGAGGCCATGTCAGCCTGTAGTCTGGTCCAGGTGAACCGAGGAAGCCTTGGGGCTTGGAAGTAGGATTGGGAGATATGGCATTCAAATGATTACACTGAAATGATGGCAACACACAAACCTGACACATAAATTTGGCATAAGGTATAAACTCCCAGAAGCTCAGATGACTAGGATCTCTGCTGGATTTCCATACAGGGGTGAGGGCAGAGCCTGTATTGAACTTCCCAAAATACTCCCTGAGGTTTTGGAACTTGCTCTCTCCTACCATTCTTTCATCCTCTCTCCTACCATTCTTTCATCCTGAGATCTTCTCTCTCATGCATTTATTCATTCAACAATTATTGAGTGCCCAATAAATAAATAGAGATGAGGGTTTTTTTTGTTGTTGTTGTTTGTTTGTTTTTTTGAGACAGAGTCTCACTCTGTTGCCCAGGCTGGAGTGCAATGGCGCGATCTTCGCTCACTGCAACCTCTGCCTCAGCCTCCTGAGTAGCTGGGGTTACAGACACCTGCCACCAGGCCTGGCTAATTTTTTTTTTTTGTATTTTTAGTAGAGATGGGGTTTTGTCATGTTGGCCAGGCTGTTTTTGAACTCCTGACCTCAGGTGATCCACCCGCCTCAGCATCCCAAAGTGCTGGGATTACAGGTGTGAGCCACCACACCGGCCAGTGTATTTTGTTTTGTTTTTTGTTTTTTGTTTCTTTTTGAGACTGAGTCTCACTCTGTCACCCAGGCTGGAGTGCAGTGGAGTGATCTCGGCTCACTGTAACCTCTGCCTCCCCAGTTCGAGTGATTCTCCTGCCTCAGCCTCCCGAGTAGCTAGGATTACAGGCACCCACCACCATGCCCAGCTAATTTTTGTATTTTTAGTAGAGATGGGGTTTCACCATGTTGGCCAGGCAGGTCTTGAACTCCTGACCTCAAGTGATCCACCCACCTCAGGCATGAGCCACCGCGCCCGGCCTATGGATAAGGTCTTGATGCTGGAGAAAGGAGAGTGAACAAAACAATCATGATCCCTGCCCTCATGGGGCTTACAGACAGGGAGTAATCAGATAATTGCACAAATAAATAATCATAGATTTTGGTAAATGCTAAGACATTTACAGAGGGCCAGAAGAAAACATGTCAGGCAGTTCCAATCTCTAGGTCAAGAGAGACAGGCATTCTCTGTTGAGCTGGAAGAGGAAACTAAGGCCCAGGACAGGGTAGGTGTGCCTGTTGTCGCTTGGTGAGTCAGGGCTGTATTAGGACCAGAAGTCTCACTCCTGACTACTGAATAAAAGGCCTAGCTTCAGGCTGATATCCATCATGACACATCTTCCCACTCCTCTCCCTGCTACCTCCTGATTCCACTCCCTTTGGAAAATAAGTTTTGATCCGCAGCCCTGACATTTGACGCCCATAAACCTCTAAACTCCATCTTCATTATCTCCTCACCCCCACCCCATACAGAGTGCAGTCCAGTCAGGTTGGCAAGGGCTGCTGGTCAGGGCCAGATGACCAGAAAGTGTAGAGGAGGAGAGAATTTGGGGCTTTCAGGCTGGGAGCAGCTAGGGAAGGGCCAAGCCGGAAAAGCAGCATCTGCCAGGCTGGTAAGAGACAAGGCTCAAGTGCAGGCACTGCGAGGAAGCGAGAGTGAGGTAGAAGGATGCTCTAATGCCAGGAAGTGACGTGCAGGGACAGAGGGATGGGGGATGAAGGATGAAGAATGGAGGGGAGGATGAAGCTGGGCCACATGGCTAGGAGGAAGAGCAGCAGGGAAGGAATGCACAGAGAGCTCTTTGCCCCCAGGTCTCTTCCAATCCCTGTCTCCTCCTTCTCTTACCCCCACTTCTCACAATTCCAGCAGAGGGCTGAGGGGAACACAGTAAAATTCTGGAGACTGCTTCCTAGGGAGCAGAGTACCTTACTAATACCCCGGCCAGATCCATGGCTCAGGGAGGGGTGGGGTAATCCACAGGAGAGTGAAGGCGTTCTAGTCCCCAAGGACTTTTGAGAGGTCATGCAGTCCATGCCTCCGTCTCCCAACACCCAACAGAGGGGAATCATATTCTCTTTACCCCTCCCTAGACATGAAGAGATTCTCCGCTTCTCCCAGACCCTCTGCTTCTCACAATCCCTGGCTGTGGGGAACTTCTCTTAAGGCACAGATTGGATCCCTCTTGCTGCAGTCTCTGACTTGGTTTCTCCTATCCTGTCCTCTGTGGCTAGAGAAAGCCCTCTTCTGGGTGATCACAGCGGTTCCTTAGGATCTCCCCTTCAACATTCCTTCATCGTTAGTTGGTTCTTCCCAGAAGGTAAGCCCAATCCCTTCTACTGCAGTCCCTAGCATCCTCTCCGTTGTCGCATCCTACGCCTCCAAGGCAGAAATGCACCCCCTTCCTCACCAAATAATTAACAGAGACAAGGGAGAAGAAGGGAGAGATCCAAGAAGATGGGGATGAATTAAGGAGATGGAGCTGGAGGTGGATGCTTGACACAGAAGAAGGAAGACCGGGGACTTCCCAAGGCAGGGCAGGGACGGGGTCAGCGGGCCTCACCGGTGTCGGGGTCTCCCAGAAAGGCGTCCTCGTCCTTGCGGCCCCTCAGCGGGGCCGCGGGCGCCGGCTCGTCCTCGGGCAGCCGCGGGAAGCTGGTGATGCTCATGTAGTCCACTGGCGAGTAGGCGCCCAGGGCGCTCTCCTGGCTGGCCTCGTTCTCCGCCGCCATCCTCGCCCGCGCCCCCCAGCAGCGCAGCGCCTGCCGGAAGTGGCTGCGGCGGGGGAGTGGGAGGGCGGAGGGCGGGGCCTGATCTTCGCGACAGCCGGGAGGGGGCGCCTCTCCCAGCCCTCGGCCGTGTCCCGGTCTGACTCGCCCCCGTCTGCTCAGCGCTATCAGCCTGCAGCTGGCACACAGGTGCGTGTAGATGGACAGCCAGGAAGGCAGCGCAGGGTCGAGGGGAGAGCGCGGGGCAAGCGAGACTTCAGTGGCTCTGCACTTTACGCAGCTCAGGGACCAAACCCCTTCCTCCTTCCAGCCTGAATACAGCTAGTGTCCTCCTCAAATCCCAGGCTTCCTTTTCGGGCCCCAGACCCTTTCACTGACCGCAAATCCCTCTCGACCCCAGATCCTGTCTCTGACCCCAAACTCCTCGGACCCCAGACCCCTCCTTGAATTCCGAGATCCTCCTCCTCCGATTTTAGACTCCTCCTCCGACCTTAGACCTCTTTTTCGACTTCAGACTCTGTCTTCACCCCCAAACCCTTTTGAAAACCCCAGCCCATGCTTCATCTCCAGGCCTCTTTGACTGCAGACGCCTCTTTGGACAACAGATCCCTCCTCTGACCTCAGATCCCTTCCCGCACCCCGACACTTCTGACTCCTCTTTCAACCGCATTCTCAAACTTTAGTGTGTGTTAGGATCTTTGAAAGCGGATCCCCAGATTCCACTCCAGAGATCATGATTCAGTAGGCTGGGATGAGGTCCTTGGAACCTGAATATTTACCATCATTTTAAGAGTTTTTGATGTGGTTCTGGAAAGGACACTTTGAGAAAGAAGGAGTGGTGGTAGTGATGGTAGGGCAGGAGTGGGGCAAGGTGGGGAATAGGTCTCCATATTCTGGATGTCTGGGTTCTATTCTGCCACCGCTCAAACACTGTGTAATCTTGGGCAAGACAATTAGTCTCTCTATCAGTTTCCCCATCTGTGAAATGGAAAGAATAATAGTACCCATTTTAGAGGGTTGTCATGAGGATTAAGTAACAGAATGGAAAGCGATTAGTATAGGGCTTGGCACCTACTCAATAAATGGCATCATCATCATCATCATCATTGCCTTAATCTGGTAGATTCATTCCCTCCAAACTCATCCATCCTCTCTCCACTCCAAAATTCCAACCACACTACAGCTTGTACTACTTCTCCATATCCAAGGATGAGGGAGGTTCCTTCTTTTACGAGGTCTCTGTTCCAAACTTTCATTGTGAAGTCCACAGGAAGAGAGGGGGGCTGGTGAAGCCTCTATACACACATCCTTTCTCTTCCCAACCCCAGACCAGTCTCAGGGATGGCCTGAAGTGCTTGAAAAATCTACTATATACACAGCAGCTGCAGTAGCAACTATAGACAGGAGGGGGAAGCAGTGTGTCGGGAACAGCTCTGGGGTTTGGGTGTAGGACTTGGGAGAGAGGATAGGAAGGAGAGGGCTACTCAGAGCTGTGTGGTAAGAGTGCCCAGGGAGGGTAACAGTCTATCACCAAAAAGTGTACCCATTGTCTGTGCCTTTCCCCACCCCAGAGAGTTCTTATCTCCTCAGTGATGTTTGTAGGGTCTATTACACTACCCTGAGGTCTAATCCCTCTGGTGGGACCCTTCCCCACTTGATGAGGTCTGCACCTTCTCAGTGATGTCCACTCCCACAGTGTAGTTGGCAGCTCCTCACTGGAGTTTGAGTCCTCTGGTAGGGTCCACGTCTCCTTAGTAAAGTCTATATCCTCTGTATCTCTTAGGGGAAATCCATGTCTCCTCACTAGGGTAAGTGCCCTTCAAAGCCATTCATGTCCTATTAGCAGGGCCCAGGGCCCTTCAGTCAGATCTGAGAACCCCCAGCAACATCTGTGCTCCCTTAGTGGAGTCCATGTACTGTCAGTGAAGTGTGTGTCCCTTCGGTGCAGTGAATATCTCCTTTATGAAAGTATCTGACCCCTTGGTGGGGTCTATGTCCACCCCAAGAGGTCTGTACTCCTTCAGTGGGCCCTCAGATTCCCGCCCTCCTTGGGATTGGGCAGACTCTCGGTCTCCCATAGAGAGATTTTTTTTCAGCTTAGGGTGTGCAAGGTTTACAGTCAGCTGGGCAAAGTGCAGGGAAGTAGCTGGGAAGGGAGGCTGGGCTAGATGGGGTCACAAGGCCTGTGTAGGCTTCAGGAGGTGGGAGCTGCCCGCTTCAGGCCTCAGAATCACTCTTGGAGTTAGATATTTAAGAATCCTTCCTGCCTTGACAGCCAGTCTGTGAAATGATGGTGAGGTGGGCACTTCTTTGTGGTGAGTGCAGGTGAGAGATGGAGGAGGGTCCTGCCTGACTTCTTTCTGGGGTGGAGGGGCTAGAGAGAAGCTAGAGGTAATTAAGCCCAGGTTGTGGTGGTGGTGGTGGGGGTTTCCCTTGGTGGAGTAAAGAGATTGTGAAGGAAAGAAGAGAATGTGGGCCAGGTGTGGTGGCTCACGCCTGTAATCCTAGCACTTTGGGAGCCCAAGGCGGGCAGATCACCTGAGGTCAGGAGTTCAAGACCAGCCTGGACAACATGGTGAAATCCCATCTCTACTAAAAATACAAAAATTAGCTGGGTGTGGTGGTGTGCACCTGTAATTCCAGCTACTCGGGAGGCTGAGGCAGGAGAATTGCTTGAATCCAGGAGGCAGAGGTTGCAGTCAGCCGAGATTGTGCCATTGCACTCCAGCCTGGGCGACAGAGCGAGAGACTCCATCTCAAAACAAAAACAACAACAAAAAAAGAGAATGTGAATGATTTTTCCTATTTGCACAGACTTTGATATTTTACAAGCCTTAGCTTCAAGCCTGACGAGGAAGTAAAACCAAATCTGGAGTCAAAGAACCTAGCTTTGGCCCTAACTTGGTCGTTATTTGCTCTCTGACTGTGCACCAGTTCCTTCCCTTTCCTGGGTTTGCCATTTGTGCAATTAGGAGGTGGGCTTATTACAAAAAACCTGAAGGTGTCTCCTAGTCTTCACTTATTGAGTCTTGTACTTTAGATCTGGATGGAGATTTGTGAAGGCAAGGAGATTGAAGACATGTCCTCATAAGAGGGAGAAAATCTGAGCTGGTTCCAGGGTGAGCAGAGAGGAGGTGCTGTCGCCAGAGCATGCCCTCAAGGTCATGGGAGAAGTTTTTCCGGAGGACGAGAATGTGGGTGTGGCTCAGAGAGGGGGGACCTGGAGGGAAGGGTGTCACCTGGAAGGAACTGGTGATAGTCAGGACTGTGCAATCAGATCACGGGGCGGCTCCGCGATGGACCTTACTCAACTCCTCTCCTTAGTCCATCCCTTTCCCTTTCGATCCTTGCCTTAACCCAACCCCTTATCTGTCACTCCAAGACCCCACCCCACTCTGGTCACTCCATGGCTCTGCCTCCTCTCCTGTCACAACCAGCCGGGTTACTCCCCATCACTCCATGGGCCCACCTCCTCTCCTGTCCCGCCTGGCCCCGCCCCTCCCTTGGCACTCCACGGTTCCACCCTCTCCCTTGTCACACCCGGCCCCGCCCCTTCTGCTTTCACTCGACGGCGTCACTCCTTCCGGCAAGTCAGCTCCACCCCTATCCCTCGACTTTTCCTTATAGTATTTCTGTCCTTGCCAACCTCGATCCCTCCCCAACCAGACACGGCCCCGCCCCCTCTGGCACCGCCCACCCGCCAGACTAAGCCACTCCCCCACTCACCAGGCCCCGCCCCTCTACGGAGGCCCCGCCTCTAGTTCGGCCTGTTTTCTCAGTCCCGGCACCCGCCGCGACCGCAAAGGCGGCCGCGGTTCTAGGAACTTGACGTGATGGGGCTTCCTGAGGAGCGGGTCCGGAGCGGCAGCGGGAGCCGGGGCCAGGAGGAAGCTGGAGCCGGAGGCCGGGCGCGGAGTTGGTCTCCGCCGCCCGAGGTCAGCCGCTCCGCGCACGTCCCCTCGCTGCAGCGCTACCGCGAGCTGCACCGGCGCTCCGTGGAGGAGCCGCGGGGTGAGGCCCGGCCCGGGCGGGCCTGGGGTGTCAGTGAGGAGAAGAGTGGGGGCTCCCTGGGGGAGTCGGGGGCTCCCTTGGGAAGCTGAGGGGTGGGTGAGGAGATGGAGGTTCTGTGAAGGAAGAATTGCGGTTCTTTGAAAATGGAAAAGGGATTCCGGGAGGAGACGAGGGTTCCATGGGAGCTGGGGAGTTCCCTGCAGACTTGGAGGGTCCGTGGTGGAGATGCGGGTTTTTGCGAGGAGACGCGGGATTCCGTGAGGGAAGAAGTGAGGTTCCTTGAGATTGGGACGGGGAGGTCGGCCAAGAGAGTGAAAGTTTCATGGGAAGAGAAGGGGAGTTCCTGAGGCGAAAAGAGGGTCTCTAAGGGGCGACGGGAGCCTTGAAGGGAGGAGGGCCACGAATAGAACTTTCTTTGCTTCCCTTTCACACCAGCTCAGCCACTGCCTCCTGAGACCCTTAACCTGTGAACTGTTGAGGGCAATAACGGGTCTGGTTCCCATCTTGGGGTCCTCAGATTAGTAATGGAGTCCCCGATCTATTTTTAGTATATCGGACATCCTAATGGAAATTACGCGGTATAAGACTGAACGAGTTACTACGATGTCAAGTTGTTTTATTTATTTTTTTAACTTGGGCTGGGATTGTATTAGTAATAGTTCAGAAGTTCTGATAGATGGTTCCATGTCTGTTAAAATGTATGAGGAAAATCGGCCAGGAGCAGTGGCTCACGCCTGTAATCCCAGCACTTTGGGAGGCCGAGGCGGGCGGATCACTTGAGGTCAGGAGTTCGAGACCAGCCTGGCCAACATGGTGAAACCCCCGTCTCCACTAAAAATACAAAAATTAGCCGGGTGTGGTGGCGGGCACCTGTAATCCCAGCTACTCGAGAGGCTGAGACAGGAGAATTGCTTGAACCCAGGAGGCAGAGGTTGCAGTGAGCCACGATAGCACCACTGCACTCCAGCCTGGGCGACAGAGCAAGACTTTGTCTCAAAAAAAAAAAAAAAAAAAAAAAAAAAAAAAGGTATAAGGAAAATCCCCCTACCCTTGCCCTCAGTCTGGGTAAAGGACAGATAGATAGACAGATAGATAGATAGATAGATAGATAGATAGATAGTTTGTTTTGAGACAAGGTGTTGCTCTGTCACCCATGCTGGAGTGCAGTGGCCCGTTCTAGGCTCACTATAGCCTGCATCTCCTGGGCTCATGCGATCTTTCCGCTTCAGCCTCCTGGGTAGCTGGGACTACAGGCGGACGCCATGACACCCAGCTACTTTTTTGTATTTTTTGGAGAGACGAGGTTTTGCCATGTTGCCCAGGCTGGTCTTGAACTCCTGGCCTCAGGCTTTCCTCCTTACTTGGCCTCCCAAAGTGCTGTGATTACATGTGCATGAGCTACTGCGCCTAGCCAAGGAGTCAAAATTGCACCCCCATTGGGAGGCAGCATGATGTTTGGTTGTGGGACAAACATGGGCCACGAATCAAATCCAGAAAAATCTAGATTTAGACCCTGGCTCTGCTGTTCATTTACTGTGGGGTCTTAGGCAAATTTTTAAGCCTGTCTGAGATTCCTTTTCTTCCATCTATAAGATAGGTCTAGTAATACTTGCCTAATGGGTTTGTATGAGGTCTAAAGTGTGTAATAAGTATGCGCTATAACATGCCTGATGCACAGTACACATTCAATAAATAGTAGTTAGTCTGATACAATATAAATCAAGCAATTACCAAGTAATGCAAGACAGGATTCAATCAAGTGTAAAGTGGTGGAGTTGGGATTTGAACCAAGACAGTTTGACTGCAGAATCCATATCCTAATAGCAATGCTATTCCTCTTCCATGACCCCACAGAATGCATTTCACCAAATTCCATCAAATACAGAATTTCTACCAGGGAAGCAGCCTCCTAATTTGTCCTCTCTTGCCTAGTTTCGCCAACTTGAGTCTTTCCAGTAGATTTATCAAGACACCATTAGATTGATATTATGGAAATATGCTTTCATATGTCACTGCAAAAACTTTCAATGGTTCCCTGTTTCTGGCAGTTTCTAATTAAAATTCTGCTTTTCTTTTTTTTTTTTTTTTCTTTTTTTTTTGAGACGGAGTCTCGCTCTGTCGCCCAGGCTGGAGTGCAGTGGCGCGATCTCGGCTCACTGCAAGCTCCGCCTCCCGGGTTCACGCCATTCTCCTGCCTCAGCCTCCCGAGTAGCTGGGACTACAGGCGCCCGCTACCACGCCCGGCTAATTTTTTGTATTTTTAGTAGAGACGGGCTTTCACCGTGTTAGCCAGGATGGTCTCGATCTCCTGACCTCGTGATCCGCCCGCCTCGGCCTCCCAAAGTGCTGGGATTACAGGCGTGAGCCACCGCGCCCGGCCTCTGCTTTTCTTTTAAGACCTCCAGATAATCTAGCTCCACCCTGCCTCTCTATTCTTATCTCCCACTACTTGCTACCACTCCCCTCATTCTAGATAGATCATTCTCCTTGATATCCTGGATACACATTTATTCCCACCTTCTTGCCTTTGTTCATTTCCTTCTGCTTCTCTCTACCTAGTCAAACTCCACCACTTCCAATAGAGCATTCACTGATCATCCCAATTTATGCTCACCTTTTTCCTCTTCTGAATATCTTTAGTACTTAGAAACTATGCCACTCATCCAGATTCTGACACACACACACACACACACACACACACACACCCCTACCCCCCCCAAAAAAACCCAGAAAAACTAAGTGTGCATAAAATTCAGTTTTGTAGCCAAACATGGTGACGCACGTCTGTAATCCTGCTACTCAGGAGGCTAAGGCACGAGAATTGCTTGAACCCGGGAGACGGAGATTGCAGTGAGCCAAGATTGTGCCACTGCACTCCAGCCTGGGCGACACAGCGATACCCTGTCTCAAAACAAAAACAAAAACACCTCAGCTTTCTTCATTCTTTGTTGATGGACATAAATGTGGTTTATAAATAGTTTTATATACTATATGCCTACTATTATCACTTGAAAATATTTTTGAGTATTTGTACTCTCGTTATTAGCTGCGTGGTCCTTGGCAGAGTTTCCTGTGCTTCCTGAGCTTCAGTTTTCTCATCTATAAAATTAGGATAATTAATGTATACTTTGTAAGACCATAATGTCATAAAGATTAAATGAGATTAGTCCAGTCCCTGATACATGAATGGCATTTACTAAATACTAGCTCTCATTTGCTTTCTCTTTAATGGCCATTTATTATTCTATGGTATTACTACTTGTATTACTAGTTTTCATCAGTTTGTTATTGTTGGGCTATTGGGTTGTTTCCAGTTTCACTATTATAGTGTTGCTATAAACATCTCTTTACTAATCACTTTTTTTCTTTGTGATTATTTTCTTGAAGTCTATTCCCTATAGTTGAGATAGCAGAGAAAAGGGTATAAAAAGTTTTATGGGCTGGGCGTGGTGGCCCACACCTATAATCCCAGCATCCTTTGGGAGGGCAAGGTGGGCTCCCAAAGCTTGAGCTTAGGAGTTTAAGAACAGCCTGGGTAATATGGCCAAACCCTGTTTCTACAAAACAAACAAACAATGTGCGCCTGTAGTTCCAGCTACTGGTGGGGGAGGGGGTACAGCTGAGATGGGGGGATCACTTGAGCCAGGGAGATGGAGGTTACAGTGAGCTGAGATCATGCTACTGCACTCCAGCCTGGGTGACAAAGAGCGAGACACCGAGCTAAAAAAATAATAATAATAGAAATTAAAAAAAAAAAGTTTTATGGCTCTTGTCATGCATTGCCTTGCAATCTAATAAGACTGCGCCAATTTCTTACAATGCCATTATTGTGTAAGAGTATCTGTTTTCCCAGGGCCACCCAGACATTGGGCTTAATAATTTTTTTAAATTTTTACTAGTTTTCTAGGTATATAATGGCACCTTGGGGTTGATTTAATTTGGATTTCTTTAATACATTACAACGTTGTACACTATGTGATTTAGCTTTCAATTATATTCTGTCTTGTACATTAAAAAATATTTCATGTGTTAATCTTATCTCTCCAACTAGATTGTATAAGCTCTAAATTGTGTAACCTGAAACAAATGACTTAGCTTCTATGAATTTTATTTCTTATGAAATGAAATGAGGGGGTGATAATCTGTAAGGTTACTTCCATTGTTACGGTTCTAATTGCTTCTCTTTCCTCCAAATTTTTTTTTTTTTTTTTTTTTTTTTTTGAGATAGAGTCTTGTTCTGTTGCCTAGGCTGGAGTACAGTGGTGCAATCTCAACTCACTGCAACCTCCACCTCCCAGGTTCAGGCGATTCTCCTGCCTCACGCTCCTGAGTAGCTAGGAATACAAGCACCCGCTACCACACCTGGCAATTTTTTTTTTTTTTTTGTATTTTTAGTAGAGACAGGATTTCACCATGTTGGTCAGGCTGGTCTCGAACTCCTGATTTCAGGTGATCCGCCCGCCTTGGCCTCCCAAAGTGCTAGGATTACAGGAGTGAGCCACAGTGCCTGGCATCCTCTAACTCTTGATTCAGTACTCAGACTATCCTAAATTCTCTGCATTCATATGTTTTACCTGTTGAGTACATTTTCTGCAGAATAGCCAGGCAGATATTTTAAGAATGTAAATTTGATCATGTTACTTGCTTAAAACCCTTCAATGAATTTTCATTGCTCTTGGGATATATACCAAATTCCTTATTATACACAGAATTGCATGATTTGCCCAGTTTATGCATCAATTCCTGCTATTCTTTCCCTTATTCTCAGTGTTTCAGCCTCAAGGAGTTCCTCCTAACATATGCCCTTGGTCTCTTTTTTTCATATGGGAGTGGAGAAAAACTTCTATTCATCTTTCAGATTTTAGCAAAAATGTCTCAAGGAAGTTTAGATCTTGACTTAGTAATTGTGTAACCTTAGACAAGTTATTTAACCTCTCTGAGCCTTGATTTTCAAGTTTATAAAATGAGAAAAGCCTCCCTTCTAGAGTTGTGGTAAGGATTAAATGAGATAATACATATGAAAAGCTTAAAGAAACATTTGGCACATAGTGAATAACACTTATATAAGTAGAAGCTGGAGAAGGAGATGCTCAATATATAATTGCTGAGAGAGAATGCACGAATTAAGAGAAGAAAGAGTTGGTCATGGAAGGTTCTGTGGGTGAAGAATTTTTTCTTTTTACTAATTACTTCATTAAAAAATTTACTTTCTAGTTAGACAGATGGTGAAAAAAATTGTACCTGATTTCAGCAGAACTCGGTGTGTACCTATAATCCCAGCTTCTTGGGAGGCTGAGGCAGGAGGACAGCTGAGTCCAGGAGTTTAAGACAAGCCTGGGCAACAGCAACAAAAAATTACTGATTGCCTATTTTGTGCTAGGCATTGTGCTAGTACTAGGTGGCTCTGATTTTAATAGATGGTAAAAAGTGAGTAGGCAGTCTTGAGGACAGGAGGAAGAATTTGAGTCAAGATTCAGCCCAAGAGAATAGAAGATGGGTTAGAAGAGTGTTGGCTGCTGGCCGGGCGCGGTGGCTCAAGCCTGTAATCCCAGCACTTTGGGAGTCCGAGGCGGGCGGATCACGAGGTCAGGAGTTCGAGACCAGCCTGGCCAACATAGTGAAACCCCGTCTCTACTAAAAATACAAAAATTAGCCAGGCGTGGTGGCACGCGCCTGTAGTCCCAGCTACTCGGGAGGCTGAGGCAGGAGAATTGCTTCAACCGGGGAGGCAGAGGTTGTGGTGAGCCGAGATCATGCCACTGCACTCCAGCCTAGGTGTCACAGTGAGCCTCCATCTCCAAAAAAAAAAAAGTGGTGGGTGCTAAGATTAGACAGGTAAAGAAGGGACCCAGGTGGTGGGTCCTAGGGCAAGGAAGTTATAATTTGGTCCTGTGTATAGACTGGTAAGCCTTCTGAGGCTAAATATGTCTCAGAAGATTAATGATATCTGGGCTTCCATTTCTGTTGCAGAATTCTGGGGAGACATTGCCAAGGAATTTTACTGGAAGACTCCATGCCCTGGCCCATTCCTTCGGTACAACTTTGATGTGACTAAAGGGAAAATCTTCATTGAGTGGATGAAAGGAGCAACTACCAACATCTGCTACAATGTACTGGATCGAAATGTCCATGAGAAAAAGCTTGGAGATAAAGTTGCTTTTTACTGGTAAAAATATCTATCTTATACTTGGTGGCAGATAAAAACACTCATTTGATACTTACAACAACCCAGTAGAGTAAGCAAAGTGTCATCAACTTAATGCCTCAGGTGAGGAAAAATACCTCAAGGAAGCTACATGACTTCCTTCAGATCACATAACTAGTATGTGACAGAGCTGACATTCAAAGCCAAGTGTCCTGACTTCTAGTCTAGTGTTCTTGGCTTTGTAGTTGAAGAGGGAGAAAGGGCATTGGCAAATGGAAGAGAACAAGACTGAGTAGCTTTCTTCCTCATTCTTGCTTTGGAAGACAAATAGTATTGGGTTTTTCACCACCACTACTACCACTACCATTATCATTATCTTTTACAGAGCTGTGTGCCAGAAACTATGCTTAAGTGCTTAACAAATACTATCTCCTTTGATGCTTATAATAATTATGAAAGCACTATTTGTTTTCCTCATTTTACATAGGTGAAAACTGAAATTCTGAGAAGTCAAGTGACATATCTGAAGTGAAACAACTAGCTAGAAGCAAGGCTGAGATTCAAACCTAGGCAGTATAATTACAGAGCTTACACACAACCATGACACTCTATTATTCCTCTAATTCCTTACCTTGGCCTCTCAACAGGTTTGTAAAATAGGAATTCTTAGTTTCATTTTATAGGTGAACAAATGAAGCATTGAAGGGTTATGTAGTGAATAAGGTCATAGAGTGAATAAGTGGTAGAGCCAGGATTCAAATTCAAGTCTGCCTGACTCCTTGCTTGTACCACTAGGCCATGCAGCCTCCCCAGCAGGAAATTTCTAAGACTGCTTCTCCCAGGAATTTAGCTGTCTAGGAGATACTACTATACCGAATCCAAATAGGACTTAGAAATTCCAATAATTGGGGTGTTGCTTCTGCCACAATCTATGAGCACTCAGAGTTGATCTATTGTTTTTGTATTGTTTTGTTTTGTTTTGTTTTTTTGGAGACAGGATCTTGCTCTGTTGCCCAGCCTGGAGAGCAGCGGCATGATCTTGGCTTACTGCAACCTCTGCCCTGCCTCCCCTGCTCAAGCAATCCTGCCACCTCAGCCTCCTGAGTAGGTGGGACTACAGACATGCACCACCACGTTTGGCTAATTTTTGTATTTTGTATTTAGTATTTTTTGTAATGATGGGGTTTCACCATGTTGCCCAGGCTGTTCTCAAACTCCTGAACTCAAGCGATCCACCTGTCTTGGCCTCCCAAAGTGCTGGGATTAGTGTGAGCCACCATGTCTGGCCTGATTAATTATTTAAGCTAGCCAATAGGAGCAGCTTGGATGCTTCATGGGAGAGTTAAATTGAAACTCACTCAATATCTTTGCCCAGTTTGTGTGATATATTGAGAAGAGCCTTAACCTGAGAGACAAGAAATTTAGGTTCTCCTTTCAACTCTGCCATTAACATGTTATATAACCACAGACAAGGCATTTAACTAAGAGTCAGTTTCCTCTTCCATAAAATGGGGATAATAATTCTATCCTTGTTTTTCTCTCTAGATTGTTGTAAGAATCAAATGAGATAACGTTGTAAAAGCACTTATTTGTTTATTGGAAAACACTGTATAGGTGTGAGTGGTCTATTATTATACTACCATTGCTTAGTTGGGGGCCAGTTTGTCACTGAAATTCACTGTCCATTGTGTCTGTTGAGACTCTCTTTAGCTTCTGCTCTAGAGCTTTATGCTTGAGCTCCAGCCAACACTTGGGCTCATTTCCCAGGCTCTTTAAAGATCAGAAAACCTTTAAAGATCTTCAAAGGAGGCCGGGCATGGTGGCTCATGCCTGTAATCCCAGCACTTTGGGAGGCTGAGGCAAGAGGGTTGCTTGAGCTTAGGAGTTTGAGACCAGCCTGGGCAACACAGTGAGACCCCCATCTCTATTTCACAAAAAAGAAAGAAATAGGCTGGGCATGGTGCCTCATGCCTGTAATCCCAGCACTTTGGGAGACCAAGGCAGGTGGATTGCTTGAGCTCAAGAGTTCGAGACCAGCCTGGGCAACATGGCAAAACTCCCTCTCTACATAAAAGACAAAAATTAGCTGGGCATGGTGGTGCACGCCTGTAGTCCCACCTACTTGAAAGGCTGTGGTGGGAGGATTGCTTGAGCCCAGGAGGCGGAGGTTGCAGTGAGCACAGATCACACCACTGTACTCCAGCCTGGGCAACAGAGCAAGACCCTGTCTCAAAAAGTAATAGTAATAAAAATAAAATAAGAAAAATAAAAAGAGGAAAAAAAAGATCATAAAAGGAAATGCTTGTATCTGAATTTGTTCCCTGGTTTGAAAGAACTCAGGTGCCTAATGGAAAACAGAATACACAGGCCAGAGTTTTCAATCACTGGAGAGTTTTCCAGAATCCTGAGGCCCTTTCTTTCTAGAGACACCAGTTCCCCTACCACCCTTACCTGAACAGGCTCTGGAGAGCCTCTCTTTCCCCATCTGTAAAATGAGAGGAGTAGACTAGATCAGCATTTTCCAAAGAATGCTTCAGGAACTGCTAATTACTGGAGATATTAGTAGGGGGCTTCTTAATTCATAAAATGATTGAGTCTGAGAAACACTACATAATAAATTGCCTTTGTGTGAGATTCCCAATGTGTATTAGCATAGTAAAATCTCCAAGATGTCCTATATTAGAGATACCTGATTAATTTTGTTTAACATAGGATTTCCTGAATTTATTGAAGCCCCAAACACTTTTTGCCAGCATGCTATTGATATCACAAGAAGCAGTATTCCATGGAACACCCACTGGGGAAGCACTGGATTAAATAATCTCTAAATTTACTTCCAGTGCAAAATTCTGTAACTCAAAAACAAGACATCCTCACTCCATTTTTACATTGGTCACTCCCTCAACAAGAATTGTTAAAGATATTGGATACTCAGGGCTGCATTAGGCATTATGGATATGGGGGTAAAAAGGCAGGAGACAAGTACCATATAGGCAATTACTATTTAATTATTTTATGTTTATAGTAAAGCAAAAGCAAAATACAAATAAATTGCATTTTATTATAAGAAAGTAAAGTGCAAATATGCCGGATATGTGGTTACATCCCTTTGTTGCCTCTATATTTTTAAATGATATGCTTATACTGCTATTTTTCATCATTTTTAAAGAAAGTATTGATTTCTTACTACGATAGATAAGAATTTAGTTCTTATATACCTCTCTAACTTCCTTCTCTCTTCTTCTCAATATAATTATAGCTGTTTTCTAGTTAATTTAAAATCAGTTTACATAAGAATAGCATACTGTGGTTATATTTCCTTTTATGTACGGATTTTTATTTACTCTGAAGTTAATAATTGCTTACTGGGCTGGGTGCAGTGGCTTATACCTGTAATCCCAACACTTTGGGAAGCAGAGGCGGGCAGATCACCTGAGGTCAGGAGTTCTAGACAAGCCTGGCCAAAATAGTGAAACCTCATCTCTACTAAAAATACAAAAAAAAAATTAGCTGGGCATGGTAGTGCACACCTGCAGTCCCAGCTACTTGGGAGGCTGAGGCAGAAGAATCGCGTGAACCTGGGAGGCAGAGGTTGCAGTGAGCCAAGATCACACCACTGCCCTCCAGCCTGGGTGACAGAGCAAGACTCTGTCTCAAAAAACAATAAAAGTAATAATAATAATTGCTTACCGTTTTTCTTTTTGTACTATTTAAGCCTTTATCATATATTTAATATTTTCCAATCTCACTATCATATGAAATCCTCCTTTTCCTCCCAAAGTTCTCCCTCTTGGAGCTCACTTCTTTCTGTTCTAATTCTTACTAATGCTTTTAAAAATGACATCTTTTCTGTGATTCGCTCCAATTGATATACTTCTTATAGAAACACATTATGGCTTTCTTCTTAACTTTATGTCATTTAGACAGCTATGGTGGCATTAACAAGCCACATTTGTAGCTAGTTTCTTGTTTTGGAACATACATTGTGTAGTCATTGAAATTATCCACAAAGGAAATGGTGCTCTTAGGAAAGTACTCCCATTATCCAAAATAGAACCATATTAAGGAATAATTTGGCCTTTTACTTTTGGCTTGACACATTGCAAATGTTCACGGAATAGTAGTATTTTTAGAACTTGAAGTGACCGTTAGAGTCCATCTAGGCCAACTCTCTTCAAAGATTGGTAGATTAAGGGACAAAGAAGCTAAGTGATTTGCCTAAGGGTCATACACCTGTTTGAAGACAGAACTGAGACTAATCTCCAGATACTCTCACTCCTAGTCAACTATTTTTTTTCACTCGTGACACTACCTCATTATTCTAGTAGTCCAGCACTTGGCTGTGACAGATAAAAAGAGAAATTAGCCACATTAGCCAAACTGATTTAAATTAACTTTAAAATACCAGATAAAATGTGTTATTAGGTTTAAATGTCCCAGACCCTAGTCTCATGGAATTTACATTCTATTTGGAAAGACCAAATAGATTGGCCGGGCACAATGGCTCATGCCTGTAATCCCAGCACTTTGGGAAGCCAAGGCAGGTGGATCACCTGAGGTCAGGAGTTCGAGACCAGCCTGGCCAACATGGTGAAACCCTGTCTCTACTAAAAAATACAAAAATCAGCTGGATGTGGTGGCAGGTGCCTGTAATTGCAGCTACTTGGGAGGCTGAGGCAGGAGAATGGCTTGAACCCAGGAGGCAGAGGTTGTAGTGAGCCGAGATCGTGCCATTGCACTCCACCCTGGGCGACAAGAGCGAAACTCCATCTCAAAAACAAAATAAAACAAAACAAATAGATCTACATAAAAACAGCCTGGGCCAGGCATAGTGGCTCACGCCTGTAATCCCAACACTTTGGGAGGCTGAGGCGGGCGGATCACCTTAGGTCAGGAGTTCAAGATCAGCCTGGCCAACAAGACGAAACCCCATCTCTACTAAAAATACAAAAATAGCCAGGTGTGGTGGCGCACTCCTGTAATCCCAGCTACTTGGGAGGCTGAGACAGGAGAATTGCTTGAACCCAGGAGACAGAGGTTGCAGTGAGCCGAGATCAAGCCAATGTACTCCAGCCTGGGCAACAGAGCAAGACTCCATCAAAAAAAAAAAAAAAAAAAAAAGCCTGAAAAGAATTATGGGCCAAACTGCAAAGAGCTACTTACACAAATAGTTCACAGAAAGGAAAAAGCCTTATAGGGAGGCAGGATAATATAAAGATTAGGAGAATGGGTGTTTTGGTGTCAGACTAACCCAGTTTGAGTCCTATTTTTGCCACTAATTAGCTGTCTGATCTTGGGCAAGTTACTTAACCTCTTTGAGCCTCAGTTTTCTCAACTGTTAAACGTGGATAAAAATAGCTTTTATCTCATGGAGTTGTCAGTTTTGTAAGATTGAATAGGATAAAAAAAAACATGTCAAATTCCTGGCACATTGAATGCACTTAAATATTAGCCACCACAATTATTTATATTGGAACAGTGAGAAGACCAAGCATGTTTAGAGTAAAAGGTTTATGCAGGGAACAATTTATTCATTCAATAAATGCTTACTAAGAACTTATTAAGTGCCAGGCACTATTCTAAACAAAGTTCTTGCCCTCATGGAGGTTATAGTCCAGCTTGAGGAGACAGACAATAAACATAGAAACCAGTAAGTATATGACAGGTAGTGATGAGTACTATAGAAAAATATAGAGCAGAGTCAGGGGAAAGGGAAGTGACAGTGCAGAGTGGGAGCTGATAAGGAAAGAACCTTTTGATAAATATGACATTTGAGCAGAGATCTGAAGGAAAGTATGGAGTGTGCCACGCAGATAGTTGGGGTAGGGAGGGGAAATGTTCCAGGTAGGTGGAGAACAAATGTGCTGCTGCCTGGTGTGTTTGAAGACTAGCTAGGAAGTTAGTGTAGCTAAAATGTGTGAGCTAGGGAAGAGAGAGTAGTATTGACACCAGCAGGATATTAGATCATGTCACATCTTGAAAGCCAATGTAGACTCTGGCCTTTTATTCATGGTAAAATGGGAAACCACTAGACAATCTTTTTTTTTTTTTTTTGAGACAGAGTCTCGCTCTGTTGCCCAGGCTGGAATGCAGTGGTACGATCTCGGCTCACTGCACCCGCCATCATGCCTGGCTAATTTTTATATTTTTGTATTTTATTTTATTTTTTTTTGAGATGGAGTCTCGCTCTGTTGCCCAGGCTGGAGTGCAGTGGCACAATCTTCGCTCACTGCAAGCTCTGCCTCCTGGGTTCACACCATTCTCCTGCCTCAGCTTCCCGAGCAGCTGGTACTACAGGCGCCCGCCACCATGCCCGGCTAATTTTTTGTATTTTTAGTAGAGATGGGGTTTCACCATTTTAGCCAGGATGGTCTCTATCTCTTGACCTCGTGATCCACTCTCCTCGGCCTCCCAAAGTGCTGGGATTACAGGCGTGTGCCACTGCGCCTGGCCAATTTTTGTATTTTTAGTAGAGACAGGTTTTCACCATGTTGGCCAGGCTGGTCTCAAACTCCTGACCTTGTGACCCGCCCGCCTCGGCCTCCCAAAGTGCTGGGATTACAGGTGTGAGCCACCATGCCCACCCACACCACTAGACAATCTTAAGCACAGACGTGATAATGATTTGGCTTCTATTTAGGCTCTATCTTTTATATTAAGAAGAGACTGTAGAAGGGGAAAAGTAGAAGCAGGGTAACCAATTAGGAGGCTATTGTAGAAATCCAGGTGATAGATTGTGGTGATTTAGACCATAGTAGTAGTCATGAAGATGGTTAGATGTGGTCAAATTCTGGATCTATTTTGAATGAAGAACCTATGGAATTTGCTGACTTGGATTGGGTCTGGGGAGTGAAAGAGGAGTTACGGTTGTCATCAACAGCGGATGAGGTCCAGGTATGGGAGATCTTGACTATTTTTGGAGATCTGTGAAAGGATTGCATGCAGCGGAAGTCGCAGCAGAGGTTAAGAGGATTCATCTGGATACATATGGAAATGGGAATGTGAAGCCAGAGAACTGAGAGTTTGTTATTCAGTCCTGAACTAGGATGCTGCTGGTGGGAATGGAATGGAACAATGACATTTTAGAGTGATTTGATAATTTTACAGTAATTTAATCTGTATAAAGGGCTTAGTGCTTGGCAGAAAGTGTATTAGCTATTTTTTTCATTATGGAAAGAAACCAGCACAGGTAACTAGGTGTGTAGATGGTGGAGAGACAGGGAGAAAGTGAAAGGAAAGAGTCAAGGATTCTCCTAGTCTATATAAACACTGCCTCTTTTGAAGGCACACGTTCATCTGCTCCAAGGGCTAAATTTTCCCTGCAAAATACAGACTTTGGTTCCAACTTTCTCATGCTGTCTTCCCCCTGGTGTGGCAGATAAATATGTTAGTGGGGGTGCATGTGTATATGTATGGGAAAATGATCAGTGACAAGGTATTGGGATAGTCATTCAGGGAGAGAGAGTCAGTGAGGGTGTTAGAGGTAGCTGAAGGAGTGGAAGGGAGTTAGCTAGTTGAAGGAACACTGGAGGACTGTCGGGGATTTGGGGGATTAAGTAAAAGGTTTATAAGGAGAGGGTGGAAAGAGTGGTTGATGGCTGATATTCTGATCATTTATACTAGCTACTCAGTCTCTACTTTTTCTAGAAGTCCCCAGTAACCAAAGCCCAACACATTTGGTATCGTTGATTCCTTCCATTGTTTGCTTTGCTTTGGGTTGCCTAAGGCTGTGGTTATCTCTGAGCCACCTAAATTCTCACCCTCAGCTGAAATCACTACTGTCTCTTCATGGCTCTCAGTATATTTCAATCCTTCTTCAGGAACTGGAGCTTTTGAGAATAAGGCAACTTTAGGATTGACCCTAGGACAGAAGCTCTGCTCTCAGGATCCTTGTATGCTCCTGAATATGAATTCCATAGTATGATATTTGGAGCTCCCCAGATCCTTGTAGGCATATGTGTGTGTGTGTATTTGAGGCCAAAAAAAAAAAAAAAAAGTCCCTACCTCCCCATGTCACTGAAGTGAACTCCAGAATATGGACCTAGATAATTTAGAGTCCCTGGACATGAATGATAGGACAATATACTCTAGGGCTCTGATTTTCCATATCACCTTGACAAATCTCCTTGACAAAACATGGGCTTGCCTCACCTTCTCAACCATCCCCACCTTCTCAAATACACACACTACATCTATATCTTTACTAGTTTCACAACAGCATATCTATTGATTAAGATATATTTGGTAAAGAAAAACACTCATTTTGAGAAAGATGACTTCAGACCATTCTCTTCCTCTCTCTGGGCCTTCTCTTTGTGGGCATGATGGGAAATGAACTACAGATACTCTGCAAGGTCCCTTTCATCTCTAATCTTCCAGAATTCTATGACTGTTTCTGAAGAGAGGAAGCAGTTTTTAGAAGTTCTGTTGCAACCTGTAGTGACTCTGTGGTGACTCAGTAGGCGGGTTGAATTTCTGTTGAGATGGTAAGAAAGAGGGAGGATTTTGTTTATTTATTTATTTATTTAATTTATTTTCTATAATGATGTTGACACCATAAAGCAAGAATTTTAGAAGGTTTGGAATGAAGGGGCTGAGGAAGGAGTCTGTTCCTCTTGCCTGAGGGTTGTTTGTGGCTGGTAGCATAAATACTCAAAGCTAATGGGAGATACATGGGAAATACCTGTTGTTGGGAACAGTCTTTCTCCACTTGAATGAGGTGAGCAGATTGTGGAGGTGAGCTGGAGGATTTCATGTTTAAGGTGGATTTCTAACCTGCTTCTCTCATTTCTCCCTGAGTTTTATGACCCTTGACACTTTACAGAACACCTCCCTAAAGTGGTGAAAATGAGACAAGTAGGCTGTACTTTCCGAGTCACTTTTTTTGGAAGTAGGTGGCATATGAATAATAAATGTATTGCTCTGAAGACTCTGTCTTGAGGCCTGTTTCAGTGTCCTGAGCTTCATATCAGCTACCTGAGTTTGTGTCTGGGCCAACTTCTTATACTGGCATGTTCAGTAAACATTTAATGAAAAGAATGGCTTTAGTTAATGCCCTTTTCTAAGCCTTCTTTTTCCCACTTATAAACTGTTAGGGATGTACAAGACTCTTTTTTAAGTTACTTCTGGCACTGACCTTCAGAATTTCTGTCACAAATGCAGGGAACTGCCTGGATAAATTCTCTACATTTCTGGGAGAAGTTAGGGGAGAGGAGGAACTGGCCTCCTCTCCTTTGAAGATACTAGGTGGTCAGATGGGAGCAGGGGTTCTTGCCTTATGGCAGCCCCACATTTATAACAATTAACTCAGAAGGCGTGGAGTTGAGGATGGGCCTTCCCCCACTTCCTGGATTTGGTTTGGGAGAGGTTGGGCACTGGTAATGATCCCCGGTGTCTCACATCTTGAACCTCTGAGAATTCAAGACTCTCAGTTTCAGTCCTTAGAGGTCATTTGGTCCAATTCCCACACAAATCAGGAATTGTAGTACCAATATCCCAATCCCTAACAATCCCCATAAGTTATCATTCTGATTCTGGGTCATTCTCATTCAATTCCTACATCTCTACCTTAATACTTACTAGTTGGGCAAGTTACCTCACCTCTTTAAACCTCAATTTTCATGTCTGTAAAATGGAAATAATAAGTCCTGTGACATAGATTGTTGTAAGGAAGAATTGGAATAATCTATATAAAGGGCTTAGTGCTTGGCAAAAAGTGTATTAGCTATTTTTATTATTATGCCAAAACCCTATACCTAAAACAGGTAACAGCGGTGCTGATCTGGTTGGAGCATGGATGGGAGGCCTAGAGCCACATTCTGTAGGCTTCTCCACCCTGTTACTGTGTTCCCTGTGAGGTGTGTGTCTGGAATCCCTAGGGATTTGCAAAGCTCAGTTTGAAAACCCCTGATCTAGTCCAGTGTTCTTGTTTTATAAATGAAGTGATACTGAGTCCACAGTCTCAGGTTCCTCATATGATGTGGCTTCCTAAACAACCATGTCGGTCTCCCCTGGATATACTTTAGTTGGCCAATATCTCTCATTAAGTATTCCAGCTATGGTCTGACTTGAACAGGGTACTATTACCATTCTTTCACTTTACATATCTAAGATTATATTAGCCTCATTGACAGCCACACTCTCCAGTCAGTTTATAATCTCTCATAATACTTAAGATTTTCCTTTTCTTTCTCTCTTTCTCTCTCCTTTTCCTTTTTCCTCTTTCTCCTTTCATTTCCTTCCCTTTCCTTCCCTTGTTTGTCTCACTCTGTTGCTCAGGCTGGAGTGCAGTGGTGCAGTTGTGGCCCACTGTAGCCTCAAACTCCAAGGTCCAAGTGATCCTCCCACCTCAGCCTCCTGAGTAGCTAGGAGCACAGTCATGCACCAACACAATCAGCGAATTTTATTTTTATTTTTATTTTGAGACAGAATTTTGCTCTTGTTGCCCAGGCTGGAGTGCAATGGTGTGATCTTGGCTCGCTGTAACCTCTGCCTCCTGGGTTCAAGCAATTCTCCTGCTTCAGCCTCCTGAGTAGCTGGGATTACAGGCACACACCACCATGCCCAGCTAATTTTTTTTTTTTTTTTTTTGTATTTTTAGTGGAGACGTGGTTTTGCCATGTTGGCCAGGCTGGTCTCAACTTCCTGACCTCAGGTGAGCTTCCTGCCTCAGCCTCCCAAAGTGCTGGGATCACAGACGTGAGCCGTTGTGCCTGGCCAGCTTGGAATTTTGAATTAGAGAAGGTACAAGAGAAGACTGCAAAATCTCAGATATAGGAGGGCCTTGGACTACCTATTATCTCTTTTTGGGATATAAAGTTTTTAGAACAGCCCTCTTCTAGGGTTCTAAGGTCTGGTCTACTTATGGTTTTACTATCATGGTTTATTATCATGGTTACCTTATGGTTTTACCATCTTGGAGCATCATTATTTTATTTAAATAAAATAAATACAACCCTGAAACTATTCACCCTGGAATACTTTACACACAGAGTTGCCCGTACAGAAAACATCTCTAGAGCATATGAACACCTGCATTTCTAAGTGTGATTTTTTTGACCAGAGACTAATTTTTGAAACCAACGTTTGCTTCTTTTTGACCATGATATTTTAATACATGAAAATCTATCCAAAGGAGCAGTCACAGAGGGTTCTTGTTGAACTTTAGTTTCTGAGCTGCTTTTGAGGATGGTTACTTGAGGTGTCCTCCAAACTGCCACATATAGTGAGTTAGAGAATCTGCCAGGCACAGTGGCTCATGCCTGTAATCCCAGAACTTTGGGAGACTGAGGAGGGAGGATCACTGAACTCAGGAGTTTGAGATCAGCCTGGGCAACACAGGTAGACCCCATCTCTATAAAAAATTTTAAAATTAGGCCAGGCGTGGTGGCTCACACCTGTAATCCCAGCTACTCGGGTGGCTGAGGCAGGAAAATCGATTGAACCTGGGAGGCAGAGGTTGAAGTGAGCCAAGATCATGCCACTGCACTCCGGCCTGGGTGACAGAGTGAGACTCTGTCTCAAAAAATAATAATAATAAATAAAAAATTAGCTGGGTATGGTCATGCATGCCTGTGGTCCCAGATATTTGGGAGGCTGAGGTGGGAGGATTTCTTGAGCCTGGGAGGTTGAGGCTGCAGTGAGCGGTGATCGTGCTACTGCACTCCAGCCTGGGTGAGACCCTGTCTCAAAAAAGAAGTTAGGGAGTCCTAATACAACATCTGGATTTGTTAAAAATCTGTCTAGTTGTTTTCATATGATGGGAAACAAACTGACAGAAATCTAATTTTATTTATATGGATAGCCATGCTGTACTTGCTAAGACCACAAGAATAGGCTCAGAGAGAGGGGAAAGTTTGTGTAAATTATACATTGAATTAGGGGTAAACAATCTAGTCTGATGACTCCATATTCAGAGCCAGGGTTTCCCAATTTTAGTTTATGTAAATAATTACCTGAGGATGTCGTTAGAAATCCAGATTTCTGGACCCTATCCCAGACTATTGAGTTAGAATCTCCAGAGGATAAGACCTCTGACTTGTATTTTTGTAACCTCCTCAGACAATTCTGATGTTGGGGGGAGGGACAAAGTACCATTGAAAAATTATTTAGATTAATAACCTTAAACTCTTAAAATTATATACCTAAAAGAATTTTGAAAAATTATGTAACTCTTGACATAATGTTCATATCTAAAAATTTTATCATAAGATTTAAAAATTGCAAAAAATCGAATTTCCAAAACATTTTACATATTATATACACACATATATATATATGCACATATAGGTTATACCTCTTTCAAAACATTGGCACTGCAAATTTAGCTCATATAATTTATAGAAGACATCTACCATACAACCTGTTTTGCATAGCCAGTTATCACCCAACATAATCAGCCAAATCAGATCTACTGTGTTAGAAATTGCCTAACTTCTTTCTTAAGATAAATATGTTAATATATGACTCTGTGATAACTGTTTCACTTCTGAGTTGTAATTCTAAGAGATATAAGGCAAGTAGTCTTGCCATGAGTTTGTTACGTGGATGAATTAAGATGCCAATTCTTTCAATACTGATTTCTCAGAGAAGCTCTCATTGATTTGCTTTCTTGGGGCTCTCCCTCAGAAGTTATACATTCTCAAATTGTCCCTTTGTTTAACACTTTGTTCATACCCTGTCATTGTACCATAATAAAGTTTGAGATAAGAGAGAGCTATGACATTCTTGTTTAACGTGGGAGAAGGGTAATTGTAAAAGAGAGTGAGAAAGAAGAACCAACTCAGACAGATCATTGTTAGGAAATATTACATATGGAAGTTGAGGATCTAGACATTTATTCTCTTCATATTTTTCTGTGCAGGTACTCACAGGAATAGAGTACCGTAGATTGAGGACTAATGATTTAAACTGCCTTTGACCTAGATAATAGAGAACCATTGTAATGAATATTTTTGCATGTGTCTATTATACTTGAGAGACTTGATGTACACATAAAATGATGCCCCTGGATTTTCTTTCCACTTTCTGTTTCTGCTCTAGGCATATTCCTCTTTTGGGCTGCATTCCAAATGCTCTGCCCTCATTCACTTGTTATAGGTAAGGCCAGCATGGGACACAGGATGGTAGGAACAAGTGTGTGATTCCCCTCCTGTAAGTAGGCATGTAGGCAGTGAGAAAAGAGAAGAGGTACACAATCCATCGGGCACCAAAGCCACTTTGGCCAAGGGGAACATGCAAAAGGTATTTGGATCAAGGCCTGAAAATAGCTGGCAAGAGGACAGGGTACAATAATAGCCCAGACTGCAGGGCAGGAGTCCCATACTCTGAACCTCAGCTCCAGGGTTCTCTTCCAGCCTCTTCACAGAGTCCCAGACTGAGCCCACTGTAGGATCTCAAGAAACACTTCTTGACATGATTCCAAAATCCATTCCACAAATTCCACTCTTGTCTTTCCTCTGCCTGTCCAGCATCTATCTTGTTTATCTGTATCCTATCTTATCCCCTCTCCTTCCATACTTTCTCTCTTTGATCATCTTGGATCCAGCTGGTCATATAAGCAGAGATAAGTTTGTTCATTTATTTATTCATTCTTTTATCTATTCATTTTACAATTATGTATTAAGTGCTCACTGTGTATTGGCCTTTGTGGTAAGCACTAAGGAGAAAACATATAAAAAGATATCCTGTCTGCCATTAAGGAACTCATAATCCAGTGAGGGAAACAGATGTCTACATAGGACTCTAGTGCTAGAAAAAAATAAGTGCCCAAGTGTTGTCTTTAGAAATAAACAGGCTGGGCGTGGTGGCTCACGCCTGCAATCCTAGCACTTTGGGAGGCCAAGGCGGGCGGATCACTTGAGGTCAAGAGCCTGGCCAACATGGTGAAACCCTGTCTCTACTAAAAATATAAAAATTAGCCTGTGGTGGCGGGGGCCTGTAGTCCCAGCTACTCGGGAGGCTGAGACATAAGAATTGCTTGAACCCGGGAGGCGGAGGTTGCAGTGAGCCGAGATAGCACCACTGCACTCCAGCCTGGGCAACAGAGCTAGACTGTCTCAAAAAAAGGAAAAAAAAAAATAGAAAGAGGCAAGAATGAATGAATGAATAGTGCTTAATCTTTCTAATGAATGAATAGTTACAACCTTTCTGGAAAGGAAGGTTTGTAAAGATGTCTGTATTTTCCAAATTAATCTGTACATTTATTGCAATTCCAATCAAAATTGCAATTATATTTTTTATTGAGATATAATTTATACCATATAATTCACCCATTTAAAGTATACAATTCATATTTTTAATATATTTGCAAAGGTGTACAACTTTCAATTTTAGAAAATTTTCATCACCCCCAAAAGAAGTGCAATACTCATTAGCAGTCATTTTTCATTTTCCCCCAACTTCTTCTCCTCCAGCTCTAGGCAACCACTAATCTACTTTCTGTCTCTAAGGCTCTGCCTTATTCTGGATGTTTCATATAAATGGAATCATATAACACGTGGCCCTTTGTGTCTGGTTTCTTTCACTAAGCATAATGTTTTCAAGGTTCATCCATGTTATAGGCCGGATGCAGTGGCTCATGTCTGTAATCCCAGCACTTTGGGAGGCTGAGGTGGGTGGATCACCTGAGGTTGGTGGATCACCTGAGCTTGGCAGTTTGAGACCAGCCTGGCCAACATGGTGAAACCCCATCTCTACTAAAAATATAAAAATTAGCCGGCCATGGTGGTGCATGCTTGTAATTCCAGGTACTTGGGAGGCTGAGGCAGGAGAATTGCTTGAACCCAGGAGACGGAGGTTGCAGTGAGCCAAGATCATGCCACCACACTCCAGCCTGGGCAACAAAGTGAGACTGTCTTAAAAAAAAAAAAGTTCATCCATGTTATACCATATATCAGTACTTCATCCTTTTACATTGCTGAATAATGTTGCATTGTATAACTGTATCACATTGTGTCCGGAATTGGTGGGTTCTTGGTCTCACTGACTTCAAGAATGAAGCCGTGGACCCTCACGGTGAGTGTTACAGCTCTTAAGGTGGCACGTCTGGAGTTTGTTCCTTCTGATGTTCGGATGTGTTCGGAGTTTCTTCCTTCTGGTGGGTTTGTGGTCTCGCTGGCTCAGGAGTGAACCTGCAGACCTTCACAGTGAGTGTTACAGCTCATAAAAGCAGTGTGGACCCAAAGAGTGAGCAGCAGCAAGATTTATTGCAAAGAGCAAAAGAACAAAGCTTCCACAGTGTGGAAGGGGACCTGAGCGGGTTACCACTGCTGGCTGGGGCAGCCTGCTTTTATTCTCTTATCTGGCCCCACCCACATCCTGCTGATTGGTAGAGCCAAGTGGTCTGTTTTGACAGGGTGCCGATTGGTGCGTTTACAATCCCTGAGCTAGACACAAAGGTTCTCCACATCTCCACCAGATTAGCTAGATACAGAGTGCCAACACAAAGGTTCTCCAAGTCCCCACCAGAGTAGCTAGATACAGAGTGTCAATTGGTGCATTCACAAACCCTGAGCTAGACACAGGGTGCTGATTGGTGTGTTCACAAACCTTGAGCTAGATACAGAGTGCCGATTGGTGTATTTACAATCCCTGAGCTAGACATAAAGGTTCTCCAAGGCCCCACCAGAGTAGCTAGATACAGAGTGTCCATTGGTGCATTCACAAACCCTGAGCTAGACAGAGGGTGCAGATTGGTGTATTTACAATCCCTTAGCTAGACTTAGAGGTTCTCCACTTCCCCACCAGACTCAGGAGCCCAGCTGGCTTCACCCAGTGGATCCCGCACTGGGGCTGCAGGTGGAGCTGCCTGCCAGTCCTGCGCCGTGTGCCTGCACTCCTCAGCCCTTGGGTGGCCGATGGGACTGGGTGCCGTGAGCAGGGGGCGGTGCTCGTCGGGGGGGCTCGGGCCGCACAGGAGCCCACGGTGGGGGTGGGGGAGGCTCAGGCATGGCGGGCTGCAGGTCCCGAGCCCTGCCCCGCGGGAAGGCAGCTAAGGCCTGGCGAGAAATGGAGCGCAGTGCTGGTGGGCTGGCACTGCTGGGGTACCCAGTACACCCTCCGCAGCTGCTGGCCCGGGTGCTAAGCCCCTCATTGCCTGGGGCCGGCAGGGCCGGCCGGCTGCTCCGAGTGCGGGGCCTGCCAAGCCCACGCCCACTCGGAACTCCAGCTGGCCCGCAAGCTCCGTGCGCAGCCCCGGTTCCCGCTCGGGCCTCTCCCTCCGCACCTCCCTGCAAGCTGAGGGAGCCAGCTCCGGCCTTGGCCAGCCCAGAAAGGGGCTCCCACAGTGCAGCGGTGGGCTGAAGGGCTCCTCAAGTGCCGCCAAAGTGGGAGCCCAGGCAGAGGAGGCGCCGAGAGCGAGCAAGGGCTGTGAGGACTGCCAGCACGCTGTCACCTCTCAACGTTATCACATTTTTTTCTTTCTTTCTTTCTTTCCTTCTTTCTTTCTTTCTTTCTTTCCTTCCTTCCTTCCTTCCTTCCTTCCTTCCTTCCTTCCTTCCTTTCTTTTTCTTTCTTTTCTTTCTTTTTTGTTTTTTTTTGAGATGGAGTCTTGCTCTTGTCGCCCAGGCTGGAGTGCAATGGCATGATCTCGGCTCACTGCAACCTCCGCCTCCCGGGTTCAAGCGATTCTCCCACCTCAGCCTCCCGAGCAGCTGAGGTACAGGCACTGGCCACCACGCCCGGCTAATTTTTGTATTTTTAGTAGAGACGGGGTTTCACCATGTTGGCCAGGCTGGTCTTGAACACCTGACCTTGTGATCCACCCGCCCCAGCCTCCCAAAGTGCTGGGATTACAGGCATGAGTCACCACACCTGGCCCCACATTTTTCTTTATTCATTCCTCAATTGGTGGACATTTGGGTTGTTTACACTTTCTGATGTCATGAATAACGCTACTACAAACCTTTGGGTACATGTTTTTGTGTAGATGTATGTTTTCAATTCTCTTGGGTATATAGCTAGGAGTTTAATTGCTGAGTCATATGGTAAGTCTATATTTAACCTATTGAGGAACTGCCAGACTGTTTTCCAAAGTAGCTGAACCATTTTATATTCCCGGCAATGTATGAGGTTTCCAATTTCTGCACATGCTTGTCAGCACTTGTTACTGTCTGTTTGTTTGATTATGGCCATCTTAGTGAGTGTGAAGTGGGATCTGATTGTTATTTTGATTTGTATCTCCTTGACCATGCCTGACCTTTTTTTTTTTTTTTTTTTTTTGAGACTGAGTCTCGCTCTGTCGCCCAGGCTGGAGTGCAGTGGCACAATTTTGGCTGATTACGACCTCTGCCTCCCAGGTTCAAGAGATTCTCATGTGCAGCCTCCCAAGTAGCTGCGACTACAGGTGCGTGCCACCATGCCCGGCTAAATTTTTTTTTTTTTTTTTAGTAGAGATGGGGTTTGGCCATGTTGGCCAGGCTGGTGTCGAACTTCTGACCTCAGGTGATCCTCCCACCTTGGCCTCCCAAAATGTTGGGATTACAGGCATGTGCTACTGCACCTGGCCCATTAACTGCCTTTTGAAGACTGGCCGGTACAGTCCTGGCTCCCTCAATAGGTGAGGAATCAATGTTTAGGGAGAAATTTCATAAATAGTCCACTGATTGAGGCTATTTACTCTAGTTTCATCAGTTTTGAGTTGGTGAAAAGCCCGTCCAAATTTGGGTGATAGGATGACAGTTGATTCCAGTTTTTGAATCAGGAGCTGAGTGAGGCTGCATTAGGGTCTACAAGTTAGATATCATTTGAAACCAGAAATCTGTGGTGTTTTCAAAAGGAACTTTTTCTAAGGAACTAAGGGAAAACCAAACAGAATGATGAATTTCTGTTAAGTACACTAAAATTCCATCCTTGGTAGTTGTCAACCTCACAGTTCTCAGAGTTCCTACATTTTTATTTTTTTCCTTATGCTAATTCTGAATTTGGAAACAATACCCCCCTTTTGGAGGCCATGTCATTTAGGAGGAGAAGGCCCTGAACTAGACATTTAGACTCAAGAACTGTGCTATCCAACATGGAAGCCACTAGCTACATGTAACTATTGATATTTATAGTAATTAAAATTAAGTAAAATAAATAATCCAGTTCTTCCGCCACATTTCTAGTGTTTGATAGCTATATGTGGCTAGTGACTACCATTTTGGACAACAGTGCTTTAGAATAGTGTTGCTACTAATTTGTAAGTAACCTTGAGGTCATCACTTTCTATTTCTGTGCCATAGGTTTCTCAATGGTAAATAAGAGTGGTGAGTCTCAAAAGTACCATCCTCTTCTGGAATTCTTTCTTTTTCTCTTTTCTTTTCTTTCTTTTTTTGACAGGATCTTGCTTTGTTGTCCAGTCTAGTCTCTAACTCCTAGCTTCAAGTGATCCTCCCACCTCGGCCCCTAAAGTGTTGGGATTACAGGCATGAGCCACCATATCTGGCCCTCCTCTGGCATTCTGAGTAATCTGTGGTTCAGTTTTTGGGGTGTGCCTCCATCTACCTCCTCCTTCAGCCCTTCTTGATACTTACTGCAGCTAGGGCAGAAGCACCCAGAGGGAACATTAGGCTGCTAATTAGTCAAGGTACATTGCTCCCATTCCCTGGTGAAAGGGAAATTGACTTGTGGGTATACTTATATCTTGAGTGCTCCACAATTGTGCAGTGCTTTATGGATCACAGAACTCTTTCACATTGTTTTTTCATTTTATAGAATCAAAGAATCTCAAAGTTGGAAGGGCTGTAAAGGTCATCTCAAACTTCAATAACCATGAATTATATGGGGAGCTTATGCAATGAAAATTTCAAGGCCCCACTCCCTGGAGAATAATCTAGTAGAAGTAGGTGTCAGGGTTACCCTGGCCCAACCTGAACAATCCTGTGCTGCATGGGAACTTGGTACTGCATTATTAACACTATCTGACCACTCTTTGAGAAACACTGGTCTTGCTTGGTCCCCAGCCATATTGTGGAGGCTGCTCTTTGGTATCGCTACAAATCCCAGATTCAACATGATATCTCCAGGGTCAGGAAACTCCTGAAGGAGTGCCTTCCATCTTTGGACATCTCTAACAGAAAGGTTTTTTTTTTAATATGGAGCTCTCCCAATTGATGTAGATTTTCCATTTATAGTTATACTACATTAGTCTACTTTTCCCCATAATGATCCTTTAGATTCATGCATTCATTCAGCAAAAATTTACTGAACACCTATTATATACAAGGTTCTGTACGAGACAATGAGGGATTCAGCAGTGAACAAGACCAACTTGGCCTCTGCCTTCAGAAACTGTCTTCTGTCTAGTAGGGAAGATAGGAAATTAGCAAAAATAATAATAAGTAAACAAGTAATATTAATTCTATTAATAATATTAACAATAACAATAAGTAAACAAATAACAAAAGAAGTATAGTTTGAGAAAAATGCTGTGAAGAAAATAAGCAGTGTTATGATGAATAACAAGAAGAGCTGATCTACTTAGGGTGGTCAGGGAAAGCTTCACTAGGAAGTGACATTTAAGCTGAGATTTGAAACACAAGAAGAGTTGGGGAAAGATAGTTAAAGAATATGGCATGTTCTATCAGTCAGAAGGCCAGCATGTTTGGAGCCTAGTAGGCAGAATAGGAGAATGGCACAAGATGAAGTTGGGGAGGATACAAGGCATAGCAGGAGTGCGGATTTTCTTCTATATGCAGTGGAAGCTGTTAAAGGGTTTTAAGCAGGAGGTGATATGATCTGATTTGTGGTTTGTTTTATTGTTGTTTAATTAATTAATTAATTAATTAATTAATTTTGAGACAAGGTCTGGCTCTATTGCCCTGGCTGGAGTGCAGTGGCAACATCTCAGCTCACTGTAATCTCCACCTCCTGGGCTCAAGTGATCCTCCCACCTCAGCCTCCTGAGTAGCTGAAACTATAGGCATGTGCCACCACACCTGGCTATTTTTTTTTTTTTTTTTTTTTAGTAGAGAGAGCATTTCGCTATGTTGCCCAGTCTGGTCTCGAACTCTTGGGCTCAAGCAATCCTCCCACCTTGGCTTCCCAAAATGCTGGGATTACAGGCATGAGCCACCATGCCTGGCCAATTTATGTTTTTAATAGATCATTCTGTGGCCGGGTGCAGTGGCTCATGCTTGTAATCCCAGCACTTTGGGAGCCAAGGCAGGCAAATCACTTGAGGTCAGGAGTTCGAGACCAGACTGGCTAACATGGTAAAACTTCATCTCTACTAAAAATACAAAAATTAGCCAGGCATGGTGGCATGCACCTGTGGTCCCAGCTACTTGGGAGGCTGAGGCAGGAGAATCATTTGAACCCGGCAGGCAGAGGTTGCAGTAAGTCAAGATCACACCACTGCATTCCAGCCTGGGTGACAGACTGAGACTCTCTCAAAAAAAAAAAAAAAAAAGATCACAGATCATGCTGGGTGATGTGTGGACTGGAAGGGAACAAGAGTGAAGTGGGAAACCAGTTAGGTGGGCATTGTGGTCATCCAGGCAAGAGATGAAGGTAGCTTGACCGGGGTGGAGACAATGAAGATACAGATTTTTGAGACTTGCTATCACATCTCTCAATATCTTCTCTTCCACAAAATAAACAGTTCAGTGTTCCTCTCATCTCCTCTCATAACAGGTTTGGTGTCTCTTCTCACCTGGGTGTTTCTCCTCCTGTTTCTCCTCCATCTGATTCCTCTGTAAAGAACTCAGTCTTTCCCTCAGCTGTTTCTTCCTATCCTGTGCCTTGCTTGTAGTTCTAGGGAATTAAAATCTTCAATTCAATGACTATCGTTCTCATATAAAGAGGGGAGCTGGGTGCAGTGGTGCATGCCTGTAGTCCCAACTACTCTGGAGGCTGAGGTGGGAGAATCATTTGAGCCCGAGAGTTTAAGACCAGCCTGGGCAACATAGTGAGACATTGTCTCAAAAAAAAAAAAAAAAAAAAAAGTTGGGGGGTAGCACCAGTCTTCCCTGTCATTAGTCAATTACCAGTCTTTCAATTATTCAACCATGACCCTCGAATACCTATTGTGCCAATTGTGCTTGGAGGAGACAGAGAAGAAGACATGATCTCTGCCCTCCAAGAGCTCAGGGTATAATGGGAAAGATAAGGCCCAAATAAATATAATAAAAGCTAGAAAAACAGATCACAAAGAAAGTGAGATAAAGGGCTTTGGGAGGAAGAAAGAACTTTTAGCTTTTGGGTAGGTGAGAAAAAGAGAAACTAACAAAAATTTCATGGAAAATGTTAATTCAGAGAACCTGGGGCTGGAGAGGAGCGCAGGGAGTATTTTTTTTTTTTTAATGTGGTGATCAAAGATAACCTTACTGAGAAGCCAACATTTGAGCAACGACTCAAAGATAGGGAATAAGTCATGTGGCTATCTAGGGAAAGAACATTCCAAGTAGAGGGCAAAGGCTCTGAGGTTAAATGTTCTTGGTGCTTTTGCCAAACACTGGGGAGGCCGTTTGGCTGGAGCAGAGGGAAAGGGAGAGGAAGAGAGAATAGTTGTATGTGAGGACAGAGAGGAAATGAGGGACTAGATCATGTAGGCCATTGTGAGGACTTTGACTTTTACTCAAAATGAAATGGGAAGTGATCTGAGCATTCTGAGCAGAAGGGTGACATAATCTGAACTACCTAATGGTAGTTTTGGACTAGGATGGTAGAAATAGATGTGAAGAGAGGTAGTCTAATTCTAAATGGATTTTGAATCAATAATGGGTTAAAGTAAATTTCGAGAGTGTGAGAATGAAGTAGTTGGAGAAGACTCCTTGGAGGAGGTTCCCTAGGGGAAGAAGATGAGAAGGACTAGTGACTGTGTACCATGGGTTGTCACACCAACCATATGGCCTCCAGGTGAAGGAAAAGTAGTTTGGTTTATACCAAGGGTTCCCCATGTTATCCCACCAGCTAAATTTCTCATTAATAGTTTTGTTTGATTCACAGTGTTTAAACCTTTTTTTTTTTTTTTTTTTTTTGGTAGGCAGGGGCGAGACAGGGTCTCTGTTGCTAGGCTAGAGTATAGTAGCATCAACGTGGCTCACTGCAGCCTTGACCTCCCGGGCTTATGTGATCCTCCTATTTTAGCCTCTCGAGTAGCTGGGACCATAGGCATTAGCTACCATGCTTGGCTAATTATAAAATTTTTTGTAGAGACAAGTTCTCACCATGTTGCCCAGGCCAGTCTTGAACTCCTGTCCTCAAACAGTCCTCCTGCTTTGCCCTCCCAGAGTGCTGGTATTATGGCATGAACCACTGCAACTGGCCTTAAAGCTTTAAAAAAATTAGTGGTCAACACATATAAATTCAGAAGTTTTTTTTTTTTTTTTGAGACGGAGTCTCGCTCGGTCGCCCAGGCTGGAGTGCAGAGTGCAGTGCAGTAGTGTGATCTTGGCTCACTGCAAGCTCCACCTCCTGGGTTCACGCCATCCTCCTGCCTCAGCCTCCCGAGTAGCTGGGACTACAGGCGCCCGCCACCACCCCCGGCTAATTTTTTGTATTTTTAGTAGAGATGGGGTTTCACCGTCCTCTCGATCTCCTGACCTCATGATCCGCCCGCCTCAGCCTCCCAGAGTGCTGGGATTACAGGCGTGAGCCACCGTGCCTGGCCAATTCAAAAGTTTTGACAAAAATAGATTCCAGGCTGCTATTGAAAAATCGAAAAAATTGACAACATTGAGCCCTGATTCCTAGCAAGCAAAAGCTGACAGGAACCAAGTTTAGGTACTAGATGCCTCCTTTTGCCAGAGCATGCATTTGCCAGTTTTCCTGTCCTTCCCCTTCCCTATTGTTCCCCTGAAACTGAGGCTAAGGTTTATTATACATGTGCTGCTGTTTTCTTATAGGGAAGTGGAAAGGGAACTATTTCTTATCTTTATCATATATTTTCTTTCATGTGGTCCACTTATTTACATTCCGTGCCTAGATCCTGCCAATTTTTGAGCTTGCAGCTCCTGGTGTAGAGGAAAGAGGCCTGGACCTTAAGTCGTGGTCCCTGCTCTGCTGTGGTAACCCACCCTGTGATGCCAAGCATAGCTAATAGCCTCTTTGGATCTCAGAGTTAAGAGACTAAATTGGATGTTCTTTTAAGAGTTCTGATATCCTGGCCGGGCGCGGTGGCTCACACCTGTAATCCCAGCACTTTGGGAGGCCGAGGCGGGTGGATCACAAGGTCAAGAGATTGAGACCATCCTGGCTAACACGGTGAAACCCCGTCTCTACTAAATATACAAAAAATTAGCTGAGCGTGGTGGCAGGCGCCTGTGGTCCCAGCTACTCGGGAGGCTGAGGCAGGAGAATGGCGTGAACCTAGGAAGCACAGCTTGCAGTGAGCCGAGACTGCGGCACTGCACTCCAGCCTGGGTAACAGAGCAAGACTCCGTCTCAAAAAAAAAAAAAAAAAAGAGTTCTGATATCCTAGAGGGCTTGGGATTTTGCAGTAGGCCAATACCCTGCCCCTCACCTTTCCCAACCAGCCAGGGGCCCCAGCCTGGTGTGTATGTCAGAGAAAGAAGACACTGGAATGAGTAAGGTGCTTATATCAATAATGTATAACTTGAGCCCATAGCCAAGGAGAGGAATGCACACTGTGGTGTGTGTGTGTGTGTGTGTTTCACGGTTGGAAGTGGGCTCAAATAAGTTGTACTTGCATAGGTTGTGCTTATTTCTTCTTGTGCACTCTCTATGTACTAGGCTGTACTTGAGGTGCTAGGGATGTAGCAGTGAAGAAAACAAATAAGATCTCTGCTGTCAGCTGGGTGCAGTGGCTCACGCCTGTAATCCCAGCACTTTGGGAGGCCGAGGCAGGCGGATCACCTGAGGTCAGGGGTGTGAGACCAGCCTGGCCAACATCTTGAAACCCCGTCTCTACTAAAAATACAAAAATTAGCCAGGTGTGATGGTGGGTGCCTGTAATCCCAACTACCTGGGAGGCTGAGGCAGGGAGAATTGCTTGAACCCTGGAGGCGGAGGTTGCAGTGAGCCGAGATCGCACTATTGCACTCCAGCCTGGGTGACAGAGCGAGACTCCATCTCAAAAAAAAAAAAAAAAAAAAAGATCTCTGCTATCATGGAGCTTATATTCCAGTGAAGAAAACAGATAATATATAAGTAATTAACATACATGAGATAATTTCAAATAATGGAACGTTTCATGAAAAAAATAAAACAGAATGTGTTTTTTTTTTTTGAGACAGTCTTGCCCTGTCACCCAGGGTGGAGTGCAATGGCGCAATCTCAGCTCACTGCAACCTCCATCTCCTGGGCTCAGGTGATCCTCCCACCACAGCCTCCTGAGTAGCTGGGTTTACAGGCATGCGCCACCATGCCCGGCTAATTTTTGTCTTTTTAGTAGAGTTGGGGCTTCGCCATGTTGGCCAGGCCGGTCTCAAACTCCTGGCCTCAAGTGATCTACCCACCTCAGCCTCCCAAAGTGTGGGATTACATGTGTGGCACCTGGCAAAACAGAATGATTTGATAGAGAGTTTCTGAAGGGGCACACTGTGCACATAGGTGGCTACATGTATATGGTGGTTGTACTTGCAGATACAGATAAGTCCATGTTTGAATCCTGGGTGCATATATTTATCCTTGTTTGTGCCTATGTGTGCAGATGGGCAGCTTTTATGCCTAGAATGTTTGTATATTTATATGTGATTTTATACAAGTGAGCGCACATAGGTGAGTTGGTATGTGGTTTGCATATGGGGACACATGTGCTTGGGTATGTATATGTTGGCATTCAGCCATAACCGGAGACGTTCTGAAGTTCCTGTGGCACTTGTCAGTGAGCCAGTTAAGGAAATGGCTTTTCTGCCTCTGGCATTCAGGGCCGTTTGCCAGCTTCCTCTCTCCCTGTTCTTTCCCACTTTAGTAAGCTCCCTGTGTTTGGCTTCTCTCATCCCTAGGAGGGTTAAAGCCTACTGACTCATCGAGCCAGGAACTGGAAAAAGGCTGATAATCTTCTGTGTGACCTCTGTTAGTAAGAAAAGGCCTGGCTTCCCTGCCAGTCCCTGTCCTTCACACTATGAGGGAGAGTCCTGACTTGAAATCAGAAGACCTGAGCATCTATTCTTGGCTCTGCCACTTATTATTGTGTGACCAATAATCTCTCTAGGTTTCAGTTACCTCCTTCATAAGTGCTCTGTGCAGTAAGGAAGGAGAGGGGAAGCAATGGTCTGTGGTGCTAAGGGAGAGCCAGATGGTGCTGGTGTCTGAAGGAGGAGGGAGAATATTCTGAGCAGGGGCAATGATGTGGCCAAAAGCGTGGAGGTGGACCTGAACTTGCCAAGGGAAACCAGGGATCCACTTACAGTAAAATTCAAACTTCTTACTATTGCCTACAAGGCTCTACGTGATTTGGCTGCTGCCTACCTCTCATTCTTACCCAACTTCTTGCTCACTGAAATCTAGCCATACTGTCTTTCTTTCTTTCTTTGAAAAGGTCTCAGTGCCTTTTCACTTGATGCTCCTTTTCCCCAGAATACTCTTCCCAAGAATTAGTATGATTGCCTACCTCTCATTATTCAGGTCTTGGCTCAAATATCACCTCTCCAGAGAGAGGCCTTCCAGGACCATCTTATTTAAAGTAGTTGTTCCCTAATATTTATCAATATTTAAAATGCACACATCAGCCAGGCACGGTGGCTCACGCCTGTAATCCCAGTACTTTGGGAGGCCAGGGCAGGTGGATCACCTGACGTCAGGAGTTCAAGACCAACCTGACCAACATGGTGAAACCCCATCTCTACTAAAATGCAAAAATTAGCCAGGTGTGGTGGTGCACGCCTGTAATCCCAGCTACTCAGGAGTCTGAGGCAGAAGAATTGCCTGAACCCAGGAGGCGGAGGTTGCAGTGAGCCAAGATCGCGCCATTTTACTCCAGCCTGGGCAACAGGAGCAAAACTCCATCTTGGGAAAAAAAAAAAAAAAAAGCACACATCTCTTGAACCAACAGGTCCACTTCTGGTAATTCATCCTACAGATATACTTGCAGGTGAGTAAAGTGACATAAAAATAAAAATATTCATTGAAGCATTTATTTGTTAAATAAATTACAGTACATACAAATAGTGGAATATTTTGCAGCTGAGAAAGATAATGAAATAGCTCTTTAAGCTTGGCACCGTGGCTCACACCTGTAATCCCAACACTTTGGAAGGAAGGCTGAGGCAGGAGGATTGGAGGATCACTTGAGGCCAGGAGTTCCAGACTAGCCTGAGCAACATAGTAGGATCCTGTCTTTGCAAAAAAAAAAAAAAAAAAAAAAAGGTAGCCAGACATGGTGACTCTGGCCTGTAGTCCCAACTGCTCAAGAGGCAGAGGTGGGAGGATCACTTGAGTCTGGGAGGTTGAGGCTGTAGTGAGCTGTGATGGTGCCACTGCACCCCAGCCTGAGTGACAGAGTGAGACCCTGTCTCAAAAACAACAACAACAACAAATAAAAAAGAGAAATAGTTCTTTAAGTCTTGGTGAAGAATGATATCAAGGTATATTGTTAAATTTGAAAAATCAAGATGATCAATTTCTACACATAAGATTTGTGCATTTTATTGAATGCATATAATAATTAACAAAAGATACAGAATAGTGTGTATTGTATGCCATCATTTGTGTAGAAAAAATGAGACTATGTAAACAAATGCATGTAGTATATATGCTTGTCTGACAGACCTGTCCCTTAAGTAGAGCAGTTCTTCCTACCCCTGTTACCCTGTGCTTGACTGGGGACTATGAGGTGTTCATCTCTTTTCTGAACAACATTAAAATCCTTTTTTTTTTTTTTTTGAGACAAAGTCTTACTCTGTTTCCCAGGCTGGAGTGCAGTGGTGTGATCGCCGCTCGCTGTAGCCTTCACCTTCTGGGTTCAAATGATCCTCCCGCCTTAGCCTCCCAAGTAGCTGGGACTACAGGCGTGCACCACCATGCCCGGCTAATTTTTGTATTTTTAGTAGAGATGGGGTTTTGCCATGTTGGCCAGGCTGGTCTCAAACTCCTGACCCCAGGTGATCTGCCTGCCTTGGCCTCCCAAAGTGCTGGGAATACAGGTGTGAGCCTCTGTGCCTGGCCAAATTTTTTTTTTTTTTTTTTTTAAACAGAGTTTCACTCTTGTCGCCTAGGCTGGAGTGCGATGGCACGGTCTCAGCTTGCTGCAACCTCCATTTCCCGGATTCAAGCGATTCTCCTGCTTCAGCCTCCTGTAAAATTCAGTTTTTTAACATTCAATTTTCAAATTTTGGTCTTCAATGATATCTCAAGGGTCTTATTAAAGATCATAATGATACAGACTTCTTGCAAAGTAATTATTTTGGTCATTCCACACTAGTTGAATTACCCTAGCCCTGTGTCCTACAAAGAATGGTCCTGTCTGAATATTGATTGTTTCTGGAAAGTCACACAGAATATTGGTAACTGTTTTGCCCTGGGCATGGTGGCTCACGCCTGTAATCCCAGCACTTTGAGAGGCTGAAGCAGTTTTGCTTGAGGCCAGGAGTTTGGAGACCACCCTGGACAATATATCGAGACTCTGCCTCTATGAAAAATTTTAAAATAAAAAAATTAGCCAGGTGTGGTAGCATGTGCCCGTAGTCCCAGCTACTCAGGAGGCTGAAGTAAGAGGATTGCTTGAGCCCAGGAGTTGGAGGCTGCAGTGAGCTATGATTGTGCCTCTGTACTCCAGCCTATCAATAGAGTGAGACCCTGTCTCTAAAAAACAAATCACAAAACCCAAACTGTGGTTTGCCAGTAGGCAGGGTGATTGGGAGATAGGAGTGGGGAGAACACTTCTCATTATGTATCTTTTTATGTAGTCCCACTTGTATGTATTACTTATTCAAAAAAATCATAAAATTGGAAAAAAACCACTAAGGGAAACATTTATTTATTTATTTTTTGAGACAGGGACTCACTCTGTTGTCCAGGCTGGAGTTCAGTGACATGATTACAGCTCACTGCAGGCTTGACCTCCAGGGTACAAGCGATCTTCCTGCCTCAACCTCCTGAGTAGCTGAGACTACAGGTGTGCACCACCATGCTCAGCTAATTGAAAACGATTTTTTTTTTTTTAGCAATGAGGTTTTGCTGTGTTGCTCAGATTGGTCTTGAACTCCTGGTCTCAGGTGATCCTCCTGCCTTGGCCTCCCAAAGTGTTGGGATTACAGGCATGAGCCAAGAGATCTTCCCATCTCATCTTTCTGAGTGGCTGGGACTATAGGTGCATGACACCACACTCAGCTAAAATTTTTTTTTTTTTTTTTTGAGACAGAGTTTCATTCTTGTTGCCCAGGCTGGAGTACAGTGGCACAATCTTGGCCCACTGCAACTTCCGCCTCCCAGATTCAAGTGATTCTCCTGCCTCAGCCTCCCGAGTAGCTGGCATTACAAGCATGCACTACCACACCCAGCTGATTTTTGTATTTTTAGTAGAGACGGGGTTTCTCCATGTTGGTCAGGCTGGTCTTGAGCTCCTGACCTCACGTGATCCACCTGCCTCGGCCTCCCAAAGTGCTGGGATTACAGGTATGAGCCACCGTGCCCAGCCGGATCCAGCTCAATGTTTTTAGAGATGCGGTCTTGCTATGTTGCCAGGCTGGTCTTGAACTCTTGGCCTCAATAGATGGGCCCACTTTGGCCTCCTAAAGTGTTAGAATTACAGGTGTGAGCCACCGTGCCTGACCCAAGATAGTATATTTTTTAAAAGTATTTCTCCCTAGTCACTCATTTTTATATCATTCTGCTCTATTTATAATGCTTATCATAATCTGAAATTATCCTGGTTATATTTGTTATTTGTTTATTACCCACACTATCATTGGAATATAAGCTCCATGATATCAGGTATCTTACTTATGTTGTTCATTGGTGCCTTATTTCTTCTTTTTTTTGTTTGTTTGAGACGGAGTCTTACTCTGTCGCCCAGGCTGGAGTGCAGTGGCGTGATCTTGGCTCACCACAACCTCCACCTCCCTTCAAGCTATTCTCCTGCCTCAGCCTCCCAAGTAGCTGGGATTACAGGCGTGTGCCACCACACCCAGCTAATTTTTGTATTTTTAGTAGAGGCATGGTTTCACCACATTGGCCAGGCTGGTCTCAAACTCCTGACTTCAGGTCATCTACCTGCCTCAGTCTCCTAGTGTGTTGGGATTACAGGAAAGAGCCACCACGCCCCGCCCATTGGTGCCTTATTTCTATACATGTAGATAGCACATAGTAGTTGTTGAATAAGCAAATGAATGCATGAAGGAATGACTGAAGTAAACCAGGCTAAAGCCTAGGAAGGAGTGGGAGGCAAGGCTGAGGAGGTAGACAGAAATCACCTGATAAAGGATGGCGATTCTCAAACTTTATTTATTTATTCAAGATGGAAACTCACTCTGTCATCCAGACTGGAGTGCAGTAGTGTGATCTCAGCTCACTGCAACCTCTGCCTCCTGGGTTCAAGGGATTCTCGTGCCTCAGCCTCCCCAGTAGCTGGGATTACAGGCACACACCACCACACCCAGCTAATTTTTGTATTTTTAGTAGAGACGCGGTTTCACCATGTTGGCCAGGCTGGTCTCAAACTCCTGACCTTTGATCTGTCCACCTTGGCCTTCCAAAGTGCTGGGATTACAGGCGTGAGCCACCGCGCCTGGCCAATTCTCAAGAATCCCCTACTAATTCCTTGTACCATCTTGTAATAAAGAAGCAGATCCTTGGACCCTGTGATTCTAATTCAGTATGTTTGAGCTGGGGCCCAGGAATCTACAAATCCTCTAGATGATTTAGGCACAAGTGATCTGGAGACCCTACTCTGAATAATGCAGTCTTGATGCCTCATCAGAAGGAATCACATCTGTGATTTCACTTCTCCTTAATACATTACTAGGATGGAAGAGAAGGGGCCGTCACTCCATTTCATCAAGGATCAGAGATGGACAGTGCATTTTCTAATGACATACAACATGTGTATAAAATATCTTGAATGGCCAAAGTATCTGACCCGTCAGCTCAAGATTGGTGATGGCAAGATTGATGGTGGGCAGATAGCTCATCCTCATAGAACAGTTCCAGGCCTTAGTGTCACTGAATGGATTTTATGACTCTGCCTGTTTCTTGTTTGGGGAAGAAGTTATACCCCTAATCACTGGTTCTTTCTGGTATGTCTCAGGGAGGGCAATGAGCCAGGGGAGACCACTCAGATCACATACCATCAGCTTCTGGTCCAAGTGTGTCAGTTCAGCAATGTTCTCCGAAAACAGGGTGAGTGTGGGGGTGTGGGAAAGGACTGGGGGTCTGGCCTTGGGGTATCTGAGTATCTGAGACTTATGGGGAGAGGGCAAGGGATGGAAAGAATTTGGTAACAGAGGAAGAGAACAGGTCAGCTGGGAGGGAGGCCAGCTGGATGGGAGGGAGCAAGTAGCAGCAAGAAGGGTTCATGGTTCATATTCTGTGCTTTTACCTGCAGGCATTCAGAAGGGGGACCGAGTGGCCATCTACATGCCTATGATCCCAGAGCTTGTGGTGGCCATGCTGGCATGTGCCCGCATTGGGGCTTTGCACTCCATTGTGGTAGGAGTTTGGGCTGGTGAAAAGGGGCAGGCGGGGGGGTGGGGCTCTGGAGAAGTAGGTTGGGCCTAGATGATGGAGGGTCTTAAATAACAAACTAAGGAGCTTAGAAGGTTTGTGTCATAGGTCCATATTAGTTATTCAGTTTCTTCTAGGACCCTGGCTTAGAGATCCTGAAAGTTCCATGAGCAACCCCTTTCTTCATTCACTCAATCCCTGGGGCTTTCTTCTCTCCCTCAGACTTTCTTCCCTTCCCTAGTTTGCAGGCTTCTCTTCAGAGTCTCTATGTGAACGGATCTTGGATTCCAGCTGCAGTCTTCTCATCACTACAGGTGACTAATTCTCTCACCTCTTCTCCAGAACCCCCCATACCTCAAGCCTTGGTCTCCAATCAGCTCATTGGTATTTGGGGCTACTCAGCATAGAGGGTAGAGACTGCCTGCCTTTTCTCTCCTGGTCCCACCTCAGCTGACCCTCTGTCAGCTCGAATCAGCTGGAAGAGCCAGAGTTAAGAGGCCTACTCAGGAAGGGCCCTATGGACATTGTGCCCACTAGGCAGCATGGGGCTTACTAAGGCCTGGAATGTCTGTTGCTCCCCAAAGATGCCTTCTACAGGGGGGAAAAGCTTGTGAACCTGAAGGAGCTGGCTGACGAGGCCCTGCAGAAGTGTCAGGAGAAGTAAGTGTGTTTGGCTACTGTCTGAGTTGACTGAGCCTTTCCCCAGTGCCAGGTTCCCTTTGTCCCCTCTACCCTAAATGGACATGGGTGGGTCTTGCCAAGTTCCCTTTGAGCCAACAAGGCTACCACTTTAGGCTTTTCTCTTCTCCAGGGGTTTCCCAGTAAGATGCTGCATTGTGGTCAAGCACCTGGGGCGGGCAGAGCTCGGCATGGGTGACTCCACCAGCCAGTCCCCCCCAATTAAGAGGTCATGCCCAGATGTGCAGGTGAGTCTGGCACTGCTATGCCTTTCTCCAGGCTCAAATTCCTTCACTTTTCCTGCCTAGAAAATTCTTGATGTCCTTCTTTGCCTGCTCATCAGTATACTGAGGATCCAGGAGCAATTCTAGGAATGCCTCCTCTAGCAGGGCTAGGTGGGAACTGGAAGACTTTGACCTTGACTGTGGGTAGAGAGGCCCTTGTACCTTGAGAACATAGCACAAGCGATTGTAAGGGAGACTCCTATGCTGGTTGGGGTATCCTTGTGGGCACAGGGGATCCTCAGGGCCTAGGCTTGTGTTAGAAATGTCTAACTTGAGTGACAATATATAGTCATCTCCATTACTAGGCTGTGATGTGGGGTGGGCTATCTTTGTGGCCTAAGGGATGCCCACCTTGGAAGGACCAGAGTCCAGCCCTCACAATATGGCCTTTGTTAGCTTTGGACCCCCAGGCTTCTGGTGGGAATGGTAGAAATGCCCAGTGATGGCCTCCAGGCTGAGCAGCATGAGGGATCAAAGTTCTGGGGTTGAGTAAGAGTCTGTGACTTGAGGCTCCCTGAGGGGTCTTAGGGCTAGAGAGGCTGTAGTCTAGTTTAGGGAAGTTGGAAAGCCCAATCAGTGTTAGGGGTTTTACATATATAGGGGCTGGAATCAGGATCAGGAAAATGGAAGCTGGGAGGACCAGTGAGAAGGGAGTTTGGGGTTTATGACACACTGACCCTTTCCTCCCACTCCCTGTATACTTGGACCCTCCTCACTACCCTTTTCATCCTGGGCTCTTAACAGGGTAAACTGAAAGAGAAATCCAAGCGTGTTCAGCCCCAGGTATCCATTTCTGCACTGCCGTGGGCACCGCTTCTCTGTTTGCTTGTCTGTGTGCTCATCTGCCCTTTGCCTGTTTGCCCCATTGAGGTGGCTGCCAGACCTAACCTCCTTCCCCTTGCCCCTGGGCAACTTGACATCTAAGCCACTGAAGGGTGGTGAAATTAAATGTCCGTTACTGCCTCTGTGAATTGGTATAGAGTATGGATCTTAGAGAGGTAACAGCAGAACACATTTTATCCTGATACTCAGGACCTTTGTGGGAGAGGGGACAAGGTAACCTGTCAGAAAACATTTACTGTGCAGGTAGCTGGAGCAGAGCCGAGAGACAGGAGGAGGAGGAGGTGGAGGAGGTTCAGACCCTGACTTTGGGAATTCACTGTCAAGTTGGGGAGTTAGACATGTATTATTAATACAAAGGAAAATCTAAGTTTTATACAGGACAGCAGAGGAGATTCCTAAATACATTTATATAGTGCTTTGGGATTTATAAACTGCATATAACTTTGTAATATGATTAAGTGCTAAACTGAACAAAAGTCATATTGTAGGTGGTTCTAAGAAGGGAGATCCATAAGGGGGTGCTCAAAGCAGATTAGTATCGAGGAAAGAGTGGGCCTGAAGTCCAGAGACCAATTTTTAGCTGTATGACCTTGAGTAAGTCAATTCTCCCCTCTGGGATTCAGTTTCCTTATCAGTAATGGAGAGATGATAACACATGTTATAAAAGGAAACAGCTTCCCTTCCTAAAACAACACATAAAGCTCACTATTCCTCTGGATTTTACCATCTTCACAGGGTGTCTTACTCTAAATCTGCTATGATTAACCTCTTAGGCCAATGGTAGATATAAGCCCCTTTTCTCTATTCTCATTAGCATGGCGGAGACAGATCTGATTCCTAGGGCATACTGCTTTCCTTTTAAAACTCAGGCAGGACCTACACCCTTTCTTTTGAAAGAGGTGACAAACTTAGTGGCTTAAATTGTAATCTCTGGAGCCAGATTACTTGGGTTCAAATCCTGGCTCTGCCATCTGCTGCTGTGTAAACTTGAACAAATTACTTAAGCTCTCTCGCTTGTTTCTCCATCTGTAAGATAAGGATAATAATTATACCTATGTTATCGGGTTTTGTCAATATATGTAAGGTGTTTGGCACATAGTAACTACTCAATAAATGTTAGCTGTTTTTTCCTTCCCCTTAATGCAACAGACAGATTGGCATTTCTAAAACAGAGACCAGAAAAGAAATAACAAACTCTTGTAATTCTTAATACCAGAGACCTTCAGGCCAAAGGCTACTGGATTTTTGTTTCTTGGAGGTGAAAATAACCAGTTTCCAAAATACCAAAGAGCATAAAAATAGGCTTAAAAAGTCCAGGTTGTTGGTCTGAGAATTGCAGTCAAAGCTGCAAAAATCTTTCTGACAATGGGCCCCATATTTAAAAATTAAAAAATAGTTTTCAAAAGAGCTGCAAAAATCCTGGCAGGGCTCCAAACCCCTTTATCCTTAAACAATCTTCCAGGGAGATCCTGGCAGGGTTTGCAGGGACCCTCCTCAACCATATCGTCTATGAGCTCCCTCATATTCCTCTCCCGTACATGGCAGCTGCCCTCCTTGAGACTATCCTGGTCCAAGGACAAAGGCCAACTCCTCAATTCTTATTTTAGAAAATTCAGACCTTTTCCTGGTGCAGAGCCTGGGGCCTCATAGGCACACACCTAATTCACAATCAAAGGTTGCTTTGCTAATTGAGTTCACTCTGCTTCCTGGTGCTAGTTATCAGTTCCACACCTGGAGTACTCTGACCCCTCCACCTCTATATACACACCCACCCACAAAAGAAATAATAAGATTATAAGAGTGCCCTCATTGCAGAGCCACAGTTGTAACTATGCCTTGTCCTTACATGTACTTAGTGCCTGTTCTGTGGCAGTTCACAGTGCTGTAGACCAGCACCATTTGTCCAAAGCAGTATTGATACTTCTGGTTGAATACCTTAGTGCCCCCATCTCAAGTGATCATTTGGCAGGAAAAAAAGTACCCATGTGACAATGTATGTGTAGATGCATATGGATAGACCAAATCAGGTGTGTTCTTATGTTTTCTAACCGTAGGCAGCTTTCTCTCTCTTCTTCCTTTTTCTAGGCTTGTCGTTTTTATGATGTTGATAATCCAGAAATTTCAAATTCTCTACCATAAGGGGCAGGTGGTACAGAAAGAACGGAGTGGTTAGAGAGTCATTTTCTAATTTATCAAGCTATATATCTAACACTCCAGAAGTTTTTTTAACCAAATATGCACACAACAAATTAGCATATATCCTTATAATGGGAGAATGGCATTTATCTTACACCATCATGTCTACCTGCCAGCCAGGGCCATTGAACATACAAGAATCTAATTAATATGAAAGGACTTTGTGACAGCTAAAGCAAACCCCAAACAGTTCCTATCATCACACTCTTAAGTTTTTGTGGGTTTTTTTTGTTGTTTTTGTTTTTGTTTTTGTTTTTTGAGATGGAGTCTCACTCTGTCGCTCAGGCTGAAGTACAGTGGTACGATCTCGGCTTACTGCAACTTCTGCTTCCTGGTTTCAAGTGATTCTCCTGCCTCACCCTCCCAAGTAGCTGGGATTACAGGTGTCTACCACCACGCCTGGCTACTTTTTGTATTTTTAGTAGAGATGAGGTTTCACCATGTTGGCCAGGCTGGTCTTGAACTCACTCCTCACCTCAGGTGATCTGCCCACTTTGGCCTCCCAAAGTGCTGGGATTACAGGCGTGAGCCACCGCGCCCAGCCCCACACTCTTAAGTTTAACTCCCAGTAGTCACTGAACTAACCTCTGTCTCTCCTGACATTCATCAGTCTTCCTCATCTCACCCCAACCTCTACCCTTGGGGCAATCCAAGGCTTGATGTTTACTAGATAATACTTTTTTCTTTTGGTGTTTACCACATCCTGTGAGTCTGTTAAGGCAAGAATGACTGTCCTCATTTGTAAAAGGAGAGACTTAAGGTAAAGTGATTTGCCCAAGGTCATATAGCTAGGAAGTGGCAGAACTGGTATTGAAGTACACTGAAGATTTTGGACAAATTCAAGGGATCTAACTTCATTCAGCAGATGGTAGACTCAAAATTGGTGTTCAAAGAGGTGATATAGACAGAAAAGTAAAACAGTTTCAAAGGAGAATTTAGAGAAGTTTCAGGATGACAGATCCAGAAGTAATTATCAAAGGCATAGGGGGACATCCTTCTACTGGGAGAAGTCCACCTTGGTCCTTCTTCACCAACTTGAAGCAAAGCTTCCTGCTGAATGGAACCTGTCCCCTCAAGCAAAAGTCTCTATGGGAAACCCTATTGGTACCAGTGGTGTAAAGGCAGGAGCAGAGCTAGGGTAGGAAACACGCAGATGTGGATTGGGTCTGGACATGTAGGCAAAAGTGCTTGGACCAAGATCTGTTGACTTATTTTACTACTAACAGGGTCAGGTGCCCACCTCACCTGTAAGCTCTGACTAATTTTGCATTTCTGAATTGTGTGGTGTCCGCATCCCTGCTAATGAGCCTAGTCCCATAAGTACATATGTATGTATGTAGACCTGTGTGTGCATAGTCATTCATCCAACAAAAATTGACTGAGTGCCAGGCACTTTGCTAGGTGTTGGGAGATATGGCAGGGGTCGGGAGGAAAGACATTTCACCTCCTTCATAGATGTCGCTATCTAGATGGGGAGACAGTAATCAAGTAGACAACTAAACAAAATAACAGGAAATATGTACTGTGTGGGAAAGAAACATGGTGTTGTGATCAATAATAATAGCAGGGTTGGGGGTAGCAATCTATCAGATACTGTTCAGGTAAAGGCTTTCCAAGAAGGTGACATTTCAGCTCAGAATTGAAGGATGGGAAGGGACCAGCCAAGGGTTCCTCCTCAGCCTGAGGCCAGGTGAGAGGAGTTCTGGGGTAGAGATGGGGGTAGGATGGCAGGGTGGTTGGAGTACTCAGTAAGCTTGGGTTCTGCTCCTGTTCTTTCTGTTCCATTCCATCCTTGAAGGGCCTTCTCTCCCTTCCTGTACTCCTACCTGCCTGTCCCACCTCATTCCCTCCAGGGGCAAGGTACGGGTGTATCTTGTCCCCATCTTGAGCTGTTCACAGTTCTTCCCTGCCCATCCCTGCAGATCTCATGGAACCAAGGGATTGACTTGTGGTGGCATGAGCTCATGCAAGAGGCAGGGGATGAGTGTGAGCCCGAGTGGTGTGATGCCGAGGACCCACTCTTCATCCTGTACACCAGTGGCTCCACAGGCAAACCCAAGGCAAGTGTGTGTGTGTGTGTGTGTGTGTGTGTGTGTGTGTGTGTGTGTATTATGTAGGGGTAAGAAGTAAGTTTCTGAGGAAACAAGTAATGAAATTATTTTTTTCCTACAACCCTGAGTTTTGGAAATGTAGCATTGTCTTTTCTAAATCAAATTAAGACATAAATCCTCAATCTATAGGTGGTGAGGCCCAGGGTGAGACAGTTCAGGTGGAGGGTTTTCATACAGCTGACATGGATGTTCTTTCCCTATGCACCCATGGTTTGGTTGAAGGAGAGCTATTCTGTTAACTCAAGGCCAAGGGTGGGCACAGAGATCCCTCTCAGGCTTCTAAGACCATAACTCTTAGAGTTCAATTCCTTCCACCTGGCACACTATTAACATGTAGTCCTCTGCCAGCACACACCATGGGAGCCGGAAACACTTAAGAAAACTGTTTCTTCCATTGACTTGAAAGCTATGTCACTCTACCTTCTGCCCACTCCACCCCTAAATTATCTCCATATGCTTTGGAATATCCCTCAATAAGTCTTTAGAAACACAATTTTGGCCTCTCTTTCATAGAGATGGGGGTAGGGATGGAATAAGCAAAGGGAATTATCTTTTTTTTCCCACTCACTCTGATGGTGTGTAATTGAGTGTGTGGGCACAAATACACAACAGAGGGACTATTATGAGTGTGCTATGAGTGCTCATGTGTGAGTGATGTGGGTGGCTCTGAAATACCATCTGAGGGTGCTGGTATGAATGATGGCCTGATAGACATATGTGTCATCAGGAGTGTGATAAAGGAGATGAGATGGGAGCATGGAGAAAAGGAGATGGAAGGGAGATGGATGCTGTGAAAAGGGTGCTGGCAGGGCTGGAATCCCTGAGGAGGATCTTCCTCCAGCTCTGCCCAGCCTCCATTTGGTGGTCAGTAGGGGTGGGCATAAGACCCTAACCTGTTCCCCATTCTTCCCACAGGGTGTGGTTCACACAGTTGGGGGCTACATGCTCTATGTAGCCACAACCTTCAAGTATGTGTTTGACTTCCATGCAGAGGATGTGTTCTGGTGCACGGCAGACATTGGTTGGATCACTGGTCATTCCTACGTCACCTATGGGCCACTGGCCAATGGTGCCACCAGTGTTTTGGTGAGAAGGGAGCCACCTGGCCTAGCTGGGGGATGGACAAGATTATCCTGGGTGACTACCTCCCAAGGCTGCTTGGTCTAGAGGGAGGGGGACTTATACAATCATCTGTTTTCTGGAGAAAGAGAAGTCCTGAGGGGGTTGCGTATCCTGACTAGGATGGTATCTTGGCTTGTCTGGCCAGGGAGTGAAGATATGGTTGGTCAGAAAGGGCAAAATACTGAACCTGAGGGAATGGTAGGGGGATGAATAGAAGGACTATTAGGAAAGACTGGGAATGACCAGCCTTCATGGGTCAGTTTGAGGGGATTCCCACATATCCGGACGTGAACCGCCTGTGGAGCATTGTGGACAAATACAAGGTGACCAAGTTCTACACAGCACCCACAGCCATCCGTCTGCTCATGAAGTTTGGAGATGAGCCTGTCACCAAGTGAGACCTCTTCCCAGTTGCTGCCCTGTGGGTATCCCTCAGAGCTGGGTGCTGGCCTTTGTACAGTCTCTTCTTTTCCATTGTCCCAACTCTCTGACCTGGAATAGAGGATGGGGCAAGAGAAAAGCCTGGGTATGTGTGTCTTCCAGTAGTACTCAGAGCCTTCCTCTCTCCCATTCCCCTGCCCCAGGCATAGCCGGGCATCCTTGCAGGTGTTAGGCACAGTGGGTGAACCCATCAACCCTGAGGCCTGGCTATGGTACCACCGGGTGGTAGGTGCCCAGCGCTGCCCCATCGTGGACACCTTCTGGCAAACAGAGACAGTGAGTGAAGGGTACAGAAGGCTGGGGCCCAGGGACAATGTGGGAAGATTGACTCAAATTTCTCATCTCTGACTTCCCCAGGGTGGCCACATGTTGACTCCCCTTCCTGGTGCCACACCCATGAAACCCGGTTCTGCTGTGAGTGATGCTTCCCTGGCTGGTCTTGGGCTAGGCAGGGATGGTGTCTTGGGGCACTTGGCCTAGTTAGATAGTGGAGAACTGGACTGACATGTGTGAAGAATTTGGGGTTCTGGGGCCCCTTGGGAGTTGAGTCAGAGTTGCCTCATTCCTCTTCTTGGGTTCTGTCTCCCGTTTGCTTCTAGACTTTCCCATTCTTTGGTGTAGCTCCTGCAATCCTGAATGAGTCCGGGGAAGAGTTGGAAGGTGAAGCTGAAGGTTATCTGGTGAGGCCCTGGCCCTTGGGAGTCTTTAAGGAGAGAGGGAAAGGGTCTGCCAAGGGTACTTTGCTTTAGAGTTAATAACCTAATCTCTCCTGGTAGCTGCTTAGGACTGAAACTTCATGGTTGGAGGTTTGCTCACTGAGAGACCCTGGAGGGGACCCTCGATACTTTGCCTGCATCTCTTCCTTTTGGGCCATAAGTCTCCTAAGGGCGTTTTAAGAGTTGCTCAGATTCCTGATGGTACCTTTTTGGGTCTGGAAGACTAAGTCCCATCTTCTTTTGACAAAGATTCTACAGAAAGGAGGCTTTATAACATAGTAGAAAATCACGTAGGATCTGGAGTCACCCTGCCTGGGTTCGAATCCTAGCTCTGCCTCTTCTGTGACCTCAGATAAGTTATTTAACACCTCTGAATCTACATTTTCTAATTTGTAAAATAGGGTTAAAGTGGTGTCTCTGGCCGGGCACGGTGGCTCACACCTGTAATCCTAGCACTTTGGGAGGCTGAGGTGGGCGGATCACCTGAGGCCAGGAGTGCAAGACCAGCCTGGCCAACATGGTGAAACCCCGTCTTTACCAAAAATACAAAAAGTAACTGGGCGTGGTGGTGGACGTCTGTAATCCCAGCTACACGGGAGGCTGAGACAGGAGAATCACTTGAACCGGGGAGGTGGAGGTTGTATTGAGCCGAAATTGTGCCATTGCACTTCATCCTGGGCAACAAGAGCAAAATTCCGTCTCAGAAAAAAATAATGCCTTTGTCTCCTATGGTTGCTTGCTTGATTGAGTTAGATAATCCACATGAAGGGGTTAGCAGAGAAACTAACAATTAGTACTTGATAAACATTAGCTGTTGTGATTATTGTATTCATACTTGCAGGAGCCTCACCTGTCCCTTCAACCCCACCCCATTTCACTTTCCCAAGAGCAAGTTAGTAACAGGGACAGGGCTTACATCCAGGCCTTCTGACTCAGCCTAGAATTCCATCCATTCCATCGATCTGCTGCCAAAGAATGTTACTGATTGGGCAATAATTATTTACTTGGTGTGTGGGCACCACTGTTTTTTAAATGAGTGTTTTCATTTGTATCAAACTGGACCTGCTTTCCTCAAGGATTGCCCAAAAGGAGACACAAATTTACTAAACACTTATCAATAATAGAACACCGTGCTAGGCAATTTCCATATACTATTAATTTAATCCTCACAATAACTTTGGAAGACAGAAAGTATTTTCTCTGATTTACAGATGAGGATCCTGAAGCTCAGAGGGGTAAAGTTACTTCTCTGAGGTCACCTAGCTAGTAAGTGGTAGAGCTGGGATTCCAAGCCAGGATCCTCTGTCTCCAAAGCCTGTACTTCATTCAGGACACTTTCCCCCACATTTAGAAAAGCTGTAATTATCTTCCAGTGAGACAGCATAGCAAATGTGATCACTGTCCCTTCCTCACTCCCCAGGTGTTCAAGCAGCCCTGGCCAGGGATCATGCGCACAGTCTATGGGAACCACGAACGCTTTGAGACAACCTACTTTAAGAAGTTTCCTGGATACTATGTTACAGGAGATGGTGAGCCTTAGCTATCCCCCTCTTGCACCTCCCACTAAGACATGTACCTTCCACTTCCATTTTCAGGAAGAGTTGGTGTGTTGCTATAAAATAATACCTGAGACTGGGTGATTTATAAAGAAAAGAGGTTTATTTTGGATCATCATTCTTCAGGCTGTGCAGGAAGCATGGTGCTGGCATCTGCCTATGGTGAGGCCTCAGGTAGCTTCCAATCACGGCAGAAAGCAAAGGGAAAGCCAGTGTTTGACATGGCAAGAGAGGAAGCAAGGGAGAGAGGGAGGAGATACCAGCCTCTTTTAAACAACCAGATCTTACATGAACTCATAGAGTTACTGCAAGTACAGCACCAAGCCATTCATGAGGGATCTGTCCCCCCCGCCCCCCCCACCTCCCCGGCCTTGACCAAAACACCTCCCACCAGGCCCCACCTCTAACACTGGGGATCATATTTCAACATGAGATTTGGAAGGGACAAACATCCAAACTATATCAGTTGGTTAGGGGTAAAGAAAATTAGAGAAGAATGTGTCCTACATGTCAGTATCTGGTTTCTACGCAGAGCTACAAAGACTGTAAGGGCAGGAATGAGTATAGCAGGAGGGGTCTCAGAATGGTGCCATCCGAACTTTGATGTATGAGGAAAGATGGACAATGTATGCTCCTGTGTTGAAAGAGATGGGGCATGTGGCAGTGCATGACTATTATGTCATGTTTGTCTTTATGTCTGGAGTCTGTGTTTCTCCATCTATCCATCTACCAATCCATTCATCCATAAGATCTGAGCACTGTGATCCTGTGCCCAGGCACTGATCATGAATAATGTAGTCAAAATCTCCTCCCTCATGGGGATTCTAGTAAGGGGAGACAGACAAACCCAACAAACATAAATAAGCTTATCTTAGATAGAGATAAATGCTGTTAAGAAAAATAAACAGGGTAGCATGATAGTGTGTGCAGGGATGGCTACTGTACACAGGATCGTCGGAGAAGACTTCTCTGAATTGACATTTGAGCAGAGGCCTGAAGGGTGAGAAGGAAACAGGCATGGGAAAATCTAGAGTAAGAGTGTTTTGTGCAGAGGGACACAGCTTGAGATGTCTGAAGAATGGACTGAAGCCTGTGTGGCTGGAGCGTAGCAAGCAAAGGGAAGAATATTACATGACGTTGGAGACGTACATAATACAGGGAGGGTCTTGTGGGCCATGGTGAGGAGTTTGAATTTTATTCAAAGTACAGTGGGAAACCTTTTTTTTGTTGTTGTTGTTGTTGTTGTTTGTTTTTTTTTTGAGACAGAATCTCACTCTGTCACCCAGGCTGGAGTGCGGTGGCACGACCTCAGCTCACTGCAACCTCCACCTCCCGGGTTCAAGCAATTCTCCTGCCTCAGCTTCTCAAGTAGCTGGGATTACAGGCGGGTGCCACCATGCCTGGCTAATTTTTGTATTTTTAGTAGAGACGGGGTTTCACCATGTTGGCCATGTTGGTCTCGAACTCCTGATCCACCCACCTTGGCCTCCCAAAGTGCTGGGATTACAGGCATGAGCCACCATGCCTGGCCACCTTTTGGGGTTTTAAGCAGGGGAGTGCTAAGAATTGATTTACTGTTTAGAAAATAACTTTGCTGGATTTATGGAGAATAGAGTTTAGGTGAGTATACTATTGGCATGGAACAAATTATCCCAAAAGTTGGCAGCTTAAAATAACAAATATTATCTCACACAGTTTCTGAGGATCAGGAGTCTGTGAACAGTTTCACTGGGTAGTTCTCATTCTGGGTCTCTTGTGAGTTTCAGTCAAGCTGTTGGTAGGGCCTGTAGTCATCTGAAGGTTTGAGTGAGCCTGGAGGACCTACGTTCATGCTTACTCGCATGGTTGTTAGCAGGAATCCTCAGTTCCTCACCTCACCATAGGACTACTCAATACATGGCAGCTAGCTTACCCTACAGCAAATGATCTGAGACAATGCAACCGAGACAAGCTAGGTGTCTTCTACAACCTAATCTCAGAAGTGACATCCTATCACTTCTGCCAAATCCTATGATGACACAGACTAACCCTAGTACAATGAGAAAGAGGACTGCAGGGCTATGAATACCAAGAGGCAGAGATCAGTGGTGCCCTCTTGGAGGCTGGCTACTACAGTGGGCAAGAGTGGAAGCAGGAAGACTTGTTAGAAGGCTATTGCAGAAGGTGTAGCAGTTTGGTAATGTGGATCAGGTATCCTACCGTAGGGTTTTTATTTATTAGGTTTTGCATTTCTTCCCAGGCTGCCAGCGGGACCAGGATGGCTATTACTGGATCACTGGCAGGATTGATGACATGCTCAATGTATCTGGTGAGGGCCAGGGGCCACCTTCCCATCTTATTAACTCTGCTCCTCTGACAACACCCAGCCGAAGCCTTCCGCAAGAGCCCAGGAGTGTCCTTTGGCCAGACCATGTACTAAGTGTAGCATTCAGTTCTGGGCCCAGGTTTTAGAGGAGTAATGAACACTGGAATGTGCCTAGAGTAGGGGAACTTGGATGGTGGGGTGACTGAAAGCATGTCATCTGAGGAGTGAATGAAGGGTCTTCTCCATTTGGCCAGACCAGGACTGCCCCATGGGTACAGATGGAGCATGGGCTGGGGCAGAGCCTGGGATCTCTCTCATGGCACTTCCTTTCCCTTGACAAGGACACCTGCTGAGTACAGCAGAGGTGGAGTCAGCACTTGTGGAACATGAGGCTGTTGCAGAGGCAGCTGTGGTGGGCCACCCTCATCCTGTGAAGGGTGAATGCCTCTACTGCTTTGTCACCTTGTGTGATGGCCACACCTTCAGCCCCAAGCTCACCGAGGAGCTCAAGAAGCAGAGTAAGGAGCCTCCCTGGGCAGGGACTATAGGGTCTGTCTTGGAGGCCCAGTTATCACTGCAAGTTGTTGGGGAGGGGCTAGAGCAAGCTGCTCCCCAAACCACAAACAGATTCCAGGGGGCCCCATGGGCTGATTGCCCTCTTCCTGTTCAGTCTCCACTAGTCTCCCACTAGGATAATAATAATAGCCAACATTTCTAGAATACTTTGTGCCACCGCTAGGCTAAGTGCTTTAAATGAATTACCCCACTTAATCCCTAGAGTCACCTCCATGAAACAGATCTTATTGTTACCTTCATGCTAAAGATGATGAAACTGAGACTCATGGAAGTTAAATCACTTGCCCAAGGCCACACTGCTAGAAAGGTGGCATTTAAACTCTAGCAGGCTCATTCTACAGCCTGAGTTCCATAAGATAAAATGAGAGAGTAAAGAGACAAGTGTGTTGAGAGCAAGAGAAGCAGTGAACCTGAGGCTGTCTCTGTGGGCAGGGACTTGAGGAGGAAACAGGTGGGGAACAAAGCCATCTCTACTTTGATTTTTGAAAAGTCTGGCTAAGGGTGCTGAAGAAATGCTTGATGATTTGTTGGTTACAGTTAGAGAAAAGATTGGCCCCATTGCCACACCAGACTACATCCAGAATGCACCTGGCTTGCCTAAAACCCGCTCAGGTATGTTCAGAGGCCTCCATGGATTGGGATGGGCTGAGGCCTGGTGGTGGTGGGGTGTGCGTGGATGAAAGCCTTTGGCAGGGCTAGGGTGGGTCAGTGCTTTCACCAAGTAACTAGAGGTCTGTGGTTCCCCAGGGAAAATCATGAGGCGAGTGCTTCGGAAGATTGCTCAGAATGACCATGACCTCGGGGACATGTCTACTGTGGCTGACCCATCTGTCATCAGTCACCTCTTCAGCCACCGCTGCCTGACCATCCAGTGAACATGATCCTGACCTTTACCTAGGATTCCTCCTGCTCCAAACTTTGCCCATCCTCTTTGCCCCCTCAGGAGTGCTGAGGGCCAGTGTTGACCCACACTACCCTCCCTTGACCAGCTGTCTGGGACCGGAAACCAGCTTTGTCTCCAGGTAGAGACAACATCCTGTGACTGCCAGGCAGAAAGGACAGGGCCCAGGTCAGCCTCAGTCTGCTGTGCCTCCAGACTGCAGAGCTCTCAGAACCCAGAACAGAGACGAAAAGGCTACCTCTCCTACCCAAGTTAAGTGTTCAAAGGGGATGTGAGGGCCTCCACTGAAGCAGGGAGGCAGCTGTGTAATCCTATGTCAGCTCTCTTAGGAAGCCCCAGTACTTATATTGGGCATGCACTTGCCCTTAAAAACAATGATTTGTGAGTCCAGGAACAATTTACTATTTTTAAAATATTTTGCTGCTTCTGTTCTGGGTCTGAATTCCCTTTTGTGCCAGATGCCAGTACTGTCTGCCCATTGGCTCCAGGGGCTGTATGGGCAGATTCAGTCTCCAGAGGGTATTCAGATCATCTGCTTCTTTGAAGGAGTAAATGTGTTTTGTTCCTAGGGCCAGAGGAGCTTGTCTTCCTTGTCCTCTGTTCCCACCCTCCCCTGAACAGAACCCAGCCCATAAGAGACATTCTCAGATGAAACTCTGTTTTCTTGCCCCAGTCAGGCTCAAGCCCTGTGGTTGTAGGAATAAAGCCTGTGATCTCAAGAAGTGGTGACTTGTTTTCTTAGGTATCTGTGCCCTGAGGCTGTATATTCATTAGTGGCTCTGATTTGTGTGGCAGATGGGAAGGGAGGGGTATTTCCTAGGACTATCCCCAATATCTTCCTTCTAGAACTTTTGGTTTGGGCAGAGCGAAGGAGGCTTCACTGACAGGGCCTTTGACAAGCCCCTGAGCTAAGCAGGAAAGTGACTGAAGCCAGTTCACAACTGTTATGTATGTCCCATCTTGGTTGCCTTCCCTCCTGGGCTCCTGCCAGGGACTCTCATTCCTCCCTGTGATCCAGTAAGAGCATTAGTGGGTGGCTAAGGATTGAAACTTCAGGGTTCCACCTGTAGAGACTGGTCTAGGGGGACCCTGATTACAGACCAGTCACTTCCCTGCTCTAATACATCTTAAGTGGGCTAACGTAGATTACAGCTCCCGCCTCCCCTCTATGCACGAAGTAAGGAATCATCACTGAATCAGCAATGCAGTTTTATTTAAGGCAGAATTAGGGAAAGGCTATGCCCCTCCACTCCCCCTCCTCCTACCACTCAGTCCTATCCCAAGTCAGGCACTGGAACCTGCTGAAAAGGCTGATGAGGGGCTGACAGGAGTGGGGCAGGGTTCATGGACCTTTACCTCAGAGCAGCTTACCCTGAGCTATACCCACATCTCAAGGATTTGGGGGCGTCTAGATCTCATCTAAGGGAGACACAACTTTTCTGGTCCTCAGATGGAAAGCTGGGGGAAGGTACCAGTATTTACCCTTCCATAAAAACTTTGGAGGTCTTTAGGAGGATACCCCTCAGGAGGGCTAGGAGAGGAATGACAAATACAGAGGATAGAAGGTCCCGTGGCCTGGTTGTGCCCTCACACAGGGTATGGGTTGTCCAGGACTGCCACTCCCGCTGCCACACCACCATCTGCATGCTCGATGGCTTTGGTTCGAAGTAGATGCCCCACGTGCTTGTTCATCACGAGTGTCTTTTCCTGCCTATAGAAATGGAGGCAGGGGACACACATCACCTGGACTCAGCCCCAAACCCAGGACCTTCCCTGGACCCAGCTGAGCAGTACCTGGGTAACTGTCTATACCAAGAAAGTGCTAGGATTTTAGAGTCTCTATGCCTCTCTGGAGTCTCCTTCTAGTCCTAGGTTGTCAAACCATGTGTTCTGAGTCCTCTTGGTGCTATTTGGAGTTTCCTTCACGGTTGCAAAGGACTTCTCATCAGGGCTTCATCTGATACCCTGGTAAGGTGGGCAGGTCTTGGGTCCTTGGCCTCATTTAATAGATAAAGAAACAGGTAATAAAGCTAGTGATTGGCAGAGCTGGCACCGAAGCCCAGGATTCCTGACTCTTTCCAGTGTTCCCCTCTAGGCTGGCTCACTTGGCTGGCACTCTTGCAAGCAGGTAGTGGAAAGAGCTTCTCCTGATTGGCTCACCTGACATAGACCCCAAAGATGCCCAGCTCTGAAATGCACTGGACCACTCGGGCAGGGCTGCCAGGCCGTAGCAGGCAATTCTCAAAAGGCTCAGGTTCGATCTTCTCCATGAGGATGTAGGAGGCCCTCTCCTCACTGTCCTTCAGCTGTTTCAGGGCCTGTACCATTTCCTCCCCATATAGGTTGTTACCTGCAATGAAACTGGCCAGTCACCCTGGACCCTCTGCCTACCTCCTCCATCCCATGCCCTCACTTTTGGGGCCACATGGGCAAGTCAGCAGCCTCAGTTCCTGGCACCCGCTCAGTGAAGCCAGGGCATATCTGGCTTCTCAGGAGGGAAGCTCACTTTGACAGGAGAGCCCTTACTCATGCAGTGAACACATCTTCCACTACACTGTTCTGCCCTGGTTCTCCTCCTACCTACAGCTGTTCCTTCTCAAGCTCCATTGCTGGCTCCTTCTCTTAAATGCTGGGGTCCCAGGGGAATTGGTCCTCCACGCTTGCTCTCTCCCCCATGTACATTTTCCCAAGGAGATCTCTCCTATTCCTGAGTCTCCATCTATACCCTAAAAATTGTTAACTTCCGGCCGGGCATGGTGGCTCACGCCTGTAATCCCAGCACTTTGGGAGGCCGAGGCAGGCAGATCATGAGGTCAAGAGATTGAGACCATCCTGGCCAATATGATGAAACCCCATCTCTACTAAAAATACAAAAATTAGCTGGGTGTGGTGGCGCACACCTGTAGTCCCAGCTACTCAGGAGGCTGAGGCAGGAGAATCGCTTGAACCTGGGAGGCAGTGGTTGCAGTGAGCCAAGATCATGCCACTGCACTCCAGCCTGGTGACAGAGCGAGAATCCGTCTCAAAAAAAAAAAAAAAATTGTTAACTTCCAAATATTTAATGCAGGCTCCCTGCTTAGACATCATATGACTGGCCCCCAAACAAACTCAACTTGTCCAAGCAGAACTTATTACTTCTGCCTGAACCTGCCCCTCCTGGACCTTCCTACTCCCAATCAGGCAAAAGGTACCCCTGAGTCATATTTAACTCCTCCCTTCCACTACCCTCTCACTATCTAGGACATGTCTCTCCAGTTGGCCCCATAGTCATAGCCCTAGCCCAGGCCTCTACGTTGCTCTTCTGAACAACTGTATCAGCCTCTTCCACGGTCTTTCTGCTTCCAGTGTCTCCCCTCATTCCAGGACATCTTCTACAATGCAGAAACTGTAAGTTTTGCAAGTTCCCACCACTGCTAACCACTTGAGTCCTGGATCAATGTGTCCCTTCCTGGCTTAAAACTCCCTAATGGCTTCCCACTGCCCTTAAGATAAAATCCAATTTCTCAGTATATATTCAAGGCCCTTTATAATCAGGATGCAAACCATTTTTCCAGCCTAAATCCCTGTCCCCTCCCAGCTCCCCCTCCAGCCTCACCAGTTTCTCATTAACCTCCAAACATCTCACACTTTCATGGCCCGGTGCCTTGGCTTGAGGTTGTCCCTTTTGTATGGAACACTCTTCCTCCTTTCCACCTGGGAAATTCCTACCCACCTCTTAAGACAAAGATTAAAAAAATCCTCTCCTCTGGAGAGGCAGACATGACCCCTGACCTCAAGGAGTTTCAAACTAGAAAGGAAAACAGACATGTATTCTCTCCAGTCTCCTAATATGACCCTACTCTACTTCCCAACAATCTACCCACAGGCACCTCAGGTAAAACTTGTCCAAACCCTTCAATGCTGGTTAATCAGATTCCCCTGTGCTCCCGGACTTGGTCACAGGGTCTTAGGGGACACTGTCCAACATGTGGCCTGTGTCAGTTCCAATAGTTTCCCCCATGCCCGGGACTGTGCCCAGAGTAAGTGCCAATGAGCACTGGCCACAGCCTGCTAGTCCCTCTCATTGAGGAGCCCTGCAAAGGGAGATCCACCTACCTCCACCCTCTCTCTGGGGCTTTAGCACAAACCGGCTAGGGGCAGCAAGGGCCTCGGCGATGGCCTGGTCCCCTTCTTCACCCTGGCAGGAGGCAGAAAGCAGTTATCAAAAGTTTAAAGGCTAAAGAGGCAAGAAGCTTAGGTCCAGCTGGTTATGCAGAGCAGCATCAGAGGAAGAGCAGGAGGGAGAACAGCCACAAATTCCTTCAGGCAGGATGCTACTATCTGGATGACACTCCCAACAAACCCCCTGCAGCAGCCGATGCAATGAGAACAGGCCTTTCTTTAGCAACAGCTCAGGGCTCTGCAGCAGGCAGCCTGATACACTTCTCAATTCTTGCCACCTGCCTTAGTCCCTTCCCTCTGGTTGCCATCCTCATCTCTACCTTTGCTGAGGGAGCTTACAATGGATTCCAGCCCCCATCCTTCCATTATGAGGCTGCCCTTCTGCTCAGAGTTCTAGGGGTTCTCCAGAGCATCACCAACCTTGCCAGCTCCACCTTCCCCTTGTCACAATGCCAGCTCCACCCTCCCCAACACATTGGGCTGTAGGTCTCTGCCACCTAGGAGGCCTGTGGTAGGAGAAACAGGCTGCCCACGTACCACATCCAGTGAGTAGAGGCCAGCAAAGGTGGCGCGGAGGCGGGCCACAGCCTCAGGCTGGCCAGGGAGCAACATCTCCAGCATGCCCGGCCTGCTTAGCTCCTGCTGCACCTTCTTAGTCCCAGCCAGCTGGGTGGCAATGTCTGGGCACTTGGCAGCATGTGACCTCTCCAGCAGTAGACGTGCTTCCCAATTCTGCAGAGGGAAGAAGACAAAAGGAATTCGACTTTATTTTACTTCAGCTGACGTTTACTGAACATCCATCCATTAGGTGCCAGGTATCATGATTTGTATCTTCACCCTCATTATCACCCAGGATCATTCTAACATCCTTGTGAGCCAGGTGTGATATGTTGTAGTTATGTATCATTGTGCCAGACTGTGAGCCCCTGCAAAGGCAAGAATCCCCCAATCTGTGGGAAACAATAGAAGGTGTAAGGGTAGAACATTTGTCTACGTGCTCAGCTTCCCACTGTGTTCCATACTCCCTACCATGGCCTTCAAGATCCTTCAGGAGCTGGCTCCTGTCTACTTTTTCAACCTTGTACCATCCCTGACTCCTAGTCTCTGCCATTCTACTCACACAGGCCTGTCATTCCTCAAATCACAAAGCTCTTTCCCTCCTCAGGGCCTGCACTGCTTTTCCCTCAACCTGAAACCCCCTTCCTTTCGGCTTTTCCCATGCATAGCTGGATCCTTACCATCCTTACATCTCAGCTCAATGTCACCTTTTCAGAGAAGGCTTCCCTGTCCACTCTATTTAATGTGGATTTCCCATAATTCTCTTTTTACCCAGTTGTTTCATTGAAAGCAGTTACCTGAGACTAAAACACACACATGCACACATACACGCACACGCACACAAACATACACACACAAATCCCAATTTTTTTTTCCTATTTTTGTTTACTTTTTTTTTCTTTTGAGACGTGGGTCTTGCTCTGTCACCCAGACTGGAGTGCAACAGCGCAATCTTGGCTCACTGCAACTTCTACCTCCTGGGCTCAAGTGATCCTCCCTCCTCAGCCTCCCAAGTAGCTGGGACTACAGGTGCACGCCACCACACCCAGCTAATTTTTGTATTATTTGTAGAGATGGGGTTTTGCCATGTTGCCCAGGCTGGTCTTGAACTCCTGAGCTCATGCAATCCACCTACCTAGGCCTCCCAAAGTGCTGGGATTACAGGTACGAGCCACAGTAAATGGCCATATTTTTGTTTACTTTCTGATGCCCATTTCTCTGACCAGACTGTGAGCTCCATAGCACAGGGCTCTTATCATTTTCCTCATTTTCTGTTGTATCTCCAGTGTCTAACACAGTTCCTGGCACTTTGTAGTTGCTCAATAAATATTTGTTGTTGTTGCTGAATAAGTTGAAATTTGAGTGGGGTTCTGAAGGACAGGTAGAGCCTGACAAGTGAGACTCAATAGGGAAGGGATACTCAGGCTAAGAGAATAATATGAACACAGGTCTCAAGTGGATGATCACAGGATGAATGGTTTATTACCACAAGAGCTGAGGGTATAAAAGGCAAGGAAACAGCAGGGGATCATGCCTCCCAACTCTGGTTCCCATTCTCATGCAATGGGGAGACAGTCTGTCCTTGGCTCCAGACCACTGCAAACTGCACACAGCAGGATCAGGTCTCTCCTGTGACCCCCACCCAATGCTGTCCTTCCTTTGATACTACTGGTCCACCTGTAGCACCTTGACCTGATCTTCATCAATAACCCCAGGAACCCAACTACTAGTCTGGCATTCCACGCAGAATCACACGTGACCAGAACATCAGAAATAAACCCAGAGAAATACCCCATTATGGTAGAAGCAGGAAAGCAAAACCAAAGATAAGCAAGGACTTGCCCAGGGTCATCTAGTAAGTCACTAAGCCTTCTAGATCTCTCTCCATGTCTAAACCTGCTCTGAGCTGCTCAGTTCCCTAAAAATGTCTACCTCTTGGCCAGGTGTGGTGGCTAACACCTGTAATCCCAGCACTTTGGGAGGCCAAGGTGGGTGGATCGTAAGGTCAGGAGTTCGAGACCAGCCTGGCCAACATGGTGAAACCCTGTCTCTATTAAAAATACAAAAATTAGCTGGGTGTGGTGGTGGGTGCCTGTAATCCCAGCTACTCAGGAGGCCGAGGCAGGAGAATCGCTTGAAACTGGAAGTCAAAGGTTGCAGTGAGCCGAGATCGCACCACTGTACTCCAGCCTGGTCAACAAGAGCAAAACTCTGTCTCAAAAAAAAAAAAAAGTCTACCTCTTTAAACACTACTTTCCTTCCTTGTTATCTCAAACTCTTCTAAGTTTTCTTTGTCGTGTTTTGAAATCTAGACCCATTTCTTTTTTTTTTTTTTGAGACAGAGTCTCGCTCTGTCAGCCAGGCTGGAGTGCAGTGGCATGATCTCAACTTACTGCAACCTCTGCCTCCCGGGCTCAAGCAATTCTCCTGCCTCAGCGTCCTGAGTAGCTGGGATTACAGGGGTATGCCACCACGCCCGGCTAATTTTTGTATTTTTAGTAGAGACGGGGTTTCACCATGTTGGCCAGGCTGGTCTTGAACTCCTGACCTCAGGTAATCCACCTGCCTTGGCCTCCCAAAGTGCTGGGATTATAGGCGTGAACCACCGTGCCCGGCCTAGACCTATTTTTCTAATAGACAGTTTATCTCTCCTGTAGTCAGCAAGTTGCCACCACTGCTAACCACCTATCTAAAGAAAAGGATGTTCTATCGAGATACCACCTCTATAGAGCCTCCTCATGTGGAGCTCAACCCTCGGGGGGAGTCCTAGATGAATTACAGACCTAGAAGGAGCCCCCTCAGTTTTCTAGTGTAGCTCCCCCCGCTCATAGAAACAGACCTAGAAAGGGTCAGGAACTTGCCCATCATCACACAGAGGCAGTCAAGCTCATGACCTCCAGCTCACTGCCCATGGTATTTCTAAACTTATTTCCTCCTTTATCATCTCCCAGCTGAGAGCAGAGCTTCTTAGCCTCTCCATGATGTGGATGTTAGGAGCAGAGGAGAAGAATGGGAATACCATCGGCCTGAAAGTCAGAAAACCTGGGAACTTCCTGTAGGGCCTTAGAGAAGCCTCTCCATCTCTCTAAACGTTAGTTTCTCCATCTGTATAATGGGGATAATTATATGCCTCACCGAGTGGTTGTGAGGGTTAAATGAAATAATGGATGTGGAAACTAATGAAACTACATGGTAGGATAGCAAAATGAGGTGATATAACTGTCATTAACATGAATGAGGAGATGATAAAACTTTCTGATTCAGATAAAGGAAAGGTAAGAGTTGGCAGGAAAAAAAATGGTCAGCAGTATGCTGGAACTGGCTTATATCAACCAGTGAGAGCTGATTGTTGTTAAACATTTGCCAGCACATCTCTGGAAACAGTGTAAATGGCTGAAGCTCTGTGGATTCCTGAGGATTCAAATTCTAGAAGACTGTGTAGAGTGATAGGTAGCAAAAGGCTTGAGGGAGGATAGGAGGTTCTAGCAGCAAGCTCCCTGAGAAAGAAGTGAAGTGAGGACTCGGAAAACCCAGGTTGTTATAAGCCTGAATTGGGTCTCTGTGGAGCTCTTGTGGGTCCCAGGAGGCAAAGAATGGTCTCACAGAAAATACCAACCTGTAGACTGTACTGACGAGGCATGTAGCCATCCCGGAAGTAAACCACAGCAATTTCCTGGCCATCCCTGGAACACAGGATGGAGAAGGCTGCTGTGTTAAATTATAACTGATTTGTTCAGTGGTTCAATCTATTTCAGGGTGCATCAAGATGAATTTGGCTTTTTCAAAATTCAGCCCACAGTGGGAGCCTGGTCAGGGGTTCACTGGAACCAGTGAAAGTAGATATCCACACTACCAGGGCTTCCACTGAAAACAGGGAGGTGTGCCATACAGAATACTTTAGAATATGCCAGATTTAGAGTCATTCTAAGAAGGCCAGAAGGAACAAGAAGGTCACTAGAATCAAATTTGGTAAATGCATACAAATGTTGGCTCGAAATTACCGAGCAGCAGAATCATACTGCCATGTGTAGTAAAACACACTTTATATTTCCACTGCTTAAAGCAGCTGAAACCAGAATGAAAAAATTTTTAATGGCAGGGGTGAAGGTGAAAACGCAAACATGTAAAATGATGAGTCTGATTAAGACACAGGCTTTTTAAATGTCTTTTCCTTTTCTTTGACCTATTTGATATTGTCTAGTTTATCTGAAAAGTAAATTAACTACTTTGTTTAGTTATGATAAAAGCACATTTTGAAAAACAGTGAGTGGTATTGTGAAATTCCATGGACAGTTTTAATTTTAACAATCACAAAGGTCTAGGTCTAAATATATGTGCTGCAATGCTACCCAAATATGTAGCACCAAATCTACCTGGTGGTGGCCCCTAGAGAAAAGGATAAGGCTTGGCTTGGAACACAAATCCAGGCTCGAGCTCAGACAGTGGCATCCAGACCAATCACAGCATGAGCCAGCTGCTCCTCTTCCTCCCTGACTGCCCAGCTCAGCTTCTCAGGCCTGACCTCACCTTACTAGGAGAGGCAAGAAAACTTTTGGGAACTTAGGGCATATGAAAACTAAGATGATCTCTAAGGAGACCCTGATCCAGAATGTCAACAGCTCTGATAGAAGCACAGCGTGGCTGGCTTTCTCCAAAATTTCCTGGGAGGATGAGATATTTCAGGAATTATGAGAGAAGGAAGCAAGCCATCACATCTCCCAGAAGAAAGAATCATTTTGGGGAAGAGGGTGGCAGGATGAGTTTCATAAACCAGCCTTCCACTGGATTCTTGGGAATGCTTACACAAACAGCCTTCGGTCTTGGTCCAGAGACCCCTTTTCAGAGATATCTTCAAATGTTCGTCGGATCACATGGATGTTCCTGGGAAAAATGGGCAAGAGCCAGAGGGAATGGATGCTATGTTCTGAGTGCCCCACCCCTAATCCTGGAGCCACACCTAGAAGTCCCCCTTCCTTTACTTACCTGGCCAGTAGCTCATTCTCTATGGCACGCTGGTCAAATATGTTTCTTTCCTTCTCTTGAGCAATCAGTAGCACCAGAGCACTGGGGAAAGAGCACAGGTGGCCCGAGGCTACTATAGAACTTGTTCTTCTTTTGTTTCTCCCCTCAACCCCCATACCGCCCCACCTCCTGGAATAAGAATAAGAACACCGCTTCCCTGAAAGAACAGATGTTCCCTCTCTCAGGAACCTTGAGATTACCTCAGGCATAGACACCTGATGCTATCACATATGATTTCCTGAAAATAGAAAACTTCAAAAATGAAGATGCCTCTGACCCTTCTCCAGTGGGCAGATGAAATATTGTAATGATGTCATGGGTTGATGAATTTCTGTGCAAATTAAAATTTAGATTTAAAACCATCTCAAAAACCCAAGAGGACTTTTTCTTAGAACTTAACATAATTCTAAAATCTTTCTGGAAGAATAAACAAGTGGGAGTATTGAGGAACATTTTGTAAAAGAACAATGCAGGGGGTCCGGGGCTAATGGCTCTATTACTAGATTGTAAAGGATACAATAAAGGAATGTGGTTCTTACACAAGATGGAACCCTACAGAAACCCACAGGGCCAACTACAAACAACGACATTATCTCCTGGGCCCTCCCAAGATTCCTATAATGTACACAGGGCCACATTTGATCTCATAGTATTAATGAGATCACTAGGGCTTATGTGGCTTCTTCCTCTCTGATTATTCATGTATTTCTTAAAGAGGCAGGGGCTTGAGGGCTCAGGGAAAAGCTTATGCCAGGGAACTATCTGTTTGGCTGCCAGCTAACATATTTCCGTTGTCAAAGATAGGTCCAGTCCCCTAAGAGATTCCTAGGGCTAATGCTCAGCAGTACCAAACTGCATTTTTTTTCTTTTACATTTTATTTTATTTATTTTTTTGAGACGGAGTCTCCCCCTGTTGCCCAGGCTGGAGTGCAGTGGCACAATCTAGGCTCACTGCAACCTCCACCCCCTGGGTTCCAGCGATTCTCCTGCTTCAGCCTCCCGGGTAGCTGGGATTTCAGGTGTGCACCACCCCCGCCGGCTAATTTTTGTAGTTTGAGTAGAGATGGGGTTTCACCATGTTGGCCAGGCTGGGCTCGAACTCCTGACCTCAGGTGATCTGCCCGCCTCGGCCTCCCAAAGTGTTAGCATTACAGGTGTGAGCCACTGCGCTCAGCCTCCAAACTCCATTTTTGCTGTGACTGTACTGCTTTGTGTCTGTGGCTTCTTCCTGAGACCCATGGAACCCTAGGCTTTGGCTTAGGATTCTAAGTGTGTATTCCCTGACCTCCTCTGCTTAGCCTCTCTTGTCTATCTCTGCTTCTCCTGACCTTGGCTGAACCTCTTAGTCTAAACTCTGTTTGCCTGACTCCTTTCTGCTTAGCCAAAATATAGGTCTTAGTAAGTCCCCTCTCCTGGTTTGCCTGAAATCTCATGAGGTCAGATGTGATGTTAAGCTGAGTCTTGGCTTTGAGTTGGGTGCCTGAGAGACAAACTAAAAGTGGTGCTCTCACAAGTCATCTTGCCCTGAGAGAGTCCTAAGGGCCAATGGCTTTGCTCTTCACTTTGCAGCCTAAACTGTCCCGCTCATGGGTGAGGGTGTGTGTGGGAGGGAGGCAGTTGGCCCAGGCTGGCCCACCTCCAAAAAGAGGCGGAGGAGGAAGGCTGGCAGCTGGAGGTTAAAGAGGAACTGCACGCCCCAGCTAATTAAGTCAGCCTGCCAACTGCTAAACAATCAGAGCTGGGCTCAGAAAACATATTTGACCTCTCCTGCCTTCAGTTCTGAGCAGTTCTCAGCAGTCTGTTTCCTAGTAGGAAAGTTGTCAGCTAAGGACGCATGCGGGCTGGGGGTGAGGACCCCTGAGTCGTAGGTAGTCCAGGCTCTGCCAGTGACTTGTAGTGTGTCTTGGTAATTGACTTGGGTAAGGCAATTTCGTTCCTTGGGCCCTGGTTTTCCCATCTATAAAATAAGAGTGTTATGGCTGGGCATGGTAGCTCACGCCTATAGTCCCAGCACTTTAAGAGGCCGAGGCGGGCGGATTGCCTGAGGTCGGGAGTTTGAGACCAGCCTGACCAACATGGAGAAACCCCGTTTCTACTAAAAATACAAAATTAGCCAGGCGTGGTGGTGGGCACCTGTAATCCCAGTTACTTGGGAGGCTAAGGCAGGAAAATCCCTTGAACCTGGAAGGTGGAGGATGTAGTGAGCCGAGATCGTGCCATTGCACTCCAGCCTGGGCAACAAAAACGAAACTCTGTCTCAAAAAAAAAGAAAAAAATTGGTGTTAAAAAGATCACAGTTCCCAAACTTTTATCACCAGTAGTCCCCTTTTCTTATTCTACTCATTCTAACCACAGGCCCTATGCTTTGAGAGTTTGTCTAAATTGAAATTGTAAGTCATTTTGCAGGCTTCCATTTTTAAGAAATTTTAAAAATCATGAGATAATTGACGAAAATTAATCTGCTCTACCAATGCAGTTTTTCAGTCAATACTGTGGAACCATATCTCTTAAAGGCAGAATAGGGAAGTAGAGAGAACATAGGCTTTAGAGGCAGATGAATTCTATACTTACCGGTTGTGTAACTTTGGGCAAGTTATTCAAACTCTCTTAGCCTCAGTTTGCTGTTGTATGAATTAAAACTAATACTTGTCAAATGATAGCTATTATTATTATTATTTGGGTTTGTTTTTTGTTTTTTTTTTTTTTGAGATGGAGTCTCGCTCTGTCGCCCAGGCTGGAGTGCAGTGGGGTGATCTTGGCCACTGCAACTTCCACCTCCCGGGTTCAAGTGATTCTCCTGCCTCAGCATCCCAAGTAGCTGGGACTACAGGTGCCTGCCACCATGCCTGGCTAATTTTTGTATTTTTTAGTAGAGACAAGGTTTCACCATGTTGGCCAGGCTGGCCTTGAACTCCTGACCTCTGATGATCCACCCGCCTCGGTCTCCCAAAGTGCTGGGATTAGAGGTGTGAGCCACTGCACCCGGCCTATTATTATTATTGAAAGTACCACATAATGATCCACACAGATTTTTAAAAACATTTTTCAGATCCATGATCTCATTTAATTCTCACTAACACCCCTTTAGGTATTATTATTACTCCTATTTTACAAATGAGGAAACTGAAGCTCAGAGAAGAACTAACTTGCCAAGGTCATGTGCTATGTCAGCAGAAGAACCTATCTCACTCTCACAATGGGGGAAGCCAGTTCTGGCTCAGGTGCCACATAACTCCTACCTACCAGTGCCTAATTTTGGACACACAAGTATTTTCTGTCCACGTTACTGACAGGCTGGCAGGCAAAACCCTCTGCAGCATTTGTCTGTCAGCAGTTCCCCAGCTGACCCATCCCCTGGCTTCACTCTCTTAAAATACAACCTAGCCAATATACTTGAAAGAATATTTGTCTGATGACTTCTAAATGCTTACAGTCTGAGGTTTCTTTGGGCTTAGTGAGGCTTAGCAAGGACAGAGAGGCTCCCTTGGAGGTAAGAGCATGATTAAGAGTGGAGGTTTTAGAGGGAGGTAGACTTTGGGATCTGCCACCAACTCATCACTTAGCCTTAACAATTCACTTCGTTTCTCAGAACCTCAGTTTCCTCATCTGTAAAATGAGGGAGTTGAACAGTATTGACCTCAGAGAGCTTATTATGAGAATTCAATGAGATCCTGTATGTACAGAGCTTAGCACAAGGTGTAGCACTAGTAAGTGTACATTAAGGACTATTAATGCTATATTAACATTGCAATAACTGTTAGTATAGCGGCCCCTCGATGATCTGAAAATCACTTACCTAACATCTTCACTTGAGAAATAGGAAGAAAGCAAAAAATGCCTCTAAGCAGTTAAAAAGGATACCATAAAATTTCGTAGTCAAAGCTTATGCATTTACTCATCCAAGAGGCCCTCACACTCTTCAGACCCAATCATAACAATCTGGATCATTTGTTTTCCCAAACCACAGCAAATCAGAAGGGAGGCATGGGCATGGGGGGTGGAGGATTCCAAATTCAAGCATACCAACAGCAGTCAAAAGTAAGAGCTGAGAATTGGGAAACAGACAAGAAAACTATGAAGAAAATGAATGAGAGGCCGGGTGCAGTGGCTCATGCCTGTAATCCCAGCACTTTGGGAGGCCAAGGTGGGCGGATCACGAGGTCAGGAGTTCGAGACCAGCATGACCAACATGGTGAAACCCCGTCTCTACTAAAAATACAAAAATTAGCCAGGTGTGGCAGCATGCGCCTGAAATCCCAGCTACTCAGGAGGCTGAGGCAGAAGAATTGCTTGAACCCGGGAGGTGGAGGTTGAAGTAAGCCAAGATTGTACCACTGCACTCCAGCCTGGGTGAGAGAGTGAGACTCTGTCTCAAAAAAAAAAAAAAAAGGAAATGACTAAGAACTTAAAGCCTAGCAGTCAGAGCTATTAGCGCAGGCAAACAGCCTTGCGTGCCTCTCTAACCCTAGGTAGCACTACTGTATTACAGCAAGCTGCAATTGTTGACAGTCATAATGATGACCTCCACTCAATAAGAAAAAGTTAAATCATAGTCAGCATCTGTTATTTAAGAAGGAAACCTTAAAATAATTTTGGCATGTAAAGGTATAAGTTTCTATTCCTAGAAAAATCCCCTTATTCTCTAATGATGGCTGGCAAGAAAAGAAGTTGCTAAACCCATGAATGCTGAAACTAAAGCAGGATCCTCCTGCTACCTTTTCACACCCTTACTTGGGTGAGCCGTAGAGCTCCCAGGCTTTGGCAATTCCCAGGGCCAGTCCCTTGCTGGGATTATTAGAGAGGATCTTGCCAGCTTCTTTGGTCTTACTCAGGACACTGAGAACATGTCTGTTGGAAGAGAGATGGCTGTTCAGTAATTGGATGGACCTGGAAGACCCCTCTGCCCATGACCTCATATATACAGCAACATGACTCTGAGAATCAGCTGAGCACTAAAAAGCATCCTCCCATCACATTCCTGTAAGATCCACTTCAGGTTGGAATATGCTGGGCTGCCCTAACCTTGGCCCCTGGTGTATATGCCTGGAGGAGACCTGAGAGCCTCTGTCCCCACCCCAACCTACCCTAGTGTCCCAGTGAGCTGGAGCCCCTTACTCTGGGCCTCCAGGTGCTGTCTGGAATCCTGCTGCAGACCATCTAAAATCATTGCAACCTGGAGCATCACTGCTGGCTAGAAATGGATGCTACCAGGCCCAGCCCCCAGACAGAAGTCCCTGCATTCCTCTCTCTGGGGCTCTCAAGATATTGTTCCCTCTGCCTGTACAATGGAGGGACAGGACTAGATGAGCTATGAGGTCCTTTTTCTCCCTGACATACCAAGGATCTCATTACAAGTGGAAACTGCTGTCGGGGTGGCCAGGGGCAACATGTGACCCGGGGCCCAGGAAAGCACAATCATAGCTGGAGTTCCCTGGCCTAGCCAGTGACTGTACACCCATCAGCATGTCACCCCACAGGTATGCCGGGGGCTGCCCAGGGGACCCACCGGTGCACAGCTGGGGTCCGGGAGGCCAGGCCCCCAAAGCTGGCAGAGATGGTGTTGATTTCGATCTGTTTCAGGGCTGGGGAGCCATCTGCGCTGCGCTGGAACATGTAGTCTGAGCGATTCAGGCCCAGGAACACAGTCTGTGGGGAAAACTGAAGGCTGACAGTACCTGCCCAGGGACTGACTCTGAGGACCTAGCCACAGAGCACACAGGTACCATGAACTCTACACAGAGATTAGAGGTACCAGCAAACACTCCCAAGCCCAGTGGAATCATTCTTCTGGTCATCCTAGAATTGGTCACTGGGATAAACCCAGTGAGGACCAGTGAGAGGCAGATTCCCATGAGCTGAGGGCCTGGACCAAATTCTTCAAGCAAAACAGAAAACAAACAGAGATGGGAGGGACAGGTTACAGACTGGAGTAGGGCTGGGAATGGTTACCTGGGCAATGCCCTCTTTTAGGACTTGCTTGTGGATGTCAAAGAGACGAGCGGTAAAGTCATCCTGTTTGATGGTGCTGGAGGAAGAAACAGAGAACATTTTGCAGGCTTAATTGGACCTAAAATTTCAAGGAGTCCCATCCTCAGTCATTGACTCCTGAATCCTCTCTGAGTCTACTGGCCAAAACTTGAATGTCCGCCCCAATGTGGTAGAGAACAGTGGCTAAGAATCCAACTCTAGACCTGGGTTCAAATCCTAGCTCTACCACTCACTAGTAGGCAACCTCAGGGAATCATTTCACCTCTCTGTGTCTCAGTTTGCTGATCTTTAAAATGGAGAATATAATTATATTTATATCATAGAGTTGTGGTAAAAAGCCAATAAGATATTACATTCAAAGAATTGAACATACTGCACCGAAGAAGAGCTAGAAAATGACATGATGTATCTATTCTACTTGAATAGCTCTGATGGTTGGCAAGCCTTCTGGTTGACCTAATACTAACTCTCCATAGCTTTTCCTACCCTCTGCGACCTCCCAGGGTGAGCCTTCTCCTCCTCCTCCACAGCAGCCCTTGGAGATTAGAAGACAGCAGTTATGCCCTGTGCACCAATAAGATTTTTCTGACCCAAGCTAAATATCCTGGGTTTTTTTTGTTTGTTTGTTTCTTCTTCAACTAGTCCTCATATGATGTGATTTCCTCAGGGAAGCCTTCCCTATCTGAGTCAGATCCCCCTACTATGTGTTCTCATAGAACTAAGAACCACTCCTTTACAGCACTGACTGCAGTTGCAATTTTACATTTTCTTTGTGTGATGATTAGTGTCATCTCTCCTGTTTGACTATAAACCTCATGAAGGTAATGGCTGTGTCTATGCAGGCTCATCGTCACAGCTCAGTGTACTGCCATGACATGTGACATGTGTTAGGGGCCTATCCAGTATGGTTTTCTGAAGTCTCAACAAGAGCCACAGTAAGAAGGAATCCACAGGTGATTAACATCACACTTACTGCCCTTTGAGATTCAGGGTGGATTCTGCACACCTGCTCAAGCCTGAATCACCTTGTTACAGAAACGTCACAGCAGACCAGTGGGGGGAAGCCAAGTAGCCCAGGCCTGCCCTGAAGTTCCTCTGCTCCTCAGCCAGCTCTCTCCCAAGGGTGAGCTCTCTCATGCCAGCCCTTGGTTAGGAGGAGAGTCCCAGCTGGGCTTCAGCCTCCAAGGAAGTTGAGACACACTTTCCTTTTTCTGAAGAGGTGCTCCCCTTCATGTTTTGTAGGGGGCTCTTCTCCCTTAGGAACTAGGGTTTATATGTGTATGAGAGGAGAGAGGAACAGAGAAGGCAGGGGTTGCAAAGATGAGCTGCAAGTCTCCTTCATAATTGCATCATTAGGGTTATAAGCCAGGCTGCTCATGTTTCCCACAATCCAGGATTGCAGGTACAAAGCTGGGCCCATTCCAAGAAACAGCTCAGGGGCAAGGTGGTGGGCAGATTCATACATTCATGACTCATTGGGTTTTTGGCTACAAGTCAATGGTTTCCAAGCTTCTTACCATTATGACCCCTTCTCATATTCACCCACACATTTTTAAAAGATTTTGTCTCCAACAAAAGTCTAATTTCTGTTGAAAAATTAATCAAAGACATGCAATTACAGGTTGGATATCCCTTATCCGAAATGCTTGGGACCAGAAGTCTTTCGGATTTTGGAAGATTTGCATATACGTAATGAGACATCTTGGGGATGGGACTCAAGTCTAAACACAAAATTCATTTGTTTCATATACACCTTATACTCATAGCCTGAAGATTATTTTATACAATATTTTAATTAATTTTGTGCATGAAACAAACTTTTGACTGTGTTTTGACTGCACCTGTCACATGACATCAGGCGTGGCGTTTTCCACTGGTAGAGTCATGTGGTGTTCAACAAGTTTTGAATTTTGGAGCATTTCAGCTTTTGGATTTTTGGATTAGGGATGCTCAACCTGTACAGTATATACACATCTAGCATGTATATGTAAATACATAATATTTCTAGATATTTAATTCTACAATGAATATATATACATATATATATGTATTATTATTTCTTTTTTTTTGAGATGGAGTCTCGCTCTGTCGCCCAGGCTGGAGTACAGTGTCGTGATCTTGGCTTACTGCAGCCTCTGCCTCCTGGGTTCAAGCGATTCTCCTGCCTCAGCCTCCCAAGTAGCTGGGATTATAGGCACCCGCCACCACACCCAGCTAATTTTTTTATATTTTTAGTAGAGACGGGGTTTCACCATGTTGGCCAGGCTGGTCTCAAACTCCTGACCTTAAGTGATCCACCCACCTCGGCCTCCCAAAGTGCTGGGATTACAGGCCTGAGCCACCGCGCCCAGCCTATATATATTTAATTCTAAAATAAATAAAGAAATTTTAAGAAATTGCCCCAGAATCTGAAGAAAAAAAAAAAAAGATCAAGGGAAAGAGACAGAGAAGGGCGGATGGGCTGAACCATTTCAGAGGTTGCTTCCTCATGCCCTGAGTGTGGCCCAGTCTGTACCCCATCCCATCCAAAGATGAGAGGCCTGAGGTGACAAGAAAGTGTCGCTGCTTAGGAGAAGTAGAAAATCTGACTTTAACCCAATAACCTTCCCTACCTCTGTTTTCCTCCAAAACCAGGCTGACTTCCCCTAATTCCAAATGGAAATATCAGTCTTCAAAGTAGGGTGTCACGGATTACAGAATGTCAACAATAAAGGGATCTTGGATTTAAGCCAGTCTCTTCATTTTTCAGATGAAGAAACCTTAGGCCCAGAGAAGGAAAGGGAGTGGCTTGAGGCCATATAAATAACTGGTCGAGCCAGGATTAGAAGCCAGCTTTCCTGACTCCTATGACTTTTTGTTCTTTGGAGGTACCTTTCCTCTATCCCACCAAGTCAGCTGACACAGTAACACCTCACGGCTCTGCAATCTTCCAGTTCCTTGGCTCTGGCAGCTCCTGGCCCCCCAATGCTTCACTGTCCCCTACCTGGAAAGAGTTTGCTCCAGGAAGGCAGCGTTCTGGCTGACAGCATCCACTAGCAGGTTGAAGTCCATCTGCACAGCATAGGCTTGCTCCAGCAGGGCACTGGGGACCAGTGAGGGGAAGAGCGTGAATGGGGCATAGCTCACCACCTGTGATCAAGAAGAGAGAATGGGACAGGGGTAGGGCACCTGTGAACGGGTTGTCTTCCTGCAAATGGAATCCCATGGAAAGTCTGGCCTATATTTACTGAGGACACACCAACTGTAGATTAGTGGTTACCTTGGGAGAGTGGAAGGGGGAGAGTGGAACCCAGAGAGCTTCCAGATTCTGTGATAGTTTATCTCTACGTATTGAAGAGAGAGAAGCAAAAAAGCAAAATGCAAATAACAAAAAGAAACCCACAAGTTATTGAGCACTTACTATGTGCAAGGTACTATTTTAAATACTTTACATAGATTCATCATTCAGCCCTGTGAGGAAGATACTATTATTATCCACACTTAACAGAGACGGGACCTGAGAAAGAGAGGTTAACAGATCCAAAATTATATTCAGCTAGGAACTGGTGCTGGGATTTGAACCAGAACAGTTAACAGATCCAAAATTATATTCAGCTAGTAACGGGGTGCTGGGATTTGAACCAGGATGGTTACTAAACACAACACACACATACATACATGGAAGCCTGCTCCTTGCTGGTTGATGTTCAAGCCCAGGCCCTTCCATGCATCAGGAGCTCACACTCCAGTTTCCTTGCCTTTTGATTTTGATTTGGTTACTGGGTAGGACAAGTGAACTCTGGTTCCCTTAGTAGAAGCCAGGAGTGTTTTTTCCACCAATGTTAGTGATGGTGACTCAGGTTAACAGGCCTAGAGTTCAGCTGCATTCCGCATTCTTTGGACTTTATCATAGACGAGAAACCCAAATACCATCAAGGACACTGATTCTAGAAGGGAAAAGTGCATTCTGAGATCCCTGCCAACAACTGAACTAGAACTTGGGTAAGAGATGAAAAGAAAATCTTGTGACTTGTATTATAAAGCATTCCTGAGTTTAACCTTTGAGTTAATATCAGTTTGTCATTATGGTGGTATAAGTTTACGGTGTTAGAACTTGGTATTTAGATATTTATTTTTAAAGTACTATTTTTTTTTTTGAGGTAGAGTCTCACTCTGTTGCCCAGGCTGGAGTGCAGTGGTACAATCTCGGCTCACTGCAACCTCCATCTCCTGGGTTCAAGCAATTCTCCTGCCTCAGCCTCCCAAGTAGCTGAGACTACAGGTGTGTGCCACCACACCCAGGTAATTTTTGTATTTTTAGTAGAGATGGGGTTTCACTGTGTTGTCCAGGCTGGTCTCAAACACCTGGCCTCAAGTGATCTGCCTGCCTCAGCCTCCCAAAGTGTTGGGATTACAGGCATGAGCCACCATGCCCAGCCAAAATATTATTATTTTTTTAACAGGTAATACAAATACATGATACAAAATTCAAAAGAGACATAAGAATATATAGTGAGAAGTATGTCTCACTCTCATTCCAGTCTCCTGGGGAAAAGACTGGGCCCCAGCCACCCAGTTCTCCTCCCCAGAGGCAAATGACAGACTAGTGTCTCACACATCCTTCCAGTCATCTTTGTATTGATATATATGTATACACATATATTTTCTCTTTTTTTCACCCCCATAGCAAACTATACTACATTGTGCTTTTTAAATATTTCCTTATATGTTCAAATAGAGCATTTTCATTATTTTTAATTGCTGTATATTATTCTACTCTTAGGATATACCATAATTTATTGAATCTAGTATATAGGTGGTTTCTTTATTTTCCTATTACCATTAATGTTTCAATGGGTATCCTAGAATATACATTCTAGATATTTTCATATATGAGAAAGTCCATACATTCTAAATTTCTAAAAGTAAAAATATCAAGTAATTCAGGTAAATCTATTTTAAATTTTGGTAGATAATTTCTAAATTACCCTTCTCAGCATCTTTTTTTTTTTTTTTTGGAGTGGGGTCTTACTATGTTGCCCAGACTGGAATACAGTGGCTATTCATAGGTGCCATCATAGTGCACTATAGCCTCAAATTCCTGGGCTCAAGCAATCCTCCTGTCTCAGCCTCCCCAGTAGCTGAGACTGCAGGTGTGTACCACTGCCCTGGCCTCAGCATCTAAGATAAAACTGAGGAAGGCTATTTGTGAGAATAAGGTTTATTCAGTCTGAAGCCTTTATGAGTTAGAATGGGAATGACTGCAGATTACATAAGGGGTGACCTAATACCCTGAGTAGCTATGTGATGACTACAGGAGCATTTCCTTGGCTTGAACACATAGAGCTCTGCTGCCCCCAACAAGTCTCATCTTGGCCTCAAAAACTCAGAGTTTTTCTGCTAAGACATCCCTCTGCCTCTGTCCCAGGGCTCATTATGCCCTCCTGAATTTAGGATCAATAGTTTATAGCTGTTCTCTGCTATCTACAGGCTAAAGGCTGAAACACACAGTCTTCTCACTTTTGATAGAGACATTAACATAAAATGACATTACTGGCCGGGCACGGTGGCTCATGCCTGTAATCCCAGCACTTTGGGAGGCCGAGGCGGGCAGATCACAAGATCAAGAGATCGAGACCATCCTGGCCAACATGGTGAAACCCCATCTCTACTAAAAATACAAAAATTAGCTGGGCGTGGTGGCACACACCCGTAGTCCCAGCTGCTCTGGAGGCTGAGGCAGGAGAATCGCTTGAACCCAGGAGGCAGAGGTTGCAGTGAGCTGAGATCGTGCCACTGCACTCCAGCCTGGCGACAGAGTGAGACTCTGTCTCAAAAAAAAAAAAAGAAACATTTTTCTACTATTTAAAAAAACCTATAGCACGTGCATGACAAAATTCTGCTTTGTAGCCAGGAAGCAACAGGGAGTGATAGGAATTGTGGCAAAAAGAAGTACTTGCATCTTCTCTAAAGGGGGCAGCCAGAACTCTGCTCTAGCCAATTGTTGCCATGCAGGAAAGTAGGCCAGAGTTGCCAGATGATATAATTTTTCAAGACAAGTTGGGTTGCTAGATTTTTTGTTTTAATTTCATGATTTTTTTTTTTAAATGTTGGCTCTGACTTTTTAAAAATACTCTGGTGAAAACAACTGTTAACAATGCTTGCCCCTGGTCAGGGAAACAGTGGCTGGAGGAAGGGGACTTACTCTGTACTGAATACCCTTTTGAATTTTGCGCCCTGTTCAAATGTATTTGAACGTATTACTTATTGTAAAAAACAAATTAACTCCCCAAACACTGCAGGAGCCAAATACTCAGCCTAGATATGGCTAGTTTGCAGCTCTGATCTACAGGATAAAGTTCATACTCCTCCTCCACCCAGTAGCTAAGGCCCCGCGGCTGTCTGACGCTGGCCTGCCTTCTTTCCCACTATATCCACTTATGCGCCCTGCATTTCAGCTGCATTCTCTTGAACATTTTTTTTTTTTTTTGCCTTTTCCTACTTTTGGGTCCTTGCTATGCTGTTCCTTTTCCCTATTTGTCTTTTAAGGTCTAGTTCAAATACCACCCCCCATCTCAATCATCTAATCATAATGAACTACTCTTTCTTCCAGCTGTCCTATATAGTATCTTGGGAGAGGAAAAAAAGCATGGATGTTCAGAGCATGGACTCAGGAGCCAAATTCCTTGGGTTCACATCCTGGCTCTGCCAATTATTTTACCATTTAAATAACCTCAGGTAGGTTACTTAGCCTCTCTGGGCTTCGGTTTCCTTATCTCTGTTGTGGTGAGGAGTCAGTGATTCCAAAGTGTTTAGAATAATGCCTGGCACATACTAAATACTCAATAAATGATAGTTAACTTTGTGTAGCAGACTGCCTGTGTTTCCTCATAGAGCTGATGTTATTTAATTTTGTTTTGTGGTATGTTCTCTAACTAGACCAGGAGCCCCAGAGGCTAGGGCTCTGGCTGACTCACCTCTCTGTCCTCAGTGCCTACAATGGCCCGGCATAGAGCAGGCATTTGGTAAAGATTTGGAGTAAAATCATTCTCTCTCTCTCTCTCTCACACACACACACACACACACATACACACACACGTACACTTTCTGACTTTTTTTCTGGATTAGAAATCTCATTGTGGATTACGCCTTTTCTAGGCTCCATAACCTCCCAGAAAGACCAAGTGTTGGATCTTCACATGGTACCTATTGATTAACAGAAGAAACAAAAGCGTGGAAGAGAAAATGCTTCATTTTAGATTCATACAAGTAATTCACAAAATCTAGGTTCACAGCCCAAGCAATTCTATTCCATACCATCAGCCTGCCTTAGGTGACAGACATTGTCATTTACTTGGGCCTTAGCAAACAATTACTGAGTGTGGACTCCATCAGGCCTGTGTAGGTTCTGGGCACACAGAGACAAAAAAGAATGGGTCTGGCTAAAAAAAGAAGAGATGTTGGCAGCTCTTTAGTCACCAATATGGTCTTAAGGTGTACTGTTAAGTTAAAGAAAAAAAAGTGGGCAAAAGGAGGCTGGGCACGGTGGTTCACACCTGTAATCCCAGCAATTTTGGGGGGCAGAGGCCAGTGGATCACTTGAAGTCAGGAGTTTGAGACCAGCCTGGACAACATGGTGAAACCCTGTCCCTACCAAAAAAAAAAAAAAAATTAGCCAGGCGTAGTGGCACATGCCTGTAGTCCCAGCTACTTGGGAGGCTGAGGTGGGAGAATTGCTTGAACCCAGGAGGCGGAGGTTGCAGTGAGCCAAGATTGTGCCACTACACTCCAGCCTGGGCAACAGAGCGAGGCCCCAAGGAATATATTTACTTGTTATTAGTTACTTGTTATGAATAAGCCATCTGAAAGGATCAACAAGAAACCAAAACACAAGCTGCATTAGGGTAAACTCTTGTACCATTTGAATTTGAACCATGAAAATGTCTTACCTAGTCACCAAATTAAAAAAGATTTTATTTTTTTATTTTTTTTTCTTCCCTAAGGATGAGGTTTTAAAAAGGTGTGGTTTGGACTCAGCAGTTCTACTTTTACGTATTGAACCTGGAGAAACACTCACATAGGTGCCCCAACAGACATATGCATGGATGTTCCCTATAATGCTATTTATGGTCATAAAATAATGAGAAATCACCTAAATAGACATGAGTAGAGGGAAGCTAAACTGTGATACACCCACATCTGGAATACTATGCCTCAGAATGAAGATGACCCTAATAGAAGGCATTAGAAAGTTCTAAGACAGACAAATAAAAAACCAAAAACATATCATAGAATAATATATATGATACAATTTGTTTTTTAAAAAAGACGTATTTCTATATATACCTATCTATGTATATAAATGCACAGAGAAAGGCTTGAAAGCATATATCACAAACCAGTTACAGAGAAGGTAGAGTGATTATGGGGTTTTCAGTAATAGCTCACTGGGCAAAGTGCTTCACATGAATCATCCTGTAATTCTCTTACCAAACCAGTGAGGTAGGTCCTATTATTATCCCATTTTTACACCTGAAGAAACTGCAGCTGAGAGCGGTTAAGTAATTTGCCTAAGTCACACTTCAAACCCCATATTTAAATTTGATTACTCCAGGACACTGCCTTTTTATTTTCTACTTCTAGAGATCAATTTTAGTTACTGGAAAAAATAAGGCAAAAGAGATATGGTCCCTGATGCAAAGGAGTGACCCTCAGCCTGGCCGGGGCCAGACAGTGGGCCATGGTGAATGCTGTGGGGAGGAGCTAGGGGCTTACCTCCGAGGAAGTGGGCTCCTGTGAGGTCCTCAGCAATACTCCCTCAGCCAGGGCCCGGTCCACGGCCTGCCGTGCCAGCTCCTCTAGCTGCTGTTTATCCTGCAAGAGGCTCCCCCAGTTGGTGGCCATCCCAACACCTGCAAAAGATGGAGAGAAGAGAGTTGGTAACAGATGGCCTGAAGCCCAGCAACCACCGAAACTGGCTGGCGGCCACCCCCAACACAGCAGGACCCTGACCTCTGTTGGAAGGGAACAGCGTGGTATACAGGAGTGAACACTGGCTGGTTCTAGCTCTTAACAACTTCCATGTGCACAAAATAGAAAGCTTGACAAAGCATTTCCATTGCCACTCTCTCTTTTGATTCCCAACACAATGGCATTATTCTCACAGTAAGGAAGCAGAGGCTTGGAGAGGTGAAATGACTTGCCCGAGGTGATGACTGGTATAGCCTGGACTTGAACCCATGTCTCTGGACTCCCAGCCTAAAGGCTCTTCATTGGAGAAAGAAGCACTAATATCAGATGTGACTGGGGCAAGTTCCTTCCCTTCCCAGAGCTACAGATTCCCTAACTGTGAAACAAGAAGAATCGGATAGATCAGTTTCCAAACCTGGCTGAACATTCTGGGGAGCTGGGAAAGAATACAGATTCCTGGGCCCCATCCCAGAGACTCTGATGCAAGAGGCCTGATGGGAAGGAGGGGTTGAGGCTTTGTATTTTTTTTTTTTTGATATGGAGTCTCACTCAGTCGCCTAGGCTGGAGTTCAGTGGCTCGATCTTGGCTCACTGCAACCTCCGCCTCCTGGGTTCAAGTAATTCTCCCGCCTCAGCCTCCCTGAGTAGCTGGGATTACAGGCACACACCACCACGCCTGGCTAATTTTTTGTATTTTAGTAGAGACGGGGTTTCACCGTGTTAGCCAGGATGATCTTGATCTTCTGACCTTGTGATCCACACGCCTCGACCTCCCAAAGTACTGGGATTACAGGCGTGAGCCATCACACCCAGCCGAGGCTTTGTATTTTTAACAAGTTTTCCTGGGATAGGAGTCACTGCAGTACATTATTAATTCCCTTCAAGCTCCAACAACTCATGTCAGCAGATCTCAAATAAATTACATGGGAAGGGGGAGGGAGCTCTTTGTGGAATACCATGAAATGCGAATAAGGTGAACTCCTCCCTTATACAAACCAGAAGGAATCTTAGTAGCAGGAAATGACTACATTCCATATATGGACATTTATCATCAAAGCACCAAAAGACAGAAAATATTTTTGAGAAATCACATTAGCAAGATGGAAATTGCTGAAACCCAAGTGTCCAATGTAATAGGAGAAGTTGTCTGATTGGTTGCCCAGAGACATACAGAGGTGTACAAACTCACACCCTGATACTCATTCATTTTTCAGCAGGCCTCAGGAGTTTAAGATCTGGGTAAAAATCTGGAAACACAGTCACTAATTTTGTTCTGCCCTGTTGCCATTTAACAGAACATGGTTGCCCAACTCAGTGGTCCCCAGGAAGGGAGTTAGAGAATAATAGGAAACCTCCATCACATTCAGCTCTGTCCCCCTGTCCCCATGACAGAGCCAGTGCCAGGCCAATTATGAAAGTCTGCCAGCCTCAGCACAATGCTTTGAAAGAATGCGCATGTGATCTCAAGAGGGTCCTGATAATATCCCTGTTGAGTGAGACATACATGAGGGCAATCATAGTAAAGAACAAGGTTCAAGTCAGACAGACAGACAGACCTGGGTTTGAGTCCATAATAATACGACTTCTCCCTTTCCCTTCTTTCCTTCCTTCCTTTTCCCTTTCCCTTTCCCTTCCCTCCTTCTTTCCTTCCTTCCTTCCTTCTTTTTCTTTCTTTCTCTCTCTCTCCCTCCCTCTTTCTTTCTTTTTTTTTTTTTTTGACGGAGTCTGGCTCTGTCGCCCAGGCTGGAGTGCAGCCGCACGATCTCGGCTCACTGCAAGCTCCGCCTCCTGGGTTCATGCCATTCTCCTGCCTCAGCCTCCCGAGTAGCTGGGACTACAGGCACCTGCCACCATGCCCGGCTAATTTTTTGTATTTTTAGTAGAGACGGGGTTTCACCGTGTTAGCCAGGATGGTCTCGATCTCGTGATCCCCCACTCTCGGCCTCCCAAAGTGCTGGGATTACAGGCGTGAGCCACCCCGCCCAGCCGACTTCCCTTTCAAGTAAGATTGCTGTGTGGATTAAAAGAGAAAAATCAGTGTGAAATTTATCAGCAGTGTTTGAAGCTCTATACATGAGACCATTTTTTGGCTGTACTCTCTTTATAGGTAGGAGGAGACTTGTCAGAGGTCACACAGAAGCCTAGTGGCAGAGCCAGGACAAGAACCCATTACCTTGACATTAGAGTAATGAAACCCTCCATGAGCCCCCATCGTTCCACAACTCTGAAATTCCAACATCTGTTTGCTGTTGGGCTTTTATTTAGTTGGCAAACACTGATTTGCATTTAATGCCACTCCCTTGACTAGGTACTGGGGATATGGAGGAGGATAAGACATAAAGATAATCACCATGGGCCAGGTGTGGTGGCTCACTCGTGTAATCCCAGCACTTTGTGAGGCCGAGGCAGGCGGATCACCCGAGGTCGGGAGTTCGAGACCAGCCTCACCAACATGGAGAAACCCCATCTCTACTAAAAATACAAAATTAGCCGGGCCTGGTGGCGCATGCCTGTAATCCGAGCTACTTGGGAGGCTGAGGCAGGAGAATAGCTTGAACCCAGGAGGTGGAGGTTGTAGTGAGCCGAGATCGTGCCATTGCACTCCAGCCTGGGCAACAAGAGCAAAGCTCTGTCAAAAAAAAAAAAAAAGAAAAAAAGAAAGAAAGAAAAGAAATCAGATGAAGGTGCTAAGTGGGCCCTTTGTTTTTCTCATTCTACAGCCTCAACCCTCCCTTGGCTTTATTTATGTTTTGCTGATGACATTCAAATCTACATCTTCACAGCAATACTTTCCTACCTTCAAACTAGAATATCCAATTTTTTCCTGCGAGTCTCCATACAACCAGAATAGAATTTGTTGTTGTCTCCCACAAATCTGCTTCTTCTCTGATGAACCCCACCCAGGTACCCAAGCCTTGAGTACTTGTTTCCTACATCTCACTCTCCCCAAATCCTATGGATTTTGCTGCCTAAGTATATAGTACTTTGAATTCCTTTATTTATCTCCATTTCCAGAGTTTGTAGCCTAGCCCCGGCCACTGTCATCTCTTCCCTGGGCGTGAAACAGATTCAGAGTCAGGTGTCTTCAGTGACCAGGATATGTTGGCCTCTGTCCCCCTTCCAGGACTTGGCACGTGCTGTCTTCTCTTTGGAACTCTCGCCACCACTCCTGATCTGGGCTCGCGATTTCGTTCCGGAAGCTGTCCCTGTTCTCCGCCCCGGGCTTCTACATTCTACAGCCCATCACTTTTCCCTGTACCGTAGGAACAGTGTTTGTCTTGATCACTTCTCTACCTAGTAATTAGCCGCGCTTAGTACTGTATTCATTCATCACATGAATGAATGAAGAATGAATGACAGACGGGTCAGATCACCGAAAGCCTCAAAACGCCCACAAGGAAATCGGTCGCACTTTATCGCCAGGACTTAGGCCAGTGCCTGGAAAGGCCCCGAGGCAACGACACGGTCGGCTGCCCAGGCTGGCCCCACTTCACGGGCCCGCTCGCTTCCACCCTGGACAAAGTTTGGCCCTAATCGCTCCCCGTTGTAGCTCTAACTGGCTCCAGTCTCACTGGCCTACATGCCCCGACACCGGCCCGATCTAAAGGCAGAAGATCCGGAAAGTCTGGGATCAGTGCGCGCCAGCCCAACCCCCTCACTAGACACTAGTTGCCCCGCTCCTACGAAGGGTTTCAGCCACAAGGTCTCCCGGCCTCCGGAATTCCAATCTCTTGCCAGACCCCTCCCTCACATCGTTCCTCCCGAGGAAACGTGACCCATGCCGGCCGCCGTGGCCGCCCCAACCTACTAGTTCGCCTTTCCTCCGCGAACGGTTCTCCCGGCCCTCGCGCCGCTACCCAGGCTCAGGGGGCGGGGCCTCGATGCGACCCAGTGCGCTTGCGCTGACCGCCCCGGCTAGGCTTAAAGAGCAGGCGGGGCAGAGACCCATACCTTTGGCGCTGAGTCGAGGCCAGGAAGGGGCGGTCGATGAGAGGGCGGCCTTAGCATTAGGAGTGCGTCGGCTGCACCCTGGCGGATGGACCTTGGGAAGGAGGGGAGGGGACCATCGGGGTCGGCGGGGAGCTACGGGTATGCATAGCTCATAGAGCGTCAGAGCTGACGACGACTAGTGGAAGATGGGGAAACTAATGCTCAGAGCGGGACAGTCACTACCTCAGGGGCACACAATTGATAAGGGTGGGGGTGGCCGTGGTAATGGAGGCCCCAAGGAGGGGCAGGGGCCCATAGTACGTCAGGGGCTGAGCCTGTATTAGAACCCAGGCTTGTTTCCCAGCCCAGCCAAGTCCCAGAAAAATCCCCCTGATTTTATCTATTTTTTTTTAACCTGGGATACCAGCAGGGAAAGCATTAGAGGCAAAAGGAAAGGATTTTCATTTTTCCAGGAATGCTGAAGTCAGGACTGTTTGAGGGGAGCCCTGTGTTTCTCAGACTCTCTTGTACCGTTTACATCAGGATCTGGGGCAGTTTTTAAAAATATGCGGATTCATGATTCCTACCCCCCACCTCATTGCTTGGCAGCCCCCAGGTGCCTTCCCTGTTTCTTCCTTCTGGGTTGTGATAGGCTTGTCTGCAGTCCGAAGCACCTGATACGAATTTTAGTTAAATGGAATGTATCAGTCCAGCTTCTAGGGAATTAACCATAAATAAGACACAGCCACTGCTTTCAGTCTGATAAGATAGGCAATAAACTGCCTTTCTGAAGGAATCAGGGATGGTTTTTGGGGTCTTGAAGGATGGATAGGAAGGTATAGGTAGTGAAGGAGGTAGGGGTAGAGGTGAGAGGCTGGGATGGGGACAGTGTTCCAAATTGCAGGAACAAAAGCAGCAAAGGCTGGCTGGGTGCAGTGGCTCAGACCTGTAATCCCAGCACTTTGAGAGGCCGAGGCAGGTGGATTACTTGAGCTCAGGAGTTGGAGACCAGGCTGGGCAACATGGCGAAACCCCGTCTCTACTAGAAATACAAGAATTAGCCGGGTGTGTTGGCCCGTGCCTGTAATCCCAGCTACTCGGGAGGCTGCGGCGTGAGAATTCTTGAGCCCCGGAGACGGAGGCTGCTGTGAGCTGAGATCACGCTGCAGCACTCCTGCCTGGGTGACAGCGTGAGACCCTGTCCTAAAAACAAAACAAACGAGCAGCGAAGGCATATAATTCTGAGGGTTGCTCGGCTTGTTTTACAGACACTGAGGAGTTTGGTGTGGATAATGAGGAAGGGCCTGAGGGTTGCAACAGGACTTAGGCGCTTAGGCTTGGAGAGGTAGCCTCAGACGCCAGTTCCACTGAGCAACAGGAGCTAAGGGCTTTAAGCAGGGGAAGGACATGGTTAGTTTTGTGTGTTAGGCACTGGTTACAGCGTGACAAATGGTTTGGAAGTGGGGAGATGGGCCAGAGAAAGCAGAGAGAGTTAAGATGTGAGATCATGAGGCTGTAGCCAGTGCAGCAGCTGTGGAGATGGAGCGAAGCGAACAGATCAAAGAAATTTAGGAGTGAGAACTCCTAGTGATCGTAAATCAGTGGCCCAACCCAGGGACCAAGATCCTTTTGACTCTTTTTTTTTTTTTTTTTTTTTGAGACGGAGTTTTCGTTGTTGTTGCCCAGGCTGGAGTGCAGTGGCACGATCTCAGCTCACTGCAACCTCCACTTCCCAGGTTCAAGCAATTCTCCTGCCTCAGCCTCCCAAGTAGCTGGGATTACAGGCGTCCACCACCACACCCGGCTAATTTTTGTATTTTTGGTAGAGACAGGGTTTCACCATGTTGGCCAGATTGGTCTGAAACTCTTGAGCTCAGGTGATCCACCCGCCCCAGCCTCCCAGAGTGCTAGGATTACAGGCGTTAGCCACTGCGCCCGGCCCCTTTTGACTCTTTAAATAAACCATGTACATTATCTGACTACAGGACAGGCTGAGTCCTCCAGTCTCCCGTGTGTGGTCACGGGATGGGGGGAGATGGTGGCAGATAGGTGTCTGGTTATTCCCAGAACAATGTTTCCTGATGTCCTTTCCTCGTTGGCTTTTGTACCTGAGGGGATAAGCAGCTGTTAACTAGAATAGGCCCCAGGTGGCAGGAAGAGGCTCCTGGGTCAACCAGGAACAAAAGAAGCTATTTCTAGTGCAGCATGAAATTAAAAATCAAAAGCATGACCCAGGGTTCTCTGTGCAGGTTCCCCTCTTCCAAGACGGGTGCCAAGTGATGAGTATCAGGTGTCTATGGTGAGATTTGGGGAGGATCCCAGACCTTAACAGCCCTTTGGTTGAAACCTCTCACAATGTGGCAGGTAAGATGTCTTTATTCCCATTTTGTAGATGTGGCAGCTGAGCCTCAGAAGTTACGTGACTTGTTCAAGGTGACCCAGTTTGTGGTAGGACTGGGAGTGAAGGACTCTTGACTAAGAATCTTTCCAGGGAGCGTTTGCCCTTTCTGCACTCTCTGCCTGGGTGCTTTCCTCCAAAATCCTGGCATGACTGGCTCCTTTGGTCATTCAGATGTTTCATCCCTGGAGGCTGCCCCACCCTATAAGTCTATCACGTTATCCTTTTCTTTTTTTTGAGATGGAGTCTCACTCTGTTGCCCAGGCTGGAGTGCAGTGGTGCGATCTTGGCTCACTGCAACCTCTGTCTCCTGGGTTCAAACAATTCTCCTGCCTCAGTCTCCTGAGTAGCTGGGATTACAGGCACGTGCCACCATGCCCGGCTAATTTTTGTATTTTTAGGAGAGACAGGGTTTCACCATGTTGATCAGGCTGGTCTCAAACTCCTGACCTTGTGATCCGTCCGCCTCTGCCTCTCAAAGTGCTGGGATTACAGGCGTGAGCCACCGTGCCCGGCCTTGTATTTTCTTCATAGCAGTTATTCATATCTGAAATTGTTGCTTTTATTTGTTTGCTGTTTCCCTCTGCTAGAATGTGAGCCCCATGAAAATGGGCCATGTCTGTCTTGTTCACCACTTTACCCCCAGGACCTGACTGGTGCCTGCCACGTGGCAGATGCTCAATAATATTTGCTAACTGATGGAAATAGTTTGGGGAGAGAGAAAGAGAAGGAAACCAACATTTAATGAAAGCTGAGGATGTTTCAAGTACTTCTCACAAATTACCTCATTTAATCCCTTCACAGCCTTTCAAGGTAGAAATCGTATCTCCATTGGGTGAATAAGAAACCATGCTAAGTCAGGTCAAGTCTGTGGTTTGTTACTTTTGAGGCTATAGACTCGTCTGAGATCCATTAGTATAAAATTTTGCATCAGCTACGTGGAGGAATTCACAGACCTTCTCAGGCTCACTTGGGGATCTCAGATCAAGACACATAGGATTGGGGAACTTGCCCAGGGTCTTTTTGGCCCCAGGCCTTTGCTGGATCCTCACTCCCTGGCAAGGATGGAGTCCATGTAGTGGACTGTAGGGAACCTGCTGAAGATTCCGGAGCAGAGGGAGATGATTTGCCCTGAGCCTCTGGTGTCTCAGACCTGAGTTTGAATCCTGACTGTGCAGAAGTCATCTCACCTCTCCGAATCCCACTTTCCTCATTTTATTTTTTTTCTTTCTTTCTTTTTTTTTTTTTTGAGATGGAGTCTCTCTCTGTCACCCAGGCTGGAGTGCAGTGGCACGATCTTGGCTCACTGCAACCTCTGCCTCCCGGGTTCAGGCAATTCTCCTGCCTCAGTCTCCCGAGTAGCTGGGATTACAGGCACATGCCACCATGCCCAGCTAATTTTTTGTATTTTTAGTGGAGACAGGGTTTCACCTTGCTGTCCAGGCTGGTCTCGAACTCCTGACCTCGTGATCTGCCTGCCTCAGCCTCCCAAAGTGCTGGGATTACAGGTGTGAGCCACCGCGCCTGGCTTTCCTCACTTTCAAAGTGAAATCTGTTTTTTCCTAACAATAACTACCCTTTATTGATCTGGTCGCTAAGTGTCAGGTACTTGGCTAATGACTTTACAGTCGTTATCTCACTTTCCCTTACCTCCCTATCACATCAGTATCTTTATAGCCTCCATTTTACAGCCGGGGAAAGGAAGGCTTGAAGAGGTATCCTGACTTGCCAAAGATCACAGCAGCAGTGTCAGCCATGGTGTTCCCACATATGTACCTTGGGACATGCCATGGGCTCAGACTTCCCAAAGCTAACTGTTGAATCAATTTCATCCTCTGTTCTTGGGGTTTGTGGGAACATTTGGGTCTGAATTAGGTGAAAAAAGGTATGCAGGGATGTACTTCACTGTGAATGGAGGCCAATCCCTTAATTTTGTGTCTTGCCTTTCTCCCTGCGAGGGCCTCTCTCCAAGTCTGGACTGTGGGTTTTTTTTGTTTTTGTTTTTTTGAGATGGAGTCTTGCTTTGTAGCCCAGGCTAGAGTGCAGTGGCGCCATCTTGGCTCACTGCAAGCTCCGCCTCCCGTGTTCATGCCATTCTCCTACCTCAGCCTCCCGAGTAGCTGGGACTACAGGCGCCTGCCACCACGCCCGCCTAATTTTTTCTATTTTTAGTAGAGATGGGGTTTCACCGTGTTAGCCAGGATGGTCTCGATCTCCTGACCTTGTGATCCACCCGCCTCAGCCTCCCAAAGTGCTGGGATTACAGGCGGGAGCCACCGCACCCAGCCACTGGACTGTGCCTTTTGATTGGAACATCTCTGTCAGCCCCAGGGTCTGCATCACACATGGTCTGCATCTGTGCACATGGCTACTGTCTCTTTTTAGCAGTGATATCACCCTGCCTCATACTGTTGTTTATGAGGCCATCTCCCCACCTGGCTGGGGGCCACTGCTTTGGCCATTCAGAGTGGAATTCCTCTGTCTTCCAGCCCCTAGCACAGGCCTGGGCCAGCATTGCTGCTCAGGAAATGCCTGTGGAATCAAAGTGAGGACTGTCCCAGGTGTTGAGGATTTACTGTATGCTAGGCCTGTCCCTGACACTTTATATGTGTTATCTCATTTACACCCCCACAGTCATCCTGGGAGGGAGAAGTTACTCTGCCTATTTTACCGAGAAGAAACAGACTAATTGAAGTTGGGCTTTGCCTTAGGCCCTCTTGTGGTGGTTGATGGCACGAGGGCCAACTCTAGGGTCTGTGCCCTGGTCGTGTTTGAGGTGTGTGGGCTGAAAAAGGGAAGACACACTTCAAGGCTCCAGGGATCCTCAGAGACCTTCTACTAACAGGTTCCCAGTCCGGCTCTCATTTCATCCGTGAGGACACAGAAGGTTAGAAAGGGGAGATAACTTACTTATAGACCCTCTTCTCCACTTGTTATATACTTATGTATCCACTTACTTTTTGGCAGGATGGATCTGTTTTGACTCAACATTGTACCACCCATGTAGCCCAGTGCCTAATCCAGGTTGATGCCCAGTAAATACTTTTACATTTTATTTATTATGAAACCACTGAGAAAGGTATAAAAATTAACAGAACAAATACCTGTGTACCTACCATCCAGCTTGCAAAATAAAACACTGCTAATATAAAGACCTTTTTGTTTCCCTCCATGACTGACCCCCCAACCCAAGAAGTAAAGACTCTCCTGATTTGGTGTTTATTATTCCTATGCAATGTTTATTGAGATATAATTCATGCACCATAAAACTCCCCCTTTAAAGTGTGCAATTCAGTGGTTCTTGGTATATTTACAAGATTGTACAACCATTACCACTGTCTCATTCCAGAATATTTTCATCACCACAGAAAGAAACCTCATCCCTATTAGTAGATACTCCACAATTCTCCTTCTCCCCAGCCCCTGGCAACCAGTAATTTACTTTCTTTGTCTATGGATTTGCCTTTTCTGAATATTTCCTGTAGGTGGAATCCTACAATCTGTGGCCTTTTGTAACTAGCATCTTTCACTTAGCATAATGTTTGCAAGGTTCATCCATGTTGTAGCATGGATCAGAACTTTATTCCTTCATATGGCTGAATAGTCTTTCATTGTACAGATATATCACACTCTGTTCCTCCACTCATCAGTTGATAGGCATCTGGGTTGTTTCCACTTTTTGCCATTAAGAATAATGCTGCTATGGCCAGGAGTGGTGGCTCATGCCTGTAATCCCAACACTTTGCGAGGTTGAGGTGGGAGGATCACTTGAGCTGAGGAATTCAAGGCCAGCCTGGGCAACATAAGGCTCTCTACAAAAAAATTTAAAAATTAGCCGGGCGTGGTGGCATGCGCCTGTCATCCCCACTACTAGGGAGGCTGAAGTGGGAGGATCACTTGAGCCCAGTAGGTCAAGGCTGCAGGGACCTATGGTCACGCCACTGCACTCCAGCATGGGTGACAGAGCGAGACCCTGTCTCAAAAATAATTATAATAATGCTGCTATGAACATTCATGTACAGGTTTTTGTGTGAATGTTTTCTGTTCTCGTGGGTAGATACCTAGGAGTGGAATTGCCGGGTAATATGGTAAGTATATGTTTAACTTTTTGAGGAACTGCTGTTTTCCAAAGTGGCAGCAATTGTATCAGAGCTCCAATTTTTACATCCTCACCAATACAGTTATCCCTCTGTATCTGTGGGGAATTGGTTCCAGGACCTCCCATGGATACCAACATCCAAGGATACTTAAGTCCCTTATATAAAATGATGCAGTGTTTCATATATGCTTAAGTCCCTTATATAAAATGGTGTAGTGTTTCATATAAACTATATGCATCCTCTCATATGCTCTTTAATTTTGTTTTATTTTATTTTAAATTTAAATTTATTTTTATTTATTTTGAGACAAGGTCTCACTCTGTCAGGCTGGAGAGCAGTGGTGCGATCATAGCTCACTGCAGCCTTGAACTCCTCGGTTCAAGGGATCCTCCTGTCTCAGCTTCCCAAGTAGCTGAGACTACAAGCGAGAGCCACCACACTGTCCTTTCCATGTACTTTAAGTCATCTCGGCCGGGTGCAGTGGCTCACGCCTGTCATCCCAGAACCTCAGGAGACCAAGGCTGGCAGATCACCTGAGGTCAGGAGTTCGAGACCAGCCTGGCCAACATGGCGAAAACCCATCTCTACTAAAAATACAAAAATTAGCTGGGCGTGGTGGCGCACACCTGTAGTCCCAGCTATTCAGGGAGGCTGAGGCAGAGAATCGCTTGAACCCCAGAGGCAGAGGTTACAGTGAGCTGAGATCGCGACACTGCACTCCAGCCTGGGTGACAGAGCGAGACTCCGTCTCAAAAAAAGAAGTCATAAATGCTATATAAATTGTTATACTGTATTGTTTAGGGAATAATGACAAGGAAAAAAGTCTGTACATGCTCAGTACAGTTGAAACATTGTTTTCAAATATTTTCAAGCTGCAGTTGGTTGAATACACAGATGTGGAACCCATGGATATGGAGGTCCCACTGTACTTGTCTGATTGTGGCCATCCTGGTTGGTCATTGTGGTTTTGATTTGCATTTTCCTAATGACAAATAATGCGCATATCTTTTCATGTGCTTATTGGTAGTTTGTATATCTTCTTTGGAGAAGGGTCTATTTAAATGTTTTCCTTATTTGTAAGTTATTTGTCCTTTTATTATTGGGTTGTAGGAATTCTTTATATATTCAGGATAGTAGATCCTTCCTTATATGTGATTTGCCAATAATTTGTCCCATTCTGTGGATGGTCTTTTCTGTTTTTCGATAGTATCTTTTGAAGCACATATTTTAAAATTTTGACGAAGTCCAATTTATTTATTTTTTCCTTTGCTTGTGCTTTGAATGTCATATCTACGAAACCATTGCCTAATTCGAAGGTCACAAAGATTTACACTTACTTTTTCTAAGAGTTTTATAGTTTTGGCTCTTAAATTTAAGTCTTTGATTCATTTTGAGTTAATTTTTATATAGGATGTGAGGTAGGTCTTATGCATTTTTACCCTCCTATTAGGTGTATTTCTAAGCAATATATGACACTTTTTCATGGTATTTGCACTTTTAAGTGGTAAATTATATGATTCTTGTGCAGCTTGCTTTTCTCTTTCAGTGTTATATCAGGAGATTTATCCATGTTTTAAGGGGAAATAGTTCATTCATTTTCACTGCTCTATAGGTTTCATTGCATAAAAATACCAAAGTGGCAGCAATTGTATGAGAGTTTTGTTTATTCTCCTGTGAATGGTCACTTGGGTTCTCTAGTATTTTATTACTATATATGGTAAAAAGACTAATAGATGCCTCCTGTGCAGTGTGTTGAAGGTCGTGAGCATATTCAGACTTACAAGGTAATACAAAGTTTCTTTCCCAAATGGTTTTGCAAATGTGCACTCCTGCCAGCAGTGTATTAGAATTGCCCTCATTCTGCATCCTCACCGAGACAGAATGGTCAAGGTTTCTAGCTTTTGTCAGTCTAGTGATGTGAAACGGTGTCTCGTTGTGATTTTCCAGATTAATAGCAAGATTTGTTTTTCAGTAAGTGTTTACATGGTTGGATGGATGAATGCATGAAAGCAGAAGGGGCCCAGAATAACCCTTTACTCTGCCTGTTGTTGGAGGATGGCAGGGCTCTGGGCCTAGACTATGTGGCTCTCTGTAGGGACACCGTGGAGCTAGAGAATGTTGGGGGCAGGCTGACAACTCTAGATGTGGGAGAGGACGGTTGTCACCTTGAAACTAGTGATGGGAGCTTCTCTCTACCCAGGGAGAGGCTATCGTCCTGCTCTTCCATCTCCTTGAATTTTCCAAGAAGGGAGGGAGTGGAGAAAGAGTGAAGCCAAAAGAGAATTCCTGGGACTGGGCGCGGTGGCTCACGCCTGTAATCCCAGTACTTTGGGAGGCCAAGACAGGAGGATCACTTGAGACCAGGAGATAGAGACCAGCCTGGGCAACATAGTGAGATCCCACCTCTACAAAAAATTTTTGTAAAATTAAAAAACAAGGGAATTGCCTAAGGATGAGAGGTCACAGTGGCCTAAGTGACCCTTAGGAATGACCCTTTTTCTGGGACTTTTTCATGATCTTTATATTGGTGTGACATGAACTTTCCTTGTTTAATCTACTGAGTTTGGAGATGGTCTTAATGATAATAAGAAAATGAATAGTAATGATTATATGTTGAACTCTTATGTGCCAGGCACTTACGCCTTTTCTTTTTAAAAATAGGTATTATCTCATTCAATTCCTATGGGACAGGTACTATTAGTATTCCCATTTTATTTTATTTTTAAAATAGGGATGAGTCTCACTGTGTTGTCTAGGCTAGTCTCAAACTCCTGGCCTCAAGTGACCCTCTTGCCTTGGCCTCCCAAAGTACTGGGATTACAGGCATGAGCCACCGCACCTGGCTCATTCCTGTTTTATAGATGAGGAATCAGAAGATCAAAGAGACAGAGCAACTCTGAGGGTTTGCACATAGGCAGTTGGACTCCAGAACTCTTAGGCATCATGCTGTGTGGTTAACCTGGCTCAGCCGAATCCACTAGAGCAAAGAAAAGAGAGGCTTGCCCAGGCTTGGGTGAGAAACAGGAGTCAGAATATTCACTGGGCCTGGCCTGAGGGCGCAGCAGGGAGCAGAGCGAGAGGCCGCTGGGAAAGATGGTTCTCAAAAGCAGAAGCCTCACGCCAGGGGACATGGCCCATCAGCAAGCACATGGGTGCCTCTTCTGGGCATGCTGGCTGCTGGGGACCCAGAATGGGATCTGTCTGCTCCTGGGTCTCAAGAAAGACCTGTCTTGTGGGGTAGACAGATGATAATAAGCAGACTTACCCATAAGTGTAATACACTCAGAAATGGGGACATGTGATACAGAGGGTGAAGAGAGAACCTTTATAGAAAGGACCTAGTTTAGTTAATGTAGTCAAAGGAAGCCCCTTTGAGGAGGTGACATTTGAGTGGAGGCTCGAGAAGAAGGAAGCAGCCATGCCCCAGTTTGGGGAAAGAGTAAATGGCAGATGCAGAGTCCCTGAGACAGAAAGGAGCTGGTTTAGTTGTAAACTCTCAGAAGGCCACTGTATCTGGAGTGATATGAATGAGAGGGTGGGGCTACTGTAGATGGGCTGGTCAGTTGGCAGGGCCAGGTCAGGCTGGGTCTCCAGGCCAGGGTCAACATATAGGTCTATAGCCAACATGTTTAAATAAGGCCCATAAGACTGTCTTCTTGCTGTCCCTGAGAACTGGGTGTTTGCATATTTGGAAGGGACTGAATCCTGATGCCTAGGCTGGGAAAGAGGGTCGGGGGGTGGGGAGAATTCTTGGCTTCTGGCCCTAGAAAGCTGGAACAAGAATTTGGAGGCTGCATCCCACTGACTCCCAGATGGGTTGGAGGGTGGGTGGCCTCAGCCACCAGGGCCCTGTGATAAGGTGGCACCACATACTGATAGCTGTCCAGATATCCTTCCACAGGTGAACGGTTCATCAAACTGTGGCGCATCCATACATACCATGAGTACCACTCAGCAATAAAGACACAAACATGAAATGAGCAACACCTTGGAAGAATCTCCAGGGACTTATGTGGAGTGAAAAAAGCCAGTCTCAAAAGAGTACATCCTATATGATTTCATTTATGTAACATTTTGGAATGACAGTTTTAGAAACAGAGGACAGACTGGTGGTTGCCAGGGGTTAAAGATGGGAGGGAAGTTAGTGTGGTTCTATAAGGGCAACACCTTTTTATTGTTAGAACTGTTCAGTGTCTTGGTGGCAGTGGAAGATCTGTGAATTGACACGGGTGATGAAGTCGTATAGAACTTAATACATGCAGATGTGCGTGCACACACACGCTCACAACTAGTACATGTAAAACTGGGAAAATCTGAATAAGATCGGTACATTATATCAATGTCAATAGTACAGAGTTACTGTACTATTGCTTACAATTGCATGCGAATATACAATTATCTCAATAGAAATTTTAATTAAGAAATGAAATTTGGCTAGGCATGGTGAGGCACGCCTATAGTCCCAGCTACTTGGGAGGCTGAGGCAGGGGGATTGCTTGAGCCAGGAGTTCAAGGCTGCAGTGAGCTATGATTATGCCACTGTACTCGAACATGGGTAACAGTGATACCTTGTCTTTAAAAATTTTTTTTTTAAAAAAGGGAGGCTGAGCACGGTGGCTCACACCTGTAATCCCAGCACTTTAGGAGGCCGAGGCGGGTGGATCACGAGGTCAGGAGTTCGAGACCAGCCTAGCCAACATAGTGAAACCCCGTCTCTACTAAAAATATGAAAATTAGCTGGGCATGGTGGCGCGCACCTGTAGTCCCAGCTACTGGGGAGGCTGAGGCAGGAGAATCGCTTGAACCCAGGAGGCGGAGGTTGTAGTGAGCCGACATCACGCCACTGTACTCCAGGCTGGGAAACAGAACGAGACTCCATCTAAAAAAAAAAATAGGAAATTTAAGGCCCAAAGCATTAGATAGAATGATAGAGATATTTGTACTAATAAAATTTTCAGCCCATGGAAAAAAAATCTGAAGGCTCTGCTCAAGGAGGTCTCTTGTCCTTGAGTTAGCAAAGTCACAGGGAGGTAGGCAGTGTGCCCCCAGCTGTGGGAGCAAGCAGGGTCACCCTCAGGACACTCAATATAGAGCGGTGGTACCCTCAGACCCTCTGGGTAGGTTTCCCAGCTTAGCCTTTTGGGCCTCCCTCTGCCCCTCACCCCTCAAGCTGATTGACCACGATCACAAGGGTAGAGCAGAGCTACAGCACCCCCCGCCCTCCACTGCTGCTTGGTCTTTCATGGAGAACAGACATTCTCCTGCTCCCCACTCCACCAGGTTAGGTAAGGACCCTTCCTGGGGAGGCCCCTGTGTCAACTGTGCTTAACCGTCTGTGCCTGTGTGTCCCCCAGCAGCCTAAGACTCCTGAACCTTCAGAACAAACCTGATGCCAATTCCAACCTGGAGGGCACGGGAGAGTGTTTGTTTGAAGCACTGAACTACATGGGAAACTGACCAAGCCTGGGGCAAGCCCATCCTGAGACCCCAGGCAGGGCCTCAGCTTTGGTCCAGGATTTGTGGGGTGGTTTTACAAGATCCTGGGATTTCACATGTGGGCCCCACTAAGACCTCTCTTCCAGAATGTTGGCTGCATTGGGCACTGTCTCAAATTCCACCTACAGAGTGGCAGACCCAAGGCTTCCCGCCATAGTACCCCAACACCCACAGAGCCACAGCTGCATCCTCAAATTAATTGACATCTTCCCATGGGCTGAGCACTTTGTTTCATTTATTTCTCTCAACCACATTACAAGGTAGGTCTTCTTTGTGTATTTATTTTGCAGAGAAGGAACCCAGGGCTCAGAGAAGTTACGTAACTTGCCCAGGGTCACTCAGCTTGTAAATGGCAGAGCAAGGATTTGAAAAGGCAGTCCTGACATGTGGCAGGCCTGAACGAGTCCCTGCAGATGCAAAGCTGAAGGAGAAACATTGCCTGCTCTTAAGGAGCTAATGATAATATCACCAGATATTTACATAGTGCTTATGATGGGTCAGGCACAGGCTAGGCTCTCTGCATGTGTTATTTCATTGAATCCACACCACAACCCAGTGGAATAAGGTTATGCCTGTTTTATGATGGAAATTGAAGCTCCGTGAGGAAGAGGGACCTATTCAAGGTCACATAGTGAGTTGGAAAGTCTGACCTCCTCTTGTTGGCTTCTTCCATCCTCCAGGCTGGCCTCCCAGGCCCCTCCCTGCTCGTGGTCTGTACACCCCTTCTCCCTTACACTCGGCTAAGCCTTGTCCATGGCCCCTGCCCCTTTCATGTCTATTCTTAGCATAGTTTGGAGCCTGCGGTTGGGCCACATTATCTGGATGGTGACCCCTGGGGGTACATCTTCTACCCCAGTGTGTCCTTTAGCCCTTCCTGTCTCTTCCAGCTGTGCAGCAAGGGGCGTGTTAGAGGGGCCCACTACCCAGGCCCTTACACTGCGGCAGCCTACCTAAGTATGCACAGCGCACGTAGCGTAGAGGATGGAGCCCGCAGGACACCCTTAATGCCCTTACCTGGCAGGGAGGCCAGCACACAAGGGGCTGGGGGCGGGACTGGGCTTCTTGGGGTTGAGTGGTTCTGGAAGCCGATATGAGCAGCAGCAACTGCTGGCATTATCTAGGCTCTAAGAATAGCTTGGGATGAAGAGTCAGAGGTTGAGGCCAGGGAAGAGGACAGGAGCCTGTTCCTACTGCCCCCTCCTGCTGCTTGGCCTGGAAGCTGGGAAGCCTGCCTCCTGGCTCACCATTTGCTCTGGGATGGTTTTGCATAGACACATCTTGTCCACCACTGGACTGGAGGAAAGAGGGTACCCCTGGGACTCAGACCTAGGCTGCTTGACCTCAGGCTGAAGGCAGTGGGCCCACTCTCTGAGGACCAGCCCTCACCCAGGCCCCTCACCACTGGCACAGAGTAGGGGTTTGTATTTTTCAAGGATCATGCTGGAAGTGACCCTTATTCATTTAGCAAACACTTTAAAAATAGGTTATACATACACGATTTAAAGTTCAAAGGGTTTACAAGGGAAAAAAAATCACTCTGCCTCCCTTCCCTGGCCCCCAGCTACCAAACACTGTTACCAGCTTTCTTGGGTGACTTCCAAAGGCAGTCCATCCATAGATAAGCACACAGATGCACAAATGTCTCTCTCCCCCGATTTTTACGCAGGAGATGGCATAGCCCATACATTCTTCTGCTCCTTTTTTTTTTTTTTTTTTTTTTGAGATGGAGTCTAGCTCTGTCGCCCAGGCTGGAGTGCAGTGGCACGATCCCGGCTCACTGCAACCTCCGTCTCCTGGGCTCAAGCAGTCCTCCTGCCTCAGCCTCCCGAGTAGCTGGATTACAGGCACCTGCCACCATGCCCAGCTAGTTTTTTGTATTTTTAGTAGAGACAGGGTTTCACCACGTTGGCCAGACTGGTCTTAAACTCCTGACCTCAGGGGATCTGCCTGCCTCGGCCTCCCAAAGTGCTGGGATTACAGGTGTGAGCCACCGTACCCGGCCACAACTTTTTTTTTTTTGTAACCTAATGATCTATCTTGGAAATAACAGCAATGACATATTGAGTCTCCACTAGTGTCAGGTACTATTCTAAGCATTTTAGATGGTTTAACTCATATAATGCTCATCACAGCACTAGGAGGTAGGTCCTGTTTGTGAATCTCCACCATTAAGAGGTTTAGTCATTCTCCAAGACTTCGTGCCTGGTAACTGGCAGAGCCAGGACTAAAACCCAGGCAGCCTCACTTTAGATGAGGTGCTCCTTCCTCACTGCTCTGTGCTGCCTCCCAAGCTTGAGACATGTTGAGACTCACATCATGCCCTCCCTCTTCCTAAGGGCCAAGGTAAGCCATGTACGGTGAACACTTACCACGTACCAGGCTGAGGCTGGGCTACTGCAGTGTAAGGGAGACCAGGCCTCTGTCCTCATGGAACTGTCATCCCAGTGCCCATGAGTGTCTGCCAGCCAAGGCAGGAGGAGGGAAACCCACTTGTCTCATACCCATGTGCCCTTGTATAGGTCTGCTGTTCAGACACACCCTGGTCCCATGTCCACTAGTCCTGTAGTCACACCGCCTCTGAGCTGGAAGGCCTTAGAGCCCAGAGTTACAGATGGGAACATAGGGGCCCAAACAGAGGTGGACACGAGAGATCATCAGGTGGCCCTGGTGAGACTCATCCCCTGCCTCCCGGGATCTATTTCAGCAGGGTGGGTGGGGGGTGACTTTAATCCAGGGCCCAACCATTGTTTGAAGTTGGAAACAATTGAAGGACAAGGGAGCTATAGATAGATCCACAGCTGCTGTCACTTGTCCCAGCCTGGGCACTGGGCCTGAGCATTGTCTACAGAGGGGCACTCTAAGCAGTGAGGCCCACTCCTGGGGGTAGGAGGTTGGCCCAGCCCAGCTCAGCTCAGCTCGGCTCTAGAGATAAAGAGTCAGAGGCCAAGACAGAAATACAGAGTCTTGGAAGGCAGAGAGTGGGACAGGACAACATCGAAAGAACAAGACCCTTGAGAGATACGATGGACTCCCATCAAATATCGACAATACTCAGACTGGCTGGGGGTGGGAGGGCAGACGCAGGGCCTGAGCCACAGGTTGAACTCAAGGATGCGGCATGTCAGAGACCTGGACCAGAGTGGGTGCTGGGGTCTGGAGCACCTCAGCCCAGCTCAGGTCTTTCTGTCCATCCCTCCAGAACAGCTGTTCATGTTAATCACTCTTGGGGGCAGCCAGTCTGAGGTACCCTTGTGTGTGCTCGGGGAGGCCTCAAGGTCTTCCGAAGTGAGAGGTTGTGCTGTCAGGCCTGGTCATGGCTTGAATTCACTGTATGACATCAAGCAAGGACCTGCCTCTCTCTTTGCGGCTCAGTTTCCCCAGCTGTCCAATGAGAGAGCTGGTTGGCATGATGGCTGAAGGGCCCCTTCATCCTCCAATGATGTCAGGAGATTTCCTTTTATGTGTCTAACTCCCTCCTCTTGCTGTGGCTGAGGTCGCAGTCCCCTCCTTTCTTTGTCCTTTGTGAAGATGGGGGACAGCTGGTTCCCCACCCCCTCCCCCCAGTAACCTTTCAGCCATAAATCCATGCTGAGGCATCTCTCCTCTGGATAAACAGCCCTGATGCCTTTTGGCTGCCCTCGTCCTATTTTTTGCTTCAAGCCTCAGAGCTGGGGCCCACTTGGGCCCTCTGCAGCTGCCCAGGGCCCCAGGAGGGGTACAAACCTGGGACAAGCAGGGGCCCAACCACCCCCAGTGTGCCAGGGTCGTGGGCCCCTTTCTGGGCCTCACCACCTTGCACTGGGACCATTATGGCAGCCTCCTCCTGAGTCCTTCTTCCTGCCACCGGCCTCACCCCTTCAGTGCATCCTCCACACCAGCTGCCACAGGGAGCTTAGGAACACATAAATCTGACCACACTGTCAAATTCCGTCGCTCAGAGCTCTTTGATGCAAAAAATAAATAAATAAAAATGCCTTTGATGGCGCCCCAACTCCTGCAGGATAAAGCTCCAGATCTGAATCTGGCCTTTGAAGCCCTTCACAGTCCAGCCCACTACCCAGTCCTGCCCCACTCCCCTTTATGCCCCTGGTGGCCCAGCTGCAGCTGGTGGGGCTGCTTGGGCCCATCTTCACCCCCTACCCTGCCTTGGAGTTCTAGGTCATGCTGTCCATTTCCTGTCCCCTCTTGCCACCTCCATGCCAGACCCATCCGCTCTCACCCGGGTGACAGCAGCAGCTCGCCCCGCTGCCTCCCCTGCCCCTTCCAAGCCGTTCAAGTGGTCACTATGAAACTTCAGCTCACTCACATTTCTGCTCTCACAGGCTCCCTTTGCACTTGCAATACAACCCTGGGTCCCTTCCAAGTCCTTCAAGGCTCTGAATGATCTGCCTGTCCACCCTCACCTTGGAAAACTCTCCCCTTGTTGACCACTAGGACGGCACCTTAAACATCCCAAGCTGTTTTCTGCCTCATGGCTATTGTATTTGCTGTTCCTTCTGCTTGGAATACTGTTCCAAGGGCTTCCCGCCTCACCGGCTTCTTGGCACTCTCTGGTCTCACCTTCAGTATCGCCTCTTCAGAGAGGCCCTCCCTCACCCACCAGAACGAAGTACACGTACCCCATTACCCTCCAGGCCATACTTCTTGTTTCATGCTTACCACTTGCCACAATCTTTAATTACCTTAAAAATGTGTTTGCTTGTTTATTTTTTGCTTCTCCAGGGGAGTGTCAGCTCTATGAGGGAAGGAACCTTGTTGCCATACCCCTCTTCCTGGCAGTCTGGGTGTCACACTTGTTTGTTTTGAGTCAGGGTCTTGTTCCTGTTGCCCACGCTGGAGTGCAGTGGCATGATCTCAGCTCACTGCAGTCTTGAACTCCTGGGATCAAGCAATCCTCTCGCCTCTCAGCCTCCTGAGTAGCTGAGATTGTAGGCGTGTACCATCATGCCCAGCCAATTTTTAAATTTTTTGTCGAGACAGGGTCTTGCTATATCAGCCTAGGCTGGTCTTGAACTCCTTGGCTCAAGTGATCCTCCTGCCTCAAGCCTTCCAAGTTACTGGGATTATCATAGGTGTGAGCCATCATGCCTGGTTAATTTTAAAAATATTTTTTTGTAGAGATGTCACAGGGAGCTTACAAACACATAAATCTGAACACACTGTCAAATTCTCTTGCTCAGAGCTCTTTGATGCAAAAAATAAATAAATAAAAATGCCTTTGATGGCGCCCCAACTCCTGCAGGATAAAGTTCCAGATCTGAATCTGGCCTTTGAAGCCCTTCACACTCCAGTCCCAACTGCTCAGTCCTGCCCCGCTCCCCTTTATGCCCCAGTGGCCCAGCTGGTCTCAAACTCCTGGCCTCAAGTGATTCTCCCACCTTGGCCTCCAAAAGTGCAGGGATTATGGGCATAAGCCACTGCGCCCAGCCTTCAAACTAGCTTTTATCCTTCAGACTCCTCCGTGTTGATGTCTTCCTTGAGTATCTTTCCTTTCCTAGACAATGAGTGTCTTTTGTTCCATGTGTCCCTCCCAGCTGTAGAAGCATTATTCACAGAGTCCTTCGATGTCTTTACCCAAAGAAGAAATTCCAGGCATTGGGTTACATTGAGGGCAGATACATTTTGGGCTGGGATCTAAAATCCTGGAGTCTCGCTCTCCTGAAATCGGAACGAACTTCAAAGGTCATCCAGTTCAGAGGCCTCAGCCCTGGTCGACCTCTGCCTGAGTCTTCCTTGGTGCTGGCAGGCTCACTTTCCTCCAAGGCAGCCTCTCCCGCTGCTGATGGGCTGAGATGGTGAAAAGTCCCCTTTTGCATGCATCCGCATCCTGCTTCCTGTCGCTGCCCATGGATCTACTTTTGAGGCTACACAAGTCACATCAGCTCCCTCTGCTCCAGGACAGCTCTTCAAGTTTTTTTGATTTTTTGTTTTTTGAGAGGGAGTCTTGCTCTGTTGCCCAGGCTGGAGTGCAGTGGCACGATTTCAGCTCACTGCCACTTCCAGCTCTCAGGTTCAAGTGATCCTCCTGCTTCAGCCTCCCCAAGTAGGTGGGATTACAGGCACACGCCACCATGCCTGGCTAATTTTTTTTTTTTTTTTTGAGACGGAGTCTTGTTCTGTTGCCCAGGCTGGAGTGCAGTGGTGCGATCTCGGCTCACTGCAACCTCCGCCTCCCAGGTTCAAGTGATTCTCCTGCCTCAGCCTCCCGAGTAGCTGGGATTACAGGCGCCTGCCACCATGCCTGGCTAATTTTTTTGTATTTTTAGTAGAGACAGGGTTTCACCATGTTGACCAGGCTGGTCTCAAACTCCTGACCTCAGGTAATCCACCCGCCTTGGCTTCCCAAAGTGTTGGGATGACAGGCATGAGCCACCATGCCCAGCCTTTTTTTTTTTTTTTTTTTTTTAAGTAGAAACGGGGTTTCATCATGTTGGCCAGGCTGGTCTCAAACTCATGAGCTCAAATGATCCACCTGCCTCAGCCTCCGAAAGTGCTGGGATTACAAGCTCTTCAGGTATTGAAAGTCAGTATCTTACTTAAGTCCTTGCAGGTTATAGTATTTGTTGCAAATCACTCAGAGCATTGGGTTTCCTCTTTGCGTTGTCATGTTTGTTTGTGAGCTTATCTCAGCAGGAAGATGCACCCTGGGTGGTGGAAGGGAACCTACGAGGAAGATCTAGACCCATTTTGAGGCTTGGTTTCTCAGCCCCAGGTTCATACACTGAGTAGGTAACTCTAGGACTCAGACCCACATGATAGGTGTAAGTTAGACTTGCTAGAGGTTCTGATTCTCCAGGCTAATTCTGTTGGTCCCTGACAAGAAACCCTACCTTCTGAGCATCCTTGAACAATGAAAAGAATTTTTCCCACTTTCTGGGCTTTCTATAAATTGCTCCAGCCCAGCTCTCCAGCCTCTGATGCCATAGGAGATTAAAATCCTATTATCTATCAGGTTTGGTTCGTTCACTTACTAGGTATTTATTGACTTTCTATGATGTGCAGGCACTTGGCAAGGTGCCGGGGACACAGACCAAGCTCCTGCCCTTGTGCAGGTCTTTTCTAGTGGCAGGAGGTAGGCAAGGTACAATCTAAGCTCTACAAAGAGAATTGAAACAGTGAGGTTCTCACAGAGACAATGCGGAGAGAAAGAAGAAAGGAATACATAATGTAGGATTCCATTCAAACAAATTCTGAAAATAGACAACACTAATCTCTGAGGTTAGAAGTCAGTATTATATTGTGGATCAAGCAAGAGTCGGTATAAAAAAAATAAAAATAAAAAAGAAGTCAGTATTCTATTATCCTAGGTGAGGGATGGCCCGAAGGGGATAATTTTTCATAATTTCTGTTTTTGTACAGGGTACGGTTTTGTTTTGTTGTTGCTTTTGAGACTGGGTCTGTTGCCCAGCTGGAGTGCAATGGTGTGATCTCGGCGCACTGTAACCTCTGCCTCCTGGGTTCAAGCGGTCCTCCCACCTCAGCCTCCTGAGTAGCTGAGACTACAGGTGCATGCCACCATGCCTGGCTAATTTTTGTTTGTTTGTTTGTTTGTTGTAGAGATGGGGTTTTGATGTGTTGCCCAGGCTGGTCTTGAACTCCTGAGCTTAAGTGATGTGTCCGCCTGGGCCTCCCAAAGTGCTGGAATTACAGACATGAGGTACTGTGCCTGACCCAGGGTATGTTTACTTTGAGAAAATTCATCAAACTTTATAAGATCATTCACTGCAGCCTTGACTGTAATGGCAAAAGACTGAAAACAATCGAAATGTCTACCGAGAGGGGACCCGCGTCATTTCCTAATGGAGACACACTGTAGGACTAATTCCTAATAGGGTCTGGGCGGCTGTAATTTTGATAAATATCGCCAAGTTTGGCACTGTAATTTTTTTTTGAGACGGAGTCTCGTACTGTCGCCCAGGCTGGAGTGCAGTGGTGCCATCTCCACTCACTGCAAGCTCTGCCTCCCGGGTTCACGCCATTCTCCTGCCTCAGCCTCCAGAGTAGCTGGGACTACAGGCGCCCGCCACCACCTCTGGCTAATTTTTTTGTATTTTTACTAGAGACGGGGTTTCACTGTGTTAGCCAGGATGGTCTCGATCTCCTGACCTCGTGATCCGCCCTCCTCGGCCTCCCAAAGTGCTGGGATTACAGGCGTGAGCCACTGCGCTTGGCCGGCACTGTAATTTTAAATGTGTTCATGTAATATGCACACAGTAAAGTGCATACATCTTAGATGTACAGCTTGATTTGTTTTGCAAAGTGCACGCACCTGTGTCTCATGGCTCTACTCAGCGTATAGAGCATTTCCTGCCTCCCAGAGGCTCTCTGGTGCCTCCAGCCATTACCCTCCCTCAGAGGACCACTCTGCCACTTCTGTCACCATAGGCGAGTTTTGCCTGTTTTGAATGTAGATGGTTGAAAATGTAGCTGGGAAATTATTTCTCTATATTTCGTCTAGCACACCTGTGCATTTGGAATGGGAGCGCATCGGTCGGAGGACTTCCCGTGTGAGCCTGGTCTGGCCTCTGGCTGGAACCCTGGATCTGGAACTCCATTGTTCCATGTGTCTGGCGTCTGAGGTTCTCAGATCCTTTCATTCTCGATTCTAAAATCCTGTGGCGTCACGGAGCCCTGAATGGGGTGATGGACAGGAGAGCCTGGAGGTGCCCTGACACATTCCAAAGACTGTATCAGGCAGATGGACTGCCAGCGCCCTGAACCTCTGTCGAGAGTGGGCCACGGGAAGGTGGCTTCCTGTGAATCTTCAATGTGGGGATCTGAAGGGGCTCCTAACTGGGTTACATTTCCTTGATTTGCTTCCATTTCAGCCAAACAATTCCTTGATTCTATAAGTTCCAGGGCTGGTTTTCTTCATGTATGATTTCCCCAGGGGGTCCCCAGAAAGAGGATGGGGAGGGAGGAAGAGGGAAAGAGGGCATCGATGTGCTCCCACTTCCAAATGCACAAGTGTGCCAGATAAAATATAGAGAAATAAGTGCAAAGCTACATTTTCAGCCATATACATTCAAAACAGGCAAATCTCGCCTATGGTGATAGAAGTGGCAGAGTGGACCTCTGAGGTAGGGTACAGAGTGGAGGCACCAGAGAGCCTCTGGGAGGCAGGCGATGCCCTATACCCTGAGTAGAGCCGAGGGGACACAGGTGTTTGCGCTTTGCAGATGTCTGAGAAGGATGTCCCTCTCCCCCTACCCCTCCCCCCTCTCTCTCTCCCTCTCACTCCTTCTCTTTTTGATCTGTTCTTCTCCTTCTCTCTCCTTCTCTTTTTGATCTGTTCTTCTCCTTCTCTCTCCTTCTCTTTTTGATCTGTTCTTGGCCATTGCTCGTCTGTGAGACTTGGCCAATGCTTTCCTTTCTCTGGGCCTCAGTTTCCCTGGATGTATCAAGAGGGTTGGACTAGCTGGTCCAATCTCAGTAGGCATTCTGTGGTTTCCCCTCTGAGTGTCCTTGCTCTCTGTATCTGGAGGTGGGGTATTTTTCTGGGTGTGTCAGACTCTGCGTGACTTGGTTTCTCCCCGTGAGCTCTTCAGTCTCCTGAACCTCTTACTGCCTTGTCCCTGTCCCCGTCAGTCTCTGCACCCAGCCTCCCTGTCTCTCAGTGGAGTGTCTCTCTCCGCCTTTGTGATCCCCTGACAATGGGAGGTAAAAATAGCCCAGGGGCCGTGCTGGTGGAGATAAAAGGGAATTTGCCTTTTGTGTCCTGTGGCCAGGCTGGGGGGGCTGTGACACGTGGAGATTGCTGACATAGCTCTCCTCCTCTGACCTTGACAGTGGCAATAAAAGGGGTAGCAGAGCTTCCTGCCCTCACCGTGGTGCCGAGGTAGGTGATCAGGGCTGGGGTTGGAGCCGAAGGGAGGGCAGGAGGGTGGGCGGGTGGGTGAGGGTGCCCATGGGTGGCCGCGAGTCTTCTGAATCTGGAGTGGAGGAAGCCCTGGTGTTTGAGGGTGTGCATGTATGCTGGGCACTCACCCAAGGAGGCTGCATTGGGAGCCAGAGGGAGTCGCCTAGTATCTGGTCTTGTGGGTTGGGGGATCGTGCCCTAGTTCAGCTCCCTTGTCACTGCCATCTTCCAGTGCCTGCTGCCTTGGGCCGCCTTGAACCTCCAGGGTTTCCAGCTCCTCCTCCTTCACCCCAGTGCCACTGCCATGATGGATGTGAGTGAACTTGGGGAGTCTGCCCGCTACCTCCGCCAGGGCTACCAGGAGATGACGAAGGTGCACACTATCCCATGGGACGGTAAGTGGAGACAGAGGGGGAGGGGTCATAGCCACAGAGATGCCCTTATGGACTCAGACCAGGAATTGGGAGGGGTGGCACCAGCTCAGGGCTGAAGGGGCATTGGGGCCTGACAGCTGGAGCCCTGGACCTTTCCTGCAGAGTCTGGGGCCTGGAAATTAAAACCCCAGGGACACTGTATATCACTGTGTGTCTGTGAGCAAGCCTTGGTTTGTTCCCCTGTGAAATGGGATAATAGCACCTGCCTTCCGGAGCTGCAGTTTATGAAGACTCAGGCTGGAGCCCGAGGCCTCTGAGATGAGACTGATCGGCATGTGTGCAGGCTGCCTCCGCGTGTCCACAAAACTTGTGCTGGGGTTATTTTTAGTGGTTTCTGCAGAGCCAAAGCCACCCTTTATTAGGGACAGGAATAAAGGCTGTACTATTTATGACCTGGTTTGCTCATAGGACAATACTAACAATAGGCAGTGTGTACCGAATGCTTATTGTGTGTCAGGCCCAGAGCAGATGACTTTCCATGCATCATCTCAACAACCTGGGGAGGTGGGGCCAGCACCAGACCTAGCTTCACAGGGCGCCAGGCTAAGAGGGACCTTGTGTTTGATTCGACACTCTGCTGTTGCCGTCTTGAAAGTTTTAATTGTTTTCAACAAGGGGACCCACATCGTCATTTTGTACTGGGGTCTGTAGGTTATGTAGATGGTCCTAGATGGTTCTAGATGGTCCTGACCCAGGCACTTGGCAGAGCAGGGGACACAAACTCCGGTTTGCAGCCTGAGTCCATGCTTCTAACCACCATGAAATCTGGGCTCCTCAAAGCTCTGGGGACAGCTGGCCAGGCAGGAGAGCACAGGTTACAGTTAGGAGGCCTGGGTTTGAGTCTTCAGTGAAATAGGGAAGGCAGGACCCCTCCCTAAGAGTCATATGCCTGATATTGAGGGGCTGCTCTGTATGGGACCTAAGGAGATCTCCATAACATTTTGCATGTGAGGGAACTGGCCCAGAGAGAATCAGGGATTTTCCTGAGGTCAGAGGGCAAATATGGCGGAAGCAGGAATTGGAACCCAACCATTAACCCAGACTCATCCTCCAATAAGGGGATCTCTAGGGACCCTCCCAGCTCCGCCCTTCCTGAGCCTGGGTTTGGAGGGTTCTTCACTGGAACTCCTGGGTCCTGGCAGAGGGGCTTTGGGGAGGGTCACAGCTGTATGGATACCATGGCTTGGGAACTCCAGCTAGAACCTGGAGGTGCCTCAGCCCCTCTCTGAGTCCAGAGCTCTCTCTGCAACCCAGGGAAGAAGCGAGTCTGGGTGCCTGATGAACAGGACGCCTACGTGGAGGCCGAGGTCAAGTCGGAGGCTACCGGGGGCAGAGTCACCGTGGAGACCAAAGACCAGAAGGTTCCGTTCCCCCTTTCCTGAGATTAGCCTCTCTGTCCCTAGGCCTCCTGGCCAACAGGATCTGCCCTCTGGTTGAAGGGGGTCTGGGTATGTGGGTGGGGGTGACAGGTGAGGTCGGTCGGTTCCTCCCGGTCCCCCGGCCCCTGACACGATCTCCCTGGTAGGTGCTGATGGTGCGTGAAGCCGAGCTGCAGCCCATGAACCCGCCTCGCTTCGACTTACTGGAGGACATGGCCATGATGACGCACCTGAACGAGGCCTCTGTGCTGCACAACCTGCGCCAGCGCTATGCCCGCTGGATGATCTATGTGAGCCCCAGGCCCGGGCCATGGGCGGGGTGGGGCTTGTATGTGGGGCGGGGCTAGAGATGAGGTGCTGGGGGCGGGCCCATAGCGGTGGGGCGGGGCTGTGAGCGGTGGATCGGGGCTGTGAATGATAGAGCGGGTCCATAGCGGGGGTGGGGCTGTGAGCGATGAGGCGGGGCTCTGAGCAGTGGGGGCGGGGCTGGAGGTTGGGCCTTGGGACCTTAGGGGAGCAGCTGTAGCAGTGCGGGGCGGGTCTAGAACTCACCTGCGGACTATGGAGGCCGTGCGTGTGGGCTGGGGCAGGGCTGTGAGCACAAGTCAGGGGTGAGGCCAGGACGGCCACAGAGGGTGTGGTGTGGCAAGTCAAGTAGCTCCTTGAGGAATATCGCAGGGTTCTTCTGAAGACTGGGGCCTGGGGCCTGGGGATGGGAACTTGCGTATCCCTCCCAAAACCCTACCTATGGGGGGAGAATGTGGTGGCCCATGCCTGTAATCCCAGCACTTTGGGAGGGCAAGGCGGGCGGATCACCTGACGTCAGAAGTTCGAGACCAGCCTGGCCAACATGGTGAAACCCCGTCTGTACTAAAAATACAAAAATTAGCCGGTCGTGGTGGCACGCGCTTGTAGTCCTAGCTACCCTGGGAGGCTGAGGCAGGACCCAGGAGGCGGAGGTTGCGGTGAGCCGAGATCATGCCGTTGTACTCCAGCCTGGGAGACAGAGCAAGACTCCATCTCAAAAACAACAACATAAACCCTACCTATACTCTCTCTTCAGACCTACTCAGGCCTCTTCTGTGTCACCATCAACCCCTACAAATGGCTCCCAGTCTATACGGCCTCCGTAGTGGCTGCTTACAAGGGAAAGCGCCGCTCAGATTCCCCGCCCCATATATATGCGGTGGCGGACAACGCCTACAACGACATGCTGCGCAGTAAGGGCCGCCTGGACTCCTCCCCAACCGCAGACCCCGACCTCGGTCCCGGGAGGCCTCTGTAAGGGACCCCCTTCCCCCACTGGCACTGCCCCCCTTTTGACGCTGCTGGACATGGTCGCCCAGCCGTTCTGTCCCTCCGCATGGGAGCTGACCTCCACTAGGGACAGCCCCACCTGCTCCTTCCCATTCCTGGCTCTGGGTGGTGGGGTCTGCCCCAGATGGATACCCAGGGTGTTCCACCTGTGGCTGGCCCCACACCTTGGCTGACTTCTCTATCCCCTTCCCTTTCCTCCAGACCGAGACAACCAGTCCATGCTGATCACGTGAGTGTGGGGCTCTGGGGGTGGGGTGGAAAATGCTGGCCATCTGGCAGAAAGAGGGCGGTACCACAGTCATTTCCCAGGATTGAATCCAAAGTGCTTAGGCCAGGACTTTTACCACCTGGAGCTAGTGTCCCAGCTGAAGCTAAATTAGGCCTGAGCACTTTCCCTGCCCCCATTCTGAACAGATGTGTTCTTGATGGGGGATAGGGAGGGGACACCCACAAACGGAGTGACCACCAGCCCCACACCTCCTCTCCCCGGGGCCTGGAATCTCCCACCTTGATCCTCTGGGGTTCTAATTCTGGCTCAGGGGCAGCGGAAAGATTCCTCTGCTTTTCCTCCTTTTTACCATCTACTTATGTCTGAATCTTACCTCTGATCTTTCCATTGCCTCTGTGGGAAAATGGTAGAATAATTCTTACATGCCAGGCTCATGTCCAGTCAGGCCAATATGGACAATGTTTAGTGTGAGTGTGCATGCGCGTATGCAGTTAAGAGCAAGTGCCTTGGCCGGGCACAGTGGCTCATGCCCGTAATTTCTGCACTTTGGGAGGCTGAGGTGGGTGGATCACTTGACGTCAGGAGTTCGAGACCAGCCTGGCCAACATGGTGAAACCCCATCTCTACTAAAAATACAAAAAATTAGCTGGGCGTGGTGGCAGGTGCCTGTAATCCCAGCTACTCAGGAGGCTGAGGCAGGAGAATTGCTTGAACCCAGGAGGCGGAGGTTGCCGTGAGCCAAGATCACGCCACTGCACTCCAGCCTGGGCCACAGAATGAGACTCCATCTCACGAAAAAAAAAAAAAAAAAAAAAAAAGCAAGTACCTTTAACCCAGACGGGCCCGGCTGAGTGTGGTGGCTCACACCTGTAATCCCAGCACTTGGGGAGGCTGAGGCAGGAGGATTGCCTGAGGCCAGGGGTTTGAGACCAGCCTGAGCAACATAGCGAGACCCCATCTTTACCAAAAAAAAAAAATTGAAAAGTTAAATAAAAAATCCTACCTACCACACAAAGTTATGAGTCAGTGAGTTGATATATGTGCCTGGCACACAGCAGGGACAGCCACAGAACTCCTGAGGCCCAGTTCCTTGTTCCTAAAATGGGGGTGATAATGGAGCCTGCCTTCCAGGGTTTTCTGAGCTGTAACTGAGCCAATGGAGTAAAGTGCCGGGCACTGAGTTAGTCCGTAGTGGACAATGGCATCATCGTGTGTTGTCATCTCACAGGGATGGTCTACACTGGCTTGCTTTGTACACCTCTGAGGGTTGATCCATCCTTGGGGGTTTCAAGCTGGGGGGAAGGAGAGGTGGAGGGCTCTGCTTGAGGGGTGAGGCATTGGGGGTGGGGGAGAATTAGGCCAGATGGGCATTGGTGACTCATGTTTGTGTCGTCCAAGCGGAGAGTCGGGGGCCGGTAAGACGGTTAACACCAAGCGGGTCATTCAGTACTTTGCCATCGTCGCTGCCCTGGGAGACGGGCCGGGCAAGAAGGCCGTAAGACTTGCCCACTCGGGCATGCTCCCCGTTGCTTCTCGCTGTTTTTCTTTTCTTTCTTCCTCTCTTTTTTTTTTTTCCCCCTTTTTAAAAATTTTACTCCCCAGAACCCTGAGCCCTGCCTGAGCCTCCCACCCTGGTGGGGGACTCTGGCCTGAGCAAGGCTTGACCACAAAGGCTGTGGCCACCTGACGCGCCTGCCTTCGCCTTCCCATTGGTAAACATGGAGGGGTGGGGCCACGTTGCCGTTTCTAAATTTGTGTAATTTTTATCTTCCATTGTGACCTTCATATATTGAAAGAGTTTACTAGATGGGCTGCTTTTACTAAGCGTTGTTGTCTTGGTTTCCCTGACAGTTACCTGCTGCTGACACATTAGACACAGAGGTTGGCTGGCATGCAGGGCACTGGGCATTCCCAGCAGCCGGGGTTGGCAGGGCAATTTTGTGCCTTGTGATTTCTGTACAGTTTTTGGAAATTTCTGAAACAATGGGGCCAAGTTTTTTTGTTTTTGTTTTTAAGGCATAACATTTCATCCCTAGCCTTGGGGCCAGTTGTTCAGAGCCCTGTGGCTACCCCTAGATGGGCTGCCTTTTTCCAGAAGCCCGAGGCCTCCCTCCCCACCCAGTCCCTGCTCCTGGTCCTGTTAAGCCTTGCTTTATTCTGGGTGTTTTTCTTGTTTTTCCCCTGTTTTCTTTCTTTCTTTCTTTTCTCTTTCTTTTTTCTTTCTTTTCTTTTCTTTTCTTTTTTTTTTTTTTTTTTTGCCTTTTCCTTTTTACCCATTTGATTGTCTTGATTTTTGATTTTCATTTCAGTTTTGTTTTGTTTTGTTTTTGCTGTTGACTTTTTGGTCCTTTTTCCTCCTTCCCTTTCCTGCCCTGTCTTCCAAATCCCTAAAAAGGTCTCTGGGGACGTAACAGAAAGTTGGGTGGGTCAAGTGACAGGAAGAGATGTCAGGGAGAGGCCAGAGCTGGCAGGGACACAGCTGGAAGGGCAGAGGAGCACCTGGGCAGAAAGGAGCTGGGACAGTGGAGCCCAGGGGAGAGGGTCGGGCAAGGGAGGGGTGGGAGAGGCTGCCCGCAGGAGCCATGGCTGCAGGAACTTAAAAGATTGATCAGCTCCCCTTACCTTGGCCCCAAATTTGGCCAAACGGGCTAGAGAGAGCCCTGCACAAAAGCACTGGATGGGAGTGTATTGGGGGGTTCCACCTCCCCTGCCCAATGTCCCTGTGGGTATTTTAACTCTTGGGCTCCCTGGAGGTGAATGAATGACCACAAAGTCCGTGGTGGTATATCTGTTCCCTCCAGAATCCATTCCTTCCCTTCTCTCCCTTTCTTCCTTGGCTCCCAGCATCCGGAGTAGGGAAGAGAAGGAAAGGAAAAGGAAGGGAAAGTGAGGATGAGGCTAGGATGGGGAGAAGGAGGATCTGCTCAATTCACTTAGTCCCCCTGGGTGACACACAGGACCGCTGTGGCGTCCAGGCGGCAGGATGCTGGGCACCTGCCCTGCCGCTCCTGACTTGCTGTGTGGCCTTGAGCAGATCCACTCCCTGCCCAGAGCTAAGTCTCCTCATTTGCAAATTAGGGCTAATAATGGGCACCTGGCAGGGCCTTTGTGCGCACTGGTAGGTATACAGGCAGACAAACAATGAAGACACACCCAGTTGCATTACAAAGGAGAGGTGTGTAAGGTCATAGTGGGAGGTTAGGGCAGGAAGGTTCAGACCAGGAAGAGGTCTATTCCAGCTTTGGAGCAGCCAGGAGGCCTTCCTAGAGGAGGGGGCACTTGGGCTGGGCTCTGGAGGGCCCTAGATTTTAGTCGGGAGGCCCCTGGGGCTTGGAGCAGGGCCACTGCATGGAGACTAGAAAATGAAGGGAGGCCAGAGGCCGGGCTGGGGCAGAGGAGGCTGCAGGTGGAGACTCTGGCTGGGGCTGTGCCACTCCCACTTTCCAGCATTTTGCCTCCTAACAGCTGCAGGAGGGTCAGGCCGAGGGGCTGAGGGTGGGGGCCATGCATTCCGGTGACTAACTCCACCCCCCTGTCCTGCTGCCCGCTGCCTCCCGCTGATACCCTGCCCCACCCCGCCCTTCCCCACCGGAGGCCTGGCCCTCTAATGTTGTCTGTCTTCTTCCCCCAGCAATTTCTGGCAACAAAGACGGGGGTGAGTATGGGGCCAATGTCAATGGGGCAGCCCTGGGGGTACCCCCTTCCTCTGCACAACAGAGGGGCCACGGGTGGCTCTGGCCTCCCGGTGGGTAGGCACCAGAACTGACAGACCCCCTCACCCCCACCGCCCCAGGGCACCCTTGAGGATCAAATCATCGAGGCCAACCCTGCCATGGAGGCCTTTGGCAACGCCAAGACCCTGAGGAATGATAACTCCTCCCGCTTTGTGAGTGGCTGAGGTGGGAGGGGTGGCGGGGATGCCGTAGGCCACCAGCGGCAGGTCGGGCACAGGTGGGGACAGTGCTGGCTGTGCCCCTTGGCTGAGGGCTGCCCCTCTGCCCACAGGGCAAGTTCATCCGCATTCACTTTGGTCCCTCTGGGAAGCTGGCATCCGCGGATATTGACAGCTGTGAGTCAACCCCCTGCGGGCGGTGCAGGGGAAGGAGGCCTGAGCCCGGTCACCCCAACTCGGCCTCTGTCATCACGACTTCTGGGCTCCTGCCTGCTCTGGGCACTTCTCTCTACCCCCTGGCTGCTGCCCAGCTCAGGCCACCTCACCTATCACCAGAACATCACCCCAGCCTCTGCCTGGTCTCCAGCTTCCTCTCCTCTACGCGGCCATAGTTTTGCTGGTCATATCCTGTTCCTGCTTGAAAGCTTTCTCTAGATCCTGTCACCTGAGGATGGAGACCCAAATCCTCATTTGGCCAGTCAGGCTCCTGTGACTGCACCCCTAGCGTGTCCCCAGTCTTCTCTCTGGCCACCAAGAGGGCAGGCCTGGCCCACGGCCCTCCTGCCCCAGCTGCACAGCTACACGTAGAGTGCCCCATCCTTCCAGGCACCCCGCTGGGAAGTGCCCCAGTACCACCAGCTGCATAGACCCCAGGCGCCTAGGCCACACTCAAGGGGGCCAGGGACACAGAGGGGCCCCCACGTTGGCCACTCCCCACATTGGGCTGCATGGCTAGGTCTTGACGGATGAGCGCAGGCAGGCAGTGACGGGGACAGGGATAGGCTGTAATTCACACCCTGACCCCTACACAGACACACACAGACACACACGGAGGCTCGGCCACACACGCACACACGCTGACACACCAACAGATAAAAACCTGCACACGCAGACACCACACTCACCCCACACACACGCAAGGACACACACTGACCCATCTGGCCAGAGACACAGACACACAGGTACAGACACACGGCTCGTGTGATGACGCAGGCACAGGGGAGATACCCTCCCCACACAAGCTGGCAGGTGCAGATGCAGCCCCCCTGCACACTCCCTGCCCACCTCTCTCCCTCCGCATCGCCCCCTTGGGATGTCCACTCTGGGGAGGTGTGGGAGATGGCAGGCCAGCGTCCCTTCTCCCCAGATCTCCTGGAGAAGTCGCGGGTGATCTTCCAGTTGCCTGGTGAGCGCAGCTACCATGTCTACTACCAGATCCTCTCAGGGAGGAAGCCAGAGCTGCAGGGTGAGGGGCAGTACGATGAAGGGGGTGGGAGTCAGAACCTGGAGGGGCTGCCTGGCGCTTCCTGGCCCCCATCAGGCCAGGCCCTGGTGGTCTTTCCCTCCCTGTCCTGGGGTCTGTGGCCTCTCTTCCTTCTTGGGACTTTTGGTTACTTTCCTGCTAGGGAACAGTCCTCTTAGCTCCAGCAACCTGCCAACGTGTTATCGCTGCCTCCAGGAGCCTAAGCCCTAAACCCCACTTGCTGTCCTGAGACTAGAGAGGTCCCACCCAGCACCAAGGCGGACTGATGACTGTCTAGGCCCAGCTCTCCTCTCTGGCAAGCCCGTTGAGGGCAGAGTCTGGTCTTCCCTGTGCGCCAGCATCTAGCATGGGATCTGGGCCAGAGGGGGCCATGAGCAACAGTCAAAAGATGAGTGAGACGTGAGGACTGTGGCTCATTCCTCAGAGAACCAGAAAAAGAAGCCAGGGTCAAAGTGAAGGCCAGGTCAGGGCCCTTCACTCTCAGTGCCCTCAGCCTTGGCAGGAGTGAGGATGAGAAACTTAGGCCCCAGACTGGGAGATGAGGTCCTCTGGGAGGGCCCTAGACTCCTGCTGGGCTTGCCCCCGCAGGACCCCCTATGCTGCAATTGTTGTGGGGAGAATAGCCGGTAAGCACTGCCTGACCCTCCCTTCTCTGCCCTGTGTCCCCAGACATGCTGCTTCTGTCTATGAACCCCTATGACTACCACTTCTGCAGCCAGGGCGTCATCACCGTGGACAACATGAATGATGGGGAGGAGCTCATCGCCACCGACGTATGAGCTCTGGTGGGAGGGGAGCTGTGTGGACGCCTGTGGTGGAATCGGGCAGCACTGCCGGTGCCCCCAGCTGCATGAATGGTCCCGGGGCAGTGCCTGGCTGGACCCTGGAGGAGCCCAGACCTCTCTGAACTCGCTTTCCCTGCTGCCCCCCAGCATGCCATGGACATCCTAGGCTTCAGCGTGGATGAGAAATGTGCCTGCTATAAGATCGTGGGCGCCCTCCTGCACTTTGGCAACATGAAGTTCAAGCAGAAGCAGCGGGAGGAGCAGGCGGAGGCCGATGGCACTGAGAGTGAGGGGCCCTAACCTGGCCTTCAACTTGACCCAGACCTCAGCATCCTGTCCATGATGGTTAACCCCAACTCTTGTCCACAACCTTTAACCTCAGTCTTACCTGGCCCTGCCTCCTCAGCTCCAAACCCTTACCCTCCTGAGGCTTTGTTTGCTAGCCCTGAACTTGACCCCTCTTAACTTCCCTCTCCTAGCCCCAGGCTGAGGCAGTAGAGCCCCTGAGTGCGCATGGTGGTGTCCTCCTCCCTTACCCCACTCGTGCCCTGCCAGGTGCTGACAAGGCTGCCTACCTGATGGGGGTCAGCAGTGGGGACCTCCTCAAAGGCCTTTTGCACCCCCGGGTGCGTGTAGGGAACGAGTACGTGACCAAGGGCCAGAGTGTGGAGCAGGTGAGCTGCCTGCAGGCCAAACCCATGGGGGACAGCCGGGCAGGGTCCCCTCCTTGCCAGGTCCCAGCCCAGCCTCCCTGCACCTCCAGGTGGTGTTTGCTGTGGGGGCTCTGGCCAAGGCCACCTATGACCGGCTGTTCAGGTGGCTGGTGTCTCGGATCAACCAGACCCTGGACACAAAGCTGCCCCGGCAGTTCTTCATCGGGGTTCTGGACATCGCTGGGTTTGAGATCTTTGAGGTGAGGACAGGCCCTCACCTTGGCCTCTGTTCTCTCCAAGGTAGAGGACATGGGCCTGTGGGGGGGCAGAAGCCCTGGCCTTCTGCCTGGAAGTTGGGGGTGAACTCATGCCCCTCCCCGGGCCTCCCTTTCCCCATCTGCGAGAGGTCTGCTGAGCCAGGCCCCTCCCTCTTGTAGTTCAACAGCTTCGAACAGCTGTGCATCAACTTCACCAATGAGAAATTGCAGCAGTTCTTCAACCAGCACATGTTTGTGCTGGAGCAGGAGGAGTACAAGCGGGAGGGCATCGACTGGGTCTTCATCGACTTCGGCCTTGACCTGCAGCCTTGCATCGACCTCATCGAGAAGGTGGGTGCCGCGGCAAGGTCACTTTGAGGAAGGGAGGGTGTGTGTGGTGAGCAAGCAGGGATGGATGACCATGGCTTGCATGGAAGCCTGCAAGTGTGCATGGAAGCGTGTGACTGTGCGTTGCAGTAAGCATGCATGTGAGTGTAGTTGTGACAGCGTTTATGTGCTTGTGTGTGAAAGGGCACGTGTGTGAGTGGGTGTGTTGGAGTTGACCATGAGTGAGCCTTGGTGAGTGTGTGAGCAGTGTGAATGCATGCATCCCAGTACTGTGGACAACAGCTCCTCCTGGGTGCTCAGAATTCTGCAGCTCACAAGGCCCTATTTGCAGCCACAATTTCACTGGATCCCTAGAACTGCCCTGGGTGCAGGGCAGGGTGTGTTTCCTTGTTTTTGTGATTGTGGAACATTATGTATATTTACCCATTGTACAAAGAATGGAAGAAAGAAAATTTGAAAAATTGGCAGGGGAAAAAATGTTTCTCCCCATTCCTATCACAGCCAGTCACATGACACTTAGGTTCATTTCCTCGAAATCCTTTATCCCTTTTTTTTTTTTTTTTTTTTTGAGATGGAGTCTCACTCTGTCGCCCAGGCTGGAGTACAATGGCACCATCTCAGCTCACTGCAACCTTCGCCTCCAGGGTTCAAGCAATTCTTATGCCTCAACCTCCCAAGTAGCTGGGATTACAGGCATGCGCCACCACACCTAGCTAATTTTTGTATTTTTAATAGAGACATGGCTTCACCATTTTGGCCAGGCTGGTCTCGAACTCCTGACCTCAAGTGATCTACCCACCTTGGCCTCCTAAAGTGCTGGGATTACAGGCGTGGGCCACTGCGCCTGGCCTATCCATTTTCTTTTATAGACACAGATTTCATTTCATATCCTACTTTTTCTCTGAAAATGTATTTTGAATGCTGCTCATGGCAAGAGTAGTTCATGCAGTGGATGAGTTTCATACGATGCATTTCTGCAGTCCCCTACAGCTGGGCGTTTAGGTGATTGACAGCTTTTTAAATATTATGTCAGCACTGAAGACATTCATCTTCCCACTCTGCAGGTTAGAAGACTGAGGCTTAGTGATGTCGGAGGGCCCCACAGCTAGTGAGTGAGGAAGCCAAAATGTGAACTTGATGGCTTTTTTTGACTTACCCCATGTTTGTGTGTGACAGCCATGGCTGTGGCGGGGGTGAGAGTGGGTACAGAGATGCCAGCTTGGGTTTGCCATTGTTAGAAGTGAAGATGACACCTCAGTGCTGCAGATTTTGCAGGAGGGGACTGGAGCCAAGCCACAAACTTTTCTCTGTTAGGAGATGGGTTCTTGGAGTGGGTGTGGTGTCTGACCATCCGGGGAGATGGCTGAAGCTGGGGATCTGGGAAGGCTCCCAGAAGGGAGGTGGCCTGGGGAACCAGGGGTTCAGTCCTTCCAGGATGGACTGGCTTGATGGTGGCTTTTCAAGCTCGTTCTGTTCCCAGCCACTGGGCATCCTGTCCATCCTGGAGGAGGAATGCATGTTCCCCAAGGCCTCAGACGCCAGCTTCCGGGCCAAGCTCTACGACAACCACGCGGGGAAGTCACCCAATTTCCAGCAGCCTCGGCCTGACAAGAAGCGCAAGTACCAGGCCCACTTCGAGGTGGTCCACTACGCAGGCGTGGTAGGTGCTTGCTGGAACCCCAGCCCTCGGCCAGGCTCCTCCCGCCCTGCTCCAGGTCTCCCACCCGGGCTCAGCACCTGACTTGTCTCTCCAGGTGCCTTACAGCATTGTGGGCTGGCTGGAGAAAAACAAGGATCCCCTGAATGAGACCGTGGTCCCCATCTTCCAGAAGTCACAGAATAGGCTCCTGGCGACTCTCTATGAGAATTATGCGGGCTCCTGCTCCAGTGAGTATGGAGGGACAAGATCTCCACTCTGACAGGGGCCCACAGAGCGACATTCCCTGGAGTGACCAGGCCCCTTGTCTCTATTAGCTGAGCCCCCCAAGTCTGGGGTGAAAGAGAAGCGTAAGAAGGCAGCATCGTTCCAGACGGTGTCCCAGCTGCACAAGGTAAGGCCCCATCTGGGAGACAGACCCTCCCTCTTGGCAGCCTCCAGCCCCGTCCTTCACCCCCTGCCCTGTCCCCTGTGCCTTGGGCGGGCGGCTGTTAAGACTTGCAGTGATGTTTAACTCCTCTCCACGTGAACATCACAGCAAGTCTGTGCTGCTTCCCGTCCCTACGCTGCCTGGGCAGGGTTTGTGGGGAAGGGGTGGGAGCCCTGGGGCTCTGGGAGGGACGGGGATTTGGCAGGGAAGTGAAGACTTTGGTGGTGGTGATGGGAGACAGCGAAGGGTCTCCCATCACCAGAATGAGAGTGAAAGAGCAAAAGTGCAGGGCACTTAGGGCCCTGCTCCCGTCTCGGTCCTGACCACTGCGGCATCCAATTCTGGTTCTCTGCCCCCTTTGTGCCTTTCCCTCACTCTTCCCCACTGCCAGGAGAACCTCAACAAGCTGATGACCAACCTGCGGGCCACACAGCCCCACTTCGTCCGCTGCATTGTCCCCAACGAGAACAAAACCCCAGGTAGTCACCCAGGGCTGGCCTGGCTGGGGCCGGGAGGCATCATGGGAAGGTGACAGGGCAGAGGCCGGGAGGCTGAGTACATCTTCCCCCTCACCTCGCAGGGTCTCCACTGCTGCTTTTTCTCTGGGGCCTGCGGGTGTGCCTGTTGACCTCTGACCTTTTCCCCTCTCACGTCCAGGGGTCATGGATGCCTTCTTGGTGCTACACCAGCTGCGCTGCAATGGGGTCCTGGAGGGGATCCGGATCTGCCGCCAAGGGTTCCCCAACAGGTTGCTCTACACCGACTTCCGGCAGCGGTGGGTGACCCCTTCCCCCTGCCTGCTGCTCCAGGTGGAGGCCTGAGGGGCTGGGCAGGACACACATATCAGAGCCCAACAGACGGTCCCCTGTCTGGAGGGGGAAGCAGGGACTGTGAGGGGCCTGGCCAGGTATCCCAGCAAGACATGGGGGTGGCTCAGACCTGGCCGGGGACTTGGGGAGAAGTGAATAGGCTTGGGGCAAATAGTGGAGGTGGAGCCTACAGGCCTCGCTGATAAGCTGGACATGGAATTCTGGATGCAGAAAAGACGAATGATTTCTAGTTTTGGGAGTGAGCAACCTGGGAGCTACCAGTGGTAGATTTACTGAGCTACAAAAACAGGGTTTTTTGATTTGGAGGAGAGGTGAAGGGATACTGGTTTGAGCTCTGTTTTGCGTGTATCAGGTTTGAAATGCCTCCAGCAGACATCCTAGAAAAGTCATGGGGGAGATTGGGATTATCAATCTGGAGCTCAGGGCAGCGGGCAGAAAGGATGCAGATTTGGGAGTTGAACGAGAATCATGTGGACGAGGCTTCATGAGACACCTGGCACATAGCAAGCACCTGGGCAGTGCTGCCAGCTCCTCCCCGTTCCCTCAATGGGCAACAAGCATCCATCGTTCCTTCTCCCTCCAGAAGTCATGGTGTCATCCACACTATCCTTTGTAAACAGAGGTTCACACAGATACCATACACGCACACACACGCATGGTGCTGTGACCTTGTTTTTTCTAACAGTCTGGCCTGGAGATCGTTCCTTATCCCCAGGCGTATGCCTGCCATCGTCATCCGTTTTTCTTGGCTGTGAAACATCTCACAGTCTGGTGGACTGCATGCTTTGTTTAATGAGTCCCCCTCATGAGGGGCCTTCACAGCGTGGCTGTAGCCCACCTGACCCACACAGCCCTGTGCATGTGTCCACTTAGAAGTGGGCAGGCTGGGAGCCCTGGCTCTTTTGCATTAGAATTTCCCCCCAAATGGGCTGGGCGCGGTGGCTAACGCCTGTAATCCCAGCACTTTGGGAGGCCGAGGCAGGCGGATCACGAGGTCAGGAGATCGAGACCATCCTGGCTAACACGGTGAAACCCCATCTCTACTAAAAATATAAAAAAATTAGCCGGGCGTGGTGGCGGGAGCCTGTAGTCCCAGCTACTCGGGAGGCTGAGGCAGGAGAATGGCCTGAACCCGGGAGGCAGAGCTTGCAGTGAGCAGAGATCGTGCCACTGCACTCCAGCCTGGGCGACAGAGCGAGACTCCGTCTCAAAAAAAAAAAAAAAAAAGAATTTTCCCCCAAATGTTTCTTCAGTGATAGGGTACAGCATGTCACCTTCTACTAATATTTTTTGCCTTTAAAAAAATTTTAAAAATAGTGCATGCCTTCTGTAAAAAGCCTCTTTAAAAACTTAATGAATGCATTTAAAATCCCCCCAAGGTTGTGTTTTTTTTTTTTTTTTTGAGACGGAGTCTTGCTCTGTCACCCAGGCTGGAGTGCAGTGGCAGGATCTTGGCTCACTGCAACCTCTGCCTTCTGAGGTTCAAGCGATTCTGCAATTCTTCTGCCTCAGCCTCCCGAGTAGCTGGGATTACAGGCGCCCGCCACCATGCCCCACTAATTTTTGTGTTTTTAGTAGAGATAGGGTTTCACCATGTTGCCCACGCTGGTCTTGAACTCCTGGGCTCAAGCAATCCACCCGCCTTGGCTTCCCAAAGTGTTGTGATTATGGGCGTGAGCCACCGCACCCAGCCAACCCCCCAGGGATTTTAAGTGGAGTGTCCCTAGTGTCCCAGTGTGGTGACGCATCCCTGGCCCCCTTGTTTGGCATGTGCCCTGCTGGAACCTCTGCACCAGCCTCGGAGAGGCCCAGGAACGAGTCCCCTGCTACCCACACGAGCCTCCTCAGTCCCTGACTTCCCCATTCTCAGTGGCCTGTGCCCCATACCCAGCCCTCTCCTGACCAGCTCTGCCCTCCTTTCCCAGGTACCGTATCCTGAACCCCAGTGCCATCCCGGATGACACCTTCATGGACAGCAGGAAGGCCACAGAGAAACTGCTGGGCTCGCTGGACTTGGATCACACCCAGTACCAGTTTGGCCACACCAAGGTCGGGGCACTGTGGGATCAGGGCTGGCCATGGCTGTGGCGGTCACACTGGGCAGGGTTCATGCGGATGGTTGGGGGTTACCCTGGCTGTCTACCTCTCCGCCCCCAGGTGTTCTTCAAGGCTGGGCTTCTAGGCGTCCTGGAAGAGCTCCGTGACCAGCGCCTGGCCAAGGTGCTGACGCTGCTGCAGGCGCGGAGCCGTGGCCGCCTCATGCGCCTTGAGTACCAGCGCCTGCTGGGAGGCAGGTGGGTGTGGGAAGGAGGCTGGGGACAGGGTGTGTCCCCTGCCTCTCAGCTCCCAGACCCACTGGCTCTCCCAACCCTAACATGCTGCCCTGTAGTCAGATCAGCCCCTGTGGCTGGTTGGGGCAAGGTTCTGTTCTGTGTCCCCCAGCCTCCATTTCCCCACCTCAAAAAACGGGGTACGGCACTTGCCTCTCCATTTCAGGACATCAGCGTGTGGCCCGGAGGGGTAGCGATGGCACCCAGTGTCTTCCAAGACTCTTGCGGGCCGGGCCCCAGGCAAGATACTTTCTCTGCATTATCCTGGTTAAAGCGCTGACGGTCCTGAGAAACAGGCGCTGTGATGGCCTCCACTCAGCAGAAGGGTGCCCGTGTCAGAGATCCAGAGCTAGCTGGCACGTCAGCCCAGGCCGCTGACTCCAGAGCCCCGTGGCTTAACAGCCCTGGTGTCTTCCGGGAATTGCAGAGGCCACCAGGACATGGGGGGCTCATGAGCCCCTTCACTGGAGGCAGGCCTGTGGGACTGTGGGCCTCCCCTCACCCTCACCTATAAAGCAGAGCTATTAGGAGCTACTCCATGAGGCTGCTGGGAAGGCAAAACAAGTGAACTGTGCTGAGTGTCACCATTTGTGACGGGCAGCACTGAGCCACCTTCACAGCTTGGCTGCCCCTCCCTAGGGATGCGCTGTTCACCATCCAGTGGAACATCCGTGCCTTCAATGCCGTCAAGAACTGGTCATGGATGAAGCTCTTTTTCAAGATGAAGCCGCTGCTGCGCTCGGCGCAGGCTGAGGAGGAGCTGGCGGCCCTGCGGGCAGAGCTGCGGGGGTTGCGAGGGGCGCTGGCTGCGGCCGAGGCCAAGCGCCAGGAACTGGAGGAGACGCACGTCAGCATCACCCAGGAGAAGAATGACCTGGCCCTGCAGCTGCAGGCTGTGAGTCAGGGTTCCCCTTGTGACCGGGCGTCCCCAGCCCCGAGTACCCCTGGCTGCTCTGAGGGATAGTACAGCGAGACCCATGGGGCTCAGGCCTTATGTCTCTCTGTTCCAAAGATGCCATGAGATGAGGCCTCCATGTCCCAGCCTCACCACCCCAAGGCCTCGTCTGGCACGTTTCCTGGCACTCTCCCCTCGTGCCACCTTGGCCTCCCGCTAAAGCAGAGGAACCCCAGCTCCCCAGCTCTCCCCTCCCTGCAATCCCTGAAACCAAACAGACCCATGCTCTCTTCTCTGGTTAAGGGCCATGGGAACCCAGGTGGCAGGTAACAGGGTGATAGCCAGAGAGCACAGATCAAAGGTCTGGAATCTCCCCAGGTCCACAGAGCAAGCTTTCCTGCCTTCGGCACATGGCTTTGTGTATCAATTGTGTGCCAGGCTCAGGCTAGTGCAGGAGGAACGTTGGTGGGAAGACAGAGATGGCCCTGTGGTCACAAAACTCACCTGCTAGTGCAGGAGACTGTGACGCAGCTGGACAGTAAGGAAATGGGGGGTAAGGATACCTGAGCCCTTCCAGGGACTGCCTCCAGGAGCCCGTCCGTGGCTGTGCAGAGGCTGCTGCTGCTCACCCTGCCCCTCGGAAGGCCTCAGCCCAACAGCGGGGCAGTGAGCAGCGGGCTTCCCTCTCAGAACCCTTGTTTGGGCCTCACTCTGGGCCGCCCCGCACTTCTAACTTTCCCCTCTTAATGCTCTGGTGTGTCCCTCTGCGCTATTGCCCTTCCATGCCCAAGAGCGAGTCAAGACATTCCTGAGTTCTCAGAGCACAGCCAAACTTTGCTACAGAGGCAGTTTCCTCTCCAGGGCCTGGCCTGGTGTCTCTCTGCTGGTTTACCTGGCCCTCCCCCAACCTGGCCCCGTTCCGTGTGCCCTCCAGGAGCAGGACAACCTGGCAGATGCCGAGGAGCGCTGCCACTTGCTGATCAAGTCCAAGGTGCAGCTGGAGGGGAAGGTGAAGGAGCTGAGTGAGCGGCTGGAGGATGAGGAGGAGGTGAACGCTGACCTGGCCGCCCGCCGGCGCAAGCTGGAGGACGAGTGCACGGAGCTCAAGAAGGACATTGATGACCTGGAGCTGACACTGGCCAAAGCTGAGAAGGAGAAGCAAGCCACTGAGAACAAGGTGTGGGCCGGGCCAGCTGTGGGGAAGGGCCCTGAGCCAGGGGCCAGCTTTGGGGCCAGGTGGCTGCAGGTCCCACCCCGGCTCTGCTAAGCCTCTGCTTTCTGGCCCTGGGCATGTCACTGCCTTTCCTGGGCCTCAGTTTCTTTATCTGTCAAGTGGGGTTAGCAGCACTTACCCCATTAGGGTAGGTGGTGATGTGTGTAATTGGCCTTTACTGAGCACACGCTCCTAGGCCTTGCACACGGTAGGTGTTTAGCACATGCTGGCAATCCTCATCCATCCCGGAGTGCAAGCCCCTTGAGGGCAGGAACTCCATGTCCCCAGCTCGGCATCCCGCAGGTGACTTCTGCCCTTGAGCCCTCGTGATGGCCCCTGTGGTTCCCAGTGCTGGAGGAGGGACTCCATTACACAGGAGGGAAAGTGAGGCAGGGGTAGGCAGCTTAGGTTCTCACAGGTGCTCACTGAGGAAGCCGGGACTAGGAGGCAGCTGCCCTGAGCACATGCTAATACTGCACATGGCTGGCATCTGTGGATTTCTCACCAGGCCAGGTGTGGTGCTGAGCACTGCGGGTGCATCCACTCGTGAATCCTCATTACAACCCCATGAGGAGGGTCCTTCCCTCAGGCAGAAGCGGTGGAGGCTCGGAGTCAAGTGACTTGCCTGAGTCCCATAGCTGGAAGGGGCACTTGCTCTGACCTGGTGTGGTGTGGTGGCCGCTCAGAGTGCGGGGAAGGGCGTCCCCATTCTGGCCCTGGCCCTGGCACAGGTGAAGAACCTGACGGAAGAGATGGCTGCGCTGGACGAGTCAGTGGCCCGGCTGACCAAGGAGAAGAAGGCGTTGCAGGAGGCCCACCAACAGGCCCTGGGTGACCTGCAGGCCGAGGAGGACCGTGTGAGCGCGCTGACCAAGGCCAAGCTCCGGCTGGAGCAACAGGTGGAGGACGTGAGTCAGGGCCACCCCGAGACTGGGTGGCGGGGCCGGGGTGCCGGCTGGCTTGGGCCATGGCTGACCCCTGCTGTGCCTGCTCTGCAGCTGGAATGCTCCCTGGAGCAGGAGAAGAAGCTGCGCATGGACACGGAGCGGGCCAAGCGCAAGCTGGAGGGTGACCTGAAGCTGACGCAGGAGTCGGTGGCTGATGCTGCTCAAGACAAGCAGCAGCTGGAGGAGAAGCTCAAGAAGTAGGTGTGGTGGGGCAGCAGGTGGGGGCCTTCTGAGCCTGCACCTGGCCCTTGTTCCCTTCTGGATTCTTGTGGTTCCTGCGGCATTGCAGAGGTTAAGGGTGGGGGTTGACAGATGGGGCACTGGGGTGCAGGGGTAGTGTCTTGCCCTCCCTGTACTGAGGGCCCTAGCCAGGGTCCAGGGCTGAGGCCTCAGGGCCCAGTGCAGCAGGTGCATGGGGTGAGGTCCCTCAGGGCCTGAAGGGGACTGGGGGGCGTTATGGGGTCCCAGGCGGGTGGGTGGGAGTTAAGGCCTGTGCTGGCCACCCACTCTGTGGCTCCCAGGAAGGACTCCGAGCTGAGCCAGCTGAGCCTGCGGGTGGAAGACGAGCAGCTCTTGGGGGCCCAGATGCAGAAGAAGATCAAGGAGCTGCAGGTGCGTGGGGATCGGGTGGGTGAGGCCTGGGGTCAGAGGCCCACAGAGGTGACAGCTGCCCCACGTGCCCACCCCAGGCTCGGGCGGAGGAGCTGGAAGAGGAGCTGGAGGCAGAGCGGGCAGCCCGGGCCCGCGTGGAGAAGCAGCGTGCAGAGGCGGCGCGGGAGCTGGAGGAGCTGAGCGAGCGGCTGGAGGAGGCAGGCGGCGCATCCGCGGGGCAGCGCGAGGGCTGCCGCAAGCGGGAGGCGGAGCTGGGGAGGCTGCGGCGGGAGCTGGAGGAGGCGGCGCTGCGGCACGAGGCCACAGTGGCGGCACTGCGGCGCAAGCAGGCGGAGGGCGCGGCGGAGCTGGGGGAGCAGGTGGACAGCCTGCAGCGGGTGCGGCAGAAGCTGGAGAAGGAGAAGAGTGAGCTGCGCATGGAGGTGGACGACCTGGCTGCCAACGTGGAGACTCTGACCCGCGCCAAGGTGTCCGTGCCTTCCTCACCCCATACCCACCCTGACTTTAAACCAATCCCGATCCCAGCAGCCAATACTGTTCCCACACCAGCCTCCACCCAGTACCTTATCCTGAGCCCTGACCTCTTCACCTGGTACACAACCCTCATTTCTCAGCCTCCTACCAGTCCTGACCTTAAGCCGTGACTCCCAAGCCCTGTTCCCTGACTCCAGGTCATTTCTGATCCAGCATCTACTTCCAGCCTCAGACCCTTGAACCAGCAGTAGTTGTGACCCTAGCCCTTGACTCCTGAACTCTGACTTAATACCTGTCCTCTCTTCCTGTCCTGAACCCCAGCACCCTAGCCTTAACCCCTGACCTTTCTACCACATAATCCTGACAGCTGACCTCTGACCATTGTCCCCAGGTGACTCCGCAGCTACCATCCCAACTCTCACCCTGACCCACTGCCCTGGGACTGGCCCAGCCCTGTCAGTTCTGACACCTGTTAAGCCCAGCAGTAGAATCTCTTTCCCTGACTTTGAACTTGGGGCTCTGCTCTCCCTTTGATTCCTGGGCCCACATCTAGCTTACCAGTCTCTGATCCCAGATCCTGCCATCTGATGCACAAACTTGTTCTGACATCTAACTCCTGACCCCTGACTCCCAACCTGGGATCCTAGGCCAGTGCAGAGAAGCTGTGCCGGACCTATGAGGATCAGCTAAGCGAGGCCAAGATCAAGGTGGAGGAGCTGCAGCGGCAGCTGGCGGACGCAAGCACGCAGCGTGGGCGACTACAGACGGAAAGCGGTGAGGCTGGGGCTCAGCTGGCCACACCAGGCAGGGCTTTGGTGCAGCCCTCACCAGCCTGACCTGTCCGCTCGCCTCTTTGCCTGCAGGGGAGCTGAGTCGCCTGCTAGAGGAGAAGGAGTGTCTGATCAGTCAGCTGAGCCGTGGAAAGGCCCTGGCCGCCCAAAGCCTGGAAGAGTTGCGGCGCCAGCTAGAGGAGGAAAGCAAGGTGGGCTGGCACCGGTGACCATGGAGTGGGCAGGTGGGCACCAGAGCCACTGGGCTGCACTAACGCTGAGGTCACTGGTGTCCCTGCAGGCCAAGAGTGCCCTGGCCCACGCCGTGCAGGCTCTGCGGCACGACTGTGACCTCCTGCGGGAGCAACACGAGGAGGAGGCTGAGGCCCAGGCTGAGCTGCAGCGGCTGCTGTCCAAGGCCAATGCCGAGGTGGCCCAGTGGAGGAGCAAGTACGAAGCAGATGCCATCCAGAGGACCGAGGAGCTGGAGGAGGCCAAGTGAGTGCTTTGCTGGCCAGGCCACTGCCATGCAGAGCTTTATGCCTGTGCCTGAGCCCCGCTGAGGGTGGGTGAAGGGAGCTGCTGGGGCTGTTCTCCCTCCTTCCATGGTCCACACCTTGTCTGGTTCCATGGCCTAGAAAAAAGCTGGCACTGCGGCTGCAGGAGGCAGAGGAGGGCGTGGAGGCTGCCAACGCCAAGTGCTCATCGTTGGAGAAGGCCAAGCTGCGGCTACAGACAGAGTCAGAGGATGTAACCCTGGAGCTGGAGCGGGCGACCTCAGCAGCTGCTGCGCTGGACAAGAAGCAGCGGCACTTGGAACGGGCACTGGAGGAACGGCGGCGGCAGGAGGAGGAGATGCAGCGGGAGCTGGAGGCGGCACAGAGGGAGTCCCGTGGCCTGGGCACCGAGCTCTTCCGGCTGCGGCACGGCCACGAGGAGGCACTTGAAGCCCTGGAGACGCTCAAGCGGGAGAACAAGAACCTGCAGGGTAGGACCTGCCACACGCCAGGGCCAGGGTGCTGCCCTGGGGTCGGAGCAACTTTGAGTTATGGGGGTGCCCTGGTGGGGCCACCCTGGAATCAGGGGTGAGTGGAGTGACCTGGGTGGGAGTACAAGCCATGGGGGTGGCCTCTCAGCACCCTGTCCACTGCAGAGGAGATCAGCGACCTCACAGACCAGGTGAGTCTCAGTGGGAAGAGCATCCAGGAACTGGAGAAAACCAAGAAGGCGCTGGAAGGCGAGAAGAGTGAGATCCAGGCTGCACTGGAGGAGGCAGAGGTCAGGGGCTGGCTGCAGGGGTGGGTGGACACTGACCTGCTGCTCCACTGGCCATCCCCCCCCCCCACCCTACCCTGCCTGCTCTGTATCCACAGGGGGCCCTGGAGCTGGAGGAGACCAAGACGCTGCGGATCCAGCTGGAGCTCTCCCAGGTCAAAGCAGAAGTGGACCGGAAGCTGGCAGAGAAAGACGAGGAGTGCGCTAACCTGAGGTGTGTCCATCCTTCTCCCGTCCCCACCTCCCGAGAGCAGAAGGGGAGGGAAGCAGTGTGTACTCTGCTCTCTAGTCTGTCCCTCCCATGGGACTTTGAGGTCCGGGTTGCTGTCTCCATTCTAGCTGTGAACCTCGGAGATGCTAAAGGACTTGCCCAAAGTCACACAGTGGGGGTGGAGCCAGTCAGTCCACCTCTGTCTGCCTGGGCCTCACTCTTGTCCATGAACTTGCTCTGATGGGCCACAGGCAGTCACAAGAGACTTTAAATCGGGGAGGGGTGACTCATTTGTTCTCAAAATGGGTTCGTTTCCAACGGTCCTTGGGCATTTGTAAGGACAGGTATGCCCTTACGAGACCCCCTTTCATGCCACCCTCCTCCCATAGGCGCAACCACCAGCGAGCTGTGGAGTCCCTGCAGGCCTCCCTGGATGCAGAGACACGGGCCCGCAATGAGGCGCTGCGGCTCAAGAAGAAGATGGAGGGTGACCTCAACGACCTGGAGCTGCAGCTGGGCCATGCCACCCGTCAGGCCACAGAGGCCCAGGCTGCCACGCGGCTGATGCAGGCACAGCTCAAGGAGGAGCAGGCAGGGCGGGACGAGGAGCAGCGGCTGGCAGCTGAGCTCCACGAGCAGGCGCAGGCTCTGGAGCGCCGGGCCTCGCTGCTGGCTGCGGAGCTGGAGGAGCTGCGGGCTGCCCTGGAGCAGGGCGAGCGCAGCCGGCGACTGGCAGAGCAGGAGCTTTTGGAGGCCACCGAGCGCCTCAACCTTCTGCATTCGCAGGTGGGGACAGGAGTCCCTGGGGACAGAGCAGGTGCAGGCCTGCTGGCTGGCTGGCTCTGAGACTCCTCTTCCCCTCAGAACACAGGCCTCCTAAACCAGAAGAAGAAGCTGGAGGCGGACTTGGCCCAGCTGAGCGGGGAGGTGGAGGAGGCTGCACAGGAGAGGCGGGAGGCTGAGGAGAAGGCCAAAAAGGCCATCACTGATGTGAGGCTGGGCAAGGGCTGTGGGGAGCCTGGGACAGAATTGCAGAGGGACTTCCCTGAGGCTGGGCACCTGACCAGCTCCTCCTCCCCAACAGGCGGCCATGATGGCCGAGGAGCTGAAGAAGGAGCAGGACACAAGTGCACACCTGGAACGGATGAAGAAGACGCTGGAGCAGACGGTGCGCGAGCTCCAGGCCCGCCTTGAGGAGGCAGAACAGGCCGCCCTCCGTGGCGGGAAGAAGCAGGTGCAGAAGCTGGAGGCCAAGGTGTGTGCAGCCCCTCTAGTCCTTGGCGCAGGCAGGGTGGGTGACCCAGGGGTGGGCTTGGCATCAGGCTGTCCCCCTGCCTGCAGGTACGGGAGCTGGAGGCTGAGCTTGATGCAGAGCAGAAGAAGCACGCCGAGGCCCTTAAGGGCGTGCGCAAGCATGAGCGCCGTGTCAAGGAGCTCGCATACCAGGTGGGCGACAGGGTCTCCCTGGGGAGTGGCCCTGGAGCTGGCCCAGCCCAAGCAAGCCCTGAGTCCCCCTTGCCCGCCCAGGCCGAGGAGGACAGGAAGAACCTGGCTCGCATGCAGGACCTGGTGGACAAGCTGCAGAGCAAGGTCAAGAGCTACAAGCGCCAGTTTGAGGAGGCGGTGAGTGCGCTGGGGCCTGGACACCTGGACCGGGCACCCCAGCTCTGCCCCAGGGTCTGTGGCCAGGTGAGGCATCAGCAGCAGCTCCACCCTCCAAGGTCAGTGACCCAGAGGGAAGAGAGAAGCTTCTAACATCTCTGGGGAGATCAGACCTAGCTCCTTCTCATGGAACAGACCCCATGTGCTTTCCCCTGGCCAAGGCTGGGGCTGCCTCTGAGGGGTGGGGCAGGCACAAAAAGGCACATGAAGTTGGTGCGTCCCAACTTCCTTATTCCCGCTGTGGTATTGGTGAGGATGGACAGTGGCAATAGGAACAAAGTTGAGAACCAGGAGGAGCTAGCTCCCTTCTTGGACTGGGGCAGGGACCAGAATAAGCATCTCAGTCACCCAAGCGGAACCAAGGCCCTGTGTGTGCCCCCAGGAGCAGCAGGCCAACACCAACCTGGCCAAGTATCGCAAGGCCCAGCACGAGCTGGATGATGCGGAGGAGCGGGCAGACATGGCGGAAACCCAGGCCAACAAGCTGCGGGCACGGACCCGGGACGCCCTGGGCCCCAAGGTGAGGAGTGGCAGGGGCATTGCTCTCTGTGCAGGGGGACTGTGGGGGCTGACAGGTAGTACTGCTCACTCAGCTATCCCTTTCTCCTCAGCACAAGGAGTGACGGCCTGACCCCCTGGGCTCTAAAGAGGAATGTCTGCTGTTGCACATCTGGCTGAGGCCACCTGCCCCGATCCTGCCATCTCTGCATCGCCCCCTGCTGCCTTCAGCCTTCCCTGGGCCCTGAATAAACACCACAGCCAGTTTCCTTCTCATTCTTTTCTTTGGGGTTCAGGAGGAAAAACACAGTCCTAGGGACAAAAGCCAGGTCCACAGCAGTCATTTTTAAAATAAAGTTATTTAATAGTCTCCATTTAATTGGTTTATTTGCTGTTAATAAATTGGCAACACAAGGAAGGGCCCCATGTCCAGGCTCAGGCAGGAGCGGCTGCCTCAGGCAGAGGCAGGGCAGGCACAGCTGCCCCGTGCCCCAAGGGATGGAGGGAAAGGCCCCTCACTTCTGGGAGAACCCCCTTGGATGAACACAGCGGCCAATGAGCAAACAGAACCAGAGGAGCTACAGGAAAATGAGGCAGAGGGGCAGGCTTGGGGGAAGGCAGCATTCTCTGGTACCCACCACCCCTGCCCAGGGCTCAGAAGCCTTTGCCTGGGTCCAAAGGCCAGGGACAAGGGAGGCTTGGCTCACAGATGGGGGGTGGGGGTCACCCATATCTTCCTCCCCACTCTGGGACTGACTGACAGCCAAGAAACCGGCAGGAGCTCACACAGAGCTAATGCTAAATGTCCTCTTACCTCTGGGTGGCCCTGGGCCCCAGGGTTCTGAAGGAAAGGTGGGCATGGTACCCTGTCCTCATTATGGGGACTGAGGCTCTCCATGACCTAGGGCCCTCAGACCCAGGGGGACCAAGGGCTTCTAGGACTTCCCTCCCACCAAGCCTGTACCCAAAGACCTGGGGCAGGCAGAGAGCAGCAGGGAGGAACGGGAACAGGGCAGGGCGTGTGGCATCGTACCCACGCTCACCCACACTGGCCCAGCAGCCTCCCGAGGCCTGGCCCAAGGTCACTCCTCAGTGAAGTCCCTGTCTATGTCCATGTAGGGCTCCTCAATGTAGCTAACGAGAGCAGAGGGTGACTGCCGGTCCGGGTTCAACAGGATGGACACTGTCTCCTTCCAGTATGAGAAGCTGATGCAGGAGCTCTGGGCAAAGAGGGAGGGGCTGGGGGGCGCCTGGAGGACCCAGGTCAAGCCCAGCACCGGGACACCCCTCTGAGAGGCCCTGGGTCCGCGGCCCACCCATCACCCCCTTGAGGGTGGGGCACTCACGTTCTCTAGGCAGGTGCTGTCCTTGTCCTTGTGCAGGTAGTGCTGCTGCCAGAAGCGCAGCAGGTTGTGGAAGTTGTTGAGCAGGAAGCCGGGGTACTTCTTGCTGTGCTCCATCCGCTGCAGCAGCCGCAGGTACAGGGGCAGCCGCTCTTTCCGTCGGGCCAGCATCAGGATCACCAGGCTGGTGTTGAGGCAGCTGACGTTCTCCTGCAAGGCCACAGGCCCACAGGGTCAGGGGCTGGTGGGAGCCCCAGTGGCCCCTGGTGAACCTGGGTAGCCATCAGGCAGGGAGGAGAGTGGCCCCAGGCCTCGGGCCACCCACAGAGCTCTCCCTGCACAGAGGTGAGATAGGACTGGGGGAAGGGGGCCCCCAGCAGCCCCAGTTTCCTGACTGAGCACCTTCCTCTTCCCCACGCCCACCTCCCACCCCACCTGAGGCAACAACACCTGTCCCTGTCCAGACCTGGGCTCAAGCATCACTCCTTCCGGAAGGTCCGTCCCAGGCAGGGCTGGGTGCGTGTGTTGGGGCGGTTATCCCGCTTCAGAAGTGCCATTCAGCACTAGCCTGCGCGCCTCGGTGGGGAAAGAGTTCTGCCCCACTCACCATGCACTCCCACCTGGTGCTTCACCTCAGAACGGAACCAAAGACCACCTCTGAGAGGTGCTAAGATCACCCTCACTCTAGAAAAGAGGGGCAGGAGGCTCAGAGAAGGGAAGGCTGCATGACTATTCAGTGAGGGAGTTGGGCAGCCTCAGGTCCGATTCCAAAGCCCAGCAGGGCAGAAGGTGTGAGGGACGTGGACATGGGGGAGGCGGGGAGAGCACTGGCCTGCAAGTCAGCCTGTGACCTGAGGGCACTTGCGAGCCCTCCTTCCTTAGGCCCTGTCTGTACAATGGGACACTGATTCCTCCTGAGCACAGTCCTCAGAAGAGCTGGGTCTCCAGAGACGCACTTCTGGAGTGGGGGACAGAAACCTGCTGGGCACCAGGACAAAGGAAGTGGTTTCCAATCGACCTTCCCTGCTGTGTGTCTGCCGGGGCCTCTCACCTGGGTCAGCGTCTGCACGTGGATGATGTTGATGAGGCGGAAGAGGAAGGACATCTGCGTGGGCACCTGGGATATGTAGGCGAGCAGGCGGCATTCAGACAGTACCTCGGCAACTGTGGAGGGAGGCAGGGGTGCAGCAGGTCAGGCTTAGGCCCAGTGGCTGGGTCGCCCAGGCCTTTCGTGGAGCCCCGCTTGGGTCCTGACTCTGAAGCTAGGAGCTCATCATCAAAACAGCTTCAACGAAAGCTGACTGTGGCAGAAAGAAGGACCTCCAGCTGTCCTGCTACCAGGCAAAGCCATGTTCTCAGAGTGCCCAGGAGCACCCCACCTCATCCTCCAGAACCAAGCTCAGGGCAGCTCTCCCTCAGCCCTCCCCAGACTGGCTCCAGACCCGTGCCCTCCATATCACACACAGAAGAGTTCCCTCCACAGGAAGATGGATCCATGACGCTGCATTAAGAAAAACAACGCAAAAGTTCCACTCCTTCTGCAGAGGTCCTAGCGCAACTGGTTTTCCACACCAGCTCTCAGGTGAGTCCGGCCCAGTGCTGAGACCACAAGGCACAGGTTCTGCTCCGTCCACTAGTGTCGGAGCAACTGCTTCCCGCACAACTGGGAGGCAGGGCAATAACCGAAGGTACCAAAATCTGTGTGGCTGTTCCCCTGAAACAGACCCTCTGGGGCAGAAAAAGGAAGCAAACGGCTAAATTACCAACAACCGGGATACTTCTTGCTATCAATGACAGTGACCGTGACAAGGAACAAGTGCCTGACTTTTTGGGGGTGTGGGGGGGTCACAAACCCTCAGGAGAATCTGCTGGATGCCACAAGCCCTCTCCTAGGAAAAAAAGGAAACGCGTGCGCATACACATGGAAGTGCGTTAGCAAGTCCAGGAGGGTTCAGATGCCTGCTGCACCACAGGGCACCTGCGATGCCACGCACAGCACACTGAGGACGAGGGGGCCAACTCATCGTGCCAGGCAATACCAGCCCAGAAGAGGAAGGTCTTTTTCTGGTTTTCTTTGCATCTTGCTAGCAACAATGGATTTTCACCTTATTAAAGTGTTGAACAAGGCAGCAAAGCCAATTGCCCTGGAAGCCGCCACCTTGAGGCCGGCCACGTGGGCATCTGGTGCAGCTCCCTCAGTCATTCTTGTCTCCCTGCTGGAGACAGGGTGTCTGATGCCAGCATTCTTACCCTGCATGACTTGCCTTGACAGCCTGCCTTTCATGTACCTTTCATATCCACCTGGTTTTCAAATCGGTCCAGGGACAGAGTGACACAGCGCACCAGCATGTTGGAGTCCACCAGGGAGCTGTTGATCTGCTTCAGGAATACCTGGAACTATACAGAAACCAAGCTCACAGCAGGCAGTGGGCTGCTGGCCAGGTATGGCCATGGCCCGGGGGGATAGTCACTACAAGGGGCATCAGCGACCTCTACCAGCCCCACTGCTTCAGATAGGAAGACAGAGGCTCAGATAAGCTGAGGGACCTCCCCTCACCACCCAGGTACTAAGAGGCACTCCCCGGAATTCAGCACAGATCCGACACTCTCTCCAGTGGTTTTACGCTCAAGGGTGCTGGATTCCTTTAATTTTTACTTTTAATTTTACTTCAGCTAGCCTGAGCTGGGTTTCTGTCACACACACTCGGTGAGCCTAACACACCAGGCCCAGTCCCTCCCTACAGCGGCTCCCACCGTGGCACCCACCATGCTGCGTCACGGCAGGCGCACAAGCCACCCATTCCCACCCTCACTCCCTACCCACAAGCAGCCCCGGTTTTCATCCCTGCATTCCCAGGGTCTAGCACAAAGCCAGACAGAGCAGGTTCCAATGAATGTTTGCCAAAGACTGCCCAGACTCCCCCGTCGTCTCTAACGTAAAACCTGTGCCTAAAGCCTGGCAGACCAGGACTCCAGGTGAACTTCTGGACAACCCAGCACACTCCACAGAGCCCTGGGTTAACTTTACCTTTGCATCGGTGTTGATATATTTATTGAATCTCTTGAATGCATCAACGTTGAACTTCATCAGCTCCCCCAGGAGGTCAAAGTAACTCTGGAGCACATCCCTTGACTTACACTCGCTGTCCACAATGCAGTAAAGGATGTGCTGGGTGAGGAGGGACAGGGTGAAGGTGTCAACGTGGCTGCCCCCACCAGGGCCTGGCATGGAGCTCAGACCATGCATTGGCTTTGAGCAAGCATCCTGGGGATGGAACTGGCAACACTGTCTAGATTCTTGTCTGAGGATGCTGGTGGCTCCAAGGACAGGACCAGGCCTGACAGACCTCACCAGGAGGTGGAGCAGACTGGGAATGCAGCACAATCTCTCCCCTGCCCAGGGCGTACAGCTGAAGCCTGTGACCTGCTCTGTGGTCACCAAGATGGCCGGGGTGCTCAGCTCCTAGGTGAGGGGAGCTGTCATCACCAGGTCTAAAACACAGGCCACTGCCTAAGCACTGAGGTCATTCAAGTAAATGAAGGACAGAATTTAAAAGCAAAGGACACATTTTGACCCCATGGTTTGTCTTTGTGTTTATGAACGAAATTGTTTAAATAGAGTTTACACCAAAATACTGAGTTTTCATCAAGAGAATAAAGCCAATTTACTCCTTTATAAAGTTTTCTACATTTTCTTGAAGTTACATTGATTTGGATCAATTCTTTTCCACATGGATTTTATAATTCGTGGGTCAGTTTCTTGTCCATATGAAAAAATCTGAAAGACCAATTATAACTTTGGCCATTCTGCTCTAAGTTTTACTTTTTCTGAAGACCATTATTCAATAAAGGAAAATTAACTTTTAGTACAAAATATCTTCAGGGTCAAAATGCCTTGCTGGGTAACCAAACTGTCACCCTCCTGCATGGCCTGGCCACCCTCTAAACCTGTCACCCCGTAAGCACCCATGGGGAACCCACAGTTGGAAACCCAGGGCAAAATCTAAGGCAGCCTGCACAGGCATTTGGAAGTCACGAGATCTGCTCTGCTCCTGATGAACTGTTTGGGGCTCAGGACAGGACACAGCAACGCGTGGGCTGGGGGGAGACGGAACCCAAGACACTGGCTGCTCCAGATCATACCTCCAAGAGGCCTCGCTTCAGCAGGAACATCTGGTCTGCATAGGAGGTGGTCCCTCGGAGGAAACTCTCCACAGCCCGAGCTTGCCAAAACCTGCGACCCAAATACTGGCTCAGGTGGCTAAGGCTGCCCTCTTCCGGCCCATGTTCAGTTCTCCAAGGGGTTGGGAGATGTTTGTTGCCTTTTCATGTACTCAACATTTACTGAACATCTACCAAGCATCAGGCTTCATCCTGGGCCTGGGGACACAGCAGTGCCCCCATCCTCACAGAGAGCCAGCTCAGTGGAGAAGTCTTCTATCTGGGTCTGTCTGGAAGGGGCTGTGTCACAGAAAGGGTAACATCTGGGATCGAAGGGCTGGCTCCTGCGAGCCCCCGTGAAACATACTCTAGGCCTTGCCCTTTCACAAGAATGGGAGGACGTGCAATTGAGGGGCCAGGAATGTGTGTGGGAAGCGGACGAACACATGCAGACAGGCCACTGGGCTCACAGACGATGGGCTGGCCTAGGGAAGTAGTGGTTGATGCTGACCGAGGGACCCAGAGGGCACAGCGGGTATCCACGACAGGGAGTTTGGACAAGGCACTGAAGTGACAAAGGCCCATGTGGGCATGAAGCCTCCTGACAGCTCACGCCCGGCCCTGATGGAACTCTACCTGTCCACTGACTTCAAGACTCATCTTAGATGTATCTAAGGACCTCAGAGAAGGTCTCCCTGTATTCACCCAGCCCCCAGCCCTAGCAGCGGAAGAGGCTTTCCTTTGCTGCTATAGCTCCTGGGCCAACCCTGGCTCCATTCCTTCCCACACTGCATTGAAACAGCACAGCTCTAGGGAATTCATGGCAGGGCCCGTATCCTAGTTCTCTCCCACCCATAAGGCACCAGCACAGAACAGGTGCTTGGTGAATGCTCGGTCACTGTGGGCTGCAGAAGAAGCTCTCACATACCTGTCGAGTCAAAACTACACAAGATGGCAGTCAAACCACCTCTCCCCAACAGTAATTGTGCTTCAGGAGGCATGGACGCTGGTGACTAAAGGAGGTATTCCTAACCTCCTGAGAAACACCTGGCTCTGCAGCCCCGCAGAATCGGCAGGTACTTTTCCCCAGACTCACCTGAAAGACGACTCTGCTGGCTCCTTCTTCATGACCTGCAGCAGACGAGTTAATAAGCCCCTCTTCCCATCACACACCAAACTCCTGAAATAGAAGAGAGATATTGGTGACAGATCTGAGAGGCTGACAGGGGCCCTGGGGATGGGTCATTCTGCTGGCTTAGGCGGTGAAAAACCATGGGGACATTTCCAAGTCTGCAGGATGCCTTCCTGCTCCAACTGGGTCCAGAGCCCCGGAGACCCCTGCAGCCACAGAATTAAACTGCCAAGTGCATTCCCACCACATCTCAGGCCAGCTTTCCTTCCCAGGCCAGAAACATATCCAGAATCAGACATGGCTTAGAACTGCCAGAGGAGAGCTGTTTATACCAAAAGTGTGTTGAAACAGGTCATGCCAGTCTGCCAGATGGGGAAAGACTCTGCCAATAGGGTGAGGCCCAGCGTACTCCGTGCCTGAGGTTCACTTCCAGCTGGCCTTGGGCAAGTGTCCACAACTCCAAGCCTCAGCTTCCCAGTCTATGAAGCAAAGGCAGGAGATGAGGAAATGACTCTGGCCCCGTCATGGGGGAAGGAAGACGGCCAGGCACGCAGGGGTCTGGGCCCTTCAAACAGAGCAGCTCTGCTGTGATCCACTGCAGACATCAGGGCAGGACTGGGTACAATTTTATTTGAATGAAGAGTTCTGCTACCTTAGAAAAAAAAGATTGGGAGGCCAGGAGAGGTGGTTCACACCTGTAATCCCTGGACTTTGGGAGGCTCACTTGAGGCCAGGAGTTCGAGACCAGCCTGGGCAACATAGTGAGACCCCATCTCTACAAAAAAAAAGTAAAAACACTAGCTGGGAATGGTGGCGCACACCTGTAGTCCCAGCTACTCGGGCGGCTGAGGCAGGAGAATCACTTGAGCTCAGAAGTTTGTGGCTGCAGTGAGCTATAACACCACTGCTCTGCAGCCTGAGAGAAAGAGCAAGACCTTGTGTCTAAAAAACAAAACAAAACAAACAAACAAAAAAGGTTGGGAAATCATGGCTCTTGTTGGATAAAGTCCACTGTATTCTGACGCCTGTGAGACTAGCCCCCCACTGCCTGGCTCCAGGTGAGGCAAACCTAACCCAGGTAATGCAACCTAACACTTGGCAGCAGGTAAGAGGCTTCTGTCTGTCCTGCTTGGCTGCAGATGCCACCAGGCAAGAAAGGAGCACATAAGCAAAGGGGCTGAATGCACGAGACAAGGCGGTGGGGCAGTGCGGAGCACACATGACTTCTGGCAGGTGACCTCTCTGAGGCTCACCTCATCTGTCAAGTGCAGGTACTGATGGGGCTCCCCTCCTAGGGCTGCTGTGAGGCTCCAATGAGAAAATGCAGGTGACATGAATACAATGCCTGGCACACAGGAGCCCTCAGGACACTGTAGCTGCATGTGAGAGAGGACACGCGTGCATACCTGGATGTGCTCACCGGTGAGCCCCCGGGGAACGTGGGCAGCCGGGATGGGCTGAGGGAAAAGCTGCACCCCTGCACTCACCTGTCGGTGTTGAGGACAGCTTCCACCTCAGGGATGTTGGCCTTGAGAGAGATGGCACTGAGTTCATTCAGCTCCTGGTTGTTGAGTAACAAGTACTTGTTCCTGAAACAAAATGGGTTGGAGGAGGTAAAGGACAGGAACTGGGGCTGCTGGGTCAGCACCAGGCTAGTGTAGGGAGTCTCCTGCCCACTTCCTGTGGACAGAATCTGAGAAGCCACCAGGCACTTTCCTCTAGCACCTCTCACTCCAGCCAGCACCTGCAGGAGGGAACTCTGGGCTCTCAGGCAGTGGAATCTCTCCCTGGCCCCACCCCCATCCCCGACCCCTGCCTGCCACATTCATCGACAAGGCCCCTTCCCTCAGCAGCTCTGGGCCTTTCTCTTTGCCTACATTTCCACTTGTTTTCTCAAAGGCACCAACACCTCAACAGGTCCAATCACACTCAAGCCTGGCCCTGCTGCAGCAGTCCCACCAAGCACCACGGTCACACATCACACAGAGGCCTGGTTAACTGTGACACTTCCCCCGACTTGCCATCCAGGCCTGTCACTGCTGGGTCCTGTGTTCCCAGGACACCAGCTCCCTTTACTAAAAGGTATCCCACAGGAACTGAGTCATCACACGGTGCCAAAAGTGATCTTCAGAATCAGGACTCTGATCCTGTCACTCCCGGTGAAAACACTTCCACAGCTTCCCACTGCATTTAGAACAGACATTTCCTGACTTAGGAGGAGGTTATGTCCTGATAAACCCATCGTATTTGAAAATGCCGTTAAGTTGAAAACATATTGAGGCCGGGCGCGGTGGTTCACGTCTGTAATCCCAGCACTTTGGAAGGTCCAGGCGGGTGGATCACGAGGTCAGGAGTTCGAGACCAGCCTGGCCAACGTGGCGAAACCCCATCTCTACTAAAAATATAAAAAATTAGCTGGGCGTGGTGGCACACGCCTATAATCCTAGCTACTCAGGAGGCTGAGGTAGAATTGCTTGAACCCAGAAGGTGGAGGTTGCAGTGAGCCAAGATCATGCCACTGCACTCCAGCCTGGGCAATAGAGCAAGATTCCGTCTTGAAAAAAAGAAAAAGAAAGAAAACACATTTAATATATCTAACCCACTGAACCTCCTAGCTTAGCCTAGCCTACCTGGAATGTGCTCAGAACACTGACTTCAGCCTACAGTTGGCCATAATCACTGGCAACACGGCAGGCACAGCACAGAGTACTGGTTGTCTACCTTGGTGATCGTGTAGCTGGTCACCATTTTTCTTGAAATACATTCTGAGCTGCAGCTGCAGCTCAGTGCCCAGCATTGCAAGAGTATTGAACTGTTTATCATGAGCCCAGGAAAAGATCAAAATTCAAAATTCTACTTCTGTACCATTGTGAAGTTGAAAAATTCTAAGTGGACCATCTGTATATAAAATCCAGGCCTGTGACTGTGACCCACAACACCCTGTGACTGTGACCCACAACGTCCTGTGCAGCCCAGCCCAGAGCCAAGCCCACATCACTCCCATCAGCTGGCCACAATGGTCTTCCCTCGTTCAGGGGCTTCTGGCTAGAACACACACCCTCTCACATGCCTGTTCACTCAATTCACTACAAGCTGACACTTCAGGTCTTGGCTGGCAAGCCACTTCTGCAGGGGAGAGTTCCTGAGTGTCCTCTGGCCAGTCCTGGACCCTGTCAAATGTCTCTCACAGACCCCGTTCCTCTCCTCCTGAATACCATCTCCACTTATCACTAATGCTCAACGGTGGAATCCTTGGATGAACAACTGTCTCTGTTTTCAGACTCTGCCCTTCATGAGAGCAGGGGCCATGGCTGTTTGCATTCATCCTGATATCCCACAGAGTACTCAGACTGAAGAGTCTGATGAAAGCCAGAGACTCACTTCCTCAGGGAAAACAGCACAGTTCCATAACATATGTGGTGCCATTTTTCAGAAGGTTAACATGCTTCCTGGAGCCCTTCTATGGCTTTCAGCCGGAAAACCTCTCACAGAGGATGGGTGCATATGATGGAGGTGCCCTGGGGCCACAGCTGTCTCCAGGCATGTTCTGTTAGCTCAAATGCAAGGTTTTTAAAATATTTAAACCAACATTTAAAATCAGGACCTTTCACATAAATCTTAATTTCTGCCTTTGCTTGGCAGAAAAAATCAGAAGTTATGCAACAGTGGGCCCAGTTTCCTGTGCACACGCAGCTGGCTGGAGCTGAGCTCACTGAAATTCTTGTTCACTAAGGTCCCCACATCACCTCCCCAATGCCAAGGTCAAGGGTCAGCTGCTAGTCACCCCCTTCCTGCACTGTTTTCCTTACAGCAGAGAGTAATTTTCCTTGTACATTCTCCATCGAAGGTTAAAAAATAAATGAGCGCAGAATGTCTTTCAAGAAAAATGGGAGCACACCTCCTTGTGGAGGGAAGAATCCTCCAGCTGCTCAGTAAGCAGTCGGCTTTGCCTGTCTGAAGTTCCTGCCGGCCCCTGGGAATAGCCACGCTGTCCACTCTTGCTTTAGAGGGGCAGTAGGTTGAGAAATCCATTGATTCCAAAGGTAGTAAGGGGCCAACGACTTCCATACTCAGTTCCTGGGGTGGCTATGAGGGTTAGAAGAAAGCTTGGGGCAGTGCCTGCCATAAGGAAGTCTGGAAAGACGGGAGGTCCGACTGCAGTGTCACACCTGCTAACACTGAGGGGACAGTGGGCTTCCACCAGCTCCAGGGCCTCCTCTCGAGCTGAGGTCAGGGACCAGACAAGGAGATCGAGGCCTTCCGAAGACAGCCCAACAACTCTCCTTGCAGGGACACTCTTGTACTTACTCGTGGTGGTCACTGAAGCTCTGAAGAAGCCTCAAAAACTGTATCTTCAAGGTGATGTCCTGAAACACATGCACAGCCTCAATGTTAGGACCACAGCCACAAGGTTCCAAAATAACACAAGCAGACACTCTGGTGGGAGCCTGCTTCTCTAAGCCTCTGTCCTCATGTACCATGAGGACTTTTCTTTAGTTAGAAAACCATCTGTTCACTTCCACATCTGATCAACAGCAGATTAAGCTAATGTGGCCCCCTTCCTGCTAAAAACATGCCATCACACTCAATAAAAAATAAGGCGGGGCGTGGTGGTTACACCTGTAATCACAGCACTTTGGGAGGCCGAGGCGGGCAGATCGCTTGAGGTCAGGAGCTTGAGACCAGCCTGGGCAACATGGCAAACCCTGTCTCTACTAAAAATACAAAAATTAGCCAGGCATAGTTGCTGCGCCTGTAATTCTGGCTACTCAGGAGGCTGAGGCAGGAGAATCACTTGAACCTGGGAGGCGGAAGTTGCAGTGAGCCGAGATCGCACCACTGACTGCACTCCAGCCTGGGTGATGGAGACTCTGTCCCAAAAATCCAACCAACCAACAAACAAAACAACACGTGTGGGGAGGAGCGGGGGAAGTCCATAGGAGTTAGAAATGAAGAAAGGACCGAGGAGTTTGGAATAGTGAGCCAAGGAACTGATACTCAGCAGCTGTGGGCAGTGTGGAGAGGTGGAGACAAGACCTAGTCACACTAAGGCTTGGGTTTTAATGCCCTGCAGGGACTAGACAGGGTGTCAGGTCCCAGTAAAGCCTGGGGAGCATGTACACTTGGTGAAAGAAGGGTTAGAAAGGCCTGACCCACCAGCCCAGGGAGCCTGGCTCTGCCATGGTGCTGCTGGTGGGTGAAGGGGGCCCTCCCAAGAGCAGCAGAAACCCTGGGCTCATACGACTGGGGCAGTAGGGCCAAGACATTAAATAAGAAAACTGGCCCTGGGACAGCTGCCAGACAAAAGCAAAAGTGCCCTGTAGAAATGCCTCCAGGGCTGAGGCTACACAGGTATCCAAGGGGGAAACTAACCCCACTGACCTCAAGTGATCTGCCCGCCTTGGCCTCTCAAAGTGCTGGGATTACGGGTGTGAGCCACCATGCCCGGGAGCACGTTTCTATAGGTGGATGAAAATTACAATAGGATAAAACAGCAAATAAGGAAAAGCAGGCTGCTAGCTCATGCAGTGGGCAGCCCCCTCCCTGCCTGGAGTGAAATGAGATCCCCATCACAGAGATTACAAGGGGAAGTGGCTAGAGGGCCTCAGGCAGAATTTTTTTTTTTTTTTTTTTTTGAGACACAGTCTCACTCTGTTGCCCAGGCTGGAGTGCAGTGGCGTGATCTCAGCTCACTGCAACCTCTGCCTCCTGGGTTCAAGCAATTCTGGTGGCCGCTCCACAGACATTACAAAACACGAGGCAACACTCCACCCTGAGGTCTGAAGACCCAAACACAAGCATTAGTGCCCCATGAGCAATCGAAAGAGACCTTAAGAAAGTATTTTAAAAATGATTAAAAACAGAATATGCAGCAGAAAAAAGATATTAACATCATGGCTAAGCAGTTTCCGAATTGAGCCAGACAGAACATCTAGAAATGCAAAATATATTTGCTTGAAATTAAAAACTCAAATGATAAAGCAGAAGACAGGTCGCTGAGGGAAGTCCCCAGAGTGCAGTGAAGAGAAGAGGGCCCCATGGCACCAGGCCGATGGCTGGGTGGCACTTTTAGGTCCCAGAGCACTTTCCTTCTCATGCTGGTAGGCAGGGTGCCGACTAGCCGGGGGGCCAATAGGGGAAAGAGTATTATCCTTCTTTTGCAAGAAAACAGAGGCTCAGAGATTCAGTGATTCATTCAAGCTCTTCCAACAAGCCTTCCAATGTCCTGTTCAGAGCTCTCTCAAGGGGACTGTGAGAGACACAAGCTAAAGGAGAGTGCTTGGGCTCAAAAAACCAAAGCCACCTTTTTTTGTATGAGACAGTGTCTTTGCTCTGTCACCCAGGCCGGATGTGCAGTGGCTTGATCTTAGTTCACTGCAACCTCTACCTCCCGGGTTCAAGTGATTCTCCCACCTCAGCCTCCTGAGTAGCAGGGATTACAGGTGCCCCACCAACATGCCTGGCTAATTTTTGTATTTTTAGTAGAGACGGGGTTTCACCATGTTGGCCAGGCTGGTCTCGAACTCCTGACCTCAAGTGATCTGCCCGCCTTGGCCTTTCAAACTGCTGGGATTACGGGTGTGACCACCACGCCCGGGAGCACGGTTCTATAGGTGGATGAAAATTACAATAGGATAAAACAGCAAATAAGGAAAAGCAGGCTGCTAGCTCATGCAGTGGGCAGCCCCTGCCTGGAGTGAAATGAGATCCCTATCACAGAGATTACAAGGGGAAGTTGGCTAGAGGGCCTCAGGCAGGAACTTTTTTTTTTTTTTTTTTTGAGACACAGTCTCACTTTGTTACGCAGGCTGGAGTCCAGTGGCGTGATCTCAGCTCACTGCAACCTCTGCCTCCTGGGTTCAAGCAATTCTGGTGCCTCAGCCTCCCGAAGAGTTGGGATTACAGGCACCCAACACCATACCTGGCCAATTTTTGTATTTTTAGTGAGAGACGCAAGTGTCTCTCACACTAGTGAGACAGGGTTTCACCATGTTGGCCAGGCTGGTCTGTAACTCTTGACCTCAAGTGATCTGCCCGCTCGGCCTCCCAAAGTGCTGGGATTACAGGCCTGAGTCACTGTGCCCAGCCTAGGAAGATCTTAAAAGGGATTTCTGCATAGGTTGGGGTGGGGAGTGGAGTTCACTCAGATCCTACTCCAAGGTAGCTTCCAATTAGGGGACTATAAGATATGATTTTAGTTTCTGCTCTACTCCCAAAGGAAAAAAGGTCAAAGGGTCAGCAGCAGGTCTTGAAACAACTACTCCAAGCCAGTGAGGCCCCATCTGTCCCCGGGGGTCTCCTGCTTACCGGGCTACAGTCACAGTTCTGGTTGTGACCATGGAGGACAAGGGCAGATGCTGAATGCTTCCTCCAAATCAGTTTGTCAAACAAATTATTAAGTCCAGGGATCAGCTTGAACTCTGCAATCATTCTGTGAACCTGAATGGGATAGGAAGGAAAAAGTATTAAGACAAATGTGCTTGAAAAATCTAGCAAAACCTCGTGCTCAGTACACACGATAATGATATTCAGGACAAGTATCAGTACTGTCAGTAAGGAGGGCCAGGGTCTGAAGAAAACATCCGTGTATCCCCTATGCCCAGCACACACAAACCCACTTTCTAACTTTGCTCATTAATGCTCACAATAATCCTACAAGGCATAATGTCCGGTAGTTCCTATCACAGAAGCATGAGTTTGGGATTCAGAGAGTCCTGCATATGATTCAAGAGTCCTTTGGGATGCAAGAGTCCTGGGTTTGACTCTTAGCTTTACCATGTGCAAACTTTGTAACCTTAAACAAATTCCTTAAGATTTGTCTCCTCGTATTAACATCAAAATGTTCCTCATGCTTTGCACTAGGATAAATTTCAGCTGAAAGTAAGATACAATTATTAAAAAACTCTAAGATCTAGAAAAATCTCTGCAAAGAAAAAAAAATGATCTAAGAGTTGGAAAAGCCTTTCTGAAGGATTATAATAAACCTAGAAGCTCAAAAAGAAGCTTGTTGACATCAACCACCTAAACCTTTAAAAATTCTGTATGGCAAAACTCAAGCAAAGTCACAAGCCAAATATGACAAACAGAGAACATACATTGGCAATTCATGCCACAGGCAAAGAAATTCCTCTATAAGGAGTCCTACAAATGTCTCTGATTTTTCACTTTTTCAGACTGGGAAAGATGACAAAGCTTTATAAGACCGTGTTGGTGACTTGGGCATTGGGTACATTCACACGCTGTTGGTGGGAGGGCACACTGGTATGACCTGCACAGGGAAGAGTGTTTGGCAGTAGCTCTAAAATTGCAAATCCATAATCCCTTTAAACCAGCAATTCCACTTTAGGAATTTACACTCAGACAGATCCATATAAACACTAAATGATATATATTTACAACACTACTCACTATAGCATTATTTGTAATACCCCAAAATAAATTATGGTATGCCACTCAATGGGATACAAGGCACCAGTAAAAAAGAATCAAGGTATTTTATATGTCGTGAACTGAACAATTGCCGAGAGATAATACTGGGAAAGCAAGTGTGCTCATGCTGTATTACTGATTGTGTAAAAAAAGAGGAATACAATTCGCCTTTGTAAGCATAAAAATGTCTCTAGAAGGATACACTAATAACTGGTAAAATTAGCTGCTTCATGGAACCATTAGAATAGAATGTCAAGGATCAGAGGGGAGAGAGGCTTCACTTATACTAATTTATATCTTTTAAAACAGAACTGCAGGAATGATTTCCCTGTTAAAATTTGTTTATATAACATAAGGCTATTACTAGCCCTTCTCGGGGCTGTTGTAAGGATCGAGTCAGAAAGCAGATGTAAAGCTCTGCACACAGCACCAGTGCTCGCTTATTGCTATTTTACAAGGGGGAGAAGTTCAGCAAGACCAGCCTGGGTAAGGTCAGTGATTGCAACGGCACCTAACTCAGGTGTTCAGATCTTAAGTCTGCCCCTTTCTAGCCCACTACAGGTATGCATTTATCTTGGGAGACCAGAAGCTGACAAAGACATCCCTGGCAGCCTCCATTTCCATGGACCTCTTCCTTCAACATATTAGGTTGTGTAAAAGTAATTGCGATTTTTGCCACTGAAAGTAATAGAGGTGACTATTCTCTTCCTACTAGAAATCACAGCCTCTGGCCAGTGTTAAGACTCATAAGCAGCCCAGAATCTGTTAGACTGAGGCTGATGTAAAATGACACCTGTTCTGCCACTCAGGCCTTTACTAAAACCCAGCCTGGATCTACCTTGCCCTGCTTAACTGGGGGTGGGGAGGTACGGCTGACATCTATGGTGTTCACCAAGCCATGTGCCTTCCTGTCTCACTCCAAAGGGCCCTAAGCCAGGCCCAGGTCACACAGCTATAAAATGTTCCAACAATGGCCCAAAAAAATTCATCCAGTGCAATTGCCTCACTGCACAGACTAGAAACCCAAGCTTAAGAGATTAGGGGTGAGTCACACAGCTGGGAAGAGAGGGGCCTTCTAAGGCAGACTTGGACCTGACCCTGGGTCTCCTAAGTTCAGGCCAGTGCTTAGGTTTGAGGTTTCTACTACATCATTTCCCTTTTCTCTTAACAATACCAGCTTCTCGGCCGGGCATGGTGGCTCACGCCTGTTAATCCCAGCACTTTGGGAGGCCAAGGCGGGCGGATCACTTGAGGCCAGGAGTTTCAGACCATCCTGGCCAACATGATGAAACCCTGTCTCTACTAAAAATACAAAAATTAGCTGGGTGTGGTGGTGTGTGCCTATAACCCCAGCTACTTGGAGGGCTGAGGCAAGAGGATCGCTTGAGCTGGGGAGGCAGAGGTTGCAGTGAGCCGAGGTCATGTCACTGCACCACTCCAGCCTGGGTGGCAGAGCAAGACTGTCTCAAAAAAAGAAAAAAAAAAAAAAAAAAAAAAGAAAGAAAGAAAATAGCAGCTTCTTCATGTGTAAAATTTGTAAAACAAATTTTACTTGTAGAATGCATTATTCCTACTCTCAGGTCCAGCCCCGTAGCCTGCTCTATAGCAGGATGGTAGGCAGGTGGGCGAGATGAAGTGCCACTCTACCAGAGGAGGCAGCGGGTACAGGCTCAGGCATTTATCTCTGCAGTCAGACAGCCCTGGGTTCACAAGATAGCTCTGTGACCCTGGGCAACATTCTTTGAACCCAAGTCCCTTGATAGAAAAGGCGATGGGGGACGATGGAGCTGTTGAAAAGGCTCAGTGAGGTACTGTAGAAGCTACTCAGGGGGCACTAAAAGAAACGACTGCTATATGGATGGTTTTCATTAGCACCAGAGGGATGAAACTTGACAGCACATGGGGAGCCTTTCCAGTCCTGAGATTTCAATTTGGCCAAGATTGGTCTGAGAACTTGGCCCAACTGCTCATTAACGAGGAGGCCTCTTTAAGGAGGAAGCCTTCTGTGAGGCCTGGCCAAGGAAACCCTTCCCCTTGCTACCCAGTGTAGGCAGGATCTGGGAATCCAGATCCTCACGGTGCCCGGCACACAGCAGAAACCCAGGAAATGCTGACTGTGCAAATGAGAACACGCTAGTGAAACAGTGGTTTTGGGGGGCCAGGATTTCAAGGTCATTAGTGGTCCCTTCCCAAGGAACCAGCACTGTAATCATACAGTTTAACTCAAGACCGCAACAACTCATAGCAACCTGGCAACAAGAAGGCTCAGGGAACAGAGAACTGCTGTGAGAGGGCAGAAAGAGGAGACAGGGCAGCAGAGTTTAAATCCTGGCTCTATCCAGGCCTGTCCCCTGAGCGCACAGCCCAGTTTATGCCCTGGCTTTCTCAAGAATCGAGTGTGGGGACACAGAGTCACCACCTGTTGTGTAACTTACTAAATACCTGAAAATTCAAACAACTGTGAAAGTGCCTCGAAAAAGTAATAGCACTCAATGCACAGAAGCTGTCCCTACAATTATTTCACATATAAGCAACTGCGAAAGTGCCTCAAAAAAGTAATAGCACTCAATGCATAAAAGCTGTCCCTAAAACTATTATTTTTTATTAAAAACATGTTCCGTATTGAAGGAAGGGACACCAATGCTGTGGCTATCACCGTGGGATCTCATCCAGTGTCCTGGTTTTAAATACAACCATATGCTGAGGACTCCCAAAGTGATACCTCCAGCCTTGCCATCTCCCCAACACCAGGTGTAGGTAATCAATCCAAGTGTCAATTCTAACACACACCTCAAATCTACCTTGTACAAAACACAACTCCCCATCTTCCTCCCTAAGCCTGCTCCTCCACCCCTTACCTGCTAGTCTTAACCACCTCAATACCTGGCAAATCCATTCTCCTACTTCCTTGGGCGAAAAACCTTGGGAGTCACCCTTAACTCCTCTCCTCACTCTTAAGTTCACATCCAAACCATCAGCAAATCCTATCTTTCAAAACATATCCAGAATGCAACCACCTCCCACCAGTCCCACCATCAATGTGCTGGTCCTAGCTGCTATCATCTCTTGGCCCTATTATGAGGGCCCCTAATGGTCGCCCTATTCCCTTCCTTGCTGTTTCCAGTCTTTCCAAAAGCAGTCAGAGGAATGACTTCTCACTTCACTCAGAGTAAAAACCAAAGTCTTTAAAATGGCCTGTGACAGCTTGACATGACCTGGTCCCTGTGAGCCCTCAGCCCTCCTCTCCTGGCTGTTTGCTCCAGGCTGTCCCGCGCTGCCTCACTGTTCCAGCAACTATGCACACTCCTCCCCAGGGCACTGCCCCCTCCCACCTGGTACACTCTTTCATTCTCTTCTGGACGTTTTCATCCTCACTTGTAAAATGGGGGTAACTGCACCTCTGTTGCCCAGACTTGTGACAGTCCAGTGTCTGACTCAGAAAGATGTGGAAGGACTGCTGAGCCTCCAGCCTCTCCTGCCCCCATGCTTGGTTTCCTCCCTAGAAGGGCGCGGTCTGCAGGAAAAGGCTACTTCTCAATAGTCTTGAGGAGGGCCGCACTGTTCCAAGCCCTTTTTCCTCCACTGTAGGTTATGGGCCCCTCCTCCTCCGTCTTGGAACTACTTCAAGGCTCAGGGAACCTTGCACATCTGGAGCTCCCTGTACTTGCCCAGTTTTCCTAAGCAGACACAGCTCTGGGCTCTGTCCCACTGCCCTGAGCCCACATCAGGTTGGCAACTCCTCTAGCATGTCCACAGGGCCAGGCTTGCCAGCTTTCAACTCTTTAGTCTTCACCTCACAGAGGCAACTGCCTGCTTCTGCCCTCAGCACCAACCAAGACTGCCTAGAAACGCTCCATACAGCAAGGCACAGTGAAAAGACTCCCGGTTCTGGAATCAGCCTGGTTTCCTTATAGGTAGAACAGAAGGAGAAATACCCCTATGCTTTGCCAGGCTAAAGCGAGAGCCATTCTAACAGAAGGCCCAGTGGAGCACCTGGCATACCATGAGCACCCGGGCAGCACCTGCTCCCCGTGTCCTGAGACGCTGGAGAGGGGCCCACCTGGTTTCGCTGACGCCCCATCAGCAGCACGCAGAGGACATAGAGCACTTCCAGTTTGTACATGATCTCATGCATAATCTTCATTGACTGGGGCAGCTGGGTTCTGGCTGACGTGTGAGGCAGGCCATTCTCCTCAGAAGCCCCTGGAGGAGGGAACACAATGGAGGCTGACACAGCCACCGGAGACAGGATTGAGTCACAGCTTGTGAGGAAACACGTTTCTGCCCCTCGAACCTGCTCTGAACAGACTTGTAGCATGGCCATTCGGCTGGGCCATGAGCCCAAAACACAGACTCTGAAAGCTGCAAAACTCCCTCCACAATCCCAGGAGCCAGGTGAGCGCAGAGACTCGGAAAAATGGACTCTGCAATAGTTGTGCCTCATCAACTTTAACATAAAGTAAAAATATTCGGACACAGCCAATACAGTAACATGACCCATCCCTCCCTGCTTATGCCCTTCTCCTGCCACCAACCAGACCCCCAGGAAGTGCCCAGGCAGATGTATGACAGCAAATTATGGGGACCGCTCTTCAAGTCGCAAATGGCCCTGCTTACTTGGTTCTTCTGCTGAGACTCCATGAGGGACACTGCTGAAGCCCAAGAGGGATTCTTTTTGAAGAATTCCCCGTTTTTTAAAAGAAGAACCATCTAAATTTTTCTAAGGTTCAACTTTCTAAAGCAGACTGGGTATCACAACTGATGCTACTGATGCAGATGAACATATTATCTACAGGCAGATTTTCATTTTACCCAATGTCATTACTGCTAACATCAACAGCAGCTAAGTGATATTTATGGGACACTTGATATGTGTCAGACTTGCTGGCTTTATGACTTTGGGCCAGTCACCTCCTCACTAGGCCTTAGACTGCTCTGCAGCAGACAGCTAGGGTTACTGTGCAGACTGAATGGGAACGTAAGAGAAGCCCAGCATCTGATTCTTAGGAAGCCCCCATTCACTCCTAGATCCTTTCTTTACTTATTTACAGAGTCTTGCTCTGTCACCCAGGCTGGAGTGCAGTGGCATGACCTTGGCTCACTGCAACTTCCGCTTGCTGGTTTCAAGCAAGTCTCCTGCCTCAGCCTCCCGAGTAGCTGGGACTACAGGCATGTGCCACCACGCCCAGCTAATTTTTCTATTTTTAGTAGACATGGGGTTTCACCATGTTGGCCGGGCTGGTCTTGAACTCCTGACCTCAAGTGATCTGCCCGCCTCAGCCTCCCAAAGTGCTGGGATTACAGGCGTGAGCCACGGTGCCCAGCGTAGATCCCTACTATTTTAAGAGGGCATTGGTCAGAGTCAGGAGAGGCTAGGTGATCTTAGCAGAGTGACTTCCCTTCAGTTTCCTCATTTTAAAGGTGAACAGATGAATCAGTAACTGCCAAGGTCCTCTCAAGTTCCTACAGGAACTGCTTCCCTAGAGGCCTTTTGCAAAGGCCTCTATGTGTTATAGAGGAGTGGTTATCAGATATATTCAGGTAAGGCTCATACAGAAAACACAGTGATACTCTTTAAAGTATCAAGACAGAAGACCCTAACTTATTCCGACTAGGTGTGGTGGCTCATGCCTATGATCCCAGGACTTTGGGAGGCCGAGGCAGGTGGACTGCTTGAGCCTAGGAGTTTGAGACCAGCCTGGACAATACAGTGAGACCTCATTGCTATAAAAAAATTTAAAAAATTAGCTGGGCATGGTGGCATGCGCCTGTAGTCCCAGCTACTCAAGAGGGAGAGGTGGAAGGATCGCTTGAGCCTGGAAGGTGAAGGTTGCAGTGAACCAACAGAGATCGTGCCACTGCACTCCAGCCTGGGCGACAGAGCTGGACTGTCTCAAAAAAAAAAAAAAAAGAGAGAATCTAACTTACTCTATCCTACAGACTTGGAACTATCTTTCCCCGTCATGTTAAAATCACAACCTTGGAAGACGACAAGCTGCTGAATGAAGTGTGACTGAGACACAGTGTGACACGGTAGTTAAGAGCACTGACCCTGAAGCCAGACTACTGGGTTTGAACCCCATTCACTAGCCGGGTGGTCTTCAGTAAATCAGTGGACCTCTCTGTGCTTCAGTATCCATCCTCCTTTGTAAAACAGCAATACTGACAACCATACCTACCCCTTAATGTTGTAAGGAGTAGAGGGATATACTGAAGGTGCCTGGAACATAGCCCCAAGTAAGCAACATACAATTAGAAACTAAATAGAAGTTAAGTTCTCAGAAAACTGAGTTTTTCTGCGAATGCTTGCTTGTTACTTTGTATTCTTTTTCATCTCCAAGCTTTTAATGGGAACTAAACAGGCAGGAGGCAAAGACTTAGGAAAAATTTACTGGAGAAATTTTTAATTTAAGAGATTCTATCTACTCATATTTATTCTCCTGTACCTTGGGCAAAAAACTATAGTTACTCAATTTCCATGTTAGCACTCCTTGGCCCAGCTTCCAGAACAGTTAAGTGTCAGCTAATCTGTGAAGTGAACCTGAAGAACTATCACGCAGAATCCTGCCTCTGTCGTGCACTGCTGTGAGACCTTGCGTGCTTGGCATCCTCGGCACCCAGCCCATGGTGCTCTAGGGAGTCCTGCAGGGAAGGATGTTTATGCAAGCAGTGGGCACAGTGTGGGGCACACAAGTCCTACTGAGAAATGAACGTCTGCGAAGAAAGAGACAGGGCAGCCTGACCCCTCTCCAAGTCACCACCAACTTTTGGTGCCTGGCTTGCGCAGGCCTGACAAGACTTTCTGTGATAAATATTTTCAAGAAACAGTCTCCAAAGCAATGGCCAGAGCTTAGCAACAAGGTCAGTCCCAAGGATGAGGATGGGAAAACCAGCTCACGAGGCCTGTGCTCCCCTGAGTCTCTTCAGCTCTACCACACCGATTGGAGCGGTCACCACTCTCTGTCTGCACTGCACTGTTTTCTGCGGACATGCACACTCACTTTTTTTTTTTTTTAACAGCTTTGAGGTACAATTCACATACCATGCAATTCACCCATTTAGTTAACCATGGTATCGTGATTTTTAGGACATTCATAGAGTTGTGCAGCCATTACCACAATCAATTTTAGAATATCTTCATCACCCCCCAAAAGCAGCCTTGTACTCACTACCAGTCACTTCCTATTTCCCACCAAACTCCTTAGCTCTAGGCAACCATGAAACTATTTTCCATCTCTATGCAATTGCCTGTTCAGGACACTTCATATTAATGAACTCATGCAATATGCCATCTTTTGTGACTGCTTCTTTCACCTAGTACAATGTTTTCAAGGTTTATCCATGTTGTAGCCCCTATCAGCATTCCCTTTTATTGCTGAATAATATCCGCTAGTATAAATATATCACATTCTGGCTTGGTACAGTGGCTCAGGCCTGTAATTCCGGCACTTTGGAAGACCAAGACGGGAAGATCATTTGAGTGCAGGAGTTTGAGACCAGCTTGGGCAACACAGCAAGATCCTGTCTCTTTTTATTACAAAAAATAAAAAAATTAGCTGGGCGTGGTGGTGTGCACCTGTTTCCAGCTACTCGGGAGGCTGAGGTAGAAGGATGGCTGAGCCTGGGAGGTCAGGGCTGCAATGAGCTGTGATCACACCACTGCACTGTAGCCTAGGTGACAGAGAGAGACCGTCTCAAAAAAAAAAAAAAAAAAAAAAAAAAAAAATTCTGTTTATTCATTAATCAGGTGACAGTCATTTGCGTTGTTTCCATATTTTGGCTGTTATGAATATGCTGTGATGAACATACCTGAACAAATTTTTGTGTAACATATATTTTCATTTCTCTTGGGTATATACCTGGGAGTAGGATTTCTAGGCCCTATGACATAACTGTATGTTAACCCTTTGAGGAACTGCTAGACTCTTTTCTAAAGTGGCTGCACTATTCTACATGCCCACTAATAGTGACTGAGGGCTCTGATTTCTCCATATTCTTGCCAACCCTTATTATCCACCTTTTTTGATGATAACCATTCTAGTGAGTATGAAGTACTATATCATTGTGGGGTTTGTTTTTTCCTCTATCATCTAGACTACTTAAGTGCAGTGGCAGGATCACAGCTCACTGCAGCATTGAACTCTGGACCCAAACAATCCTCCCACCTCAGCCTCCCAAGTTGTCAGGACTATGGGCACGTGCCACCATGCCTGGCTAACCGAAACAAAATTTTTTTTTGTAGAGATGAGGTCTTGCTCTGTTGTTTGAGCTGGTCTTGAACAATCCTCCTGCCTTGGCCTCCCAAAGTATTGGGATTACAGGTGCCAGCCACTGTGCCTGGCCTCACTGTGGTTTTGATTTGCATTTCCCTGACGGCTAATGATGGTGAACATTTTTCACGTGCTTAATAATTATTTATATATCTTCTTTGGAGAAACATCTATTCAGATCCTTTGTCTATATTTTGAAATGGGTTTTTTTATTATTGTTATGAGAGTTCTTTATACATTCTAGATACAAATCCCTTATTAGATATATTATTTGCAAAGATGTCCCACCCTGCCTTACCCACAAAAAACGTTCTTCCATTCTGTGGGTTCTCTTTTCACTTTCCTCATTGTGTTTTCTGAAGAACAAAAAGTTTTAATTTTGATGAAGTCCAATTTATTATTTATCTGGTTGCTTGTGCTTCAGATGTCATTGTGTATGACAGCTAAATTGTTAAATCCAAGGTCATGAAGCTTTATCCTTATGTTTTCTTCTAAGGGTTTCACAGGTTTAGCTCTTACATTTAGGTCTTTGACCCTTTTAATTTTGTATATGACATAAGGCAGGGGATCTAACTTCATTCTTTCGCATGTGGACATCAAATGGTCCCAATACCATTTGTTGAAAAGACTACTACTGTTTCCACCAATGAATGGTCTTGGTACCCACTGAAAATCAATTGATCATAATAAGCATGAGGGTTTATTTCTGAACTCTCAACAATATTCCATTGATCAATATGTCTATCCTCAGGCCAGCAGCATAGTGTCTCGATTGCAGCTTTGTA